>NC_000017.11:34435980-35685980 GCF_000001405.40 Homo sapiens | reverse complement strand
AACCAGCGTGGCTAACATTGGTGAAACCCCGTCTCTACTAAAAATACAAAAATTAGCTGGGTGTGGTGGCAGGTGCCTGTAATCCCAGCTACTCAGAGGCTAAGGCTGGAGAATCGCTTGAACCTGGGAGGCGGAGGTTGCAGTGAGCCAAGATTGCACCATTGCACTCGAGCCTGGGTGACAAGAATGAAACTCCATCTCAAAGAAGAAAAAAAGAATGAATGGTATCTTTTAAATTTTTAAATAGTGTTTCAAATAGTCTATAAGCCAATAAGTAGTTTAATGAGTGTTCTGATGAAAAGTTTTTATAATAAGTTTTATACTACAGTTCTGGCAGCTGGGCTTGATTTAATTGTTCTACACATTGATATTAAATTAGCCAAAATAGCTAAAATCCACATGGAATTCAAAATTTCATTTCCTCAATCCCCAACATTTTTTTTTCCCAATTTTATGGTCTGTAGTACTAGAAAAATACTAATTTTCCCACATGAGCTCTTGAATCTAAACATTATACAAATATATTTAAAAGCTAGATCAATCTTTACCTGGCTTTATCTGGATGTATATATAGTTTAACCTTGTTGGAATGATGTTTTGATTTTCTTCTTGTTCATACGGGGAAAAGGGCAGAATGGAAGCTGAAATCTAAAGTACCCTACACATCCCTAAGCTAGCCATTACATTAGTTCCAACTCTCACCAGCATACACTAAGTAGAGCTGCTCACAGGGGGAAAAAGTTTTTCTCTTTTCAAGTTTTGTTTATCATATCCATTGGGAAATGCCAATTAATGAGAAAATAGCCACAATTATGACATCCCCAAAAGAAGAGAATCCATGTGGGAAACTTGAAAAATCAGTAGTTAACTATAGATGGAAAAATTTAAAGTTTGCTTCTTATAATATCAGGTTTATGAAAATTAAAACTTGCTAGTTCTAATATCACATCAATACTTTTGAGGAAAGGGTTGGACTAAGATTCAACTTCTCTTGTGAGGGTTCCTGTTCAGGAGTTAGTCAAATGGAAATGCCAACAGGAAAGTAAACTGACATTCATTAATTTGTTTACTGTTTCTTTTCTTTTTTTTCTTTTCATTTTAAGAGCAGAAAATTTGCCCTGGTTTCTGTGACCCAAATTCTCTTTCCTACTTATGAGGTAAAGCATTCTTGCGTGCATGCTGACTGTCCTCAAATATTAGGCTTGAGGCTCTGTGGCCAATGGGAGGTTAGATTTCAATGAAAAGGGAACAGATGTAGATTTGGGTTAAGTTTCTTCAGGATCCTGTGCTGGAAAAGCCCCTTAACACATTACTGTCATCATAGTAACAGCCAATTCCATCTGCATAGTAATCCTTGCTTTATTCTTCTTGTCTGAGCCAAGTTACATTGTGACTCACTCGTCTACCCTCTAAATCATTATTCCCTTTGCTGAAAAAAAGGCAGTCAACTACTGTGGCAACAAGGTAGTTAGTGAACTGGCAAACAGGCCTGCTGTGCTGGTATTTAAATGACTGAAGAATGTTTAGTTTTACCTCCAAGATATTTTACTATTGACGTCTCACCATCAATACTAGTATCTCACACAGGTATTTCTAGATTAAACAATGGGATCCCACCTGTCTTGACTGGAAAGAGGAAAGCTGACATTTTTCTTTCATCATTTTAAATATATTTCATAGTCTCATTCAGACTGTTCTATCTTAAGCTCTTAGTGGGGGTGGGGACAGTACCAGTCCTCCTCTTTGCAATGTCTTTTGACTATCCTTCACAGTGTATCTTTCTCTCTCTCTCCTGTTAAATTGTGAGCTCACTTTCAGTAGAGACTTTCTTTTCAGCTGGGGGTCTTGAAGGCCCTAAATTTAAAACTGTTGTTAAAGGGCTGCTTTGTATTTGCTTCTGACAGGACTCTAGGTTTCACCAGTCCTGGGCCAATTTTATATTAATTTATTGATTTGGAGGTTACTACACCTACATAAGTAGTGTAAATTTGGAATATATAACTCATCTATGGCATTGATTGGGCCTTGAATTTCTCACAAGGGGCTATACCCAGAACCCTGCTCAGAAATTTCCTATCATCTTTGGGAGATGGCGAAAACATTTTCCTAGTTCTCCTTTCTTTGAGGGAGCTGCCCTTCCAGGGTCTCTGCTTTATGCAGGGATCGATTACAGTTCCCCATTTCTGGGTGGCCCAAGGCTTTCTTCCTGTTCTTGTGAACATTAAAACCATAACCGCTAGCAACCTCCAGGGTTGCTACAGTTCTGACTTATGAGCTTACTGCTCTGCCTTCATGTTGCCTGAAGCCCAGAAGGTTTATATTTCAAAGGAAACTTCGAGGTAGGTGAAAACTGAATGAAACTCTAAGCTGACACCCAAGCATTCTAAAAAATTCGACATTTTCAAGATAAAGAGGCTCTTGTAGACCACATAAAATTCTTCTAAGATGCTGTTATACTTATCATAGATAGGTGCTAATGGGGCATTTAAATCCAAACAGCCTAGCTACCTGTGGTCCAATGTTCAATGATAACCTCCATATAAATCTCTTCTTATATTAATGACATTCAAATTTTGCTATAAAAGTCTTAAGGAAAAAAGGTTTACAAATAAGAAGTTAAGAAAAAAGTTTCTAAGTGTTTGTTGAGTAAAAGAATGAATATCTATGTCATGCATGACTTTTGTTTTTCTTAACAACAAAACATAAAACTCTCGTCCACAAAGATTTATTTCAAATCCGATTCCATGACTAACTCAAACCTAAGGAAGAAAGAGGGACTTTTTTACATGTAAATGAAAAATTGGGCGAGGCGCGGTGGCTCATGCCTGTAATTCCAGCACTTTGGGAGGTCCATGTGGGCAGATTACTCGAGGTCAGGAGTTCGAGACCAGCCTGGCCAACATGGTGAAACCCCATCTCTACTAAAAATACAGAAATTAGCCAGGCGTGGTGGCTTGTGCCTGTAATCCCAGCTACTTGGGAGGCTGAGGCAGGAGCACCATTTGAACCCAGGAGGCAGAGGTTGCAGTGAGCCAAGATCGCACCACTACACTCCAGCCTGGGCAACAGAGTAAGACTGTGTCTTTAAAAATAATAATAATAATAATAATTGTCAAGATATTAACTTGTACCACCTGAGTGAAGTAAATCTCTGACCTGGAGGTTATTCAGAGGTTCCATCTTCATGACTGGGCCCAAGGTATTGAGAGGCAGGGAGACATCAATGCTCTGGTTTGGCATCAGTGGTGTATGGATGGCCAGAGGAGTGCTGGGGATGACACCAAAGCTAGAAGAGAGGATACATAAATCACAGAGGTTAATCAAGAGGCAGAATTTAGGCTGGGCATGGTGGCTCATGCCTGTAATCCCAGCATTTTGGGAGGCTGAGGTGGGTGAATCACCTGAGGTCAGCAGTTCAAAACCAGCCTGGCCAACATGGTGAAACCCTGTCTCTACTAAAAATACAAAACATTAGCCGGGCGTGGTGGCGGGTGCCTGTAATCCCAGCTACTTGGGAGGCTGAGGCAGGAGAATCGCTTGAACTCGGGAGGCGGAGGTTGTAGTGAGCCGAGATCGCACCATTGCACTCCAGCCTGGTCAATAAGAGTGAAACTCCATCTCAAAAAAAAAAAAAAAAAAAAAAAAAGAGGCAGGATTTTGCCATATCTTTGGGTTTTAATGGCATTTTGCTCCATTTAAAGGAAACTTTTTTTTTTTTTTGGAGATAGGGTCTCATTCTGTCACCCAGGCTGGAGCAAAGTGGCATGATTTCAGCTCAGCTCACCACAGCCCTCAACTTCCAGGTTTAAGTGATCCTCGCACATGAGTCCCCCAGGTAGCTGGGACTAGAGGCATGCACCATCATGCCATGCTAATTTTTGTATTTTTAGTAGAGATGGGGTTTCACCGTGTTGGCCAGGCTGGTCTCGAACTCCTGAGCTCAAGCAATTTGGTCACCTTGGCCTCCCAAAGTGCTGGGATTACAGGTGAGGAAACAAAATTTTTAATACAATTAAATAAAAGGGATAGCAGGAATCAAGGTGCTCAATGCCAATTTGCTATAACACTGGTTACATCATAATTTTCTGTTTTCCATTAAATGAATTTGAGGAAGGAGAAAATATTCTTAAGTGCAGAACTGCTTTGCTAGTGCTATAACTCTGAAAGTTCCTTCTCTTTAAAACGTCACTAGAGGGCAGGTTTGATGAATATCATTTTTAATAAATCTTTCCTTAGATAATTCTTGGGAGAAAGAAGAATTAAGAATTTCCACCCTGAGGCCAGGTGTGGTGGTTCACGCCTGTAATCCCAGCACTTTGGGAGGCTGAGGCAGGAGGGTCACTTAATATAATGAGACCGTGTCTTTACTGCCCACCCCCCACCAAAAAAAAAGTAATAAAAGAAAACAAATTAGCTGGGCATGGTGGCACACGCCTGTAGTCCTAGCTACTCTGGAGGCTGAGGTAGGAGAATCACTTGCTTGATCCCAGGCATTAGAGGTTGCAGTGAATTGTGACTGCATCACTGCAGTCCAGCCTAGATGACAGAGCGACACCCTGTCTTTAAAAATACAAAAACAAAAACGAAAACCAATTTCTACTCTGTAAAGAGAAGTATAATAAATTATTTTACAGGCTTGATAACCTGACTGATAAGTCCAGAGGATTATTTACTGGTAATTCTCACTTTCCTTTTTTTTTCACTTACATAGGACACAATCACTGGGAAAGAGCTAGTCTAAGTGGCATTGACTGGCTTATAAATTCCAAACAATTAGGATAAGTTGTAGAGCCAAACATGGCCACTTTCTAAGCTTCAGGCAGGCAATGAATAGCTACCAGTTTTATCCAGGAAAACTTGTTTAATAATATAAGAATGGTAAAGAGATGGGAAACTCAGTCTGAATCTGAAGTTAAATAGAAAACAAATACATATGTGGGAGGACAGATGGTCTGAGAAGCATAAGGATAAAATTTTATAGGCTGGGGCTGGAAACAGTGGCTCACAATTGTAGTCTCAGCACTTTGGGAGGCTGCAGCGGGCGGATCACTTAAGGCCAGGAGTTCGAGACCAGGCTGGCCAACATGGTGAAACAACATTTCTACTAAAAATACAACAAAAATTAGCCAGGTAACAGGCACCTGTAATCCTAGCTACTCAGGAGGCTGAAGCAGGAGAATTGTTTGAACCCGGGAGGCGGAAGTTGCAGTGAGCCAAGATTGTGCCACTGCACTCCAGGCTGGGCGACAGAGCAAGACTGTCTGAAAAAAAAAAAAAAAACAAAAAAAAAAAAACCAAAACCATAGACTGGGCATGGTGGCTCATGCCTGTAATCCCAACACTTTGGGAGACCCAGGCCAGGCGAGTGGATCACTTGAGCCCAGCAGTTCAAGACCAGCTTGGGCAACATAGAGAAACCCTGTCTCTGGAAAAAAATTACAAATATTGGCCAGTGTGGTGGTGTGTTCCTGTGGTCCCTGTTACTCAGGAGGCTGAGGTGGTAAGATCACTTGAGTCCAGGAGGTTGAGAGCCCAGGAGGTTGAGGCTGCAGTGAGCCTCAACTGCACCATGCCTGGGCAAAAGAGCAAGACCCTGTTTCGGGTGGAAAAAAAAGAAGAAAACAAAATTTTATAAAGATGAAGCAGAAAGAAAAAATTGGCCTAGAAGATAACAAACAAAATGATACAAATTTATATTGAATTTATATTCTAAATAGCCACATGATGGAAGATGGGACTACGACGTTTATAAAATTAACTAAAGAGTTTATACAGGCTGGTGCGGTGGCTCACGCCTGTAATCCCAGCACTTTGGGAGGCCGAGGCTGGTGGATCACCTGAGGTCAGGAGTTTGAGACCAGCCTGGCCAATACGGTGAAACCCCATCTCTACCAAAAATTACAAAAAAAAATTAGTCGGGCGTGGTCGTGGGCGTCTGTAATTCCCAGCTACTTGGAACCCGGGAGGCGGAGGTTGCAGTGAGCCAAGATCATGCCAATGCACTGCAGCCTGGGCAACAAGAGCGAAACTCTGTCTCAAAAAAAAAAAAAAAAGAGTTTACACACATACTCTTCCAAGAGTTAGAGTGGCTAAAGAAATATTTTCCTTTTCCTAGATAAACTACATCTTAAGACTACCAAATTGTAATAATGAAATGATCTTGAGAATTCACATCACTCATTTAGGCATAATAGTTATAAGGCAAAAAAAATTTTACTCTTTTGATTTTGCTCTCACAGTCATCAAAACTCTGTCATTAAGTCAATATTGGGAAACATGGCAGCAGCATGGTTCCAAATCTTCCAAGTGCTCATTTAAGAAATGAAATAGAGGAAACAAACAAGGGGGAAAAAGTCCCTATAAAGCTGTAATTTCACCTTCTCCAAAACTACTGTCAAAGAAAGTCCACAGAACTGGTGAGATGCTCTGGTGATACAGTAGGCAGGCACAAGGAGTTCAGAGGAAACCAGTAGTAGTAGGTCTTAGAGACTGACCACAAATATTCATTCTCAGAAGACAGCCCCATTCCCAGAGTAGACCAAGATCAAACAGGAGCAGCATATGAATAAGGCTGGAAAAAAAAAAAAAAGGTAGCAAGTCCCTTTCTACCAAGGGGGCCCTGGAGATGAAAGAGCTCAAAAAGCACCACCTTCTAAAGAGAAAACAAACACCTTGGAAGACAGGGCTTCCTTGAAAGACAGGGCTTGAAGGCAAAGATCAGCCCTCTAGAATCAAGTTAGATTCAGAGAGGCTAAGAAGCTGTGGCTACACCAGAGCAAAGAAGGAAACGTTCTTGAGGAGCAAAGTCTAAAAAACTACCCGCCTAGCTTCCTTTTCTATAGAAGTCTACTAATAGCTAGTCCTGCAAATTCCAACTCATTCAAATATAAGTATCATAATGGTAAAAAACACAGCAACTGTTCAAAGCCCTATTATAAAAAAGTGGAAAGACAGCAGTACAACTTCCTTAATGACAAACAAAACATACTTGAAAAAACAAAACAAACAAACAAACAAACAACAATGCTAGCTACCAAGGAAGACCACACAACAGTAAAAGAAAACATCTGGGGAAGGGATGACCAGATAATGTGAGGTGAGGGCAAGACAACAGGAAAAGGTAAAGGGAGCCAATCTAACTCAGGAAAGAAATAATAAAAAAAAGTAAATCATATCAGAAATGAAGAGTAAATATATCATGAACATAGATGTAAAAAAGTTTCTGCCAATGAACTCCATCAATACACAAAAAAAGACAACACATCCTAAACAAGTAGGATTTATCCCAGGAATGTAAGGTTGGTTTAACATTTGAAAAGTCAACTGATGTAATCCATCATATTAATGGACTAAAAAAGTTCACATAATCATTTTAGTAAATGCAGAAGAGGCATCTGGCAAAATTTAATACCCATTCATAATAAAACTCAGAAAACCAGGAACAGAATGAAACTTCCTCAAGCTCCACGAAAAACCTATGGCTAACGTCACACTTAATGATGAAAGACTGAATGCTTCTCCCATGAATTAGAACACTTTTCTTACCACTCCTATCCAACATTTACTGGAGGTCCTGTTAGTACAATCAGACAAGAAGAAAAAATAAAAGGCATAAGATTGAATAGGAAAAGATAAAACTGTCTCTGTTCATAAATGACATGATTTATTTATGTAGGAAACTAGAAGGAATTTACAAAAAGGCCACTAGAAAGAAAAAGTAAGTTTAACAAAGTTGAAGGAAACAAGTTCAATATATAAAAATCAATTATATTTCTATATACTAGCAATAATAAAAAATTAAAATTAAAAATACTATTTACTGCTGGGCCCAGTGACTCACACCTGTAATCCCAGCACTTTGGGAGGCCAAGGGCAGGCAGATCACCTGAGGTCAGGAGTTCAAGATTAGCCTGGCCAACATGGTGAAACCCTGCCTCTACTAAATACACAAAAATTAGCTGGGCATGGTGGCGGGTGCCTCTAATCCCAGCTACTCAGGAGGCTGAGGATGGAGAACTGCTTGAACCCAGGAGACGGAGGTTACAGTGGGCAGAGATGACACCATTGCATTCCAGCCTGGGTGACAAGCGAAAAACTCTGTCTCAAAAAAAAAAAAAAAACTATTTACTATAACATCAAAAATTTGAAATACTTAAATCTGACAAAAGGTAAGATTTGTGCATAAAAAAATTATAAAACATTGCAAAAAGAAATTAAAGACCTAAACAGAGAGATATACTATGCTAATGGATTAGAAGACTCAATATTGTTTAGATGTCAATTCTCCCTCAAATTGATCTACTTATTCACTGCAATTCCAATAAAAATCTCAGCATTTTTTTTGTAGAAACTGACAAGCTGATTCTAAAATTTACAGGGAAATGTAAAAGACCAAGAATAGCCAAAACAAGCTTTGAAAAGAAAAAAAGTTGCAGGACTTAGGCCATCTGATTTCAAGACCTATTACGGAAAAAGTTTTTACATTGACTCTTAATTTACAACATATTTAAAAACGATCTCAAAATGAATTATAAAACTAAATGTAGGAACAAAAACTATAAGGCTTATATTTAAAAACATGCCAAAAAAATCTTTGTAACCATGGGGTTAAGCAAAGATTTCTTAGAACACAAAAAGCCTAAGTCATAAGAAGAAAAAAAACTGATGAACCTGACTTTATTGAAAACTTTCGACTGGGTGCAGTGGCTCATGCCTGTATTTCCCATACCTTGGTAGGCCAAGGCAGGATGACTACTTGAGCCCAGGACATTGAGACCAACTGGAGCAACAGAGTGGGACCCCATCTCTACAACAAATAAAAAAATTAGCTGGGTGTGGTGGTACACAGGTGTAGTCCCAGCTACTCAGGAGGCTGAGGTGGGAGAATCACTTAAGCCCAGGAATTTGAGGCAATAGTAGGCCTTGATTGTGCCACTGCACTCCAGCCTGGGTGACAGAGCAAGCCTTTGTTTCAAACAAAAAAACAAACAAAAACACCCTTTTGGTTTTTTTTGAAAACATTATTAAGAAAAGGCAAGCCATGGACTGGGAAAAAATATTTGCAATAAAGGATTTGTATCCAGAATATACAAAGAACTTTAACAACTCCATAATAAGACGATCCTCTCTCTCCCCCCAAAAACAACAAAAGGCAAAGATTTGAGCTGATACTTAAGTGAAAGATATATATGACCAATATGCTTATTTTAAAAAATGCTTAAAATTAGTAGTCATTAGGGAAATGCAAATTAAAATGAGACACTACTACACAGCGACAAGAATGGCTAAAATTGGTGAGGATGTGGAATATCTGGAATTCTCAAGCTTACCATATAACCTAGCAATAACATTCCTAGTTATTTACCAAGGAAAATCAAAAACATATGTCCAACCAAAGATGTATACACAAATGTTCATGGCAACTTTATCATAAAGATGAAACTGAAAACAACCAAACTCCCCCAACTTGTGAGCACGTCAACAAACTGTATATTCATCAATGGAGTATTACTTAACAACAAAAGGGAAATCAACTGCTGATATACACATTTCAAAAGCATTATGCTAATAGAAAGAAACCAGATACAAGATTCCATATTATGTAATTTCATTTATAAAAAATTATAGAAAAGGTACAATTATAGTGACAAAAAGACTGACTTACAAAGAACAAGGAAACAGACATCATAGTAAACATGGTAAGAAACATAGAGAATAAAATGAGAAAAAGAAAAATAAATAACTAAAAGAGAAACAGGATTTGCAATCACCACCAATTATGAAGGCTTTCTGCCAGAATATGAGCCTAAATCTGATTAAATCTATAATCTGCCTCCAATTTACAGGTAGAATCAGCAAGATTGAGACTGTGGGAAACTCCACACTAAAAGACTTAATTTCTTCTACAGATAAATTTTAAGGAACAAAACAGAGAAGGAGGAGGAGATAAATTTTAAGGAACAAAACAGAGGAGGAGGAGGAACCTATAGATTTAAAGGGACTTAAGGCACTTATCATCCAATTGCAATGTATGGGACCTTATTGGGACCCTGTTCAGACAAAGTAAACAGTACAAAAACATTAGACAACTGTGAAAATCTGACACTAATTGGTTATTTGCTGATATAAAAGAATTTGATGATTTTTTTTAACGATTAGAGAGAAAAACAGTATATAAAAGATAAACAAAGAGTCAATAAATGAATAATTGAAAACCCCAAAGAAGAAAAACAAAAACAAAACAATGGAACAGAACAAAAGAGGTTGCAGTGAGCCGCCGAGATTGTGCTACTGCACTCCAGCCTGGGCAACAGAGCAAGACTCCATCCCCCCACAAAAAAAAAAAAAGGAAAAAAAAAAAGGCTAGAGATGAATGCAGACTCTGCATCTGCAGATTTCCTTTATTACAACAGAATTCCACCAATAGCCTTGGCCTATTTATTTATTTTCCCAACAGCCCTGGCCTTTAACAGGGCCAGCTCCTCAAAAATGGCTGGAAACATTGGTAGTCTTGACAGAAAGAAACACAGACTTTCTAGATAGTTAAATGATTTTTAACATGCCAAGCTCTCAAATCCAGAGTACAAAAGTGTTTCCAAATGATGAGAAATAAATCAGACAGTCACTTATGCAAATTGTCATTGACAAATTTTATGAAATCTGCTTTAAGGGTCCAATTACTACTTTTTATATGCAGGGCTAAATATCCTGTATTTACAAATGAATGGACATGCCATTAAGGTCTAACAGCCATTTTCCTGAACCATAAAACTGAATAAAACCCACTGATGTTTCAAAAAGAATAAGACATTAACATTTTACTTCTTCATGCTCTCTTCCTTATTAAGGCAGAGAATTCATTGCTAAAAGGAGGTTGTCAAGGTTTATGTGATTATTTGTTCAGCATATATACTTCCATATTTCTTATACCAACCAAATATGCTAATTTCCCCCACCAAAATGTGAACTTTCAGTCAGGAGCTTTGTTTGGTTCACTACTCTAGCCCCAGTACCTAGAAATGTCTGGCTCATGCTAATGTTAAACAATGATTTGTTGAATGAATAAATGGATTTCAGTTAAAAATTTATCAAAAACGTTCTAATCCTAGAATCCAAGATAGTAAATAAGTTCTGGTTTCTTCATCGCATTTGGATGAGTTTCCCAACAAACTCCCTAGTGCCTCCAGAGTTGAAGCTGATAACTGAAAAGGCTTGCAAGAGCCAGGGCTCACTCTACATACAGCATCTGCCAATGTGTGAGGTTTGGTTTTCTTTTTGAGATGGAGTTTCACTCTGTCGCCCAGACTGGAGTGCATTGGCGTAATCTCGGCTCACTGCAACCTTGGCCTCCCAGGTTCAAGGGATTTGCCTGCTTCAGCCTCCTGAGTAGCTGGGATTACAGGTACCTGCCACCATGCTCAGCTCATTTTTGTATTTTCAGTAGAGACGGGGTTTCACCATGTTGGCCAGACTGGTCTTTTGAACCCCTGACCTCAGGTAATCAGCCCGTCTCGGCCTCCCAAATGCTGGGATTATAGGCATGAGCCACTGTACCTGGCCCAATATGTGAGTTTTTAACCAGTGCTAAATGGAATGTTCTCTTGTTGGTTCTAAGGCAAACTGTTGTCTCAACATCAAGCTAGGGACCCAGATTGCTTACCTATTTTTGTTAAACTGGATTGCAAAATCTGTCATGTGCTGCAGAGCTTTATTGGTGAAGTTCATTTCCATATAGATGTGCCCTTGGCGGTGAGTAAATGTTCCGGAAATCTCCAAGCCTTTAGCCTTTACTGCAGGTAGCCAGACCTGAAACACAGTATAAAGCTCAATAGAATCAGACAAGATTTATCTTGATGCTATGCATTTTTTAACAAATAAAAAACAAATTAAGATTAACAATTAAGTGAACAAATTCACTTCCTTAGGCAATTATAGTAATTTTTATACTATAAATATCAAGCCAGTGCAAAAGACTCCGGATAGAGTCTTATTTTCTGAATTTTGAGATCGTTCTCAATTATTTAAGAACCAAATAATAATAATTTTAAAAAACCAGTCTTTAAACGACCCTGGCTTCTGCTCTACCTTCTGTTCAGCTTGGTTATTTTACTACTTTTAAGTACTGCTACCAAGAGGAAAAGAAAAATTCCAATGAGCATAATGTGTTTTTCTGTTAGTTTTGGTAAAATGGTTTAAAGGGAAGAAACTGCATCTACTAATGAAAACAGCATGGCTGTAATCTTTGAAGATTTTTTTTCATCATTTCCAACCAAAGCCATTATTGGTAATTCCCTTAAAGGCATCGACTATGTCTTATATACGTTTTTAACTCTTGCTATAGTTTGTGGTAAATAGTAAATACTCAGATATTGCTCATATAATCTGAATGCCTATTCTTTTTATCTACCTAAATAATTCATAACACGCCCCTTGGTCCTGGAACCTGTGGTATACCTGGCCTATACTATTAAAAAAATAAAGATAAAAAAATTTAAGGCCAGGCGTGGTGGCTCACGCCTGCAATCCCAGCACTTTGGGAGGCTGAGGAGGGCAGATCACGAGATCAGGAGATGGAGACCATCCTGGCTAACATAGTGAAACCCCGCCTCTACTAAAAATACAAAAAGAAATTAGCTAGGAGTGGTGGCGGGCGCCTGTAGTCCCAGCTACTGGGGAGGCTGAGGCAGAGCTTGCAGTGAGCCAAGATCACGCCACTGCACTCCAGCCTGGGCGACAGAGTGAGACTCCGTCTAAAAAAAAATAAAATAAAAAAATCAGGAGTCATGAGCTGTTCTGACCACCTAAGACAGAATACCAAAGGATCTGTGGGTGGTGAATAATCATGATAATGTACTCAGCCATACTAAAAGAGTGGCAGGTGGTGGGGAGGACCAGGGAATAACCTAAATGTTCATCAACAGAGGAGTGATTAAATAAATTATGGTGTATCAATTCAGTAGATATACGGATTCAAAAGAATATGGTAGAGAAAAACCAAGGTGCAAAATAGTATATCCCACTGACACGGAATGTTCAAAGGATACAAATATACAGCTATGGGCATGATCTTTTTCTTTTGAAAGGACACACAAGAAAGTTAACAGTGGCTATACATGGGAAATGGGGGCAGGGGGAGACAATTTTCCTTCTTACATTTTTACATTATTTACGTTGGTCATTTGTATACAATACTTTTATGTTAGTAAATGAGTGCATTAGATAACTAATAATTAAAAGTCTGAAGATAATATCCCATATAGTAAACCTTACAACAAAGCTACCGAGTTGTGCCAAAACACTATGGCTCAATTTTGAATATCTTCGGTTTTGCTATGTACTGTAATAACTATACACACTCAGTTATCACAGTTACAACTCCTGGAATGGACAACTGGTCTACATCTCTATAGCAGGGATCCCCCATAAGGAGTCAGATTAGAAAGCAGAGAATTCAGCCAAATTGGTCCTCAGAAAGGTAAGACTGTATGAAGCCTGGCCTAGCCTGGATGGTGCTTTTCCCAAGGGCTTAAATGAGCTTCATTAACCGGGAGTTTCCCCTCTTGAACTTCAATGTGAGTGACATCAAGTAAGGTTAAGACAAGACAAGAAGAGCCCCAGTGACACAAACCTAAATTGGAACTCTAAAAAGGTACACTAAAATCCATGAAAACCACATCTGAGCAGTGGCATTCTAGAATCCATACGTAATACCAATGGGGAAAGAGGAATAAGAGAAATGACTTCTCTGCATTTTTTTCTCCTGCTGCTGCACTACATACCACTAGATTTTCACTAGATTGACTTCAATGTTGACAAACTAGACAATATTTCTAAACATGAGAACAAAACTCAAATAATTAATATGTCAAATTTTAAGTCTAATTATAAAAATGTTTAACAAGGATGCTAATGGTGCTTCCTACTGCTAAGTTTGAAGCCACCTTTCATCTTCCTCTAAGTCCTCCAGAACAAGGGCCCAAACCTTTGATTTATTACCAGTAGAAGTAACACAAATGTTGAAAGTGAAACAGTTTGGGTCCTGTCCATTAAGAAAGTATTGCTATGTTAACTCTTTACTTACAGCCTTAGGAGCCACATATCCACCAGGTGCCATGCCTATCCCTGTGGAGAGTTCAAACAGGTCATTCAGTCCACTGCTGACCACAGCAGGTGTAGGTGAAGGAGCAAAGGTTGCAGGCACCGATGATGGGATGAAGGATTGTCCCACCTGCAGGAGAAAAAAAAAAGGGAGAGGGGAGATTGGGAAGAACAGATTAACAGTCCTTAAAATATTGCTATATATCTTAGTAGTTTTGATAAATCAATAAGAAAACACCATAATTACAATATTCTTAGGAGTCAAATTAGTATATTCTTCATCTTTTTAATCATGACAGTTATTTTTTCGTCATTGATAAGAACACACATTCTTTAGAAGCTTTATCAAGAGAGTACTCAGTAGGATACAGGAACACAGTGATCCAAGATTTTGTATTTGTTTCCAATTTTAGCTTCCATGATTCTGTGCAAAAGGCCTACGGGTACCCTAAGAAAGGAGTTTGTTTTTATAGAAAGAGGGAGAAGTATCCAACTTAAACAGCAGTTCCATTTCCACCTGGGTTCAGCAAAGTCTTATTTCCTTTCCCATTTAGGCATAAATACCTAGTAGGAAGCTCTCCTCAGGGAGATGGACATTCACACCCCTGAAACTAACTCATTTACGAGGAGAGTCTCACTCTGAGTCCAGCTGACCCTCTCAAGTTCTTTCTAGGTGACACCAGGGAATAAGCATTCTCCAGTCAAGATGGAAGGGTCCATTTCCTTTAGCTCTTTAATATCAGAAAGACAAAGATCTCTATAGGCACTGGAACATTAAACCTTAAAGATGTCTCTACACCATGTGGTGCATGACCCCAACAATTCCAAGTAACCCTATACTACTTTCTACTACCCATATACTGTTATAGAGGTTTTGGTGTGCAGTGCTAGACAGCAGCAGTGGCTGGTCTGATAATGTGTACATAGGAAAGGCATCAAACAGGGGGCAGTGCTTCTCATGGTGAAAAAAACAGATGGCACTTACTGCCGGACTTCCTCCAATGCCCCCGCCAAGGTCACTGCCAAGCTGAAAGAGAGAAAGGAGAGAGAGGAGAGAGAGGTAGAGTTCATTTAGCTAAATACTAGATGCCCATATAGAATCTGTAAATTGCTCTACCAAGTTGCTGGAAATACATGCCATTCAACTTGTCTCCCAAAGCCTAAAAAAATTCTAGATTACAAAGAAATATGTACTAGGGGAACTAAGTGGTGGTAGTGATGGTGTATCAGTTTGGAGAAAACTTGTAAAGAAGACGGAGCTGGGACATCTCAGGGATGTTTCAGATCCAATCTTTGCACTGGGGTACACAGGCACAAACCCAAACAAGATTTAAAGAGTTTGCATATTCTAAGACGCTCTATCCCCAAGCGGCAATATTTCGAATATGCTTTATTTTTTCTTTAAAAGGAAACTTATAGTGGGGGGCGGACGGAAAGGGTGGGGAGGTGTTGGAAAAGGAAAAGCCAAAAAACAAAACAATTAATGTGTTTTAATTTACAAAACCTGCTGCCCCACTGAAAAAGTAAGAGCCAAACTAGTATTGAGCTGCAACTTCAAGCTGCAAAAATTATAGGTGGAACAAAAGTGATTTTTAGAGTTTGGAATGTTCCTAAAAAAGAAAATATCTGAACTATCTAAGGAGGAAGTGGGGAAGCATGCAGTGCTTCAAATCTCTTTCACAGTCAATTCTACTAAGGAGAAATGTGGATTTATTTGGAGATCATTTAAAAAGGATGTTACGCATTAGAGAATCAGACTAACTGAATTACCTAGCTGACAAGAAAATAACTCCACATGGTCTTAGTCTTGCTTTTTTTCTCAGGATTCTGATAGATATAATTCACTCTGAAGTCGGTCTTCCTTGACAAAAACATTAAAGAACTCAAGCTGAAAATAGGTGGCATATAGGCAATGTAAAACACACATAAACACAACTAATGGAGCTGTTTAAAAAGCAAAATCTACTTTTTGCTACAGTTCCACAGTTGTTTCTTCCCTAGTTCTTACTGTGCATCTAAAACACTTCCTTGAATCATCAAATGCCTTGTCTGTTCTAAGCACATTCTCCTTTATAGTCATTTAGTGGTAGAAAGTTGCAGGTCGTTGAGCTGTAAAAATTATTTTGCATCTTTAAGATTGGGGAAAGAGGATTTATCTTCTCAATGAACAGAGAGTAGTACATAAAATGGCATTCTCAAAAATCTAAAAATTAATCTTAAATATTGAAAAATAGTGACGACTACAACAAAGTTCTGTTTAAACCATGAAAGAAAATAACCCTGGTAGGTGCTTCATAACTGGCATTAGCAAGCATGCTCTGTTGTAAACTATAAGCATTCCAAACCAGAGCTAACATTTCCAGAATCTGATTCCTGAAGACTACTTAATGGTTGCACAGGGGATGAAAATCACATACTTAAATAAATAAAAAGATCATCCTTGGCTGGGCGTGGTGGCTCATGCCTGTAATCCCAGCACTTTGGGAGGCCAAGGTGAGCGGATCATGAGGTCAGGAGTTTGAGACCACCCTGGCCAACATGGTGAAATCCTGTCTCTACTAAAAATACAAAAATTAGCAGGCTGTGGTGGCAGGCGCCTGTAATCCCAGCTACTCGGGAGACTGAGGCAGGAGCATCCCTTGAACCCAAGAGACGGAGGTTGCGGTGAGCTGAGATCATGCCATTGCACTTCATCCTCGGCAACAAGAGCAAGACTCCATCTCGGAAAAAAAAAAAAAAAAGGCATCCCCAAACCAAGAATTTGAGTAACTAGAAAAGTGTGAAGGGAATAGAAAAGATACTACACATCTGCTTTCTCCCTAGTTCTATCATAGCACACATCTGCAGCATGACGTCTGAAATTCCTTTTATTCAAACAAACATTTACATAACATTTACTGGATGCAAGGCATTACAAGGGATATAAAGATGCCTGGCAATGAGGGGACTACATAGATAAGAATGAAGCTTTGCAAACTAGCTGGAGAAATAAAACACAAATGCAAAACCATACAGAATATACTAAAGCAAAAAAGCGAAGTTCTGAAGGGAAGAACCTCCCTCTGGCTGAAAGAATGAAGAGAAACTTCAAAAAGGTGGTAGGGTGGAATTATAAAAAGCAAAAATGGGGGAAGGCCATTTCTCAAATAGCATGAACAAAGGTGAAGAAAGCATGGAAGAATGAAAAGGCCAGTTAGACTGGAACACAGGGTTGATATGTGTTTTAAAAAAATACTCATACAAAATAAGTTTGCAAAGGCTGTCTTTTAATTTTTTAATTTCCCCTTCATAAAAACCTGGAGGTTTCTTAGACTAAGCTTTCTAAGAATACTAATAACTATGTCAATTATGTTTCAGTAGTATGGTTTCAACCTTGGATACACAATGGAATCAACCATCTGTGTGTGGGGGTTGCAGAGAGTAGCGCTTTAAAAAGTACTCGCCCCCAGAGATGGTAATTTAATTGTTCTGGGGTGTAGCCTGGGCATCAGAATTTTGAAAAGCTTCCCCAGTTGATTCTAATGTACAGCCAAGGTTGAAAACACTGCCGTTAGAGAATCAGTTATTTAGAGTCAGACAAGACTTCATCTGCTCAGAAATGACTTTGGAACTTGTGAATAAAAAGGAAGTCAGGATTTGAGCAGAGAGGCCGGGCGTGGTGGCTCACACCTGTAATCCCAGCACTTTGGGAAGCCGAGGCCGGTTGATCACCTGAGGTCAGGAGTTCAAGACCAGCCTGACCAATATGGTGAAACCCGTCTCTACTAAAAATACAAAAATTAGCTGGGCCTGGTGACGGGAACCTGTAGTCCCAGCTACTCAGAAGGCTGATACAGGAGAATTGCTTAAACCTGGGAGGCAGAGGTTGCAGTGAGCCGAGATCATGCCATTGCACTACAGCCTGGGCAACAGACCAAGACTCCGTCTCAAAAAAAAAAAAAAAAAAAAAATTTGAGCAGCGAGGAAAACCCATGGAAAGGATCCTACGAAAAATGTTTCATTTGTCCTGATACTCTGAGGTGGTTTTCGACTTTCTGATGGGCTTACCCCCTCTCACCGCAACTTATTCTCCCCTCTTCTGGCTAGGCTTATAATCCAAGATTCAAAGAGATAGAATTCTTTATGAACCTGCTTGGCACAGAACAGCAAGAAAGAAAAACACATTGGAAAGGAAACAGCAGTTTTGCTAAATTCAATAAAAGGCATTGAGAAAAGAGATTCATGGGTAGTGTTTAGACCAAAGGAAAGAAAGCACATTCATAGCCCTTATTTTCTTAGATTTCATTCTTTTTATCGTTGAATGATATATGAATATTATCTTAGCTGGAAAGGATCTGAAAGTACTGTCCCCCAGTGCTTGTCAATTTTATTCAAAATCATGAAGAACTGAAAAGCAATCTTGACATTCCTCTGTTTATGTTCAGTATATCAGATACAACTCAGCTAGAAACATGAACTCTGATCTGACACAAAGACAGGGTCCAAAAGATATCAGAGACACAGCCAGGGATACAAAGGTTCACCTAATTGTACTATGTTCAGAGAGCAAAGGGAAAGGACAATTTCAATACTATACATGTTTTCTAACTAGCAAGACTACAGCTTATGCGGACTATTCAGCAACTTCCCTCTTAACTGAAAAATATTCTAATGGAGATTATCCTACTCTCTGAAACCATGGCAAGGTGACAGCATGATGATGGGTGTGAGTGACTAATAGGGAGATGTCAGCAGGAATGGAAGCGAATTACCCAGTGAGTGGCCTCTCCTATCTACAAGTGATAAACAGGAGGAAGGAGATACTCATCAAGAAAAAAGAAAGCTAGAAAGTGAACAACTACACAAGAAAGTTGTTGTATATCAGCCTGAACTAGACAGTAGCTATTTCAGTTCAGTTGGACACTATTTGTTTAAAGAAAAAAATTTACTTCATTGTTCAGGCTGGGCTCTAACTTCCTGGGCTCAAGCGATTCTCCCACCTCAGCCTCATGAAGTGCTGGGATTACAGGTATGAATCATTGCACCCAGCCTGAGATTATTGGGATTCAGGTTCATCTGTCTGGACATACTCTAAGCCCATACTTATCAGGTAGGGTACAAAATCAATCAAACTAGAACTTGTAAAACTCAGAGTGATATCTGTTATCCAGTGAGCTGGTAGGAGACAGGAGGGAAAAGGAATAGGAGTGCAGGGTATGGCTTTGATCCTGATCTTAAATGTCTAGATACTGTGTTTTAAGTGTCTCTTGGAGGTGTCCACTCACTATTGTTCCCAGGATTGCCTTACTGAGGCTGCCATTTTCTCCATGAAGAAAATGATGTCAATTATAGGTCAACTAAATCAGATACAGAAAGAAGGGGGAAAGACGGCAACTTCAGGAAAAGAATATTTCAAATACTGAGAATTGAACAGTCTGTATTAAAAATCTGTAACTGATACCTAAATCCAAATTTTCTGCTAGTGGTGTAGTCCCCCATAATTGCTGTAGTCATTAAATGGCACTGAGAATAATACTAACATTTGTCTACTGCCAAAGAGTGGTCACTTTACCACATCTGAAGTAATGCTGAGTGGAACTTGGTTCATGTTAAACTACACAATAATGTGTCATTGCACAATAATGTTCAGTAACTGGACAGAAAACAGGGGTTTTATGGTGACTTATTGTAACTTATGGGCTAAAGGGATTTCGGCATGGTTACATGAGCTCTGTAGAGCCAGGTAGAGCCAAAAGTCTCAGAGCTGAGCCCGCATACAGGCTCAGTTCAGCTATAGATAACAAAAGGAAATGCCCCTGTCCAATGGCAATGTGCTACAACAGCAGAAATACAGAGAAGGAACTCAAGATTGAAGTTATATAGGGGAATAAATCCGCCTGACTCCAAGAAAAGAAAATTTGAAAAGGAATTTTTAAATTTTATAAAGGAATATCATCTGAGATAACCACTGAGCGGACTGGAAAAAAAATCCCACAAATTATCATAATGACTGATCTGGGTTAGCCCCTTTGACCTATGTCTGGCCAGTCCAAAGTACATCTGTTTGCTTCTAAAACTGTGGAGCTGTCTAGGTATCTGAAGACATTCTCTTAACTGCAGGTGTATATCTTAAGCTCAGACATTTCTATGCTCCTGTTTAGAGCTAGTGTCTCTTTTATTTACTGTTTTCTAGAACTTACTGAATTGAAGGGAATCTAAGGAATGCTCCAAGCCATATAGCTTACCAATAGCTCTATTATTCAGGAGTCAACAGAATGGTGCAAAAATAGTATACAATGATTCCCTTCACAAACAATAAAACTTAACTATCGTCAAAATCCTATTGGTATCAAAACCATCAGTGTGTGTCTTTCTAACAGAGTTTAAATTTTAGATGGCACACAGTATCTTGTAGGTTAAAGTATGGTTTTTAGCTACTAGGCTGCAAATTTTAATATGATCTTCAAAAAGCTATTCAAGGCTGGGCATAGTGGCTCACACTTATAATCCCAGCCCTTACGGAAGCTGAGGCAGGTGGATTGCCTGGGCCCCGGAGCTCAAGACCAGCCTGAATAACATGGCAAAACCATGACTACAAAAAATACAAAATTTAGCTGGGTGTAGTGGTGGGCGCCTGTAGACCCAGCTAGTTCGGAGGCTGCGGTGGGAGGATCACCTGGGCCCAGGGAGGTCAAGGCTGCAGTATGTCGTGATAGTGCCACTGCTTTCTAGCCTGGGTGACAGAGTGAGATCCTGTCTCAAAAAAAAAAAAAAAAAAGCTATTCCAAAAAGCATCATAAAATATAATTAATCAAATTGGTGGAAAGACTCTGTAACCATGCAAAAGCTAATAAACTGATGGCTAAGAGCAGACTTGATAAGGAATAGCATAAACGCATTGAGATCATATAAAAATCATCAGAAGACTCCATAACCTGAGGGGGGAAAAGGCTTCTATCAGTGGAAAAGTAGGGGGATGGAACGGATTACTTCCTGATGTAAGACAAAAAGTCCTTAGAATGGTCACCACAGGTCTCTTAGGTCAGACAGAACTCAATGATGAATATAGTAAAAATCAACAAGAGAACCTCTTTATTCTGTCTCACTTTGTTTCACAGCATTTGCTACTTTATCATTTGTCTCCCCTACGCGAATGTAAGCTTCCAAGGACTGTTTCGTAAGGTTGCAAGGACCATTCTATATGCCTAGTACACAGAATAGAGCCTGAATACTAGGCACTCAAATATTTACTTATTGAATGAATGAATGTTTCGTAAATATAAATTTATGGCTACTGGCAGTAATATATATATGGCTACTGGCAGTATTTCCTGGGAGACAATCTTGAAGTGAATCATTTTATTAGGGAAAATTATCACCAAAAGGACAAAAGCCTGACAAAATTGTTTACTTAGAGCACAATATCTGCATCAACATTGACAAACATATGAATAGAACCAACTGAGGAAAAAAAATGAACACCCATTAGCCATGTGTGCAGCATGTGCCTGTAGTCCCAGCTACTTGGGAGGCTGAGGTTAGAGGATCACTTGAGCTCAGGAGTTTGAGGCTGCAGTGAGCTATGATCACACCACTGTACTGTAGCTTGGGTGACAAAGCGAGACCTTGTCTCAAAAAAATAAATAAACAAACATCTCCCAGCCGGGTCAAAACTCATTCTAGGGAGGAAATGTATTGTTTGAGTGGTTTTGATAGGAAATTTTCAGAAGAAGAATGCCTGCACATCATTTAACTGCCCTCAAAGTACTACTGCTTTATTACAGCTCACTGGTGAAGAGATGGGAAACGGAGATTTTTGTGGTTTTACTTAAATGAAAATAAAATGACCAGGCATAGTGGCTCATGCCTGTAAATCCTAACACTTTGGGAGGCTGAGGTGGGAGGACTACTTGAGCCCAGGAGCTCAAGGTTGCAGTGACCCTGTCTTTAAATAAATAAATAAGGATAAGATGAACAATCTGTTCCTCTTGCTGCAAGAAAGGTGCATGAACTTACTCATTATTCAGTCTCTTTTCTTCATGAATGAACACACTTCTGTAGTCCTTCTCCAACTTTCATGTGACACATTAACCCAAACTCATATACTCAGGGACCTGGGATGTACACCATCAAGAGGCCCAGGGCAAGCAAGCTGTATTTTTTATCTTAAAGTCATGCAATTTTACATTCTAAGTGGTAACACACCAGTGTATATTCTGTTTACATTATTTACCATCAAGTAAGACTGACACTGCAAGACAATGAGCCATATTTATTCTGCAGCTTCAAATGCACCCTGCACTCTGCTGTGTACTCCAGAGACTGCATTTCCCAGTTTGAGAAGGACCAGTTAGGTGAAACTGTATTCTATTCTGCAAGATGACAATAACAAACAAACTGGAAAATCATAGGACAGTATAAAGTGTACAAACTTTGAAGTTTTAAAGAAGCCCTGGGTTCAAATCCCAACTCTGCAACTTACTGTATGACCTTCAGTTTTCTGTAAAATGGGGTCCAATACCAATTATCTTCTTGAGTTGTTCTGAGGATTAGAAATTATAAAAATTCTAGCACAGGGACTAGAACTCAGAAATTAGTAATTATTCTCAAAACTGTCTGAGGCCAGCCTTGACTAAACGTATGCACTGATACAAAGATGGTGGTTATGGAAGCCTCACTGAGAAATTTAACAGGCAACAACTTACAAAGATCTTTCCACATAACACAAACTCTAAAAACTAAACTTTTAAGTCATTGCAAAGCTCCTCCAAAGGAAGAAAAATAAAGATGCAAAACTAGTATAGATGATGGATTTCCTGTGGGCTAAAAAATCTCAAAACTATTAATAAATAGCTTATGACTTAATAATCTGAAAGGTAAAAACCTGAAAGAAACAGTGGGAAAAACATGGACTGAGGGTCAGGAAAAGG
Source organism: Homo sapiens (assembly GCF_000001405.40). Lineage (NCBI taxonomy): Eukaryota > Metazoa > Chordata > Mammalia > Primates > Hominidae > Homo > Homo sapiens. Next base: position 35,662,974 of record NC_000017.11, on the reverse strand, counting down.
CAGTTTCTCTTCAATTCCATACCACTCAAGCTGGGCACACAGCATATTTCTCCAGGATGAAATCCTTCATCAGCACAGAGAAAGGGCACTTTGGATAATTCTTCCTTTCCATTTTTGATATACACAATAGCACTGTTTATGTAAAAGAATAATGCACAGCACCTTGGATGAACAAAAGGCTGTAATTTAGCCAAGGCCTCTGCTGACAGATTGGAAGTAAAGGCAAGAAAATAACTGAGATTCAATTATTACTTCAGTGATCCTCGCAGATGTCAGACTCATGAGCACATAACACATATGCAAGAGTTATACACATGGGCATCAGGTCACCTCCCACACTACACCAAACCAGAAGGATCTGCACGGTGAGAAAAATCACACTACTCAGAACGAGCAGTTTCTTAGATTAAGTACCAGAGTCATAAAAAAAAAAAAAAAAAAACAAACCCAAACCCAAAAAACTCCACATACATGGCTTCCAAAGGAAACAAAAAAAGCCCAAATAACTACTTTGCAAGCAAGCCTATACCTAACTAGTAAACTGTCATGCTCTACATGTAGAGCAGATCAACTGCATAAACTACATTACTTGAATTTACTCCACATCAAAGCGATAGTTCAGTTTGTACTGACAGATGGAATAAACTACCTGTAGAGTACAAGCAAAAGAGAATATGCTGAAATGCGATAAAAAAATAAGGATGTTTCAGTAAGGAGACTAAAAAGAATAGGTAGAAATCCATTTTTATCCAAGTCTTGAGATGAAGAGGCATTCCATTCAAAGATGTCTGCTTTCTTTAAAAAAGCATACAAGAATCAATCACCTGGGGAGCTACAGTATGTTTACTTTCTTTATATCACAGCAATGGCCCACCCTACTCCTCTTTAAAGAATCACCAATGTTGAGAGTCACTACTATTGATGGAGGAAGGCCACAGCTTTCAGGAATGTTGTGGCAAAACATTCCTGACTAGAAATATCAACAAATAAATAATAAATTGATAAGTATTTCCTGACTGTGACAGTTCTACTAGGTTGGAGCAAAAGTAAATACTGTTAATGGCAAAAATCGCAATTACTTTTGCTCCAACCTAATAAGAAAAGGTCACAACTCACTACATCTTAACGCTGGCCGAATTTTATGAGTGTGACAGTAAAAGAAGATGAAACAGAACAAGATCTAAGGGAAGATCACCAGGCTATGAAAAAGGAAGAATAAAAATATCTTCTCATGAATATCAAGTTTTAAGATAGAAGAATAGAAAATGGTTAGACAATCCAAAATATAAAATGCCCTCAATTTTCGGTCTCCAATTATGGCAAGTAAGCAAGGATAAAAAGGACCCTGGGACTGAGCGACCATATCTAAATTGGTCAAATTCAACTTCCAGTCAACTTCTGACACGATGGATAACCTCACAGAATATCATAACAGAAAAATATTCAGGGGGAAAAGAACAAAAGTAAAGTCAGAGATATCTGTTTTTGTAGGAGGTGCCAAAGAGGATCTCGAGAATATGATTCTTCTGTGGCGGTCACTGTCTTGGCTTAGAGATCAGTTTTTAACATCTCTACCTAACTCCATTTGGAATTTCATTTGGTTTAATGTTCTCAACACTGGCTGCAAGATTAAAATAACCCAGGTAACTTTTTAAAAATAGCAATGTCTAGGTCCTGCCTCCCAGAGGTGGTATTTAATTACTCCTGGACTCAAGTATTGATAGTATTTTTTTTCTTTATAGTTTCAATGGCTAGAGAGTATTTTTTTTTAAACTGGTAATTATGTGGGACCAATTCTGCAGATAGAGTTGAGAACCATATGGTCATCAGGAACCAGGCAATACTTTGTTAGCAGTACACCACTGGCCTCTATGGGTGAGGTTCTGTTAGAAACCCATGATAAAAATAGAACCAACAGTCTAGTGGCCTGGTTGATAGCCTTCCTGAAATGATCACTGAGCTAACCTAAACGCTGCTTCCCAAACCACCACACAATTCTAACTATGGCCATATTTTAAACAGGGGTTTGGGTTGAATTCTACCACTCCTAGCTACACTATTCTCCCTACAGGGCAAAAGAAAGAGCTTTAACAAAATAATTTAATAAGTTTCTTGCCCTCTGAATTAATTTAAGGGAGAGGAGGAGCCCTCTTTCCAGAAGTCTGTTTACTACTGAAGTCAAGAGAAAAAGGGCCAGGCGTGGTGGCTCACGCCTATAATCCCAGCAATCTGGGAGGCTGAGGGACGTGGATCACCTGAGTTCAGGAGTTCGAGACCAGCCTGGCCAACATGGTAAAGCTCCGTCTCTACTAAAAATACAAAAAATTAGCCGGGCGTGGTGGCGGGCACCTGTAATCCCAGCTACTCGGAAGACTGAGGCAGGAGAATCGCTTGAACCTGGGAGGTGAGGTTGCAGTGAGCCAAGATCACACAACTGCACTCCAGCCTGGGCAACAAGAGTGAAACTCCACCTCCAAAAAAAAAAAAAAAAAAGAGAGAGAAAAAGAAAAAGGTATCTGAGCATCTAGGTAGCTACAGTTCAAACACTAAACTGAAGTAGTTCACAGTGGTCACAAGATATTCTATGTCCTTACTATGCAAAATGTGGCCCATGGACCAGCAGCTTCAGTGTCACCTTGTTAGAAACGCAGACTCTAGGTCTCACTCCAGACCAACTAAATCATCTCTTGCAGGCTCAGTGTGCTGGCTCACACACCTGTAATCCCAGCACTTCCAGAGGCCAAGGCAGGGGGATTGCTTGAGCCCAGGAGTTCAAGATGAGCCTACGCAACATAGTGAGAACCCATTTCCACAAACTAAACAAAACAAAACAAACCCTCTCTTGTACAAAATCTTTAGGAGATTCAAGGTATATAATTTATTTTGAGAAGCACTCTGTAAGGCAAGGATGCATTCAAAAAATGGCTTTGAGGATTAATCTTCTCTTTAGGTAATTTGCATAAGAACAATAAAAGCATTTTAAAAGTCCACTGCCGCCTTAGAAACTCATCTTCTTCCACACAGGCAAATTTAGGTCTTCCTTGTGATGTTCTCGAAAAAGGAACCTTGATTCTCTGAGTGAATATATATTTAACCACATACGGATCCAAAGCAAAAATAAGGGCTTTAATTTCTTCTCATCTTGATTTCTGGGATATCTTTCAATCTCAGAATAAGCTGAAGAAAACTGCACTGTAAACAATTTCTGGGGCTGTAACACCAAGGATACCATTTTAGATCCCAAAGTCAGGAAATGTTAAAATTTAGAGTTACATAAAAACATAACTGGGCCTATCTAGCAAAGGTTGCATATTTAGAAATCCAATTAGAAAAACAACAACTTTCCCATCCCCAAAAGAATATCCCTTATATAAAAAAAAAGGAAATAGGCCTGTGTGCAACTTTGGCTACTACAATCCAAGCAGGTTCTAACAGCTTTTCCCTTTGATACAATACTTGCAGGAATTCTAATGCAGATGACTGGGCAGCTATGTAAAATATGATGACAAAACCCATTGGTTTTGGAGTTGGCATGAGCTAATACAAAGTCAAATGAAAGTAACATGTCTCTTTTTTTCTATGTTTATAGTGGGTCAAGCAGGGTCCTGGGTCTGGCAACATGAAAAGGCAGGGCCTCTTTCTCCCCTCTATCCCTTGAACTTTGTTTCTCATTTTTAGGTTCAATGAGTCCACCTTTACTAAGCTTCCCCACCAGGGAATGTAATAAACTTGAGGAGGATGCAATATTTAATTTGTGGTTGAATGTGAACAGAAAAGGAAGAGCTATTTTAATTTTATAAGGGATTCTTAGGAGCCTCCATGAACATTTAAATATTTGTCACTCTCCGGAGTCTATAAGGAGGCTATACAGCAATATAAGTAGAATGATCATATGAGGAAGCTATTCAGTCAGTTTCAATCATTAAAGATATGAATATAAAAAGTATTTGCTTATATTCCCAAGAAAGACAACAGAAGTGCTCATTTGTGTCAATATAAGCTGGAGTCCACAGCTTGGTCAATGTATAAATTCTAGAAGCAGTGATTTTCCATTAGTAAAATGCACAACCCACAGAGATATGACTATAACCCTATTTCCTTAGACTCTCTGCTAGCCAAAAAGTAAATGAACCTCTACTGGCTGGTATAAATCCCAGACATAAAACTCCTCATAAAGTAGAAGAGAAGATGCCAGTATATGCAGCAGAGAGTGCAGTTGTTTTGTGTCTGTCATCTCTGGGAACACATATTTTCATATCTAAGATGTCAGCCCTCCAATGATATTGGTAAATAAATCGTTGTTGGGCATCTTTATAGTCATTGGGTTGACAAAAATCTCTTTTGCAAGGGTCTAGCTAGAAAAGCCTCTCTAATTCCACCACAGTTAAGTACCTACTATGTAGGCAGTCTTGTAATAGACTTGTTATTTTTCTGGCCTTCTCTTCATAGATTGATGGTCACCCTTAAAATTCATTTATCTTGTACAGAAACAAAAAATAATTTTGGTTCCCATTGGTGGCAAATGTTCGCAGGTATTCTGGACTTTGGAGCCTTTTAGTATTAGAATCCTGGAAGCTAATTAAATTGGAAGTATGATAGAATGGAGTAGGTGGGGAAGAAGGGAAAAAAAGAACCAATCAAGCAGCCCTTCCCAACTGTAATAAAGGTACATTTTACTTAAAAAAAAAAAAAGAAGAAGAAGAAAAAAAAAGGCTGCCTCAAAACCTTTCAGAATTAGGGCATAAGTAAATAAAATATTAAAAAGGCAAAGGTTTGAAAGCCTCAAAATAGGATGATTTGTGTGAGGTCACTTTAATGCCGTTCAGGTCAAAAGGAGAATTTATGTGGGCTATCCAGAGTTAAGAGCTAGGAACAATAATAAACTCTGGAAAAGATACTAAACATTAAAATTGCTGAACAATAGGATGGTTAAATGTCAAAAGTTCTATTTAGAGGCAGGACAATGAAATAATCCCATACACTTGCAGACATACCCCATTACCGATGATGAACAGTATTAATTATAATTTTGTCTTACTAAAGACAAAGAATCCTGTCCTTTATCAAAGGACACTACTGCTCATCAAGGAAAGGTCTAGTTCTAAAAAGCTGAATAATTTAAAACTCTCTAGCATATCAAGAACTAAAAATAACCAAAAGAACAAGGGAAGAAAGATGCTTACCAGACTATCTAGTCCTCCTCCTAGGAGATCCACTGCTCCCATCTGCATGGAGGACACCTGTGGCACATTGACTGGGGGACCGAGGTCAAGGTTTAAAAGATCCCCTAGAAGATCACCTTGAGAGGGGATAACCTGAGGCTGTTCCAGGTTCGTTGCAGTGGTAGTGCCAACAGGGCTGTCACCTGCATCAGTGCTAAAGTCACATACACATAAAATGGAGAAAAGAGAAAAGTCAGTTTCACCTAGGACATAACATCGCAACAACAGTGAAACATATAGCTATATATAACTATCAAATACAAGGGGGAAAAACTCTCTGATTTTATAACCATTTGTTTATGTTCATGAAGAGATAATAGCAATTCTTATTTTTATCAAAATACAGCTGCTAAAATGAAAATAAATTATATTATGTAAACCTTGTCAGTTATATAATATAATTGGTCAATTTTAATTAAACGTCTATGAGGGAACACTGTAAGGAGAATTCTATGGTTCTCTGTAGAAACTGTAAAATATATGGTTCCTGCCCTGAATGGCTCACACACCAACAAAAAAATCAGCATTTACAAAATGAATAAAAAGCAAGTTTACTGTGTAACAGCAGAAACATGTATTGTGTGTCTGCATAATTGATAGGATATGAGAGAGAAACACAACAAAATCAACGGTGCTGATTCTAAAAGCTTCTCGGAATGGTTTTATGAGGAACTACCAGAGAGAAACCTCCAAAGAGGAAGAGAAGGTTTGTACAAAGGCACAGAAATGAACAATTTGACTTTAGGGGTGGTGAAAAAATTATATTGGCAGGAGCAGAGTTTGGGATTGGTAAAATTTGGAGGAAGAGAGAATAAGGAAAATAAAACTTTGAAAACTAGTCTGGAGAGTTGATTTTTTTTTTTTTTTTGAGACGGAGTCTCGCTCTGTCGCCCAGGCTGGAGTGCAGTGGCGCCATCTCGGCTCACTGCAAGCTCCGCCTCCCAGGTTCACGCCATTCTCCTGCCTCAGCCTCCCAAGTAGTTGGGACTACAGGCGCCCACCACCGTGCCCGGCTAATTTTTTTTGTATTTTTAGTAGAGACGGGGTATCACCGTGGTCTCGATCTCCTGACCTTGTGATCCGCCCACCTTAGCCTCCCAAAGTGCTGGGATTACAGGCGTGAGCCACCGCACCCGGCCAAGAGTTGATTTTTTATATGATAAGAAATGCAGAATCACTTTTATTTCTTGAACAAAGAACAGAAACTAAAAATAACATTAGAGAAACATTATTCTAGCACCTGTGTGTATAACGGACTGAAGTTAGGAGAATGGACATGAAGATCAGCTAAGAGTAATCTAAACTGCTACTGTAATCAACAATGTATGAAATAACAACAACTCAACAGGCAATAAAAATAAAAAGAAAGTGGTGAGTTTCAAGACATGTTAAAAGGACTAGGTAGGACAAACGATGATCTTTTCAATAAATGGTGCTGGGTTAACTGGATAGCTATGTGGGGGAAAAATGAACCTTGGCCCCCTATGGTTCACAAGGTAAACAAAAATTGAGATAAATCAGACATAAATGTGAAAGGTAAAACCTAGTTGAAAACCTAGAGTAGCATCTTTATAAGCTTGGAGAAGATAATGGTTTCAACAAAAAGCAGTAGCCACAAAAGAAAAAAAGTAATAAACTGAACTTCATTAAAATTAAGAACATGTCTTCCAATGACACCATTAAGAGATTGGGAAAAGATATTCTCTACAAACTGAGAGAAGATATTCACAACACATATAACTAACAAAGGACTTGCATCCAAATTATATAAGGAATTCCTACAAATCATTAAGAAAAAGACAAATCATTAAAAATAGGCAAGTCTCAAAAGAGGATACAGTAACATGAAAATGTGCTTAGCAACTTTACTCATCAGGAAAATGCAAATTAAAACTATAACAAGACACCACTATACACTCACCAGAATGGCTAAAACTAAAACTAAACTACCAAGCATTGCTGACAATGTAGATAGATGTATGGAACTCATACAGTGCTAGAAAGAGTATACACTGGTACAACTGCTTTGGAAAATTGGCAGTGTCTCCTACAGCTAATTAGAAACCTATTCTATGATCCAGCAATTCTACTCCTAGGTATATGCCCAAGAGAAATATATACATAAGTCTACCAAAAGACAAATACAAGAATATTCACAGCAGCCACAAACTAGAAATAACCCAAAGGTGCAATAGAAGATATAAATGGTATATTCATGGAATGGAATACTACACACCAATAAAAAGGAGCAAACTACTAAAAACACAGATTAATCTCACATTATGTTGAGCAAAAGACACAAGACACAGAAGAGTAAAAACTGTAGGTTCCATTTATAGCACACTCAGGAACAGACAAAATGAATCTATAGTGATAGAAATCAGAACAGTGGTAATCTCTGGAGTGTGCACACTGACAGTAAAGGAACACGAGGAACCTTCTAGGGTGCTGAAAATATTCTATATCTGATCAGGGTAGTGATTATATGAGTGTATACATATGTAAAAATTCATTGAGCACTAAATGCTAAGATTAGCGAGCTAATCTATTACTAACAGATTGGACTAATCTATTACTTAATAGAAGCAATAATGTTAATATAAGTAACATGAAGATATTCTCCACTGCATAAGCTTATATCAGACCGGAATAATCCACTGACAGCCTAATATTAATAAACAATATAATAAACACCCTATTATTTATACTGTTAATCCAACACAGGTATGCTCTAAGGAAAGATTACAAACAGTAAAAGGAACTCGGCAAATCTTACCCAGCTTGTTTACCAAAAACATCACCGCTAGCATTACCAGTAGTAGAGGCACTGCCTGCCCAGTGACATATGTTCAACGGCCGTGGTATCCTGACCGTGCAAAGGTCAGGCAATAACCTTAATGCTAAGGTTATTATAAATTAGATGTCAATTTAAAAAGTAAAATTCCCACCAAGAAAATTCCAGGCTCAGAGGGCTTCACTGTGAATTCCTCCAAACATTTAAGGAAAAAGTAAAGCCGATCTTAAATAAACTCTAAACGAGACTAGAGAATGGCAATTGAGAAAATATGAAAGTAGGTTAGCCTGCTTATTGGATGATATTAAGTAATTATGTCCAATTTTGTTAGGCTTGATAACATTGTAATTTCAAGTCTTTATCTGTTAAAGATACCAAGTACAGTACTTACGGGTGAAGAGATACGAGGTCTGGGATTGGATTTAAAATATTTGAGCCACCTCAAAAACAACTGTATGGGCAATAAATGAAATAAGACTGGCAAGATACTGATAACTGCTAAAGCTGAGTGATAGGTATATCCAAGTTTGTTATACCATTCTATCTTGCATATTTTAAGATTTATATGATAAAAAGTAAAACAAAACAAAAAAACAGGCGGGCACAGAGGCTCACACCTGTAATCCTAGCACTTTGGGAGGCCAAGGTCGGCAGATCACCTGAGGTCAGGAGTTTGAGACCAGCCTGACCAACATTGTGAAACCCGGTCTCTACTAAAAATACAAAAAAATTAGCTAGGAGTGGTAGGAGGCAGCTGTAGTCCCAGCCACTCAGGAGGCTGAGGCACAAGAATCACTTGAGCCAAGGAGGTGGAGCTTGCAGTGAGCCAAGGTTGTGCTACTGCACTCTAGCCTGGGAGACAGAGCGAGACTACATCTCAAAAAAAAAAAGTAAAAAAAATTGTAAAAATTTAATTAAAAAACAAATGTTTTCTTTAAAAAAGCCTAGTTAAATTTTGACACAAACAAAAACTAAGAAGCAAAAGATTAGCTAATAATCACAGGGGACTCTAGAAGGACGACAGGAAAAATTATATGTGCAGGTTTCAATTCTGTTAAGATAAGTAAGAAAAACAAGTAGAGAAGCCTGACAGCAACAAGGGACTGGGCTGGGCACGGTGGCTCATGCCCAGAGTCTCAGGGTAGAGCACTGGGGTCGATAATTCAGAACCTGTTCATATTCCAGCCGGGCGCAGTGGCTCACGTCTGCGATCCTGGCACTTTGGGAGGCCAAGGCAGCTGGATTACCTGAGGTCAAGAGTTCGAGACCAGCCTGGATAACATGGTGAAACCCTACCTCTACTAAAAGTACAAAAAAATTAGCTGGGTGTGGTGGCACACATCTGTAGTCCCAGCTACTCAGGAGACTGTAGCAGGAGAACCTCTTGAACCTAGGAGGCAGAGGTTGCAGTGAGCCAAGATTGCACCACTGCACTCCAGCCTGGGCTATAGAATGACAGTCCGTCTCAAAAACAAAACAAAACAAACAAACAAATAAACAAACAAAAACAAAACCAAGGGACTGGCAGTCAGAGCTAGAGAAGTAAGCTTGGTTAGAAATTCACATACACATCTCAGGTGAAATCATGAGGGTGTGGGTCAGTGTAGGATGGTGGTAAAAACAGGGGATTAAGTGTTGGCTCCATTAATTACTAGCTGCATAATTTTCGGAAAGCGACAACCTCTGTGAGACAAAATTTCTTCAGTGATAACAATATCACTGAAGCATAAGGTTTTATTAAAGCAAGGATCAATTGAAAACATGGTCTAAATGGTAAAGCTCTGTAATATATTAGTGGTCAGTGGGTAATTTCCCTAAGGGAATATGTAGAGAAACACAGAAAGAAAGGGTTCAGATTGAACCTTTTGATACAACCAAGATTAATAATCAGAGAAGAGAAGAAACATGGAACTGCAAAGATTAAAGACAGAAATACAATCTAGGAAAGCTAATTTACAAGGAAAGTGTCCAGGAAGCCATGATGAAAAGGCTTTAAGAAAGAAGTAAAAAGGGGAAATGATTTCATACACCTGACAAGAAATAAATAAAATCTTTCACAGAGTATTCTCTACACATGAAATTCTGTCATCTTCTGACATACCATTTAGAAAATGTGACAGAACACATGGTTCTATCAGTATGTCTAAAAAGAAGGTAGAATAGGTATCATGCACATATTTTTCTTCACTCTAATGGAAAGGAATGAATAATATGAGAAGATAAAGTGAGTTCAATGAAAAGATATAAATGATCCTATAGATTCTACAAGAATATGATACATCATTATTATACATCTTTCTCAATGGAAAATATAAGAAAATTAATATAAAGACATTTCCAATTTTAAGGGAAATAACTGCATAACTGTCATTAAAGCAATATTTTTTAAAGGTGAGATTTTTCTGAATTAGACAACTATTTACTACCTCACCCCCATAGAGCAGCTGACAAGTATAAGCATAGTAAGCAATATCCAAGTAAAAATCACTTCTCTCTTTCCCAGATGATTTTAAAAGACCTAGTGAAGTGAGTATTTTTAAACCTCTAGAAGATGCAGAATAAGGTTTAAAGTGTTGCTTTGTTTCCTATGAGAGGTGTATCACTTATTAACCTCACATTGCAGAAGAGAGCTAGGTAATGTCAATACTATTACAGACATGTCATTTGCAGCAACGTATCATTCCCATTTATATCAAAACAGATTTTCCCTGTACTTGCATTTTTTTAAAAAACACAAAACATGCACAAATGACAAAAAGGAGGTTATCCAAAAAGGAACCACAAAAGAAATTGTGAAGATAAGAACTTAAAGGCTATTAATCAGATAAAGGCCTTATGTAAGACACTTTCTTTTTAGACAGTTTAAATGTTGGTTCTCTCCCTGTGTTTAAGAAAGCGTTGTTTTTGTTTGTTGATTCATTTCCCCACTTCCATGTGAGGGTTAAAAGTTAGCAGGAGGCTAGATACAAACACGGTTACAGAGGGAAGTTACAACAGAAAATCCGTATCTACATCGAAACTTGAAGCACAGACTGGGAGAAATTCTTAGAAGTTAAATAGTCTCATCTATAGAATGTTAAACATGTTTGCCTACAAGGAGAAACACCCTAACTTACTATAAAGACTAATCCTTATGAAGCTCACATCTCCTCTGGATTAAAATTATAGCACCTGCTGTAAACCCAAAGATTCAACTCAATTATGAAAGATTAATAATCTCCTTGGGTATTGCTGTTTTTTTTTTCCTTTATCTGTATCCACAGTCTATTTACATAGAACCCAAAATGCTGACCACGCCAATTTGTAAAGCAATAAATCCTATACTTTGGCCATTCACAAAAACCACTTAAACAATAATATATATTAGACAATGGTACAAGACACTCATTAATAGAAGCCCAATTATTCTAACTACTCTGGAAGGAAATCCTACTTCAATCAAGGTCTACTATGATTGATGAAGGAATCAGATTCTGAAAAGATTCTGAGATACCCATTGTAAGAGTTTATTAGAGTGTTTCTTCTGCCTAATTAGAATTTTAAGATAGCTACAAAGCAAGAGCTCCATGTTACCCAAGAGCCTTTTCATAACAATTTCCTTGCTGATATGGCCAATATAAAAAAGTACAGGTAACTGAAAAACTAAGTCCACATAGAAGTCAGGCTTTTTTTTTTAAATAAAACAATACTGAAATATTATTTCATTAACAGCTTTACAGCATAAGTTATACCTGCTAACTATCCAGAAGGCTCAACAAAAGCTACAGTAATGGATCAAGATGGCTAAATGTATACACAGGCTTTTTTCCAAGTTTTCAACTATGGGGTTATTTCTAGTCTCTTCTTACTGCAGACTTAAGCAACTTTCAGACTTTATCAATTTAGAAGGTCTTCACCACAATTTTCTAAAGCCATAATGTACTCCTAGATTGGAACACAGAGGAGTCTTTCACCGATTTTATGTGTGGTCACTGGTATTCAGATGGAGCTCCCTGGGGTTGTATAGTAGTAGGTGTCCAAAAATGTACAGCAGTTCTTTTCCAGACTATAAAAGCATAAAGAAGCAAAAATGTACAGCAGTTCTTTTCCAGACTATAAAAGCATAAAGAAGAGCAACGCTGTCTAAACAAGAGTCATTTCTCACTCAGAGACAGTTCACACCTTCTTACCTCCCATGATGAATTGGCAAGTGTTTACGATGAATTCCATGACTTCCTTCCACAAAAGCATTGGGAGGCTTATGATACACAGAGGCCAAAGAACCAATGTGGCAGATTAGCTCATCCAGCAGAGTTGGCTCAATAAGGTCCGTCTCCTCAGAGATCAGTGGCTTCTCAGACAAGACTACTTCTTTAGCTGTAACAGGGTCAGTTGAGAGAAGGCGCCAATAAATATAGCCCCGGTCTCGAAGGTCAGGATTATCAGAATCCTAAAGAAAAGGCAAAGGCAAGGAGGTGGAGATGAAACTGTTCTCCATACAGAAACCCAAACTGCTGGATTTATCATCAACCAATGTTGTAGTGATTTATGCAGACTGGGTATTAAGAAGATACTTCAGGCTGGATGTGGTAGCTCATAGCTCATGCCTGTAATCCCAACACCTTGGGAGGCTGAAACAGGCGGATCACTTGGACCCAAGAGTTTGAGATCAGCCTGGGCAACGTGGCAAAACCTTGCCTCTACAAAAAATATAAAAAATCATCAGGGCCAGCCAGGCGCAGTGGCTCATGCCTGTAATCCCAGCACTTTGGGAGGCCAAGGTGGACGGATCGCTTGAGATCAGGAGTTTGAGACCAGCCTGGCCAACATAGCGAAACCCCACCTCTACTAAAAATACAAAAATTAGCTGGGCTTGGTGGCGTGTGCCTGTAATCCCAGCTACTCAGGAGGCTGAGGCAGGAGAATAGCTTGAACCCAGGAGGCAGAGGTCGCAGTGAGCCGAGATCACGCTACTGCACTCCAGCCTGGGCAACAGAGTAAAACTCTGTCTCAAAAAATAATAATAATAATAAAAGTACAAAAATTATCAGGGCGGGGTGTAGAGCCGCATGTACCTGTAGTCCCATCTACTCAGGAAACTGAGGGAGGAGGATCACTTGAGCCCAGGAGGTTGAGGCTGCAGTGAGCCATGACTGCACCGCTGCACTCCAGACTGGGCAACAGAGTGAGACTCTGTCTCAAAAAGCAAACAAATGTGTTAACTCAACATGGTCCTAATATAGTCATAATTCTGTAATCTCTAATGTTTCAAGGGATGTAACTATAAATTAAGATGGGTTAATCCTAAGACTCAAATTCAAACAGAAATAAAGAATAGAAAAACAATGTTTAATCTGGCAAAAGTTAACTGGTTGAGACGGCCTTAGGACATAAAAATTTTTTAAACTAGGGCCGGGCGCGGTGGCTTACGCCTGTAATCCCAGCACTTTGGGAAGCCGAGGCGGGAGGATCACCTGAGGCCAGGAGATTGGGACCATCCTGGCTAACACAGTGAAACCCCGTATCTACTACAAATACAAAAAATTAGCCAGGCAAGGTGGCACATGCCTATAATCCCAGCTACTCAACAGGCTGAGGTAGGAGAATCACTCGAACCCGGGAGGCGGAGGTTGCAGTGAGCCGAGATTGTTTCACTGCACTCTCGCCTGGGCAATAAGAGCAAAACTCCGTTCCAAAAAAAAGAAATTTTTTTTAACTGCTTTAAATATTAGCAGGCTTATTAATAACATATATTATATCTTCCATATATTGTACCCATACCTTCTTCCTTCATTCAAATATTTATTAAGTATCTCCTATTGAGACACTGGCTAAGCCCTGGAAATAAAGAGGTAACAATACACTGCCTGACTTTAAGGAGCTCACGTAATATTAACTATTTCAATAGAGTATGAAAGGTACTATTATCTAAATAATCAAAAACTGCTAAAGAGAGGACATAACTGCTTCCAAAAGGAGTAACACTTGAATTTGGTGGTCTTGTTTTGTGCTATGGTGGTTTTTAAATAATTGTATACATGTTCATGGCTAAAAAGAAATTATTACCAAACATACCACATCACAATTTTTAAGTGTGTGACATAAAAAAAAAATCTCCCCCAATTATCCAACCCTTCTCCATCTCAACTCCCAATCCCCCAAATAGCCATGATTAGTAATGTGGTATATATCTGTCCAGATGGGTCACACACACACACACACACACACACACACACTTATTTCATATAAAACCAGTTTCATATTATATATACTGTTCTGAAGTTGCTCTCCATGTTGATATATACGACTGCACTTTTCCACTGTAATGCCCACTGCACCATTAATTATTAGTCCACTATTGAGGGACATTTTCACTGTTGCCCATTTTTCCCTTTCTACCTTTATTATTGTTTTATTTGTATGTATGTATGTATGTATGTATGTATGTATGTATGCATGTATTTTGAGACAGAGTCTTGTTCTGTCACCCAGGCTGGAGTACAGTGGCGTATCTCGGCTCACTGCAACCTCTGCCTCTCGGGTTCAAGTGATTCTCCTGCCTCTGTCTCCCAAGTAGCTGGGATTATTGGTACGCACCACCACACCCAGCTAATTTTTGTATTTTTAGTAGAGACAGGGTTTTTCTATGTTGGCCAGGCTGGTCTTGAACTCCTGACTTTAAGTCATCCGCCCACCTCAGCCTCTCAAAGTGCTAGGATTACAGGCATAAGCCACCGTGTCTGGCCTATTGTTTTCTTTATTGTTTTTGTCATCATTATAAAGTGGCAATAAATATCCTGGTACCTACCTCAAAAGTATGTCTATATGATGGCATTTATTTATGCACGAGTTGTTCCAACAGCAACTTATTAAAGGCAACAATAAGTCCCTGTTTCAATTTCTATATTTCAAACTCATAACCAGACCGGGTACAGTGGCTCATGCCTGTAGTCCCAGCTACTCAGGAGGCTGAGGCAGAAGAATCATTTGAACCCAGGAGGTGGAGGTTGCATTGAGCTGAGATCAAGTCACTGCAGTCCAGCCTGGATGACAGAGTGAGACTCTGTCTCAAAAGAAAAAAAAAAAAACAAACCCCCAAAACCCAAAAAACTCATAACCAAACAAAAAACATTTTCTTTAAAACAGGACAATCTGAGGGCTTCCATTTTAGTTTCTAAGCGAGCAGATGAATTGATTCACGATTTAGCCACTTAAGGCCCTTATCATCCAGTTCAATAGCAGTAGTTACCCTGATGTTTTTGACTATATAGATTTAAATGGTTTTTCTCAGTCACAGATTGTTTAAATTGCACTCATAATGGATTGGTGGTTAAAGACGAAAAGCATATAGAACATTGCAATACAGCAAATTAATAAAATATTAAAACAGTAAATTTTATCTCAAGATAATCTTTACATTTATAACTTGCATTATTCTAATAGAAATGTGTGTATGTGTATATGTATATGTATACATATGAATGTCTTATCAAAATGTCTCTAGTATTTGAAATGCCCGGGTTAAAAAAAAGAAACAGTGATAATTATATCTAATTTAGTTGATTTTGTTTGTGTGTGTGTGGGGAGGGGGGGCACTGAGGGACTAATTTGCTCCTAAGTGTTTATAAATAGCAGCCTGAAACCTCCTCATTTAGATCTTCATTTGAAAACAAAGCTTGAACATTATAAAACAAAAACAAGTTGATATTTTTAAAAGAGCAGAATACAAGTTTCTCAAAATATCAGGTCAGGGAAGCAACTCCTCTCTCCCACATTTTTTTATATGTAACTTAAACGTTAAATTTTAACCTATATATGCAGTCCTTAAGGCACATGTACTTTAGAATTTGTAAAGTATGGTTTTTATTACATAATTAAACACTGCATTTATCTTATTAACTTAGAAAATTCAGTTTGTCTTTATGGACTAGTAATATCTTAAAGGTATTCAACTTTATAATACATAGTTTAATAATATACTCATCAAAATAAAATGCTTTTTCTTCAAATTATTTCTCCCATATGTAATGTAAACAATTTAACCAAATGACCAAAAAGAAAAATTCCTATAGGGATTCACAAAATTCAAAAATCTCAGCCAGGCACGGTGGCTCAGTAATCCTAGCACTTCAGGAGGCCAAGGTAGGCTGATCACTTGAGGCCAGGGGTTTGAGACCAGCCTGGCCAAGATGGCAAAATCCCATCTCTACAAAGGGTACAAAAATTAGCCAGGCATGGTGGCAGATGTCTGTAATCCCAGCTACTTGGGAGGCTAAGGAGGGAGAATCACTTGAACCCAGGAGGCGGAGGAGGCTGCAGTGAGCTGAGATTGCACCACCGCACTCCAGCCTGGGTAACAGAGTGAGACTCCATCTCAAAAAAAAAAAAAAAAATTATATATATATGAAAAAAATTTGAGAGTTCCTCTACAGATTATTCAAAATGCTGCAATATGGCAAACTACTGGAGATAGAGTTACTGGATCAAAGTCTAAACAGACACTAACTTGAAAAATACAATCCTATGAGAAATGAGTGCAAATCTCCCAAGGCTGAAAAGTCAGGAGTAGGGAAGAATCTCCTAACTGCTCAAACTCTGTCGTTCTGAGGGATGACCTGTTAGGCCTACTGTAAGCCAGTCCTCACCAACTGCCTCACATTTTACATGGAGGCCACAGTAATTCAGACCGTCAAGACCGAGATAAATAAAAATACAGGACCTTTTTGTAATCTTAAGTTGCCATTAAATGTTTGGTGACTCAGATAATTTGGCTTTGGATCTACTGTACTGCTAGACCCATAGGCCTTCCTCAGGGGAAGAGGTCCCAAAACAATACTTACCAGGCCAGCACTAAAACAGTAATTCTTAAACTATAATGTGCATCAACATTTTAACATACCAGGAATGCCACTGAAAGTGCAGAACCCAGGGGCCATACTTCAGAGATTCTGATTCATTACATCAAAAGTAGGGCCTAGTAATTAGTATTTTTAACAAGCAGCCCAAATGATTCTGATGATGGTGGCCCCTAGTTCATAGACAGAAAAACATGAAGACTTCTATTCCATGTATCACAAAGAATAATTACTAACGTCTAGACATTTTTTTGTTTTGTTTTGTTTTGTTTTTTGAGACAGAGTCTAGGTCTTCTTGCCCAGGCTGGAGTGTAATGGCACGATCTTGGCTCACTGCAACCTCTGCCTCCCGGGTTCAAGTGATTCTCCTGCCTCAGCCTCCCGAGTAGTTGGGATTACAGGCGCATGCCACCACGCTCGGCTAATTTTATATTTTTAGTAGAGATGGGGTTTCTCCATTTTGGTCAGGCTGGTCTCGAACTCCTGACCTCAGATGATCTACCTGCCTCGGCTTCCCAAAGTGCTGGGATTACAGGCATAAGCCACCATGCCCGGCCTTTGTTTGTATTCTTTACTCAGTTGAACTGAATATTGTATTGAATTTCTGTGTAACAGGTAAGAGAAAAAGATAAATTTTTGAAATGAAGCCTCAGATTCAAGGGTTGGGTTTTTCCCCCTAACTAATAATATTTTTAATTATACTCCCATTTTACTTAAAAGCACTAAGATTTCACATATACTTCACTTAATTCTCAGCACAGGTAAAGAACAGTATTAATTAACTCTACTATAGAGACAGAAGAAAAGCAGTATGAAAGAAATTTGCTCAGTCATGTCCAGAATCAGTGGAAGTAGCATCATCAGAACCTCACTACCCAATTTAAGTTAACATGTGCTCGCTTCGGCAGCACATATACCAATTTAAGTTAACACAATTCAGCCGACCACATTGCATCCTAAACTTAAATTGGTACTCACTAGCCATAAATATTTAGGTTCTTATTTCACAAACTTGGGGAAAAAACAGAAAACTTCCAGGTAAAAAGACTTACATAGGCATACTTATTCTTTTTTTCTTTCTTTTTTTTTTTCCGAGACAGAGTCTTGCTGTATTACCCAGCCTGGAGTGCAGTGGCATGATCTCAGCTCACTGCAACCTCTGCCTCCTGGGCTCAAGCGATCCTCCCACCTCAACCTCCCAAGTAGCTGGGATTACAGGCGTGTGCCACTATGCTCCGCTAATTTTTGTATTTTTTGTAGAGATGGGATTTTGCCATGTTGCACAGGCTGGTCGAATTCCTGAGTTCAAGTGATCCGCCCGCCTTGGCCTCCCAAAGTGCTGGAATTGCAGGTGTGAGCCACAGCACCCAGCAGCATACTTACTGTTTTATGATAACTTCTCAGACTTCATTAATTAATTGGACAGAAAAAGCAAGCCTCAGCCAGGCTCTGTGGCTCACACTTATAATCCCAGTGCTTTGGGAGACCAAGGCAGGAGGATCACATTAGATCAGGAGTTCAAGACCAGCCTGGCCAACATGGTGAACCCTCATCTCTACTGGAAAAAAAAAAAAAAAAAATTAGCTGGGCGTGGTGGCATGCACCTGTAATCCCAGCTACTCAGGAAGCTGAGGTAGGAGAATTGTTTGAACCCGGGAGGTGGAGGTTGCAGTGAGCCGAGATCACGCCACTGCACTCCAGCCTGGGTGACAGAGCTAGACTCAGTCTTGAAAAAAGGCAAGCCTCGAGAAGTTGCTTATTATTTATAGTATGAAATAATCATCCACAAAGACCTTAAAACTAGCAAACACACATATACATATGGGCTTATGCTCAATATTGCTTCAGGCAGGGAATAGGTATTCTCCAAGTCATTCTTAACCTTCAGACTAGAGAGGAAGCATAGCACAGTGGACAAGACCATGGGCAAGACCTAGAGCCAGACTATCTGAGTCTGAGTCCTAGTTCTGCCCCATAATAATTAGGCCTCTCTGAGTTTCCTCATCTATAAAATAGAAATCGTTTACTAACCCTTACTAGGATTAAGTGAGTTTCTAGCCTGTCCTGTTCTAGGAAGCTTATGAAAAATGCATCTAAGGCTAAAGAGCGTTAATTAAACCCAGAGTCAGGAAACTGCATGCCACAGTGGCCTACATAGTTTCCATGGGAGATTGTTAAATGTGATTCTAAGGTTTCAAACAACCAATATGGAAAAGAAAGCTGATCAGGCATGCTACACTGATACACAGAAAAATCCAAAACTTGTTAGAAATTTGATGGGGCTTCATAAAGAAGAAAACATAATGAAGTAAGTAATGACTCTGATAACAAGCTAACAACAGATCCAAATAGGGTAGTTTCCCATGACGACTGTTATTACTACAGACTGATAGTATTTTAGTATCAGCGTAATTTAGTAAAAGCAATTTTATTAGGGGTCAAAAACAATGCAGTCCAGGTATCCAGATGTCTATTAATAATGCTTGATTCAGAGGTGAATTTCAGACTATCTGTAAGAACAGCACTACCTTGTATCCTTTAAGCAATCCTTCCTAAATACTTTATCTCAGTCAAATTTTGATAAATACTTAAGAGGTAATGAGACTGAGTTTGAAGTCTGGCCAGAATTCGTAATACAGCTCTCCTATGGTGCCTGTTAAATACAATCACATAGGCTTTAACAGACAATGATGATAAGGTTGAGAACTTGTGAAAACAGAGGAAACTACTAAACATACTTGCTTGAATATTTACAGTAAGCAGAGAGGAAGAAAGGCCAAAATTCTCTTTAGAAATTGTTTTGACAGAATGTGAGCTGCTCTAATAATGTCATTCTATGTGACCACTTACAGCAAGCTTGTCCAACCTGAGGCCACATGTGACCCAATACAAATTCGTAAACCTTCTTAAAACATTATGAGATTCTTTTGTGATTTTTTTTTTTTAGCTCATCAGCTATTGTGAGTGTATTTTATGTGTGGCCCAAGACAATTCTCAATTCTCCTCCCAATGTGGCCCAGGGAAGCCAAAAGACTGGACACTCCTGACTTAGGAGTTTAAAATTAAAACATGAAACAGAGTACAAAAAAAAAAAAAAGGCTGTGGGGGGTGTGGGAGGAATAAAGAAATTGTTTTGAATTCATCTTAGAGATGCAAATGGGATCCAGGAAATTAGAATGCTCAATTCAATACAGATAATATTAACCACTGATGTTTATAATTGCTTTGCTTCAGGCAGAGGAAGATGCTTAAGAAAGTTTTTAAAATACTTCAAAAAGCTCATACAAATACATTTTTTTAAGTTGTAGTAACAGGAAAAATTATGGCTCAGAACTAGGCAAAGTACTGTGAAAGGGTTTTAAATTTTGATTACACACCAGTATAAAGGGATGACAAAGACAGAAAAATGGTAAACTGGATATCTGAATCATATTCCATTTGCAGACACACATCGTAACTCTGACAGCCTGCTAAAAAGCCGGCCTGTTAGCAAATCCATTTATGAACATTACTAAATCATCAATGGACTGATGATCATTATACTAGTTACACTAGAAAACCTAATTATTTTGATTTCTGTGGATCTAATATAATGACCTGATATTTAAAGCCAGCTGCCACTTTCCTGAGATCTGAATCCATCTAAACTTCTTTTCTTCTGACCTAAAAAAACAAATAATTCCAAGGAGATCCAAATATATCAAATAATACAAGGAAGCAGCATAAACACTTAATTTCTGTGAGAAAGGCAACTACTCTGGAAGGTAGAACAATGCATGAAACTTTACTGAGGCATCTATTATCTCCACATGGTACTTTCATTTGAAAGCTGAAATGAAGTCACAGTGAAGCAGGTACTATCAGATCACGTCATTTTCATCTAAGTATGTCCTTCACTAAACTAAGAGTCTAGGTTCAATTTTCATGAATTATGAAAACTGGAATCAGTCAACTCATTTAAAAGCCACAGAATTAGCTACAATTCAGTTGAACACGTAAAAAGGCATTGTTTTAATATTTTAACAGGATCTAAAGGCCATACTTCCTTCAAATAAAGCTTCCCCAAATGAATCCCCTAGGAAGAGTTTCATAATTTCCTACAATTTGAAACAAGACAAATCAACATCTTGCTTTTTCCAGATTTCTTACCTGTGTTGCCAAACTCAAGACCTGCTGGACTAGCTCCTGTGTTTCTGATGGTTTCTTGAGAAACAGCTTCACTATGGCAGTAAGCAGAGTGAGCTGCACCTAAACAGACATAATTTGTGATAGTGTGAAAGAATGGCACTGGCATTATTCCCTGCCATCATCTCCAAAGTGGTGTTTCCCCAACTATGAATTACTATGGAGCCTTTCTGATTTTGGTTAAGAGACAAAAGGCTGAAACTCAATCAATATCAACAACAGCAGTCAAAAGTATTCGTGGGAAATACAAAGGTATTCAACCGAAAACTCTACCCTTTTAACCTCGAAATGCATTTTTGGCACAAAATATTGCTTGTTTCTAAGACAGATAGTTACCTGTGTTTATTATTATTATTATTACTATTATTATTTTGAGACAAGGTCTCCCTCTATTGCCCAGGCTGCACATCCATAGCTCATTGTAGCCTCAAACTCCTGGACTCAAGCAATCCTCCTGCCTCAGCTTCCCAAGTAGCTGGGACTACAGGTGCAAGCCACTACAACTAATTTTTAAAATTTTTGTATTGTTTGTAGAGATGTAGTCTTGCAATGTTGCCAGGGCTGGTCTCATAGCCCTGGCTTGAAGCGATTCTCCCGCATCAGCCTTCCAAAGTGCTGGGATTACAGGCATGAGTAACCGAGCCTGGCTTGTATTTCTTAAAGTATATGTTAACATACTGATGGTGATAAAATTGGCTCCTGAGCAAGTCTTTCATTATTTACTTCTACCAAAAGCTACAATTTGGGGGGAATTATGGAATCATCTGTCGTACTGGGGCAAGAGCCAAGACAGTAGAATTATGTCAGATTACAGCCTATTAGGAGTTGGCTGCTAAACCACAAAGCTATTGACTTGTACATACTCCTTGAATTAGGTCTATTAAAATTGCTATAGTAGATTACATACATTATTTTCTATTTGCTTTGAGTACAAATGCCAAGAAAAAAGGGCTTAATAATTTATTGGCTTCCTGGTTCTGTGGCTCTAATTTTGGTAGGGGAAAGTGAGAAGCAGTCTCAGAATTTTCATCCAAAGATAATCTTTTCAAACCTCACCACAGCCTCTAGCGAAAATCCCTGCTGTAATGAGCCACAGCCATTACTAACAGAAATGTGTAGTCATTCTTAGGTGACAGAAAATAAAAAAGTAGTGGTAACTACTGCTCTAAGCCAGTGGTTGTCAATGTGTGGTTCCGGATTGCCAGCAGCAGCATCACCCTGAACCTTGTAAGACATGCAAATACTTAGGCACATCTCAGACCTACTGAGTCAGATACTCTCAGGGTGAAGCCCAGCAACATGTGCTTTAAAAATGCCCCCCAGGTGTTAATAATGCTCACTGAAGTTTGAGAACTACTGGTCTGAGTTATGTAGGTTTTTAACATTAGAAATCAGTAAAACTGGCCAGGCAAGGTGGCTCACACCTGTGATCCCAGCACTTTGGGAAGCCGAGGTAAGTGGATCGCCTAAGGTCAGGAGTTCGAGACCAGCCTGGCCAACATGGTGAAACCCTGTCTCTACTAAAAATACAAAAAATTAGTTGGGAGTGATGGTGAATGCCTGTAATCCCAGCTACTCGAGAGGCTGAGGTGGGAGAATCGCCTGAACCTAGGAGGCAGAGGTTGCAGTGAGCCACAATCCTGCCACTACACTCCAGCCTTGGCAACAAGAGTGAAACTGTCTCAAAAAAAAAAAAAAAAAAAAAAAAAAAATCAGTAAAACTGGCCAGGCATAGTGGCTCATGCCCGTAATCCCAGCACTCTGGGAGGCCGAGGCGGGTGGATCACCTAAGTTCAGGAGTTCAAGACCAGCCTGGCCAACATGGTGAAACCCTGTCTCCACTAAAAATATAAAAATTAGCCAGGTGTGGTGGTGCACACCTATAATCCCAGCTACTTGGGAGGCTGAAGCAGGAGAATCGCTTGAACCCAGGAGGCAAAGGTTGCAGTGAGCCAAGATCCTGCCACTGCACTCCAGCCTGGACAACAAAGCGAGACTCTGTCTCGAAAACAAAAACAAAAAATTAGTAAAACTGAGAAGAGACATCCCTGTTGGGAGAAAAATGAACATACTATATGTAAATACAGACACAGAAGAAACTGCCTATAACCTTTGCTTTCTCTGAAATCTCCCCAAAGACATCTAAAACTACTAGGATAGACAAGAGACAAGAACTTACCTGGGTGCTTTCATCGTGAAAACCCTCCAGGAAGCTTTCTAGTAACTCATCTGCATTGTCAATTCTTTCAGCATATTCTCCCACAATCCAAATCATAGCTGCTCGAGCATCTGGCTCATCCAGCGAGTCTAAGTTCTCACACAGAGTGGCGATGATACTTTCATACCTGATGAAAAAAAATGAACTATGGTTATTGAGGGCAAAACTAAGAACTAATTTAACAGTGAAGGCTAAAGGCAAAACCACAAACAAGGGACCCTAAACCAAACCACCAAACTGTAAAAGCTTTTAGTCAAGAGAATGAATAGGTTTTAAGTCAGAAGATTTTAATGACTTAAATTTCCCTTCAATTATTTTTTAAGACCTAGACCTTAAAACCTTTATAAAAATTCATCAGATGTTCTTTTGTTTTGTTTTTTGAGACAGGGAGACAGGGTCTCACTCTTGTCACCCAGGCTAGAGTGCATTGGCATGATCATAGCTCACTGTAACCTCAAAGTCCTGGGCTCAAGCGATCCTCCCTCCTCAGTCTCCTAAGTAGCTAGGACTACAATTTAGTGCCACCACACTCAGCTAAATTTTAAAAATTTTTTTGTAGAGATGGGGGTCTTGCTATGTTGACCGGCTGGTCTCAAACTTGTGGCCTCAAGTGATCCTCTCACCTTGGTCTCCCAAAGTGATGAAATTACAGGTGCGAGCCACACTGCCATTTTTACAAGGAAAAATTAACCTGTGGTGTAAGATAATACCACTACCTTGTATTTGTAACAATCTTTCATATAAGTACATTAGAAAATTTTCCTATTGTTCCATTTTGCCTTCATGGTAGAGAGGAACAGAAATTCCACTTTATTTTTAGGCAAATGAAGTTAGACAACAACAGTGTCCAGACAAGAAATGGTAAATCTGTCCCTTAATCCACTTATCTCTGCTTTTTATAAAAGAGAGCTTTCTTTTTTTTTTTTTTTTTTCAAGACGGAGTGTTGCTCTGTCGCCCAGGCTGGAGTGCAGTGGCACGATCCCGGCTCACTGCAAGCTCCGCCTCCCGGGTTCATGCCATTCTCCTGCCTCAGCCTCCCGAGTAGCTGGGACTACAGGTGCCCGCCACCACGCCTGGCTAATTTTTTTATATTTTTAGTAGAGACAGGGTTTCTCCATGTTAGCCAGGATGGTCTCCATCTCCTGACCTCATGATCCGCCCACCTCGGCCTCCCAAAGTGCTGGGATTACAGGCGTGAGCCACCGCGCCTGGCCCCAAAGAGATCTTTCTTTATGTTAGTTCTTCTAAAGGTACCTGCACTGACTTATTTCTCCAAAGAAAGAAGTAATTAAAATATTTATTTTTACATATCTACAGCTCTCTCAGGCTTACCATGTTGAATCCATCTCCTTGGCTAATGTAGTTTTAACGATTAGAATGACCCTGTATAATAAATTAGATGTGGACAACTAAATAGCACACTTAACTAAGTATCTGCCTACTTTTACTGATTAAACCAGGCTCTTGATTGCTTTCTTAAACATAAACCGTCCTAACTCTTTATTAACCATAAACCAGAAATGGATACATTTCTCTACCAATCACATTCAGATACACATCTTCACCCTTAATAAGTTTAAATGTCGGGCACAGTGGCACAGGCCTGTAGTCCTAGCTACTGGAGAGGCTGAGGCAAGAGGATCACTTAAGCCCAGGAGTATGTGTCCAGCCTGGGCAACACAGTGAGATCCTGTCTGAAAACAAACAAACAAAAAAGTTAATTAAAAAAAGTTTAGGCTGGGCACAGTGGCTCATGCCCATAATCCTAGCACTTTGGGAGGGCGAGGTGGGGGGGATCACTTGAGGTCAGAAGTTCGAGACCAGCCTGGCCAATACAGTGAAACCCTGTCTCTACTAAAAATACAAAAATTAGCCGGGTGTGGTGGCAGCCACCTGTAATCCCAGCTACTCGGGAGATTGAGGCAGGAGAATGTTTGAACCCGGGAGGCAGAGGTTGCAGTGAGCTGAGATCACGCTACTGCACTCCAGCCTGGGCAACAGAGTGAGACTGTCTCAAAAAAAAAAAAAAATTTAGAAACCGACCCTCTTCTTTATTGGGAGAGTAGTAAAAGTATGTGGTTCTCTTTCCAAAATAACTATTTCTAAAATTTTAAAAATATACACAATGCTTAATAAACCACTACCTTGCCAAAATATATCTACTAATTCTTGAGCCCACCACTAAGCTAACTTACTACAAGCTGCTTCATTTAACACTATCTTTAAAGACGATCAGAAGTGGGCCGGGCATCGTGGCTCATGCCTGTAATCCCAGCACTTTGGGAGGCTGAGGTGGATGGATCACCTGAGGTCAGGAGTTCGAGACTGGCCTGGCTAGTGAAACCCCGTCTCTACTAAAAATACAAAAATTAGCCAGACATGGTGGCATGCACCTGTAATCATAGCTACTTGGGAAGCTGAGGCAGGAGAATCACTTGAACCCGGGAGGCGGAGGTTGCAGTGAGCTGCGATCGCACCACTGCACTCACCTGGGCAACAGAGTGAGACTCCATCTCAAAAAAGACAATCAGAAGCTCTATGAGTGTAAGGCAAAATGAGATTTAAGATGCTTATAAAACCTGCTTTTATTTCATTTTCAGATTCCTTAATTACTTGTTTTCAAAAATCAAATCTAAAAAGTATTTTTGCTTCATATACTAAGAGGCCCTCAATCTGAAAAACTTGTGAAGTAAAAATGCAGATTTTTTTTTATATATCTGTATGAGAATAACTACAATACTTCAGAAAAGGCATGAGACTGATAATGTTACATGTTCTGTAATTCTCCACAATGTAGTAGGTAACATGCAAAGTAAATAGCACAGCTGTTCCCTTCCTGGCTTTTATGGTAGGGTGCTATACGATATATCATCCAAACTTATACATTTCTGAGAAGAAAAGGTGCACAATCATTAATTATGTCTGGATAACAGGTATAAACTGAGATTATGCCTGAACAACCTAGAATATATAGATGTCCTATTTAACAGTAACTTTGCCATCAAAGAATCTGGTTAACTTTAAAATATGCCAATAGACAATGCATATTCAGGCAGAGCTTCAATTCTTCCTAAAGAAAGAAAGCAGAGTGAAAACTCAGGTTTTAATCCCTGTGCTAACCATTTTAATGTTTCCGATTTTTGATAAAGTATCCTATTATGACCAGGAACATTCAAAAGAGTAATTCTTACCTAGGCAATTTCAAAGTGCCTTAAACATTTCCTAAGTAATTTGAGAAAGAGGGGTAAAGGTATTTGGACATACTTGTTGGGGTATTTGCGGAAGATGTCCCTGATGACAACAATTGCTTCTTGGACCACATAATTCACTTTGGTCTGGATTAGATCAAGCAATGTGCTTACACAGCGCTCTGCAGATTGCTGGGAAGAAAAATACAAAAAATGAGAAGTCAGATGATCTATGCGATAACACCACCTCAACATAAAAATTTTGAAACATGCAGGTGCATCAACTAAACCAAACTAAATGATCAGGCACTTAATTTGACCAAGCTGTACTACAGGCTAGATACCAAGCTATATGATACAGTTTTATTTATTATTTGAACTGATAGGTGAATCAGTTCAAATGAATCCTTTGAATACAAACAAAAGGATGTTCCTCATGATGTATAAACATCTGAAAAACATTTATGTCAGGGATATTAATTTTCAAAGAAAATTCTCATCTCAACCGTACTGCTTTTGATTAAAAAAAAAAAAATACTACCAAGGCTAGGCGTGATGGCACATGCCTGTAATCCCAGCATTTTGGGAGGCTGAGGCAGGTGGATCACCTGAGGTCAGGGGTTTGCGACCAGCCTGACTAACATGGTGAAACCCCGTCTCCACTAAATACAAAAAAATTAGCCAGGTGCATGCCTGTAATCCGAGCTACTTGGGAGGCTTTGACAGGAGAATTGCTTGCATCTGGGAGGTGGAGGCTGCAATGAGCCGAGATCGCGCCATTGTACTCCAGCCTGGGCAACAACAGCGAAATTCTGTCTCAAAACAAAAAACACAAACAAACAAAAGGCCAGGCACTGTGGCTCATGACTGTAATCCCAGCACTAGCACTTTGGGAGGCCGAGGCAGCTGGATCATGAGGTCAGGAGTTCAAGACCAGCCTAGCCAAAATGGTGAAACCCTGTTTCTACTAAAAATACACAAATTAGCCGGGCGTGGTGGCAGGCACCTGTAATCCCAGCTACTCCGGAGGCTGACGCAGAGAATTGCTTGAATCCAGGAGGCAGAGGTTGTAGTTAGCCGAGATCACACCACTGCACTCCAATGTGGTTGACAGAACGAGACTCCGTCTCAAAAAACAAAACAAAACAAAACAAAGCAAAACAAAAAACTACCATTATGGCCAGGTGCAGTGGCTTGTGCCTGTAATCCCAGCACTTTGGGAGGTGAGAGGTGGGTGGATTACCTGAAGTCAGGAGTTCTAGACCAGCCTGGCCAACATGGTGAAACCCCGTCTCTACTAAAAATACAAAAATTAGCCAGGAGTGGTCACACATGCCTGTAATCCCAGCTACTTGGGAGGCTGAGGCAGGAGAATTGCTTGAGCCCGGGAGACACACAGGTTGCAGTGAGCCGAGATCGTGCCACTGCACTACAGCCTGGCCGACAGAGCGAGACTATGCCCCCAACCCCACCAAAAAAACCTACCATTACAGCAGTATGGCAGAGAAGTAGAGTGACATCCAATCACTGTATATACAAAAAGTCCAGAAACAGAGAAACACACACACCCATCTTGGATGGCCAGGAGATAGAAGTAAGAAGAATAAGCCATCGTAGGAGGAAAGAATAAGAATTAAAGAATAAGCCAAAGTAGGAGGTCTTTAACTGAAGTTCATGGATGAGTGGAGATAGCAGAGGGTGTCTTTAAACCTACTGAAATGAAATCGCCAAATTTTGTAGGAGCTTTCAAGCATATTTTCCAGTGAGTGGGTCTACAACTTCCATTACATTTTCAAAGTTACACATGATCCAAAACACTCCAAAGAACTGTAGTACTCGACAATTTACCAATATTGGGGCTATGAAACTTAAAAGTCTATGGCATTAGATAAACAACAATTTTCCATAGCCTATAATTAATCTATAAAATGGAGTTTTATCTGTTAATCTTTTATTAATGAAGAGAATATGAGAGAATACAGGTGAAAAAACAAATGTACAGAAACTATAAGTGATCATTTTTAAAAGAGAGAGATACCAGAACAGAGATCCTAAAAGTCAAGGACCAGCCTATCATATATTACAATGTACTATAATGGGTCACTCCATTATGTGCCTCCTGATAAGATGCAACAGGAAGTACAGAGAATCACCCAATAGGTATTCTTGCTAAAAATTCTGAACAAGAAAATTACCAAGCCTCTAGATTTAATTATTTAAAGAGGATGGAGGAATAGATAAAACTGCATCACTAAGATACAACAGCCAAATCCAGACTGTGGGAAATTCTATAAGCCTAATGACCTAGTTTCTTCAATACCTGGCACCAAAATAAGTAAGTAAAAAGACTTAAGAGACACATTATTCAAATGCAATGTGCAGACCTGAGACAGAGTCTTACTCTGTTGCCCAGGCTGGAATGCAGTGGCATGATCTTGGCTCACTGCAACCTTTGTCTCCTGGGTTCAAGCATTTCTCCTGCCTCAGCCTCCCGAGTAGCTGGGATTACAGGCGTGCGCCACCATGCCCGGCTAATTTTTTTATTTTTAGTAGAGACGGGGTTTCACCGTGTTGGCCAGGCTGGTCTCGAACTCCTGGCCTCAAGTGATCCGCCCGCCTCGGCCTCCCAAAGTGCTAGTATTACAGGTGTGAGCCACAGCGCCTGGCCCAGACCATATTTAGATTTTCATTTGCACAAACTGTAAAAAGACATTTTTACATAATTAGGGACAATTGAACATGTACTGAATATTCAATAAAATTAAGAATTATTGTTAGTTGCTGGGCATGGTAATGTGACAATATATTTTTTAAAGTATCTTATCTCTTAGATATACACACTGGACTACTTGAGTAAGATGATATATGGGATTTGTATTCGCATCCCACCCACCCGAAGGAAGAGGAAGAGGGAGAAGATAAAACGGAAACAGTTAACATATCAGTATTTGCTCAAGATGGATGATGACTACACAAGATCTCATTATTCAGTTTTACTTTATTGTACACCTGAAAATTTCTGTAATAAGATCTTTAGAAGTACTATAACAATCTAAACCACTATAAGCAATTTAATAAAAACAAAACTGTACCTTGAGATCATTTATATGAGGTCATATATAGGATGGTTCTGTTGTACCATGAAATGATTCTGCAGTCTGTTTTTTTTTTTTTTGAGACACAGTCTCGCTCTGTGACCAGGCTGAGTGCAGTGGCGCAATCTATGCTCATTGCAACCTCCCACTCCCTGGTTCAAGTGATTCTCCTGCCTCAGCCTCCTGAGTAGCTGGGATTACAAGTATGGGCCACCAAGCCCAGCTAATTTTTGTATTTTTAGTACAGACAGGGTTTCACCATGTTGACCAGGATGTCTCGATCTCCTGACCTCATGATCCGCCCAACTCGGCCTCCCAAAGCGCTGGGATTAGAGGCATGAGCCACCGCGCCCGGCCGATTCTGCAGTCTTTTATGTAGTTCTGTCCTTCTTCTGATTCTATTTATGTCCTCTATTTTATTCATTTTCAGCTATTAATTCCTTTGCTGTTATTGCAACAGCAAAACAGTTGGAAAAATTTAAATATGCTATATTTATTAATATTATAATTGTTATATTAATAAATTATGTAGTATGTAGAATATGGGCCACTGTAAGCATTGAATTACCATAAATTAATAATACAAGTAAGTGCTTAGCACAGTGCTTGATATAAAGCTCATATTTAGTAAATCCGTAGTATTATCATTAAAATGAATACAAATAAAAGGATGTTACTCATGATGTATAAACATTTGAAAAACATTTATGTCAGGGATATTAATTTTCAAAGAAAATTATCATCTCAACCATACTGCTTTTGATTAAAAAAAAAAAACTACCATTAAAGCAGTATGGCAGAGGAACAGAAGTAAACATCCCATCATTGTATATACAAAAAGTCCAGAAACAGAAATACATACAAAATTCAGTATATGATAAAGACAACATTTCATAACAGTAAGGAAAGAACAATTTGTTCTGGTATTTGATCCACTCTACTCATATCTTTCACTAAAATTATTTCCCGGTTGATTAAAATTACCCTTAAACTATAAAACAAGGGCTGGGTGCAGTGGCTTACACCTGTAATCCTAGCATTTTGGGAGGCCAAGGCGGGTGGATCATCTGAGGTCAGGAGTTCAAGACCAGCATAGCCAACATGGTGAAACCCTGTTTCTACTAAAAATACAAAAATTAGCCGGGCATGGTGGTGCATGTCTGTAATCCCAGCTACTCTGGAGGCTGAGGCAGGAGAATCACTTGAACCCAGGAGGCAGAGGTTGCAGTGAGCTGAGATTGCGCCATTTGCACTCCAGCCTGGGCGACAAGTCAAGACTCCATTTCCCCACCACCCCCCAAAAAACAAATAAAACAAAATCATTGCCATAGAAGTAAAAAAAAAAAAAATAGTGAATTTTATATAACTTTAGGTGAAGCACAATTTTCTAAGTGTGCCACTGAGGAAAAACACTGACTGAGAAAAGCTGATACAAAAATCTAAACTTCTGTGCATCAAGAAAGCAGAAGAAATCTAAAGGACAACAAACTAGGAAAATAAATGCTAACTAAAAGAAGGGTTAACATCTCAATTACAAAAGACTTTAAAACAACAATGTGGAAAAGATAACATATTGGAAAAAGGTGCAGAGGACATGAGTGAGCAATTCCCAAATGGCTAATAAGCATAACTGTTATGAAAAAATGTTCACTTCAACTAGAGTTCAAAGATTTAGTTGCAAGGATACTCCTTATACCACCATTTGGAAAAAGAGTAGAAACAACTTTAAGGTCCTATAATAAGGGATAAAGTTACAAATTCAGTAAGTTATCAAGTAATCACGTTATGTCTATAAACCAGAAACTAAAGATGACATAAATTTTTCTTTATAATGTGGATCAATGTCCATGATATTACTAGTAAGAAAAAAAAAAGTAGAGGATAAAACAAAGTAAATAAATAGCATTTGTGGAATGATTTCATTTTTATAAAAAAATACATCTTTGTATAGAACACTATATAAACAATGATATAAAATGATGTCTACCAGATTATGTCCACTGCATATCTGAGAGAGTGAAACAGAAGATGGGGAAAGCGGGGTACCCCATTTTTTGTTTAACTTGTTCTATAATTATATATAGTAAACAAATATGGTTTTCCTAATAGGAAAAATATGTTTTTTGTCTTTAAGAAATGACACACAAACCAATATTTTATTCTAATATATAAAAATCAGAAATAGTAAACAGAAAATAACCAGAAGACCAGGAAGTGAAGAACTCCTGGTCTTAACCTAGTGCCTCAACCTCTCTCCTTTTTAAAACTGAAAAGGACCAGGAGTTTGTTTACTCCTGAAAGAAATAGGCAAAAGTTATTGAACAAAAAAATAGCACCATAGGATTGCTTTTTCAGTGCTATTTATTTGCTCAACAGCTTGTTGCTTCCCAAAGCTATACAGAAAGTTCATTACAATTCTTATGCTGCTGATTCCTGTCCCATGGATGAGTTAGTGCAAACAGGCAATCATTGCCTCTCCTGGTCCAATTAACTGTTTGGCTTGGCAACTCTGTCAAACTGAAAACCTTCATGGCTGAAACAGTTACAGGAAAAGTTCTAAGGTAAATCTGGGTAATCTGAAATGACAGCACTAGATAAGACAGGATTCCTGAAGGGTGACCTTAAGTTTCCTGGGAAAGTTCATTCCTCACATCCTGTCATACTCCCATCAAAGCACGCTTAGTCAAAGGAAGAAGTGAAAGCCATCAGAAGTCTTTTCCAGAAGATTATGGAGAACCTTTCCATTAGTCACAATAGATGACTAACAGCCTTGAGGAATCTAGATGCTTTGAGAACACTTTCTAGTAATTCCAGGGCTAGAAAGTCTCTGAACTTCAGAATAAGATATAATTTTTGTATTACTGTTTACAGCTTTGTCAGAGAGGTAGGTCATAAGACAATGGCAGTCTTGTGGAAAAGATGGCTATGTACACTAGTGAAGAGAACAAAACCACCTTACTCTTATGCTACCAAAATCTCTCTGAAAATTATCTACATTAATACTAAGTAGACGGCTAGTAAGATATGTTAACGTAAAAAGAAAAGAAAAACAAGTTGTGACGTGTGGTGACAGTGGTAATAAAAACAATGTTAACATATCAAGATCCAACAAAAAGACTTTAACATTTCTCCAATGAAGAGAAACATTAAATATCTGAATCAAGTGAGCTAGCAGAACCAGGAATAGAACCCAGGACTAGCTAACTTCTTGCTGTTAACAGCCTTTCTATTAAATTATTTATCAACAGAAACTACATGAAGCAGCACTAAACTGAAAAAAAACAAGGAAGGCCAATTAGGAACAGGTATTTCATAGAAGATTCTCTGACACACATCTGCCTCCTTTTGTTCCGGTAAAGTACTGGTCATACTGTACAAATTGTTTTCGTATTCCTGAGAAATCATATGGTCCAATCCTCTGACTCTAGGCAGAACTGCATATAATCAAGTAGCAAGAACAAACATGGGGCTCTGAACCCATAAAAACAGTGAACAGAAGCCACTGTTAATTTCAACAAATTTCTGAATGAGGACAAACAAATGGAGGACTGCTGACTGATGAAGCAGGGCAATGTAAATTACAGCCCATAATACTTACCGGAAGGCTGCAGCCAAGCTAGAAACCAATCTGCCCTCTAAGACCAGATAGGCTCTTCAAGAGGTCTTCCATGTAAAGATAAACCCCCTTCCCTAAAGCAGAAACCTGATAGTCGACAGCCTTGCCTATGTATACAGAAGTCCTAATCAACTTTTCTGTTACCTCTTTCTTAAACAGAAACGAGCTGCACTTTACTGTATGCATGGTATACATCTCAATTAAAAAATTATATGCATAGATATGCAATCATCACCAAAAAATATCCGATAATTAAATTCAAAGTGCAGAAACAAAAAAACGAATCATTCATATCCTCAGAGATTCAAGAAGCTATTGCAACCACAAAAAGAGCAATGCAAGGAAAAATATACCAATAACAAGAAATAGGGAGGCTGTATGGAATGATGTGCAGAAGCCAGAAAAGCAATCAGTCAGAGTAGAAAAAACAAGAAGACAGAGGACTGCAAAAGAGAAGGGTCTAAGACAAAAGAAAGTTTACAGATTTGATATTATGCTTAAGGAACAGGAATAATATAGGGGCATGATAAAGACACACATGCAAGAAAAAAAGAGGCAATTAAAGAAACTCCAGGGCCAGGTGTGGTAACTCACACCTATAATCTCAACACTTTGGGAGGCTGAGGCAGGCGGATCACTTGAGGCTAGGAGTTCAAGACCAGCCCAGCCAACATGGCGAACCTCGTCTCTACTAAAAATACAAAAATTAGCTAGGTGTGGTAGCGTATGCCTGTAATCCCAGCTACTCAGGAGGCTGAGGCATAAGAGTCGCTTGAGCCCGGGAGGCAGAGGTTGCAGTGAGCCGAGATCATACCACTGCACTCCAGCCTGGGCAACAGAGACTCTGTCTCAAAAATCAAAACAAAACAAAAAACCTCCAGAAAAAAAAAAGATGCTATAAGAAAGAAAATGTAATCATTTGCATTACATTGGCCCTAAATATTTACACAGTCGTAATATGCATAAATTTTGCAAGCCAACAGTTGATAGAATAAGAAACAAAGGCATATTATTTCAATCTACCATGATAATGGATATAGGAACAAAAACCTTCATTATGTAACTACACTGGAAAACAGGAGACGGAAGTGGGAATGGTGGGTGTATGAAGTAAACTTCTTATAGCAGATAGTTAACAGAAAAAGTCTATGATAGGTAAATTAATAAATAATAGCATAAGAATATTATTGTTGTTCTTTTTTTGAGACAGCGTCTTGCTCTGTCACCCAGAGTGAAAAGGTTTCAGGTTGGAGTGCAGTGGCACAATAACAGCTTACTACAGTCTCAGCCTCCCAGACTCAAGCAATCTTCCTGCCTCAGCCTTCCAAGTAGCTGGGACTACAGGTGTGTGCCACCACACCCAGCTAACTTAAAAAAGTTTTTGTAGAAACAGAGCCTTACTATGTTGCCTAGGGTGGTCTCAAACTGCTGGGCTCAAGCAGTCCTCTCACCTTGGCCTCCCAAAGTGCTGGGATTACAGGTGTGAGCCACTGCACCCAGCCAAGAATATTATTTAGAGATATGGCAGCCCAGTCATGTCTCCAAATCCATGGGAGATTGGTTCCTGGGCCCCTGTGGATACCAAAATCCATGGATGCTTAAGTGCCTTACATAAAATGGTATAGTATTTGCATTTATACACATTCTCTTGTATACTTTAAACCATCTCTAGATTATTTATAATACCTAATGCAATGTAAATACTATGTAAATAATTGTTATATTTTTAAGGAATATAGACAAAAAAAGGTCTGTACATGTTCAGTACAGACAAAACCATCCTTTTTCTTTTCCCCTGAATATTTTTGATCCGCAGTTAGCTGAATCCACGGATGTGGAACTCATGGATATGGAGGACCTATTTTAATCAAAAGAATAACTAAAAGCAAAATCAGAGTTAAAAATATTCCCTCTGAGAAGAAAGTCTAGGTAGGGAAGGGAGGAACCAGAGACAGCTGCTTTCCATTAAAAATTCTTTAACATTGAAACTGTGTGCTTTATTATTTTGATAAACTTAAAAATTATTTTAAAGAAAAAAGTGAAGAGAACTCTCAGAATCCCCAATACATGATCCTAACTACCATCAGACACTTGCCTCCACCTTGATGGCACACCGTCCAATGGCCCGCACAGCTTTTCGAACAAAGTCAACATCCACCTCTGTAGCATATTCTTTCAGTTCTGCCAGAACCTGTTAAACCCAGGAAGTGGTTAATCATTAAGGATTCTCAAATAGCAATCTCACAGCCTAGCTTCTTTAAAGGCCAGACCTTAAGAGCTAAATCATCATCAACTTGAGTCTGCATAAAGTCTGACCTGAGCAATGTTGGCTTGAGATGCCAAACGAATCATGATGTCCAACTTCTCTAGTTTAACATAGATGGGATCATTGTACTTCACAAAGAAGACTTTGATTTCCTGCTTCAAGATTTCAGGCCTAGGGTACACAGAAACAGAAGAAAGGAAGGTGAAGGCATATACTGATATACCCTTCTGAGACTGTATTAATACCTAATCTGTGCCTCTCTGCTCTCCTCTCGCTCCACTCAGGCAAAAAAAAAAAAAAAAAAAAAAAAGCATAAACTTCCTCTATACGCCTCTATTCTTATCAGTTCCACTTGGCAGATTATTTTTATCCTTTTTAAGCATCAGGGCACATGTTGCCATGAAGAACTGCTAGAACAACAATCTGGCTCTAAACTACAGCCTGAACCATATCAACCAGGCACTAGACAGTATATCAGAAAGAGACCCTTCAGAAAACAAACTGGATTGTGGAGCAACGCATGGCATTTATTATAGAAACACTGTAATATCAACTGTTAGCCTCCTGGTGCTAGGCAAGCAAGTTTTTCTGCCATATAACATTTTCATTTCCATATATTAAAAAGAGATTAACACTAGCCTAATTAACATTGACATTATTAAGCTTAATGCAAAATTACAAACACTTTAATCAACACTTCGCTATTTCCCAACCTTTTCTGGACAATTAAGTTGATGTTCCTCAGGGCGACATACTGCACTTCTGGCTCCCCAGACAGCAAAGTGACAAGTGGAGGGGCTAACTTCTTCAGCAGCATATTGTAGTAGTCAGAATCCTTAGGTAACAATTCTAGAAACTTCATTAGGACTTTTACCGCTGAAAGCACCACTGCTGAGTTGGCATGGGATAGCCGGGGAGTTACCCGCTCACAGATGCTGAGGGTGGAGAATGAAAATTAATATCATGAATTATAATTTATTTGCTGAATTCATTCTATAAGGTAATATGTCAGAGTCTAATGGCCAAGTATCAAAAAATTAAAGAATTAGTTAGAAAAGTCAAAGCTCCATGCTTAGGTAAAATTGGGATCCAACAATGCAGAAGCCTCATTCTCAGCAAACTACAGGCAGAGCAGGGACATAAGAAGACTTCAGGAAACCAGTAATAAGGGATGTTCAAACTGGAAAGAACCTAGCAATACCCAAGACACTTGAGCTCACACCATTTACCTTCTTGTTTTATAGTCCTCTTTGTCTCCCCATATTATGTTAAGGCTCCCTGCCTCTCAGCCCATTTCTACTCAACCTATAGGAAGTCAAATTAAGCATTCTGAGAGTTATTTCATAGGAAGAGACAGCAAACGCAGTTGTGGCTGAAGATTTCATTGTAAGATACAGCAGGAGGCAGGCTGGTAGGGAAAACAATCCAACCTCCTCTCTTAAGGATAATGAGAATAAGGGACTCTCTGAAAAGGGTTTGTTTTTTAAATAGCAGGACACCACTACTATATTTTCCTGTCTCCCCCCTCTCCTAGCCCCTGCCACCTACACTTACATGCCTCATAAAATGGTTGATATTTAATTATCTGTTGAGGGTTCTTTAGAAATTAATCCAATTTTGGTAGCTTGGGCAACACAAGTAGCTAACTTACTGTATTAAAGAAAGAAGATAAATAGGCTGTACTTCTCTCTTCCTCCTATTCCTGACTTCCTTTGGGTCTTTATATGAATGCCACCTTCTCAGTGAGGTCTTCCCTGGCCATCCTTTAAAAAGAAAATACAACCCCTCACCCCCAAATGCCCAGCATTTCTTAGATTTCTTCTCTACTTTACTTTCTTGTTAGTACTTATCACCATCTCACATATTACATATTACACTATCTATACATATTATATATTATATTATCTATACATATTATATATATTCCTACCCCCATCCTTCAGAATAAGTGATCCCAGAGGGCCATGACTTTGTTCACTGCTGTATCCTCAGAGCCTGGAACACTGCCTGGCACACAGTATGCACTTAATAAATATTTGCTAAGTGAGTGAATGAATGAATGTGATGTCAATGGCCAACAGAAGAAAATAAAATTCTCAGTAAAGTTATTTCCAGACTATATTTGTACTTTCAGTGATGGAAAGAAACTATCAGAGTGAGCTTTAGTTCAGTCCAGAGGGACAATTTCCCAGATAAGTGAAGATCACTTACATTCTAGTAGCTTGGAAATCAGCTTCAGCCAGACCAGTTCTTAAATACCATAATTAAAATATACCAACTTTAATGAAGAGCCAACATTTCTTCAGAAGTACTTTGCCTAGTACAGTGCCTGCATATACAAAATGCTCAATAAAAATTAGGGATAATTCCAACTTTGTAAACTAAAATGTATGTATGTGTAGATGAAATTTAGTAGTCAATTTCTAATAACCAAAGAAAATTTGCAACATTACATGGTAACAGGCTGAGCAGAACAATCTAGGTGTGCCTTCTAAAATCTTCAAATTCAGACTGACATGGTTTCCATATCTACTGGAAAGGAGGATATATTCTGCTGACTTTAACATACTCTCTCTCATACTGAATTATATATACAGGTCAGCTCAATAACTAATATGAAGCCACTTTCTATATATCTAATAGAATGAAAAATCTGTCACCCCAAAGAGAGATACTCAATAATCTTTGCTGGCCAAATGGCCAAGAACTGTGCATGGGAGACGTAAGACGATAAAAGAGATTTTAGCAGAAGTAACTGTATGAAAAACATACATTTCTTAGAAATAGTTTTGCATAGTTTATTCTACCACCTAAAATATTCCTAAATCCAGAGAGAAAATACCCTGGAGATAGCAATATCTACCCCAGAAGCCACTGACCTTCCTCAACAGATTTATTCTAATAGCAGACTCCAGAACTTACTGCATCAGGCAAGACTACCAGAAAGTAGCCAGGAAAACAGACTGACCTCTGAGCCTCCCGATCATCTTTAGGGTTGTAATTAGACAGGCAGTCCAGGATGAAAATCTGGCCCCATTCAGTGCATTCATTCAGGGCTGTCAGCAGCTTATTAATGTTCTGTGGGTTCAGATCAAGTAAGTTGCTGTTTGGGTGAGACTCACTGATTTCAGATAATGCCGCTACGGCATTAGCCACCACCTGGAAAAGAAGGGGGTATGACCTTGATTCACCAAGAACAGCACAGCTATAGACAAACACTTCATCAGCCTTCTCTGGGTCATTTCACGGAT
This sequence comes from Homo sapiens, assembly GCF_000001405.40. Lineage (NCBI taxonomy): Eukaryota > Metazoa > Chordata > Mammalia > Primates > Hominidae > Homo > Homo sapiens. The sequence continues at coordinate 35,624,304 of NC_000017.11, read as the reverse complement.
CTCAATTCATAACCATTCCTGAACATTTTACCTAGTCAGATAGAAACAAATAAATCACTTCAAAACATATATTAAACCACCAATGATATTATATATAGTGGTAAGGCAACCCAGAATTAAAACAATTCATATATTAGCAGAGTCACATGTTATTTAATAGGAAAACATACATTAACCATGTTAACAGCACTCAAAACTTTCAAAATCAAGACATATGAACAGCATATGAAAAATGACAAAGTCTGAATATGAAATATGTACATTAGGCAACAGAGAGAAAAATCTAGGCCAAATAATCTTATAGTTGTGTAGCTGTATATGTATGGGTTTGGGGGAGGTGACACCATTAATCATACTACAAGTCTTAGAGTGAGAATATGTGGGCCTGAGACCCTAGTTCACTAGTATACAATGCTGAGAGAATATGTAATCTCTGTGAAGTTCAGTTTCTTCATCTGAAAACGAGATAATTTAATCCACCTCACAGATTAGTTTTAGTTTAAGGATAAGATCAGATGACATATGTGTAAGTGCTTTCTACAAAGCCTTATGTAAATTTAAGGTGGCTGGTTATATTACCATAATTCATCAACTGTAAGCTACAGTTTTTCACATTAACACCTTTGAAACTGGGTTGCATTTTATAATCAATGGCCTGTCAGTTCAATAGGAAGCATTTTTCTTTCTTAGTAATACAGAAAATAATAATACATCTTATAATCAGTGGCATTAAAGATTCAATGAAATACAGTATTTCAAATGTATCCTTCTTTCTGAGTAGGCACACATCTTGGCTCACTGTAACCTTCATCTACTGGGTTCAAGGGATTTTCCCACCTCAGTCTCCCAAGTAGCTGGGACTACAGGTGCATGCCACCATGCCCAGCTAATTTTTGTATTTTTAGTAGAAATGGGGTTTTGCCATGTTGGCCAGGCTGGTCTCGAACCCCTGACCTCAGGTGATCTGCCTGCCTCAGCCTCCCAAAGTGTTGGGATTACAGGTGTGAGCCACCATGCCCGGCTGAAAAATTGCTACCTTATACTAGAAAGTACACTTGTATCCTGACTCACAGATCTGGGAATCCATTTAGCTGCAGGAAGAAAAGTCAACACTTTATCAAAATTACAAATTAATTTTAAGAAATCTACAAAGGAAGAACATCTAAAGTCATTTAAAAGTTGCAAAAATACTAAAAAAAAAAAAAAATGCATACATACAAATACTATATATTGTGGCTTTGTACAAGTAAATTAAGACCATGTTTTGCAGTGAGGTTCCCAGATGCTGATGAAAGATTAGCAAAGTGAGGCTGAATATAAATACTCTCCAAGTATAAGTTGGCTGGGCGTGGTGGCTCACGCCTGTAAACCCAACACTTTGGGAGGCTGAGATGGGCGGATCACTTAGGTCAGGAGTTCGAGACCAGCCTGGCCAACATGGTGAAACCCTGTCTCTACTAAAAATATAAAAAATTAGCCGGGCATGGTGGTGTGTGCCTGTAATCCCAGCTACTCAGGAGGCTGAGGCAGGAGAACTGCTTGAACCCGGGAGGTGAAGGTTGCAGTGAGCCAAGATCACGCCACTGCACTCCAGCTTGGGCGACAGAGTGAGACTCCGTCTCAAAAATAAATAAATAAATATTCTCCAAGTATAAATGAGATGTGATAGGAGACAAGCTTCAGCAATTATATATATTGGAAATATTCTCAAAAATGTAAAACCATTGTTAGTTCTTACTGAAGTCCCTTAATAAAAACTAGAGAAATTAAGATTTGTATGATTATCATTTTGTTAGCAAGGGAAGAAACATAATGACTACAATCTAGCTATTGATTTTAGTATTCACATCATCTGTGTAATCTTCAGATTATCCCAGCATATGATTTTATCTAGAAGATAAATGTCTAGAGAATGTGATTTATTTAACAAATAATATACTTACAAAAATGTCCATTATTATGTAAAGGATAATGATGCCACAAATGCAATCATCTCAAGCTATACTTTGGTGATCAGAACAAAGATGCTAAGATGAAAAATCAGAGACTCACTTGGTAAATATGGTTACAGATATACTATTTTATACTTGTTAAGACAAATCAGGAAAACTTATCTAGCCCACCTACTGGATGGTAACATGTATGAGGCTCTTTTCTGACTTAATTTTTGTTTGCTAACTCTATCATCAAGCATGAGAAAAGCCATAAAGAGAGAAATAATAATCCCTTCCATGTGCTTCACATGCAAGATATTTTATTTCCCTTGCACAACATACTTAGTTGACCTTATTATAGTCTAAAGAATCAAAATATCATATCAGAAGGCCAAATGCCTGTTTTGATTTATTGTTGCCAACACATGCCCAGTCTTGGTTACCAGTTGTCTGAAATAAATTACCACTTCTGTCAGTGAAACCCTTTTCATGTTTAAAAAAACAAAAAGATTAAATATAAGGTCTAGTAATAGGAAATATAGACAAAGAAAACGAGAGAAGGGGGAGAATTAAAAACAGCAATGGGGAGAAAAAGACCAGAAGAATGCTAAACAGAATGAGCAATTAGAAATCCTCTGTTATTATAGGCAACTGGAAATTAAACCAAGTGTATAATGCACCTAATGAAGTGTATGGTCTGATGTTTAAATAGGCAATTGCCACTTATCATGACATTAAAACAAGAAATGAAATGGAGAAAAGTAAGTCTAACTTAAGGATCCAGAAAGATCAGATTAGATGATTGTTTAGCAAAGCCTGCACAAATAAGAGAGATCACTGCCAAATGGTGACCGTCCAGAGGAGATGCTATCCTACCCCTCTATACCAAAACTCTAATGTTTCTCTAAAATTTCTTGAAGTTCCTTCCATCCTATCTCTACACTTTCATCTCCTAATCTCCACAGTCAGACTGTTACATTTTTAGCAACATACTGAGGCAGGCTCACCAGGCAGCACTCTCAGTTTTCCTGGTCCGTAAGCCGAGTTTCTCTCACTCTTCAATGAAAACTTAAAATAAATCAGTCGCACTGAATCTAAAGTATCTTAAAGAAAAAGACTAACTTTGAGACAGCAACTGGGTGGCTAGAGAGTACATGACAACTCACTTGTCAATGTTTATACTGTTTCTTTGGAATTCTGTACTATGAATATATATTGTTCCGTTTTTAAAATAAACTTTTAAAATAATAGATTGAAACTCAAGATTTACTTCCTCTTCCTCCAGAGTCTTCTCTAGACAATAATATCACAAAAGAACAAATCCAACCCTTACAATAACTGCCTTGACTCACCTGTATACTAAGACAAAGGTGTGCTTCTTTCATTTGAACTATTACTTTGATTTAGAACTGTTAACACAACTATGTGTAACACTTCTCCTGTCAAAAAATTGGCATTTCTCTTAGGAAATACTGACAGAAAGAGAACAATGGCCTTTAGCTACCATTTCAGAAAAATTAGAGTTTCCAAGAAAAAAATTGTATTTTTTTAAAGAGGCAGGGTCTCACTCTGTTGCCCAGGCTGGAATGCAGTCGCACTGATCACAGCTCACTGTAATCTCAAACTCCTGGACTCAAGTGATCCTTCCACCTCAGCCTCCTGAGTAGCCAGGACTACAGGCTTGTACCACCACACCCAGTCAAGTTTCTTAATTAAATTTTTAGAGATGGGGCTGGCTATATTGCCCAGGCTGGTCTTGAACTCCTGGTCTCAAATAATCCTCCCAGTTTGGCCTCCCAAAGTGCTGGGATTACAGATGTGAGTCACCATACCCAGCCAAAAAGGGGGGTTTCTAGAGAAAGTTTCGCTTTAAAAATGAATTTTTAAATAGGATTTCCTTGGGGTTTGTTTGGTTGGTTGGTTTTAAGAGACAGGGTCTTGCCCGTCACCCAGGCTACAGTGTAGTGGCATAATCATATAGTTCACTGTAATCTTGAACTAGCAGATGGGACCACAGTGCATGCCACCATGCCTGGCTAATTTTTTTTTTTGGTAGAGACAGGGGTCTCACTATGTTGTCCAGGCTGGTCTCAAATTCCTGGCCTCATGCAGTCCTCCCATCTTGGCCTCCTAAGGTGCTGAGATTACAGGTGTGAGCCACCATAAGGTACCTGGCCTACAAATAGGGTTTCTTAAGAGAGCTTCCTCAGCACAAGTTGATTTATAAAAAGTTGGCATCCAGGTGACAAAGGGACACATTTGCAGCATTAAAAAAATAAATCCTTGGCCGAGCACGGTGGTTCACGCCTGTAATCCCAGCACTTTGGGAGGCTGAAACAGGTGGATCACTTGAGGCCAGAAGCTTGGGATCAGCCTGGCCAACATGGTGAAACCCTGTCTCTAATTAAAATACCAAAAATTAGCCAGGCATGGTGGTGCATACCTGTAATCCCAGCTACTCGGGAGGCTGAGGCACGAGAATCACTTGAACATGCGAGGCAGAGGTTGCGGTAAGCCAAGATCACACCATTGCACTCTAGCCTGGACAACAGAATGAGACTCTGTCTCCAAAAAGATAAAAGTAAAATAAAAAACTAAAAAAAATCCTTTATTCATCTTGCCTCCCAATTATGGTAAATTCTATTCTTGGGGAGACTGAAACTAAACATTCCCCACCCCTCACATCCCCTCAAAGAGCTAACCCAATTATGTATACTTTACAGAGATAGATATTAAACACAAACATATATATAAAAGCAGCACATGTAGATGTGTAAAATCATACTCAATCCTAGACAAATCTTTCTCCGCCTTAATTACAGACTTCTCTTCAATATGATATTTCCTTATGGACCTGTGGAATCTGCTGGTTGTTTTTGTTTTTTTTTTAAATAGAAACAGGGTCTCACTATGTTGCCCAGGCTTCTCTCAAACTCCTGGCCTCAGGCAATCTTCCTGCCTTGGCCTCCCAAAGTGCTAATATTACAGGTGTGAACCACCATACCCAGCCTGAATTTTTAATGATAAGCAATTTGTATTTTTACTTACATTATACTAATAGAATGAGTTTTACAGAGATAAAAGACTGGAATAGCTAAAATGTATTGAATATTTACTTTGTGCTATTAATCCTCATAACAACTCTGAAGTAGCTGCTACTAAAAGCCACCTATTACAGATAACAAAACTGACTTAGAGAAGTTCAGTGACTTGCTTAGGGTCAACACAGCCAGAAAGGGATTCCTGCTTGAATCTGAACTCAAGGTCTGCATCTGATTCCAGTGTCTGAGTACTAATACTTGGTCTCCAGCATTTATAGAGCTTCCAAGACTTGTGAACTTCAACCAAGGGAAGGGAAAGAAGATTCAGAGTAGGGGAGGATAATATAATCCAAACATTATTTCCAGCAAAGGTGACATGTAGATTTATATACAAGGAGAAAAATGTATTCTACTTTATACATTTCAGAGATAATCATATCCTACAGTACTTAGGGAGGGAAAGATTTACTACCTAGCTATAAAATATGATTTATGATCTATACCTGTCTTATATGCAGCAGTTGAGGATAATAAATTTGACCTCATTTTGTTAAAAAAGGAGTGAGCTGGTACAGTAGGTATGGTTAGAATAAAAATGACCCTGTAAAAAAAAGGACTCTCAAAGGAAATCTAGATATAAACTGGGAGTGGAATATCACACACATAAGCTCACTTATGAGGAATCTCTCACCCATTTCCCTGTCCCTTAAAATGATTTTCACCTTGCACTCTAATTTCACTCATTTTCGTGGCCTTGGAACCTTAGAAACTTACCACTTTCCAGTTCAGTGACTTCTTCCTGTTAAGTAAATTACTATTTACAGGACTTTGATTTCCAGCAATGACCTTCAAGGTCACACACTATGAACAGATTTATGCTTCAGTTTTTCTGCTCAATTTACAATTATTTTGGCTGGTATCCCTGAAGACTTGAATAAAGTGAAAGAAGTAGAGTAACTGACCAAAACTATTATGAGGAAATACACAGGTGGTTTACATATTTTTGTTCTCTTCTAAATTAGCAGTGTTAGAATATTGCTATCTCCTTTACAGAATGACCTCAAATGACATGTGAGGCATAGGACAACATATTTGTTCTGAGAGTTTCAGTCATTATTATCTCCTTAAGGAGACAATGACTGCAGTACCAGTCAAACAAGTAAAACTTAGGGCTTATACTTTAATCCAAAACACTGTCTAGAATGCCAACTGTTAATATGCCTGCTACATTACAATCTAGAATATTCCATTTTTTCCCCATCTTCTTCCTTAGAATGAGAGGTAAAACTACCTAGTGAGCCAACACATCTCATTATGAAAAGAAAGTCTGATTACATAGTAACAAGGTTTACAAAAAATAAAATTCATTACTTAAGTGGTTTAAGATATGATTTAACAAAATTCAAGTACTCTCAAAGCCAAAACACTACAAATAAATATCGATAAACAAATAAAAGGCATGCCTATAACCATCACAGTTATTTGGACCATGGCCCCTAAAATTCATTAAAGCAAGCTGCAACTTGAACAAAATAAAACACTTATTATCACACCACTTATGATCTCCCCATTTCTAAGAGTAAAGTATTCCCCAGCCAAATTACAGCCTTGAGGTCATCTTAAAGTGACAAATGAGCCTTGATATACTGGCAAACCACCAAAACAACACACAACAGATCCAGCTTTCAGGAAGTTGCTGTTGAGAACTACTTTAAACGTACACCCTTGAATAATTACCTTGTAAAAGTAGTAAGTAGTACTCTTAGATTTAGCTTCATTTGTGGGTAAGTTGCCCTCAGAGCTTTAAAAAATTTAATCTTTAAAATTCTTCATCCTAAAAGTTTTAATCTTAACCTTAAAATTTTAATCTTATAAAATTAAAAAGTAAATTTTGCCACTGAAATACTAACCCTTCTAAAATTATTAATATCCGGCACTACAATCACTGTACAATATAGAATATATGTTTCTGCTGGGCATGGTGGCTCACTCACGCCTGTAATCCCAGCACTTTGGGAGGCTGAGGCAGGCGGATCACTTGAGGTCAGGAATTCAAGACCAGCATGGCCAACATGGTGAAACCCTGTCTCTACTAAAAATACAAAACTTAGCCAGGCATGATGGCATGTGCCTGTACTCTCAGCTACTCAGAAGGCTGAAGTGGGAGAATTATTTGAGCCCAGGAGATGGAGGTTGCAGTAAGCCGAGATTGTGCCACTGCACTCCAGCCTACGCGACAGAGCAAGACTTTGTCTCTTAAGAAAAAAAAAAGGATATGTGTTTGTTATTATTAGGGGCTTACTCCATATGAGGACCAGTATTAAGTGCTTTGCAAGCCCTCTGTCCTTTAATATTCACAACAATCCTACGATAGAAGCACTATTTGTAATCTCCACTTTGTAGATGAGGATGCTAAAATTTAGAGACACCACTCGTCTAAGAAATAGCAGAACCAGGATACAAACCCAAATCTATTTGGTTCTAGAGCCTGAGTTTCAACCACTATGCTATGGTGACTGGATGAAAAATGCCATTTCATGGTTGTAAAGCACTTTTCTGTTTTCGAGCTACCTTCAAACAGAGTAGACTGATGCATTATAAAAGGAAGTGACTAAACACAATTTGGTATTCCGGACTGAATCCTGGAATAGCGAAAGGACATTAGTGTTGAAACTGGTGAAATTCTACTTTGGTTAATAGTAACATCCCAATGCTAATTTCCTAGTTTTGGCAAATGTACCACGGTTACGTAAGATGTTAACATTAGGTGAAACTGACTGAAGCGTATATGAAAACTTTCTGTACTGTCTTTGTAACTTTTCTGTAAATTTAAAATTGTTCCTCTAAAAAATGAGGTATTTTGGCAGGGCGCGGTGGCTCATGCCTGTAATCCCAGCACTTTGGGAGGCCGAGGCGGGCGGATCACGAGGTCAGGAGATTGAGACCATCCTGACTAACACGGTGAAACCCCCCGTCTCTACTAAAAATACAAAAAAAATTAGCCAGGCGTAGTGGTGGGCGCCTGTAGTCCCAGCTACTCAGAAGTGTGAGGCATGAGAATGGCATGAACCCGGGAGGCGGAGCTTGCAGTGAGCCGAGATCGCGCCACTGCACTCCAGCCTGGGCGACTGAGCGAGACTCCGTCTCCAAAAAAAAAAAAAAAAAAAAAAAAAAAAAAAAAAAAAAAGAGATATTTTTTAAAACCTAAGTTCATAATAATATAAAACGACGTAATGATTTTTTAAAAGTGAAAATACACAGAAAATGATTTCCACAAAGCACATTATAAAAGGAAAACAAAAAGTGTTTGCTTTCTCTATAAGTAGAGACAGAAATACACTCAGACCAACTGGTGGGAAATTCAAGAGCTGGGAAGTTGGCCTCATATCAAAGCAGCCCCCAATGATTCCACTTACCCAAACTTCAATCCTGCAAAAATTAACAGCAGCTCCTTTTATAATATGAAACACAATTTGAGGAACTCAGATACAGACTGAATGTATTACCTTCAATGTTACTCTTATCAAGTGCTCACCACATACTGACATTATCATATGTGCCTAAAATTCTGCCAGCTCTAACTCCTTCATGGACATTTGATATGAAAAGTATTACACATTTTAAATTTCATTTATGTATAATATTTTAATTTTGTAATTGTTACTTACTAATATATATTTAAGGATAACAACAATCCTATAATTAACGTACTAAATAAAGTTAAGTCATTAAGTTTTTCTATGCATTCTGGGCCTACCTTTAATAGGCAGTTTAACATAGCCTACATGAATACCAAATATATTCTGACAAAAATTCTTAGAAAGAGATCTAGACAGATGGCATTTTTTCAATATTTTATCATCTTAGGTTGACAACAAATCACCACACAAGTAAACTTCCTAATGCCTAAATGAAGATTATAACAACCGGAAGGTGCATAATGTTAGGCCACTTCCTCAAGAATAGCTGCAGTTTATTAAGCATTTACCATATATCAGGCAAAGTTTAAAATTTTAAATACATTATTCTTTCATCTTCAAAATAATTCACTAAAATCGGCATTATTACCTCAGTTTTACATATAAGACAACTGAAGTTCATTTTAAATAACTTGTTCAAAGCCACATTTCTAGTAAGCAGCCAAGCCAGGACTCAAACAGCAGCCACTCTGGCTCTGAAGCCTCAGTGCTATTTCCATAATCCAGGGTTTCACAACCTTGGCATTATTAACATTTACTGCTGGATAATTCTTTGTTGTCGGGGGACTGTCCTGTACACTGAAGGATGTTGAAAACATCCCTGGACTCTACCCGATATATGCCAGTAGCACTCCTCCCATCAGGTTTGACAACCAAAAAAATGTTACTAGACATTGCCAAATGTCCTCTGGAGAGTAGAATCACTCCTGGTTGAGAACCACCATCATAATCCCATGCTGTGTCTACGTGCTGGCTAGCACATAGTCAAAATACATACTGCTTTCTGAGAAGAAAAATGTTATTTTTCATAAAATGGTTTTCAAGCAAAAGTTCAAATTAAAAGAAGCTGGAAGTTTAACTACAACTTTTGGTAAAGATTATATTTGGCCTGAATTGAGGCTATTCTGAGAGCATGCTGCTTATGCAGAAGAACACTTAACAAATGAGAAATTTTTTTTTTTTTTTTTTTTTTTTTACTAATTCAACAGTTTGCAATTTTGCAGAGAGGACAGAACAATGAAGCACAGGTATTCTCATGGGCAGCTGTGAGAGTGATAGACAGTCTGGAAGATGAAGATCAAAGGGGCTACGCAGTAAACCAAAGGGACTTACGAGGACTGAACCCAAGAAGACAAAAAGCAGGCCAGGCATGGTGGCTCACGCCTATAATCTCAGTACTTTGAGAGGCTGAGGCTGGAGGCCTGCTTTAAGCTAGGAGATTGAGACCAACCTGGGCAACAAAACAAGATCCATCTCTACAAAAAATAAAATAAAATAAATTAGCTGGGCATGGTAGCATATGCCTGTAGTTCCAGTTGCTCGGGAAGACTGTTTGAGCCCAGGAGTTTGAGGCTGCACTGAGCTATGATCAAGCCATTGCACACCAGCCTGGGTGACAGAGCAAGACCAGGTCTCTCAAAAAATAAAAAGTAAATTTTTAAAATAAATAAAAACAAAAAGCAAAGCACATATGGTGGGGCTGTCAAGAGCATCTCTGGAGTTGCAAATTCTAATATACGTAAGTTAACTGAGGTTTGAATACCCCTAAATGCCTCTGAGAGCAAAAAAGAAAACCATAGTAACGAAGCTAGAGAATACTATCATTCATTCAAAAGTGCATATCTCAATAAAACAAGTCATATACCAAAAAGATACACATTTTCTTGCAAATATATACTTGTGACATTTGTAAAAAAAACCACAAAAGCTATTTCCCTATAGCTCTAAAATGTTTCCTTATTCTGGATGGAGGTTTACCTTCAAAATAATGAACTAATAAAGTCCACATCTGACGACAAGTTTAATTCCCTTGGAACAGATAGTCCATACAAATATTAAAGGAATCAGAACCTTTTAAATTAATATTGTAGCAATAATGTTAACCTCTGCCTAATACCTACTTCATAATTACAGTAGCAGCCACCACTTATGAGCTCCCATAAGCCAAGCACTTTACAGGGCACTTTTCATGCAAAAGCTCAATTAATAATCCAAACAACTCTCTAAGATAGTAGCCTTCATCTTCCAGGAAAGGAAACAGACTTGGGTAAGTTAAACAACATGAACATAAAGCTAGGACTTAATAGAGTGAGATTTTTTTACTTCTAAATTCATCTTTTCTCTCTTAACTAGTATTTCATCAAAAGTTAGCTTCAACTAAACTATAAATTGTAAAACAACTGCAGGAAAGTAAGATGTATGTGATTCTCTGCAAAACACAGGAAACAAAACTATGGTAAAGCTTTGTTACCTGCAGCAAGGCACAGTGTCACTAGGAACCAGACTTGAGGTCAATATAACACCAAGAATTTTCAGCCCTCGACCAACATTTATCTCTCATATTAGAAGATTTCAAAGTCATTTCTGCAGATATTCTAGTGCTTTCAAATCTAGGATGCCCTTCTGAAGTGAGCTACAAGAAAACTACTAAGGCACAACCCCTGGAAGCATTCATTCTTTTCTTTTCTAAGAGAATCTAATATGTGCTGGTGCAGTGCTGCCACCATGTGGAGTAGCCTCTGAAAAAGTGGAACAAAATCACTCCTCAAGAGCAGTAAAATAAGGACTCATATCCATCACTGGAATAAGAGGATTGATATTTCTTTTTTTTTTGTATCTTTCATTTTTTTTTTCTTTTTTGAGATTTCTATAATGAAGCAGTGTTCAGATAACTCAGTCTTTATGTATTCAAACGTAAACACTTTGAGAAAATGAAGCAGTTCTGTGTGTGTGTGTGTGTGTGTGTGTGTGCGCACATACACATTTAAATGACCTCAGGTGATCCACCCTCCTCAGCCTCCCAAACTGCTGGGATGACAGGCGTGAGCCACCACACCTGGCCTAAATTCTCTGGTATACATTCATCCATGAAGGTAGTAACCAGCAATGGAGTCTGGGACTCAGAACTAGGTTGGGATCCTAGCTACATTACTACTAGCTGCATGATTTTAGGAAGAGTTCTTCAGTCTGAGTAAACATTTCTTGACCTGTAACATGGAATAACCTCTGCTTTAAGGAGAAATGTGAGAACTAAGTGAAACATTGTAAGTAAAAGCATCTACCACTGTGCATGGCATAGAAGGCACTTAAATTTAAGTGTTCTAATGACAGTTGTAATACTCTAAGGTAATAAGTAGGGAATACAGTTGAGATGAAAAGTATAAATTCAAAATAAAAAGTAGGTATGTATCTATGTGTGTTGGCTACCTCTTAAGCCCAAGCTTTTCAGTTCTTCACTAAAACAAGAATGAAGAGCTCAAAAAATGATTTTAATATGAGTATGTGTAACAAGGCCAGGACAAGAGTAAGGCAAGTGAGGCACTCCAGGCACAAAACTAAGGAGGCACTCTGTTCTCAGGCTTGTGAGGTACAGAGTTCGCACCTGAGAATGAGTGTCTTCTTAAATTTTACACTCCAGGCACCTCTTTAGGCTAAGTCAAACAATATCAGAAAAGTTCTGCTACTGAGTTCTGACAAAACAGCAAAGATCTTCTATTCAGAGAGCAGTTGGTCCAATAATTTGCTATCTAATGCTGACACCCTGCTCTAGGAAAATCTATAAATAAAGAGACAACAAAATATGAGGTATTCCTGAAACTGTTTCTCAAAAATCTACCAAGTAGCTTTAAATTTTCTCTAAAAGTCTCCTCAAAAATATTTATGAAAATCTCCCCAAGTCACGTTTTGATTTGTTGTAGTAAAAACAGGTTAAAAATTAAGAACACTATACAGTTTACTATAATATTATGATATACTAAATTCAAATAGAGACCTATTCATGTGCTGCCTGCTTAAATTTTATATAGCTAGGGGATGGGGAAAGAAAATAAGTAAAACAAGATTGGCATGTATTGATGACTAGTGAATCTAGTGATGATAAATGAATTCATTTTATTTATTGTATTCATTTATTTGTCCTAATTTTGAATGTTTGAAGATTCCCACAATAAAAAACACAAATACATAAATAGCATACGTATGCCACCTGATTTTATGGACTAGATGAAAACTAGCTCTCTCCTTTGCAATGTAAACTTTGAATAAATCGGACAAACTAAGCTTGTTCCAGAATCATTTTATTCTTCTCGGTTTATCTGGATAAAGATCTCTAAATGTGCTACTTGAGTGTGTGTGCGCACGTGCGCGCGCGCACACACACACACACACGACTTTACTGCTAAACATCCCTTAGGCCTTATCCCTGACCATCTAACTGTATAGGTTCTGCATTAAAGAATTTACATTAGCATAGAGATGCTGCCTCAAACTGGAGTCGCCTGTAAGTTAGAACTCATTTTCCCTTTGAGCCATTCCATATTCTTAGCACCACTGAATATTTAATAAGTTTCCACGGGGTACATGATATTCTGCCCACCTGGTTGACGGTTGCAGCACAAACACTTTTCATCTCATCTGTCCTCAGGTAGAGAATTATAGATAGTTGCTCAGAATAACAGTGAATCAAAAGCAATGCCAAAAACACAAGTTGGTGCCAGCTAAACATTCTGTAAAGTAGATACTACTAACTTTAGACAATATTTATTTTTCTATATTTTTGAGGAAGGGTCTGTCTTTGTCACTCAGGCTATAATGCAGTGGTGCAATCATAGCTCACTACAGCCTTAAACTCCTGGGCTCAAGGGATTCTCCCACCTCGGCCTCCCAAGTACCTGGAATTACAGGCATGCACCACCACGTCCAACAAAATTTTTTTTTTTTTTTTTGAGACAAGAGTCTCGCTCCGTCACCCAGGCTGGAATGCAGTGGCACGACCTCGGCTCACTGCAAGCTCCGCCTCCTGGGTTCACACCATTCTCCTGCCTCGGCCTCCTGAGTAGCTGGGACGATAGGCGCCTGCCACCACGCCCGGCTAATTTTTTGTATTTTTAGTAGAGACGGGGATTCACCGCGTTAGCCAGGATGGTCCTGATTTCCTGACTTCGTGATCCACCCACCTCGGCCTCCCAAAGTGCTGGGATTACAGGCATGAGCCACTGCACCCGGCCCCACCGAATTTTTTAAAAAAATTTTTGTAGAGACAGGGTCTCAGTTTGTTGCCCAGGCTGGTCTCAAACTCTTGGCTTCAAGTGATCCTTCTGCCTCAGCCTCCCAAAGTGCTAGGATTATAGGCATATGAGCCAACATGCCTAGCCAACTAATTTCTTTATGTAATTTTTAAAAAGGGGGCTGGGTGTGATGGCTCATGCCTGTAATCCCAGCACTTTGGGAGGTCAAGGCAGGTGCATCACCTGAGTCAAGAGTTTGAGACCAGCCTGGCCAACATGGTGCAACGTCGTCTCTACTAAAAATACAAAAATTAGCCGGGCATGGTAGTGGGCACCTGTAATCCCAGTTACTAAGGAGGCTGAGGCAGGAGGAGAATCGCTTGAACCCAGAAGGTAGAGGTTCCAGTGAGCCGAGATCATGCCACTGCACTCCAGACTGGGCGACAGAGTGACACTCCATCTCAAAAAAAAATAAAAAATAAATAAAAGGTACCATATGGTGTTACTTAGGGGAAATAAAAGGCAGGGTTGAATCTTCTAGTACTGGTGGTGATGCTCTGTCAGAAGTCATGGTTAAAGCATCTGCACTTCCACACCCACACCGACGCCCACCCTTATGCCTAGGTTGAAAGATTTCTAATGGTAGTTACTACCATAAAAACCTTAAAAAATTATGACTTGCTTCATCCTGTGGATTTAATACTAATCTTGAAGGATAATAAACAGAAGCCAAGGCTACCTGTAAAATAAAATGAACCAAACAAAATGTCAAAGCAGAGAAGTGAACAGGTAATTTACAAATGAGAGACAGCATCTATGTCCAGCCAAATTCTAATTCTCCATTTAAAGTTCACTAAGAAAATATTCAGGCCAAGCACAGTAATTCACTGAGGAAGGCCAAGGTGGGAGGATTGCTTGAGGCCAGGAATTCATGACCAACCTGGGCAACATAGCAAGACCCCATCTCCATAAAAAATAAGGCTGGGTGCGGTGGCTCACACATGTAATCCCAACACTTTGGGAGGCCATGTCAGGTGGATCACGAGGTCAGGAGATCAAGACCATCCTGGCTAACACGGTGAAGCCCCGTCTCTACTAAAAAATACAAAAAATTAGCCAGGCGTGGTGGCAGGCGCCTGTAGTCCCAGCTACTCAAAAGGCTGAGGCAGGACAATGGCATGAACCTGGAAGGCGGAGCTTGCAGTGAGCTGAGATCACGCCACTGCACTCCAGCCTGGGCGACAAGGCAAGACTCTGTCTCAAAAAAAAAAAAAAAATTAGCGGGATGTGGTGGCATGTGCCTGCAGTCCTAGATGCTCAGGAGGCTGAGGTAGGAGTGCTTGAACCCAGGAGTTCAAAGTTACAGTGAGCTATGACTGCACCACTGCACTCCAGCTTGGCCACAGAGCAAGATCCTATCTGTAAAAAATAAATAAATAGATAGATAAATAATTTTTAAAAGGGAATATTCAAAGGTTATCCACTGATTAACTCTTAGTGTTATGCACCTTTCAGTAAACATTGCATTAGACCAAAAAGGTAGCACTTTAAAGAAAGTGGCTATTTTCCTCCATCTTCCTGGCAACAATATTTAATGACCCATCCAATATATTCAATTAGTACCCAATTCAAATGAGCTTTAGTTATTACTGGAGTCAAACATATCACTTGGGACTTGACCTTCTTCATTATATAAGCAAAGTTTAAAATGTCAATAAGGAAAAGGTCCCAAAACTTTAAGGTGTTAAGCTATGTTCTGGCTGCTAAACATTTACAACATAACCAAGTTGGCTAAAAATAATCTTGCCCTAGAAATTCCCCTATAGAGAAATGCATGATAATAATTAGGTAATAAAGATCATTTTCATTCAGTTTCTAGTCCCACACCACCAGAAAATACCACAAATATTGATCTGAAGAAAATAATCTTAAATATATATAAATTTACGGCCAAACCTCCTGAAGAAAATGATGAAAGTTTTCATCATGGGCAATATGGGCAAATATGAGCATAAGTACAATACAAAGATTTGCTTTAAGATCCCTGCATTTTAGTACTTGGTTCTCACCTCAAAAACACCTAGGATATGAAATATACAATCTGTGAGACACACAAAGTCATGTTTCCCATAGCTACCCCATAACCCAGTATTCCAAAGACAAGGTTCATATTAAACACGCTTTAACAAGGGACTCATTTTAAATACTGCTCTCTTTGTAAAAGCAGAAGCTTATTACCATTGGATTTGAATCTGCTATGAGATCCCGTAGAGAATCCAGAAATCCCTGATCTTCCACCATTTGGGCATTGATATCATGGAGTTTTGCCACGCAGACTGCTGCTGTTTTCCGAACATAGGGATCCTCATCCTTCAAGCACTTGCGGAGCGGCTCACAGAGATATTCTGTAATTTTGTCTACCCGGATGCACCCCATGGTTCTGACTGCCAAGGCTCGAATCAAAGGATTAGGATCTTCACAGTCCTGCAGAAAACAATCACCAACAACTGTAGGTATACATGGTGGCTAAAAGTAAACAGTCCAGTTTATGTAAGCTGCAAAAGAATTACCTCATTAATTTAAGCTTCCAGATACATTCTACATGAGCTCCAATCTTCCATGCTATTCCTTTCCTAAGTACAAATCTTAGCTGCCCTATTTAAGAGTTTAGGTGAAGAAGTCATTTAACTGTTTTAAATACAAAATGAGAAACAGCTCAGCAGGATTCACTCTAGTGCCAGGCAGAGGTTTAGGGAGTTCGTACCATCCCACAGCCATTAGGATCTACCCTAAAAACAGGAAAAGCTTTTGGGCTTGTATTCCGGCACAGGAAAAAAAAAAAAAAAAAAAAGAGGAGCTGTAAAGACCGTGCCCTACTCCACAGTGAGTTCCTAAACATCAAATAGAAAAGAGAGCTAGATTTCTGTGGCCTGCAGCCAAGAAAACAAAGGGGAGCACAGGAGCTGGTCTGGGCTTGAAATAAGTACCTGGAGTTAAGCAGCAGAGAAGGCCCTCTGAGCTCTTGGCTAACATACATTCTCTTTTACTAGCAAGTGCTTCCAAATATAGTAAATAGAATATGGAGAAAGAACACTCTTTTAAACTGCCTTACACTAAAAAAATGTCTTTAAGCCCATGTAAATCTATGCACAACTCTAACTTCCAAAAAATGTAAACTAAATTCTTCCCAATGATATATTCCCTCTATGAACCACCAGTCATGGAGAACAAACTGTTACGTTCTGACTCTATAATGTAGCTAAACACAGGAAAAGAACAAAAAGTTCATGAGAAAGAAGAAAGCATATTGCTTATTTTTCAAAACATTTTAAATAGAAGCTAATTTTAGAAATGCTGTCTGTTTTTTTTAAATGTACACTAAGTTCCAAACAGAGAAAAAACAACTATTAAAAAAATATTAGGCTGGACATGGTGGCTCACGCCTGTAATCCCAGCACTTTGAGAGGCCAAGGTGGGCGGATCACCTGAGGTCAGGAGTTCGAGACCAGCCTGGCCAATATGGTGAAACCCCATCTCTACTAAATATACAAAATTAGCCAGGTGTGGTGGTGCATGCCTGTAATCCCAGCTACTCGGGAGGATGAGGCAGGAGAATCACTTGAGCCCGGGAGGCGGAGGTTGTGGTGAGCTGAGATTGCGCCATTGCACTCCAGCCCGGGCAACAAGAGTGAAATTCTGTCACCAAAAAAAAAAAAAAATTAATGGGAATGATCCCATTATTATTTTCTTTAAATCTATGATAGGAAAGATTTGACTGGATATTCAATAATAAGAAAATATTTTGTCCATTTTTAAAGACATGATGATATTGTGGTTATGTTTAAATAAAAGATCTTATCTTGACAAATATAAAGACAAAACTATTTAATATATGATGTTCAGGATTTCTTTAAAATTATCCAGCAGGAGAGGGGGTTGGAGGTCAGAAAATATGTATGAGGATTACAAACAAGAGTGGTTATGTGTCGGTAACTGTTAAAACTGCAAGACGGATATTTAGGAATTTATTATACTAGTCCTTTTTCTTGAATATGTTTAAAATTTTCCATTAAAAAAAATTAATCACGCCGGGAGTGGTGGCTTGTGTCCGTAACCCCAGCACTTTGTGAGGCTGAGGTGGGTGGATCACTTGAAGTTAGGAGCACGAGATCAGCCTGACCAACATGGTGAAACCCTGTCTCTACTAAAAATACAAAAATAAGCTGGGCATGGTGACGGTCACCTGTAATCCCAGCTACTTGGGAGACTGAGGCAGGAGAATCACTTGAACCTGGGAGGCAGAGGTTGCAGTGAGCCAAGATCGTGCCACTGCACTCCAGCCTCGGTGACAGAGTGAGACTCTGTATCAAAAAAAAAAAAAAATTAATCAAATGATGTAAGACGTATTAAATGAAATGAAAGTAGAAACTCCGGCAGTCTCCACTACTGCTGACTCATAAGTATAATTTCTACAAAGATAAAATAGGTAAAGCCCCCAATTACTGATAGTACAATGATATGCCCACCTTTGTCAGCCTCAGAAGGTAAAACAGTGGGGTTTCACCAGGTTTTCTTCTACCCATCTGGCAAGGATGCACCAAGCCCCACTAACAGAAAGCTCAGCACATGGTTTGAATTTCCCTGGATGACACACACTGGTATACAGAATGCTTAAAACATGAACATTCCTAGTCATTGCCAACACTTCCCTACACTCCTTCCTTGTGAACAGAGGTTACTTATTTGCAATTCAAACTCTGTTATTGAGGCCTTGGGAAAAGTTACCTTCACAAAGCTGTTTACAGCCATGATGGCCATGTCTGGCTGACTCTTGGCGTAGTTCATCAAGTAGAGATACACAAGCTTCTTTAGTTCCAGATTGTCAGTCTGCATACAGTTCACTACGTCTGGAAAGAGAGAACTGAGAAGAGAGGGTAAAAGAGAAAAGGAAAGTAAGCAGGTGTTGGTGCCAAGCTGTTGGACAGAACATGAATAGCCTTAACTAACAGTGATTTGATGCAAGAACAAATGTCCCCACAGTGGTAACTGTCACAGAAATGAATTACTAAAGAAACTGGCTGGGCACGGTGGCTCACGCCTATAATCCCAGCACTCTGGGAGGCCAAGGCAGGCGGATCACCTGAGGTCGGGAGTTTGAGACTAGCCTGACCAACATGGAGAAACCCCGTCTCTACTAAAAATACAAAAAATTAGCCAGGCATGGTGGTGCATGTCTGTAATCCCAGCTACTCAGGAGGCTGAGACAGGAGAATCGTTTGAACCTGGGAGGCAGAGTTTGCGGTGAGCTGAGATCACACCATTGCACTCCAGCCTGGGCAACAAGAGCGAGACTCCTGTGTCTAAAAAAAAAAGGAAAAAAAAAAAGAAAAGAAAAGAGAAAAGAAAAGAAAAGAAACTGTAGGCCAGACATGGTGGCTCAGGTATGCAATCTCAGAACTTTGGGAGGCTGGGGTGTAAGGATTCACTTGAGACCAGGTGTTCAAGGCCAGCCTGGACAACATGGCGAGATCCTCTCTACAAAAATTTGTTTTAAAAAGCTAGGTGTGGTGGTGCACACCTGTAGTCTTAGCTACTCAGAAGGCTGAAGCAGGAGGTCGAGACTGCAGTGAGCCATGATCACGTCACTGCACTCTAGCCTGGATGACAGAGTGAGACCTTGTCCCCATCCAAAAAAAACAAGAAAAAAATTGTAGTGCTGTTCTCAACAAGGTCTCTATAGTTTTAGAAAAAGCTTTTTATTATGAAAAAATGTTAATCCTAGTGCTGGGATTACATGCATAAGCCACTGTGCCCAGCTTCATCTATAATATTTTAATGTGTATCTTAAGAATCCTTTTTTTTCTTTTTGAGACAGAGTCTCACTCTGTCGCCCAGGCTGGAGTTCAGTGGCACCATCTTTGCTTCCTGCAACCACTGCCTCCCCAGTTCAAGCAATTCTAATGTGTCAGCCTCCTAAGTAGCTGAGATTACAGGCGTGCGCCACCACTCCCGGCTAATTTTTATATTTTTAGTAGAGATGGGGTTTCACCATGTTAGCCAGGCTAGTCCCGAACTCCTGACCTCAGGTGATCCACCTGCCTTGGCCTCCCAAAGTTCTGGGATTACAGATGTGAGCCACCACGCACAGGCAAGTGTCTTTTTTTTTTTCCACTACCTTTATCACATTCAAAAAAACACACAAAAACAAAAACAAAAAAGCCAGGCCCAGTGGCTCACGTCTGTAATCCAAGCACTTTGCGAGGCCATGGTGGGAGGACTGCTTGAGCCTAGGAGTGTGAGACCAGCCTGGGCAACATAGTGAGACCTCGTCTCTATAAATAATTTTAAAAATTAGCCAGGCATGGTGGTGTGCGCCTGTGGTCCCAGCTACTCAGGAAGCTGAGGTGGGAGGATCACTTGAGCCTGGGATGCGGAGGCTGCAGTGAGCCACGAACATGCCACTGCACACCAGCCTGAGGAACAGAGAGAGACCCCATCTCAAAAATAAAAATAAAAAATAACAATAATTATTTTAAAATATTTATTTTATGTACAAAAAGCTAACATGGTTTCTCTCATTGGGTGGGTGCCTTAGATAATCCATTCGTGGAAGATCACTTAGTCCAACTTAATGAAATCTATATCCTTCACGTATGATGGAAACACTGGTGGCATGTAACGAGGCTCAATTTCCAGATCAGACTGTGCCCAGTTTCAGCAGACACAATAGCAAGAACCCTGGCTGACTTTTCGCGGGTGGCTCCAGTAGAGCTGCTGGTGAATCATCTTGCTTTCAGGAGTGCGACAGGGCAAAAGGAACAATAATTCTTCATATCCATCTACTACAGTTTCAAAGCACTTCAGTTACGCTTTTTAAAGTTCATATTCTTCCAGTCTTGACCAGTGGGAACTGAGCTCCTGAATCCTTGTGATATGACCTGGTATTTTCCATACTTTCCTTTATGACAAGATGCCCCATCCAGGCTCATTTTGTACATTTCTAATTCCAGACCTAGAATCAGTCATCCTCCAAGATGTCCTGATTCCCTTTTAGTGAAATTATTTTTTTAACATTACATATTCAGACAAATGAAAATTTGAGAGTAATCAAATATAAAAGGAGTTTATACCTTTCCTAAGTTCTAGTTATTTCATGATTTACCATTCTCCTATAAGCCACAGGAAACAAATTTAAAGGAGCACCATTAGCTTGGAAGGGTTGAGCTTGTCAGATTCTAAAGTGTAAGCTGTATCTTTACAATATAGGATAACTGTAACTTTATGGGAAGTTAGCAATAAATCTTCCCCACAATGCTTTATCAAAGTACCTTATACATTTTTAATACTGCTAAACATCTTGCTACTAGCATAGAAGAAAGAAAAAACAAATGTAGGTGTATTTCCACAAGGAAAATAAGGGGAAAAAAGGGAATGAAATAGCTGGTCACAGGGTATATACAATGGTCCTATATACACAAAAGGGTACAGAAGTAGAAATTATTCACAGAAAGGAAGCTGGACTCAGGTCAAAGAATCCACCATATCTCCAGTGAACCAGTAACTTCTGTCCTGGAAAGCAAACTATGTGTTTCACTTGTATGCATGGTACCTACGGTAGTTTCATGCACCTGTAGATATTTAGTAAATACTCTCCAAAAATGTGTTTTCTATTTCCTAGACTAGCTCATGCACAAAACAACGATAACCAGTAAATGTTAAACATTAACCAATAATAAATTCAAGATCCTAAATAGTTTAATTCTAGCAATCTACACAAGGTCAAGAAGACTTAATAGCCAAAGATCAAGCAAGAAGTAAAAAGTGTTAAGTGCCAACCTATAAACTAGAAACCTGAACTTTCCAATATGGTGGCCACTAGTCACATGTGACTACTAAACACAATGTGGCGAGTGTGAACTGAGATGTGATGTAAATGTGAAACACACACTGGATTTTGAAGACTTAGCATGAAAAATATAATGTAAAATATCTCATTAATAATTTTTATGTTGATTACATACTGAAAGGATATTTTAGATATACTGGGTCAAATAAAATGTATTACTAAAATTAATTCATCTGTTCCTTTTCATTTTTTCAAAATGGCTATTAGAAAATTTAAAATTACATATGTGGTTCACACTGTATTTCCACTGGCCAGTGCTGCACTTGAGGTTACTTGCAGGAAAGGCTGAAATATCACAATCTACAAATAGCTAATCTCCATTTTATTTCTTTGCACTATCTTTCTAAGTACAGCTCATATTTCATCTCCAAGAAGGGTTCTTCAACTATTCCTGTTAACCTGTATCTCTCTTTGGTAGAACTCGTATTGCCTTTAAAATATACACTTCAGTGCCTAATTACATAAGTATATTTTATTTTTCCCTAATTTTTCAAGTTTTGGGTTTCATCAACTAGACAGTAAAAATCATGAAGGCAAACAGACATCCACTAGCCTTTTGTTTGAATAATGATAAGTGGTATAGTGCTAAGTACATAATAAAGTATCAGCAATAGCAAGCATATAAAAAAAAATCAAGAGTTTTAACTTTTCTGCAGGATACAGAAATAAGCTTGGCAAAACCACAACAGCCCCTGTAGAGTTATGACAATTTTTCGGGAGTTTGAGACCAGCCTGACCAACATGCAGAAACCCCATCTCTACTAAAAATACAAAATTAGCCGGGCGTGGTGGCACATGCCTGTAATCCCAGCTACTCGGGAGACAGAGGCAGGATAATCACTTGAACCCGGGAGTCGGGGGTTGCAGTGAGCCAAGATCACGCCATTGCGCTGCAGCCTGGGCAACAAGAGCAAAACTCGGTCTCAAAAAAAAAAAAAAAAGAGTTATGACAATTTTTACCAATTCGTTTGTACTGATGTTTTCAATCCAGATTTATTCTTTGGCAAAAACAGCCCTTCAGTGACTAGACAGATCACAGATAGGCAACTACCGCCTGTGGGTTAAATCTAGCCCAATGCTGGATTTTTGTACAATCCATGAGCTAAAAGTGGTTTTTATAGATGAACTAAGTGTTCATCTATATGAATCTTGGCCGGGCATGGTGGCTCATGCCTGTAATCCCAACACTTCGGGGGGCCAAGGCAGGCGGATCACTTGGCGTCAGCCAGGAGTGATGGCAGGTGCATATACAGTACCAGCTACTCAGGAGGCTGAGGCAGGAGAATCCCTTGAACCCGGGAGGCAGAGGCTGCAGTGGGCCGAGATTGCGCCACTGCACTCCAGCCTGAGTGATGGAGCAAGACTCCATCTCAAAACAATAAATAAATAAAACAAATCTGATGATGAAAAATACTATGAATCCTAATTACGCAAAATGTTATCATCCCCCAAAAAGAATCCCACTTAATAGTATACCTGTGGTACAAAACATTATACTTAACTATTATTTTATTTTGAATATCCTCAATAAAAAATTTGTGGAAATTTGTCTTCTCTCTTGTTATGTAAGTACCTACCTACCAAACTCAATTTTGCCTCTTTGCCTGCTAAGCAAAGAGTACTTACTATGCCAGCCTGATGTACTTACTATTTTGTCCTTTACAAAAACGTTTGCCAACTCCTTAGATAGATGGTCACAGGACAGCAATTTAAAAACCAAATGTGCTTTATGTGCTAACAAACAAAAGAAAAATAACAAAAATTCACCTCAGAAGAGCAGCACCTGGAGCAAGAGAAGATACAGAGTCATTTCCTACGCTGCCATTTCTATCTGGGCTCCCCGTCTGGTTAGGGAAGCAGCCCTCACCTTTTTGGTCTCGGGATCCCTTCATACTCTTAAAAATTACTGACATCCCAAAGAGTTTTTGTTCATGTGGGTTATATACCTATTGATATTTTACCATGTCAGGAATTAAAACTGAGAAATTTTTAAAAAGTTAATCCATTAAAATAAGAATAAACCCATTTCATAACATTTTAAAGGTAAAATGTACTGTTTTTAAATTAATGAGATGGTGACACTGCTTTTTTATTTTTTTGCAACTCTCTTTAATATCTACTTGAAATAAAAACAGCTAGATTCTCATAAGTTCCTGCATTCAACCTTTTGTAGAATGTTGTTTTGAAATATAAGAAGAAAATCCAGCTTCATACACGTATATAACTCGGAAAAGGAAATAATATTTTAATAGCTTTTTCATATAACTACATATTCCTTATTTTCTTTTTTTTTTTGTTATAACTAGAAATTCTTGATGTTACACTAAAACTAGACAGCCCGGGAACAGTGGCTCATGCCTGTAATCCCAGCAGTTTTGTGAGGCCAAGGCAGGTAGATCATTTGAGGTCAGGAGTTCGAGACCAGCCTGGCCAACATGGTGAAACCCCGTCTCTACTAAAAATACAAAAATTAGCCGGGTGGTAGTGGTGCACGCCTGTAATCCCAGCTACTTGGGAGGCTGAGGCAGGAGAACCGCTTGAGCCTGGGAGGCGGAGGTTGCAGTGAGCCAAGATAACGTCACTACACTCCAGTATGGGTGACAGAGTAAGACTCTGTCTCAAAAAAAATAATGATAAATAAATAAAACTAGACAAATGGTTGTTTTCCTCTTTCTGAGTCCACACACTGTAGTTTCTTAAAAGTTAGTTGCAATATAGAATCTGAAGCCGTATCGATAAACTTTTTGTACTTGATTGTATTAAAATCCATTCATTTACATTCTATTTTGTTTTTTTGTTTTTTGATTTTTGAGACAGAGTCTTACTCTGTTGCCTAAGCTGGAGTGCAGTGGCACAATCCTGGCTCACTGCAACCTCCGCCTCCTGAGTTCAAGCAATTCTACTGCCTCAGCCTCTAGAGTAGCTGGGATTACAGGCACATGCCACCATGCCCGGCTAATTTTTTTGTATTTTTTTTTAGTAGAGACAGAATTTCACCATGTTGGCTAGCCTAGTCTCGAACTCCTGCCCTCAAGTGATCCGCCTGCCTCGGCCTCCCAAAATACTGGGATCACAACCGTGAGCCACCACGCCTGGCCTCCACACTTTATTTCGAATAGATCTTTTATCCATGCATAATTTTGTGATATACATATGCTCTGGTCATTTGGAAAAATATTGGTTCACTGAGCTATGCTGACACATTTCATTATAAAACAGCAAATAATCACAATCATTAATTTCACCACCAATCTCCTCAGAAAAGTCTTTAAGCATTAGGAAGCTGTCAAGCTTATGATGGGAGATACAAATTTTCCAAAATTCTAATTTTTTACTTTAAAACCTGAAACGTATCCATTGTCAATTTTTTTCCCTTGAAGTGACAGGTTCACTTTGTTCATTTTTGAATAAAATATCTCCCAAATACCAAAGTCTGATTAAATATAGTTTGTCTGTCAATCATTCTTTCACATAAAAATGGTGTTTGCAGTTCAAACAACTGCACAAGGGTTTTTTCTCAAGTCGACCATTGCACTGCTACGCAGCAGAAGAGATTTATGGGTAATCCCTATTTCATCAAACACAATATTAAAAAGGTTCAAGTTTTAATAAAACAAATTTTTACTGCTCATGAAGGACATTCCTAAGTGAAACTGCTCTTTTTTAGCACATGGTGTTAAGGAATACAATGACTACCATTATGGTTGGCACCACTGCCTTCATTCATGCTGAGGCACCAGCAGTTTTACCCACCACTGCTTTGCACCATCACTGTAAACATCCAAATAGTGAAAAAGGCAAGTAACATCTAAGTATTATTATGAAAACAGCTTTGACCTCACGGACCCCCCGAAAGGGTCTTAGGATAATCCTTAGGGGCCTGCATATAGTCCTTACTTATTTCCAAATGGTCTTAATTACAGAAATAAAAAATAAGACTACATGGATTTGGTTAACATTGATTTTCATCTTGAATCCAGCAATTGAATGTACAGTTGTAAAGTTGAGGGCAGTGGCTTGAGCCAGTTAAAGATCATGTGAACTTATGCTTCTCAGTGTATTTTTATCATCTTCTAAAACGACCTCAGCAAAAAGATTTGTAACTGTGCCAGCTCTCAGGAGGTGTTATGCTAGATCTGAATGCAATGAAATCAAACTCGTTTCACTGTTCTAACACAAACACACACACACCCCATAACAAACAAACAAACAAAAAGTAGAGCATTAATACAAAGGCAACTGCACTTCCTAATGATGTTTTTAGTGGGACAAACCCATTCTTAGAGGTTCTATGATTATGATACTTTTAAAGGAAAAGCAGTAAAGGCCATAAGATGGGGTATGGACCTCTGAAGTGATCAATGGCAAGGGTGATTACTCTTACCTAACATCCTTCCCCACGGTCATAGCAGCAATCACTTTCTTCACAGCCTCCTTTCTCTTTTCTTTCTTTTCATTGTTGAGTTCAGCTTTTAGTTCAAATATTTCTCCTGCAAGAGATGAGAGCAAACTGGTAAGGTTCCAGTACCACAGACTTAGAGCAGAATACTACACTATGTAATAACCAATACCAGGATAGCAGGGCAGCAACTAAAATAAGATTTTAAAATTATAGAATATATAAAATTCAAAGCCCTAGAATATTACCTGACTCACTGACAAGGAAGCCATCAGTAAGTTTTAAAAATCTTTTAAATTATGGCCAGAGAGGAAGGTGCAATCCAGATCTTCAAGAACCACAAGAGTGGGAAAAACCAAATCTCATTATATCTAGCTACAATGGGGAGAGAACAGTATATGAAGGATGATCTTCCATCAGAATGTTAAAGTCTGGAGGAGAACATAAACGTAGGTAG
Source organism: Homo sapiens (assembly GCF_000001405.40). Lineage (NCBI taxonomy): Eukaryota > Metazoa > Chordata > Mammalia > Primates > Hominidae > Homo > Homo sapiens. Next base: position 35,597,863 of record NC_000017.11, on the reverse strand, counting down.
GGAGCAGGCGCGTATTACCTCATTTACCCACGCTCGGCTTTACAGATTAAGAAATGAGGCTCAAAGTTCACAGAGTCAGTGACAAAGTTGGGCTTAGCACTGTGTCTCCTGACTCTTGAATGCAAAGGTTCTCAGCCCTGGCCACACACTAATATTACCTGAGAAATACTAAATATAGCAAAGTACAGGCTCCACTCTGGGCCAAATAAATCATAATGTCAAAGAGAACTCATATTTATACCTTTAAGAGCTCCACCAAGTGACTCTAACGCACACCCAATGTTGAGAATCACTACTTTAATCAGTACTTTAATAAATCAGTGGGCTTTAAGGCCCTTGCTATTCAATCAAACAAGAATAATCTTGAAACCAAGAATGGTACACAATGGAGTCATTTCCAAAGGTACAATCTTGAATGACTGCTTAGGCTCCGCACTGTAAACTGTCAGGGACTGTAACCACTATTTTAAGGCCTGGTCTCCAGGCTCACCTATCTGCAAGAAGCCGGAACCAAAATAAAAAAGAAAGTAACAACCCTAATATTGTTTAAAAGAAACGGAAAAAAAACACTAAGTCCATGAAAAAGAGGTTGACTACTCCCATCTCAACTTTCCATCTACATCCTCCAGCTCATCTACCATACTGCCTCAAAAGACTTTCCTCCACCTTCAAGACTGTTCCTGTCGTTCCTTTCAACCAGATCTCATTTACCAGCATAGAAACAGTGGGGACAGTCTCCGCTTCCGGAGGTCGCTACTGCTGCCTCAGTGGCCCCGGAGCGGGGGCGCCCAGGGGTCCTTCGCCCCCGGCCACGGCCCCCACAACGGGGCTTCGCCGCCACCTGTGTCCGAGCTGGACCGTGCAGGCGCCAGGCTCCTCTCCGAAAGGCGCACGAGACAGCTTTCTTCTCCTGGTTCCACAATGGCCTCCTGGCATAGGGCATCGGGGTTATCTCCTTCATGCAGAGTGACATGGATCACGAAGCAGCATATGGCTTCTTCCTGCTGGGCGGCCTGTGTGCGGTGTGGGGCAGCGCCTGCGGGGCCTGGCAGCGCTGCGGGGGCCCATGCAGCTGACGCTAGGGGGCGCAGCTGCGGGCGCTGTACTCGCCACCAGCCCGCTCTGGGTGTGCGCCGCCGTGGGCTTCTACACCGGGCAGCTGGAGCTGGACGTGAAGCTGGTGCTCGAGGGCGACGGGGCGGCCTCCGCGGAAGGCCCTGATGAGGCAGGCTGGCCGCCACCCGAGTGAGCGACATGGCCGCCGGGCCTGGCAGGCGCGGGATGACGGCGCCCGAGGACTGGGACATTAAAACCTGACCTCCCCTCCTCCAAAAAAAAAAAAAAGAAAGAAATAGTGGGGACAAACACTACGTGATTTGCCTGAAACCATTATGTGGAAAGGATGAAATTAGTAAGACACAGAAGTAGAGCACTTTTTCGTTTCAATATCCATGGCCAATAAGGCAAAAAAATTGTTCCAAAATTTCTATTTAATCAACAGCTACAAAAGTAGCATAGCAAGAAAAGCTGGGCCCTTTAAAGAGTCATTCTTCATAGGACTCTTCACCATGTCCCATCCTGCCAAATCCAGCTCTTAGAGTTCCTCTCATTCACTTCCGGGAACAGTGAAGGACAAACGGCGGGGTTTCAGAAAGTCTGAATTGTGAACAGCAGCAGGTGTTATAGAATCAAAGCAGGATGTAACAGAAATTATTCCAATTCCAAAAGCATAAATTTAAAGAATATGTTTCAGTGGCAGTTCTGGTGGGTGTTGCAGGAAGTACAGGGAACACAATCTATCAATTTTTTTTAAGTATGATGTTTATTAGCAGTGATTCAATCTGCAGTCTCAAACTTTTACAAATGCCTGAATTAAAAAAAGGTCACCAGGACACTTTTCAAGAGTAGGTTTGAAGAATTAGGAGAGTTTTAAAATTATAACTATTTAATTGTAATTGTATCCCTTTATATAATTATAGACATTTTGTTCGTCAAAGCACACAAAATGCTAACAGAAGAAGAAATAAACATATTTCCAAAAGAAAATCAGAAAAAGCTGAGACTGAATGACAAGTGGCTAATGGCTTTTGTGAGGTGTAAGTAATAAAAATAAGGAGGAAAAAGTTGGGCAGGACCAAAGAGGGGTACTAAAAGAGGCAAAGTCATATATTCTACAACTTTATTAAATTCCTATATTTTCTCCCTCCTCCTCCCCCCAATCAAATCTACCAAGCACTGTTAGCAGCTAGCAGTAGTTCTCAATCATGGCTGCACATTAAAATAATCTGGGGAGCTTTCTTTTTAATTTTTTTCTTTTGAGACAGGGTCTCTCTCTGTTGCCTAGGCTGGGGTACAGCGGCACAATCACGACTCACTGCAGCCTCAACCTCCTGCACTCAAGTGATCCTCCCACCTCAGCCTCCCAAATAGCTGGGACTACAGGTGTGCACCACCGTACAGGGCTAATTTTTAAATTTTTTTTCATAGAGATAGGGTCTTACCATGTTGCCCAGGCTGGTCTCAAACTCCTGCACTCAAACAATCCTCCTGTCTCAGCCTCCCAATGTGCTGGGATTACAGGCATAAGCCACCATGCCTGGCCACCTGGAGAACCTTTAAAATCCTCACACCCAGACCATATCCAGGACAACTGAAATCAGGCTGAGGTTGAGACCCAGGCATCAGTATTATTTCAAAGTTCCCTGGCTGAGCAATTCTGATGTGTTGCCAAGACTGAAAGCTACAGACAACAAACTGACATAATTAAGCAACTCACTGCAACAAGAGAAAAAGAAGAATGGTAGTTGGCGCCATGTCTGGAATACTTTGGTAAATGTAAGGACTCCTGAACACAAAAGCACAGAATTCTGATCCTAAGCAACAAATAAAGCAAGCTAAGCTACAGGCACAATAAGCTGAGATGGGCTAAAATGTTTGTCTTTGATGGGAAGACCCTCCACATTTCTAGAAATGATCTATTTTATTTAGGAACAATTTTACAAAAGATGAAGGGTTGGACTTTCCCCAGAAGAATCCTTTGTTCCTAGACCCAAACTCATAGGTAAAAACAAGCATTATATTACTGATAACAAAGATGATGAGAGTAATAAGTGCAAAGTCCCTCAAGTAATTCCGTCTATGACCTAAAAACCATAGATGGCTCTAGAGATTCCGTTTTAAATATACATCTAGACGAAGAACATGGTAGATGTATATGGACGGATATGAAAATAACTCATTTCTATTCATTGTTTTGCAAGATTGCTTTTTCATTAAAGATAAAAAAATTTTAAATCATATGTATTAATATATGCACTCATATGCAGAGAAAAAGACTTGAGGATATACACCAAGTTCCCTTGGGAATAGGAACAGGAAGGGAGAACTTTCATTTTTACCTTTTACATACATATCTGTATTGCTTTAATTGTATTCTTTGTTATAAAATGTTTATTTCCAAGTAAAAATTATTTAATAAAAGGGAAAAAGTATGCTGCTTCTTTTGTCCTCCTCACACTTAACCAATCTCCAATGGATCATCTCAAACAGCAAAGAGGAGTCTCTTTCACTAAACAGAACCTTCAAGTCATAATAATGTGCATCACAGCCCTCTCTTTTAAAACCTACTCTTTAATAACTTGCTTGAATACATTCATCTATAGAAGTAGTAGATGTCCAGTGAGATTGTCAGCTACATGTATGTCTGAAGGAAGAGGTCAGCAGCATTCTGCCTGGGGCAATCTTACACTACAACTTTTGAAAATTTCAAAAGATTTGATTGTATTCTCATACTTACCTTTTTTATTGGTTGTGAAATACTTGGAGTCAGTCATGACTTTGGATCTTTAATGTGCACCTATAGCAAGAGAAAAGAATTCCTTCATTCAGGTTATAGATATCCAACAAGGCATCCAATTAATTTTAAGAACATCCAATTAATTTTAGGAACACTTATATTTAAGAATTTCTAAAAATGAGTATCATCTTCCTTTATCACCACCGTTGATGGTTCAAGAAAAACTAAGAATGTAACTCCTCAAGCTAATGGGGCAAAAATCTAAAGGCCAAATGCAACTGGGTAAAAGTATGAACCTATTATGGCTTTGTGATTTTATCCACAGTAACTCCTCAAAGCTTTCAAGAGCTAAAGCTGGACCTTTTTATAAATATATCTGCAATTACTTTCCATTCAGGAAAATCTGGTAACTTCCTTGCCTCAAGCTGGAATCACTCCAAAACATATATTCTGAAGCAGTGTAAGGTCAAAAGAAAAAACAATTTTGCCGATCTATGACATGAAACTTTCAATAAAAAGAATCTCTTTCAGAAAAAAAAAATTCAAAATTAGTAGGACAATATTCTTTCACAACAAACATCTAGAGAGGCAACCATGACTTATGCATGGAATTTTTTTAATTTTTAGTTTTGTGGGTATTTAGTAGGTGCGTATAGGTACATGAGATATTTTGATAACAGGCAGACAATGCATAATAATTACATTAGTGTAAATGGGATATCCATCACCTCAAGCATTTATCCTTTCTTTGTATTATAAACAATTCAATTACATTCTTTTAGTTATTTTTAAATGTACAGTAAATTATTGTTGACCGCAGTCACCCTTTTGTGCTATCAAATACTAGATCTTATTCATTGTATCTAACTATATTTTTGGATTTAAAAAAAAATGTGGCTTTCTTACTTCCAACAATCCAGATTTAGCCCAAGAGTATTCCCAAATAATGCCAGTTTATAGTTAAAAACAAGGCAAAAGACTGAGACATCCGTTCAGACACGAGAATCAAACTGGTGTTGAAACAAAAGAACGTGGATCTCAACCTCAACCTTAACTCTTCCATCCCAATTTCCAGAAGAAGTAATCCAGATGACAAATGGCTCTACTAACAAAAACGGCACAGTCTGGTCACATTTTTACTAAATAATAAGACTACTTTTTCTGATTTGAGAAACTATAAGACTTTGTCCAATGTACCAGACTTCTTTAAATATATTAAAATTTTGGGGCCAGGCACAGTAGCTCACGCCTGTAATCCCAGCACTTTGTGAGGCTGCCGGGTGGATCACTTGAGGTCAGGAGTTCAAGACCAGCCTCGCCAACATGGTGAAATCCTGTCTCTGCTAAAAATACAAAATTTAGCTGGGCATGGTGGCACGTGCCTTTAATCCCAGCTACTTGGGAGGCTGAGGCAGGAGAATCGCTTGGACCTGGGAGGCGGAAGCTGCAGTAAGCCGAGATCACGCCACTGCACTCCAGCCTGGGCAACAGAGCAAAAGTCCATCTCAAATAAATAAATAAATAAATAGGAATTTGGGCCAGGCGCGGTGGCTCAGGCATGGTGGCATGTACCTGTAGTCTCAGCTACTTGGGAGGCTGAGGTGTGTGGATCGCTTGAGCTTAGGAGATCAAGGCTACAGGGAGCTATGATCTCACCACTGCACTCCAGCCTCAGCGACAGAGACCTTGTCTCAAGGGGAAAAAAATATATAAATATACATATATTTTTTAATAATATTCCTTCTGTACTCAAAATGAGTATCTTTTTCCTTATCACCATCACTAATAATACTTATCACCAACTTCAGGACAAGACATGCTGGCACCTGCTCATTATTATCAGGTCAATATGACATAATGTATTTGGCAAACAATAGTAAATATGGATCTAGGAGAAAAGACCTAAGCACCAAACAAATCAATGTAATTAAAGAAAAGAAAAAAGAGCCAGATAAACATAAAATAATGAAAAACTTCTGGTTCAAATCTGATCTCTAAAACGTGCTACTTGTACAGTTTAATGGAAATTAGACTCATTTGCTATCTTTCCAACCAGCTAATTACTATTTATAGTCTTGATCCTAATAGCTCTTTAGATTGTACCAGAAATTCACAGAATGATCTTGTTAAAAGAAGTGAGCTAGGACTCACAAATATCATTACAGAATATAGAAATTTCTCCTTTAATACTTGTTATAATTAAAAATTATACTGAAGCTTGCCTTATGCAATGTTTTTACAATGTGTTTCTAGCAAAAATTCAAAGAATGTTATAATCATTTAGTCCATTCATAATGTAAACTAAATGTGAAGTGGGCAAATGAAGAAAGGAATTCTTCACATAAAAGACCTGGAATAAATCTGAAGTTATTTATGAATGTATATATACAAACAGAAAAACCAGTAAACAGAAACGATTACTTGAGCCTCAAAGAAGGACTATAGCTCAAATCCATTACAATCTGTCTAGGATATTTACTATGCTATGCTATGTCCTTTAAAACTTGTTTAAGATTTTAAAACAAAACCTCCTTAGAATTTGTCACCCAATTTCTCTGAAAAGCCTCTTATACATACACATATTAAATTTTTTTTGGCCAGGCACGGTGGCTCACGCCTGTAATCCCAACACTTTGGGAGGACGAGGCGTGCGGATGGCTTGAGCTCAGGAGATCGAGACCAGTCTGGGGAACGTGGCGAAACTCCGTCTCTAATAAAAATACAAAAATTAGCCGGGCATGGTAGCACATGCCTGTAGTCCCAGCTGGGACTCACTGCAACATCTGCCTTCTGGGCTCAAGCAATCCTCCTGCCTCAGCCTCCCGAGTAGCTGGGACTACATGTTGGGATCACCGTGCCCAGCCCATTAAATTCTTTTTTTTTTTTTTTTTTTTTTGAGACAAAATCTCACTGTGGCCCAGGCTCCAGTGCAGTGGTTCAATTTGGGCTCACTCCAACCTTTGCCTCCCAGGTTCAAGTGATTCTCCTGCCTTAGCCTTCAGAGTAGCTGGGACTACAGGCACCCACTACCACGCCCAGCTAATTTTTGTATTTTAGTAGAGACAGGGTTTTTCCTTGTTAGCCAGGCTGGTCTGGAACTCCTGACATCAAGTTATCCATCCACCTCGGCCTCCCAAAGTGCTGGGATTACAGGCATGAGTAAATTCTTAACAGGCATTTTCACTACATTCTATTAAACAATAAATTAACCTAAGTCTTAAGTCATACCTTTATCAGTAGCTCACATATTTCATTATCTCCCCTAACAATTTCAATGTCAAGGAATATATTACTATCCTGTTCACTGTGAGCATTAAGTGTTCTTGTCTTAACTAGAAAATAATGCACCCACCCACAAAATTTCAGGGAAGAGAGGAGGGTCAAGTATCTTTAGAAGCCTATAAGATAGATTCTAAATTAAGAGTCCCTGCTGCTCTAAAGAGAAGGGATATCACTCTAGTAACCATATTGTAAACAATAGTAACAAAATATTCCCTAACCATATTGGCAGAGAAACATGGTGCCAAGCTGGTTCTTGCCTTAAGCCAAAAGAAACTCCAAGAAAAATGAAAATAGTGTAAATAAAAACAAATCAGAAGACATGATTGTTGCACAACACTGTCAGTGTACTAAATGCCACTGAACTGTATGCCTTAACCTGGTTAATTTTATGGTACGTGAATTTCACCTCAAAAAAAAATCACATATATATATGATTCAGTGTATCTCTCATATAATGAGTTCTCACCTCATATAATGAGAGATACACTTAATCACATGCTAGATATGGACATAGCCAGAGTCTCCAAAATACAGGATGGCAAAAACTGACGTCTTCATTAGAAGTTACAGCCGGTCGCGGTGGCTCACGCCTGTAATCCCAGCACTTTGGGAGGCGGGCGGATCACAAGGTCAGGAGATCGAGACCATCCTGGCTAACACGGTGAAACCCTGTCTCTACTAAAAATACAAAAAATTAGCCAGGCGTGTGGCGGGCGCCTGTAGTCCCAGCTACTCGGGAAGCTGAGACAGGAGAATGGTGTGAACCCAGGAGGCAGAGCTTGCAGTGAGCCGAGATCGCGCCACTGCACTCCAGCCTGGGCGAAAGAGTGAGACTCCGTCTCAAAAAAAAAAAAAAAAAAAGAAGTTACAGAAAAAGTAAACAAAATAGAGCTAAAGAAAAAAAAAATCTAATATTTGCTGAAGTGCCTCAAAAATCAAGCTGCTCCTATGGGGGGAGAAAATGTTCCTTCAGAAGAGCCAGAGAAATAAGCAAAGCCATGATGGAATTTGAACTCACACTACCTTTCTACCAGATCAAACCAGACAAGTAACGGCTGTTCTGAGGATTTACGGTATGGCCTAAGGCCACTGTTAAACAACAAAGCTGCCAGAGTCAAAGCACATAATCACTCTTACTTGCCCTCGACCAGAGTGTGATGTCACTGCATTTCGGAGAAGGCCTCCCTGCACAGGACTATATATCCAGATTTAACATAACCTAGTTTCTACCAAATATAGGTTGTCAAAGTCCCTCCTCTCCTATATCTCCCTCCAGTTCCCCAAAAGAGAAACTGAGCAGCAAAATAAGATTAATACCTTGGGTAGAATAAGGTCAGAAAAAAATTAATAGGGTCTTAATTCAAATGGCTCTCTGGGAAGCTAAATTAGTTTGTAAAGTCACTAAACCCTTCTTTTCACAAAGTGGGACTTTACAAAGCTCAGTGCTCATAGTGAAAAACTGGCCAAAGTTAACCAAATTATAAAGCAGAAATGTCATTCCAGTAATCTTTTATTATAAAGGTGAGAGGTGCCAAATTCATTTCTAATCAAATATTCAGTAATAATGCAAAGACAATAGCATCATCAGGTATTACCTTGCTCATAAGAAATTATGAGACACAAAAGCTAAAATCACCTGTGATTTCTATTTAAACATAACAGACTACAAAGTAGCTTCTTAATATTATAACGAAGCAAAGGAGTTCAAAAGTTTTACATCTAATTCTTAACCAAAATAACATTAAACTCTGGAAAACCTAAGGCTAGAAGGAAAGAAAGGACAAGAGAAAGGAGAACGTGCCCTATTTAATATATTCCTTGCTCAGCTTCGTTCAAACCTGTGCCTAAAAAGTTAGTATTTCAAAATATGGATCTTTTAAGGAAAGAAAGAATGAAAGAACTGGACTTCCTTGAGTTTCTTCATACACAGTCAGAATATTAGATTTATATTGATTTTACCACCCAGCTTTTAGTGAGGATGTTTGCATTATACATCATCCTTTCTGCTTCCTTGAAAGTTTCAACGGCTAAGATACTGCAAACAGTTCTCACCTTACCAGCACGCTTAGTCATCACTGGAATGTCTTAACACGTTTTCTTATAGAGCTGCACCTCCTTCATCTGCTGCTTTCTATTACTACTTTGTAAGTGTACCCTGAGGCTAAGCAATTGAAGTATACAAGGAAGGTAACTAATCATTTAAATTGATTCTCATTGAGACCACCTTCTTTCTTAGTCATTCTGCCTTTCTAAGCTTAATGCATTTACTTTCTTTTAAACCACAATGGTTATGATAAGTCTTTGGCAGTTTTCAAAACATTTTTTCTTCTCAAAAGTCAAGTTTGGCTGGGCGCGCTGGCTCACGCCTGTAATCACAAAACTTTAGGAGGCCGAAGCGGGAGGATCGCTTGGGCCCAGGAGTTCGAGACCAGACTGGGCTACACAGTAAGACCCTGTCACTAAAAATACAAAAATAAAATAAAATAAAAGTCAAAAGTTTAATGAAGCATCCGCGTGAGTTCAATAAAGGCCTGTCCCCCCCCACCCCACCCCTCCAATAGAAGACTACTCTTGAAAACAAGCAGCATGAACAAATGATTTGGATTCAAATGATAAGGAAATAACAGGACGTTCCAGTTTCTTTACTTTCAGCTTAATCTACAGCCTTTCCCAAACCAGACCATTACTGCAGAGCCCAGAAAAAGAAAAAAAAAAAAAAGATGCTGGGTTAAGATTTGCCCCCATTTGCTTCCCCCTCTCTTACATCGGGTCAATTCTGGAGGTTACTCTTTCCTTCCTCCAAGAGTAAGGAATGCCTCTTCTTTCCCCAGGTGGTCAAGATTCTAGCGATATGCTCCTCCATTACGGAGCAGGGAAGAGGTTGTCTCTTACCCTCAAGTTACCCGAGAGACGACGTTCGCCCATCAATGAGCAAACCTTTGAGGGAATCCCTTTTCCCTTTGGCTTGCTGGACACGTCTCAGCCTCTCAGTGAACGACGCCGAGCGGGGAAGAAAGACGGTTCCCCCCACGGCCTCCAGGCTCTATCAGCCACACCCCTGGCCTCTGGTCCCCCTAAACCCTCAATTCCGAAACACATCTTCCCCTCCTGCCCCCAACTACCTGCTGCCACACCCGAGGATTCCCTCACCGCACCACAGGCATCATGGTAGAGACCCTTTCTCCAACCTTTTCCCTCTCAATGGTCACACCCGACGGTTCCCTGCATCATCAACGGTCACGCTCTTAGGATTTCCTCGCCTCCGCCGGTCTCCGACCCAGCCTGGTGTTACCCTTCTCTCCGTCCCCGACCCCGTCAATTAGGGACACACCCTAAAGGCAACCGCCCTGAACTCACCGGAGGCGGAGGCGAAGGCGAGGGCGGGGGTGGCGGCGGGAGCCGGAGAGCACAGCCCAGGTGGTGGTGTAATGGTTTCCTGCCCGTCACGATTCTTTTCTAGGTCTAAGCCACTGCGCAAAACCCACTTTGCCAGGGACAAAGATGGTGGGCAGGAAACTCTGACGTCAGAGAACGTCGCCGCGTGACGTCATCGGGGTGCGCGGTAGACCTAGAAAGCCTGTGATCTCTTGTCGCCTTCCAGACCCAAAGATTTCCTTTGGTCCCGGCAAGCTAGCCCATCTGGGCCTCAGAGGATGTTAAGTGGCTACTCCAAAGGGATATATTTTAAAAAGCTGACAATGGATTTGTTTCCTCGCACAGAAATTCTCTGAAAAACGTAAACATAGAGATGATGAAATATCCTGTTCCTTTCTGAAAAAACAAAACCCCTCAGCTCATTTTCCTTCCAGGCTCAAGGGCGGACAATGGTGATATAGCCCAGGCCTATATACGGGCAGTGGGGCTAGAGGATAGTGCTGCACGTAAAAGAGGTTGAGGAGGCATTGGATGTGAGTTTGAATCCCTACCCTGAATGTGACTGAGACAGTTAATGTCTCATCAACCTTCTTATCTGTGAAATGAAGACAATGATAGTATCTCTCTCGGGCATGTGAAGTTTAAACCAGATAAATTAGGTAAAGTGCCTAGTATATAATAGGTGTGCTTACACAAAAGTAAGTTTCTTTCGGACACTAAGAGCTAGATTCCAGGACCTGGAACTGGAGAACAAGATTGATGATGTTAAATGAACTAGCTGTCCCTAAGGTTAATTTCAGGGTGTAAGGAAGGATGGAGAGCAAAGTGATGATTTTTCTCACATTTTGCCTATGAACTCTGTGAGTCAAAAAGTGTTTCAGTATTTTAAAACTTCATTCTTAAAAAAGTGATCAGAAGTACATTAAAATTTTGTATAACATACTCATGTATTATTATTTCCTCTGTTATTAAAATAGGGGAATAGGGGAAATTAGAAAGCCAGGTATAAGGTGAGAGAATGCAAACAGTTATGGTAAATCAGATAGCTGCATAATGTTATAGAATATTTTATGACAGAAAATTCATAAAGTGTTAAGCAAAAAAAGGACACCAAACAATACAGTATACAGTATGACTATATATGTATAGAAAAAAAAGGCTAGGATAGGCCAGGCGTGGTGGCTTACACCTGCAATCCCAGCCCTTTAGGAGGCTGAGGTGGGTGGATCACCTGATGTCGGGAGTTTGAGACCAGCCTGGCCAATGTGGTGAAACCCTGTCTCTACTGAAAAAACAAAAATTAGCTGGGGGTGGTGGCACACGCCTATAATCCCGGCTACTCAGGCGGCTGAGGCAGGAGAATGGCTTGATCCCAGGAGGTAGAGGTTGCAATGAGCCCAGATCTCGCCACTGCACTCCAGCCTGAGTAACAAAGCCAGACTCATCTCAAAAGAAAAAAAAAAAAAAAAAGCTTGGATATTCAGCAGAACGTTAAAAGTGGTTATTGCAGGATAGTGAGAGTTTTATTTTTCTTCCTAATATTTTTCTGTATTTTTCAAAGTGTTCTACAATGAACATGTATTTATTTCTATGTTGGGATGTGCCTTTTAAATCATATTGTTGAAAAATATGATACAGAAAAATGCTTTGAAATAAGAAAAAAAAAAAGATACAAAACTCTAAATCCAGAGGAGTATATATACCTATTAGTGGTTCCCTCTGGGTGCTGATTACAAATGTTATCTTCTTTATATTTGTTTTATTTTCCATTCCTTTCTCTGAAAAATGCATATATTTTAAGGAAAAATGAACCAATACTATTTTCAAAATATAGCATCAATCCGAAAGCTTTTCCAACTTCATTCTCTTCCACTTTTGGGTGAAAGTATGGACCAATCTCCCTTCTTTTCACCTTTTGGGACCATCACGGGCTCATAATCTAATGGGAGACCACTCAGGAAACTGTTGACATGATCCAGCCACACGATGATGGTGGTTTAAACAAATAACTGTTGATATTTATTATGATTTTATGTCAGTTACTCTGCTAAGTACATTTTTACATCCGCACCACCTGATAACCAAGTAGGTACTATTACTTCCTCTATTTTAAGAGATACAGAGAAGTTAAAAGGTAGAATTAAGATGGCTGGGCGCGGTGGCTCACGCCTGTAATCCCAACACTTTGGGAGGCTGAGGCGGGCAGATCACGAGGTCAGGAGATCGAGACCATCCTGGCTAACATGGTGAAACCTCATCTCTACTAAAAATACAAAAAAAAAGTAGCAGGGCGTGGTGGCGGGCGCCTATAGTCCCAGCTATTCAGGAGGCTGAGGCAGGAGAATGGCATGAACCTGGAAGGCGGAGCTTGCAGTCACACACACAGACACGCACACACACATACACACACACAAAGGTAGAATTAAGATTTGAACCCAGGAAGTCTGACACTAGGGCTGATAAGGCTTATGTTTTAGGTTAGGGCAAGGGAGGAACGGTGGTACTAGTCACTGAAAATAGGAAAATATAAGAAATGGCAGAAGTTTGGGGAAGAATAGGGAGGTGATGAGTTCATTTTATACGTTAGGTTAGAGTGAAGATCTCTACCCAAGAGGTACTTGATTATATGTGTCTGAAGATAAGGAATGATCTGGAGTTAAATTTGTGAACTGTGAGCATACAGATGATAATTCAATCTGTGGGCATGAACATTATTCATGAAGAATGTGGAGAGTGAGTGCTTGGGGTAGAAACAGATAAACCCAAGAATGCAAAGAGGACTGAGAAGGAGTAGTCAGAGAGGTAGGAGGAAAAGCAGAATAGTATATTTTAGGATGTTTTCAGAGTTTCATGAAAGTAGGGACTATACCAATCTGTTCACTCTTGCACACATGAGGCTAGCCCCATCACACACACACACACAAATTAATATATGTTGACTAAACGCATAAATAAGTGATCAACAATATTAGTTGCCATAGACAGGAGAAGGGCTAAAAAGTGTCTACAGGATTTAGTAACATGGAGGTATTTGATGTTATTGCTGAGAAATCAGTAGAGATATGAAGGCAAAAGTCATACTGCAGATGTTTGAGGATGGATTAGAAATGAGGAAATAAAAACAGGAGTTGCAGATAACTCATAAGAAAGTATGACCAAAGAAAGCAGAAATGGTATCTGAGGAAAACAGTGGCAAGGATTTTTTCTTTCTTGAGGCAGGGTGTTGCACTGTTGCCCAGGCTGGAGTGCAGTGGTGCCATTACAATTCACTGCAGCCTTGACCTCCCAGGCTCAAGCAATCCTCCTACCTAGCCTCCCAAGTAGCTGCGACTACAGGCATGTGTCACCACGCCTAGCTAATTTTCTTTTTTTGTAGAGAGGGGGTCTTGCCATGTTGCCCAGGCTGGTCTGCAACTCCTGGGCTCAAGTGATCCTCCTGCCTTGGCCTCCCCAAATGCTGGGATTATAGGCATGAGCCACCAAACTCAGCCAATTTTTTCAAGTTTAGTTCTATACTCATACATTTTCTCTACACTAACCCTTTAGCATACCATGGTTTTAATTATCTTTCTTACATATATGGCTCCAAAATCTCTTATCTCTAGCCTAGACCTATTCCCCAAATTTCATCACCAAATCGATAACTATACTGCTGGGTTAAATCATAAGGAATGGAGGAGGTTAGAAAAACCTGGTTACAGAGTTGGGCACAGCAGTTTACACCTATGATCCCAGCACTTTGGGAGGCTGAGGTGGGAGGATCACTTGAGCCCAAGAGTTTGAGGCTGTAGTGAGCCATGATCATGCCACTGCACTCCAGCCTGGGTGACAGAGTGAGACCGTCTCTAAAAAGAAAGAGAGAGAGAGAGAGAGAGAGAGAGAGAGAGAGAGAGAGAAAAAACTCGTTCAAGGTACAACTGCTAGCAGACAGAGGTAGATTTCGTAAAGATGTCATTAGAAAAATCTTCAAGAGGCTGGCCGTGGTGGCTCACGCCTGTGATCACAGCACTTTGGGAGGCCAAGGCAGGTGGATCACCTGAGGTCAGGACTTTGAGCCCAGCCTGGCCAACATGGTAAAACCCTGACTCTACTAAAAATACAAAAATTAGCCAGGCATGGTGGCACATGCCTGTAGTCTCAGGTACTAGGGAGGCTGAGGCAGGAGAATTACTTGAACCTGAGAGGAGGAGGTTGCAGTGAGCCGAAATCACACCACTACACTGCAGCCTGGGCAATAAAGTAAGACTCCATCTCAAAAAAAAAAAAAAAAAAAAAAAAAAAAAAAAAAAAAAAAAGGAAAAGGAAAAAAAAAGAAAAAGAAAAATATTTAAGAGCTTTGATTCATACCTCTCTGCTGTTCAAAAACTTTCATCAACTTCTCATTGCCTAACATGTTTGAAAGCTATTCTTCCCCCAGTTTCCTCCATCTATGTGCTTTCTTTGGTTTTCTCATCTATAAAATGGAGGAAGATAGTAACATCTAATCATAATATTGAACAATGAAATAAATTAAATGTAAAGCACTTAGAACTATGGCTGGCATATAGCATGGACTATGGAACTATTTCCTGTAATTGTGATTATTTTAATAAATTGCACTGAGCTGCTCAAGCCAGAAACCTAGGGGTCATTCCTGATTTCCCTTTCCTTCAACTGCCACATCCAATCCATCTCCAGTTGTCAATTCTACCTTTAAAATCTCAAAGCCGTAGCTGGGCGCTGTGGCTCACACCTGTAATCCCAGCACTTTGGGAGGCCAAGGCAGGTGGATCACAAAGTCAGGAGTTCGTGACCAGCCTGGCCAAGATGATGAAACCCCGTCTCTACTAAAATTAGCCAGGCGTTGTGGTGGGCGCCTGTAATCTCAGCTACTCGGGAGGCTGAGGTACAGAACTGCTTGAACCCGGGAGGCAGAGGTTGCAGTGAGCCGAGATTGCGCCACTGCACTCCATCCTGGGCAACAGAGCAAGACTGTCTCAAAAAAAAAAAAAAAAAAAAAAAAAACAACAACTCCAAGCCATCCAACTCCCTCTATTCAATCTCATAAATCCACCATCACCTTTTGCCTAGACTATTAGAAGGCTATAAGTCTTCTCTCTACCATTCTCCACGTAGTGGCCAGGTTGTTTAACTTTTTTGGATGTATAACATACATTTAAAAATGTGCATATCTGGCCTGATGTGGTGGCTCACACCCGTAATCCCAGCACTTTGGGAGGCTGAGGCAGGGGGATCACTTGAGGCCAGGAGTTTGAGACCAGCCTGGCCAACATGGCAAAACCCTGTCTCTACTAAAAATACAAAAATTAGCCGGGTGTGGTGGCACATGCATGTAGTCCCAGCTACTCCGGGGGGTCTGAGGTGGGAGAATCACTTGAACCCGGGAGGTGGAGGTTGCAGTGAGCCGAGACTGTGCCACTGCACTCCAGCCTGGGCTACAGAGCCAGACTCTATCTCAAGAAAACAAAAACAAAAACAAAAATGTGCATATATCATAAATGTAAAGCTTGATATAAATACTGCATACCCACAAAACCATCAGAGACATCTTTAAAAAAATATAAACCTGGCCAGGCACGGTGGCTCACGCCTGTAATCCTAGCACTTTGGGAGGCCAAGGTGGGCAGATCACAAGGCCAGGAGTTCAAGACCAGCCTGGCCAACATGGTGAAACCCCATCTCTACTAAAAATACAAAAATTAGCCGGGCATGTTGGCGGGCGCCTGTAATCCCAGCTACTTGGGAGGCCGTGGCAGGAGAATCGCTTGAACACAGGAGGCGGCGGTTGCAGTGAGTCATCATGCCATTGCACTCCAGCCTGGGCAACAAGAGTAAAACTCTGTTTCAAAAAAAAAAAAATATATATATATATATTTTTTAATATATGTATATATACACAAATATATATACAAATATATAATATATACAAATATATAAATATATATTATATATTTATATATTTTATTTATTATATATTATATATATTTGTATATATTATATATTTGTATATATATTTTTATATATATTTGTATATATATTTTATATATATTTGTATATATATTATATATATTTGTATATATTATATATATATTTGTATATATATATATATATATATATATATATATATATATATATATTTGTTTATATATATACCTGATCACACATCTCTGGTGTGTGAATCCTTCATTGGCTTCCCATTGCACTTGGGCTAAAATCCAGGGTTGTTCCCATGGCCTGTGAGTCCCTGCATGGTTTGGCCTGTCTACCTCTCTAACATCATTTTGTGCTTTTCAGTTACTGCTCATTTCCTCATCATTTCACCTTTTGCCAGTTATAATAGCCCTCAAACACACCAAGCTCTTTCCCACCTTAGGGTCTTCACAATACTCTTCCTTCTGCCTAATATTCTTTTCCCCAACTCCTCATATGGCTGGCTCCTCATAATTTAGGCCTTTGTTATGTCCTCAGAAGGGCATTCCGATTATCACGTCTAAAAGATTTGGGCCTCCCAGACCTCTTATTCGAGTTGCAAATTTCTGTTTTCTTTTTTTTTTTGAGACAGAGTCTCACTCTGTCCCCCAGGCTGGAGTGCAGTGGTGTGACCTCGGCTCACTGCAACCTCCACCTCCCGGGTTCAAGTGATTCTCCTGCCTCAGCCTCCAGAGTAGCTGGGATAACAGACATCCACCACCATGCACCATCATTCCAAGCTAATTTTTGTATTTTTAGTAGAGATGGGTTTTCACCATGTCGGCTGGGCCGGTCTCAAACTCCTGACTTCGTGATCCACCCGTCTCAGCCTCCCAAAGTGCTGGGATTACAGGTATGAGCCACCATACCAGGCCCTACCTTTCCTTTTTCTTTTCTTTTTTCTGGAGATGGAGTCTCGCTCAGTTACCCAGGCTGGAGTGCAATGGTGCAATCTCGGCTCACCACAACCTCCGCTTCCAGGGTTCAAGCGATTCTCCTGCCTCAGCCTCCCGAGTAGCTGGGATTACAGGTATGTGCCACCACACCCAGCTAATTTTTTGTATTTCTAGTACAGACTGGGTTTCTCCATGTTGGTCAGGCTGGTCATGACCTCTTGACCTCAGGTGATCCACCCGCCTCGGCCTCCCAAAGTGCTGGGATTATAGGCGTTCTTATGCCATACGTTTAGTTAACTTTTGGAGTACTTCCATGGGACTATCAATCAAGACATCCTGCCTTCCCCTGGCTAAGAGTGAAAGACAGGGTGGAGAGGGAACTTGAACCAAGAGAGGTCAGTCAAAATTTGTATCACGAGCAGAGTCACAAACAGAAATTGGTGGAAGCTCGTTCACTGCAACAACGTTGCCTGGATAAGAACTTCTAATTCCTGTTAGGCAGTCCCAATAGTATTGTTAAGTTCCTGTTCTTTCAGGGCTGGCTTTACTTATTTTGTGAGCTACTCCATACACTTCTAATAAATTCCGTTTTAGTTTAAATTAGCCTGTTTGTTTCTGTTGCTTGTAACCAAAGATCCCTAAGTGACAAAAATGTTTAATTTCCTGCTTGATTTAGTTGATGCTACCTCTCAACTTTGTATTTTTGCTATTCACTTAAGAAAAGCTTGTACATAACAGTTACTATTAAACAAGCACCTAATATGTATCCAGGTGCTTCATATGGATAAACTATGTCTAGTCTTAAAACTCTGTAAGGTAAAAATCATATATCAATATAATGTCTTTTGGTAGAGTAAAAAACACTTTTTATAACTATAATTAAGGACAATTTGTAAGGTTTTCTCTCCTATTGGAATAACTAAATCCAAACCTTGTTTTTGAGGGTTCTCATTATGCAAACCAATTATTTTTATAACATAAGGGCCTCTAGGGCAGTAAACAATACCTTCTATTCCCAGCTATTTAGCCCAGAGGTGGCACTTCCCAGAGGAAGGGAGGAGAGGTGGAACTCTCATCCAAATTCAATAAGGCTGTGTCAGCCAACTTCAGCGAGACAAAGCTGTACATAACATAAAAGCACTTTACAAACCTTAAGGTAAATCACATTCATTTTGGTATAAAAACGGCATGAAAGGAAACTTTCTGTCAAGTGTCCCCAGTGCATGCTAGTTACAATTCATAAAGCTCCCTCTGCGTTAGTACTGTATTCATATCGCTGGTGGTGACATATACAACTGTGTTCAAGGATGGAGACCATTTTCATCCAGTATAGCAAGTGCATGCAGTTATGCTTGAATATAGCCAAAACCTGGAAGACGTTAAACTACCAGCTTGGATGAAAATTAACCGTCTCAAGTACTGAGGAACAAGCATGAACCTTTCTCAATCCAATCATCTTTCCTTATAATTGGCGGCAATAAATCTAAGGCTCCTATCTCCTGCTATGTCGCTTTAAATCATTTCTGGAAGGCTAAGACATATAAATTAACCACCATCCCTGCCGCACGCGTACAGCAAAGTCCTTTCCACCTCCAGATTCCCTTCCTCCCACCGCCCCTAGCTTCATCGCCTGCAGGAACACAGGGCTCAGCAACGGGCCCGAGCTCTGGCTCCCGGCGCCAGACGTCTGCGCGGTGCCCCAAACAGCTTGTCAAAAAGACCTCGCAGAGAGAGGTTCAGAGCTGTAGCTTTCCAGCGAGGCTACCATGCAGACCCAGCTACGAAAAGTAAACCAAACTAGCCAAAACCAGCCCACAAGGGCCCTCTTCTGTTTCAGCGGGGCGGGAGCGGAAGCTCAGGTGGGTCATAGAGTTCTCTAGTTCTGGTTTCCGGACCGCATTCGGAACTAGAGCGCCTCTCTTCCGCCAGGCATCCCAGAGGTCCTGGTGGTTTCATTTCCGGGTGCGGCTTCTGTCATAAAGCGGAGACCTCCCTTCAAACGTGGCGTCGTGGGTTGTTTGCGCCTCGCCTGGGGTCAGCGAGCAAGGACGGGCGCGGGCGGGGATACTCAAAGCCAACAGCTGGAGTCAGCCCTTGTGTCCCGGGCTCACAGTGGCACGACTGAATCCTCAGAGTCGGCTGGCTTTTGAGCTCTCACGATTGGGGAGGAGGGGGCGTTTCTGGTTCGCAGCTCCAGAGGATTGCGTTCCTTCCCCCATACCTGTCCCCCACAGTCACGCTCTGCCCTGACGTGCAGCATTTGACAAGTTACCCCCTCGCCACATACTACTTCCACCCACGTCCGAGTTAACTTTGTTCTTAACCTTCTTGAGACTACCCTCGGCCTCCAGGTCTTTTTTTCCCAGTTCATTTTTGCCCATAAGATTGAGTTTCGAGTTTCAGATATCATGCAGAAAGTTTACCTTTAAGACTGAGCACCCATCTGATACTCTTCCTCCCGAAAAAGTTCATGCTCACGAGAGAGTTTGTGGGAAAAGTGAAAGCCAGTACACGCAGGAAACTATGGCTGAGCACGGGGCTCACTTCACAGCTGCTTCTGTGGCCGATGACCAGCCATCCATCTTTGAGGTGGTAGCACAGGACAGTTTAATGACAGCAGTGAGACCCGCTCTTCAGCATGTGGTCAAGGTAAGGTATTAATTCTTGGAAAGGTTTTAGGGACAACTGGGTAAAAAACAAACGAATAATTTGTGCTTATTTGGTAGCCTAGCGTTTGAAATAGCCAATTTGCAAATAACTTGTATCCCATGACTTAAGAGTTACTGAGTCTCTGTTATGTGTAGAGACCTGTACTGAATACCCAGCATTTCAGGGTCCAACAGTGACTTATTTAAAACAAATTGTGTAGACTTTAGAGGAAAAGGGGGAATGTAAATAGGTGTAGAACTTGTGTAATGGAATGAATTTCACTTATTGCTTTATTTTGCTTTAGGTTCTTGCAGAATCAAATCCCACCCACTATGGCTTCTTGTGGAGGTGGTTTGATGAAATCTTTACTCTGCTAGATCTTCTGCTCCAGCAACATTATCTGTCTAGAACCAGTGCCTCATTTTCTGAAAACTTTTACGGCTTAAAGAGAATTGTAATGGGGGACACTCACAAGTCTCAGAGATTGGCTAGTGCTGGTCTCCCAAAGCAGCAGCTTTGGAAATCTATTATGTTCCTGGTTCTTCTTCCCTATCTGAAAGTGAAGCTGGAGAAGCTGGTTTCTAGCCTGAGAGAAGAGGATGAATATTCTATTCATCCCCCTTCTTCCCGCTGGAAACGATTTTACAGAGCTTTCCTGGCAGCCTACCCATTTGTGAACATGGCCTGGGAAGGATGGTTTCTTGTACAACAACTTCGATACATCCTAGGAAAAGCTCAGCATCACTCACCACTGCTGAGGCTGGCTGGAGTTCAGCTAGGTCGACTGACAGTTCAGGATATACAAGCTCTGGAGCACAAACCAGCTAAGGCCAGCATGATGCAGCAACCAGCCAGGAGGTAAGGCCTTAACATTTCCAAAAGATCTTTAGTTAGTAAATTCGAAAATCGTATCCCAGTTTTGTAAAATTCACCTCCCTGTTAACTTTGTGGCATTTCATAGAGTCATAGAAAAGCTATTCCTTGTGTCCATAAAACAAGGACTGTCATCCTGGTAACCTTCATCATTCTAGGTATACTTTAGTGCATACTTGCTATGTCCCAGGCCCTGTGCTAGGTGCTTGCTTTACGTACATTATCTCAATCCTCAACACAACCCAATGAAGTAAATGTATTAGCTCACAGTTGAGGAAACTAAACCCAAGCAGTTAAGTACCTTGCCAAAGTCACGTAGGTACATAGAAGGTGGCAGAGCTGGGATTCAAACCAAACCAATACAATTCTAAAGACTGTGCTCTGTGAGCCACTGCACCCAGCCTAAGACTGTGCTCTTAATCATGATGCTGTGCTCCTTCTAGTTCATATTTGTGTTCTCCTACAAGTTCAAATATATACATTCCTCAATACTGCTAAGTTTTTTATTAAGTGAATTGGGTTTTTTTTTTTTTTTCTGGATCACTATCTTCCACTAAAAAAAGGGAGGTCTATATAATCAAATTCTCTGATTTATCTTTCAAAACACAAAACCAAACCCTAATCATGTTACTAAAAACAAAGCTTAGCTCCTATGCTCCTAAAATATTGTAAGTTAGAATCACTTAGAATAGATCCTTAAGGAGATAGTACCAGTCTACCAACCATTCAGTCCCCCAGTGATTCTGATGAAAAATGTAAGAATTGCATTTATATTAGTCACTTTGTAATGATACCTAAATAAAGTTTCTCTCTTTGCCTCCTTGTTCTTTTCTCCCAACAGTGTTAGTGAGAAGATAAACTCAGCTCTGAAGAAAGCTGTTGGGGGTGTTGCCTTATCCCTGTCTACTGGCCTTTCTGTGGGTGTATTCTTCTTGCAGTTCCTTGACTGGTGGTACTCATCTGAAAATCAAGAAACCATCAAGTCATTGACTGCCCTGCCTACTCCACCACCACCTGTACACCTAGACTATAACTCTGATTCTCCCCTCTTACCCAAAATGAAGACTGTGTGCCCACTGTGTCGTAAAACCCGGGTGAATGATACTGTTCTTGCCACCTCTGGCTATGTGTTTTGTTACCGCTGTGTGTTTCATTATGTGAGGAGTCACCAAGCTTGTCCCATCACAGGTTATCCAACAGAAGTACAACATCTGATTAAACTCTACTCCCCTGAGAACTGAAAGGGAATCATGTCTTATCCTCACAACAAAAGTATTGCGCTGTAATGTCACAGAGCTGGTTTCAGCATGGTATTGAGTTGACACTTCTCAGCCTCAATTCATAACTATATGAACTTTAAATGATTATATGGATTTCTTTAAAAGGATATGCCCATTTGATCCTAACCTTTTAGCCTGCTCTCTAGAACCCTACTTACAGTTGACCAAGCTGCTTAAAGTAGAAGGATCAGGACTGGCAGGGGATATGAGGGCCAGTGTAGAGATTAAACAGAATAATGAGTACACAAGTTTTTGCCTATCCCTTTCCTTAAAATATAAGAAATAAAGGAGCTCTTACGAAAAACCCAGGTTAGACCGCATAAAAAATAAAGTGAACAGTGAGGTGGTAGCAAGACTTCTTTTTAGAAAAGAAAGCATTTACCTGCCTGTCTGTAAGGTGGAAATTTCATCAGTTTGCAAACGATAAGAAATGCAGACTTGCTCTTGATAGAAATGCTTAGAAACACTCTGGGGGGGAAAAAAGCTCCTTCCATATACTGTGAGACATTTGTTAAGTGACATCTATTGTTTATCAGCTTTTAAGGATAAAAAAGGTATTTTAAAAGTTGGATATTTAGGATATTTGAGGATATTCCTTTATGAGCTCTCCATATCCTTCTTGAGAAACTGGTTAAAAAAGGAATAGGGGTTGAGTGTTACAGAGAGTAGTCTGAAGATTCCTGTGTAAAAGCAAAGCTAACAAGCAATGAAGACATGAAGCAAAATACTAATCTAATTGTGTAAAGAAAGGATATTTTAATAAGTTCTTTCTGCTTGCTGCTAAGAGTTTGCTAAAGTGTCATGAATTATTCTGGTTATTACTAAAGTTTCTATGAAACACTTAAGTAGATTTTAAGAATAAATGTTTCTGGAAAAGAACTATGTTATGATTTTGTAGAAATGTAAAGATTACTTGAGGTGTTTAAAATAAATTTTTCATTCAGACTACCTTTGACTTTTTGAGGTGTTTTTATATTTAACATTTTGCCAATTCAGTAGTTGGAACAAAAATCCTCTGCTCCGACAACAAGAATTCAGCCTCATGCAAAATACCTTGCATCAACTTAAGAAACACTTAAGTTGCCTATGTAGGAGCATTTATGCCATTGGATTGGTAGACTGGTGAAAACATGGGTTAAAAAAAAATCATCACTAGAAGAGGAAGGATGAAAATGATTTTTAAGAGCCTCTGCTGACATAAGTGTTTTCCAATACTTTAACTCATTTTACCAGTTCAAAGCACATTCTCTGATAGCACAAAGGTGATAAAGCTAAAATTTTAAATAGAATATCCCATGGATTTTAACATTAAGACATTTATGATGTTAGTTGAGACAATAAAAAAAATTAAAACTTTTATATGCCATAAGAAAAGTATAATGAATTTTAAAATTCTCATTAAACCTCAAAGGTTTTACCAAAGCAAATATCATGGTTAATTAAACATTTTTATTTATTTATTTTTTTTTTACTGAGACAGAGTCTCACTCTGATGCCAAGGCTTGAGTGCAGTGGTGTGATCTCGGCTCACTGCAACCTCCACCTCCTGGGTTCAAACAATTCTGCCACCTCAGCCTCCTAAGTAGCTGTGATTACAGGTGCGTGCCACCACGCCTGGCTAATTTTTGTATTTTTAGTAGAGGCGGGGTTTTGCCATGTTGGCCAGGCTGGTGTCGAACTCCTGACCTCAAGTGATCCGCCTGCCTTGGCCTCCCAAAGTGCTGGGATTA
The DNA here is from genome assembly GCF_000001405.40 of Homo sapiens. NCBI lineage: Eukaryota > Metazoa > Chordata > Mammalia > Primates > Hominidae > Homo > Homo sapiens. The sequence goes on along the minus strand of NC_000017.11, from coordinate 35,574,012 downwards.
CAGGCGTGAACCACTGTGCCTGGCCAATTAAACGTTTTTAATACAGTAATAAGTGAATAATAGAATTGAGCCAGATTCAGGATTGAAATGATGTAGTCCTCCATGAAGAATTCAAAGCAAGAGTTTTCATCTCAACCTAAGGAGGAAAACATGAGAATATCAGTAATTCAAAAGAAAATAAAAGAAACATCTTAAACATAATAAAACCAGTGTCCAAACAGGATACAACACACCTGTGTGGAAAAACCACAATCAGAATCAGCTCAGAGAGAAGATTAAGAGATCATACCCTGGTCAAAGCCAACAGTGAAGCAATGGCAATACCAGGTCAGGCTCTACTTCACTCATCATCGCATCGCTGCATTTCATCTCCTTGTATTACCTAAGAGCAACCCAGTGCCCTAGTTTCACATCCAAGAAAACATAGGCTTACCTATGAAAAAAAATAAAGCCTTCTATTCAGGTAAGTTTCAACCATGGGTTTCTAATTAATATTTCTTTCTTTCTTTTTTTTTTTAAGACAGGGTCTTACTCTGTCACCCAGGCTGGAGTGCAATGGCCTGATCATGGCTCACTGCAGTCTCAACCTCCCCAGGCTCAGACGATCATCCCACCTCAGCCTCCCAAGTAGCTGGGACTACAGTCACAGGCCACCATATCTGGCTAATTTTTGTACTTTTTGTAGAGACAGGGTTTTACCATGTTGTCCAGGCTGTTCTCAAACTCCTGGACTCAAGCAATCCACCTTCTCCAGCCTCCCAAAGTGCGCGGATTACAGGCGTGAGCCACCATGCCTGGCCTGTTTTCAATTAATATATATATATATTTTTATTTTGAGACAAGGTTTCACTCTTGTCAACCAGGCTGGAGTGCAGTGGTGTGATCATGGCTCACTGTAGCCTCAAACTCCTGGGCTCAGGTGATCCAACCAGGTAGCTAGGACTACAGGTGCATGTCCACCATCCCTGGCTAATTCTTTTTAAATTTTTGTAGAGACAAGAGTCTCGGTATGTTTCCCAGGCTGGTCTCAAACTCCTGGCTTCAAGTGATCCTCCTGCCTTGGCCTCCCAAAACCCTGGGATCACAGGCTTGAGCCCATAAGCCTGCCCTTAGCCTAGTTCAAAAGCAAAAGCTTTAGAAAATATATTTTCTTTTTAAAAATTTCTTTATTTTTTCTGGAGACAGGGTCTTGCCCTGTCACCTAGCCTGGAGTGCAGTGGCACGATCATGGCTCACTGTGGCCTCAAACTGCTGGGCTCAAGCAATCCTCCCACCCCAGCCTTCTGAGTAGCTGACATCTCAGGTGAGCACCACCACGCCCAGAGTCTTGCCATGTTGCCCAGGGTGGTCTCAAACTGCTGGGCTCAAGTGATCTTCCCTCTTTGGCCTTCCAAAGTGCTGGATTACAGGTGTGAGCTACTGTACCTGGCCTAGAAAATATTTTTTTTTTTGAAATGGAGTCTCACTGTGTCGCCCAGGCTGGAGTGCAGTGGCGCAATCTCGGCTCACTGCAGCCTCAGCCTCCCAAATAGCTGGGACTACAGGCATGTGCCACCACGCCCAGCTAATTTTTGTATTTTTAGTAGAGATGGGGTTTCACCATGTTGGCCAGGCTGGTCTTGAACTCCTGACCTCAAGTGATCTGCCAGCCTTGGCCTCCCAAAGTGCTGGGATTACAGGCGTGAGCCACCACACCGGGCCTAGAAAAGATTTTCTACTAAATTTCTTTATAAACTCCAGTTCATTTAATATGCAATTTGATTTATAATTCTTCTGCCAACAAAGATTAAAATTATAGTCATAAAAGTTTTTAAACTAGAATCTTTTATCTGAAGAGTCCAAGAACCCAGAGAGGCTATGATTTGCCGAAGATCCATAGGAAATTAACTGCAGAGCTGGAAAGAGAACTTGAGGTATGATTACCAGATTTATATTTTTTCAGTAGCAACTAAATAAAAGGTTCAATTTCATTTTTCTCTAGGGTACTACCTTTAGATTTACTAATGAGGAAGGACATGGAAGATAAAGCAGGGCAAAGCATGGGTAATTCACAATCTGAAAAATCAATTTGTGAATGAGAAACCTGACCTCCACTCCACTCCACTCCCTCACTCTGTCACCCAGGCTAGAGTGCGGTGGCACAATCTCGGCTCACTGCAACCTCTACCTCCCGGGTTCAAGTGATTCTCCTGCCTCAGCCTCCCGAGTAGCTGAGACTACAGGCGTGCACCACCACACCCAGCTAATTTTTGCACTTTTTAGTAGAGATGGGCTTTCACCATATTGGCCAGGCTGGTCTTGAACTCTTGACCTTGTGATCCACCCACCTCAACCTCCCAAAGTGCTGGGATTATGGGCGTGAGCCACCGCGCCTGGCCTCTTTATTTTTTGAGACAGATTCTCACTCTGTCACCCAGGCTGGAATGCAGTGGCACTATCTCAGCTCACTTTAGCCTCTGCCTCCTGGGTTCAAGCAGTCCTCCCACCTCAGCCTCCCAGGTAGCTGGGATTACAGGCATGCACAACCAGGCCTAGCTAATTTTTGCATTTTCAGTAGAAATGGGGTTTTGCCATGTTGGCCAGGCTGGTCTTGAACTCCTGACTTCAAGTGATCTGCCCACCTCGGCCTCTGAAAGTGCTGGGATTACAGGCATGAGCCACCGCACCTGGCCTCTCCAGACTTTCAAAATGATATTGTCAGTATCTAAAATTCTGGGGCCACCATATACTGCCTTCAGCCATCTATAAACATCAATAGACTGATATTCCCTAGTTAAAACTGACAGCTATTGGTCTGTGTTCACTATTCAGCAACTAAGCTCCATAAAGAGGAAAACTAGGTCAGGCGCAGTGGTTCGCACCTCTAATCCCAGCACTTTGGGAGGCCGAGGCAGGCAGGTCCCCTGAGGCCAGGAGTTCCAGACCAGCCTGGCCAACGTGGCGAAACCCCGTCTCTATTAAAAGTACAAAAATTAGCCGGGCATGATGGCAGGCGCCTGTAATGCCAGCTACTCAAGAGGCTGAGGCAGGACAACAGCTTGAACCTGGGAGGCGGAGGTTGCAGTGAGCTGAGATTGCACCACTGCACTCCAGCCTGGGCGACAAGAGTGAGATCCTGTCTCAAAAAAAAAAAAAAAAAAGAAAGAAAGAAAGAAAAAGAAAGAAAGAAAGAAGGAAAGAAGGAAGGAAGGAAAGAAGGAAGGAAGGAAAGAAGGAAAGAAGGAAAGAAGGAAAAAAAGAAAGAGAAAGAAAGAAAGAAAGAAAGAAAGAAAGAAAGAAAGAGAAAGAAAGAAAGAAAAAGAAAACAGAGGCCTCAGCCTCTGTTTAAGCATTCAAGCATAACCATTGTGTAACAGGCACTTCATCAGTTACTTTCCCTCTTTTGAGACAGAGATCAGAGCTTAATAACTTAAATAAATCTGCCAAAAATAATGAAACTTGTGAGCAAAGCCAAGCTCTGAACCAATGAGTGCTTGGCTCTAAAACCCACGTTCCTTCTGGCAGACAATACTGCTATCTCAATGGGCCTCCTGCCTCCAGTTTCTCTCCCATCCAATGTACTTTGAATCTTACACACATACTAACCCTTATATATGGAGGTGTGATTACTCACAAGCATTCAGTTGCTCCCCATAGTCTAGGAAATAAAGTCCTAACGACTTTGTTTAGCAATCAAGATGTTTCAAAACAGACCAATATTTATCCTTAAATACACCATAAATAACCCAAACATGTCTTTTGTTTGTTTGTTTGTTTGAGATAGAGTCTCGCTCTGTCGCCCAGGCTGCAGTGCAGTGGTGCAATCTCAGCTCACTGCAAACTCAGCCTCCTGGGTTCAAGCGATTCTCCTGCCTCAGCTTCCCAAGTAGGTGGGATTACAGGCATGAGCCACCATGCCCAACTAATTTTTGTATTTTTAGTAGAGACAGGGTTTCGCCATGTTGGCCAGACTGGTCTTAAACTCCTGACCTCAAGTGATCCACCTGCCTTGGCCTCCCAGGTGCTGGGATTATAGGTGTGAGCCACCGTGCCGGGCCCCCAAACATATCTTACAGTCTAATCAACCCAGATTATTCCTTAGTCCTCATATTGGCTCTATTTGACCTTATGCCCTCCATCTAGAAAGTCTTTCCCCCTGTGTAGAAATCCTTCCTGTACTTCAAAATCCTATCCCTGCAGTTTGCAACCCTTCAAAATGCCATCTTTTGCATGAAGCCTTTTTTCATCAATCCAACAGGAAGTATCTGTCCTCCTTCTGAATTATGAAAGCACCTTAATACCTGTTTTGTGGTACCTATTTCACTTTGTATTTTAAGATCCAGACAGCCAGACTACCATGTAATTCAAGATCTTTACAAGTTGAACTCCCTATCTGCTTCATCATCAGCTGGGCAAACCTCCCATGTGCTCCAGCCACATGCGGCAGGTACATTTTCCTAGTTCCTGGAGTGCTTTCTCCACCCCTTTCGATGGGGAGAAAACCTGAGTATACTTTTTTTTTTTTTTTTAAAGATTTTTAACATTATTTGGATTCTTAGTTTGTGGGAAAAGAGTAAGATAGACACATCTAGATTGTTATATAGCTCAGGCTTTTTAAGGGGGATATTTAAACATACAGTATATAACTTTAAAATGCCCAGGTGTGGGGAGATTTGCCTTATCACTCAAAAAAAGGGTCAAGAGTAATCATTCCAAGTTTAGGTTGAAGTGGGTAAGATTACAGCCAGAGATTAAAAGCTCACACATCCATAAGCAAGGTCCCAGTCAGGCATCTGGAAGGGCAAAGGGATGGCTCTGTGCTGGCTGAGTAAAAGGCGCTTTCATGGAGGGATAAATACCCACCCTAAGTATACTTTTTAAACTTTACTCAAGGCCGGGAGCGGTGGCTTTGGCCTGTAATCCCAGCACTTTGGGAGGCCGAGGCGGGTGGATCACGAGGTCAGGAGTTCAAGACCAGCCTGGCCAACATGGTGAAACCCCATCTCTACTAAAAACGCAAAAATTAGCCGGGCGTGGTGGTGTGCGCCTGTAATCCCAGCTACTTGGGAGGCTGAGGCTGAGAACTGCTTGAACCCGGGAGGCGGCGGTTGCAGTGAGCCGAGATAGCGCCACTGGACTCCAACCTGGGAGGCAGAGCGAGACTCCCGTCTCAAAAAAAAAAAAAAAACAAAACAAAAATAAACTTTACTCAAATATCACTTTCTGTTAAATGTCCTTAATTCCTTCAATCATCCCCCTCTTCTAACTCTCACAGCACTTTCTTCCACTACGGCACGCATCACACGCCAACTACTCACCAGTTCACGTTTTCCGCCCTCTCTCCCACTTGCCCAATCACAGAGTTCCTAAAGAACCAGGACTATGTTCTACTAGTCTTTGTAGCCACTGCACTCGGAATGGTGCCTAGTACATAGGAATGAGCGTTTAATTCATTGAATGAGCGACTCTTCCTACTAAACCCTAAGCTCCTAGATTATAAAAGCATCAACACAAGTTATAAATCCGACTTACCTCCAACATTTCACGTAGGTAAAGACCATACCTCAAGCACCTCCAAGCCCTCATTTCCCCAGCCTCTACCTCATGGCCCTCTGCACAGCCATCTGCGCACAACCAGTGCTTACACACAGGAGGCCCTCAAAATAATACTAATAATCTAAGGTCCAAATCCCACGAACTCCCGGGAAGACTGAGAGTGAGGCTGGAGCCAAGGCTTGAACCAAACACCCAGGAAGGAATCTGCAGCCCGCTTTTCTAAGTCGTAAAACTCCTACGACCTGGACTCTCTCAGGAAGCCTGCTCCGGCCTGAGGAGGATGGAGGTAGCCAAGCTCTCCAGATTTCTGTCCCGGGCCAAAGGTGCTTCCAGCTTCCCTCTCCTTTGCTTCTCCGCCCGGCTCAGGTCTTACAGCCTAGCGCGGCTCTCGCCGAACAACCAATCCCACGGCGGCCATCGGGTCACGTGGGCGCCCCTGAGGCGGGGCTGGTGGGAGGAGCAGCCAATCGAAGGCCGAGGCCAACGTCAGGGGTGGAGCAAAAGGGATGGCGGACGCATCTTTTCCGTCACTTCTTTGCGTCGCGGTCTCTATCCTGAGAGACCAGTCGCTTTCCAAGTTCTGAGCAATTCTCCCCCGCCCCCTCCACAATTCCTCGCCGTCGGCCGTCGGGGTGACTGTTAGGCAGAGTGGTTTTGCCTGTACCCTGTTTCATAACTGGGAATGAGCATTTGAGGCAGGATTATAGTGTGTGTGCCCTGGGATTGCGGGAAGAAATGGTTTTGGGTTTTTTTTTTTTTTTTTTTTGTGACAGGGTCTCACTCAAGTCGCCCAGGCTGGAGTGCAGTGGCGCGATCTCGGCTCACTGCCACTTCCGCCTCCCAGGCTCAGGCTATTCTCCTGCTTCGGCCTTCTGAGCAGCTTGGATTACAGGCAGGCGTCACCACGCCCGGCTGATTTTATTTATTTATTTATTTATTTATTTATTTATTTATTTATTTTCCTGAGATGGAGTTTCGCTCTGTCGCCCAGGCTGCAGTGTAGTGGCGCGATCTCGGCTCACTGCAACCTCCGCCTCCCAGGTTCAAGCGGTTCTCGTGCCTCAGCCTCCCGAGTAGCTGTATTACAGACACCCATCATCATGCCGGGCTAATTTTTGTACTTTTGTAGAGACGGGGTTTCAACGTGTTGGCCAGGCTGGTCTTGAACTCCTGACCTCAGGTGATCCTACCGCCTCGGCCTCCCACAGTGCTGGGATTACAGGCGTGAGCCACCGTGCCCGGCCTCAACTGTGTTTAGATTGGTGGGGGGCAGAGAGCGAAAGGAGGGAAAGCTATTGCAATGGTCCAGGTGAGAGCTAATAGGAGCTTAAATTAGATTGGCAGTGGAAATAGAGGAGTGGCATATGAAAGGCGAATGAGGATTGTGATGAATGTTAGACAGGAATGGGTAAAAGGACATGAAGAAGTAAAATGGAGAGTCTTCTGTACCAGACCCACTCAAGGCCTCTTTCGTTCGTTAAGGATTGGAGAGATTAGACAGTGAAGACAATGTGCCTTTGCGCGTGCTATTTCCTCTACCTGGTTTATCTTTCTCCCATCCATCTCCCTTTCTCTCAACCTGTTGCTTGCTTGCTTTCTTTTTTTTTTTTGAAATGAAAGGTCTCACATATTTATTACTGAACTCAGCCAACCAAAGCGTTCATAACAGATTCAGAGAGAAAAAATATGTCCCCAATAAAACATGTCCAACTCTCCAGATAGTGGTGACATTTTCAGGTTGATATGATAATGTGATTGTGACCTTCAGACATCATAAATACGTGTGCCATCTCATGTGCAATTCCTTATAGACCCAGCTTGGTTCTTCTCCAATGTCTCCTTTTGGAGTTGTACCTGATTTTATTACCAATTTTTATCTGAATCCACTGGGGAATGGGACGATTTTGCTTTTGTTTCTTGGCCAGGAATTGCTTAATCCTAAACGTCTTGTGAGAAGACATGGCAAGAAGCAGAGTCAAGCACATACCACGATGGCGGAGAAAGGAAGAGAGGGGGAAACCTGTTGCTTTCTTACTTACAGGTTCCAGCTCACAAATCATCTCATCTAGGAAATCTTTTCTGATGCTCACTCATAGTTATTGTCACTCCTCAGAACACCTAGAGAACACTGCTCATACATTGCAAACTCTTTAGAGTGGTACTAGAGCGTAGTGGTCATGTATGTGGACTATTTTGGCAAGTAACTTGAATTCTTTGTTCTTCAGTATCACTATTTGTAAAAAGGAGGCTAATAATAGCATCTACCTAATAGAACTGTTACAAGATCAATGACAACAATGCCTAATACATAGAGTGCTCAGTTGATGTTATTGTGTATGTTGTATTGTTATGAGTTGTTTAGTACATGTTTTCCCTCTTTAGATTGTGAATGATCTCAGCTCACTGCAACCCCTGCCTCCTGGGCTCAAGCAATTCTCCTGGCTCAGCCTCCCAAATAGGTGGGATTACAGGCATGCACTACCACACCCGGCTGATTCTTTTATTTTTAGTAGAGATGGGGTTTCGCCATGTTGGCCAGGCTGGTCTCGAACTCTTGACCTCAAGTGATCCACCCACCCACCTTGGCCTCCGAAAGTGCTGGGATTACAGTCGTGAGCCACCGAGCCCAGCAGGGACGTGTGTCTTATTCTTCCAGCTAATAGTAAGGCTTTCTGGCAGGATGAGAGTAACTGGGCTTTGGATTCAGATAGGTCAGTGTTCAGCTCTCAGCTCTGCCACTTGCTAGATGTGTAACTTTGTGCTTTACCTCAATGAACTCAGTTTTTTTCATTTATGTAATGTGAAAATAACACTTCTTGCAAGTTATTCTGAGGATTATATTTGAGAAGGAAAGTTGCATATTTGGCTCAAGGAAGGCAGTTACTAAATAAGAGCTTTTATTTTGATGGGTAGCCCCAGATTGTAGCACCATGTTTAAAACATTGTAAGCGCTCAACAATTGATTATCATTATTATTATTTGAGACAGAGTCTCGCTCTGTCACCCAGGCTAGAATGCAGTGGTGCGATCTCGGCTCACTGCAACCTCTGCCTCCTGGGTTCAAGTGATTCTCATGCCTCAGCCTCCCAAGTAGCTGGGATTACAGGCGCATGCCACCATGCCCAGCTAATGTTTGTATTTTTAATAGAGATGAGGTTTCGCCATGTTGGTTAGGCTGGTCTTGAACTCCTGACCTCAAGTGATCCGCCTGCCTTGGCCTCCCAAAGTGGTGGGATTACAGGCGTGAGCCACTGCGCTTAGCCGACAATTGATTATTGAATGAAAATGGCATTACATGCCGGGCACCATATGCGGCAAAGAGCACATGTTAACACACATTTACTCTTTATGTGTATCATTTCACTTCATTCTGGCAAATACTCTGTGGAGGAGGCTCTGTTATTATCTCCAGTTTACACAGAAGAAATTGGAGGCTTAGGTTAGTTTAACAAAGTTTTCATAGCTAGAATGTGGCAGAGCTGAGATCTGAACACCTTAGGATCCCCAAAATAGCTGATCGAATGAAAGAATGAATGAAAGTGAGGAAACTTACACGGAGTCAGGTAGTGGCATAATGGAGCCCTTGGTCACTATTCTATTTACACTCTTTGGATCATCTCTATGAAAGAATTGGGGGTGAGATGGAGGCATCTGGGGGTAAAGAGACCAACTTTTCCCCTTTAGTTGCTATTTGACAGTTTATGTCTGGTGAACATGCAGGCTTGCGTCTGGTGAACATAAGTACAACTGTGGATAAACAGAAATGCTTAGTGAATAAACACATCTAAAATAAATTCGGGGTTCTTGTTCTTAGCAATCATCAATAGCATGGCCAGATGAATTTTCCTGAGACAGGAAAAAGCATAATCTAAGTTACTGATTTCAAGTTGTTTTGTATCAGGAACATTTGCTTGGGAGCTATCAAAGCCAAGATGTGAAGTCCTCCCTGGCCTGACAACCTAACTATTCATATCCAAGGGACTTGACTAAAACGCTTTGAAGAAGGAAAAGAAGTTCTCATTGCTCATTTTCCACGTTATTCCCCGCTTCTCTTGATTTGATTCCCAGTACTACCCTGTAGAAGAAGAAGAAGAAAACAGCAATCTAGTTTCTAGTTCTCCTGACCAAATGATGTTATTCCTCTTGATTGGGAAGAAAATGGGGAGGTACTTAGACTTCTGATTTTGAGGGCTTTCAAGCAATCCAGAATCCCAAACTTGAAAGAGTGAAAGAGTACAAGTCTTTGAATTAGACAGACCTAGTTTGGGATCGTCACTCTTCCACTCTCTGGCCGTATAGTCTCAGTTTTTGTGTGATGTGTAGTGCTCCCAGCATGGTCCCTTGCATCTGGTAAGCACATTTTTAGTAAATGGTGGTCATTTTTAGCCTTTGAAACATAAGTAATATCAGAGGGATTTCAATATGAAAGTGAGGCCGAGAATTAAGGTAGACAGGAGAACTAAAAGTGAGACTGGATTCAGAAGTGACACGAATGAAAAATGAGTTAAAGCTGAGAGCAGGCCTTTGGAGCTTATTATGTTGCTGTGTGAATTATATATCATAGTACCCATTCTGCCTCCTTTCCTGGAAACTCCTTTTAAGCCAAACATGTACAAAGAGTGATGCCAGCAGAGCAGAACTTCGTTGGGCAGTGGCGTCAGCTAACAACAACGACAAAAATAGGGATGTCCAGAGACTTATTTAAGAATGTCGTTTCATCATAAACGAATTGAAGTAGAGATACAGAGTACTTTGCTGGTTTGATTTAGAGGGAGAGAGGTGTATTAGTATTCTGTGGCTGCTGCAACAAATCACCACAAATTTGGTGGCTTAAAACAACAGAAACTTTTTTTTTTTTTTTTTTGAGATGGAGTCTCACTCTGTCACCCAGGCTGGAGTGCAGTAGTGCAATCTCGGCTCGGCTCACTGCAAGCTCTGCCTCCCGGGTTTACGCCATTCTCCTGCCTCAGACTCCCGAGTAGCTGGGACTACAGGCGCCCGCCACTACGCCTGGCTAATTTTTTGTATTTTTAGTAGAGACAGGGTTTCACTGCGTTAGCCAGCATGGTCTCGATCTCCTGACCTCGTGATCCGCCCCCCTCGGCCTCCCAAACTGCTGGGATTACAGGCGTGAGTCACTGCACCCGGCCCAGAAACATATTCTTTTATGAAAACTTATTTTAGGTTCAGAAGTACATGTGCAGGTTTATTATATGGGTAAACTCATGTCACGGGGGTTTGTTGTATAGATCATTTCATTACCCAGGTATTAAGCCTGCTACACAATAGTTATTTCTTCTGCTCCTCTCCCTCCTCCCACCTCAGGTGGGTCCCAGTGTCTGTTGTTCCCCTCTTTGTGTCCATGTGTTCTCATCATTGAGCTTCCACTTATAAGTGAGAACATGCAGTATTTAGTTTTCTGTTCCTGTATTAGTTTGCTAAGGATAATGGCCTCCAGCTCCATTCATTTGGTTATTTTTGTTTTTGCGTTTTTTTTTTAAATTTTTTATTTTTTTTACAGCTAGAAGTTCAACATCAGTTTCACTGAGTTGAAGTCAAAGTGTTGGCATGGGCTGGGCACGGTGGCTCACGCCTGTAATCCCAGCACTTTGGGAGACTGAGGCAGGCAGATCACATGAGGTCAGGGGTTCGAGACCATCCTGGCCAACATGGCGAAACCCCACCTCTATTAAAAATATGTAAATTAGCCAGGCATGGTGGTGCGCACCTGTAATCCTAGCTATGCTGGAGGCTGAGGTGGGAGAATTGCTTGAACCTGGGAGGCAGAGGTTGCAGTAAGCCGAGATCGCACCACTGCACTCCAGCCTAAGCAACAGAGCAAGACTCTGTCAAAAAAAAAAAAAAAAAAAGTGTTGCCATGGACCTGCTGTCTCCAGAAGCTCCAGGGGAGACTCTTCCAGCTTCTGGTAGCTGCTGGCATTCCTTTGCTTATAGCTGCATCACTCCATCTCTGCTTCTGTGATCACATTGCCTCCTCCCCTTTTGTGTGTATCAAAGCTTGACCCAGTTTAGCCACCATCCTCAAATAAGATAACTCACTGCCTCCCATCTGTTGGTTGTTTTTTCTTTTTTTGAGATGGAGTCTCGCTTTGTCTCCCAGGCTGGAGGCTGGAGTGCAGTGGCGCAATCTCGGCTCACTGCAACCTCCACCTCCCAGATTCAAGTGATTCTCCTACCTCAGCCACCTGAGTAGCTGGTATTACAGGTGTCTGCCATCATGCCTGGCTAATTTTTGTATTTTTAGTAGAGACGGGGTTTCACCATGTTGGCCAGGCTAGTCTTGAACTCCTGACCCCGTGATCCACCGGCCTCGGCCTCCCAAAATGCTGGGATTACAGGCATGAGCCACTGCGCCCGGTATCTGTTTTTTTTTTTTTTTTTGAGATGGAGTCTCACTTTGTCACCCAGGCTGGAATGCAGTGGCATGATCTCGGCTCACTGCAACCTTTGCCTCCCAGGTTCAAGCAATTCTCCTGTCCCAGCCTCCCCAGGAGCTGGGATGACAGGTGTCCACCACCATGCCCAGCTAATTTTTGTATTTCTAGTAGAGACGGGGTTTTCACCATGTTGGCCAGGCTGGTCTTGAACTCCTGACCTCAGGTGATCTGCCTGCCTCAGCCTCCCAAAATGCTGGGATTACAGGCATGAGCCACTGCCCCCAGCATCTGTTGGGTTTTCTTTTTCTTTCTTTCTTTCTTTCTTTCTTTTTTTTTTTTTTTTTTTTTTTTTTTTTTTGAGATGGAGTCTCCCTCTGTTGCCCAGGCTAGAATGGAATGGCATGATCTCGGCTTACTGCAACCTCTGCCTCCCAGGTTCAAGCAATTCTCCTGTCTCAGCCTCCCCAGTAGTTGGGATTACAGGCACACACCACCACACCAGGCTAATTTTTGTATTTTTAGTAGAGACAGGGTTTCACCATATTGGTCAGGCTGGTCTCGAACTCCTGACCTCAGATGATCCACCCACCTAGGCCTCCCAAAGTGCTGGGATTATAGGCATGAGCCACCACACCCAGCCCATCTGTTGGTTTTTACCATTTGTTTTTTAATTATGAAAAACAATTTATACTCATTGTAAACCATTAAAAATACAGATCAGTTAAAGATAATAAAGGGAAGAAAAATAAATTAATTAAAAAATTACCTTTAATCCTCCTACCCAGGGATTGCCAGCTCCTAATCTATGAGGATTTTTCTAGGCTGGGTCTTGTGTTTAACAAAGATGAAAAGTAGGAAAAAGAATAAAAATAAATAGAAAAGAACAAGCCATTTAGGAGGTAATGAAATAGGTTAATATTGCCCACAATGAATATGTACAGGAAGCCTAATTTAAAATAAAAACAGAGCTTTGCACACACAATTTTCCAGCGCTGAAGGTACATGTATGATATGTGGAAATGAAGCTCAGTCTCTTAGAAGTGCTAAGTTTAACTTTTTCCATTCACCCCTGCATTTTCTCATTACGACCTCATTCACTCCCTGAGGTCAGACCCTGGCCTGCTAATCTGCCCTGTCACAGGCTCTTCATGAGTCCTTATCGGCCTTCCTCAGTATGTCAGTGTTATGAAGAAGTGGGAAGTCTGCTCCTCCCAGGCTAATATCAAAGGGCAAAAGGGGCTGTGACAGAAGCAAACATTCAGACTACAGCCAGATGTGAAACTGAAGCAGCAAGAGGAAACACAGGAGCATAGGTAAAAAAAAAAAAAAAAATTCTTAAAAATATCTCATTTATCTAATTTTAGGTGCAGTCTACATCTGAGGGCATGAGGGATTAGTAAAATAGTATTTAGGGAAAATTTGTAAAGGAAAATGAATAAAAAATTCTGGGAAGGCCTGGCGTGGTGGCCCGTCCCTATAATCCCAGCACTTTGGGAGGCTCAGGTAGGTGGATCACCTGAGGTCAACAGTTCGAGACCAGCCTGGCCAACATGGTGAAACCCCATCTCTACTAAAAATACAAAAATGTATCGAGAGTGGTGGCTCTTGCCTGCAGTCCCAGCTACTCTGGAGGCTGAGGCAGGAGAGTCACTTGAACCTGGGGGACGGAGGTTGCCATGAGCCAAGAGATCGTGCCACTGCACTCCAGCCTGGGCACAGAGCAAAACTCTGTCTCAAAAAAAGAAAAAAAAGTCCTGGGAAATGTGGAAAGGATATTCATCTCGAGCTAGAATCTCAGTAAATGTTGTATTTATCATAATTGTTATCAGCATTCAAATAACATTGATGAGACTTACGAGTCACGAGACCATAGGGTTTGCTATTCAAAATCAATTAGATTTGTTTTGTGGGTCCCATCAGTGGAAGTTATGGGGAGACAAATTGCAGCTTAAAGTAAGGAGACCATTTCTAACACAGACGTCAGAAATTAGAAGGGACTAGAGGGACTATTTGATAGGTAGTGAGTTGCTCATTGCTGGAGGTTTGCAACTTGTTGGGAGTTGGCAATATTATAGAGGAGATTTTAGAATCCTATAGATTGTTGGACTGGAGGATCTTTAAAGTCCTTTCCAACACTTCTGTGATTCTATGATATAAATAGAATGTTATGGGAAATTTCCCTAAGGAGCCATAAAATACTACATTTACATGTACCTATAGAAGAGGCTCACATTCTAAAAAGAATTCCCCAGGTTGATTCTGGTTTTCCTGAAGGAAGTGAGAAGGCAACCAAGAACAAATTGATATCAGGGGAGTGCACATGTCTTGCCGGATGCCTGCTTTCTTCCTCTTGGTGAGTATATACAATGCCCACAGGGCCCCTGCTTTGCAAAGATCACACAGAAAGATGGGTTCTCTTCTCCTAGAGGAAGAATTTTGGTTGAGTTAGCAAATATTTTGTTTTGCAATTGACTAAAGGTAAGCAGATCTTTTCTGAAATATTTGTTTCAGAGCTCAAATTTCAGTTTAGGTGGCTGTTTTCTGGTCTAGGAAGCAAAAGAAGGGTGACAATGGTTTAGTTACCATGCCCCAAAAGCTCATGTTCTTTTCCAAGTCTTAGGGGTTTCCACAGCACAGGGCAGAACTATTAGAAGGGAAGGAAAATGCTGCTGTCACATCACACTGTATATGAGGCAATGTACTTTTGAGATTTAGAACATGTGAAGAGTTGAAAAGGTTTCTGCATTTGGTATCAACTGACATTCTTTCAGGAGTAAAATAAAGCTTTTCAAAGTGTATGAAATAATACATAAAAATATAGAATTTTATTTATTTACTTTTATTTTTATTTTTTTAGACAGGTTCCCACTCTGCTGCCCAGGCTGGAGTGCAGTGGTGCGATCATGGTTCACTGCAGCCTCAAACTCCTGGGCTCAAGAGATCCTCCCACCTCAGCCTCCTAGGTAGCTGGGACTGCAGGTGCGCACCACCATACCTGCCTAATGTTTAACATTTTTTTTTTTTTTATCTTTTGTCGAGATGGGGTCTTGCTATGTTGTCCACGCTGGTCTCAACTCCTGATCGAAAGCAATCCTCTCACATCCACCTCCCAAAGTGCTGAGATTACACATGTGAGCTACCACACCCAGCCTATGTTTGTGTTTATAGCAAGATCTTCTACAGTACATATACTGTAAAATTATACTTCCTTAGTTCTCTAGTGCCTTCCTTTCTTCCCCTTTTGAATTATAAATAAGAGCATCTTCTCACTTCAACTTCTATTTCTGCATATTCTCCAATACCTTCCTGGGCTCCTGTGCCAACCCATGCCCTTTATATCTGGGCTCAGTGTTGGCGTTTCCTGATTTGAAATGCAAAATGGCTGAAAATGTTAGCAATTTAATTTTTCCATTATGACAAATATTAGGCATTCACCTTTATCCATGCCTACTTATTCTGGCAAGGCTAAGGATATTTGGCAAAGTGATTAGAAAACAGCAGTATCAAAGATAATTTCCAGTTGGGTGCGGTGGCTCACATCTGTAATCCCAGCACTTTGGGAGGGAGGCCCAGGCAGGAGGATTGCAACGTAGCAAGACTCCATCTCTTAAAAAAAAAAAATAGCAAGAACAAAAAAGAAAAAAAAAATTAGCCAGGCTTGGTGGCACGTGTCTGTAGTCTCATCTACTAGGGAGACTGAAGTTGGAGAATCACTTGAACTGGGAGGTTGAGGTTGCAGAGAACTATTATTGTGCCACTGCACTCCAACCTGCATAACAGAGCAAGATTCTATCTCAAAAACAAACAAACAAAACTAAAAAACCCAAAACAAACAACAACAACAAATATACATATAGAGAGAGATGACTTCCAACATTAAAATATATCTCCAGTAATTGATAGTTTTGAAGAAAATATTGTAATCTTTGGAATTCTTATTAATATAGAAACAATATTTCTGTCCTGATTATAGGAACTCCTTTCTTTTATTGTTTGGAGCACAGAGGGGCTGCTGAAATGGAGAGTCTCAAGACTGATACTGAAATGCCGTATCCTGAGGTAATAGTAGATGTGGGCAGAGTGATTTTTGGAGAAGAAAACAGGAAGAAGATGACCAACAGCTGTTTGAAAAGATCTGAGAATTCTAGAATTATCCGGGCTATATGTGCACTGTTAAATTCTGGAGGTGGTGTGATCAAAGCAGAGATTGATGATAAAACCTATAGTTACCAATGCCATGGGCTGGGACAGGATTTGGAAACTTCTTTTCAAAAGCTCCTTCCTTCAGGTTCACAGAAATACCTTGACTACATGCAGCAGGGGCACAATCTCC
Organism: Homo sapiens; assembly: GCF_000001405.40. Taxonomy (NCBI): domain Eukaryota; kingdom Metazoa; phylum Chordata; class Mammalia; order Primates; family Hominidae; genus Homo; species Homo sapiens. Next base: position 35,557,746 of record NC_000017.11, on the reverse strand, counting down.
TGATTTTTGTGAAGTCATGGAGCCCAGATGTTTTCAGCCTTCCACTAAGGATTTGCAGCTTGCGCTCCAATTTGTATCGGAGAGATGTGACTTCTGCTATCAACTTGAGTGCTAGCAGTGCCCTGGAGCTTCTCAGAGAGAAGGGGTTTAGAGCCCAAAGAGGAAGACCAAGGGTGAAGAAGTTGCATCCTCAGCAGGTTCTCAATAGATGCATTCAGGAAGAGGAAGATATGAGGATATTGGCCTCAGAATTTTTTAAAAAGGACAAACTCATGTATAAGGAGAAACTCAACTTTACTGAGTCAACACATGTTGAATTTAAAAGGTTCACCACCAAAAAAGTCATACCTCGGATTAAGGAAATGCTGCCTCATTATGTTTCTGCATTTGCCAACACTCAAGGGGGATATGTCCTCATTGGGGTGGATGATAAGAGCAAAGAAGTGGTTGGATGTAAGTGGGAAAAAGTGAATCCTGACTTACTAAAAAAAGAAATCGAAAACTGCATAGAAAAATTGCCTACATTCCACTTCTGCTGTGAGAAGCCAAAGGTAAATTTCACTACAAAAATCCTGAATGTGTACCAAAAAGATGTCCTGGATGGTTATGTCTGTGTGATTCAAGTGGAGCCCTTCTGTTGCGTGGTGTTTGCAGAGGCCCCAGATTCCTGGATCATGAAAGACAATTCTGTCACACGGCTGACAGCTGAGCAGTGGGTGGTCATGATGCTGGATACTCAGTCAGGTAAAGGGAAGTGAAGTCATTGTCCCCATCAGCAGGGAGGAACCCCTTTCTCTGCCTTTTGTGGGTATTTGATCACATATGTTAGTTAAAAAATAGAAATTTATTTTTCTTATAAGTGTTCTCCCATTACAGTGTTCCTTATCTAACATTTTTAGTTCCAAAGACTCAGAATATAAACTGAGGTCAAGAAATGTTTGGATTCTATGGCCTAAACAACTTTTTTTTCTTTAGACTCTGTCACCCAGGCTGGAGTGCAGTGGTGTGACCTCGGCTCACTGCAAACTCCACCTCCCAGGTGCAAGTGATTCTCGTGCTTCAGCCTCCCAAGTAGCTGGGATTACAGGCACACACCACCATGTCGGCTAATTTTTGTATTTTTAATAGAGATGGGGTTTTGCCATGTTGCCCAGGCTGGTCTTGAACTTCTAACCTCAAGTGATCAACTCACCTCCACCTCCCAAACTGCTGGGATTACAGGTGTGAGCCACCACTCCTGGCCAGCCTAAGCAACTTTTAAAGGAAAGTTACAGTATGCCATCAGCAATGAGTTAGGAAAGGTCTCCTTTTATTGTCTATAAACCTGTTGAAAAAATTGTGCAGGCTGATCATCCCAGTCAAAATTGGAATAGCCTCATTTTAGAGATGATATTCTAGAGAAACACTGTTTAAGAATAACTCTGAGGCTGGGCGCAGTCCTAGCACTTTGGGAGGCCAAGGTGGGCAGATTGCCTAAGCCCAGGAGTTTGAGACCAGCCTGGCCAAAATAGCGAAGCCCTATCTCTCCCCCAAATATAAAAATTAGCCAGGCGTGGTGGTGTATGCCTGTAGTCCCAGCTACATGGGAGGCTGAGGTGGGAGGATTGCTTGAGCCTGGGAGGTGGAGGTTGTAGTCAGCCAAGATCACTCCACTGCACTCCAGCCTAAGCAACAGAGCGAGACCCCGTCTCAAAAAAATAAATAAATAAAAATAAAAAAATAAAAATAAATGACTCCACTACTCCACTAATTCTTTCAAGCAAAACATTGTTGACAAATTTGAATTGTTTCAGTAACATTAGGAGCTAATAACCTTAAGCCACTGGGCTTAGGGCACCACCAAGTGGGGGAAAATGATGCAAAAGGAGATGCTAGGGCAAGGGGGTGCTGGGGGGAGCAGGACCCCTGGTGTTCTCACTTACCTTTCAGTTTTGATTGGAATCAGCCTTGGTGATTCCTAATCAATCCATAAAGGACTATAGGCCGAACTACGCCTATCTGCTTGCCTTCACGGCCAGTATGTTCCAGATTTCATCAAAACTTGAGTGATTGGAGAATTTTATTGGGTCATTCTTTCTCTTAATTTGTTTGAGTTCACTTCTCTTCTCCTCTCCCCTAAAGATCCTGCCACTTTTGATTCCATCTAACCTTAGATGGGGACATAAACAACTGTAACAACATTTTTTTTTTTTTTTGAGACAGGGTCTTGCTTTGTCGCCTAGGCTGGAGTGCAGCGGCACGATCTCAGCTCACTGCAGCCTCCGCCTCCCAGGTTCAAGCAATTCTCCCACCTCAGCCTCCCGAGCAGCTGGGATTACAGGCACACCACCACGCCCAGCTAATTTTTGTATTTTTTTGTATTTTTTTTTTTTTTTGAGACGGAGTCTCGCTCTGTCACCCAGGCTGGAGTGCAGTGGCGCTATCTCGGCTCACTGCAAGCTCCGTCTCCTGGGTTCACCCCATTCTCCTGCCTCAGCCTCCCGAATAGGTGGGACTACAGGCGCCGGCCACCATGCCTGGCTAATTTTTTTTGTTTTTAGTAGAGACGGGGTTTCACCGTGTTAGCCAGGATGGTCTTGATCTCCTGACCTCGTGATCCGCCTGCCTCGGCCTCCCAAAGTGCTGGGATTACAGGTGTGAGCCATCACATCTGGCCAACACCATTTTTAAAATACTGTGCTTTAATCCTTGCTGATCCCCACTAGATGCCTTTTCTTCTTAGAGATAACCTGGAGTCAGAATATTATAATTGAAAGGAAGCTTAGGGATTATTACTTCACTCCAGCGTGAGAGAGAGGTGAAATGACTTGCTCAAGCCGAGTCACACAGTGACTTAGAATATGTGTGATATGTCCCCTGTAGGAATCCCCAGACTTCCTTTCCTGACATACGTGAGCTGTCTGACGCATAGTAAGTACGACTGCTCAGGCACCCATGCACATCACAGGTCTCCAGTAAGAAGAGCCAAAAAAAGAGGCTTTTTTTTTTTTTTTTTTAACTTTTTATTTTTTGTCTGAAACAACTTTCCATGTAATTGTCTAGCTCCTCCCAGTTTGGTCACAGACTACAACTCTTGCCTGATTTCATCAGCTTCATCTGCACGAAAAAGTCCCGGATATCCCATAAAAGTCCACAAATTTAAGGAGGCTCTGCAACGACATTTGTTTCCAGGTATTCCCTCTTGATTTCAACTTAGGGGACTATTTGTTTTCTAAAATTGAGTTGGGAGGTGTTAGTAGTAATGAGTTCAGGTGTTTCTCCTTAGGGAAGGTCAAATGAAGGACTTAGCGACATAATGATCCTGAAATTTGAAATATATATATTATATATATAATATATATATGACTGAAAACAAGGGTCATATATATACTTATTTAAAATAATTATTAATATTTATTATTAATTTATTATATAATTATTATATATAATTATATATAATATTTATATATCTATATATCTGACCCTTGTTTCCAGTCATCTGATTCCCACTATTACTATTTCTGTGTGCCTTCCAACTTCTCATAACATATGGCTTTTGTTTTCCAAATTTGAGAGTGCAGGGAATTTCTCAGGTCTCAACCATCAAAAAACTGCCCCTAGCTTTCCAATGCAGAAGGAGCCATTGGGTTATCTGAACTTCTTCTAAAGCAGGGTTTCTCAACCTTAGCACTATTGTCATTTGAGTCAGATAACTCTTTGCTGGGGGAGGGAGAGCCCTGTGAATTGTAGAATACTTAGCAGCATTCCTATCTGGTACCTACTACATACCAGTAGCTCCCCTCCAATTGTGACAATAAAAAATTCTCAGGCCGGGCATGGTGGCTCATGCCTGTAATCCCAGCACTTTGGGAGGCCAAGGCGGGTGACCTCAACTGAGGTCAGGAGTTTGAGACCAGCCTAGCCAACATGGTGAAACGCTGTCTCTACTAAAAATACAAAAATTAGCCAGGTGTGGTGGCATGTGACTGTAATCTCAGCTACTCCAGAGGCTGAGGCAGAAGAATCACTGGAACCAGGGAGGCAGAGGCTGCAGTGAGCCAAGATCACACCACTGCACTCCAGTCTGGGTGACAGCGAGACTCCGTCTCACAAAAAAAGAAAAAATTTTCCAGACATTGCCAAATGTCCGTGGGGATGGGGGAGAGTTGGGGAGTAAAACTGCTCCTGATTAAGAATCACAATTCTAAAGGAAAGCTCTTATTTTCCCAAATGCACCAGGTATCATTTTTTTCTGCAACGTTGCAGGAATACTTACCACATGCTTTTGTAAGTTTTGGTAACATCTATTCCTTGAATTTTCAGTGACACAGGAAGAGGTACAATTTAAACCAGAATCCCTCTGTAAGAAGCTGTTCTCAGATCATAAAGAACTGGAGGGTTTAATGAAGACCCTGATACATCCTTGTTCTCAGGGGATTGTGATATTTTCTAGAAGCTGGGCTGGTGATGTTGGCTTCAGGAAAGAACAGAATGTCCTGTGTGATGCTCTCCTGATAGCAGTTAACAGCCCCGTGGTACTCTATACAATCTTAATAGACCCCAATTGGCCTGGAGGACTTGAATATGCCCGAAACACAGCTCATCAGTTAAAGCAGAAACTGCAAACTGTTGGTGGTTACACAGGGAAAGTGTGCATCATTCCAAGGCTGATACACCTGAGCAGCACACAGAGTAGACCTGGTGAGATCCCCCTGCGTTACCCCAGGTCCTACAGGCTTGCTGATGAGGAGGAAATGGAAGACTTGCTGCAGGCTCTGGTGGTGGTCTCCCTGTCCTCCAGATCTCTTCTGAGTGACCAGATGGGCTGTGAATTTTTCAACTTGCTCATAATGGAGCAGAGCCAGTTGCTTTCTGAGAGTCTTCAGAAGACACGTGAATTATTCATCTACTGCTTTCCAGGAGTCAGGAAGACAGCCCTAGCCATAAAGATCATGGAGAAAATTAAGGACTTGTTTCACTGCAAACCAAAAGAGATCCTCTATGTTTGTGAAAGCGACTCCCTAAAGGATTTTGTGACGTAAGAGTTTTACCAACTACACACACACAAAAATATGTATGTGTATATATATATGTGTATATATATGTGTATATATATGTGTATATATATATGTATATATATGTGTATATATATACACATATATATATATTCTTTTTGCAGTTGCAAGATTTAATAGAGTGAAAACAGAGCTCCCATACAAAGGGAGGGGACCCAAAGAGGGTAGCCGTTGCCAGCTTGAATGCCTGGGTTTATATCCCGATCATTGTCCCTCCTGCTGTGCTCTCAGGCAATAGATGATTGGCTATTTCTTTACCTCTTGTTTTTGCCTAATTAGCATTTTAGTGAGCTCTCTTTCTTATCTGATTGGTCGGGTGTGAGCTAAGTTGCAAGCCCCATGTTTAAAGGTGGAAGTGGTCACCTTCCCAGCTAGGCTTAGGGATTTTTAGTCAGCCTAGGAAATCCAGCTAGTCCTGTCTCTCAGTGCCCCCCTCAACAGGAAAACCCAAGTGCTATTGGGGAAGTTGGCCGACCACCGCTCTAACTGCTTCCTGCTGAATTGGGGCGTAGTAGGGGTTCTGCAGTTGAGATTTCCTCGGGAGGGGTGCCTTTGATGTCATTAACATTGGAGCATGGGCTAGCAGGCCGGTCCAGGGGTCCGTGGTAGATTTTACTCATGGATTGCATCTGGGGCTCCATTTGAAGAACCATTTGTAGCTTTGCAGCTTCGATTCTGGAAGAGACAAACTTAACAAGGAGGTTAAAGATACAGGGTCCAATTAACAAGGAGGTTAAAGATACAGGGTCCAAAGAGGAGTAACAATATTATAGCTGCTAGAGGTCCTAAGAAGGGGAGAATCCGGGGCATCCATTGGCTGAGGAGGCCCCAGGGGCCAGTGTTTTGAAGCTCCTCTGCTCTACGTTGTATTCGATCTCGAATTTCTTTAACTTTTTGGTGACGATTCCGGATTGATTAACATAATAACAGCATTCTTCCCCTAAAAATAAACAGGTTCCCCCTCTTTCGGCGGCTAGCAAGTCTAAAGCTCTTCTATTTTGAACGACTACTGCTGCTAGGGAGTTAAGTTGATCTTGCAAGGTGACCAGGGAGTCAGAGACCCGTTCCATGTCACCATTTAGTTCTTGAGATAGTTTGTAGTAGAACTGAATAGAGGTTGTGATACCGCCAGTGCCAGTACCTACTCCACCTAGCACTCCTGCTCCGATAACAAAAGGAAGAATGGGTACCCTTTTGTTGCGGGGCTTAGGTACGACATGATTGTATAAATCTTGTTCAGTGTAGATGGTCATAGGGGGCGCTAAGAATGAGAGGAAGCATATAGATTCTGAAGAGCCATTCAAACAACGATAGGCTGAGGTACCACAGACAAAAAATATTCCTGAGGGTAGGCAGACTATTCGTGTGGGAAGAGTTACCCACCTGATGTGCTGGGAGTTGGTTGCACACACACACAAAAATATATTTAGTCAGTCTTTTCAAGAGTGTCACAAAAGTGATTTGTGTTTTTAGTTTAAGTTTTTGCAGTGCCTTAGTTGCATAAGTGCAAGAGCCCAAACTATATACACATTTCCAAATAATCATGGAATTGAGCTGTAAACAGGTAATTTATAATGTTCAACCTTAAACATCTCATTATAAATAACCCACATGTGCATAACTTACATTTACAGAACCAGAAACTTTTTTTTTTCTCACAATCCATGGCCTTACATTTAAGAGAAGTAGAAATGAACCCATTCTGCTTTAAGTATACTTTCTGTTTGATATGTAATGTTTTAAAGTCATAGGGTATTTCTGCTAATTAGACATTGTACCTAGTGAAACTTGAATTTAAATACAGTTTGATTTTGTTCATAAAATATTTTCATTTTTGACTTGTTCTGCATCAGTAATTTTAGAAAATATGCAAATTCACTTCTGATTTAAATCTCTAACTTTTAATTTAGTAAAATGAATTGGTCATTATAGAATTCAGCAAAAGAGGGCAAAATCATTATGATTTTTGGCTTGGTTTTGTTATTCAATAAATCTTTTTGAGCACTGTTGATGTGGTATCTACTGTGCTACATTTAGTGTTAGAGGAGAAAACATATTGAAGACCTTGCCATAAAAAAAACAATGTGAGTATTGTATAATAATAAAGACATGCTCATTTTAATTAACTAATTAATTAATTTATTTTTGAGACGGAGTCTTGCTGTGTCAACCAGGCTGGAGTGCAGTGGCACGATCTCAGCTCACTGCAAACTCTGTCTCCTGGGTTCAAGTGATTCTCTTGCCTCAGCCTCCCGAGTAGCTGGGATTACAAGTGTGCATCACCACGCCTAGCTAATTTTTGTATTTTTAGTAGAGACGGGGTTTCACCATGTTGGCCAGGCTGGTCTTGAACTCCTGACCTCAGGTGATCCGCCCACCTCCTTCTCGCAAAGTGCTGGGATTACAGGCGTGAGCCACTGCACCTGGCCTCATGCCCATTTTAACAGGCTAGAGGTTGGTTGGTAAATATTCCCCAGTGAAGGAGACCATTGGGCACACTGTTAAGAAGTCAGCAGGAGAAGTGAATCAAATAGGGGAGGGCTTTCCAGGCAAAGGGCACAGCAAGTTCAAAGACATGGAGACACCAGAGAACCAGAATGGTAGGTCTGACTAGAGCTGTGCAGACTGTGGGTATACAGCAGGTGGTGATGTTGAAAAGGAGGTAGACGCCAGATTATCAGGGATCCTGTAGACTGTGCTGAGGACTACGTTCTTTATTAAGTTTCATAGCTAAGTTTGAAAATACTCCAGTCAAAAGGCTAACTCAACAAATATCTATGAAACCCTTAATGTGAGAGGGATACAAAGATGGCTAAGAATCAGTACTTTTATTTGAGTCCACACAGTCCAAACCAGAAGAGAAGAACATAGTTATGATTCAAGGCATAGGGAGTAAAGGCCCTAGGAACTGCATATGTAAAATCATGGAATCTGTAGGGATGAGTGATGTTACTTGGATCCAAATTAAAGGAGGCAAAAAACAACCAAATTCGTTCAGAAAAAATACATATATGCTAAAGCGTACTATAAAGGAAAATTGAGCTAAGTAAATGAGGTAGCTCCAAAGAGGCATAGCCCCATAGATTTGGTACCCTACTTGATGTGTCGTGGAACTCAGCATCCTCTTGATGTTTCTCTTACCAAAATCTAAAGAAGCTTTAGAGGAATTTGAACTAGTCCGTGCTTTTTTTGCACATAAAAATTATGATATGCATCGAGGAAACTGTTTTCCAGCTCTAAAGAGGATAGAAAGTAAAGAAATGGTAGTAAGAAGTGTAAGTTAACTTTGAGATTTCCTTTAGATGTAATGAACTTGTCTTCAGGATTGCCAAACAGTAGGAATGGATTACTAATAGACATAATACAATCTGTTACCTGGGTTCATTTCAGAAGTTTCACATGCAGGTTTAACTGGATAACCCCAAAGAGCAAGGTGTAAAATTATGCATTCTGTCTGTCAGGTAACTTGTAATTAGAACAGTTTTGTGGTATTCACACTACTGAATCAATGACTCAGCCTGCAGATGAGAATCAGCCTCTGATTCCATTCCAGAGAGTAATGACTGCTGGTGTTCTCTTTGTTGATATGCCTCAAGCCCTGTTTTTTCCGTCCTTACAGCCAACAAACCACCTGCCAAGCTGTGACCAGGAAAACTTTCATGCAAGGGGAGTTTCTAAAGATTAAACACATAGTGATGGATGAGACTGAGAATTTCTGCAGCAAATATGGCAATTGGTACATGAAGGCTAAGAACATCACCCATCCAAAGGCGAAGGGGACTGGAAGTGAAAACCTTCACCATGGGATTCTCTGGCTTTTTCTTGACCCTTTTCAAATCCATCACGCAGATGTCAATGGCCTTCCCCCTCCATCTGCTCAGTTTCCTCGAAAAACAATCACCAGTGGGATCCACTGTGCTCTGGAAATAGCGAAGGTTATGAAAGAAGAAATGAAGAGGATCAAAGAAAATCCTCCCTCCAACATGTCTCCAGACACATTAGCATTGTTCAGCGAGACTGCCTATGAGGAAGCAACGTGTGCCCAGGCTCTGCCTGGGGTGTGTGAGACAAAGACTAATCTGACAACAGAACAAATAGCTAACTATGTGGCAAGAAAATGTCACAGCCTGTTCCAGTGTGGCTATCTGCCCAAAGATATAGCAATTCTGTGCAGGAGAGGGGAGGACAGAGGACGCTATAGGCTTGCACTACTCAAAGCAATGGAATTAATTGAGACCCACAGACCATCAGAGGTTGTGTTTAGCCCGGCCACCGGTGTTTGGGGAAGTCACATTGTTTTAGACAGTATTCAGCAATTTTCAGGCCTGGAGAGGACTGTCGTGTTTGGGCTTAGTCCAGAATGTGACCAGTCAGAGGAATTTCATAAGCTCTGCTTTGCTTCAAGAGCCATTAAACACCTCTACCTGCTTTATGAAAAGAGGGCAGCCTACTGAAAATTATTACAAATAATAGAGGAAGACAGGAAGAGCAGAGTCCTTTCTCCTAGACAGGTAGCAGTGACTCCATTTTAATATTACAAGTGAGGAAATCAAGGCACATCAGTATGGCCTGGAGCCACAGAAATGTCTCTTGGAGCTGAGCCTTCCACTCTATTTCAATGCCACTGGCCTTTTCACAATTTCCTTCACCTCCTACCTATACAATTACAATAGACTTCATTAGTCCCCTGTCTCCAGCTTTCCCACTCAATCCAGCTGTCATCCATCAGAGAATTTTTCCTCAAATAGAGAACTGATTTTATGTAATACCTTGCTAACATATCTTCAATGAGTCCCCACAGCCTTCAAACCTAACCAATTTTCAAGGCTTTCATTAATATGCCCTGACTTGCTCTCCCAACCACATCCTTTATTGTATCTCCATCTCCCCATGTTTCTCATGCACCCCAGCCCACCTGGCATAATTTTTGGGTGGTGGTATGGTGCCCTCCAGGCTGGTTACTTTGACTGCATAGGTCTCAAAAGTAGCCAATTGACTGGCACCTCATACTGGCTATGGGTCTCAAGCTTTCCAGGTCCAGAACTTGATTGCCTTTTTGTACCAAGTCTAGATCAGTCTCTTGGGGATGCTTTATGCTAATCAAGCTCACAAAGGACCAATGCATACATCAAAATGTTACTCTGTTAATTTATAGTGAGGACCATAGTCATAAGTGGGTCAAATGCTTTTGCTAATCAGTGCCCTCAACAGTAATATAGGAAGCCAAATTATATGAACATAGCCTTACAGTAAGGGAAGCTGGTAATTTGATTCAAATCTTAAAAATCTTCAGATTATATTAGACTATTGCAATATCTATTAGGTTGGTGCAAAAGTGCAAAAGCCACAATTACTTTTGCACCAACTTAATATAAAATAAGATTGCAATAATTTCTAAAATAAAGATATTTCTATCACAAGGACTAGACAAATTAGTTTACAGTTTACAAGCTAAAGCAAATTTAGAATGCTAAGGATGACTAGTTTTTCATTATTCTTTGCCCTCAGATGAATTTTTTTTTCTCTGTCTTGGTTTCTAAAATTTCCAGGTTCACCACCAACCCTCTCCTTACTGCCCCCAACATATACAAATTTTGCCTACATTTATCCTCTATGTATGTGAATACATTCATGTAGGCTAGAAATGCCTTATACTCTGCCGCTGGCCTGGAAAGTAGTCTTCCTACAAGGGGCCTTTGCACATCTCTGATTTCTTCCATTATGACTTGGTGCTAATTTTTAAATCCAACTCTCAGAGTTTATGGGGATCCTTGGTGGCAACTTTACCACCAACACCACCCACACACATCCCCGACTCCTGGTCTGTGCCTGTGCCATTTTCTCAGTCTTTAAACCCTTTTCTGTCCCCTCCACCTTTGAAATCCTTACTTGGCAATCACATCCTTTTTCAAATGCCTACTACCTCAATTAAACTTTTATTATCTCCCTAAGTGAAACTTTCCAATGTATATGATACATATTAGAAATGAAATCAAAGTTCCCCTTTTCTAGTCAGTTCCCCAAATGGCTGAGCCAATTCTGTACTCTTCAAATTACTCTTGCTTTTGCAAGGATTTTTAAATTGCTTTGGAAGTATTCATATTTCCAAACTGTTTTTAACTTCTAGAAAAGTTTAGGATAACTTGATTGACTCTGGGGAGGCTTGAATCCAGGAGACATGTGGAAATTTTGGTTATGATTTTAGATAAAGCCCCTCAGCCTTCCAAGAGGTGGAAGAGCAGGCAGGGTTTCGAGAAGCTCTCTTAGCTGCCTTTCTGAATTGCTTAGGCCCATTAGAAGGGCTAGTCTGTACCTAGGCACGGGTTGAAAAGAAAAACCTCTCCCTTGCTTCCTACTGCTCTAATTACCTGGTGTTTCTTCCTTTTTACCTTTCCTTGGGGGCTTTAGGGTAGTTTTGGATAGGAGGAAATGAAGTTCAGCAATCGGTTTTGCAAAAGATGCCAGTGCATTGACATTCTGATGTAGGGAGATGTATGAATTCTATAAAAATAATTTAAACAGTCAAAGTCAACAGAGTATGAAGGAGTATGAGTGGGACAAGGAATTGCTATATTTTAGTCATAAGCCTTAGTACCATTTGACTTTTTAAAATATATGCATGCATCATATAATTTTTAATAAAAGAATTGATTTGTAAAGAATTGTTTTAAATATTGAATTTGAGAGTCTTTGTCAGTTCTTAGTCTAGTGAAACAATTCAATCAGGATGAAAGTAGAATAACTAACTCAGTGATTCTCAACCCTGGATGCTCATTATAATTTCCTGGGCGACTTAAAAAAAATCAGTGATCAGGCCAGACACCAGACTAATTAACCTCAGTGTGTCTGAACACAGGCTCGGGCATCGGTATTTATTAAATGTTGTCCAGGCAGGGTGCAGTGGCTGGTGCCTGTAATACCAGAACTTTGAGAGGCTGAGGTCTGGGGGAATCACTTGAAGCCAGGAGTTGGAGACCAGCCTGGGCAACATAACAAGACCCCATCTCTACAAAAAAAATTTTTTTAAAAACTTAGTTGGGCATGGTGGTGCATGCTTTTAATCCTAGCTACTCCAGAGGCCAAGGTGGGAGGATCACTTGAGCCCAGGAGTTTGAGGCTACAGTGACCTATGATTACTCCACTGCACTCCAGCCTGGGTTACAGAGCAAGACTCTATCTCTTAAAAAAAATCCAAATGATTCTAATATGTCACAAGGGTTGAGAACCATTGAACCCTTCTCCTAGTCTGTTCTTTCTGTCCTCAAAAAATGTGTGCACATTTCTCTTCCTATTAAGACTGTGAGCTCCTTGAGAGTAAGAGGATGAGTCACTTACACATCCTTATTTCCCCTAGAGCAACTAGTACAGTGCCTCACACAGGGCAGGTGCTCAGTAAATATTTGCTGAATTGTACTTGTAGCTTTTAGAAAACTAGAATCTACAATGATTCAATTCGATAGTATGAATTTCTAATGTTAGAGATTTCAAAGAAGTCAGTGTGGAGAATAATCTTTAACACTGTAATAATGAAGAATAAGGGAACAATAAAGGCAACTCAATTGTTTTTAGGCAACAGGTCAAATTAAGGATCTATGATGATAGTTCATTAGATTCAAATGTAAGATTAGGAACTGGTGGGGACTAAGAATAATGGACTAACTTGGTTGTTTTAGAATTCTCAATGTTTTCTACAAAGTCTTAATATGATGGATAAAGCAATTAACTAAATGAAATAACTAAGATAAAAGAGAAGCTTTAGAAACTGTGAGAAGCTTCTAAAACTTACTTTTAAAAAGAAGGGTAATATAATATTATCATGGAAGCTTCGGAAATGGAGAAAGGCAAAATTAAAAGTTCTTAAATCAGGCTGGGCGCAGGGGCTCATGCTGGTAATCCTAGCACTTTGGGAGGCTGAGGTGGGTGAATCACCTGAGGTCAGGAGTTCAAGACCAGCCTGACCAACATGGAGAAACCCTGTCTCCACTAAAAATACAAAATTAGCTGGGCATGGTGGCGCATGCCTGTAATCCCAGCTACTTGGGAGGCTGAGGCAGGAGAATTGCTTGAACCTGGGAGGTGGAGGTTGCAGTGAGCTGAGATTGCGCCACTGCACTTCAGCCTGGGCAACAAGAGTGAAACTCTGTCTCAAAAAAAAAAAAAAAAAGTTCTTAAATCATCTTGTTATCTGGGTGTAACATTTTTTCATTTTTGCTTATTTATTTCTATTCTTTGTTGATATGGAAAAATATTTTCACACAGTTATGATCAAGTTGTGCCATCAACTTTATAACGTATATGTGTGCTTTTTCCATTTAATTGTTTTGTGAGATATTGCTATAGACTACATTATTGTTCCCAATATTTCCTACCTCTCTATATCTATACCCTTTGTAGTTACTAACATTAGAGGTAGAGATATTTTCCACCCCTGTAATGTGGCCTTGGTCATGTGACTTGGAATGTTAGTAGTTCTGATGTGCACAGAGGCTGTACATGGACTTTCAGCATTGGGTTTACTCTCTCGGGTTTCTGCTGTTTCCATACAAAGAATGTACCCTGGGTGGCCCACCAGCCACTGAGATATGTGAATCCAACTTGAACTCAACTCATGGCCTGGAGCCAAGTTCCACCAGTCCTAACTAGCTTAGCCAAAATCCAGCTGATCTGAAAGTGCATGAATGAGAAATAAAAGCTTATTATTTAATGACTGAGATTTCAAGGTTGTTTGTTTTGTAGCTTTAGCTGACTAATGCAGGCATTTCCTCATGTGGTAGCACAGTCTTCAATATAATCATTTTTAATGGGTGCACTGCATCCTAGCCAGATCATATGAAATTTCAGCGATCATTCCCCTGTCATTCGTGTCACTAGCAATTTTACACCAATTTAATTAAGCCAGGCACATACTCAGGCATACAACCTTTTCTTTTTCTGGTATATTTATAAATGCCTGGAGATGGGCTTACTGGATGAAAAGGTGACTTGGATGAAAGAATCACTTTATTCAGATTAGTTCTGATGGGAAGTGAATAGAAAACCCCAGTCACTGCATCTGATAACGTATAAATTTTGTTGCATTAACTAAGAGAACAAAATGCTGATATCAGGTTCTGATGACAAAAAAGAGGCAATGATATCTTGGAAACAGGTGACTCTAAAAGGGCTGCAAGGGAGCACAGAGAGTGAAACTAAGGCTCACCACCCTAACCTGGAGCTGCAGAGAAGATCTTAACTTGGAGAACTATGGGTAGAAACATGAATTATATAACCTCGACACTGTATTAAAAAAAATCTGTGGTCACTTAAAACTGACATAAGGTACAAAGAGAAAAGAAAAGATGCCTCTGACCATGAACAGGACCTTTTAATTTTTTAATGTATTTCCTCTTGTTATTGTTTACTACTTCAGAGTTCTCTTGGGCCAATTGCAGATAAAGTCCCTTATCCCTGCTTTAATCAGGGAAGGCTGTCTTTGCCCAGTTGTACAGCTTGAAAGAGGCATGTGGTAGAGGGGGAAACAATGAAGGAAGCAGGTGCTTCCTTCCTAGCCAGCCAAATATGACAGACCCCACCAGTCAACAGCTAATACATCAAAATACCTTTACAGTCCCATTGATGTCTCCTCTGATATATACAGTTACAACAAACATATATTAAGTGCTTAGTATGTAGTAGACATGGTGCAAATTGTTTTTAAAATATATCTTTTAACCCCCAACCAGTCTTTGAATTATGTATAGCAGTAAGGTACGATAAGGCAGTGTTAAGAGCTTGAGTCCAGGGGTCGGATTGACTCTGGCCTTGAATTCCAACTCTATTCCTTAATTGGCTGGATGACCTTGAGCAAGTTACTTTACCTCTTCAAGATTCAGTTTTCTCATCTATAAAATAGAGGTAAAATTCATACCTACGTCTTCAGGTAAAGATGAAGATTGAAAGTTAATACTACATTTAGGCCGACCACTGTGGCTCACAGCTGTAAACCCAGCATTTTGAGAAGTTGAGGTAGTTGGATCACTTGAGCCCAAGAGTTTGAGACCAGCCTGGGTAACATGGTGAAACCCCATCTCCACAAAACAAACCCCAAAAATTAGTCAGGCATGGTGGTGCGTGCCACTAGTCCCAGCTACTTTGGGGGCTGAGGTGGGAGGATCAATTGAACCCAGGGGGTCGAGGCTACAGAAAGCCATGATGGGGCCACTACACTGCAGCTTGGGGAACAGGGCATGATACTGTCTAAAAAACTAAAAATAATAAATAAATATGACATTGCCCAGGCACGGTGGTTCACGCCTGAAATTCCAGCACTTTGGGAGGCCAAGGCGGGCAGATCACTTGAGGTTGGGAGTTCAAGACCAGCCTGGCCAACATGGTGAAACTCTGTGTCTACTAAAAATACAAAACAATTAGCTGGGTGTGGTGGCACACACCTGTAATCCCAGCTACTTGGGAGGCTGAGGCAGAGGAATCACTTGAGCCCGGGAGGCAGAGGTTGCAGTGAGCCAAGATCGCGCCACTGCACTCCAGCCTGGATGATAGAGTGAGAATCTGTCTCAAAAAATAAATAAACAAACAAATAAATAAATAAGACATTTAAATAAAGCATAATATGTGGAAAGCTCTCAATAAATTTTAGATCTTACTAGTTCCAATTTACAGCTGAGGAGGCTATGACTTAAAAGATAAATACTTAGGGCCAGTTTCGATGGCTCATGCCTGCGATCCCAGCACCTTAGGAGGCCAAAGCTGAAGGACTGCTTGAAGCCAGGAGTTTGAGATCAGCCTGGGCAATATAGAGAGACTCTGTCTCTATAATTTTTTTTTCTAAATTAGCAGAGCGTGGTGGCACACACTTGTAGTCCAGCTACTTGGGAGACTAAGGTGGAAAGATTGCCTAGGCCCAGGAGTTCAAGGTTACAGTGAGCCATGATCATACCACTACACTCCAGCCTGGATAACACCACAAGACTCTATCTCTAAAAATAAATAAATAAGTAAATAAATAAGCAAATGAATAATAATACCTTACCCAAGATCACAGAACTAGTAAGTTCTGAATCTGAGATCTGAACTCATGTCTGTCTGACTCCAAAGTCCATGTTAGCTTCTATGTTCTTCTGTTTGTACATCAAAGTTAAAGACGTAAGTCTCCTTCTGTGTTGACAGTAATTCATTTGATTTTATGCTGAGGCTTGGATCAAATACACTTAGAATACTGATGGTATTTTTAGCCTCTAAAATTTTTCTACAAAATCAATATGATTACTTAAATGACTTACATAATAAGAAACGTTCAGAGGAGAGCATTTTGTATACCAAGAAACATAAAAGATATACCTGTCATTACAAGTTCTATATAATTACATTATAGAAAGATTAGAAAATAGAGAACCACAAAAGAAAATTCAATCCCTATTATTACCGCTGAATCATGCAGTTGCTTTCACTTTTGCTTGTTCGTTTCCTGGGCTAGTCCACTGGCAGATATATTTTAGCAGAGTTGTAATCATAGCGTACATTCCATTGTATATCCTGTTTGGGTTTATTGTTCTGGTGACCCCTTTCTTCTCTGCAGTCTCCCATATAGTATGTGAGACATTTCCCACATTGCAGGTTAGGGAGAGGTGGTTCTCCGTGCCTTTGAGCAAGGAGCCAAGATTATCAGTGCAGTAGTGCCCCTTACTTTCCAATTGGTTTCATGAACAGCAGGAACTCATGCCTACAGGGAAGAAGAGGATGATGGGCAAGTAAAGGAGGAAAAAGCTCTTCACCTAATTCCATAAAATATGGGGTAGGGTGGGGTGGGGTGGGGGCAGACATTTTAGGGAACTGTACAACAGAGCAACACAATTAGGACAGAAGCAGCCTTCTTTCGTCACTTCCCCACGGGTCACTGTGGGAAGATGGCATGTGAGCGTGCCCTGCTTGTGCAGTTGCCAGTCACAGAACCCAGGAGGTCTGGAAAGCAAACCTCTGTTTGGCCAAAGGTACTGAAGGGTGGCAGAATGTGTTGCCCCCAAATATGCCATTTTGGCATAAGGATTATTTGGAGCTAAAGGCACTTGAAAATAGCAGATGCATATGAGGACCCAAAGGCATAAAAATAATAGACTCTGAGGACTTGGGGGAAGGGTGGGAGGAGGATGAGGGATAAAAGGCTACACGCTGGGTGCAGTGTACACTGCTCGGGTGATGGGTGCACCAAAATCTCAGAAATTACTGCTGAAGAATTTATCCATGTAACCAAACACCACCTGTTCCCCCCAAAACTGTTGAAATAATAATAAAAAGAAAAAGAAAATAGCAGATGCAAAAAGTGAATCTTAATCTTTTTTTCTTCCTTAAAACAGGAGATAAAAGTCCCACGTGAAAGATGCCCTCCCTGTACCAGGAGAATAAAAAACATTCTTTGACGGGGGTCATACCCAGGATAATTCTGTACAAACAGACCTTGCTAAAATAACCCTTATCTTACTTTGCCTTCACACATACTTTAATGTAATTACTTTTCTGCAGTTGTACTCTTTGCTCACCCTACTATACAAGCATTTAGGTTTCGGCACTTCTTTAGGTCTTGAATTTTCTATAGGGGCTCCTATATGTAAAAATCTGTATGTTTTTCTCTTGTTAATCTGTCATAGGTCAAGTTAATTCTCAGGCCTAGCCAAAATCCCTAAGAGAACAGAGGTAAAATTTTGCCTCCCTTGTGGTTTCTGGCAATGAAAATGGGACCCTAGAAGGTTGGGATGCGCCACTCACTTCAGAGCCTGTGGGTAGGATCCCGGAAGAGCTGACAGAACCTGCAGAAGGTAAGAATTCTTACCAAAGTCAGTCCCCCGACATATCTATCTGCAGTGCCCTGTAGAGAGGAGAACGTAAATTTTCCTTGTCTCTTCCTTTCCAAATTCAGATTGGCAGGAGAAAAACATTTGTAAGAATGAGTTCTTTGAATTGTAACTTTTATAAATTTGGTCTGGGTATGATCCACAGCCTCCAAGGAATAATAAAAAGTCCTTGTCTCTGTCGTTTGTGTTGTTTGTCATAAGGAAGAAAATCATGAGATTCGATTCTTCCTTCGTTTTATGTCCCGAGAGCTTGGCTTTAAAATAGTCTCTCTGGTCCTCGCCGCCAGAGGGCGCAAGTGTTGCTGGTTTGCATCAGGCCACCAGCCTGGAACCCAAAATCTAAGATAAGCAGCATTTTCGTCCGCCTGTGCCAGCTCTCAGAGAAGTTTGTCTTAATAAAAGGTCCCAGTCCATAAGAGGCGTTTGTCACCTGAACCTTCATTTTTCTTTTCTTTCTTTCTTTCTTTCTTTCTTTCTTTCTTTCTTTCTTTCTTTCTTTCTTTCTTTCTTTCTTTTTTTTTGAGTACAGGGTTTCATTCTGTCGCCCACGTTGGAGTGCAGTGGCGTGATCTTGGTCACTGTAACCTCCGCCTCCCGGGCTCAAGTGATTCTCCCGCCTCAGTCTCGCGAGTACCTGAAATTTCTGACATGCACCACCAGGCCTGGCTAATTTTTGTATTTTTTGTAGAGACAGGGTTTCACCATATTAGCCAGGCTGGTCTTGAACTCCTAACCTCAAGTAATCTGCCCGCCGCAGCCTCCCAAAATACTGAGATTATAGGTGTGAGCCACCGCGCCCGGCAAAAGGGCTGCATGGTTTGCATCCTCCTTGGGGATGTCTCTTACATCCATGGTTAAGTGATAAAAGGCTTATAGGTTTTAAGCCATAAAAACTTACTGGTTTTGAGTCACAATTAAGACAGGTATACCTTTGAAGATTTGAACTTTTATATCTAAAAGGATTTTTTTTTAAAAGAAAGCTGTCATCCTAAACAAATGTCTATGGAAAGATGAGATCGAAAGAAAATATTAATAGGCAAAGATGAGAATCAATTTTTATCAAAATTATTAAATTTTGTGTTTATGTATACCTAATCATGGCTAAGATTTTAAATGAAAATTATAAGATCTATTTGTGTCTGTCTTTATGTTTATGCCTATATGTGTGTGTTGTGTATATGTGATATGTCTCTACCTCCTGATATTGCACCACTACTTGACAGTATAATTCAGAATGTCTGGGGAAGGACCTTAGCATCTGAATTTTTAAAAAGCATGCCAAAAGATTTGAACAAGCAGCCAAGATTGGGAACTAATTATCTGATTAACGAATGACATCTCTAATTCAATTCCCTCTAGTGCACAGCACCTTTTCTTATAGCTAAAAATGATTGCTAAATCCACACTGTAATAATTTTTTCAATGTATAAGGATAGAAACCCAAAAAAAATGGAACAAGAAACCAACAAGAGCTCAAGGGAATTGTGACTCCTACAGCTGTTGAGGGAGACAGCAGGTCAAAAAGTAGCAGAAACTTGATCAGAACAATAGCAACAGTATTAGCAGCTAAATTAATAGCAGTGAATCCATCTCGGCTCTAATTACAACAACTATTAGGATTATGGAGGCTACTATAAAAATTGAATGAGAAAGTCAGTGAGATGCACTGTTTAATTTCCTTTCTGGCTCTTTCACTGTTTCTTTTTGTTTTGTTTTTTCCCTTTTCCTTGCCAATAAAAAATATTTGTTGAGTAACTCAGGCCTACTGTACAAAGTAACAATTCTCTCCTCCCTTTCCATCTTCTTCCTCTCCAGTTCTACTTCTGAGAAAGTAATCCTTAATAACAGTTTGGTGTGTATCCAAAAAAGCTTTTTTGTAGCATTATTCTCCAAAGTGTTTGAAGCATTTCTTCTGATAAAGTTTCTTTAGTCTTTAGCCAGAACTAGTCTTTGGCCCACTTAGTCTATTGATAAACAGGAAATAGCACATATTCCCCCCTTGAGGCTAGAATGGCAGGCCTAAAATGAGTAGGAGAATTCTGAGAAATGGAAACTTTAAAAAGGCGGCAACCTTCTAGTTTCATTCTCAGAAATACCAAAGCAGCATTTTTCCTGGACTTGTTCTGCAGAGCGCTCAGATTTGAAAGCCATTTCTAGCCTTTGAGGATTACCACTGTCCTCAGCCAAACTGCAGGGACTCCTAAGTAGATCAGAGCTCCTGGAACTTTCTCATCTTTTCAGCATCTCAACCCTGTGGAATCTTTTAACTCCCAAGGTAAGTACAGATTGTCCAGAGAGATCTAAGCCATGCTTATTCAATGGAATGGAGAGTCTCTCAAAGAGACCTCATAACTCTAAGATGAAAATCTCCTCTGTGGCTACAGACTTTTCCAGATATACCCACTTTAGGCAAGAGAGGATGAAGTAGACACTTTAGGTCTACACTTTTAATAAATAAGTGAAATAGACAATGAGAGGAGCTGGTCCTTAGACTGTACTCACCTTGTAGCTGAGGCCAGGGATGTAGGACTCAAGCCCAGAGGAACCTGGCTGGGCTGAGAGAAAGAGATGTAGAGGGTTCTCATAGTTCTGGGGAACAAACCTTCAGATAAGACAAGTGAGGAGACTTGGGAGGAAGGGATGCCTGTGAAGATTCTCTTTTTTTTTTGAGACAGGTTCTCACTCTTTCGCCCAGGCTGTCGTGCAGTGGTGCGATCACAACTCACTGCAGCTTCGACCTTCCAGGGCTCAAAGGATCCTCCTGCTTCAGCCTTTGAAAGTGCGGGGACTACAGGCACTGAGCGTGAGGGTGCCTGGCTAATTTTTTTCGTTTCTGTAGAGAGGAAGTCTTGCTAGATTGACCAGGCTGGTTTCAAACTCCTGACCTCAAGTAATCGTCCCACCTTGGCCTCCCAATGTGCTGGGATTATAGACATTAGCCACCGTACCCAGCCTCGCCTGTGAAGATTCTTTAGCAGTTAGCTGATTGCTTCATCACTATGAAAAGGGGTTTCTTATTTTTCTTATTTTTTTTTTTTTGAGACAGGCTCTCACTCTGTCACCCAGGCTGGAGTGCAGTGATGCAATCGTGGCTCACTGCAGTCTCAACCTCCCTAGGCTCAAGTGATCCTCCCGTCTCAGACTCTCGAGGAGCTGGGACTATAGACCATGCACCACCACACCCAGCTAATTTTTTTATATTTTGTAGAGACTGGATTTCCTTGCTCAGACTGGTCTCAAACTCCTGGGCTCAAGCAATCTGCCCACCTTAGCCTCCCAAAGTGCTGGGATTACATGCATGAGCCACTGAGCCCAACTGTGTTTTTTTGTTTTTCGTAATATATAAACTATTTTGTTTTCAGAGAAACTTAAGCTATATTGACTGGGAAACTGTGATCTAGTTGGATTTAGATATAATGTTTGCAAATGTGTCACTGCATTGGGTCTTTTTGTTTACCAACATTAATTAAAGCAGATACTTGTGAAGGCCCTAGATGTTCTGTCTAGCTGTGTTTTTACATGTGACTTTTGCTTGCCTGTGTTTAACAGAAATAGACCTATGTTTTTCTTGTTATCAAATGTGTTTTATAAAATAAATGCTATCACAAATACCAGGGAGATTATTCCAGAATGGTTATTCTTACCAGAGTAATGAAAACTCTCTTGTCTTCCAAGAGGCCTAATAATTTGGGAGACCAGTTTGCACAATGATTAAGAGTCTAGATTTTTGGCCGGATGTGGTTGCTCATGCCTGTAATCCCAGCACTTTGGGAGACCAAGGTGGGAAGATCGCTTGAGCCCAGAAGTTTGAGAACAGCCTGGATAACATAGCAAGACCCCATCTCTACAAAACAAACAAACAAACAAACAAACAAACAAACAAACTAGCCAGGGCCGGGTGTGGTGGCTCACGCCTGTAATCCCAGCACTTTGGGAGGCCGAGGAAGGTGGATCATTTGAGGTCAGGAGTTCAAGACCAGCCTGGCCAACATGGTAAAACCCTGTCTCTACTAAAAATACAAAAATTACCTGGGAGTGGTGGTGCGTGCCTGTCATTCCAGCTACTCAGGAGGCTGAGGTGGAAAGATCACTTGAACCCAGGAGGTGGAGGGTGCGGTTAGCTGAGATCCTGCCACTGCCTTCGAGCCTTGGCGGCAGAGCAAGAATCCATCTCAAAAACAAAAACAAAAAAAGCTAGCCAGGCATGGTGGCGTACACCTGTAGTCCCAGCTACTTGGGAGGCTGAGGTGGGAGGACTGCTTGAGTTCGGGTGGTGAAGGCTGCAGTGAGCTATGACTGCACCACTGCACTCCAGCCTGGATGACAGAGCAAGACCCTGTTGCTTTAAAAAAAAAAAAAGGCTGGGTGCGGTGCTGTAATCCCAGCACTTTGGGAGCCTGAGGTGGGCGGATCACCTGAGGTCGGGAGTTCAAGACCAGCCTGAACAACGTGGAGAAACCCCGTCACTACTAAAAATAAAAAAAAAAAAATTAGCTAGGCAAGGTGGCACATGTCTGTAATCCCAGCTA
The DNA here is from genome assembly GCF_000001405.40 of Homo sapiens. Lineage (NCBI taxonomy): Eukaryota > Metazoa > Chordata > Mammalia > Primates > Hominidae > Homo > Homo sapiens. The sequence continues at coordinate 35,535,318 of NC_000017.11, read as the reverse complement.
CTAGGGAGGCTGAGGCAGGAGAATTGCTTGAACCTGGGAGGTGGAGGTTGTGGTGAGCCGAGATCACGCCATTGCACTCCAGCCTGGGCAACAAGAGTGAAACTCCATCTAAAAAAAAAAAAAAAAAAGGAGAAAGAGAGAGTCTAGGTTTTGATTAGAAACACTAGCATTTGGAATCAAATACTCCTGGATTTGAGCCTCACCCATATGACTCTGAATATGTCCCCCAACCTCAGTTTCCTCATTGGTAAAATAAAGATAATAGTATTTGTTGTGAGAAAGCAATGAGATAATGTATGTAAAGTTTTTGGTACAGTTCCTGGCTCAATAAATGTTAGCTCTTTCAGCTCATGAGGAGCACCACAAGCATTAACCTTCCTACTATGCCCTTTGTTTTTATTTGCTCTTGATTGATTAGCTCTTCCTGTATCAGAACTCTTGATCCCAGGCCTTGATAGAGATTTCTGCTTTTGGCTGCTTAAGCTTTGGCATATATCCAGGTTCTCTCTCCACATTTGGATCCTTTCTCCCTTTCAATGTTTGGCTAAGCTATGGTTTTTAATCTGGGGTGAGAAGCAGTATCTCATAAACAGCTCCCGCCAGTGACTGGGCCCATTCTGGTTCTTATCCATTGGATTGAGATGGAAGAGGAGCAATTGAAATAATAGACATGAATTCCCATCAATTGCCAGGTCCCTCGGCTTACTTCTAAATCTCTCTCAACTCTGCCGGCTTAATTCTAAATCTCTCTCAACTCTGCCTACTTCTCCACTGTCCCCACCTTAGTCCACATCACCATCTGTTCTCATTTGGGCTGCTGAAACCATATCCTGAAAGGTCTTTTCCATGACTGCTCTAACCTGCTTCAGCTAGAAAGGACTTTGAAAAATGTTCATCTGATGCTGTGTCTTCCTGCTTAACAACCTCCAATGGCTTCCCATTACTTTTTGTTTTTTTTGAGACGGAGTCTTGCTCTGTTGCCAGGCTGGAGTGCAGTGGGACGATCTCAGCTCACTGCAACCTCCGCTTCCCGGGTTCAAGAGATTCTCCTGCCTCAGCCTCCCGAGTAGCTGGGACTGCAGGCATGTGCCACCATGCCCGGCTAATTTTTTGTATTTTTAGTAGAGATGGGGTTTCACCGTGTTAGCCAGGATGGTCTCCATCTCTTGACCTCATGATCTGCCCACCAGGGCCTCCCAAAGTGCTGGGATCACAGGCATGAGACACCGTGCCCAGGCCTTTCTTTTGAGACAGAGTCTCCTTCTGTTGCCCAGCCTGGAGTGCAGTGGCATGATTTTGACTCACTGCAAACTTTGCCTCCCAGGTTAAAGCAATTCTCGTGCCTCAGCCTCCCAAGTAGCTGGGACTACAGGTGCAGCCTGGTTAATTTTTGTATTTTTAGTAGAGATGAGGTTTCACTATGTTGGCCAGGCTGGTCTCGAACTCCTGACCTCAGGTGATCTGCCCGCCTCGGCCTCCCAAAGTGCTGGGATTACAGGCGTGAGCTATGGTGTCTGGCCAGCTTCCCATTACTCTTAGGGTAAAGCCAGGAACCCTTAAAGTGGCTTACCAGACAATGCACAGCTGGACACCTGAGCATGGTTCCAACCTCATCTCCTGCCTCTATCCTTCCAGCTCTGTGCTGTCAGTCTTTTGAACTTGACATACTCCTTCTTACTTCTGTCTAGAAAATTCTTCCCCCCCTTCTTCACCAAATTAACTCTTCACCTCATTTGCATTCTTCAGATCTTAACTCAAATGTTACTTTTTCTGGAAATCCTTCTCTGAACCCATTCCCTCTCCAACTGCCAGGTGAGGGCAGTGTTTCCATTCTAAGCTCCCCTGACATTCTAAACTTTTGTCCATAGGAGTCACTTGTTTACTGTCAACCTCCTCAAGAACAGGGACCAGGTTTGTTTTGTTCACCACTGTCTTTTCTGGATTTAGCACAGTGCTAGGCAAATAATAGATTTCCAATAAATATTTGTTGAGTAAATGATTTATGACTATTATTTATGGTTAAGTATGAATTGAGAGCAATTTCAACAATTGAGAAGTACCTAGTTCATTAATATGCATCTTTTAAAAATAGTTTCTACATACAACATTGTGTTAAGCATCTTCTTGATGAAATGTAACATATAACTAAAAGCATAACAACTTGAAAGGGTTGTAGAGGTGTTATGTGATAAAAGCAGAATATAAAATTCTGTTTATTTGATGTTTACAAATTGTAAAACAATGTAATATTATTAAGATGATAAGAGATAAGGCTGAAAATATTATTGATCACCATAATATTGTTTATAAAGTATATAAAACTGAATGTTGTAGCCTGCCATTTTTTGTGTGTCAAACAATATATATTTAATAATGTGATAATTATATGATTTTGAAGTTTTTTTGTTTTTGTCTTTTGGTTTGTTTTTGTTTTTGAGACAGGGTCTCACCAGGCTGGAGTGCAGTGGAATGATTTTTGTTCACTGCAACCTCTGCCTCCTGGGTTCTAGTGATTCTCCTGCCTCAGCCTCCTGAGTAGCTGGGATTACAGGCACCTGCCATCATGCCTGGCTAATTTTTGTATTTTCAGTAGGGGTGAGGATTTCACTGTGTTAGCCAGGCTGGTCTTGAACTCCTGGCCTCAAGTGATATGCCTGCCTTGGCCTCCCAAAGTGTAAGGATTATAGGTGAGAGCCACGGTGCCTGGCCTGATTTTGAAGTTTTAAAAAAAGTTTTCCAGTAATCCCAACGGAGCCAGGTACTTTATAAAATTTTTCTTGATAACGTCCCTCAGGCTTTTTATTCTGTTATTGATTTATCTGCACTATCAATTTTTTATTAAACAAGCTTTGCTTTTGTGCCTTTTTTTTTTTTTTTGAGATGGAGTCTCACTCCCTTTTGCACAGGCTGGAGTGCAGTGGTGCAATCTCGGCTCACTGCAACCTCCAACTCCCAGGTCCAAGCAATTCTCCTTCCTCAGCCTCCCAAGTAGCTGGCATAAGAGGCATGTGCCACCACGCCCAGCTAATTTTTGTATTTTTAGTAGAGTCGGGGTTTCGCTATGTTGGCCAGGCTGGTCTCAAACTCCTGACCTCAGGTGATCCACTCGCCTCGGCCTCCCAAAGGATTACAGGCGTGAGCCACTGTGCGCGGCCTGTGCCTATTTTTAAAAACCATTCATTTATGTTTTCAAATTTCTTAATACATATTTTGATGGAACCAAATCTTTCTCAGGTATGATTTTAGAGGAAGAAATCTACTAGAGTTTTCTGTGTATTGATTTTTTTCTTTGGGTCTTAAAGGGAGAAGAAAAGATTAGCAGTTCTTGAGGTTTCTATTTCATACAAAATAATTTGCACTTTTAGATGTAGAAGAGAGTTGTCAGGCCGGGCTGGGTGGCTCACACCTATAATCCCAGCACTTTGGGAGGCCGAGGTGGGTGGATCACCTGAGGTCAGGATTTCACGACCATCCTGGCCAACACGATGAAACCCCATCTCTATTAAAAAAATAAAAATAAAAAAAATTTAAAAAGTTAGCCAGGCGTGGTGGCAGGAACCTGTAATTCCAGCTACTTGGGAGGCTGAGGCAGGAGACTCACTTGAACCTGCGAGATGGAGGTTGCAGTGAACCGAGATCGCGCCACTGCACTCCAGCCTGGGCAACAAGAGTGAAACTCCATCTCAAAAATAAATAAATAAATAAGTAAATATAATAAAAGAAGAGAGTTGCCAATATGAAAATTTTATCCATGGAAACCAATGGCATGCTATACTTGAAAGAACATGTCCATAGGAATAAACATTAAAACTTTAAAGCTTGTATGTCACAAATGGCACTTTGTATAAATAATCTGACAAGGTTGTTTTAATGGTCATAAAATACAGAAGAAGACAGTTGTAAGCTTTATTACAAGGCACGTATCAGACATATGAGTAAGATCATGAAAGATCTGGCCTTCTACATAATTTCCTGCTCAGAAGTCTATTTCCTTTTCACACCTGCATCAACCACCATTTTATTTGTTCATTTCTTTAAAATAATAAAGATGCTAGTGAAAAAAATAAAAGTGCTAGTGGGTTGTCTAAAAAGATGGAAAACCAGACAAAAAAGCAAAACAAGGAAAAACAAAACTTTTAATCTTGTTAATTAATCAAATAAATTGTTTTTTAATTTTTCAATTTCCTCCTGCCCTTACATTTATTATTCCCTTTATTTTGTGTTCCTTTGTGATCTAGTTCTTTTTCTAAGTTCTGTAAATTCACTCTACTTTTATCTTTCTCTTTAACCAATATAGGCATTTGGGGCTATGGATTTTTCTTCACATATGTTTAAGCCACGTTATGGCAATTTGTTGTGACCTAAACCATATGTCCCCAGCAGACAGATTCTTAGTATCTCTGACAGGACTGTGTTTAGTGTGAGCTTTCATTGAATGTTTCCTGCGCTACTGAATCAAATAACGAAATGTTTTCACGGCATGCACGAATGCATAGTCAAGCAAAAGAAAAAAGTGATTGTGCAGGTTGTGGCACAATTCTGAGAGTCTTAGGAGCCCCCTTCTCACCATAGCACAGTTAAGTTTTATTGATTTGCACAACCACTCCCAAATACAAGTTCTTTGAAATAAAAAAGACTAAGAATCATTGATGTTCCTTTTACTCCATTTGTCAGATTTACCACGTCCCTTGGCCATCTTCATTTCCCCCACTATCTACATAAGAATGTATAGTCCAAAAGTTTAACTTCTCTCCCTTTCTCTTTCTTTCTTTCTTTCTTTTCTTTTCTTTTCTTTTCTTTTCTTTTCTTTCTTTCTTTCTTTCTTTCTTTCTTTCTTTCTTTCTTTCTTTCTTTCTTTCTTTCTTTCTTTCTTTCTTCCCTTCCCTTCCCTTCCTTCCTTCCTTCCTTCCTTCCTTCCTTCCTTCCTTCCTTCCTTCCTTCCTTCCTTCCTTCCTTTCTTTCTCTTTTTTTTTCTGACAGAGTCTCACTCTGTCACCAGACTGGAGTGCAGTGGCACAATCTTGGCTCACTGCAACCTCCGCCTCCCGGGTTCAAGTGATTCTCCTGCCTCAGCCTCCCGAGTAGCTAGGACTACAGGTGCCTGCCACCACGCCTGACTAATTTTTTGTATTTTTCGTAGAGACGGGGTTTCACCATGTTGGCCAGGATGGTCTCGATCTCAAAAAAAAAAAAAAAAAAAAGACAAAGCAGTCACCCAGGAGGCTAGCCAGGGTACCAAAAGACGTGACAGATGACGTTTATGAGGTTATAATGTTAGTCGGAAGAGTATGGGTTTCTCTTTCAGTATGGGTTTGAGTGACTTTGAGAAAGTTAATTAATGTTTCTGAGCTTCCATCTCTTCAACTTTTTTCTTTTCTAATCTATTTTATTTTTTATTTACTATTATTATTTTTATTATTTCAATAGTTTTAGGGGAACAGGTGGTATTTTGTTATATGGACAAGTTCTTTTCTTATTATACTTTAAGTTCTGGGGTACATGTGCAGAATGTGCAGGTTTGTTACATAGGTATTCACATGCCATGGTGGTTTGCTGCACCCACCAACCCGTCACCCACATTAGGTATTTCTCCTAATGTTGTCCCTCCCCTAGCCCCCCACCCCCAGATATGCCCCAGTGTGTGATGTTCCCCTTTATGTGTCCGTGTGTTCTCATTGTTCAACTCCCACTTATGAGAGAGAACATGTGGTATTTGGTTTTCTGTTCTTGTGTTAGTTTGCTGAGAATGATGGTTTCCAGCTTCATCCATGTCCCTGCAAAGCAATGCACTCATCCTTTTTAATGGCTGCATAGTATTCCATGGTGTATATGTGCCACATTTTCTTTATCCAGTCTATCATTGATGGACATTTGGGTTGGTTCCAAGTCTTTGCTATTGTGAATAGTGCCACAATAAACATATGTGTGTATGTGTCTTTATAGCAGAATAATTTATAATCCTTTGGGTATATACCCAGTAATGGGATTGCTGGGTCAAATGGTATTTCTGGTTCCAGATCCTTGAGGAATTGCCACACTGTCTTCCACAATGGTGGAACTAATTTACACTCCCATCAACAGTGTAAAAGCATTCCTATTTCTCCACATCCTCTCCAGCATCTGTTGTTTCCTGACTTTTTAATGATCGCCATTCTAACTGGCATGAGATGGTATCTCATTGTGGTTTTGATTTGCTTTTCTCTAATGACCAGTGATGATGAGCTTTTTTTCATATGTTTGTTGGGTGCATAAATGTCTTCTTTTTGAGAACTGTCTGTTCATATCCTTTGCCCACTTTTTGATGGGGTTGTTTGTTTTTTTCTTGTGAATTTGTTTAAGTTCCTTGTAGATTCTGGATATTAGCCCTTTGTCACATGGATAGATTGCAAAAATTTTTTCCCATGCTGTAGATTGCCTGTTCACTCTGATGTTAGTTTCTTTTGCTGTGCAGAAGCTCTTTAGTTTAATTAGATCCCATTTGTCAGTTTTGGCTTTTGTTGCCATTGCTTTTGGTGTTTTAGTCATGAAGTCTTTGCCAATGCCTATGTCCTGGATGTTATTGCCTAGGTTTCCTTCTAGGATTTTTATGGTTTTAGGTCTTACATTTAAGTCTTTAATCCATCTTGAGTTAATTTTTGTATAAGGCATAAGGAAGGGGTCCACTTTCAGTTTTCTGCATGTGGCTAGCCAGTTTTCCCAACACCATTTATTGAATAGGGAATCCTTTCCCCATTGCTTGTTTTTGTTAGGTTTGTCAGATCAAATGGTTGTGGATGTGTGGTGTTATTTCTGAGGCCTCTGTTCTGTTCCATTGGTCTATATGTCTGTTTTGGTACCAGCACCATGCTGTTTTGGTTATTGTAGCCTTGTAATATAGTTTGAAGTAGGGTAGCTTGATGCCTCCAGCTTTGTTCTTTTTGCTTAGGATTGTCTTGGCTATGCAGGCTTGGTTCTATATGAAGTTTAAAGTAGTTTTTTCCAGTTCTGTGAATAAAGTCACTGGTAGCTTGATGGGGATAGCATTGAATCTGTAAATTACTTTGGGCAGTATGGCCATTTTCACAATATTGATTCTTCCTATCCATGAGCATGGAATGTTTTTCCATTTATTTGTGTCCTCTCTTATTTCCTTGAGCAGTGGTTTGTAGTTCTCCTTGAAGAGGTCCTTCACATCCCTTGTAAGTTGTATTCCTAGGTATTTTATTCTCTTTGTAGCAATTGTGAATGGGAGTTCACTCATGATTTGGCTGTCTGTCTGTTATCGGTGCATAGGAATGCTTGTGATTTTAGCACATTGATTTTGTATCCTGAGACTTTGCTGAAGTTGCTTATAAGCTTAAGGAGATTTTTGGGCTGAGACTGTGGGGTTTTCTAAATATACAATCATGTCATCTGCAAACAGAGACAATTCAACTTCCTCTTTTCCTACTTGAATACCCTTTATTTCTTTCTCTTGCCTCATTTCCCTGGCCAGAACTTCCAATACTATGTTGACTAGGAGTGGTGAGAGGGGGCATCCTTGTCTTGTGCTGGTTTTCAAAGGGAATGTATCCAGCTTCTGCCCATTCAGTATGATACTGGCTGTGGGTTTGTGATAAATAGCTCTTATTATTTTGAGGTACGTTCCATCGATACCTAGTTTATTGAGAATTTTTAGCATGGAGGGGTGTTGAATTTTGTTGAAGGCCTTTTCTGCATCTATTGAGATAATCATGTGGCTTTTGTCATTCGTTCTGTTTATGTGATGGATTACGTTTATTGATTTGCGTATGTTCAACCAGCCTTGCATCCCAGGGATGAAGCTGACTTGACTGTGGTGGATAAGCTTTTTGATGTGCTGCTGGATTCGGTTTGCCAGTATTTTTTTGAGGATTTTTTGCATTGATGTTCATCAAAAAAAATTTTCTTTTTTTTGTTGTATCTCTACCAGGTTTTGGTATCAGGATGATGCTGGCCTCATAAAATGAGTTAGGGAGGATTCCCTCTTTTTCTATTGTTTAGAATAACTTCAGAAGGAATGGTACCAGCTCCTCTTCATACCTCTGGTAGAATTCAGCTGTGAATCTGTCTGGTCCTGGAGTTTTTCTGGTTGGTAGGGTATTAATTACTGCCTCAATTTCAGAAGCTGTTATTGGTCTATTCAGGGATTCGACTTCTTCCTGGTTTAGACTTGGGAGGGCCTATGCGTCCAGGAATTTATCCATTTCTTCTAGATTTTCTAGTTTATTTGCATAGAGGTGTTTACAGTATTCTCTGATGGTGGTTTGCATTTCTGTGGGATTCGTGGTGATATCCCCTTTATGATTTTTTTATTGCATCTATTTGATTCTTCTCTCTTTTCTTCTTTATTAGTCTCGGTAGTAGTCTATCTATCTTGTGGATCTTTTCAAAAAACCAGCTCCTAGATTCATTGAATTTTTGAAGGGGTTTTTGTGTCTCTATGTCCTTCATTTATGCTCTGATCTTAGTTATTTCTTGTCTTCTGCTAGCTTTTGAATTTGTTTGCTGTCGCTTCTCTAGTTCTTTTAATTGTGATGTTAGGGTGTCGATTTTAGATCTTTCCTGCTTTTTCTTGTGGGCATTTAGTGATATAAATTTCCCTCTACACACTGCTTTAAATGTGTCCCAGAGATTCCGGCACGTTGTGTCTTTGTTCTCATTGGTTATGAAGAACGTCTTTATTTCTGCCTTCATTTCGTTATTTACCTGGTAGTCATTCAGGAGCAGGTTGTTCAGTTTCCATGTAGTTATGTGGTTTTGAGTGAGTTTCTTAATCCTGAGTTCTAATTTGATTGCACTGTGGACTGAGAGGATTTTTGTTATGATTTCTGTTATTTTGCATTTGCTGAGGAGTGTTTTACTTCTAATTATGTGGTCAATTTTAGAATAAGTGCCATGAGGTGCTGAGAAGAATGTATATTCTGCTGATTTGCAGTGGAAAGGTCTGTAGATGTCTATTAGATCCGCTTGGTTCAGAGCGGAGTTGAAGTCCTGAATATCCTTGTTAATTTTCTGTCTCGTTGATCTGTCTAATATTGACTGTAGAGTGTTAAAGTCTCCCACTATTACTGTGTGGGAGTCTAAGTCTCTTGGTAGGTCTCTAAGAATTTGCTTTATGAATCTGGGTGTTCCTGTATTGGGTACATATATATTTAGGATAGTTAGCTCTTTTTGTTGCATTGATCCCTTTACCATTATGTAATGCCCTTCTTTGTCTTTTTTGATCTCTGTTGGTTTAAAGTCTGTTTTATCAGAGACTAAGATTGAAACCCCTGCTTTTCTTTGCTTTCCTTTGCTTGGTAAATATTCCTCCATCCCTTTATTTTGAGCCTATGTGTGTCTTTGCACGTGAGGTGGGTCTCCTGAATACAGCACACTGATGGGTCTTGACTCTTTTATCCAATTTGCCAGTCTGTGTCTTTTAATTGGGGCATTTAGCCCATTTACATTTAAGGTTAATATTGTTATGTGTGAATTTGATCCTGTTACTATGATGCTAGCTGGTTATTTTGCCCATAGTTGATGGTTTCTTCATAGTGTCGATGGTCTTTACAATTTGGTATGTTTTTGAAGTGGCTGGTACCAGTTGTTCCTTTCCATGTTTAGTGCTTCCTTCAGGAGCTCTTGTAAGGCAGGCCTGGTGGTGACAAAATCTCTCAGCATGTTCTTGTCTGTAAAGGATTTTATTTCTCCTTCACTTGTGAAACTTTGTTTGGCTGGATATGAAATTCTGGGTTGACGATTCTTTTCTTTAAGAATGTTGAATATTGGCCCCCACTCTCTTCTGGCTTGTAGGATTTCTGCAGAGAGATCTGCTGTTAGTCTGATGGGCTTCCGTTTGTGGGTAACCCAACCTTTCTCTCTGGCTGCCCTTAACATTTTTTTCCTTCATTTCAACCTTGGTGAATCTGACGATTATGTGTCTTAGGGTTGCTCTTCTCGAGGAATATCTTTGTGGTGTTCTCTGTATTTCCTAAATTTGAATGTTGGCCTGTCTTGTTAGGTTGGGGAAGTTCTCTTGGATAATATCCTGAAGAGTGTTTTCCAAATTGGTTCCATTCTCCTCATCACTTTCATGTACACCAATCAAACGTAGATGTGGTCTTTTCACATAGTCCCATATTTCTTGGAGGCTTTGTTCATTCCTTTTCATTCTTTTTTCTCTATTCTTGTCTTCTTGCTTTATTTCATTAAGTTGATCTTCAGTCTCTGATATCCTTTCTTCTGCTTGATCAATTTGGCTACTGATACTTGTGTATGTTTCACGAAGTTCTCGTGCTGTGTTTTTCAGCTCCATCAGGTCATTTATATTCTTCTCTAAACTGGTTATTCTAGTTAGCAATTTGTCTAACCTTTTTTCAAGGTTCTTAGCTTCCCTGTGTTGGGTTAAAACATGCTCCTTTAGCTCAGAGGAGTTTGTTATTACCCACCTTATGAAGCCTACGTCTGTCAATTTGTCAAACTCATTCTCCGTCCAGTTTTGTTCCCTTGCTGGCAAGGAGTTGTGATCCTTTGGAGGAGAAGAGGTATTCTGGTTTTTGGAATTTTCAGCCTTTTTGAGCTGGTTTCTCCCCATCTTCATGGATTTATCTACCTTTTGTCTTTGATGTTGGTGACCTTCAGATGGGGTCTCTGAGTGGATGTGCTAGTCCTTTCTGTTTGTTAGTTTTCCTTCTAACAGTCAGGCCCCTCTGCTGCAGGTCTGCTGGAGTTTGCTGGAGGTCCACTGCAGACCCCGTTTGCCTGGGTATCACCAGTGTGGGCTGCAGAACAGCAAAGATTGCTGCCTGTTCTTTCCTTTGGAAGCTTCGTGCCAGAGGGGCACCCACCAGATGCCAGCCAGAGCTCTCTTGTATGAGGTGTTTGTTGGCCCCTGCTGGGAGGTGTCTCCCAATTGGGATACACATGGGCCAGGGACCCACTTGAGGAGGCCATCTGACCCTTAGCAAGCTCGAACGCTGTGCTAGGAGATCTGCTGCTCTCTTTAGAGCTGTCAGGCAGGTACACTAAAGTCTGCTGACACTGCACCCACAGCCGCCCCTTCCCCCAGGTGCTCTGTCCCAGGGAGATGGGGGTTTTATTTATCTCCCCCAACTTCTTAACATCTCTAAAATCTAGATGTATGTCATAATAGATGCCATCTCCTACTCACTAACATCCACGTTGCAGGCATAATCAAGTTGTGTGAACACCTGGTATGAATGAGAAAGCACAAGCAACAATGAACAATAAACAATTACCAGTAAAGTTTGGGTAATTTCAATTTCAAATTACCACTTACAAATCTTGATTCTGGTTTGTATTCTGCCACTGCCACAATAGGGCAAAAACATTCTTGTTTTTCTCCCTTTGGACCCCATGATCTTTGAAATTTTTTTTTTTTTAAGACAAGTTCTGACTCAGTCACCTAGGCTGGAGTGCAGTGGCACAATCTCAGCTCACTGCAACCTCCGCCTCCTGGGCTCAAGCAATCCTCCCACCTCAGCCTCCTGAGGAGATGGGACTACAGGCATGCACCATTATGCCTAGATCATTTTTATATTTTTTGTAGAAACAGGGTTTCACCATTATGCCCAGGCTGGTCTCGCACTCCTGGGCTCAAGTGATCACCCATCTCGGCCTCCCAAAGTGCTAGGATTACAGGAGTGAGCCACCGCACCCAGCCTAAAATAAGTTTATAACTCTGTAGCACAAGTATATTCTCATGTCACGTAATTGTTCCTTGTTTGCCTGTGACAAAGAGAAGACTTTTGTAATGGGGGGGAGCCTCAGATTGATCTGTATGTGATGCAACAATTCTGCTTCAGGAGAGATAGCTTCAAGGGTCTCCTAGTTGAGGACTGAAGAAAATTAACTGCCAATAAAAGCTTTTACGTAACTTCCTCTTCTCCGCAAATATTGTGCTAATGAGTACCTTCTTCCTGGGAAGGCTCCTGCTACCCCCATTAGTGGGGACTGTTCAGGGACATTTTGAGATTCATGCACTTTGAGAGTGGGATGGGGAATAGGACTCATCTTTTTCAAGCAGCTGCAATGAGCCAGACTCTTTATGTTACTTCATTTATTCCTCTCCATAGGAAATGTGCTATTCTTAGTTTTGTTTTACAAATGAGAGAGCAAAGTCTCAGAGAGGTTAGGTCAAAGGCATAATAAACACATGGGTTTAGATGAGATTTACCAGATATTTCAAAGCTTCTTTTCCTTTATAATTGTAATATAATGTTTATAGAAGAATATTTGAAATATCTGTAATTAATAATCAAATATATTAATCAGTTAATTATAACTAATTGTCATAATCAGTATGATTCTTCTCCTTCCCCTAATTTCTCATTCTTTTCACATCTAGTGCTACCAGGATATTTGCGATGTACTCTGGAATCCCTCTGGAAGGAGCTGTCCTCACAGAATGAAGGATTAGAGGAGTTAATAAATAAGCAAACCCAACCTTTCTCCTGGGGAATTGTGATCCTCTCTAGAAGCTAGGCTGTGGACCTGAATTTGCAGGAGAAGCCAGGAGTCATCTGTGATGCTCTGCTGATAGCATAGAACAGCCCTGGCAGGGCCAGGACTACTGCACTTGCACTGCCCTTACTTTGAAGCAGAAGCTGGTGAACATGGGGGGCTACACTGGGGAGGTGTGTGTCAGGGCCAAGGTCCTCTGCCTGAGTCCTGAGAGCAGCGCAGAGGCTTTGGAGGCTGCAGTGTCTCCGATGGATTACCCTGCGTCCTATAGTTTTGCAGGCACCCAGCACATTGGAAGCCCTGCTGCAGTCCCTCGTGATTGTCTTGCTCGGCTTCAGGTCTCTCTTGAGTGACCTGTGCAGCTATGAGGTTTTAAATCTGCTCACAGCCCAGCAGTATGAGATATTCTCCAGAAGCTTCCACAAGAACAGAGAATTGTTTGTCCATGGCTTACCTGGCTTAGGAAAGACCATCATGGCCATGAAGATCATGGAGAAGATCAGGAATGTGTTTCACTGTGAGGCACACAGAATTCTCTACATTTGTGAAAGTCAGTTTCTGAGGAATTTCATCAGGTAAGCAGTTGGACCTTATGTCTCTAAGTATTATTTAATCTGGGTTTAATTTTCTCTGCTAAGTCACCTTGTCCCTTGAAAATTAAGTGGTAAAATTATCTGTGACAACAAACTGTGTTTAGGAGAGCACAATGGGGTAATTTTTTCTACCTTTTTTTTATTATACTTTAAGTTGTAGGGTACATGTGCACAACGTGCAGGTTTGTTACATATGTATACATGTGCCATGCTGGTGTGCTGCACCCATCAACTCGTCATTTAACATTAGGTATATCTCCTAATGCTATCCCTCCCTCTCCCCTCACCCCACAACAGGCCCCGGTGTGTGTGATGTTCCCTTTCCTGTGTCCATTTTCTACCTTTTTTAGCTAAAGAAAACCGACTCGGGTCATTTTTCATTTTCTTGAGACAGAGTCTTGCTCTGTCACCCAGGCTGGAGTACAGTGGCACCATCATGACTCACTGTAGCCTCAACTTCCTGAGCTCAAGCAATCCTCTCACCTCAGCTTCCTGAGTAGCTAGGACCCAGTTGCCTGCCATCATGCCTGGATAATTTAAAAATATTTTTGTAAAAACAATTATGTAGCTCAAGCTGGAGTGATCATAGTTCACCATATCCCTGAACTCCTGGGCTGAAGTGATCCTCCTGCCTCAGCCTCCCCAATTGCTGGAATTGTAGGCATGAGCCACTGTGCCAGGCTCAATTGGGTTTTGATGGTGCCTGCCTATCTCTGCAATCTGGCTTTAGCTAGCTGGGACTTACTCTATTAAAGATCTGAAAATCCACCCAGCCATGGTAAAATAAAACAAAATGCTTTTAAAATTTAAGTTAACTTTTTATTTTAAAATATTCATAGACTTACAGAAAAGTTGCAAAGATAGTACAGAAAGTTCCTGTGTACCCTTCACTCAGTTCCCTCTTTCATTACCACATTACTGTGGTTCACTTTTCACAACCATAGTACATTGCTGTGAACTAAACTCCGCAATTTATCTGGATTTCCCAGTTTTCTCCTACTCTGCTTGTCTGTTCCAGGATCCCATCCAGGATGCCATATGACATTTAGTAGTTATGTCTCCTTAGCTTCCTTGGATCTGTGATAATTTTTCAGACTTTATTTTTGAAGACCTGGATAGTTTTGAGAAGCCCTGTTCAGGCACTTTGTAGAATGTCCCTTTTGGGTTTGTCTGATGTTTTTCTCATAGTTAGGCTGGAGTTATAGGTTGTCAACTTAAAAATCACACAATTTATAAGTTTAGAAAAGATATTTTATTTATTATAAAGTGTTACAACTTGCAGGCTGGCCATCCTGATTGGGGGGAAGCTTAGACAGAAAGGCAGCACTTTGAGAGAAGGGAGGATGGAACAGGGATTTGTGCTGAATGGCTTGGGCAGTATATATATTCAGCAGGTTATAGGAGGAGATATGAATACTCCTGAGAGGGGGTTGTGCATGTGCATGGAGAGTAAACATGCTTATTGTGTGTAGTGTCCCATGGTCACTTTTTAGTAGAGACAACTTTTTTTTTTTTGAGACCGAGTTTTGCTCTGTCGCCCAGGCTGGAGTGCAGTGGTATGATCTCGGCTCACTGCAACTGCTGCCTCCTGGGTTCAAGCAAATTCTCCTGCCTCAACCTCCCGAGTAGCTGGGACTACAGGCGTGCATCACCAACCCTGTCTAATTTTTGTGTTTTTAATAGAGTACGGGTTTTGCCATGTTGGCCAGGCTGGTCTTGAACTCCTGACCTCAGGTGATCCATCCGTCTTGGCCTCCCAAAGTGTTGGGATTACAGGCATGAGCCATCGTGCCCAGCCAGTAGAGACTAAACTTTATAATTATTACAATTAGACCCTATATGTTTTAACTTTTATATCTATTACAATTAGACCTTACACATCAAAAGTCTTTTCAGGAGAAGAAGGCACTCAAGTGCTCAGAATCGAAACCAGCCAGAAGCAGTCCATGGTTGGTGGTCTTGTTATCAGAAGAAAGTTACTAAAATCAGTCTCTTGTCCAGTCAAAGCTGTAGTTAGGGCTGGTGGAGCAGGTGGTCAGTTGGTTCATGTCTGGCAGTGGATGCGCTGCAGTTGTTTTAATATTGCTTATCTCCAGGCCAGTGTTTGTTTAGCTGATAGAAGAAAAGAAAAAGCTTGTGGCTATTAGAACATAGTTTATTCTTTAAGTGTAGGGACGCGTGACTCAATTCTTGCCTGTCAAGGCTTTAGGTCCTATTTACAACTTGGTATCTTATTGCCACGAAGAGACTGTTCCATCGGTCTTATGATGTTTATTTTAACCTGAGTGCTGGTCAGTTGTTGTGTCTAAACTGCAAAAGAGAGCGGTTATAATGAGGTGCGGCTGACCTGCCATTCCATTATGCTTGCAAATTCAACTTTTAAGGTTTTTCTGGGGTCCCCTTGGCCAAGAGAGGGTCTGTTCAGTGGTTGGGGGGCTTAGGATTTTATTTTTCATACTCAAGATTTTCAAGAGGAAGACCACAGGGATGAACTGTAATTGTCATCATATCATATCAGGGGTGTATGCGATCGACATGTCTTATCATGTGGATATTAACCTTGACTGTATGAGTCAGAAAGTGTTTGCCAGGTTGATCCACCGTATTTACTTTTCCTCCCTCAGGTGTCATAAGTGCAGTTCACACTCAAAGGGTGGGGATTGAAGTGCCACTTCCTTGATGTGGGGAGAGAGGATGTAGCTATTATACATAAGTTATTTGGAATTCTTCTGTATAGGAGACTTGTCTTTTCTCCATTTACTCATTCATTCAATCTTTTACTTGTATGAATGAACTTATAGGTATTTATTTAATATTTTGGGTTATATTTCAATATTACATTATTTAGTTCCTCAAATTGTTCTAGTATTAGCCATTGGAAGCTCTTTCTTTTTTATTTATTTTATTTTGCTTTAAGTTCTGGGATACATGTGCAGAACGTGCAGGTTTGTTACATAGGTATACATGTGCCATGGTAGTTTGCTGCACCCATCAACCTGTCATCTAGATTTTAAGCCGTGCATGCATTAAGTATTTGTCCTAATGCTCTCCCTCTCCTTGCCCCCCTACCCTCTGACAGGCCCCAGTGTGTGATGTTCCCCTTTGTGTGTCCGTGTGTTCTTATTGTTCAACTCCCACTCATAAGTGAGAACATGTGGTGTTTGGTTTTCTGTTTCTGTGTTAGTTTGCTGAGAATCATGGCTTCCAGCTTCATCCACGTCTTTGCAAAGGACATGAACTCATTCTTTTTTATGGCTGCATAGTGTGTACGTGCCACATTTTCTTTATCCAGTCTATCATTGATGGGCATTTGGGTTGGTTCCAAGTCTTTGCTATTGTAAATAGTGCTGCAGTAAACATATGTGTGCATGTGTCTTTATAGTAGAATGATTTATAATCCTTTGGGTATATACCCAGTAATGGGATTGCTTGGTTAAATGGTATTTCTGGTGTTAGATCCTTGAGGAATTGCCACACTGTCTTCCACAATGGTTGAATTAATTTACACTCCCACCAACAATGTAAAAGTGTTCCTATTTCTCCACATCCTCTCCAGCATCTGTTGTTTTCTGACTTTTTAATAATCGTCATTCTAACTGGTGTGAGATGCTATCTCATTGTGGTTTTGATTTGCTTTTCTCTAATGACCTGTGATGGTAAGCTTTTTTTCATGTTTGTTCGGTGCATAAATGTCTTTTTTTTTTTTTTTTTAAATACAGTCTCACTCTGTCTCCCAGGCTGGAGTGCAGTGGCACGATCTCGGCTTACTGCAACCTCTGCCTCCTGGCTTCAAGCAATTCTCCTCCCTCAGCTTCCCGAGTAGCTGGGATTATAGGCACCTGCCACAATGCCCAGCTAATTTTTGTATTTTTGTAGAGATGGGGTTTCACCGTGTTGGCCAGGGTGGTCTCAAACTCCTGACCTCAAGTGATCCACCCACCTCGGCATCCCAAAATGCTGGGATTACAGGCGTGGGCCACCACACCTGGTCATAGATGTCTTCTTTTGAGAAGTGTCTGTTCATATCCTTTGCCCACTTTTTGATAGGGTTGTTTGTTTTTCTCTTGTAAATTTGTTTAAGTTCCTTGTAGATCCTGGATATTAGACCTTTGTCAGATGGTAGATTGCAAAAATTTTCTCCCATTCTGTAGGTTGCCTGTTCACCCTGATGATAGTTTATTTTGCTGTGCAGAAGCTCTTTAGTTTGATTAGATCCCATTTGTCAATTTTAGCTTTTGTTGCAATTGCTTTTGTTTTAGTCATGAAGTCTTTGCCCATGCCTATGTCCTGAATGGTATTGCCTAGGTTTTCTTTTAGCGTTTTTATGGTTTTGAGTTTTACATTTAAGTCTTTAATCCATCTTGAGTTAATTTTTGTATAGGTGTAAGGAAGGAGTACAGTTTCTGTTTTCTGCATATGGCTAGCCAGTTTTCCCAGCATGATTTATTAAACAGGGAATCCTTTCCCCATTGTTTGTTTTGTCAGTTTTGTCGAAGATCAGATGGTTGTAGATGTGTGGTGTTATTTCTTAGGTCTCTGTTCTGTTTCATTGGTTGATGTATCTGTTTTGGTACCAGTGCTATGCTGTTTTGGTTACTGTAGGCTTGTAGTATAGTTTGAAGTTAGGTAGTGTGATGCCTCCAGCTTTGTTCTTTTTGCTTAGGATTGTCTTGGCTATATGGGCTCTTTTTTGGTTCCATATGAAATTTACAGTAGTTTTTTCTAATTCTGCAAAGAAAGTCACTGGTAGCTTGATGGGAATAGCATTGAATCTATAAATTACTTTGGGCAGTATGGCCATTTTCACAATATTGATTCTTCCTATCCATGAGCTTGGAATGTTTTTCCATTTATTTGTGTCCTCTCTTATTTCCTTAAGCAGTGGTTTGTAGTTCTTGAAGAGGTCCTTCACGTCCCTTGTAAGTTGTATTCCTAGGTATTTTATTCTCTTTGTAGCAATTGTGAATGGGAGTTCACTCATGATTTGGCTCTGTGCTTGTCTGTTGTTGGTGTATAGGAATGCTTGTGATTTTTTTTTCTCTGCCCCAGCCCTAAAATCAGCCATTTCTCCAAGAAGCTCTGGTTCCTTTTACTGAAGAATGGCAAAAACCAAGATCTGTGCCCTCACTGCTATTTGTTTGTTTTCTTAATTTGTTTATGTTGACTATTCTGGCTTTTGCGGGATGTCACTGTATATGACTGCAGTGCCCATGGCACACATTAGCCATGTGTAGAAAATTAGTGCTTGCTATGTGGCTGGTGCAAATTGAGATGACAAGTAAGTGTAAAATAGACACTGGGATTCAAAAACTTAGTATGACAAAGAATGAAAAATTACATGAATCATTTTTAAATGGATTACGTGTCAAAATGATAATATTTTGGAAATATTTAGTTGAATAAAATATTTTATTAAAAGTAAAGCTGCTTATTTATTTTTACCTTTTAAAAATGTGCTTACTATATTAAAATCACATTTATGTATTGCATTATATTTCTGTTGGATGGCACTGGTATATGGATCATTAAAATAGGTCTGCTCATTGTTAAAATTAATCTGCTCATCATTAGACTAGACCAGTGGCTCTCAATAGAGTGGAGGGGGTGGTGGATTTTGCCCTCCAAGGGACATAATATCTGGAGATATTTCCGGTTGTCACCCCTTGAGGGGAGTGTGTTAATGGTACCTGGTGGATAGAGGCCAGGGATACTGCTGAACATCCTAGAAGGTACAGGATAGCCCCCCACAACAAACAATTTTCCAGCCACAAATCTCAATAGTGTCAAGGCTGACAAATCCTGTACTACAAAAAGAAGGAGTATAGTTCTATCCTTCTTAAACACGTATTCCAGAATGGAAAGGCAGAACTGGTTAGAGTTTTAATCTGATCAAAGTGATGGAATGTTTTGCTTTAGGACAACTAATGCCTGGTGCACTGAGGTTCCTATATGCTGGGGAGCTGGAAAATGGAATGAAGAATCTTAGAGGATTCCATGCCCCTAGTAGGGACCCCAACCTTTTTGATGCTGAAGTAATAGAGTTGCAAAAACTGTTTGTTCTTGTGAAGTGGTAGTGATATGTGAAGGACAACTAAGGGAAATAGTTTCCTCAGAAAGATAAACTATCTTCAGTGGATATTAGAAAATAAGGATATTAATGTCTCTCAAATTCTATGGTCCTATATTGATCAGTTTGAAGATGTTACTAAGTGTTTATATAAATCTAGTAGAGGGGGTCTCTAAGAATCCCAGGGAAAAAATAAGAAATTAAGCCCAAAACATCCAATTCTTTAAATATGCTAACTCTTTAAGAAACACTGGCGGGGTGCGGTGGCTCACGCCTGTAATCTCAGCACTTTGGGAGGCAGAGGCGGGTAGATCACGAGGTCAGGAGTTCGAGACCAGCCTGGCCAACATAGTGAAACCCTGTCTCTTCTAAAAATACAAAAATTAGCCGGGTGTGGTGGTGGGCTCCTGTAATCCCAGTTACTCATGCGGCTGGGTCAGGAGAATCGCTTGAACCTGGGAGATGGAGGTTGCAGTGAGCCAAGATCGTGCCACTTCACTCCAGCCTGGGCAACAAAGAGCAAAACTCCATCTCAAAAAAAAAAAAAAAAAAAAAAAAAATTGCCGGGCGTGGTGGCCGCTCCTGCAATCCCAGCTACGCAGAAGGCTGAGGCGAAAGGATGGCTTGAGTCTGGGAGGCGCAGGTGGCAGTGAGTTGAGATCACGCCACTGCACTCCAACCTGGGGTGACAGAACGAGAATAGGTCTCAAAAACAAACAAGCAAAAAATCAAAACAAACAAATAAACTAAAACAAAAGAAACACTCTCCAGGCATAGAGAAAATAATATAAACTCAGTGGTAATCCTATACACATGACTCTCTCTCAAACTTGCACAAATATAGTAAATGAACTAACGATTTTAATCTTCAGAACCCTGGATCTTGCTTTCCAAGTGCCTGTCCCGCCGGCGTCGGGTCTGAGCGGCTCCCTGTGCTCGGATGGTTTGTGGGCAACCGCTCCTTTCCCCCACCGCCGCAGTCCACACTCAGCGTTCTGGGGAAGAGGCTGGGTCGGAACGGAGCCATCGCCGCTGGAGTATTCGGGGCCCTTTTCATCGGGTACTGCATCTACTTCGACCGCAAAAGACTGAAGTGACCCCAACTTAAAGAATAGGCGTCCAGAATAAAGAAAGAAACAGAAGCTGGCCGAGGAGTGAGTTGAGCTTTCCAAGTTAGCTGACCTTAAAGATGCTGAAGCTGTCCAGAAATTCTTCCTGGAAGAGATATAGCTTTGGTGAAGAGATCCTAGCTAAAGGTGTAGACCACCTGACAAATCCAAGTGCTGTGTGTGGACAGCCACAGTGGTTACTGCAAGTGTTACAACAAACTCTTCCACTACCAGTGATCCAGATGCTTCTGACAAAGCCCCTACCAGTTAATCAGAGACTTGTAAGTGCTGGCGCTTGGCCAAAGACGATGTGGAATGAGAAACAAATGTCAACATAATAAAATCTCAGTTAAAATACTTGAAAAAGTCTTAACTTGGTAGTTGAGCAGAAGGGCAAATATGCTTGTTATGAACTATTCTACATTGAAATCTACCAAAGTTAATGTTTACTTTGTGTAAATCCATTTGGTTCATTTATTTTTCCCAGTGAAAAGCATATTTTGATAGAGATCTTTTCATTTTTTAAGTACACTATGAGCTACTGAAATATCACAGATTTTGTTCATTTCTAAAACATGAGATTAAAATGTGCATATGGCCTTGCTTATGTTGAAAACACCCAGGGCTCAGTGTTGAAAGATAGGCAGAAAAGTGTAGGAGAAACTGAAGAATGCACATTTTTACGGCTAGTGCATTATGCTATAAATCAGAAAATTTGATAGAGACTTGATCGTGTTTGTGAAAACTGAGGATTAAAATTTTGAGGTGATGATTCCATTTAATCTCTTAGACATAAATCTGCGAGGTGTGCTGTTGTGCTGTGTTAACATTACCACCTTCCAGTGTGTCAGTCTTGAAATGTTTTGTTTAAATCAGTGAGCTTAATGTGTTCTAAGCAATTATCTCCTTGCATTTAAAATATAAGTAGTTGCAAACAGCACCAGGAATTAGATTTATGTATACCCCAATCAAGCTTTGTGAGCTCACTTTCCTCAATGTATTGAACGAGGGAGTCGGAGTCCATTTGCTGATCTGCAAAGTGTCCCTTTCAGCTTCTCGGTCATTTGGTTCTGTTTAGTATCTTCATATCCACCTTCATCTGAGGAACGTATGTTGGCAACCAGGCCTTGCCTTTTTTAATATTCTGAATTTCGCGTGCTTGCCTGACTTAGTATTTCCAAATTTATCTTTTTTCAATGATACAACTCTATTGTTGATTTTCACTGAAATTATGATTCTGTCACTACTCTGTAAATTAATCTGAAACTTAACTTTTAAGGTAACCGCGATGATCTACTTGTAAAAATGTTTGCTGCGTTTTGCTTTTATCTTCAATGTACCTCCTAAGTCCTACTTCAACCTGATTAATTTATCCTGTTAAACAATGAAAGTAAGGTGTGACCTTGTGACTGAAGACCTGAAAAGAATGGAGAGGGTGGGACCTCTTATTCTCAAATAGTGACATATTATCTGCAGTCACAGACTCAGTTTCAGAACGACAGTAAGGATACTTGGTGGCATCTGTTGGTACTTGGTGGCATCTGTTGGTACTTGGTGGCATCTGTCGAACTGAGCAGCATTTCTCATTGTACAGATAGCTTTCATTCTGCCTAAAAATCTGTGGGGAGATCCCAAAGACTTTTCCTATGTACTAGGCATTTCATTTTGGTTTACTTACAAACTCTTTTTAAGTGTCATTAACCTTGTTTTTTTTTATGGTATAGTGGAAAGAGAAATACAGTTCCAGTGTCTCCCTCTGGTCAGCTGCACAGCCTCGGGCAAGTCACAGTTCATCTCTGAACTTACCTGTAGTATATATAAGTGAACATTTGACTAGGTGACTCACACATTTGAGGATTTTCTCAGATACCTTGTGGGTTTGCCATCCTTATCCCTTAAACAGTACTTTTGATGATGAGGCACAATATCATTTTCAGGGGAGATGACCAGCACAAACATACCAGATAGTCAGTTTTACTAATAGGATCCCAAATCCACCCCAGTGCAGTGGTGACTGGTCAGTGACTGACCAGGCAGTGAAGAAACCTTTTGCACTAGCCCAGATATAGATAGAGGGACAGTCAAAGGGCAAATAGAGGAGGGAAAGGGAGCAAGGGGCAAACAGCTCAGCTGGGAAAGAACGGGCCCAGAGAAAGGGGGGTTGGCTGGAGGAGTGAGGGGGCAACTTAGGTTCGGAGAGGGTAGAAACACTATGTCCTTGAAAACTGTAGTGCAATATAAACTTGGTATCACTTGGCTCAAAATAATTGGCTTTGGTCTAATGCCTGAAAAGGCAGTGATATCGTCTTCATTTCACAGTTGATTAAGCCAAGTGCATTTTCTTATTTAAATGACAACTTCAGTGCTTTAAAATTACACACTACCTTTTAAAGCTAGCAGTGTTAAGTTAAAGAAAAAAGGCTGGGCACGGTGGCTCACGCCTGTAATCCTGGCACTTTGGGAGGCCGAGGCAGGCGGATCACAAGGTCAGGAGATCCAGGCCATCCTGGCTAACACAGTGAAACCCCGTCTGTACTAAAAATACAAAAAAATTAGCCGGACATGGTGGCGGGCGCCTGTGGTCCCAGCTACTCAGGAGGCTGAGGTAGGAGAATGGTGTGAACCCGGGAGGCGGAGCTTGCAGTGAGCTGAGACCACGCCACTGCACTCCAGCCTGGGCGACAGAGCGAGACTCCGTTTCAAAAAAAAAAAAAAAAAAAAAAAATCAGCTCTTTTTTAAATTCTCTCCCAGAAACACAATTGCCACTTTCTGTTCCCATCTTAAGTTTACCGGGTGATAGAACCAAGTCCCTGAGGTAGGAGAATGGTGTGAACCCGGGAGGCGGAGCTTGCAGTGAGCTGAGACCACGCCACTGCACTCCAGCCTGGGCGACAGAGCGAGACTCCGTCTCAAAAAAAAAAAAAAAAAAAAAATCAGCTCTTTTTTAAATTCTCTCCCAGAAACACAATTGCCACTTTCTGTTCCCATCTTAACTTTACCGGGTGATAGAACCAAGTCCCTGTGGTGATGCTGGCCAAATGCTGCTCAGCAGGTGAGAACAGAAAAACAAAACAAAACATAACAAAACCCAGATTTCAGTGGAATGATAAACAGCTTGAATGTTTCCATGTGCTAACGTTGTACACTTACAAAAAAAACTTTGGAAGTGGAAAATATGTATTAGTGCCATGTTGACAATGTATCTTTAGGCAAGGATACATTGTTTGTTTCCACAATTTGTACTTAAAGTGAAAGCACATGTAAAACATAGACTTAGCTGGCCCTGGAATTGCTGTTATGTTTTTTATTTATTTTATTTTGTTTCATTTTATTTAGAGATGAAGTCTTGCTTTGTTGCCCAGGCTGGAGTGCAGTGGCACAATCATAGCTCACTGCCACGTCAAATACTTGGGCTCAAGGGATCCTTCCACCTCAGCCTCCTGCTCCTGAGTAGCTAGGACTATAGGGGCTCTGTGTGTGTGTGTGTGTGTGTGTGTGTATGTGTGTGTGTGTAGAGACGAGGTCTCACCATCTTGCCCAGGCTGGTCTCTAACTCCTGGGCTTAAGGGATCCTCCTGCGTCAGCCTCCCAAAGTGATGCTTTTCTATTAACAGACAACTAGAACTTATGTCACACTTAATTTATGTAAAGTGTGTAAAACCTAGAATAGTGTACATAGTAAATATTTGATTCCTTTTACCCATGAGTAAGTTTATTTTACCATCTTCTTGCCTATCTTTCTGACCTTGTTGAAACAACCTGAGGACCAGAGTATTAATGAAATGTTATTGCAGAAGAGATTATGAGAAAATTGGTATATACTACAAATATCATACAAAATCTTGTAAGAAATGCAGTTTTATTATCGCTTCAATCTTAATTGTTTAAGTGACTATTAAAGGGATTGGAGAAAAAGAAAAGAACTCTGCATCTTAAAATGTTTTCTACTAGAAAAAAATTACAATTGAGAAATACAATCTTTAGTTAAATGTATACATTACAGTCAAAATAGAATAAGATAAACATGAAAATCAATGTAAAAACAAAAGAGTAGTAAAGTTTAAACAATATTGCATCTTTCTAATATACGCCATTTCTCTCTCTCAACAGTTTGAGTTAAAAAAATAGGAAAATCTGACTAGAACTATGGTCAGTGCTGATGAAGAAGCAAGACATTCAAAGTAACTTCAGGTCAGATATTAGTAGTAATTAAATAATTTAGGAATCCTTTCTCTTCTTTTTTTTTTTTTGCTGTGAATTCAGTTTTATTTGGCATAATTAACAGAGAAAATTTTATGCTTCCATAGGAGATTTTGGTTACTGTTTTCCTTTTTTTAAAACTGAGATATAATTGCATACTATATAATTAATTCTTTCAAAGTGTACAATTCAATAATTTTTAGTACATTCACAGAGTTGTGCAATGATCACCACTATCCACCTCACAAAGAAATGCAACATCCATTAGCGCTCACTCTCATTCTCCTTGTCCAGCCCCTGGCAACGTCTCCTCTCCTCTCTGTCTCTATGGACGTGCCTATCTGGATATTTCCTATAATAGGAATAACAGCGTGTGACCTTTTATGACTGGCTTCTTTCACGTAACATAAAGTTTTCAAGTTCATCCGTGTTGCAGCCTGCATCAGTGCTTCATTTCTTTTTATGGCCAAATAATATTTCACTGCATGCATACACTACATTTTATTTATTCATTCATCTCGATAGACATTTGGACTGTTTCCACTTTTTGGCTGTTGTGGATAATGCTTCCATGAATATTCATGTACAAGTGCCTGTGTGCACATATGTTTTCAATTCTCTTGGATTTATGTCTAGAAGCGGAATTGCTGGGTATGAACACCATTTCAAATACTGCTGAAATATTGTATCCACTGATTTATGTAATAGTTATTGCTTTGAAAAGATTAAAGCAGAAAGTGGAAGCTGGCTTTTTAATTTGACTTACATGGCTGTTTTGTACTTCCTATCATCTCATTAATCCATGTGGTTCCACTACTTGCTTTTACCAGTTTGGCTTCTATAGGTATGTGAGTTTATGGCTCCTCCATTAAGAGTCTCTATTTTTTGGCCGGGCGCGGTGGCTCACGCCTGTAATCCCAGCACTTTGTGAGGCTGAGACAGGAGGATCATGAGGTCAGGAGATCGAGACCATCTTGGCTAACACGGTGAAACCCCGTTTCTACTAAAAATACAAAAAATTAGCCAGGCGTGGTGGCAGGCACCTGTAGTCCCAGCTACTCGGGAGGCTGAGGGAGGAGAATGGCATGAACCCAGGAGGCGGAGCTTGCAGTGAGCTGAGATCACGCCACTGCACTCCAACCTGGGGGACACAGCGAGACTCTGTCTCAAAAAAAAAAAAGAGTCTCTTTTTTTAAAATATTTAATATTTCATTTCAAAATAATACTATGAGTTTTAATTATGCGTTCTACAAGGAAAAAATAAAAGTCCAAATTTTCACTGGAGAAACATTAAACACCAACTACTGTAACTAATTTATGCCTGGCTTTCCCCCCAAATGCTCATTGTCAGAAACCAAAGAGAAAACTTCCCAAATTGCTGTGACTAAATGGGCGGGCATGCAGAAATCCCACACAGGAAGCCCCTCAACAACAGAACAGAAGAATCTCAGCTTTAGTTCTTTAGTTTAAAAAAAGTTTATTCTTAAAAAAGGCAGAGGCTGGCGAGCATCTGCAGTACTTTCAATATGAACAATGGTGGAAAGCCAGAAGTATTTAAACAAAACCACCATTCCAATGACATCTTTTGCTCTTTTCTTGATGGATATCCAACTGTTTAAGCCTGAGACACAAACGTCACCCTTGGTGCTTCCTCTCCCTCATCCCCTACAGTAATCTAATAACTGAGCTCTTCTCTAGTCCATCCATGCCTCCTTTTCCACTGTCACTACCTTAGTTTGGCTGTCATAATTGCTCATATAAGACACTGTCATCACATCACTTCCTGTCTTAGCCCTTCTCCTAACTCCAGCCATACTTAATTTCTTTCAGTTCCTGGGATTCCTCACTCTGTTCCTCACTTTTGAGTCTTCAGATAATACCCAGAAATATATATAGGACAAGTCACAGAGCTAGTTTTCAGTAGTGGCCAGAGTCTTAAAATGTTTTATTTTGGTCTACTGTTACAAGATGTCATAATGCTATCTTCCTTAATATTAATTTTTAATGCCCAGAATAATCCCAAACTCTGTATCATCAAAGCTAATAAGGTCAGTATAAATATTATTTTTTGTATTTACAGAAAACTGAAAGAAAATGCAGGCAATATTCCTCAGTTTTATCAGAAAAACTGTCTCCAAGGAAAAGAGAACTGTCTCCAAGGAAAAGAGAAGTTTGAAAATTCAAATATAAATGTAATAAAAATATTTTGGAGAGTACTATAAAATTCTAGAAATTAGGCTGGGCACAGTGGCTCATGCCTGTAGTCCCAGCACTTTGGGAGGCCAAGGTGGGCAGATCACGAGGTCAGGAGATTGAGACCATCCTGGCTAACACGGTGAAACCCCGTCTCTACTAAAAATACAAAAATAATTGGCTCAGCATGGTGGCGGGTGTCTGTAGTCCCAGCTACTCAGGAGGCTGAGGCAGGAGAATGGCATGAACCTGGGAGGCGGACATTGCAGTGAGCTGAGATCGTGCCACTGCACTCCAGCCTGGGCAACAGAGTGAGACACCGTCTTGTAGCAGGATGAGCTGCAGACAAAACCACTCAGACACCGAGTTGTAGAAGGAAGAGCTTTACTCCACTGGGAGCATCAGCAGACTCACGTCTCCAAAAACTGAGCTCCCCGAGTGAGCAATTCCTGTCCCTTTTAAGGGCTTACAGCTCTAAGGGGGTCCACATGAAAGGGTCGTGATTGATTGAGCAAGCAGGCGGTACATGACTGGGGGCTGCATGCACCAGTAATCAGAACGGAACAGAACAGGACAGGGATTTTCACAGTGCTTTTCCATACAATGTCTGGAATCTATAGATAACGTAACTGATTAGGTCAGGGGTTGATCTTTAACCAGGCCCAGGGCACGGCACCAGGCTATCTGCCTGTGGATTTCATTTCTGCCTTTTAGTTTTTACTTCTTCTTCTTTGGAGGCAGAAATTGGGCATAAGACAATATGAGGGGTGGTCTCCTCCCTTATTCCCCCTCTTTGAGAATCTCACTCATTAGTGGGAGTTCTCACTTTCATTCTCACTACCCATGTCTTCTTGTAAGACAGATCGATAGTGATTCATATAGTACACTTGTGCTGAAGCATTTTGGTAAACTAAGGTAGTGATGAAGCTTTTTATCATTTGAAGAAGTATGGGTAGCAAACAAGGGAGCAGTAAGCAGGTTTCTATTACTATTATAACTCCTATTATAAGAGTTTTAAATCTTCTTAGCACTGGGAACCATTTTTCAAACATGGCCCCAGGATCAAATCCATGCCACACTTGCATGGGCACATGTGCCAATTTTGTTATATTTCTAACTATGTCTTCAACTGCTTGCCCTGATCATCTATGTGTAGACAGCAATTAGTAAGGTTAAATTTCCTACAGACCCCTCCTTCAGCTGCTAGCAAGTTGTCAAGAGCCAATCTATTTTGATAGATAGCATTTCTCATCTGAGTTTCTTGCTGGGCCAGAATAGTCAAGGCTCTGCCAGTCTTATTAGTGATTATTTCTAAGATAGCTTGTAACCATATGATTTGGTTGAGTATGTAAATGGGAGTCTGGAATCCCTATGAGCCATCTTGTGCCCAAGTAGCAGGCCCATAATATTATATTATTCTTTCAGGGGGCCATTCATCATCTTTCCAATTTCCTATAGCTATGCTTCTCTTTTTGCAGGAAGCATAGACAGGGAAGCCCAGGAGTTCACCTGTCTTTATGGGCAGTAGGAAGAAAGATGGTTTAATAGTGCCAATAACACAACTACCTGCCCACTGGCCGGGTAATTTGGTGTAAGCTCTATGCACACATATCCAGTATAATCCAGTGGGGGCTGTCCAGTCCTGGTGGGACTCTGGGTGGGTCCACACAGTTTGCAACTTTGGGAATTAACTAAATGGATTTTTCTTAGTGTGGTTTGAACTCCACCAGGTGGCTGTTTTTGTAGTACTATTATACAGTTTTTGCCCAAGGCAGCTGAGTCTTCCCACAGGAAGGGTGAAGTCCTTCCCCACTCTTGCTATACAGTATTGTCTAATGATTGAGGCTTTTAGGACCTAGAAGTTATCAGGGTGAGTCTTTTGAGCTGGGAATTTATCAGGAACTGGGTCTGTAGGTACTAATTCTCGGGCTTCCCATGGCCATTGATCTCCCATTACAGTTCCTCCACATACATAACATGAAGTGACATTGAGAGACTGGGCTACATGCTCGGCTTATTGCAAAAACAAATTTCTTGTTTTTCCTGGAATTTCTGGTACTGGCACATTTAGTTCATCATAGAAGATTTGAAATACTGGCTCAGGAGAGCATTTATAAACTTCTCCTCAAACCACGATATTTACTCGAGGATCCAGTCCAGCCCCATCAATTTCTAGGGTTACATGCTCCCCATTTTTTCAGCAAGGATCAAGGGGATTGGTTATTACTAGTTCTAAGGGGTTACACTGACCACTGGTACAGGAAGGGCCACTTTCCCTTTCTGAAGGTGGACAGGATTCTTTTTATTTTTTATCCACATAGCCTAAATGACACAAGACCAGTATCTACATTTATTTCCACACAGTCCTAATTCATGACAAATGTACTTATTTTCTGCCATACAGCCTCTTTCCTAATTAAGAGAACCACATCATGTTTCTAACTTATTACTATTAATGACAGCACAGGCATCAAATTTCAAGGTGACTTGTTTGGGAATCCCTTTTCTTTCCTTCTGTTTTGGCTAACACTTTACTCATATCATTTATGAGCCCCCACCAGTCCTCAGTACTTAATCTTATTTTTAAAACTGTGGTCATGGGAGGCTCAGATGGGTCATAACACACATCAGGTTGGTCATTTCCTGGGCTACATACCTTGTATAGAATAGCATTATACAAACAAGTTCTTTTTACAGTCCCAGTACACTTACAATAAGCATAAAATAAGACTGTAGCAACTTTTTGTCCTACCTCTGTGACTTGATATATACACTGGGAACAGTCCTCAGTCTGAGGAAGGTCAGTTGAAGTACTTACTATACAAGTCCAAATTTTAAGGAAAATGAGTCCCATGAAGAGTTTTCTCATGCTTCAGCCATGCGTGGACCAGTTAGCTTCTGGGTGTGACTGGAGCAGGGCTTCTCGTCTTCTTCAGAGTCACTTTACAGGGGTTGGCGAAGCTGCTCCCATTCATGTACCGCTCACAGTCTACTGTTCAAGGGTGGTCTTGGAGATTGGTCCCACTAGAATAAACGGAGTCCAATACCTCTACACAGTTATGTTCAACTGGGCTTTCTGATACTGGGAGCAAGGTGGCAGGGTTTAGGGTGTTGCAAAACTCAATGGTTATGCGGGGATTTTCACATAGCAAGCTTTGGTACTTGGTTAATCTAGCATTTGTTAGCCAATGATGTATTCATGAAAGTCACCATAGCGTGGGGGGCCTTTAAGTTTAGGTTTTGCCCAAGAGTTAGCTTATCCACCTCTTGTGCTAGCAGAGCTGTTGCTGCCAAGGCTCTTAAGCACAGGGGCCAACTCTTAGAAACTCCATCTAGATCTTTGACGAGGTAGGCAGGCCTCAGCCAGGGCCCCACAGTCTGGGTCAAAACTCCATCTGCCACTTTTTTTTCTCTCTGACACATATAGTGTTAAAGATTTTGTCAGGTCATGTAGCCCCAGGGCTGGGGCCGACATGAGTTTTTCTTTTAACTCATGAAAAGCTTGTTGCTGTTGGTTTTAACAGATGTAGTTTATCCAATCTACATTTTTATTAACTGTCACCCACCGAAATATTGACTCAAATCCTGCAGCTATTTGATTTTGGGCTTTAAATTGATCTGGTATTCCTCATGGGACTTCAATTGCATCTAAATAGACGTGAGAGTTGAAAGACCCATAAGGGGCTTCTCTTGCTTTATGATATCTTATTTTTCCTCCCTCTGGTTGATGAAATGCCAGGGTGAAAGGGATAGCCAACTGGACTAAAGTACAAGTACCACTCCAGTTATTGGGCACAGTGCCTAGTAAAGGTCCACCACAATACCACCACACATCTGCTCAGGGATGAACAAGGGCTGACTGATTGATAAGCTCTTGAAAATTCTTAAGCTCATTGCATCCCTTCAGGTCTCCAAAGAAGGCTAAGTTTCCTCCCTGTCGTGAGAGACAAGAAGTGAACTTAGTGTTGGGAGATGGAAGCTGGATGTCCCCTGGGGGCTGACCCACAGGGTGCTGGACTTTGGGATATAGCAGAGGGAGCTTGGCATGACTGATTACTCCAGGCTGTAGAATCCTGGAAAAGAGCTACCATGCAGCCCATGCCTGGTCGACTGGAGGACCACCCCAGTGGAAAGGGGACAATCTGGGCCTCTGGACTGCCATGTGCACAAGCATAACAATTGCTTTTGTTTTATGTGTGGACAGAATATTTGATCCATTTCAACCAGGCATTTGCATCTTGGCATCCTGCTTAATTGCCAAAGTTTGTTTTCAGTCTTTAACGTCTATGATCCTCTAGTAAAATGAATGTATGATTTTAGGAAATTACAAAAACCGGTTGGGGCAGTCCATCCTTGCTCTTTAGTGGTCCACAGAACATTGGACCAACTACAGCATAAAAACTCTCTACTGGGGGGCAAGACTCCTGATTGACACTGGGGTTTTTAATCAAAATCTCCCTGGATTAAATGGTCCCAATTTATTAATGCCCAGTCTGAGGAGAGTCAGGAGGGACAGAGGTACTTTTCTGAAGTAGAGAGCTGTCTTTGACTTGGCAAGTCCCCACAGGGTATAACAAGGCAAGCATTAAATGCAATAGTTTGAGGCAAAATTGACTTGGTTATGTTAATAACTAGATGGTCAGAAATAGAGTGAAGAAAGAAGAAAGAGCGATAGAATAGAAGAAGGAGTTAAACTTTTCTTAGCTTTAGTTTTGTAGGGTTTTCTCCTGGGACTGTGGCCCACAACTCTGGAGGGGGTGGTGCTTTCTTGGCTTGGGTGTGATGAGTCCATTCCTTTTCTGCTGTATGAACAGCAGTCTCGGTGGATAGCAGCACAAGGTAGGGTCCTTCTCAGGCTGGCTCGAGTTTTTTTCTTTCCACCCTTTGATGAGAACATGATCTTCAGGCTGGTGCGGGTTTACCAGAAATTCTAGGGGTGGTACATGTGCTAAAAGACTTTTAGTTTTGAGGGAAAGGAAAGTGGAAGATAAAGCAAGTATGTAATTATTTTTTAAAGAAATTGACCTTTTGTTTTAAATGTGGGGACATCGGCAGTGGACTTTATAGTCCTTGGTGCCTTTCTACTACGAAATTTCCTTTAGTACCTATTTTTTATTAGTTTTTAGACCAAAGAAGCCAAACACTATTTTATATTTGACAATTCTTCTTGTATGATTTTTATACCAGATAAGCTAAATTTCACCTTTATATTAGTATGCTATTAATGTTAAAGTTAGTTTTAATAAAACTTTGTAGGCATATTTATTCAATTTTTAATGTCGGACCATTAGGTAAGATTTTTATAGACTCTTTTTAACCTTTTATAATCTTTGTTAAAGAGCAGGTTAGTGCTTTAAGAGAAACCTGTTGTGTTTTTACTTTAATGTCCAGTTCTCAGAAAAACTGGATGATACCCCTTTAACTTTAGCTAATATATTTACACACAGAATTTACACACAACTAACATTTGAAAACTTGCTTAAACCTTTAAAACATTTTTTTAACCCTTTAATGTAGGTAAAAAGTCCACATTCTTATGTCTCCTTATAATCCCTTTACCAAAGGTATACTTTACTTTCCTTATACACCTTGCACAAAACTGTCTCTTCAATAGTTTTACATTCAGGAGGCCTAATTACTTTTAAATTATACAACATTTCTTGCATAAATTCTTTTTCTAACACACTTTTTTTTATAACTTTTTTTCTCTTTCACGACTTTCACAGACAATTCTTCAACATGCCTCAGCTGTCTGACTTATTACAAACATTTCTTTCTTTAAACAACCGGTTAATTTATTTCAGGACAAGAATTTACCATATAACATTATTTTTGCATAAATTCTGCCCCCCTTTTTTTCCTGAAGATAACCGTTCTTTTCCAAAGCAAACTTCCTTTATGTCTGTGGACTAGACTGTCTAAGGCCACAAGATTACAGGTTACTATAATACATGTTACACTGTTAACTTTTAGTAAACTTTACTTTTGTTGAAAACCTTGTAAGTTTGGGATTTCAATTATCCTTTGCTATTAATAAGACCTTGTTTAGTCCAAACTAACTTAGAATTGGTATAGATGGCTTTTTTTTTTTTCCTTCAATTGCCCGGGAGGAACCATCTATCATCCTGTCCTGAAGGGAGTTCCTCCTAGGTCTGGTCGGACCTTTGTATGGTAATTAAGATTTAGATCCCCTGTTGGGAAACCTGCTGGGTTAAGGGAATTTTCAGTGGTTAATGTTAAATCATCGTTTTTTTTTTTTTTTTTTTTTTTTTTTCCTTAGGATACTTCTGAACTGGTGAGGTGTGCTCACAATGAGGTTTCCTCTAAAAGTTATTTTTTACTTTCTTCTGTTAGCAAAGCAGTTGCCACTACAGATTGAATGCATTTGGGCCATCCATAGGTTACAGGGCTAAGGATTTTTGATAGGAAGGCCTCAGTGCTTTTGGGATACCCCCTTGTTTACACTGACAACAAAGTGGTATTGGAGTGTTATAGGCTTATGGAGAATACCTTTAATTATCAATTATAGGTTTTAAATTTACCTTGGCTTTTAAAGGAATAGTGTACACTTTTTTTTTCTTAACTACTTGTATATTTCTCTGTCTCTCTCTTTGACTTTCTGTCTCTCTCTCTCTCTTTGACTTTCCTTTTGCCTCTGTCTCTTCCTCTCTCTCTGCTTCTCTTTCTCTCTCTCTCTTCTTGACTCCCTCTTTGTCTCTCTGTCTCTTCCTTTCTCTCTCTCTGCTGGTCTTTCCTTGCCTCTGCCAGCCGCTTATGCTGCTGTTCTCTCAACCACTGTGGGGGGTGGTCTAAAACCAGCTGTAACCAAGTGTCTATGTATGGGAACTGGTCTGGGTGCCCTGGCTTACAAGTTACCTTGTGCCATACCTTTGAAACAAGGGACCTGTCCAGGCTTCCTTCTGATGGCCACCTCTAATGCTGGCCAGTCTACCTTACACAAAGTTTTAAGTTTTCCTGGTGTCATAGTACTCCATAGTCTCCCTTAAATCTTTTCTTGAAATTTTTCCACATATTTCCTAGTGTGGTGGGCTTACTTTGTGCCTGACCCATGCTTCCTTGAGACAAAACACCACACTCACACCTCATGCACACCACAAAACAAAGAACGGATAAAAAGGGCACACACGCACTTTTACAGTTTACACCAAACCAGAATCAAAACCAAAATCAGAGTATCAAGAAATCCAAGCCAGGTCAAAACCAAAACCGAAGTATCAAGCAATCCAAGTCAAGTCAAAAACAAAAACCAAAGTGCCGGTACAGGCACGCTGTGGGTGATCAGGCCATGCTTCCACTAAAATGGAGTGGGCAAGGTCTAAAGACCAGTCTTACCAAGTTTCAGATGTCCGGACTCCAAGTGCCAGTTCCTCCTGGTGTTCAGCCACCATATTGATCCTCCATTGGGGTCTGCCATGCTCTGCTCTAACAAGGCATTCCACCAGGGAAAATGCCTACCCAGGAGTGCTCTCAGGATCCATGTTGCTCAAGCTGGCTGCAGTCCCCTGCAGGGATGCTCCACAGAGCAGGCCTAAGCTGCCTAAGGGGCTGCCTAGACCATGTCTGTTAATCACCTCGCTTTCTGGTCAGAATACCAAGCAATGTAGTAGGACAAGACACAGACAAAACCCCTCAGACACTGAGTTGTAGAAGGAAGGGCTTTATTCAGCTAGGAGCATTGGCAGACTCACGTCTCCAAAAACCGAGCTCCCCGAGTAAGCAATTCCTGTCCCTTTTAAGGGCTTACAACTCCAAGGGAGTCTGCGTGAAAGGGTCGTGATTGATTGAGCAAGCAGTGGGGTATATGACTGGGAGCTGCATACACCGGTAATCAGAATGGAGCACAACAGCACAGGGGATTTTCACAGTGCTTGTCTATGCAATGTCTGGAATCTATAGATAAAATAACCAGTTAGGTCAGGGGTCGATCTTTTTTTTTTTTTTGAGACAGAGTCTCGCTCTGTCACCCAGGCTGGAGTGCAGAGGCACAATCTTGGCTCACTGCAAGCTCTGCCTCCTGGGTTCATGCCATTCTCCTGCCTCAGTCTCCTGAGTATCTGAGACTACAAGCGCTTGCCACTATGCCCAGCTAATGTTTTGTGTTTTTAGTACAGACGGGGTTTCACCATGTTAACCAGGATGGTCTAGATCTCCTGACCTCATGATCCACCCGCCTTGGCTTCCCAAAGTGTTGGGATTACAGGCGTGAGCCACTGCGCCTGGCCAGGTCAGGGGTGGATCTTTAACCAGGCCTGAGGCATGGCGCCAGGCTATCTGCCTGTGGATTTCATTTCTGCCTTTTAGTTTTTACTTCTTCTTTCTTTAGAGGCAGAAATTGGCATAAGACAATATGAGGGGTGGTCTCCTCCCTTAGTTTAAAAAAAATACTAGAAATTAAAGCTTCTACGTAGGAATCAGACTCTTTACTCATCATAAGGAAATCCTTGAATTATACTGTCTCGGTTGCAGTAATCAAAAATTCAAAGGCCATACTAACTGGACGCAGACTCAGAAAACAGAAACAGGAAAACAATGGCTTAATTTAGCACACCGAATATTCTTGATATCCTTATCATTAACTGTAACTTAGTTAGCGTGATATTTTTGATCCTTAAGTTTTTAACATCGTATAAAGAATTTTCCATCCAAAGTAACATGAGGCAGAGCTACCTGAATTTCAGTGGTGATAAGACAAAAATATTTTGGCCCACAGCTTTCGCAGGAACACTCTGAAGGAAAGTTAACTCTGTGAAGTTTAATTTCTATCTTCCTTGGCCTACATTTTTTTCTAAGGTAGTGATTTTCAGTGACCTGAAACCCAAGCTGCGCCTGCCCTTTTCAATGACTAAATGGTTACAAACCAAAAAAGGTTGAACACTGACTGACAGGGGAGAGCTAGCAACTCTACTTCCTGTGTTACTTCTCAAAGTGGGGTCTGGGAACACCCTGGGGTACATGGATCCACAGGATACGGACTGGCCTCAGAAAGGCAATACCATCCAGTGTGGTGAGGGTGCAGGGACAGCAGTGTTCTCACTACTGCTGCTGAGACTGTGAAATGGCACAACCTTCTGTGGGAAAAGCAATATTCATTACAGTTTACAATGCAGGCCCTTTGACTCAGTAATCTTACTTCTAATTATTTATACCTGAGCAAATGTACGCACACATAAGTGCATATTTACTGCAAATCTCAGCTAAAGTCATTATTAGCTAAAGGTCTTTAATTAGGCTTAGGGTTGTTATCCACATTTCAGATAGTATAAATACTACCATTCATTAATAATGTTAAGTTACGTTGCTAAAAATTGTTTTTACACCTTAGGTTAGGCATGTGCAGGAATTCAATGGCTACAGGTTACATGGCATTAGTCTGGCTTTAGCTATATGATGAGGAAAATTAGGAAGTCCATTCTAAGATATGTCGTGTTTGGTAAGGACATTCTAAGCAAATTAGGAAGGCAGGTGCAGGGAAGAAAAAACGGTATTCACACATCCTCCTCCAGAATATCACAAGCCAAATGGATGCGGGACATGTCTACTTGACAGGACTCTGATTTTAACTTCCTGGATTGTAAGCTCCAAAGTTTTATACAGGAGTTGTCAAACCCAGCAGCAAGCAGCTTGCTATCAGGGGAGATTTCTGCAGTGTTCAACAGCTGCTAGGTGTTATAGAAGCAGACGGTAGTGAGGGAGGGACACCCATCCTTGACTTGCTTAATGCGCTCCTGTAAGACCTCCAGGGCAGCATCGTTCTGCAGAATAGGGCTGGGCATATCAGGGGCCTCCAAGTAATTGTTCTCACTGCGGGAGGAGCTGCCACTTGCATACAGCTGTTAGTCTGTTGTCTTGGCAGGCTGCACATCAAGATGAATAAGTAAGATAAACATTTTGCACAGGGCAGTATAGCTGTCACTTTGGAGGTAGTGGATAAGGTAGTTGTAGCTGTCTTCTTGGAGATGGACCACGTAATTGTTATCTAGGAATGCTCGAAGCTTGAAGTTAGATAGGATGTCCTGGATGGTTTGAGTGGTCTGTAGCTGCTCAATGACGCCCTTCTGGCTAGCTTTCTGCAGAAACATTCCATGGAAGCGGCTGTAAAAACTTTCCACTGTACTTTTTGGACTGTTCTGGACCAGGCTGAGATGGAGGCAGACAAAGAGAGGATAAAGGAGAGGCATCACTTCGTGGCTATGCGGGGAATCAGAATCGATGAGAAAATTCCGCAGTCGTCCAAACTGTACTTCATATTGCTGGGGCTCTGCCTGGCAAGGGACTGCAGACACTATGTCGGCACAATGAGATTCTCTGTGTACCGTGAGATTGGCCGCCAACTCTTCAGCAGTCTGTGGCAGCCGCAGTCCTTGCTTCAGGGGACCGTCTGAGTCCACGTACTGCCAGCGTTTGAGGTAGCAGGACACTGCCATCTGGATCTCCTCGGTACGCACTCATTTCATGACTGAACATCCCAGGCGGCCCCGGCTCCCCACGCCGCCGCCTCCCGGATCGAGATGCTTCCGCCTCCGTCGTCTCTGCTGCAGGTCTCGCTCTGACCGCCGGCTCAGCTGTGTCCTGGAGCCCCGCGCCCCGCCGCCCTCGCCGCCGCTCTGGGCGGCCGCTCTGTGACTCTTTATTTTAATTATTATTATTTTTTAGAGCCAGGGTCTCGCTATGTTGTACAGGCTGGTCTCAAACTCCTGGCTCAAGCGATCTTTCCACCTTGGCCTCCCAAAGTGCTGGGATTACAGGCATGAGCCACTTCGCCTGGCCCAAGAATCCTTTCCTTACTAAGACTTTTCACGAAGATTGAGAGGGTTTTAGTATTATTTAGTAACAAAAATACAAGACAATCAAATTTAATGCTTCTGAAGTTGTACCCTTTGTTAAAATTGTTTCATGAATTCAAGGTTTACACAATGCTTTTGAATCTTCTCCCTGATTCTCCCTGGTGTGAAATAAACATTTTCTTTGAAAATGCAAAGAAGGCGTTTTCAAGACTGTCGGATTGCTTTGGAACTTCTAAAATAACTACATTTTATTACCAAGTCAGATGAGTGTATTCATTGCACTAAATAGAACAGTATGAGAATGTAAACGTGGCCTTCCACTAAATTGGGTTATAATGGAAATGAATATTAGCATGCAGTCTTCCCTGCCCAGCCTCCTGAGTAGCTAGGACTACAGACAGTGCTACTAAGCCTAGGTGGCTCATTGTTTTGTTTTTTGCTTTTTTAAAAAATTATTTTTTATTTTTATATTTATTTTATTTATTATTATTTTTTAGATGGAGTTTTGCTCTTGTCGCCCAGGCTGGAGTGCAGTGATACGATCTCGGCTCACTGCAACCTCCGCCTCCCGGGTTCAAGCGATTCTCCTGCCTCAGCCTCCCCAGTAGCTGGGATTATAGGTGTGTGCCACCACGCCCAGCTAATGTTTGTATTTTTGGTACAGACTAGGTTTCGCTATGTTGGCCAGGCTGGTCTGGAACTCCTGACCTAAGGTGATCCGCCCGCTTCGGCCTCCCAAAGTGCTGAGATTACAGGCGTGAGCCACTGCGCTCGGTCTAGTTTTGTTTTTTGTAGAGACAGGAGTCTAGCTTTGTTGCCCAGGCTGCCTAGGCTCAAGCAATCCTCCCGCTTTGGCCTCCCAAATTGTTGGGATTACAGGCGTGAGCCACCGTGCCCAGCCTACAGTGGCTTTTGATGCCCTGGGAAAACACAGGTAATTATGTGCGCCTACAGAGTTATTCCATTTGTACCATTAGGGTAACATTTTCAGCCATCCTATTTCTCTGGCAAAACGTTTTGGGCCCTTGGTGACTTTTTGCTGAATGGGTGACCCGCTCCCTGCACAAAGCCATAAGAATCACTGGAGAGCTGAGGGTCTGGGGAGGCGCAAAGAGAAGGCTGAGAAGGCGATCTCGCTTTCATACACCTGCAAAGGGAAAGAGGAGCGCTGCACTCTCCCAGTCCTGGGGAGGACAGGAAAATGCTGCCACCGCGAAGACAGACGCCTACTGCACAGGCTTTAAATCCAGCCTGGTTGTGGGGCAGCGCTGGGGCTCGATCTTCCGCCCCGCTCCTTCCAGGGAGAAGGGAAGGGAGTCGAGGTCATGAGGGGAGGGGAGGGAAGGGAAAGGAGGGGCCGGAGGGACGGTGGGGAGGGGGGAAGTCGGAAGAAGGAAGGGTAGGGAGGGAGGGAAACTTGTCCAGGAGGAAACGCGGGGCTTCATTCTCTAAGGTGGTAGTGGATGCGCTGGTGGTGGTACACTTTTTTGTACGTCTGAAATATTTCATAATTAACATTTAAGAAATCTATTTTTTTTTGAGTGGGTCTCACTCTTGTCGCCAAAGTTGGAGTGCAGTGGCGCGATCACGGCTGATGTAGCCTTGATTTCCTGGGCTCATAAGATTCGCCCATTTCGGCCTCCCAAAGTGTCGGGATTACAGGCGTGAGCCACCGTGCCTGGACTGAGGAATAGTTCTGAACCTCATTCCCCAGGGATGACCACAGGTGGTGTCTCCAGGATGTTTCCCTGGTAACTGGTCACGTCCTTAGTTCCCAGGGCTGCTCTCCTGCTTGCTGTGACAGCCGTTCCGGGGGTGGGGACGACCTCACTGAGCACCCAGGAATAGGCGAGACCTCAGCATCGGTCTCGGTTTCCTGGTGGGGAATTTAAATGCCCCCGAAGGCGCTGTAGACACTGGCACGTCTTGGCGTTTTGTTGTGTGTGTGTGTGTGTGTGTGTGTGTGTGTGTGTGTGTGTGTGTGTTTCAAATCGGCTTTCTCCAGCTTCTGTCGCTCACCCTGCACGCTTCAGATTCTGCCCTCATCCCAGTGGGTCTGGGGGTCCTCACCCTGACCAGTTGTTAGTGGGCGCGAAGGACAGCGCCAGTTGGTGTCAGATCCCGGTCTAATCCTTGCCTGCCCCGAAAAGGGTCGAGTGGGCACCAATCTCTGCGGCTCGCGAGCAGAATCGGACTGGTGGGGGTGGGGTGGGGTAGGGAGGTGGGCGCGGGCCGAAGCTTCTGAGCGCCGCAACCCACCCCGGGGAGAGCCAAAGAAGGCGCGGGGAGCAGGGACACCTGCAGCAGGAGTCTCAGGTCCAAGGCCGTTGCCCTGGGGGATTGTTTTGGCCTGTGTCCTGGAGATGCCACAAACTGGGCCGGAGACCACGGCTGCCGCCAGTGCACAGAGCCTTCACTCTATTGCTTTATATGTTACTGTAAAAATAGCTATACTGAGCTATAATCGACATACATGAAACTGTACGTATTTAAAGTGTATAATATGAAGGAAATTGACCTACCTAGAAACCCTTGAAACCATCACGGCACTTAAGACAATGAACCTATGGGGAGGGCTGTTTAAGGAGAGTGAAGCACTTGCTAGTCCAAAATTGAAGGGGACACCAAACAAACATCACCTCTCAGTGAACAAGATAAACAATATTTAAAAAATCGAAATTAATGCGGCCAGGCGTGGTGGCTCATGCCTATAATCCCATCACTTTGGGAGGCCAAGGCGGGCAGATTGCATGAGCCTAGGAGTTTGAGACCAACCTGGGCAACATAGCAAAACCCCCTCTCTACAGAAAACAAACAAAAATGAGCCAGTGTGGTGGGGCGCCCCTGTAGTTCCAGCTACTCCAGTGGCTCAGGATCATCTGAGCCTGGGTGGTGGAGGTTGCCTTGAGCAGAGATCCAGCCACTGCACTCCAGCCTGGGTGACAAAGGGAGACCCTGTCTCAATAAATAAATAAATAAATAAATAAATAAATAAAATAAATAAATTAATAAAATTAACGCAAAAATCGGTGATAAATAAAACATAAAAATGTTAAATAAAGACAGGATCCAACTCTGCCTTTGCCTGGCCCTGCGTCACTCTCCTCACCCCAGTCCTGGCCCTGAACCAGTCCTCCCACCACAGAAGCCCCTCCCTCCCCTGCTCCAGCTTGCTCCCTTCCTGCATTCTAAATCAGCTGACTATATATTGCCTGCTTCTGGATCCTCTCTGCTGTCCCATTGGTCTGCTGGTCTATTTGTGTGCCCTGGCACATTGCTGTCGTATTAGAGATTTATTGTTTTTCAGGGTTCTTCAGCTCTGTGTGCCTTAGTGCAGTGCCCAAGGCCTCCAGCACAAGCTGCAATGGGAGTGAAAGTAAAGAGTATCCTTGCCTCATTCCTAAAACTCATGGGACAGTTTTTAATATTTCCTCACTGAGTGTGATTTTTTAAAAGTTTTTATTTTATAAATAATCTTTAACAGATTAAGGATATTTCTTTTTTTCTTAAAAAATCATTTTATTGATCCTTTACCATACAAAAGTTATTCAAATTACACCCATTTGAAGTGGTAAGATCACAGCTAGAGAACAGGTCACCCTGTAACAAATCTGTTTACAAAATCCATCATAAAAGCTTTTTTGTTGTTTTTTTTTTACATTATATTACATATTTTCTTTTTTAAACTAGC
The DNA here is from genome assembly GCF_000001405.40 of Homo sapiens. Lineage (NCBI taxonomy): Eukaryota > Metazoa > Chordata > Mammalia > Primates > Hominidae > Homo > Homo sapiens. Next base: position 35,494,194 of record NC_000017.11, on the reverse strand, counting down.
ATACAACACAAAGCTAAACCGATTAGTAATTTGCCTACTCCCAATTTTGGGAGAAATACTTCCTTTTTACAAAATCACGTACCCCGTAGGAAAATAAATTCCCACACTCTGACAACTGCTACCCGACTTACTCTGCAAGTCATCTTCCTTCAAATCCCTCCTTCTCATACACACGAGTTGTCATGCACACACTGAATTCTTATTTTCTTTTTCCCGAAAGCTTAAGCTTTGAATACTGCAATTTTATTTACAGATCTACACGTACAACAAAAATGAAAAGAAGAACCACAACTAAGAACAAAAACAAAAACAAAATAACACTCTTAAAAAATTACATGCCATCTAGAAAGTATTCTGGTAGTGTTTACAAATTAATTGCTATTTTTGTACAAAACTGCTAAAAATGAAAATGTGAGTAGACTACATGTCAACTTACATAAAATGATTGCTATGCACAACTCTGTACATATAAGCACATACCTAACTTTGTACTTAAAGTAATGCAAATACTGTAGTACTAACCCACTTTGTGTGCCAGATACTAAGTCAAAAAGAAAATTACTTGATGCAAACAAAATACAGTATGGACATCTAATTAATGTACACCAGTTAAGCCCAGTAACTGGAAAAAATCTTAGGCATGAAGGAACTTTTAAGACTTATTAGTATTCCTTTCATTTTTAAAACAATAAATACGGCATTACATTATGAACAATTTCAACAAAACACACAACAATCTAGCCAGGTGAGCTCAGTCTTTAGACTTTGGAGAAAATCAGCTTTGTGCAGCTGGCAAAGAGAATTATACAAAGCTGGAAGCAGAGGCAGCTAACCAGATGATATAAATTTGGGAAATAGGGGAAAGCTTGGCATAAATGGTTTCCCATACAGGAAAAACCCCACAGTGCATTTCCAGTAGGCACTTTACACAAAGCTCCCTCTCCCTCCCCCACCCCAATGCTTCCTCTAGGACCACACTGACATTTTGTACCAAGTCCAGTGTGTGTGAGGGGAGGAAGCCAGGGATGGAGGTTGAAGAAGAAAAAAGGAAGATAGTCTGCACCTTCGTTTTTCTTCCCAAACATACACCCACGCATACCCACACAAAGAATTTAAAGTGCTGGTGTCACCTGTCTTGACCCCACCACCACTTTGCATATTGTGGAAATCTACCTGGAGTAAACTGGCTGAGGCTCTTGTGGTTTTTTGCTTGTGTGTGTGTGTGTTTTTTTTTTCCCCTAAGGGATATTTTCAATTCAATTAAACATATGAGTTGAGTGCCTACTATGTGCCTACCATTGGGTCAGGCACATAACATTTCAATTTAATTGTTTGTTTTGAGGTTTGTTCTTTATCTGACCCCCTCATTCCCACAGTCCTTAGCATCCAAGGAATGGACCGGAGATACTACGCCATATTCCCAGTGGGAGATGACCACTGCCACCTGCCCGAGGGAAAGCCATTCTTGGACATAACTGGTAGGATTTGCAGCTGACACAAAACCTCCAACTTGGGACACCATTCCTGAAGAGTAAAGCGGGAGACACCCTGGAATTGTTTTGCTTCATTTTCTACGCCCCCAACTTCCCTTGGTCCAACTTATTCCTTCATAGAGGAAGGGGAACGGGGTCTGGCCAGAACTATTCCAGCCCCCAACACAGTGGGAGCTCCCCGTTCCTGCCAGCTTAAGGAAATGCCACTCACACAACGGGGATGTCTTTCTCCCGAGAGGTCTCTCCATCTGACTCCATCCTGAGAAGTGGTCTCCTTGAGTGTGGTATAAGAGAGCCCTTTCCCCCATCACAGGGGCCCAGGAAGCCCAAGGATGGAGGGACCCATGCCTGCTGCTCCTTGGGGCTAAGTCACCCAACCTGGTTCTCCTTTCCAATGGGTCACCCATGTCAGCAAGCCCCAGGACTGACTCGCTCCAAGCTCCTCCTTCTGGGAATGGAAGCATGGTGGGACAAAGCTCCTTGCAGAAGCTGATAAACCTTAGATCACACAGGTTTAGATGCTCTGATCAGTAGAGGTTCTCTCCCTCTGCTGAAGTAATGTGAATTTGCAAAAATCGCTTCAAAGTAAACAATTAAATTGAAATGGTGATGGGTGCCACAGGAATGCTTAAATGGCAGCTAAAAAAATAAAAAGTTCAAAACAATCCACAAAGAACTAAGTAGGCATTTGCTACAAATCAACTAGAAACTCACAAACACATTGGGGACAGGGGAATGGGAGTGGTTCATGGAGACAGGAAAATCCACAACAGCTTAGAGTGGCAGAACTCTACTAGTCTTCTGTATCTGCAACAAGTATATTTGAAAACAGGTTCTTCATCCAGAAGCCTGTGGAGATCTTCTTGACCTCCTACTGGGACACACAGTTCATAGCTTAAACTGAATTATGACAGTAATTTGAATATTCCTAAGAAGAGCTGAAGAAATTCATTTCATACTTTTGCATGACTTCAAGTTTGCATTTGCTGCAGTTCCATTCCATATCAGCAGACCTCAAAGACATGCATTCTGTGGAGAAGGCATGGCTTGAAATGCTATTAAGGAAGATTGCTGTTTCCCAGCAGGCCAGGTGGCCAGACCCCATTCTGCAGCCCATCCCTCAGGCACAGCAAGCCAATCCGGGGAGGAAGGAGGAAGGAAAAGTCGGGGTGAGAGACAACTGATTGTACATTTTCTCACTTGCTGACCTAGCCAGGAGATCTTGGAGCCTGTAGCAAAGCAGGGCTTTCCCAAGGGAGCCTGCAACTGTGCGTTTAGACAATTTGTTTATTAATTTTTAAAAAATTCATGAAAATGTCAGCTTTCTTCTGAAGTTTGTAGTTTACTTCATGATACTCTCCTGGAGGAAGAAAGTAGGAAGGGACAACATTGCATGACATATGTTCTGGTTCCATGATTTAAAAAAATTGGTTTTTAAGGAGAGTTCACATGAAGCATAATCAACTACACTTGAAGTCTTCCACCAGTGGGAGCTTTTCCAAATCATAGGCATCAAAGAGATCGCTGATGCCTTCCTCCTCCCCGAGGCTCAGGAGGAGCAGCAGGGGAGGCAGTAAGTTCACAAATGGTCATCTTGCAGCAGGGGAGGCAGTAAGTTCACAAATGGTCATACTAGAGGATTAGAAGGAATTTGGTCCGCAGTCTGCTGTAAGAGGTTGGCTGGGGAGGCCGGAGGAGAAAGGTTTCCCATAGAAATTGAGCAATCGCTATGTCCTGAGTTGGTTGAAACCAACGAGGTGGGTTTAAGGATATTCCCATTGGGGTCTTGGTTGTTTGTTGTCATTGGACTGTGTTTCAGTCTCTTCTGGACATAAGTAAACCTCAATGTGCCCTTGGGTACCTGCCAAATGTATTTGTAGGCTCTCTTATTGAGTCAGGCACTCAAGTCTTATTTCTGGAGGGGCTTTCACAACTATAACAGTTTGGTCTTTAAGGCCACTAATTTTTCGAATATGTTGATATGTAACGTAAGCTAACCTTTGACGATCTGAATCCTCGGTTAATAGTTTGAGGTCCAGCGTGCAGCTTGGGATCAGTTCATCTAATTTCTTCTCTTCCTGAGTGAGCTTGGTCATTTCTTTTGACAGGCCTTGACACTGGGTCAGCATGCCCCCATCCGCAGACAGACTGCAACCCATCCACTGGACGTTATTTTTAGACTTCTTCTTAATGAGATGGATGCCTTTCAGAGCTTTGGTGATATCATAAATCCTTCTATTTTGCACTTTTAGCACTTCCGCTGCCTTGTTCAAAACCAAGACCCCATCGGGTGACTGGTTCAGGAGCTGAATGAACTTCTTGGTGAGCAGATCAAGAGACTATCGTACCGTGTTTTTTCTGAGGTAGATTTTGGAGTTTTTGGAGTATCTGGACTTCTTAGTGCAGCTCTTCCTTTGCCCTTGGGGGTTTTTGAACCATCCGAGAGGTACTGATGACCGCTTTCTCCTAGCTCCAGACTTCACTTTGCCAGAGGGCCACTGCCGCCTCGTCCCAGCGCTGGTGGCTGCAGCAGCCCGGCTCTGCTGGAGGGTCCCTGCGGCGTGGTGTAGAGGAGGTTGCCGGCGGTCTGCTCCGCGCCTGGGGCACTGGGGAGGAGGGGGCCGGTGGCTACGGCGCCGCTTTGGAGGGAGAGGGAACAGGAGGTGGTGGAAGTGTTCGTGGTGAGGATCTGGATGTCGGATATTTCTTTCTATTCCCAATTTGCTAAGGGTTCTTTTTAAAAATCATGACTGGTTGTGGGATTTTTGTCCCACTTGGAGCATAAGATGCTGTGCTGTATAAACTGTCATAATATTCCACAAGGTTGGTGTTCCTCTCCGGAAGTAGATGACAGTTTTCTGCCCCATTGATATTAGGCTTGGCAAGGTGACTTGTTTTGATCTATGGAATAAGTGCAGACGTCATATGTATTCTTTCTGAGGATAACTTTCAAGAGTCAAATGCTTTTTCGGTATCTATTGAAATGATCATGTGATGTTCCTTTTTTCATTAATGCAGTGAATAGGCCGATTGATTTTCACATCTAAATCACTCTTGGATACCGAGAGTAAACCTCTGTTGGTCTTAATATAATTTTGGGGGGTATATTGCTGCATTCATTTTACATATATATATGTACATATATATACGGACAGGGTTTCACTCTGTCGCTCAGGCTGGAGTGCAGTAGCCTGATCACGGCTCACTGCAGCCTCAACAGCCCAAGTTCAAGTGATCCTCCCACCATAGCCTCCTTAGTAGCTGGGACCACAAGTGCACTGCCACCACGCCCGGTTATTTTAAAAAATTATTTGTAGAGATGACGTCTCCTTATATTGCCAGGCTAGTCCTGAAGTCCTGGGGTCAAGCGACCTTCCTGTCTCCTCCGCTCAAAGTGCTGGGATAATAGGCGTGAGCCACTGCCACGGTATAGGAACGACGTCGTAATCTTTTTTGCTTACTTCTTGGATGCCTTCTTGGTGGTCTGGGAAAATCCCTGCACTACCATTTTGTAAGTCAGTGACTGAAGAAGAGTTTCCTCACTTCAGTGAAGCTGTTTCCTTAGAGCTGGCGTGAGAATCAGATGAAATGAAGAAAAGCACGGCTATGTACTTTTGTTTTGTTTTGTTTTTGAGGCAAAGTCTCGCTCTGTCGCCTAGGCTGGAGTGCAGTGGCGGGATCTGGGCTCACTGCAACTTCCGCCTCCCCGGTTCAAGAGACTCTATTGCCTCAGCCTCCCGAGTAGCTGGGATTACAGGCGCGTGCCACCACGCCCGGCTAATTTTTGTATTTTTAGTAGAGACGGGATTTCTTCATGTTGGCCAGGCTGGTCTCAAACTCCTGACCTCAGGTGATCCGCCCGCCTCTGCCTCCCAAAGTGCTGGGATTACAGTCCTGAGCCACCGCGCCCGGCCAGCTATATACTTTCAATGCATGTGCTCATTCAGTGTGAAGAAGTACTCTGCCTGTACCTTAAGATTCTAGATGGGACTTCCAACGGCAGGCCCTTAATTGAGTCCGGAGTGGGATGGAGCTAGGGAGAAAGGGCAATTCAGACTGGTGAACTCCTCAGTTAGTGAGTCATTTTGGCCTGTGTGCATTTCAAAAAGTATGGGTTCTCGCAACAGTTCTTAGACGTGTGGGCTGGAGAAACGTGTATTATCGTAATTACCATAACAAGGGCCCCACGAAAGCAACGTGACAGGAGGGCTGTATCCAGTTAGAGGAGCCACTGGACTGTTCGAAGCCAACTAATTGGCCTAGAAGGCCGCAAGATACTTCCTACACCGCAAGGGGTAGTTGTTCAACTCTGTCTCTCTGAGAGCAACCCGCTCCTCGCACCTCCCTCCTCCCCTGTGCATTAGTAGCTGCTCTCCCCCGGTTTCTGGCGTCAACTGCGCTTTCAAGCAAGGGGACAGCAGGGCTGCTCTGGGATACGAGTCAAGCTGGAATGTCACCCCTTTAGGGGTTTGGTCCTTCGTCAATTTTTTTTTGAGACGGAGTCTTGCTCTGTCGCCCAGGCTGGAGCGTAGTGGCACGATCTCGGCTCACTGCAAGCTGCGCCTCCGGGGTTCACGCCATTCTCCTGCCTCAGCCTCCCGAGTAGCTGGGACTACAGGCGCCCGCTACCATGCCCGGCTAATTTTTTTGTATTTTTAGTAGAGACGGGTTTTCACCATGTTAGCCAGGATGGTCTCTATCTCCTAAGCTGGTGATCCACCCTCCTCAGCCTCCCAAAGTGCTGGGATTACAGGCGTGAGTCACCGCGCCCGTCGTTGGATTCGCAGACACACCGTTTCCAAAGGCGCAGAGTCGATAACAGCGCGTGCGGTGCCACCACTTCCGGGGAGTCGAGTGCCCGATAGAAATGCAGCTGAGCGAGGGGCTAGCCGCACACGGACGCGGAGAGCAGGAAAGTGGAAAAGAACTCAGGTCCCCCTACTTGGTGAAGAGTGCGCAGACATGGACCTCGCCAGGTTCGTTCTCTTTTTCTTTAAATAACTTTTTTTTCGCCTTAGAAAATACAAATAGGTACAGACGAAACGAGAACTTCTCCGTGATCCCTCAGAGCTATTCACGTGGGCGTTTAACTTTCAGTTGCTTAAGGGCCCGCGCTGGCACAGCGCCTGCAAGGAATCCTGTTTCCAGGGAATTGCTGGCAGATAAATTCGTCCCGCTCCACTGCCAAACCTTCCAGCCTCCGTTTCTTATTCCGGGGGTCCGGGGGGGGTGGTCCGTGGGCTCCGGGACGAGGTGGGGCGCTGCCAGAGCAACCCCACCGATCTCGGGGAGACCCGAGGCTGCTTTCTCTCCCTTCTGGGAAAGTTGGCTCCTGTCTCTGTAGCAATGTCTGTCAAAACCGCAGGCTGTTGTAGACTTAGCAATGGAGGACTTGAAAGCTGTAGATGACAAAACTTCCGCCCGTGCGTGGGCTGGGGAGCGCCTTAAAAAGCCGCAGGGCGGCCGGGCGCGGTGGCTCAAGCCCGTGAGGTGTTGGTGCAGAGCTGGAGAAGTGGGGAGTGCTGTATGGACAGGCCAGACTTGGCAGGTGTCCATCGGATGGGGGTTGCCCACCCTCCTGGAGTCCTGAGCATTCAGGGAGTTGGGGAATGGGTTATTTAGGTGAAATGTGACCAGGCACTGACGAACTGCGCCCTAGATCCTGAAAGAAAAACCAAGCACCCTCTTGCGCTGCTGGTTTATCATCTAGAAGAGGGAAAGGGTGAAAGCAGTGCTGTTCCGAACTAAATGCAAAGTGGTATCCGAAGACGGCAAATCACGCTCTATGCTTTTTGCTCCCCAGGAGGTAGCTCTTCTGCCTCCTGTCCCACCCTTGTGGGTTGCAGTTCTTACTAACCTGTTGTTCTGGCATAACTCTAAGGAGATATGAATGCCACCCCCATTCCCATTAAAGATAGCCAACAACATAGCCTAAATCATGAGTTCAGGTCTGATAGAATTTCCCCTATAGTCAAAAGTATAAAGGATTTCAGTGGAAACATCTAACCTGTAAACCTAGACCCAAGGTTTAAGGGAGGCCAGTGAGTTTTAGGCCCTAGAGATTTGGTCGGCTCAGTCCTCAGCTCGTTTTTATTTATTTATTTATTTAATTTTAGCATTGTGTTCCAGATGTATGCCTGAAGCCTGAGGTTTTGAACCATGGAAAGTTTTACATGGCTGCAGGTGTTGGACTCGGGTGGCCAGGATCCCAGGCTAGTCCACAAGTGCTCGGTCCTCTATAAGGTGGCTCAACTGCAGCTCCCATGGGTTCCAAGTTTCCCAGTGGTATGCGTACCCTCCTTAAGCAATCTGAGGGTGAGATGTGATTTCTGTCACCTTCTGTGTATGGTGGGTGAGCCAAAAGGGTTCATCCAGGGCAAGGCCTGATACAGACAGTGCAGGAAGTTGGGCTGGGAGGAAAGGGGACAGGACTCCAGTTACAGAGGCTGCAAGAAGAATTGGAGAGCAGGGGCTAATCAAGGAGGTGAAAGAACTTTACGAGGAGAACTATGAAACACTGCTGAAAGAAATCATAGACGACACAAACAAATGCAAAAGCACTCCATGCTCATGTGTTGGAAGAATCAGTATCATTAAAATGTTCACACTCCCCAAAACAATCTACAGATTCAATGCTATTCCTATGAAATTACCAATGTCATTTTTCACAGAATTAGAAAAAATGATTTAAAATTTGTATGCAACCAAAAAAGAGCCTGAATAGCCAAGGCAATCCTAAACAAAAAGAACAAAACAGGATAGGGAGCCTTACACCACATTACTGCATTTCAAGCTATACTTCAAGGCTACAGTAACCAAAACATAGTACTGATACAAAAATAGACACGTAGACCAATGGAACAGAATAAAGACCCCTGAAATAAAGCTTCACACCTACAACCAACTCATCTTTGATAAAGTCCACCAAAATAACCAATGGAGAAAGGACACCCTATTCAATAAATAGCTAACCATATGCAGAAGAATGAAACTGGATCCCTGTCTCTCACCATATACAAAAATTAACTCAAAATTAAGACTGAAATGTAAGACCACGAACTATAAAAGTTCTAGAAGAAAATCTAGGATATACTCTTCTAGACATTGCCCTGGGCAAATAAATTATTATAAAGATCTCAAAAGCAAATGCCACAAAATCAAAGATAGACAAATGGGACTTAACTAAACAGCGTCTGCACAGCAAAAGTCTCAACAGAGTAAACAGACAACCTAGAGAATGGGAGAAAATGTTTGCAAGTCATGCATCCAACAAAAGACTAATATCCAGACTTTATAAAGAACTTAAATGAATCAAGAAAAAAACAAACAACTCCATTTAAAAAATGTGCAAAGGGCATGAACAGAAACTTCTCAAAAGAAAACATGCAAGCTGCTCACAAACATTTAAAAGGTCAACATCACTAATCATCAGAGAGCTGCAAAGCGAAATCACAATGAAATACCATCTCATCTAGTCAAAATGACTATACTAAAAAGTCAAAATATGTAGGAAAAAATTAATGAAAAATAAAGAGTTGGTTTTTTGAAAAGATCAAGATTGACAAACCTTTAGCTAGATTGATGAAAGAAAAAACTCAACTAAAATCAAAAAAGAAAGAAGAGACATTACTATTGATTTTATAGAAATCAAAAGGATTATAAGAGTGTACTGTAAAAAATTGTATGCCAACAAATCAAATAACCTAGATGAAATGGACAAATTCCTAGAAACACATCACCTACCAACACTGAGTCAGGAAAAAACAGAAAATCTGAATAGACCTATGTCTAGTAAGGAGATGGAATCAGTAATCTAAAACCCAACTAAGAAAGGCCATGGACCAGATGACTTCAGTAATAAATTCTACCCGAGTAAATTTTTTTTTTGTGAGCCTCTGTCAATATAAACAATTTGAATAAACCCAAATCAGCATTATCAGCACCATCCTGGCAATCCAATCTGACTTGATCCTGTGAAAGAAATCCTGCTCCAGATAGTGAGAGCAATGCACTTGCCAGGCTATTCTCCTGGAATAGGACCTAGCCATGAGGTCCTAGGACAACCCCACAGCCACAAGTCCCAGGGTTTCTTGGGTGAAGGGCCATTGAGTTTCCCAGATGGAAGGAACAGGGATGCTAGTAGTTCTGTCCAGTCTGGGGCACCCTGCCAGGATGACACTGCTGGTGCTGATTGGTACCTGGCACTGGAAATGGTTTAGATAATTTCAAGGAGGGCATTCCAGAACATGGAACGTGCTTTGAACCCCCTGAGGTTCAGTGTCTAAGGTAGGAACTGAACCAAAGCTTTTCCTTCTGGTGTCTTAAATGATTGGGAGTCCTCGCTTGATTTCCTGCAGTTTGAAAACAACTGCTCTGGCCACTTCACTGCTTTGTTTCTAAATATTTCCCTAGATCTATGGTGAAATTAGTGCCAAGTATAGGTACAAAGTTATGTGGGAGTAGCAGAGAGTGAAGGACAAATATGGGAGTTCTGGGATGGATGATAGAGAGTTTATCAGGTGACAAAGGTGGAGGAAAACATTAGAGTCTCAGAGCACACCTATGCAAAAGCACAGAGTCCCCAAATCACATGGGGAGTGGTGACTACTCTGGTGCACAAGGAGTTGTGTCATTTATTGAACATCTACTCTGGTCCCTGTAAATTGTTAAGTGTTATATGGAATAGACGGTTCTTTTTCCTCTGTATGTCACCACCATGATTTGCATATGAATTCTCTTGATGTAACCCCAATTGTCCAAATGATCTGGGGCCTCAATTTTATTATTGTTTACACATGATCAGAAATTTATAGAGACAAAGGTGGTATCTACAACCTTAGCTGAGTATCTGCGTGATAGTGGTCTAGCAGTGGACAGGAATATTCTGACCCCTTTATAGCCCTTTCCTAGTGTAGTGATTACTACCTATGATGGACTTTACTCTCAACTGTCTCTAGGCCACTTGACAAACCTACAGTCTTTAGGTTTTCGTCTATAGCAAAACAGTGATCCCAATAGATTTTAAAGGAAAAGAGCTAATGGATTATGTATACATAGACTAAAGCACACTGTCTTAGTCTGTTTGGCCTGCCACAACAAAATACCATAAATTGGGTGACTTATAAATAACAGAAATTTATTACTCAGTTCTGGAGCCTGGGAAGTCCAAGATCAAGATACCAGCATCATTGGATTCTGGTGAGGACCTTCTTCCCATTGCAGACTGTCAACTTCTTCTGTGTTTTTCATATGGCAGAAGGGGTGAGCTTGTGTTACAGGATCTTCAGGGTGTTGATTTTCTGGCCAGAAACCTCTGTGGCTGGCGGCACCTTTGCCAGAGTTCTTGTCCTGTGTCCAGGAAGAATGAGGTATGCAGACAAGTGAAGGGTGAACAAGACGAAGATGAGCTTTATTAAATGTTAGGACAGCTCAGAGGAGACCTGCAGTGAGTAACTCCTCTCTGTAGGCAGGTCATCCCATGGAATGTTCAGCTCTCAGCAGAGGGGAGGCCCTGGGGAGGGTAGCTTCTATCTGCTACTGGTCCTTCCTACGTTTGCTGCTCTCAGCAGAGAGGAGGCCCTGGGGACCGTTGCTTCTCTCTGCAGCCAATGTCTCTTCAGGTCTCTGAAGCGCTCAGCAGAGAGGGTAGTTCCACTCTGCGGCTGGTTGTCCTGTCCTCTCCTGCTATCAGCAGAGAGGGTAGTTCCTCTCTGAAGTTGGTCCTCTCTTCATCTCTTCCTCCTCTGCCCCTGCTCTGGCTGAGCCCAGGGCTTTTATGGACCTCAGAGGGGAGGAAGTGTGTGCCATTGGTCCACATGCAGCCCCAGAAGAGGCACCACAAGTCCCCACAGTCTACAGCACTGGCAGCCCGGTCCCCAGCCTTCAGGCCCTCCCAGGCCTGAAGGTGTGGCCCTACTGGGGACCCGCCGCCTTTGACCCAGGAATCTGTCTGCCTCCCACTGCCATTTATGTCTCCGGAGTTTGGCCAGCCTTTGCTCCCAGATCAGAGTGGGCACCGACAGCAGGGAGAAGGAGAAGCCAGGCAGTGGGAGCAGGCACTTCTGAGCCTGCGAGGGCAGGGGGATCTTCTCAGGCCCCAAGAGTGCAGAGATGCCTGAATCTGCAATCTCGATTTGGGTGGCTGCAGCTGCATGGGGCAGGGTTGTGGGGCAGGATTCTAGCATGCTGCAGAGAGCGGGAGGCCTGGGTCTACAGTGGTGGTTTGGGTGGCTGCAGCAGCACCTGGGGAGCTCACGTCCCAACTTGGAAGAGGCAGGGCTCCCACGGGCTCCAGAAAGTGTGCAGCCCTAGCTGCCCCTCCCTGCTGCAGCCTTTGTGATGGCAGGCTGCCATCCCTAGCTTTCTGAAGTCCCTTTTAGAAGAGCACTAATCTCATTCATGAGGGATCTACCCTTTAACCTAATCACCTCCCAAACGCCCATCATGTTGGGTGTTAGAATTTCAACATATGAATTTTGAGAGGATGCAAACATTCAAGGTAGAGCACAGGTGTTTTGTATATAAGAATATTACCTTGACTGGGCATTGTGGCTCATGCCTGTAATCCCAAAACTTTGGGAGGCCAAGGCAGGTGGATCATCTGAGGTCAGGATCATCATCGAGACCAGCCTGGCCAACATGGTGAAACGCTGTCTCTACTAAAAATACAAAAAAATTAGGCAGGCATGGTGGCAGGTGCCTTAATGCCAGCTACTTGGGAGGCTGAGGCAGGAGAATCCCTTGAACTCAGGAGGTGGAGGTTGCAGTGACCTGAGATTGTGCCATTGCACTCCAGCCTGGGCAACAAGAGCGAAACTCCATCTCAAAAACAAAAACAAAAACAAAAAACAAACAACAAAACAAACAAACAAAAAAACCAATATTATCTGTGGGGTCCAGCCCTACAGGGTCTGTGGGTTTTTCTCCTCGTGTGCGGAGACGAGAGATTGTAGAAATAAAGACACAGGACAAAGAGATATAAGAAAAACAGCTGGGCTGGGGGGCCACTACCACCAAGGTGCGGAGCCTGGTAGTGGCCCCGAATGCCAGGCTGCGCTGTTATTGATTGGATACAAGACAACGGGGCAGGGTAAGGAGTGTGAGCCATCTCCAGTGATAGGTAAGGTCACTTGGGTCATGTGTCCACTGGACAGGGGGCCCTTCCCTGTTTGGCAGCCAAGATGGAGACAGAGAGCACGGCTTATGCCATTATTTCTTCTACGCATTTCAAAGACTTTTAGTACTTTCACTATTTCTGCTACTGCTATCTAGAAGGCAGACCCAGGTGTACAGGGTGGAACATGAAAGTGGACCAGGAGCATGACCACTGAAGCACAGCATCACAGGGAGACGGTTAGGCCTCCAGATGGCTGCGGGCAGGCCTGACTGATGTCAGGCCTTCCACAAGAGGTGGTGGAGCAGAGTCTTCTCTAACTCCCCCGGGGAAAGGGAGACTCCCCTTCCCGGTCTGCTAAGTAACAGGTGCCTTCCCCAGGCACTGATGCTACTGTTAGACCAAGGTCTGCTAGGTGACGGGTGCCTTCCCTGGCGCTGGTGTTACCGCTAGGCCAGGCAGCCCTCTAGAAGCCCTGTCCGGGCGTAACAAAGGGCTCACACTTGTTTTCTGGTCACTTTTCATCATGTCCCTTCAGCTCCTATCTCTGTATGGCCTGGTTTTTTTCTAGGTTATAATTGTAGAACAAAGATTATTATAATATTGGAATAATAATACCACAAACTAATGATTAATGATAATCATATATAATCATATCTATAATCTATTTTTAGTATAACTATTCTTATTCTATATATTTTCTTTATTATACTGGAAGAGCTTGTGCCCTCAGTCTCTTGCCTTGGCACCTGGGTGGCTTGCCACCCACGATTACCTCCTTGTAAACGTGGATGTTTGATAGGGAAAGGGCACAAGGAGTTGGTCTGTTTTGCTTGCGATCAATGCCCAAAATTTGTGAATCTAATTCATTCTTATAAGAATAAAAAATAATTAAGATTATTATTGCTGGACCCTCTTAGACCCTATCTGGCAGTTTTCCAAAAGGATTTCCCATAAAAGGAGATAATTAATGAATGTAAAAGCTAAAATTATTAAAATAAAAAGTAAAGAAGAAATAATATGCATGACTAAAACCTTGTCCACTGAGAAAATAAAAACATAGAATCCCTCCAGGGATTTACTTAAAGAAAGAAGAGAGAAAACAAATTGTACAATATTAGTGATGAGAAAGGACACAACGAACACATAAAGACAAGATTAAAATTATTAGAATAAGATCGTATAAAACAGTTGTAACAAATTTGAAAATTCAGTAGGAGTATAAATTATCACAGCCTTAGCTCAAAATTTGTTAGAAATTAGTTATCTCAGACCCATATACTTACCAGTCTAGTGGAAAATATACAGTAAAGGATTTTTCTACGTTTGCCTCATAATGCAGAATTTGCTGTCTCTCAGGCTTAACTCCTATTCTAACGGCTCTATTTTACAGAAAAGAATTTCTGCGTGGAAATGGCTTAGCTGCTGGGAAAATGAACATCAGTATTGATTTAGACACAAACTATGCTGAGCTGGTTCTAAATGTGGGAAGAGTCACTCTTGGAGAGAACAATAGAAAAAAAATGAAGGATTGTCAACTGAGAAAACAGCAGAATGAAAATGTCTCACGAGCTGTGTGTGCTCTGCTGAATTCTGGAGGGGGAGTGATCAAGGCTGAAGTTGAGAATAAAGGCTATAGTTATAAAAAAGATGGAATAGGGCTAGATTTGGAAAATTCTTTTAGTAACATGCTGCCATTTGTTCCTAATTTCCTGGACTTCATGCAGAATGGTAACTACTTTCACATTTTTGTGAAATCATGGAGCTTGGAAACCTCTGGTCCGCAGATTGCCACGTTGAGCTCCAGTTTGTACAAGAGAGATGTAACGTCTGCAAAAGTCATGAATGCTTCTGCTGCACTGGAGTTCCTCAAAGACATGGAAAAAACTGGAGGGAGAGCATATTTAAGACCAGAATTCCCTGCAAAAAGGGCCTGTGTTGATGTACAAGAAGAAAGTAACATGGAAGCCTTGGCTGCTGATTTTTTTAACAGAACAGAACTTGGTTATAAAGAAAAATTGACCTTTACTGAATCCACACACGTTGAAATAAAAAACTTCTCGACTGAAAAGTTGTTACAACGAATTACAGAGATTCTCCCTCAATATGTTTCTGCATTTGCAAATACTGATGGAGGATATTTATTCGTTGGTCTAAATGAAGATAAAGAAGTAATTGGCTTTAAAGCAGAGAAGAGTTATCTTACTAAGTTAGAAGAAGTAACAAAAAATTCCATTGGGAAACTGCCTGTGCATCACTTCTGTGTGGAGAAGGGGACGATAAATTACTTATGCAAATTCCTTGGAGTATATGATAAAGGAAGGCTTTGTGGATATGTGTATGCACTCAGAGTGGAACGCTTCTGCTGTGCAGTGTTTGCTAAAAAGCCTGATTCCTGGCACGTGAAAGATAACAGAGTTAAGCAGTTGACCGAGAAGGAATGGATCCAGTTCATGGTGGATTCAGAACCAGGTTGAGGAAGGAGGATTGGCAATAAGGATACCTTTGGCTTGGGTGGCAGGAAGGTTTTATTGTATCTTTGGGATTAGGGACAAGATTAAAAGTCTTCAAATTTCAACATCTCTGGTGGATACAACCAATACTTCCCTGCCTCTTGTTTTCTTCTGCACACTTAGAAGATAGATATTCCATACAATAACTAAATATCTACTCTTAGTAGCCTTATCTGATGCAAAGATTCTAGATGTTTCTTCTCTACCATTTCTTTACTCACTTTCAAGGAAAGCCTGTTCAATTCTTTTCGTTTTTCTTTCAGGGCTCATTTTCTGTAACTAACCATTGCTTTCTTTTGGGAACACTTACTCTTTTACTTGCTTGCTCTTTCATCTTTCTTTACCCACTTTCCATTTATTTCCTGTAAAGACTTCCCCTCTTCCTCTCACATTTATGAGCCAAAGAGTAACCTAAATTGTACCAATAAGAGAAGAATAATGCTGATATTTTATCTGGTTTTGGAAAAGGAAAGCCTCCAGTGAGATTAGACCAGAACTAGCAACTTACAAAATCTCTGAAAATGCAAACTTGTTCCTCAGAATCTGCATAAAACCCAGTTTTCCTTCACTAGCCATCACATTCTTCTAATTTTAACTTGTTTTAAAATAAACTCAGTTATATGGCAATGTATTAAATTGCTATCAATGCATTTTTACTGTTAATTTTCCTTCCAAGTATAGAGTGTTTCAGCAGCATCAAGAGTTAATTTTACAATTTGTATCTGACCTAGGAATCTAACCACAATATGTAACCACAATATCTAATGTTCTGTATTGGGAATGCAGGATCAGTTCTAAGTAGACGTTTGGTATACTGTGCATTAGTTAGCTTGAGTCTCTCCCATGCCAAATTAAGAGCGTGATTTTTGTTTTCTAACATTATTCCATAGTATGTGAGGAACTGCCCTCTCCAGCAAGTACATCATCACCTGTCTCCCAGAGTTATCCTCTTCGTGAATATATTAACTTCAAAATTCAGCCACTGAGATATCACCTTCCAGGTAATTTAATTCTGGCTTCCGTGGAGTTGTTGGTGTAACTGTGTTCAAACCTCCTTCTCTTCAAACCAGCTCTGTCTTGATATTTGTTATGGAAGCACATTCTTTTGTTTATGGAAATTCTTTGGTGTTTTTAGTCATTGAATTTGTCAAATTCTATTTCTTTAGGTGCCTAAGTAGGGGTAGAATTGTTCGTTCAGGCAGTGTGTGAATATTTAAGTAATAAGATAATGTCAAATTATTTCCAAAGTAGATAGCTCACTTTACTTCCACCAGCAATATATTGGAAATGCCACATCTTTTCCAATGCCAGACTTCTCTCTTCATCTTTCTACTTGAACTTCTTTTCTCTTGAACTTCTTTTCTTCCTCAGTCAAATCGGTATTTATTTGGGTATATACATGGAAGAAAATATCTCCCATAGAAGATATTTTATCTTCTATGAAGTGGCGATTCTGTCTTTTGCTCATTTTTGTAATAGGCTTTATCTTTTTCTTACTGATTTCTAGGAGCAATTCACAGATTCTAACATAAAATCCTCGTTTAGTCACAGATAGTACAGATTTCAGACGTCTTCTCCAAGTTCATGACTTGCATTTTCTCTTTTCCCAAGGCATATTCTCCCTAGCAGTTTTAAATTGGATATAGTCAAACTTGCCATTTAAAAATTTTGTGGTTTAGTGCTCTTTGTGCCTTGTGTAAGAGATCCTTCCCTACCCCGGGGTTATAAAGATATTTCTGTTTATTTTCTTTTAAAAATTTTAAAGTTTTGCACTTAACATTTAACATTTAAATATGTAATCCACATCCATAAACGGTGATGTAGGGGGCTATTTCATTTTATCCCATGTGGATAACCACTTTTCCTAGATCCAGTTACTGAAAACTCAGTTTCACCTGCTGATCGCCACCTCTGGGATATTACTGCATACAACTGACCCTTGAACAAACTGGGGCTTAAGACCACCAAACCCCTGATGATTTTTATCCATTGATTTCAATTTTCTGAGCCTGTAAGAGGATCAGGACATCTTCATCTTTTCACCTATTTTATTTTTGGGGGGTTTTAAAAAAGATGTAACAGTTATTTTAAAGTCCCTCTTTGATGACTCCAATGTCTGAAGCACTTGCCAGTCTTTTTCTATAATCCAGTTTTTCTCTTATTTTCTAGTAATTTGTTCTGATTTTTATCCTGTCTCTTAATTTTGTATAGTATTATGGATTACAAATTGTAGAGACTTTAGTAGATGTTACATTTCTTCAGATAGGGTTACACATTTTTTTTTTTTTTGGCAGACAGAACACCAGTGATAACTTTTACTCTTTTGAAGTTTTGTTTTATGCTTTTCTAGGTATAGTAGCTTTTAATTTTGCACTAATTACTAGGTCATGGCTCTTCTGGGGTCTTAAAGTCTGGGGTATTTACCAAGACCCTTCTACTTGGCTGGGAGTTGAATTACAATTTGTGTTTCCTGAGCACCGTGAGGCTGATGAAAGTGATGTTCAGCTCTTTAATCTCCCAGTTGATCAGTTGATATTTTCTCCTTCCTTCCTTCTTTCCTTCCTTCCTTCCTTCCTTCCTTCCTTCCTTCCTTCCTTCCTTCCTTCCTTCCTTCCTTCCTTGCTTTCTTTTCTTTCTTTTTGTGACAGGGTTTCACCATATTGCCCAGGCTGGTCTCAAACTCCTGGGCTCAAGCAATCCACCTGCCTCGGCCTCCTAAACTGCTGGGATTACAGGCATAAGCCACCACACCCAGCCCTAGTTGATATTTTCTTCTGTGTTTCTAGCATCTCACCTGTATTAGCCAGTGAGTTGAGGGAAATTTGTGGGTAGATTTTGGCTTCTTCTCTTCAGTTTCATCTTCTCTGGGATTTTGTTTCTGAAATCCCAGCTCCTCTGGCAGCCCTGAAGTCTGACCTCTGTTTTCTTTAGCCCAGTAAAACTGCTGATTTCTGCATGGGCTCTATTTACCCATGCTGTGATATGGAAAATCTCCTTAGGGAAAAAGCAGAGGTGAATGTGAAGCTACTTCCTGTGATTCTTCTGTATTAAAGATTGTAGCCCTTTAAGTCCTGCTTGTATTGGTTGCTCTCCAGTCCTTTAAATTATAGTTTTATGATATATATATATACATATATATAAATTTAAAAAAATATATATATATGTAGAATTTTTTTGAGACAGAATCTCATGCTGTTGCCCAGGCTGGAGTGCAGTGGCATGATCTCAGCTCACTGCAGCCTCAACTTCCTGGGCTCAAGTGATCCTCCCACCTCAGCCTCCCAAGTAGCTGGGACTACCAGCATGCACTACCATGCTTGGCTAACTTTGTAACCTTTTTGTAGAGAAGAGGTCTTACAGTGTTGCCTAGACTGGTCTTGAACACCTGGGCACAAGTGATCCTCCTGCCTCTGCCTCCCAAAGTGTTGTTATTACAGGTGTGAGCCACCATGCCTGGCCCTGATACACTTTTACATAGCTTTTATAGTTGCTTTTGGTGGGAGAATTAATCTAATACAAGCTGCTTTGTATCCATGGCTTAAGTTGGAAGTTCTCAGTCTTTTATAATTTATCATTATTTCCCCATCTAGGGCTATCAGAAAAGATAACTTGTGCTCCAAAAACCTTCTGCAGAAATCTGTTCTCACAACATGAAGGACTTAAGCAATTAATATGTGAAGAAATGGGCTCTGTCAATAAGGGCTCACTGATCTTCTCTAGGAGCTGGTCTTTGGATCTGGGCTTGCAAGAGAACCACAAAGTCCTCTGTGATGCTCTTCTGATTTCCCAGGACAAGCCTCCAGTCCTATACACCTTCCACATGGTACAGGATGAGGAGTTTAAAGACTATTCTACACAAACTGCCCAAACTTTAAAACAGAAGCTGGCAAAAATTGGTGGTTACACTAAAAAAGTGTGTGTCATGACAAAGATCTTCTACTTGAGCCCTGAAGGCAAGACAAGCTGCCAGTATGATTTAAACTCGCAAGTAATTTACCCTGAATCCTACTATTGGACAACAGCTCAAACAATGAAAGACTTGGAAAAGGCCCTTTCAAATATCTTACCTAAGGAGAATCAAATCTTTTTGTTTGTTTGTTTGTTTCGTTTTTGTTTGTTTGTTTGTTGGTTTGTTTGTTTTTTCTTGAGATGAGTCTCACTCTGTCACCCAGACTGGAGTGTAGTGACACGATCTCGACTCACTGCAACCTCTGCCTCCTGGGTTCAAGCAATTCCCTGCCTCAGCCTCCCGAGTAGCTGGGATTACATGTGCCTGCCACCACACCTGGCTAATTTTTTTTTTTTTGTATTTTTAGCAGAGATGGGGTTTCACCGTCTTGGCCAGGCTGGTCTTGAACTCCTGACCTCGTGATTCAACCCCCCCCCCCGGTCTCCCAAAGTGCTAGGAGTACAGATGTGAGCCACCGCGCCCGGCTGGAGAATCAATTCTTTTATAGACCAATTAGCCTTTGACATTTCCAGCATCTCCCAGATAATCAGTATAGATAAGGATGTTTAAATCTTGTCCAAGGCTCACTTGAATCATGGAAGATGGACTGGGCTACAGAGATATTTTTCATTATATATTTGGTAACATTCTCTAATTCTCTAAAAATACGTCTTTGAAAACATTGCAAGTTAGGCAACTTGACGTGATGTTGGAAAACTGGGATTAGCCTATGTTCGCTTCTTCCTAAGTTCTTTATAGATATTCCTTAAGGGAAATTAGAAAAATTAATTACCTACACATGTTTTGCCATACCAAGATGTCATTTGACTATAAAGGAAATATCAGACATTCTTATCCAATGGACATGGAAAACATAGTTCTCTAATATCTTCTTGAAAACTATATTGCAATGAAATGCAGCCAATGAAGAGATGAATCAAAATGGAGAACTTGCCGAGTTGGATGGATCACTTGAGGTCAGGAGTTGAAGACCAGCCTGGGCAACATGGTGAAACCCAGTCTCTACTAAAAATATAAAAATTAGCCAAGTGTGGTGGCACACACATGTAGTCCCAGCTACTCGGGAGGCTGAGGCATGAGAATTGCTTGAACGCAGGAAGTGGAGGTTACAGTGAGCCAAGACCACACCACTGCACTCCAGCTTGGGCAAGAGAGCAAGACTCTGTCATCTCTATGCAAATAAACTAGAAAATCTAGAAGAAATGGATAAATTCCTGAACACATGCAACCTCCCAAGACTGAGCCAGGGAGAAGTCAAATCCCTGAACAGGTCAATAACAAGTTCTGAAATTGAGGCAGTAATTACTAACCAAAAAAAGCCCAGGACCAGACAGATTCACAGCTGAATTCTACCAGAGGTACAAAGAGGAGCTGGTACCATTTCTACTGAAACTATTCCAAACAATAAAAGAGGAAAGAATCCTGCCTAACTCATTTTATGAAGCCAGTATCATCCTGATACCAAAACCTGGTAGGGACACAATAAAAAAAGGAAAACTTCAGGCCAATATCCCTGATGAACATCATTGCAAAAATCATCAATAAAATACTGGCAAACCGAATCCAGTGGCATGTCAGAAAAGCTTATCCACCACGATCAAGTGGGCCTCATCCCTGGGATGCAAGGCTGATTCAACAAACACAAATCAATAAATGTAATTCATCACATAAACAGAAACAATGACAAAAACCATATGATTATCTCAATAGATGCAGAAAAAGACTCTGACAAAATTCAACATCCCTTTATGTTAAAAACTCTCAATAAACTGGGTATTGATGAAACATATCTCAAAACAATAAGAGCTATTCATGACAAACCCACAGCCAATATCATACTGAATGGGCAAAACCTGGAAGCATTCCCTTTGAAAATTGGCACAAGACAAGAATGCCCTCTCTCACCACTCCTATTCAACATAGTATTGGAAGTTCCGGCCAGGGCAATCAGGCAAGAGAAAGAAATAAAGGTATTCGAATAGGAAGAGAGGAAGTCAAATTGTCTTTATTTGTAGATGAGATGATTTTATATCTAGAAAATCCCATCATCTCAGCCTCCAAATTCCTTAAGCTGATAAGCAACTTCAGCAAAGTCTCAGGATACAAAATCAATGTGCAAAAGTCACAAGCATTCCATTACACCAACAATAGACAAGCAGAGAGCCAAATCATGAGTGAACTCACATTCACAATCGCTAAAAAGAGAATAAAATACCTAGAAATACAGCTAACAAGGGATGTGAAGGACCTCTTCAAGGAGAACTACAAACCACTGCTCAAGGAAACAAGAGAAGACACAAACAAATGGAAAAACATTCCATCCTCATAAACAGGAAGAATCAATATCATGAAAATGGCCATATTGCCCAAAGTAATTTATAGATTCAATGTTATTCCCATCAAACTACCATTGACATTCTTCACAGAATTTCATATGGAATCAAATCAGAATTAAATGAAATTAAATTTCATATGGAATCAAAGAAGACCTTGTATAGCTAAGATAATCCTAAACAAAAAGAACAAAGCTGGAGGCATTATGCTACCTGACTTCAAACTACACTACATGGCTACAGTAACCAAAACAGCATGGTACTGGCATAAAAAGAGACATATAGACCAATGGAACAGAACAGAGACCTCAGAAATAACACCACACATCTATAACCATCTGATCTTCTACAAACTTGACAAAAACAAGCAATGGGGAAAGGATCTTCTATTCAATAAATGGTGCTGGGAGAACTGGCTAGCCATATGCAGAAAACTGAAACTGGATCCCTTCCTTACACCTTATACAAAAATTAACCCAAGATGGACTAAAGACTCAAACTGAAAACTGAAACTGGATCCCTTCCTTACACTTTATACAAAAATTAACTCAAGATAGATTAAAGACTTAAATGCAAAACTCAAAACCATAAAAACTCTAGAAGAAAACCTAGGCAATACCATTCAGGACATAGGCATGGGCAAAGACTTCATGACAAAAACACCAAAAGCAATTGCAACGAAAGCCAAAGTTGACAAACGGGATCTAATTAAACTAAAGAGCTTCTGTACAGGGAAAGAAACCACCATCAGAGTGAACGGACAACCTACAGAATGGGAGAAAATTTTTGCAATCTACCCATCTGACAAAGGTCTAATACCCAGAATGTACAAGGAACTTAAACAAATTTACAAGGAAAAAACAACCCCATTGAAAAGTGGATAAAGGATATGAATAGACATTTCTCAAAAGAAGACATTTATACAGCCAACAAACGTATGAAAAAAAACTCAACATCACTTATCATTAGAGAAATGCAAATCAAAACCACAATGAGACACCATCTCACACAAGTCAAATGGTGATTATTGAAAAGTCAAGATAAAAGATTATTTAAAACTTTTAAATAATCTTTTATTAAAAGAATATTTAAAACTTTTAAATAATCTTTTATTAAAAGAAAGATTATTAAAAAGTCTCCACTGCACGGCGAGGCTGTGGAGAAATAGGAATGCTTTTACACTGTTGGTGGGAATGTAAATTAGTTCAACCATTGTGGAAGACAGTGTGGCGATTCCTCAAGGATCTAGAACCAGAAATACCATTTGACCCAGGAATCCCATTACTGGGTATATACCCAAAGGAATGTAAATCATTCTACTATAAAGATACATGCAGGCGTGGCGCGGTGGCTCATGCCTGTAATCCCAGCACTTTGGGAGGCTGAGGCGGGTGGATCACCTGAGGCCAGGAGTTTGAGACCAGCCTGGCCAACATGGTGAAACCCCATTTCTACTAAAAATACAAGAATTAGCTGGGAGTGGTGGTAGGCGTCTGTAATCCCAGCTACTTGGGAGGCTGAGACATGAAAATTGCTTGAACCCGGGAGGCAGAGGTTGCAGTGAGCCAAGATCACCCCATTGCACTCCAGCCTGGGTGACAAGAGCAAAACTCTGTCTCAGAAAAAAAAAAAAAAAGACACATGCACACATATGTTTATTGCCCCACTATTTACAATAGCAAAGGCATGGAACCAACCCAAATGCCCATCAGTGATAGACTGGATAAAGAAAATGTGGTACATATACACCATGGAATACTGTGCAGCCATAAAAAGGAATGAGATCATGACCTTTGCAGGGACATGGATGAAGCTGGAAGCCATCATCCTCAGCAAACTAACATGGGAACAGAAAATGAAACACTACATGTTCTCACTCATAAGTGGGAGCTGAACAATGAGAACACATGGACACAGGGAAAGGATTAACACACACCAGGGCCTGTTGTGGGGTGGGGAGAGTGAGGGGAGGGAACTCAGAGGATGGGTCAATAGGTGCAGCAAACCACCATGGCACATGTATACCTATGTAACAAACCTGCACATTCTGCACGTGTATCCCAGAGCTTAAAGTATAATAAAAATTAAAAAAAAAAAAAAGAACTTAAAACAGTGGGAGCATGTTCACACTCTTGGAGTCTTTCCAGCCCTGAACCTCAGGCAGCCTGTATCAGCTGCTGGTGATGGGTGACCTGGGCATGGGGAAGACCACCATCATCAAACAGTGAGTGCACCAGAACTCCTCCTGGCTGGCACCCTGAAGCCACCACTGTGTGAACTGTGCATTCAAGGTGCTACACTGGGACCCAGAGGCCTTGGCACACCTACAGCTGTGGAACATTGCAATGAGGAAAGATTGGGAAAATGACAAGAGCCTGTTATCTGGAACTTACAGGCGCATTTATTGTCTCCAGTATCACCAGGCCAGCCCCATTTGAAGCAGAGCTAAAGTGGAAAAATGATTTGGACTAAACGTTAACACATGGCAGACCAATTTCTATGGTTCTGTTGGCCAAGAAATGTGACCATGGGAGGATGAACGCAGGAACAATAGCCTCAAGATGGGCCAGATCTACATGGAACATAGTTTTGCAGTAGGAAAATATAAACTTTGGTGAAACCTTCAGATGCCTGATAAAATATTATATGAAAATGTACTCTTGAAGTTTTGATTTATGGAGGTGACTGAGTGTCAACACAGATGGACTAGCGCCATTGAAAAAAGACTTTATTACTTATAGTTCCAAGAGAAGGGGACTTGCTCTGTCATGCAGGGTCATGTGGTAAAGCATCCAGTTGGTTAAGGAAAGAGGAGCAGAAGTGAGGGGAAAATCTAATTCGGAACCTTTATTATTAGGGTTTCTGTGGGAAAGGTCCAGCTGGGCAGGGGGAACAGCTTAGGACTCAATAGTTTGAATAATTCTGATGGGCTTTGGGGCCTAGGGACGGTCCCCAGTTGTCTGTTACATGGCCCTGGGTTTATGTAGGGTAGGGAAAATATTGGCTCGATGTGTGAGTAGCTTAGAGTATGAGCTCTGGGTCACAGCGGGGATGTAAAGAATGTTGGCCATTAGTTTGGCCCTGTGATTAATGGATGCCAAATAGACAAGTACAGAACCTAGGAAAACACAGTAAGACCCATTGCCCCTGGGCCTATTTGGCATCATCGTAAGAAACCTGGGGTGGTAATAGTGGACTTATTTAAAGGATGGGGTACAGTTGCCCTAAATAGCCTAGAAAATATTTTATTGTAAGAGTAAGATAGAAGAACAATGTGGAAGTATAAAGAGCCCTTGTAGGCTGGTCCATAACTAAGTTCTTCATTTGCATGTCATTAGTCAAGAAAGTAGATCTGAAATTTTTGGAGGTTTTTACTATTATCTTGGTGGAGTTTTAAAGTGGGTTAAAAGTTTGAAATACATATATATATATATTATATATATATTTATATATATAATATATATATATTTTATATATATATATTTTATATAAAACAGGTCCTGCAGTCAGGTTGTTGGGGGATAGGAACTAATACATTAATAATGCATGTGTAGACTAGCGTGTGTGTATAACCAAGGAGGAGTGGTCATGGTCAGAGACACAGGGCAGGAAGTCACGGGGGAAAGCTTGAGGGGGTAGTAGGGGTAGGCACTGGGGAGTTAGTGGTCCTCTTCCCAGTGGGTTGAGGGATTGACTCAGGAGGCAACAGCCTTCAGAGAAAGGCAATACTATCCATTAATTTTTGTTATCTTTTTAGACACAGGGTCTTGCCCTTGTCACCGAGGCTGGAGTGCAGTGGTGTGGTCATAGCTCATTACAGCCTTGACCTCCCGACATCAAGAGATTCTCCTGCCTCAGACTCTTGAGTAGCTGGGACTACAGGTGTACACCACCATGCCCAGCTAACTTTTATATGTTTTGTAGAGATGGGGTCTCCCCATGTTGCCCAGGCTGGTTTGAACTCCTGGGATTAAGCAGTCCTGCCTCAGCCTCCCAAAGTGCTGGAATTATAGGCATGAGTCACTGTGCTTGGCCCTCCATTAATTCTTAGAATGACGTAGGTAGTGGTAACTACTATTAAATTTTCCTTCAGGCATAGGAGTGCGGGGTGTATGTTTTGGCAGAGAGCAAGGAGTATGCCAGGATGATAGGCTAAGCAGACAGCACACTCAGAAACACAATAGAATCCCTGATATCAAAGGAAAAAAGGCCAAATGTTCGGTGTGCAGTTTGTGCCTGAGAAGAGGCAGTCCATGGGTGTCACTGGGGTGAAGGTTTTTGTGTTTAGGGTGACGCCATGTCTGGTGCAGGGGTAAATTCATCTCTGACGGTAAGCTGGATCGATGTCATCTGAGGCAGCATAATCTCCAGCAGTGAGTGCCTATCCAGGAAAATGTCATCTAGGATATGGGTCTTGAGTATTTCTTTTAAGTAAATACAGACTCAGGTTGATGTGGGTCTTAGCATTTGCCATGATTGATTAAAACAATGGCTTGTATGGAGGGTTGGTGCCTCCAGATGATAAAACAACAAAAGCACCCATACCAGCAGTAAGATCAGCAGGCTGAGCATGGCAGCTCATGCCTGTAATCCCAGCACTTTGAGAGGCCAAAGCAGGTGCATTGCTTGAGCTCAGGCATTCAAGACCAGCCTGGGCAACATGGTAAAACCCTGTCTCTACAAAAAACATAAAAAATTAGCTGGGCGTGGTAGTGTGTGCCTGTGGTCGCAGCTTCTCAGGAGGCTGAGGTGAGAGGATTGTCTGAACCCAGGAAGTAGAGTGGGGAGTGAATCGTGATCACGCCACTGCACTCCAGCCTGGGTAACAGAGTGAGACCTTGTCTCAGACCAAAACAAAAAGCAAAAACAAACAAACAAAACAAAAAAGATAAACAGAAAACAGAATGGTGTGCAGCTGCATTTGACAGAGTTTTGGTTTTTGCTTGCTTGCTTGCTTGCTTCATGGTTGAAGTTTAGGCTCAAACGGGTCCCATATCAGATAAGCAGCTGCCTAGCCCATTGGACAATCACTATTAATTGGACCCCAGAGAATATACACACCTGCTGTGGCCTCCTGATGGGGGGGGTTTGATATTGAAAATCTATAAAAATAGGTTAAGGCCTGGGGCAAGATAAAGACCCATTGAGAGGTCCATTTGTTGGACTGGAACTTTAAAAGAAGTTGTTTGGGGAGACTCTTATGTCTCTCTGTTAAACTGGCTATTTGGGACCTATTAGGGTCATGAAAGTTTTATTGAATGCCTGTTTGTTTCGGGAGCCCATTCAGTGTGTATTTTGCAATGTGAAATGTGTGCCTTGGTTATTACCTTGGTAATTGTAAGGCCTCATATGGTGGCCTTAATATACATAGACACGTGATTTTGGGTATCTAAGAGGAAAGAGGTTCTTAGTGTTCCTTAATCTGAAAGGGACAATTCATTAGGCAATGGCTCAATTGTTCAAAAGGAATATGGAGATGGGGCCATTTGTTGGCCAGGGCATCCAGCATTCGGTAATATTCCACCTAGCTCCATCATGTATGGTGGTTGGCAGTGCCATTCATATAGTCCGTGAACTTCTATTGCTGTTCACTCAGTCAATCCAAAGGAGCTTTCCAGGTAACCAAGGGGTCTGGAGGAGAGGTGACCTCCTCCAGCACTATGGCATCTGGCAAGGGACCAAGGACTGGGGACGTCACTCCCTTCTGCGTGTGAATATGCTAGAGAGCCCAGGACTTGGTAGCCTCCTTGAGACAGGTTAGAGACAAACCTGGGCCCTCTGAGAGGCTGAGCTTGCAGGGTGCTGTTTCCATGACTGAAAGCATAACAGGTAGCCAGGTATGGAGGGTCACAGACTCAGAATCTGTGAAAGCCTCTATGTCCAGGAGAGCCCAGTATGGAGCTAGTCATTTGTGGTTTTAATGGCATATAGCATGAGGCTGAGAGCCCTCAGGCAATTCGTAGCCATCACAGGTGGTCTAGACTTTAGGAGGCATGAGTAGAGCTTGTTAAAGTCTCTTCAGTAAAGGAATCAATGCAGGCACCAATGGGTCTGTCTGTTGGTATTAATTTGGATAGATTTTAGAGCCTTTTTGTTTGAGGCTGCCACATTTAAAGTGGGTTCATTTGTGAGTTACAGCTCAATGAGATTAAGTAAAATTTGTAAGTGAAGAATATTTTGCCATGAAAACCCAAAAAGGATGAAAAGATGTTGGACTCTTATGTCCATATGAGTAGATTAAGTGACATCTCCTTGGAGGAGGTTATTAATGTAATATCATATCTGTGCTCCCAGAGGAAGGTGCATGCACTTAAGATCTTGTCTGTCCCTGTCTCTTTAAAAAGAAGGCCATCTGAAAAGGCTATATACTGTATGATTCCAACTATATGACATTCTGTAAAAGGCAAGATTATGGAGACAGTAAAATGATCGGTGGTTTCCAAGGATTAAGGGAGTGGGAGGAATGAATAGTTGAACCACAGAGGATTCTTAAGGCCATGAAAATCCTGTGTTTGATACTATATAGTAGATATATGTCATTATACATTTGTCTGAACCCATAAAATGTACAAGAAGAATGAACGCTAATGTAAAAGTCGCAATGGATTTTGAGTGATTATGATGTATTAATTTAGATTAATCAATTGTAACAAATGTACCACACTAATGGGAGATGTTGCTAATGGGGGAGGCTATGCATGAGTGCGGGCAGTGGGTATATGGAAAATCTTTGTACTTTCCGCTCAATTTTGCTGTGAATCTGCTCTAGAAAAATTAAGTATTAAAAAAGATCTTGTCTGTAAGATGTGTGCATGATGGCAAAATTGTGAAGGTACTGAGGTGTAGCCTGCAAGAGGTATATTGTGTCTCTTCAGCAATGGAGGCAAACTACAGTGGAGTCTGTTGAAATAGGCACGGAATTGAACATATTGAACATATTAGCCAAGTCTGTAAGAACAGAGTATTTAGCAGTTATTGATTGGATAGAGTTAATAATGTTAATCATACTAGATACTGGCTATGAGGCCCTAGTCGACAAGACCACAGCAATAATGTTGTAGTCCTCCACCGTGAGGTGCCTGCTGCTTATTATTTTCCAGGTTTAAGAACAGGCAACACTGGGCTGTTAAACGGACAAGCAGCAGGGAATACTTATCTCCTTTATCCCTTTTATGTTATATAAATGAGGTTTTATGTAACAACTTTCAATCCTTCAAGGGCCTATTTTAACTTACATTGAACCATATTAACTATTTTAATGGGATTTATATAATCCTATTTTATCAAGCCAATTTTTGAGTGCCAAAAATTTAATTTTAATTTATTATTTATTGTGACATGGAGTCTATGTTCAATACGAGATACTTTAAGGCACTGAGTACAACAACTATGAGCAATTCAATCAAGATATAAAATAAGGCATAGCTATTTTTAAAAAGCTATTTAGCTACCTTTTAAAATTATATGGGGTACAATGTTTAAATTTGTTGGAACCTCAGGCATAAGTATAATTTGAGTATTTATTAAGTCCACGAGGTTTCTCAATTGGTGCATTTTGGCAAATGTTAAAGTTAATTTAGAGCTTTCAGTTCTGGCCAGGCGTGGTGGCTCACGCCTGTAATCCCAGCACTTTGGGAGGCCGAGACAGGCGGATCACTTGAGGCCAGGAGTTCGAGACCAGCCTGGCGAACATATAGTGAAACCTCATCTCTACTAAAAAATACAAAAATTAGCTGGATGTGGTGGTGTGCTCCCGTAGTCCCAGCTACTTGGGAAGCTGAGGCAGGAGAATCACTTGAACCTGGGAGGCGGGGGTTGCAGTGAGCCAAGATGGCACCACCGCACTCCAGCCTGGGTGACAGAGCAAGACTTTATCTCTCTCTAAAAAAAGCAAAAAACAGAAAACAAAAAACCTTACAGTTCTAAACCCAATCACGACCTTAGCTATCTTTTTGTTATATAAATTCTTTGGTATACAAATTTTCGATTTCCAATTGGGTGAAATTATGGATGTTTGTTTTAATTTAGATATACGTTTGATATCTTTATCTATGTACATGTACAATCTATTCATTATGTCTATATTAACCTAAATGCTCATCAATGACAGATTAGATAAAGAAAATGTGGTACATATACACCATGGGCTACTACACAGCCATAAAAAAGAACAAGATCATGTCTTTTGCAGGAACATGGATGGAACTGGAGGCCATTACCCTTAGCAAACTAACTTAAGAACAGAAAACCAAGTCCAGCATCTTCTCACTGATAAATGGGAGCTAAACGAAAGAACTTATGAACACAAAGAAGGAAACAGCAGACACTGGGGTCTATTTGAGGGGGGGAGGGTGGGAGGAGGGAGAGGAGCAGAAAAGTTAACTATTGGGTATGGGCTTAATACCTGGGTGATGAAATAATATGTATAACAAAACCCCATGACACATGTTTACCTGTGTAATGAGCCTTCACATGCGCCCCCAAACCTAAAATAAAAATTAACAAAAATTTTATCTACATATAATTCAGTTGGTTATTTTTTTTCTCTCCCTGTGCTATAGTTTGGATGTTTGGTCCCCTCCAAACCCCATGTCGAAATTTGATCCTCAGTGTTGGAGAGGGAGCCCAATGGAAGGTGTTGGGGTCATGGGGGAGGATGTCTCATGAATAGATTAATGCCCTTTCTTGGGGGTGAGTTCTGACTTTATTAGTTCCCATAAGAGTTGGTTGTTAAAAAGACCCTGGCACCTCTCTCTACTCTTGTTTCCTCTCTTGCCTTGTGATCTCTGCACACACTGGCTTCTCTTTGCCTCCTGCCATGAGTGGAAGCAGCCTGAGGACATAACCGGATGCAGATGCCCAATCTTGAACTTTCCTAGACATCAGAATTGTGAGCCAAATGCATCCTTTTTCTTTACAAATTACACAGCCTCAGGAATTCCTTATAACACAAAATAGACTTAGGCACCCTGAATTCAGGTTTTTTTTTTTTCTATTCCTCTCCCTCATGCTGTTACAAGAAAAACTGGGACTGCAACATACTCCCAAACTGAGAAGGAGCCAAGAAACCAAAGAATGGCTCAGACAAATCTAGGTTTGTGAGTAGATGAATTTATCAGGACTTACATACAAGGTATTCCTGGTGGGAGCAGGATAGCTCCAGAGACCTGCCCCATCACCCAGCCCTAAGCTTCTTTTAAGCGAATATTCTGGCTCTTTGCCTACTGTTTGCAATGAGACTGTTTTCCTTGGTATGTTCCCAGAGACATTCTGGGATGTTTGGGTTGTCAGGGACACCTTCTCCTCAGGTAGGCATCATGGCCTTTGCTCAGTGCTCAGCCTTCAGGGTGCAAGCAGCAAAAATAAACCCTTAAGTAACCTGGTCGGGGATCCGTCACACTACACCCCCCAGTTTTAGGCTGTTTTAGTTTCTATCTCTGACTGATAAGAGGAAAGAATGGAGGAGAAAGGGACACAGTGCTTCTTGGCAGTAGCCTTTCCCTGGACAAGCCCCTGCAGTCCACTTTCTCCCACTTTTTTGTTAAACAAAATATTTTAGAGTGGCTTGTATCTCTAGGTTAAAATTTTCCTTCTCTCTTTCACTCCTTTTGGTCTCCTTTGTCCCAATCATTTTTTTCCTTTTTTGTTCTCTTGGATATTTACCTGATAACTCAGGTAAACACAGAGTCAAGGAGCTAAGCAAATCCCAAACAAGATAAACTCAAAGAAAATTGTGCCAAGACAAATTTTAATTAAATATCTGAAAACTAAGGACATAAAATATATTTAAAGCAGCCAGTGAAAACACCTTCTTTATAGAGAATAACAATTTGAATGACAGTGGAATCATGGAGAACAGAAGAAAGTGTCATAACATTTTTCAAGTACTGAATAAAAAGAACTCTCAACTCAGAATCCTATGCACAGAGAATGTATTCTTTAGGAATGAAAGGAAAACCAAGGCATTCTCAGATGAAGGAAAAATAAGAGAATTCATTGCCATCACCAAAAGACCTACTCTAACAGAACAGCTAAAAGAAGTTATCTAAACAGGGAGGCAATGAAAAAAAAAAAAGGAGTTATGGAACATCAGAAAGGAAGAAAGAACACAGTAAGTAAAAATATGGGTAAATGCAATATGCTTTCTCTCTCTGCTTGAGTCTTCTAAATTATGTTTGACAGTTGGAGTAAAAATTATAACATTCTCTGATGTGGTTCTACATGTTTGTAGAGGAAATATTTAATACAATTTTATTATAAACAAAGAAAGGTGGTTAAAGAGACATGACTGGAGGTAAAATTTCTATATTTCACTAGAACTAGTAAAATGATGACACCAGTTCACTGTGAAAAATTATGTATATATAATGTAATACCTACAGCAATTACTATAAAAGCTATACAACGAGATACACTAAAAACATAATAGATAACTCAGAATTCTGCCCAATATTCAACCCATAGGAAGGCAGGGAAAAGAAAAAAATATTAAGAACACAGAGAAGAAATAGAAATCAAAAAATAAAATGGCATACTTAAGCCCAAACATATCAATAATTATATAATATATAAAGGGTCTAAATATACCAATTAAAGAACCATTTGGCAGAGTGGATTAAAAATTATGACCCAGTGTATGGTGTCTATAAGGAACTCACTTCAAATGTATGAAAGTTGAAAATAAAATGATGGAAAAAGGCATATCATGTAGGGCCAGGTATGGTGGCTCACACCTGTAATTCCAGCACTCTGGGAGGCCAAGGTGGTGGATCAGTTGAGGCCAAGAGTTCAAGACCAGACTGGCCAACATGGTGAAACCCCCCCATCTCTACTAAAAATACAAAAATTAGGTGGACTTGGTGGTGGGTGCCTGTAATCTCAGCTACTTGGGAGGCTGAGGTGGGAGGATCACTTGAACCTGGGATGCTGAGACTGCAGTGAGCCAAGATTGTGCCACTGCACTCCAGCCTGGGTGACAGAGCAAGGCTTCGTCTAAAAAAAAAAAAAAAAAAAAAAAAAGACATATTATGCAAACAAAAGAGAGCAGGTGCGGCTATACAAATATCAGATAAAGTAAAGAAAATTACCAGAGACGCATAGGGATATTATATTAATGATGAAAAGATCAGTTAACCAGGAAGATATGGCCATCTACATGTATGTATATCAAACAACAGAGCTGCAAAATATGTGACACAAAAAGTGATAGCACTGAAAGGAGAAGTAGACTTCACAATTGTAGTTAGGGACGTCATCACCCTTGTACCTCGTAGTACAAGTAGACCAAAAAATCTATAAGGCAGATTTGAGAGCAGCCTGCACAACACAGCAAGACCCCATTCTTAAAAAAAATTTCTGGGGGGGCATGTTGGTGCATGCCTGTAGTTCTAGCTACTTGAGAGGCTGAAGTGGGAGGCTTGCTTGAGTCCAGGAAATGAGGTTGCAGTGAACTATGATCATGCCACTGCACTCCAGCCTCAGTGACAGAGCGAGACCCCGTCTTAAAGAAAATCTGCAAGGGTATAGAAGAACTTAACACCACCAGTCAACATGTTACTCAACAACAGCAAAACATATATTCTTCTCAAATGCCTATGGAACATATACCAAGATAGACCAGAACCTGAGCCATAAAACAAACCTAAACAAATGTTAAAGAATTGAAATTATACTCAGAGTGTGTTCTATGACCAAAATGGAACCAAACTACAAATCAATGGCAGAAAGGTAACAGGAAAATTTCCAAACACTTAGAAAGTTAAAACGTACTTCTAAGTAATCCATAGGACAAAGAGGTTGTCTCAGGGTAAATTTTAAAAATGCAGTCGAGTGAAAATGAAAACATATCAAAATTCGTGAGACATAGATAATGAGAGTGAGGAGATTCAGTGATGAGTAAAATTTAAGTGCACATATTAGTGTGGTAGGCTAAATTATGGCCTTCTCCGAGTAGCGCGCCAGGCCGCCACTTCCCGCGGGCGGTGCTGCCAAGGCAGGCCACCTGCGCGGGGCAGTCAGAGTCCCCCTACTTGAGCGGGTTGTGGCGGAGAGCGGGGCAGGGATTGGCTGGAGTGTGGCAGCCCAGCGGGGCGGGGGCGGGGGCGGGGCCGGCCTCTGGCTCCCTCTTCCTCCGCAGGTGGCTGGAGGCCGCAGAGCAATACAGTTCGCTCACCTCTCGCCGGCCGCGTCTCCTTCCGGCTCTCCTCGCGTCACCGGAGCTGCGGCGTTCGCCAAGAACTACCTGGAGGCATCCTCCCTGCCCAGCGGCGATTGCGGCCGCCCCAGGGCGCGGCCCAGAGGAAACTGGGTGACGGTGGTGCTCGGTGTGCAGTGGGGCGACGAAGGCAAAGGGGAGGTGGCGGATCTACTGGCGCAGGACCCCATGTGCCGCTGCCAGGGAGGAAATAATGCTGGCCATACAGTTGTTGTGCATTCTGTGGAGTATGATTTTCATCTCTTACCCAGTGGAATAATTATTCCAAATGTTACTGCATTCAATGGAAATGGTGTGGTAATTCATCTACCTGGATTGTTTGAAGAAGCAGAGAAAAATGTTCAAAAAGGAAAAGGACTAGAAGGCTGGGAAAAAGGCTTATTTTATCTGACAGAGCTCATATTGTATTTGATTTTCATCAAGCCGCTGATGGTGTCCAGGAACAACAGAGACAAGAACAAGCAGGAAAAAATTTGGGTACAACAAAAAAGGGCATTGGCCCAGTTTATTCTTCCAAAGCTGCTCGGAGTGGACTTAGGATGTGCGATCTTGTTTCTGACCTTGTTGGCTTCTCTGAGATGTTTAAAGTTCCAGCTAAACAATACAAATCTATACATCCCACTTTGGAAATAGACATTGAAGGTGAATTACAAAATCTCAAGGAAATTGGAGAATTATTACAAACAAAGGGTAGAGAGTTTGGTGTAACTATTGGAAGGAAAAGAAGATGTGGCTGGTTGGACCTCGTTTTGCTCAAATATGCTCATATTATCAATGGATTTACTGCGCTGGAAGTTACCAAGTTGAATATTTTGGACATGTTTATGGAAATCAAAGTTGGAGTTGCTTACAAGTTAGATGGTCAAATCATACCTCATATTCCAGCAAATCAAGAAGTCTTAAAGTTGAAGTTCAATATAAGACTCCATGAGAATGGAACACAGACATATCAAATGCAAGGGCATTTAAAGAACTACCTGTTAATGCACAAAACTATGTTCGATTTATTGAAGATGAGCTTCAAATTCCAGTTAAATGGATTGGTGTTGGTAAATCCAGAGTCTATGATTCAACTCTTCGAATGATTGACAGTAAAGCAAGAAACACTCCTTGAGAGGGAGGGGAAAAGACTTTCTTAAATACTTCAATTAAGACCTACAAATTCAAGAATAAATAAATTGAAGTGAGTTTTAGGCCCTACGGTTGTTTCCAGTCTTTTCAGATGGATACCTATTGTGGAGATTAACTTTGGCATATTCCAGTGTCAGCTTTCCTTAGCTGGCATAATTTGTTGCTCCTGCTGCTCTCATGGTGCCACTTTTTTTTTTAATGTTTAGTAATAATATAATTCATGTTTGAAATCTAAAGTAGAATTACTTTTAATGTAGTTTTTCTTCATTATTGTCATTGTGTGTTCTTAAGTTTTACCCCTATTAGATAGTAAGAACAATTAATGCAGTTTTGCACAAATATTTTTACATTCTGATCATTCAATTCTGTCGTTGTAATCTTTGTTGTTAGAAACAAATGATGAAAACATAGGGGTTCTGTAAACTTTTGTAATGCTATGAGTTCTGTTTAAATTGTGGACTGTTTATTTTCTGCTGAGACCATTGCAAAATTTGAAAGTCGGCAGCCTCAAAGATTGGTGGTAGATAAGCCCACAAAAATGAGAAAGAATCCATGCGGAAACTCTGAAAACTTAAAAAGCCAGAGGGTCTCTTCTCCTCCAAATGATCACAACATTTTTCCAGCAAGAGCACAGAACTGAGCAGAGGCTGAGATGGATGAGTTGACAGAAGTAGGCTTCAGAAGGTGGGTAGCAATAAACTTCACTGAAGTAAAGGATCATGTTCTAACCCAATGCAAAGAAGCTAAGAATCATGATAAAACATTACAGGAGCTGGTGACTACAGTAGCCAGTTTAGAGAGGAACATAAATGACCTGATGGAGCTGAAAAACACACGAGCACTTCACAATGCAATCACAAGTATCAATAACCACATAGACTAAGTGGAGGAAAGAATCTCAGAGTTTGAGGACTATCTTTCTGAAATAAGTCAGGCAAACAAGATTAGAGGAAAAAAGAAGTAAAAGGAATGAACAAAACCTCTGAGAAATATGGGATTATGTAAAAAGACCAAACCTACAACTGATTGGGGTACCTGAAAGAGGTGGGGAGAATGGAACCAAGTTGGAAAACATACTTTAGGATATCATCCAGGAGAACTTCCCCAACCTAGCAAGACAGGCCAACATTCAAATTCAGGAAATGCAGTGAACCCCAGTAAGATACTCCATGAGAAGATCAACCCCAAGACACATAATCATTCAGAGTCTCCAAGGTTGAAATGAAAGAAAAAATGTTAAGGGCAGCCACAGAGAAATGCCAGGTCACCTACAAAAAGAAGCCCATGAGACTAACAGCAGACCTCTCAACAGAAACCCTACAAGGCAGAAGAGATTGGGGGCCAATATTCAACATTCTTAAGAAAAGAATTTCCAGCCCAGAATTTCATTTCCGGGCAAACTAAGTTTCATAAGCGAAGGAGAAATCAGATCCTTTCTAGATAAACAAAAGCTGAGGGAATTCACAGCCACCAGGCCTGCCTTTGCAAGAGCTCCTGAAGGAAGCACTAAATATGGAAAGGAAAAACCATTACCAGCCACTGCAAAAACACACTGAAGTACTCAGACCAGTAACACTATGAAACAACCATATAAACAAGTCTGCAAAATAACCAGCTAGCATCATGATGACAGGATCAAATTCACACATAAGAATATTAACCTTAAATGTAAATGGGCTAAATGCCCCAATTAAAAGACACAGAATGGCAAGCTGGATAGAGTCAAGACTCATCGGTATGCTGTATTCAAGAGACCCAACTCATGTACAGACAAACATAGGCTCAAAATAAAAAGATGGAGGAAGATTTAGCAAGCAGATGGAAAGCAGAGAAAAAGCAGGGGTTGCAATCCTAGTCTCTGACAGAACAGAATTTAAACCAACAAAGATCAAAAAAGACAAAGAAGGCCATTACATAATGGTAAAGGGATCAATGCAACAAGAAGAGCTAACTATCCTAAGTATATATGCATCCAATACAGGAGCACCCAGATTCATAACGCAAGTTCTTAGAGACCTGCAAAGAGACTTAGACTCCCACACAATAATAGTAGGAGACTTTAACACCCCACTGACGATATCAGACAGAATATTGAGACAGAAAATTAACAAAGATACTCAGGACTGGAACTCAGCTCTGGATCTAGGCGATCTGACAGATATCTACAGAACTCTCCATCCAAAAACAACAGAATATACATTCTTCTCATCACCACATGGCACTCACTCTAAAATTGATCACATAATTGGAAGTAAAACACTCCTCAGCAAGTGCAAAACAACTGAAATCATAACAGTCTCTCAGATCACAGTGCAATCAAATTAGAACTTAAGATTAAGAAACTAACTTAAAAATCACACAACTACGTGGAAATTGAACAACCTGCTCCTGAATGACTCCTGAGTAAATAATGAAATTAAGGCAGGAATAAAAAAGTTCTTTGAAACTAATGAGAACAAAGAGATAAAATACCGGAGTCTCTGGGACGTAGCTTGTATTAGAGTTCTCTTAGAGGGACTGAACTAACAGGGATAGAACTATTATATATAATATATATCTTATTATATATCCTAATATATATAACATATATATATGAGTTTATTAAGTATTAACTTTCACAATCACAGCATCCCACAATAGACTGTCTGCAGGCTGAGGAGCAAGGAGAGACAGTCAGAGTTCCCAAACTGAAGAATCTGAAGATGTAGGCTGGGAGGCCAAGCCTGTCTCTCCTTTTCACATTTTCCTGCCTGCTTTATATTCACTGGAAGCTGATTAGATTGTGCCCACCAGATTAAGGGTGGATCTGCCTTCCCCAGCCCACTGACTCAAATTTTAATCTCTTTTGGCAACACCCACACAGACACACCCAGGATTAATACTTTGTATCCCTCAATCCAATCAAGTTGACACTCAGTATTAACCATCACAAGTCCTCTCCTTGTCAACTTGAACCCAAAAACATCTCCATTTGAGATTATACATAATATTCAAATAAAGACAATAATGAAGTCATAATTATGTTTAGCATAATACAACTATCCTTCATACAACTAGAAATGCACCAATCCCTAACCCAAATACTATTACCTAAAGTTAACAATACTTAAATGCTGATATGAAGTCAATAAATCTTATGTCACATGATAAAGGAAAAGGAAATAAAATGAAGATATTTTCTTAGTACAAGTGTATACATGCACAAACATGTTTTTAATAAAAGAAGGAGGAAATACTCATGACAATTACAGTCTTCGTTTCTGCAGCTGGTCGTGGCCATAGCTGGTATTGATGACTACTTTCTTCTACTACCCATTCTGTATTCTCTTTGTCTTCAGCAAGTGCATCAGCAGGTCATGGTTTTTTTTTCCCTGGTGGAGTGACCCAAACCTTCATTCCTGAAGGATCTGGACCATTTGTAGTCCTGCCTGGATTGGGCTGTTGTAGTTTTCCATTGACCTTAATCACAGGGCATGGTAATACTAAGAGACTCCCTAGTGGATCTCCTGTATTCCATGAGTACTCTTCCTTAACTCCATTGTGGAGTGGTAGACTGGTTTCATCTTGATAGTTTGGGACAATCACCCCAGCCAACACTGCAAGTCCCTTCTTAGTCTGACTTAAAGGTAGGAGGTGCCCAAAGTGTCCAGGTGGCAATCTTAACTTCCAGTTTAATGGAATCATTGTTGTGTCTTCTGGTGGCAGCATTCCTCCCTCTGCAGCTAGGACCTCTAGGCCAGCATAACCTAATGTCACGGGAACAGGAAGCAAAAATTTTGCTAGTGGCTCACTAGGGGTGATGGTGAGTGATGCCACTTCCACTTTCACCCCTCGATTCCTGGACCAGTGAATCCTGGCTATGGGAGAAACAGTACCATATATTGGATGCTGATTCAGAGCATACACAGCCTTTTGGAGAACTTTGCTCCAGTGCTGCAAAGTATTGTCACATAGTTGGCATTTTAATTGTGCCTTTAAAAGGCCATTCCACTGTTTTATCAATCCAGCTGCTTCAGGACGATGGGGAACATGTTAAGACCAGTGAATTCCATGAGCATGAGCCCACTGCCACACTTCTTTAGCTGTAAAGTGAGTGCCTTGGTGAGAGGCAATGCTGTGTGGAATACTATGATGGTGGATGAGGCATTCCGTGAATCCATCGATGGTAGTCTTGGCAGAAGCATTGCGTGCAGGATAGGCAAACTATATCCGGAGTAAGTGTCTATTCCAGTGAGGACAAACCTCCGCCATTTCCATGATGGAAGAGGTCCAATATAATTAACTTGCCACCAGGTGGCTGGCTGATCGCCCCGAGGAATGGTACCATATTGAGTGCTCAGTGTTGGTCTCTGCTGCTGGAAAATTGGGCACTCAGCAGTGGCCATAGCCAGGTCAGCCTTGGTGAGTGGAAGTCCATGTTCCTGAGCCCATGCATAACCGCCATCCCTGCCACCATGGCAACTTTGGTTGTCCAGATCAATAAATTCAAACTGATCCAACTCTATGTTCCTTCCACCATTATCCCATACCCTTAATATCCATTCCCATGCCTGTTCTCCAGATTGCTGTTTATATAAATTAGGGAACTCAAACAGTTCTTTTTGAGTGTATTGCACCTCCTCATAGGTCACACTCTCAACCTCACCTCCAGGGGCCTGCTGGGACTTTAGTTTGGTTATAGGTCTAGAAGCAAACAGGGTGTTGGGGGTGGCTCCTGAGGAGAATCAACATTATCTTGCCTGGCAACTGCCTCAGGGGAGGCCATCACTGTTACCTCAGGCAGCGCAGGGTTCATCTCCTCAGACGAAGGAGGAAAGGCTGATGGCAGCATGGGTCGAGGAGGGGATGTTGCCACTACTTGGGATGGGGAAGCTCTCCCTTCTCACTAAGTTCATCAGAGTTTACAAACTCAGTGTCCCCAGCTTCATCAGGGTGTTCCCACATTTCCCCATTCCAAGTTGCAGGGTCCCATTCTTTTCCAACCAATGCCCTCACTTTAACAGTAGACACCTGGCGAGGCTATGCATGCATCTTTTGTTGCAGGTCAGCCACTCGCATAAGAGCTTGTGTCTGTTTTTCCACAATTTCAGCTCTTTCTCTACAGGAGATAAGGCTCTCACTCAGGGTAATCTTAGCAGATTTGAGGCTCAGTATCTGCTTCTGAAGCCGGGAGACAGAATCCCTGAGCTCATCATTTTCTTTCATCACTTTGCCTACTGAACTTAGGAGCAACCAACCAGCTTCATTACGTTCCTTGGTTCTCCGCATATGGTCAAAAGTATTAGGCAGTGTCACTAAACCCCTTGCCTCTCATGAGCAGTGAATCAGGAGTGCCAAATGCATTTATTTTGCACAACTCTCTAAACAGTTCATGTGAAGGACTATCAGTGTTCTCCATACTGTTAGAAGTAGAGTCCTTAGCATTTTTGGGTCTAATCCTATTAAGCAGCCAACTCCAGAAACCCCTAAACCAATGAAAAAACTCCATCCTTAATATCTGTTCCTTTAGAACCACTCCTGGTACCAAAATCTGTATTAGTTAGGGTTCTCTTAGAGGGACAGAACTAATAGGAGATATATATATATATAAAGGGAAGTTTATTAAGTATTAACTTACACTATCACAAGGTCCCACAATAGGCTGTCTGCAAGCTGAGGAGCAAGGAGAGCTAGTCCAAGTCTCAAAACTGAAGAACTTGGAGTCCGATGTTCAAGAGCAGGAAGCATCCAGGACAGGAGAAAGATGTAGGCTGGGAGGATAGGCCCATCTCTCATTTTCACGTTTTTCTGCCTGCTTTAT
The DNA here is from genome assembly GCF_000001405.40 of Homo sapiens. Taxonomy (NCBI): domain Eukaryota; kingdom Metazoa; phylum Chordata; class Mammalia; order Primates; family Hominidae; genus Homo; species Homo sapiens. Next base: position 35,453,627 of record NC_000017.11, on the reverse strand, counting down.
ATTCATTGAAAGCTGGTTAGAGTGTGCCCACCAGATTAAGAGTGGATCTGCCTTACCCAGCCCACTGACTCAAAAGCAAGTATCTTTTGGCAACACCCTCACAGACACACTCAGGATCAATACTTTGTATCCTTTAATCCAATCAAGTTGACACTCAGTATTAACCATCACAGCTATACATGGCTATTTGTAGCAGTTCTATTCATAATTAACAAACCCAGGAAACAACCTGAATGTCTTCCAATGGGTTAATGGTTAAACAAAAAGTGGTACATCCAAACAATGGAATACCACTCAGCAATCGAAAGGAATGAAAAATTAACAGACACAGCAGGGAAGAAACTCAAAGATATTATGCAAAGAAGCCAATCCCAAATGGTTACATACTATTTGATTACAGTTATACACCATCCTGGAAAAGAGAAAACTAGGGATAGAGAACAAATATGTGCTTTGCAGGGACTGGAATTGGGGGAAATCATTAGTTTGTGTGTGTGTGTTTGTGTGTGTGTGTGTGTGTGGTGGTGGTGGCTCTATTCTGTTTTGTGGTGGTTACATGATTCTAAACATGTGTTAATAGAACTATACATAAAAGGTAAATTTTACTGTACATGAAAAAGTAAATTCTGTATTTATGTAAAGACTAAAAAAGGCATGTGAATGTGAAATGTGAGTTGAGAAAAAGAAGGCATCTCATATAAGATAAAAAAAGAAAGTGAGTAACCTAATTTGCAAAGGCACAATTTCTACTTATGGAATCTGTACTTAAGAAGGGTTCCCACGTAATTGGTCAGGCCTTGGATATATTGGTTATATCACCACTGCCTAGTCATTTTCCAGCTGTCTGTAAGGAAGAGGTTCGTTAACAGCCATAACAGGTGGGAACATCATGGTTTTGCCTTTTTTTTTTGGAAGACAGGGTCTTGCTCTGTTACCCAGGCTGGAGTGCAGTGGTGTGATCTCAGCTCACAGCAACCTCCAGCTCCTGGGTTCAAGTGATTCTCCTGCTTCAGCCTCCCGAGTAGCTGGGACCACAGGCGTACACCACCATGCCTGGCTAATTTTTGTATTTTTGGTAGAGATGGAGCTTCACTATGTTTCCCAGCCTGGTCTCGAACTCCTGGACTCAAGTGATCAGTCCACCTTGACCCCCCCACAAAGTGCTGGGATTATAGGCATGAGCCACTGCACCTGGCCCCTGTATTATCTTAAAAATTTACTGATTTTGTTTTTTTGTATTTATGTTTTTATTTTAGCAGAATAGATTTTGGAGGACAGGATGCAAATTAATATTTTTTTCTCTAGGGATACCAGATATCTCAACACAATTTATAAAATAGTCTCTCCTTTCCCCACTTAACTGCAATGCTACTTCTGTCATAGATTTTTCCATCAATATGTGAGTCCTAGGCTCTGTCATTTATTCCATGCTCTATTTTTTCTAATTATTTTTGCTATATAAGAAAATTTGATGTCTGCTCACAACGTGCTTTTTCTTTTAAAGAGTGTTTCGAGTCTTATATATAAATCTATAATCAGTGTGTAATGTTCTAGGAAAATACTGCTGGGATTTAAAATGGAATCTCAATGGATCTACTCATCAGTTTGGTGAGAATTATTATTATTTTTTTGTTTTTGAGATGGAGTTTCTCTCTTGTTGCCCAGGCTGGAGTGCAATGGCATGATTTTGGCTCACCACAACCTCTGTCTCCCGGGTTCAAGCAATTCTCCTGCCTGTTGGCCAGGCTGGTCTTGAACTCCCGACCTCAGGTGATCCGCCCGCCCCAGCCTCCCAAAGTGGTCTTTAATATGTTGGGTTTTCCAATCCATGGACATGGTATATGATTTAACCTATTTATATATTTATTATTTTCCAATAAGGTTTTATAAACTTTCCCATAAACACCTTTCAGATTTTTAAAAAAATTTTCCCAACACTCACAGTGGCTGCCTTATGCTCCCTCAAAGATCTCTTCCATTTGTTCTCCTAGCCTCAGAGTTGATGGCTCTTTTCCATAGTTACCTCCATAATACTGTGGTGTTACTTTTTTGCCTTTTCCATGATTGAGTTAAAAAGTCTTTATGTCTAGTGAATAGTTCTTCATTTTAAAACATCTCTGTTCAAAATAACTGGTCTTCTGACAGGACCCTGACTAACACAGAAACTGTTCTTTAAGGCGATCCCAGGAAACAGATCCCCAAAGATGGAATTTTAGTACGGTTAGGTTGTGTCTTTAGGTACCAGTTCGTTCATTTAGCATTGTGCTGAAAGTCCTGGCCAATGCATTATACATGAAAAGGAAACAAGAAAAGTATGCAGATTACAAAGGAAGAAATAAAACTCTCATTATGCACATTTGATATTATTGTTTTCTTAGATGACCTAAAAGAACATAGAGATTGATCGTCAAAATTAACTACAAAGTTTAGCAAAGTTGGCAAAAAAAAAAAAAAAAAGCATACAAAGTTAATTGCATGTTTATAAAACAAAAACAGGTAAAAGTAAAGTTTTATAAAAACAGCAAGAAAATAAGAGTCACAAGGAAAACTCCTTTGTTGACTTACAGTCTATATGATTTTGTTCCCTTTTTTTTTAGTGGTAGCTCTAGGGCTTACAATATGCACCTTCAACTTAATACAGTTAAATCATAGTATATGACTTCATGTGTGATATAAGAACCTTAAAACAATACACACTCATTTTCCCCTTCCTTCCTTTGCGTTGCAATTATCACAATTTTCATGTCTTCATTGTTATAAGCACCACAATACATAGTTTTTCTTTAAAGATCAATTATTTTATGAATAATTTTTAACAATGAAAAAGAGAATCTTTTATAGTTACCTACGCGTTTATTATCTTCCATGCTCCTCATTCTTTTGTGTAGATCTGAGTTTCATTCTGGTATCATTTTCCTTCAATATGAAGAACTTTGTTAGGCCGGGCGCAGTGGCTCATGCCTGTAATCCTAGCACTTTGGGAGGTCGAGGCGGGTGGATCACCTGAGGTCAGGAGTTTGAGATCAGCCTGGCCAACATGGTGAATCCCCCGTCTCTACTAAAAATGCAAAAATTAGCAGGGCCTGGTAGCGGGCGCCTGTAATCCTAGCTACTCGGGAGGCTGAGGAAGGAGAATCGCTTGAACCTGGGAGGCGGAGGTTGCAGTGAGCTGAGATCGCGCCATTGCACTCCAGCCTGGGCAACAAGAGCGAGACTCCATCTGAGAAACAAACAAACAAACAAACAAAAAACAAAAAAACACGTTAATAGTTTTTGTAAAGATCTGCTGGTGACAAATTTCCTAAGATTTTTTTTTTTTTTTTGGTCTGAATACGTCGTTATTTTGCCTCCATTTTGGAGGACTTGTTTTGTTTTGTTTTTGGTGGTTATAGAATTCTAGATTGACAGCCTTTTTTTTTTTTCCAGCGCTTTACAGATGTATAGTTCTGGATTCAGTACAGGTTTGCACAATCTATAAACCGCATTTTAAAGAAAAATGAAAAAACTGGAATATGATTATATGAAGATTTACTGAAATGGAAAGGTGGAAGTCATTGAAAAAAGCAGATTAAGAAGAGTACATACAGTGTGACTTTGTATTAATAAAAAAGTATTACATATATGTTTGTGTAATATATATGTATGATCCGTAAAGATATGTACAATAGGGTGTTAATAGTGGTCAGTGGTAATCTCTGGGGCGAAGGGGGGGTGGTATTGGAGTACGTTTTATTTTCTCACTTTAGCCTCCACTGGAGCGTATATTAATCACCCCGGTGTTAACCGCCGCTCCCACCCTTGGGCCAGTCCGCGTCAGTGAGAACTTGGCCGATGCGCGGTGCTTGGTCAACCCCGGTAACCGTCACACTGCTCGTGTTACAAGAAAACCAGCCAGGGTTCTGCTTTTCTGCTCTGCCGCAGCCTTTAACACCTGCCAGGGTTCTGTCCGAGTGTATGGGTTTCGTAGTCCTCCTCTCCAAGGCGTTGACTGAGCACAGAGCACCGGCCGCCGCCACATCCCACTCTGGCGCGGGGTCTGCGGAGCCACAAATCCAGCCAGGAACCGAGTGCCGCCCGATCCGAGCATCCGTCGCATTTTGACCTGGGGTTCCCGGGTCTCAAGGCCCACTTTCTGGGGCAGGCAGTGGGGAGAGAAGCCCAAGCTGGGGTATGGGCAGTTGCAGTGCGGTGGAAGGGGAAAGCTCGGGCGAGAGCTTGGCTGGACCCTCAGAGGAGGGGTCCGGGGAAGGCGGGACCGCAGGCTCCGGGAAAGGAGAGAGAGATAGGGACGGAGGAGGGGCGGAGGGGGAGTAAGAAAGAACTAAGAACCACTCGAAAGCAATCAGAAAACTTGGCGTTTCCAGACATTTTTTTTTTTTTTTGTAGGGGGAACAGGCTCTCACTCTGTCGCCCAAGCTGGAGTGCAGTGGTGCGATCTCGACTCACTTTACCCTGGACTTCCTCGGGCTCAAGTGATCCTCCAGCCTCAGCCTCCCGGGCATCTGAGACTACATTTGAGTCTACAGGCGCGCGCCACTAAGCCTGAGTAATTTTGTTGTTGTTGTTGTTGTTGTTGTTGTTGTACAGACGGGGGTCCCACTGTGCTGTCCAGGCTGGTCTCGAACTTCTTGGCTCAAGCGATGAACCCGCTTAGGCCTCCCAAAGTGCTGGGATTTCATAGGCGCGAGCCTCCCGCCAGGCCTTCTAGACAGCGTGGCAAAGTGTTCCCGGGCTTTGTAGACACTCCCATTGGCGCGTCCATGCCCTGCCTGGGACCCATTGGTTCGTTCATCCCCTGTGTGGGACCTGCCCAGGTAGGCGCCAACCATTGGTTATAAGAACCTGACCTTGGCGCCTCCAGGGAAACGCGGAGTGTCCTGGAGCTTGACGCGCTGGAGCTTGAGAGGTAAGAGAGGGTCCCTGCTCCTACGGGGACTGCGGAGCTCCCGTTTGTACCCACGCCCTAGGGTCTAGTCCGGCACGACCCTGGACTGGCGTTGACTCGGATGGGGAGCAAGCTAGGAGAGCAACCCCCGCCCCCCAGCTCCGGCCAGCCGGTGGAGTCGGGGTATTTGCGTGCTTCTCCCCTGCCTTTGGGGTTCGGCTAGTTTGCTGAGCAAATTCCCTAAAAGGCTATGAGGACTTGATCGCGGCGCGGGTGGAGGCGGGGCGGTGGGGAGGGACGGTGCGGAGAGCTAAAGGGGTTGGAAGGTGTCGCCGGCGGCTTGGCGGGCTATCTGTGTTCCTGTTCCGGCTGCAAAACAGAAAGCCCCTGCCCAGCGAGCAGCGGTTTCCGCGGGGGCGGAACAAACAGGCAGAGCCAAGTGCGTCCTGGAGGCTTCCCCCGTTGCGAAGGTTGGGACTCTTGTTTCAGGGTTCTTGGCATTGACTCACTAACCACTGTAAATTATTGTTCTTAATCTAAGAGTTAAAAAGCAGAATTAGGCCGGGTGTGGTGGCTCATGCCTGTAGCTTCAGCACTTTGAAAGGCCAAGTGGGAGGATTACTTGAGCCCAGGATTTCGAGACCAGCCTGGGCAATGTAGGGAGACCCTATCGCTATGAATAATAATAATAATAATAATATAATACTAATATTAATAAATTAACCGGGCCTGGTGGCGCGCACCTGTGGTTCCAGCTTCTCCGGAGGCTGAGGCAAAAATCGCCTGAGCCTGTGATGGCGCCACTGCCCTCCAGCCTGGACAACACAGGAAGACATTGTATCAAAACAAAAACAAAACAAAACAAAACAAAACAACAAAACAGAATTAGAATTGCCATTACCCTGTACCCATTATCCTGATTACCCTGCAATCTAGAAAGGGGAGAAATGAGAAAAATGTCTCCCTCCCAACGTCTGTAAAATACAGAGCTGCTATCTGAGAAGGACAAAGAGCTCTGTGTTTTATTTTCCCAAGAGGGAGCCTCTGTCGCAGCTGTTTCCTTCTGTTTCTGCCTGAGACTAGCCAGTCCCCACCAGTTTTCCTCAGTGGGGTGGGGGGCTTGGGAGTGGATGGGAGGATTTGTGTTGTTCTGATTTTACCTACAGTATACCTGTGTAGGAGGCGAAACTGTTTCCATCAATTTCCACAGAGAAGCAAGGGCAAGAATTATCTCTAATTATTCCCATGCATGTGTAGGGGGGGTTCAAAGAAGTCTGAATCTTGACCCCTGAACTCTACTGCCTCTCTCTACATGTTTCTGCATACAGGTCTTTCAGGACTGATTTTGGTGGAAGAAGACAGCAGGCGGTGGGCATTCACTGTGCTGGTGGGAAGTCTGGTTACATTAAGAAAGGAATTCTAGCAAAGTTATTCTGTAAATACAACAGAATCAGTTGCTTTTGTTAAATATATTGGTAAGCTTCCTGATTTTTTTCACCTGAATTCTCAATTTGTTATTGAATAGTTCAGTTTTATTTAGGGTTTCAATTTTATTTAGGAAACAATATCTCTACCTTACAAAGAATCTGCAAGTAGCACTGACTATAATACCTTTATACCCAAAGGAAGAGCTGGGATAGAGCTCCCTAAGACTTTTCTGCCTGCAAAAGATATGGGTGGGGTTGCCATTTGAATACAGTTACCAATGAAAAACTATCAGCTTATCTAGGCTTTAACAATAAAGTTCATGGGGGTAAAGAGAAAAGATTTAACTTTGAAGTCCCCATATATCAAAAAGAATATTTTACAGGTAACTTGACAAAGATGTTTCAGTGGTCTCGGAATGCAAGACAGAATCCTGACGGTAGAAATTTCTAGGCAAGGGTCTAAATTAGGCAAACTGGTAAGATTGTGAATGTCCCAGCCTTTATTTCTGAATCTTGACCTCTGAACTCTGCTGCCTCTCTCTAAACATGTTTCTGCCTACAGGTACTTCAGGACTGATTTTGGTGTAAGAAGACAGCAGGTGTACACTTGATGATGCTACTTCCTTACCTCTCATTCATTCCTCAACCCATTGTAAAATAATGTCAATTAATATAGGTTCCTTTGCTGAACACCTGTGAACCAAAGCATAGTTTTAAATGCTTGTTGTAAACTATCTGAGTTAATCTTCATAATAACAGTCACAGGTGGCTGCACCATGTTTTATAGTAAGAAAATAGAGTTAGAAAGAGTAAATATCTAGACTAATATAACAGTACTAAATGGCAGAACTGGAATTCAAGCCATCTTCATTGACTCTGTTCTCCAAGACCTTAGCCCCTGGTTTATTGCCTCCTGATGCCCATTTCCCAGGTGTCTGAAGAGCATTTTTCAAAGTCACAGTTAACCTTAATTTTACTAAACTTAGGTTTAGTAACACTTTCCAGTCATTACCTAGCTGTATCTGTCAGCAGTATTAGACATCTTAAAACCTTGGCAGGTGACTTTGTTCCAGGCTTTGTTAATACCAAATACCCTTGATTTTTCTCTTACTTCTTTGATTTTTCATACTCAGACTTTTCTACAGTCTCCTTTTCAATGTGGTCTTCTTTTACTTATCTTCTAAAGTTGATGTTCATGGAGAATCTGTTCCAAACCTAGATGTTCTCATGCCATGGTACACATGCCCCTCAGCTGATCCACTACTTCTGTGTTTCAATGCTAATGATTTCACCTGGCCAGTTCTAGTGCATCTTTTAAGTCTTGGCCTAAATGGAACCTACTCCTGGAAGTCTTATGGAACCATGGTCTCCAGATTCGTTCAGATACCCTATTCAATGTGTTTTCCCTCTTAGAGCCCATGTCACAGATGATGGTAAAGGCTAATTTCATTAGTTCCCTTCCCTGCCAGCCAGTCAGCTCCTAAAGAGACTATACCTGTCTTTCTTGCTATTGTCTTATCCCAGCACATATTAGACACGTTTTAAATATTTTCTAATAAATGAATTGCAGGCCTGTAACAATTTTTTAATCAAAAATGAAACAAATATTCTAATACTTTAAGGTGCAAGTTCAACATGGAGGCAAATCACTGCTCCCTGGGTGTGTATCCATCTTACCCAGACCTGGTCATCGATGTCGGAGAAGTGACTCTGGGAGAAGAAAACAGAAAAAAGCTACAGAAAACTCAGAGAGACCAAGAGAGGGCGAGAGTTATACGGGCCGCGTGTGCTTTATTAAACTCAGGAGGAGGAGTGATTCAGATGGAAATGGCCAACAGGGATGAGCGTCCCACAGAGATGGGACTGGATTTAGAAGAATCCTTGAGAAAGCTTATTCAGTATCCATATTTGCAGGCTTTCTTTGAGACTAAGCAACACGGAAGGTGTTTTTATATTTTTGTTAAATCTTGGAGTGGTGATCCTTTCCTTAAAGATGGTTCTTTCAATTCCCGCATTTGCAGCCTTAGTTCTTCATTATACTGTAGATCTGGCACCTCTGTGCTTCACATGAATTCAAGACAGGCATTCGATTTCCTGAAGACCAAGGAAAGACAGTCCAAATATAATCTGATTAATGAAGGGTCTCCACCTAGTAAAATTATGAAAGCTGTATACCAGAACATATCTGAGTCAAATCCTGCATATGAAGTTTTCCAAACTGACACTATTGAATATGGTGAAATCCTATCTTTTCCTGAGTCTCCATCCATAGAGTTTAAACAGTTCTCTACAAAACATATCCAACAATATGTAGAAAATATAATTCCAGAGTACATCTCTGCATTTGCAAACACTGAGGGAGGCTATCTTTTTATTGGAGTGGATGATAAGAGTAGGAAAGTCCTGGGATGTGCCAAAGAACAGGTTGACCCTGACTCTTTGAAAAATGTAATTGCAAGAGCAATTTCTAAGTTGCCCATTGTTCATTTTTGCTCTTCAAAACCTCGGGTAGAGTACAGCACCAAAATCGTAGAAGTGTTTTGTGGGAAAGAGTTGTATGGCTATCTCTGTGTGATTAAAGTGAAGGCATTCTGTTGTGTGGTGTTCTCGGAAGCTCCCAAGTCATGGATGGTGAGGGAGAAGTACATCCGCCCCTTGACAACTGAGGAATGGGTAGAGAAAATGATGGACGCAGATCCAGGTAAGAGGGAACCAGATTCTCCCTTCCTGACCTTTCTACCTCTTCCCCAATACCACTTCCTTCTTTATTCTCTAAGCTTGACCTTCTCACACCCACTGAAATTTACTTTCTCTAAATCTCCATGCTTTTCATAGATGGGAAGTTTTATTGGGTGAGAAAAAGCCAAAATGAGATATTTTGTGAATGGTGATTTCCCACAAAAGAAGAAGCAAAGGAAAAACCTTGGAAATTGGTTCCTTTAATAAAACCATTGAATTGGAATCTGTTGGAGCCTCATAATAGTGATTAGCTTGTACCTCAGATTAGCATAAAATCAACTCTGGGAGACAAGAGCTAGTGTTGGTTGAGGTTTGTTTAAGTTGAGGTTAGTGGAGGTGCGTGCACAGGGATATAAAAACCTGATGATTATAACTTAAAGAGAGTTTTTTTCCACTGCAATTCAAGCAAAGAACTATTCAAACATGGAAGAGGGGGCATTATATTGCATGGGGAAACACCATTCAAGGATCAGAAAAAGGGCTTTTAATGATGAATCTTTGGGAACCTGGACATAGAGTCAAGAAAGGGTAAAGCATCTGACTTTGTGGCCTGACTTGTACCATGTTAGATGAAATTTAGACACAGCCTTGTACAGCCTATTCCAATAGCGAGACATGAAATCATATAGTGTAAATTAAAATGTTCTTTCTTTCAGAGTTTCCTCCAGACTTTGCTGAGGCCTTTGAGTCTCAGTTGAGTCTATCTGACAGTCCTTCACTTTGCAGACCAGTGTATTCTAAGAAAGGTCTGGAACACAAAGCTGATCTACAACAACATTTATTTCCAGGTACTGACTGCCAGTTTTTACATCAGGAGAGAAGGAAGTCATTTAATACATTTCGTGGAAAACAAATCCATGAAAGATTGTGTCCTGCAGATCCAGGTGTACACAGTGACAATGCCACAAGCCTCTTGGGGATGAGTTTCAGGTGCCTTTAGAAATCATCTGGCCCATTGGTTGCCACATCTGGCTGATTATTAGAAATGCCATGGAAGGTAGTTAAACATGCAGATCTCCAGGCCCACACCAAGAACTTATGAACGCTTAATTTCCAGGGGAAAGGCCTAGCCATATGCATTTGGGCAAGCTTCCCAAATTATTCTGATGCCCTGCTGGGTTTGGAAACCAGTGATCTAGTACAACTACAAGGGGAACAATGGAATAACTAGCCACTTCTGGTCTACTTTTCAAGGATGGAGGAATTATGTCTGTAAAAGGAATAAAAACATTCACCTGGTAGAATATAAGAATATAGAAAAACCACAAATAATTTCTCTTTGGAAGAGGCTAGAGGGAACGACTCGCTAATGCTTCAAAGGTGGCACCAAATAATAATTCAAGCCCATAGACAATGTTATGTAACCCCTCTCCCTGCTGCCCAAACATTTTTTAGCAAGGTTTTTTTCTCGGAGTTCCTACTTACAAAATGAAACCTAGATTTTTCAAGGAGGGAAATGGCTTAACTTCATACATTGAACATATTAAGTATGAGATTTGACAAAAGAATATGATACACAAATATCCTACGTATGTCCAAACATTTATGAAGGGCAAGGTAATTCATATATTAGGCCTTCCTTAGGTCTGTTTACCACCAAATAGTTTCTTTACTTACCTGAGAGCTTTATAGTCATTAGCTTATCAGAAAAGTTTTTAAACATTCCACATTAAGAATCCAAGGTGCAAGAGTAATTGAATACATGGCTTTCACTTTCTCAGGCTCAGTAAATTGCATTTCAGTTGACATGCTCCACTGTCCATGAGATACATAGAAGGGTGACATCATTCATTTTACCAGATTTGTAGGTTGTGGGTTAAAGAGATATGCACCAGGCAAGGCGTGGTGGCTCATGCCTGTAATCCCAGCACTTTGGGAGGCCGAGGCGGGCAGATCATGAGGTCAGGAGATCGAGACCATCCTGGCCAACATGGGGAAACCCTGTCTCTACTAAAAATACAAAAAAATAGCCGGGCGTGGTGGCAGGAGCCTGTAGTCCCAGCTACTTGGGAGGCTGAGGCAGGAGAATGGCCTGAACCTGGGAGGCAGAGCTTGCAGTGAGCCAAGATCGGGCCACTGCACTCCAGCCTGGGCGACAGAGCGAGACTCCGTCTCAAAAACAGACAGACAGACAAACAAACAAACAAAAAACCAGAGATGCACCAGAAGGAATTTCTGTTAAATTGTACAATTCTTTGGGGGCTTTCCTCTGTCTTTTAAATGTAACATGTGATTCATACAAAATCACATAAACACAGTGAAAACATCTTTCTATTTTCTTCCTGTCTAGTTCCACCAGGACATTTGGAATGTACTCCAGAGTCCCTCTGGAAGGAGCTGTCTTTACAGCATGAAGGACTAAAGGAGTTAATACACAAGCAAATGCGACCTTTCTCCCAGGGAATTGTGATCCTCTCTAGAAGCTGGGCTGTGGACCTGAACTTGCAGGAGAAGCCAGGAGTCATCTGTGATGCTCTGCTGATAGCACAGAACAGCACCCCCATTCTCTACACCATTCTCAGGGAGCAGGATGCAGAGGGCCAGGACTACTGCACTCGCACCGCCTTTACTTTGAAGCAGAAGCTAGTGAACATGGGGGGCTACACCGGGAAGGTGTGTGTCAGGGCCAAGGTCCTCTGCCTGAGTCCTGAGAGCAGCGCAGAGGCCTTGGAGGCTGCAGTGTCTCCGATGGATTACCCTGCGTCCTATAGCCTTGCAGGCACCCAGCACATGGAAGCCCTGCTGCAGTCCCTCGTGATTGTCTTACTCGGCTTCAGGTCTCTCTTGAGTGACCAGCTCGGCTGTGAGGTTTTAAATCTGCTCACAGCCCAGCAGTATGAGATATTCTCCAGAAGCCTCCGCAAGAACAGAGAGTTGTTTGTCCACGGCTTACCTGGCTCAGGGAAGACCATCATGGCCATGAAGATCATGGAGAAGATCAGGAATGTGTTTCACTGTGAGGCACACAGAATTCTCTACGTTTGTGAAAACCAGCCTCTGAGGAACTTTATCAGGTAAGCAGTTGGATCTTACGTCTTTAAGTTTTATTTAATCTGGGTTTAATTTTTTCTGCTAAGTCACCTTCTTCCTTGAGAATTGAGTGGTAAAATGATCTGTGGCAATATACTGTGCTCGGAGGAACATGATACAATCATTTTCTCCCCTTGTTTTCTTAGAGAAAACCTGAGTGTATTCTTTTAATTTTTACAGTGATAGAAATATCTGCCGAGCAGAGACCCGGGAAACTTTCCTAAGAGAAAAATTTGAACACATTCAACACATCGTCATTGACGAAGCTCAGAATTTCCGTACTGAAGATGGGGACTGGTATAGGAAGGCAAAAACCATCACTCAGAGAGAAAAGGATTGTCCAGGAGTTCTCTGGATCTTTCTGGACTACTTTCAGACCAGTCACTTGGGTCACAGTGGCCTTCCCCCTCTCTCAGCACAGTATCCAAGAGAAGAGCTCACCAGAGTAGTTCGCAATGCAGATGAAATAGCCGAGTACATACAACAAGAAATGCAACTAATTATAGAAAATCCTCCAATTAATATCCCCCATGGGTATCTGGCAATTCTCAGTGAAGCTAAATGGGTTCCAGGTGTTCCAGGCAACACAAAGATTATTAAAAACTTTACTTTGGAGCAAATAGTGACCTATGTGGCAGACACCTGCAGGTGCTTCTTTGAAAGGGGCTATTCTCCAAAGGATGTTGCTGTGCTTGTCAGCACCGTGACAGAAGTGGAGCAGTATCAGTCTAAGCTCTTGAAAGCAATGAGGAAGAAAATGGTGGTGCAGCTCAGTGATGCATGTGATATGTTGGGTGTGCACATTGTGTTGGACAGTGTCCGGCGATTCTCAGGCCTGGAAAGGAGCATAGTGTTTGGGATCCATCCAAGGACAGCTGACCCAGCTATCTTACCCAATATTCTGATCTGTCTGGCTTCCAGGGCAAAACAGCACCTATATATTTTTCTGTGAAGTGACTATTAGGAAGAACTCCAAACCAAAATACTGTGTAAATGTCTATGGGTGACAGTCTGCTGATGGTAGAAACCTTTCTTTTTAGTTCACAAGTCAGTTAGAGATTTGGACAGAGCTGACACAAAGAGTTTGGAGCTCCCCCATTTCTGGCTCTCCTTTCAGGGGTTCCTCCCCCAACTCTTTTCAGCAGTGGTGGCTGCCCCCCATTCTGACCCCTGACTCTTGCAGCCAGAAAGATGGTGGTTTTCTAAAGGAACTTTAGCTGTGCTGCACAATGCAGACCTGTGTCTTGCTCTCTGGGTAAAAGCCATAAAAATAAGAAACTCAGCCTGTGGCCTTTCTTCCAAGGCTGGAGTTCTCGAGTTCTTTTATGTGACTTCGTGTAGTTTGTTGCTTTAAAAAATTTGTCCAGAATTGTTTTCTGCAGAAGCATGGTCTGTTAGGAGCTTACAGGCCATAGGAGAAGCAGTTGTTTCCTGAATTTATCTTTGCTGTATTCATTTAGGGCTTGGGAGAGTCCCAAGATAATTCAGTCACTGTCAGATTAATCATTTCGGCAGAACAAACAATATTGTTATGATTATTTAATCCTTAAAATTGTGATCTCCAGAGTTTGTTATCAGAATAACCCAGACCAAGGCTTAATTGTAATAGTGAACATTAATGGTACCTTTACAGAGAAATTATAGGCCAAGAGAAAATGCTGGCTTTCAGTAGAAGTTAATATTAGAAACCCAAATCTGGTTCTGAAAGTGTGTATCAGATGTACGGTGAACAAACTTGGGAAAGATTTTCTTTAAAAATCAATGAGCGTTGGCCAGGCACGGTGGCTCACACCTGTAATCCCAGCTGTTTGGGAGGCTGAGGCAGGTGGATCACCTGAGGTCAGGAGTTCAAGACCAGCCTGGCCAACATGGAGAAACCCCATCTCTACTAAAAATACAAAAATTAGCAGGGCATGGTGGTGCATGCCTGTATCCCAGCTACTTGGGAGGCTGAAGCATGAGAATCACTTGAATCCTGGAGGCAGAGGTTGCAGTGAGCTGAGATCATGTCACTGTACTCCAGCCTGGGCAACAGAGTGAGACTGTCTCAAAAAGAAGAAGAAGAAAAAAAATGCAGTGAGTTTATGTTGTTACATTGTAACATCTCAGCGTAGCTGTATGCATTACTCTATAGCATAACTACTTAAGTTTTATGTCATTCTTGAACTGTGATTTTTTTTTCTATTTGCTTTCATAGTTTGGTGGGCCATTGTTATGGACTGAATGTTTGTGTCCCATCCTCACCCCTAAATTCCCATGTTGAAGCCCCAACCTTCACTGTGGAGCTGGGGCTGCTAAGGAAGTAATTAAGGTTACACGAAGTCACAGTGGAGAATCTGATCTGCTAAGACTGGTGTCCTTATAGGGAGAGACCCCAGAGAGCTTGTTCCCTTCCTCCCTGTGCACACAAACAAGAGGGCATGGGAGCACACAGAGAGATGGCAGCCACCTACAAGCCAAGAGGAGAAGCCTCACAATGAACCCCCCCCCCCACCCTGCTGGCACCTATGTCTTCGACTTCCAGCCCCCAGACTGTGAGAAATAAATTTCTGTTGGTTCAGCCATCCAGTCTCTAGTGTTTTGTTATTGCAGCCTGAGAACACAGCTGTATGATCATTCATCAAACTAAAAACACTGATACTTAACAATGCTAATGCAATTACTTATTTGCTTTTCAGTCTCTACAAAACATTCTAAAACACTAATCTAAATACTAACAATAAAATATTTGCATAACTAATGAAAATTAAGAAACCACATGCCCAATATTCCATTTATAAGTAATCCTATTTGGCTGATTTCCCTCCATATTGTAAGTTTTGAACTTTTCTGCCAGTCTTTCTCCTATTTGTGTTAACTCATGGAATTCCAGTTGTCTAGCCTTGAAATTGTAGGCTCTTCTAACTTGAGCAAAATCTGACAGATCAGCAAAATAAGGAGAAAAATATTTCTTCTTTCTTTCTGGCTGCATTAAATGAGATACAGCTCAGCACCAAAAAGCTATCTTTGTAAATGTTCTTAGTAAACTCCCTGGTCTTTGGAGTTATTTCAGCCTTTGAGAGTAATTCTTTAAAAGTCTAATTCTGACTGGTTGAATCTCTCTATATGATTTATTGCCCTAGTAATATTTGAAACAGTATCATATTTTAAAATATATAAATATTTATGAATTTTTGTTCAGCCCAAAGAGGATTACTGATGCTTTCTTCTTTTTCCATATGATGAGGAAATGTTTAGCTTATATATTTATTGCATTTCTGTTTTAAATAAAAAATTGAGAGTTTGTGTTTCATTAAACTGAAAAAAAAGGTTCTGTAAAATAAATGATTAAATGGAGGAAAAGGAGAAGACTGAGGCCAGCAACTCCATGATACAGCCAAAAATGAGCCAGTAAAAGATTAAGCAAGATTAACTGTAAATTTTTTTTTTTTTTTTTTTTAAAGAGAAAAGGTCTCACTGTGTTTCCCAGGCTGGAGGGTAGTGGTGTGATCATAGTTCACTAGAGCCCTGAACTCCTGGGCTCAAGTGATCCTCTTGCCTTAGCCTCCCATTGCTGGGATTATAGGCATGAGCCACTGTGTCAGGCTTAATTGGGTTTTGATGGGTACCTGCCTATCTCTGTAATTTGGCTCTAGTCATATAGGACCTGCTTCATTAAAGATCTGAAAATCTATCCAGCCATTGTAAAATGAAACAAAATGTTTTGAAAATTTAAATTAGCCTTTTATTTTAGTTCAGACATATAGAAAAGTTGCAAGCATAGTACAGAAAGTTCCTATATACCCCACTTAGTGCCCTCCTTTTTAAAATTTTTTTAAACCTAGCTTATTTCCTTTAAGATTTCTGAGAATTCCAGGAATGCTCACAGATCTGTCCTTGTAGTCTCCTGCCACTTCTTGCTATGGAGTGCTGTACCAAGGTCTCTGCTAGTTTCTAGTTGGCTTGACATAATGACTTTCCTAAACTTCTTCTGCTCTGAATCTCAAGCATGGAAAGCGGTCACATCTTTTGTTTCACGAATTAACAGTCAACACCTGGCCCTACTTTTAACAAAACTTAGTAAAGCCTTGAGCATAGTGAAAGACAAATATTTAAATTATATATTAGCAGGAGGCTGAGGTGGGAGGATCATATGAGGCCAGCCTGGGCAGCATAGCATGACCCCCCCCTCGAGAAGACAACAAAAAATTATCTGGGTGTGGTGGTGTGCTCCTGCAGTCCTAGCTATTCCAGAGGCCGAGGCGAGAGGATCGCTTGATTCCAGGAGTTCAAGGCTGTAGTTAGCGATAATCGTGTCACTGAATCCTAGCCTGGGCAACAGAATAAGACCCCATGTCTAACAAAATAATAATAAAACAATCAAAAGTTTAAAATTAGTTATTAAATGTCAGTGTGCCCAGAGTCCTTTGACCACAGATGATCCTGATGGCCTTCTCTCGCCTTGTCCCTGTGCCTCCTTCTACCATTTTTCTTCCTGAGATTCAAAAGTAAGTAGCGGACAGGGTTCCCATTTACCACTAAATACTTCAGTGGGTGTTTCCTAAAAGGACATTTATAGTACCATCATCAAAATCAGTAAATTAACCCTGATACTATTATCTAATCTGTAGACTTTATTGAATTATATCAGTTGTGCCTCAAGTGTCTTTATGTTTTTTTCTCAAAAGAGAAAAAGTTCTGGTCCAGGATTTGATCTAAGATCATGCATTGTATTGAGCTTTCCTTTCTTTTAAGTCTCATTTAATCTGGAGATGTTAATCTGTCTTTGTCATATCTTTGACACTATTGAAGAGGACTGGCCTATTATTTTGCAGAGTATCTGATTTTGGGTCATTTCATGTGTTCTCATGATTAGATTCAGGTTATGCATTTTTGGCATGAATTCCATAGAAGGGCTGTTACGGTTCTCAGTTCACGGTATTAGAAGGCACTTGATAGTGATTAGTTCCATTCCTGATGATGTTAACTCTGATCATTTGGATAAAGTGGCGTCTGCCAGGTTTCCCTACTGTGCAGTTACAATTTGCTTTTTGTAATTAATAAAGTGTGTGTGTGTGTGTGTGTGGAGGGGGGGTGTTTTTGCTTCTGAACGCATAATATTTGAGATTTTTTTCTAATTAAAAAGTAATTATTCAAAGAGTTCAGAGAACTGATACTGATCACATTCTTTGACCCCACATGCAAATACATTATAAACTAGTAATAAAACGGTAACTAGAAAAATGTTCATATCTTTTGGAATTAAAAAAGTGTTTAACTCGTGGATCAAAGCAGAAATTCTGTAACCATTGTCACAGCAGGTTCTAACAAGCAAGTTTAAGGAGGAGAGAATTTCAGTCCTAGAGAATTTCAGTCTTATTCAAATGCTTTCCTAGAAAGAGGAAACAGTTCCTAACTAATTTCATGAGGCTGGCATAATCTTGATAACAAGTCTGATAGGTAAAGTATGAAAGGAAAATTGCAGGTCACTCAATTATCACTCAAATATCTACATGAAAAATTCTAAACAAAATTTTAGCAAACAAAATCCAACAATTTGTAAAAGTGATAATACACCACGACCAAGGTGGTTCAAGTCAGGAATTCAACGTTGATTTTGGCGTTAAAAAATCAATCATCAGGCCCAGTGAGGTGGCTCACTCCTGTAATCCCAGACTTTCTGGAGGCTGAAGGAGGAAAGATCCTTCAGGCCAGAAGTTTGAGTCTGCACTGAGCTGTGACTGCATCACCGCACTCTAGCCTGGGTGCCAGTTTGAGACCCTGTCTCCAAGAAAAAAAAATTAATCAGTGTAATTCACCACAGATTAAGAGTTCAAAAGAGAAAAATCACATGATCATCTGAATAGAGGAAAAAGCTTTTGATAAAGTTCAACATCCATTCATAATAAGGACTCTCAGCAACTTAGAAGTATAAAAACACTTTTGGAAATCAACAAAGGGAATTTACAGCATGAACAAACAGCAAGCCAGCATGGTGGCTCACACCTGTAATCTCAGCACTTCCAGAGGCCAAGGCAGGAGAATCACTTGAGCCCAGGGGTTAGAGACAAGCCTTGGCAACATAGCAAGATCCTGGCTCTACAAAAAATAAAATAAAATGAAATAAAATTTAAAAATTAGCTGGGTTTGGTGGTGTGTGCCTGTAGTCCCAGCTACTGGGAGGCTGAGGTGAGAGGATCACTGGAGCCCAGGAGGTGAAGGCTGCAGTGGGCTAAAAACAACCAGAACAACCCCCCAACCCCCTCCCCGCAAAACACTATAAAGAATAGCAACACAAGGTTCAATGTAAACTTTGATATGGTGTTTTACCTCTGAGGAGAGGCTTATTGTTAATATTCTTTAGCCGTGTAAGGGGTTCACAGATGTTCATACTTTTGTTCTTTATACCTTATATGTATTCTATAAATATTGTTTCTACTCAATAGTTAATAAAAACATAATTTAAAAGTTCTGTGAATGTTTTTACTCTGCTCACTTTTGAGGGGCCTTTTGGGATATGCATTTTCTATTCCAAGTTGATCTGATATGTCATGCCTGCCACACACATTCCCATGGGAACAACTTCTTAATGTCTTTTGTTTCTGCCTTGGAAGCCATCCTGGTGCTCTGGGAAAATCCCTGCACTAGCATTTTCTTTTTCTTTTCTTTTCTTTTTTTTCTTTTTCTTTTTTTGAGATAGAATCCCTTGCTCTGTCTTTCAGGATGGAGTGCAGCCGTGTGATCTTGGCTCACTGCAACCTCTGCCTCCATCCAAGCGATTCTCATGCCTCAGCGCCCCCACACCCTCCCCAGTCCACCACAGTAGTTGGGACTACCAAGGCGCGCACGACTATGCCCTCTCACCATATTGCCCTGGCTGGTCTCCAACTCCTGAGCTCAGGCAATCCACCCACTTCGGCCTCCCAAAGTGCTGGGATTATAGACGTGAGCCACCGCACCCGGCCTGCGCTAGCTTTTTTTCTTTGTTTCTTTCTCTTTCTTTCTTTCTTTTTCTTTCTCTCTCTCTCTCTTCTTTCTTTTTTTCTTTCCCTCCCTCCCTCCCTTCCTTTCTCTCTTCTCTCCCTTCCTTCCTTCCTTCCTTCCTTCCTTCCTTTCCTTCCTTCCTTCCTCTTTCTTTCTTTCTTTCTTTCTTTCTTTCCCTTCCTTCCTTCCTTCCTTCCTTCCTTCCTTCCTTCCTTCCTTTCTCTCTCTCTCTCTTTCTTTCTTTCTTTCTTCTTTCCTTTTTTTTCCCCGAGACAGAGTTTTGCTCTTGTTGCCCAGGCTGCAGTGCAGTGGCATGATCTCAGCACACTGCAACCTCCGCTTCCCAGGTTCAACTGATTCTCCTGCCTCTGCCTCCCTAGTAGCTGGGATTACAGGGGTCTGCCACCACGCCCGGCTAATTTTTTTTGTATTTTTAGTGGAGACGGGGGTTTCACTACGTTGGCTGGGCTGGTCTCGAACTCTTGACTTCAGGTGATCCACCCACCTCGGCCTCCCAAAGTCCTGGAATTATGGGCATGAGCCACTGCTCCCAGCCGGCACTAGCATTTTCTAAGCCAATGACTGAAGAATAGTTTTTTAACTTCGGTGAGACTGTATCCATAGAGCTGGCGTCTGGATCAGATGAGAAGAAGAAAAGCGCAGCTATGTGCTTTCAATATATACGTTATTTAATGTGAATAGGTACTCTTCCTAGGTACCTTAAGATTTTAGAATAGGCAGTAGGCAGTTAATGCAGTCCAGAGTGGGGTAGGTGGAGCTTGCGGAGAAGGAGCAACTCAGACTTGCACATTCCCCTGTGATGAGTCATCGTGGCCTGTGTGCATTTCAAAAGCTATGTACTGAGACACCAATTCTTAGACAAGTTAGCAGGAAAAACATGTATTACCATAATTATCATAATAAGGGGGCTAAAGGAAAGCAAAGTGGCAGGAGGACTGTATCCGGCCAGACTAGCCTTTGGAGCATCCCAATAAAGGAATCTCCCAAATGGCCCCAAGATGCTCCCTACACTGCCAGGGGTAGGTATTTGAATCTGTCTGTCCTGGAGCAATCCGCTCCTTGCACCTTTGTCCTCTCCTGTCCATCCACAGCTGCCCTGGCCTGGTTCCTGGGGGCAACCGTGCTTTTAAGCAAGGGGGCAGCAGTGCTGCTCTGGGAATGCGAGTACAGCTGGAAAGGTTGAGTCACCCCTTTAGGGGCATGGTAAGAATGCCTGGTATTTCTTCAATTTTGATGAACCAAAATAGTGACAATTGCCCAAAGGCGCAGAGTCGATAATAAAGAGTGCGGACACTTCCGGAGCGCCAGCTGCCCAATAGAAATGCAGGCCACGCTGGGGAAGTGTGGAGCCGCAGCCCAGGATGGGGAGGGCCGGAAAACAGAAAAGGATTCGCGTTCTTTTTACTCTGTGGAGAGTGAGCCCGCGGACTGTAGCCTGGGCCTCGCCAAGTTCCTTTGTTCTTTGTTTTCTTTAAATTACCTTTTTTCTTTTTGTCTTAAAAAATACACATGGGTGAAAAAGAAACGAGAGCTCCCTAGAGATCACTCAGAGCTGTTTTCGTGGGTTTTTAACTTCCAGTTGCTCAAGGGTCCACGCTGGCATCTGGGGTGTGCTCGCACCTGCGAAGAATCCAGCTTCTAGGGAGCACCGCGAGCTGGTAAGTTGGTCCTGCTCCATCGCTAAACCTTCCAGCCTTAGTTTTTCATTTCTGGGGAGTCTGCTGGCTCGGGAGGAGGTGGGGCACTGGTAACACAACCCCACCACTCCCGGGAAGATCCCCGCACCCCCATCCCGGTCTGCTTTCTCTCCCTTCTGAAGCAGGAGAATAAGGGTCTGGAGGAAAATCCCAACTTTCCACAAACTTCCTTTGTAGCCCCTCCTTTTCTACATGGCAGATGAAAAACTGAAAATACCTCTGATTGGTCCCCTCCCGCAACCAATCAGACTGGTCTCCAGGGCCAAGTCTTCATGTGCATAGGAATGTAACTTTGTAACTTCGCTTTCTGCGTCCAATCAGATGTTTTCATAGGGCATAACTTTGTAACTTCACTTCAGCCTCCCATTGATCGCTTTCTGCAACCATTCAGACTGATCTCGGGCTCCTATTTCATTTACATTGTGTGCACACCAAGTAACCAGTGGGAAAACTTTAGAGGGTACTTAAACCCCAGAAAATTCTGAAACCGGGCTCTTGAGCCGCTATCCTCGGGCCTGCTCCCACCCTGTGGAGTGCACTTTCGTTTTCAATAAATCTCTGCTTTTGTTGCTTCATTCTTTCCTTGCTTTGTTTGTGTGTTTGTCCAGTTCTTTGTTCAACACGCCAAGAACCTGGACACTCTTCACTGGTAACATATTTTGGCAAGCCAACCAGGAGGTAAGCCCAAAGTCTGGGATTTATTTTTCTCCTTTCCCTTTTCCTTTCTGCTCCATACAGGTAAATCTCTCTCTTTCTCTTTTCCTTTCCAACGTGGGATCCTTGGTGGGTAGCGCCTAGACACGGAGGCGACTGCAGGTTTCTGGCCGGGGGCTACTCTCCAGTGCTGCCTTGAAGGCCAAGGAGTGAATGGGGATAGTTGCCCTGCCCAGAAGCGGGAAGGGCTCTTTTCTGTCTTTTCTGGTTGTGGTCCCTGATCCCTATGTGTGACGCAGCTTCTCCAGGGCGAACTCACACGTGTTTCAGGTGACTTAAACCTTCTTTCCTTATGTTAAATTCTTCCCTTCCCCTACTCTACTGGCTAAGGTTAAAAGAAACCCACCTAGCCTCCATTTCATATCATTAAAGTTCATGACTATCACTCTAGTGGAATGGGAACCATGGGAAAGCATGGCCTTATCAAATTATAAGGATGCTAGAAGTCAAGGCCTTCATCCAGAGACAAAAGGAAAGCTCACAGTAGGCCATCCCCTCTGGAGGGAAAACATGTAAAGTGGCACTGGTGACCACCTAAGGTCAGAGACGTCTGACGCTCTAAGATTGGACCCTAAAGGGGGATGCTCTGGAGGATCCTTTGGACCTCAGCCTCTCCAAGGGGGTTCCTTTGGTAGAGGTTCTTAGGCCTAGTACTAAGCCCTCCTTAGAATTTTCTCTTCCGGTTGCAGTAGTGTTTGGCCTCAATATTGTTTGGAATCTGGAGTTTGCTGTTGAATGGTAAAGTGGGATGGAGTTGCATGTATGCAGGCTCTTGTGCTGCTGTTCTAAGCAGGGTTGTGTCGGGTTAAAGTGTGATGTTCTCCTTTGGTGCTGTTTGGCCTCAGCGTTCTTTGAAGTGCGAGGAAGTTTGACCTTTAAAAATCAAACTGCCATGGAAACCGCTGACTTATAAATTGCTAAAGTTGTTTATAACCAATGTTTGGTTTCTCAAATCCATATTCCTGGGAAGACAATCAAAGCTTCAGGTACATTTGGCTACCCGATGGGCCATTTAAACATTTACAAAGGGATTTTATTCAATGTCACTTTCAATGCATGTTTTCTTGTTGTATAAAAGCTTTTCCCATGATTATGCTACAGTGTATTTTCACCAGGTAAAGAAAGCTTTTTATGGTTCACTGAGAACAATCAACCCCTTCACAACCTAGAACCCATAGGATAGATGTTCTCAGAACATCTACTGTAAAGGCCATAGTTACACAACAGACTTTAAATTCTTTTGTGAAAGTTATGATAGAATTGGCTGAACAGAGAAGTATCTGTGCAGCTGCTGGCACTTAGAGTCTATGGAGAAATACATTAAATGAAGATTAAGAGATTCAGTTGTAGGGGATTAATGAGGAGATTGTTTACTTAAGTTGGTAGATTCTTTATTTAGTTCATTATTTGATCTATTTAATTTTAACTGGTTTGGTTTATGGGAACCCTGGGCAAGGAGCATCCTCCAAACTCTTGGTATTATCCTCCCAATAGTCATCATAATAATAGGCTCCCTGGTGCACTGTATTCTCTCAAAGGTTTTCGATGTTTGCATGCAGCCATCTCTAGAATGTCAAATGGTCTCTCTTCAACTGGAATGATGAGAAGTGAAACAAATATGCGACCATGAGGACACTGTAACCTATGGATGGTGTGCTGAGACTGGAAACCCAAAATGATGGTAACTGAGAGCGGCGCTAAGGCCTTACGTTTTGGTTACATTCTCACCTAAGTGAGAACCTGAACAAAAAGGGGGAATTTTAAAAAACAAAATTGTGAAAGGCCAGTGTTTTGGACTGAGCTCATGGCCCCAACAGACCAAACCAAACCAAAATGGAGTTGCTCATTCTAAGACTTTAAGGAAACACATAGATCCTAGAACAGACCAAGTTTTTGTTTTTCTCCTGCAAACAGAATGTTTCAGTGAGCAGGACACCCTCCACCGGTAACACTTTCCTGTCTCTGTAGCAACTTCTAATAAACTGCAGGCTGTTGAGGACTTCAGAATGGTGGACTTGGAAGCTATAGGTCGGGTGGAACTTTTGCTCCTGCATGGGCTGGGGAGCAGCCCAGAAAATTTAAAGCATTACCAGAAAATTTAAAGAGCTGTGGGGCCAGTGAGCCAGGGATCTGCAGTGTTCAAGCAGAGCTAGAGAGGCAGGGAGGGCAGAGTGCTCTATGGTCAGGCCAGGCTTGGTGGGTGTCCAGACCTCCCAGGGTTATCCATCCTCCTGGAGTCCTGAACATGCAGGGAGTTGGGGAATAGGTTCTTTAGGTGAAATGCGACCAGGCACTGATGAACTGCATTGCTAGATCCTAAAAGAAAAACCAAGCACCCTCATGCCCTGCTGGTTTATTATCTAGAAGGCGGGAAGGATGAGAGCAGTGCTGTCCTGAACTAAATGCAAAGTGACATCCTAGGAGGGCAAAGAGTGTTGCATGATTTTTGTTTCCCAGGAGGTAGCTCTTACAACTTCTGTCCCACCCTGTGGGCAGTTCCTACTAACCTGCTGTTCTGACATAACTCTAAGGAGATCTGAATGCTGTCTCCTTTCCCATTAAAGATAGCCAACAACAAAGCCTAAATAGTGAGTTCAGGTCTGATAGAATTTCCCCTATAGTCAAAAGTATAAAGGATTTCAGTGGAAACATCTAACCTGTAAACCTAGACCCAAGGTTTAAGGGAGGCCAGTAAGTTTTAGGCCCTAGGGATTTGGTAAGCTCAATCCCCAGCTCATTTTTTAAGGGTTTTGTCCCAGATGTATGCTTGAAGGCAGTGATTTTCAACTATGGAAAGTTTTACACAGCTGCAGATGTTGGACTGGGGTGACCGGGATCCCAGGCTAGTTCACAAGCGCTGGGTCCTCTATAAGGTGGCTCAACTGCAGCTCCCATGGGTTCCAAGTTTCTCAGTGGTATGAGCACCCTCCTTAATCAATCTGAGGGTGAGATGTGATTTCTGTCCCCTTCTGTGTATGGTGGGTTAGGCAAAAAAGTTTACACAGAGCCCAGCCTGATGTAGACAGTGCAGAAAGGTGGGCTAAGAGGAAAGGGGACAAGACTCTAGTTAGAGAGGCTGCAAAAAAGAATCGGGGAGCAGAGCAGAGGCTGCTTGGTGAGGCATTACCAGAAAATTGTAGGGCTGGGGCTGTGCGCCTGGGTAGAAGTGGAACTGATTCTCCTGCAGCCTTTGTGGGTAGAGATGGAGAATCTCTTCTGTCTGGTCAACAGGGAAGGTGGACTTGCCTTTGGGGCAGCCTCATGTGCAAGAAATATGAAGAAATTGGGTCTAAAGAACACTAATTGTGCTATAATACTAAGGAGAAAGCTCAGCATGGCAGAGATATACATCTTCCTCTGCTTTCTAGCATAATTATGCCACATTGAGACTACTATTGAGTTTTAAATTTAAACTTCAATGATTGTGCTTACCTGGCTTCACTCTTGTTCAACTACCAGGAGTCAGGTCCTCCCCACTTAGGTTCTCTTTTTTTGGAATCTCCCTGGGTCATATGCAAATGCTTTCTTCTATGGACCCAGGCCCAGGGAGCCTATTTGAATGAATGCTAGGTCCAATATCTCTTAGAAGGCAGCCTCTCTTTGTTCTCTCTGAGTTTTCAGGAAACACTGAGGGAAAGATGCTGCTTTCTAATAGCTTTTAGACCACATCCTCTTACCCCCAAAAATTACAGGGGAAAAGTTCTGTAATCCCCACTAAGATGCTTTCTAACAGCTTTTAGACCACATCCTCTTCCCCGCAAAAGGTACAGGCCAAAGTTCTGTAATCCCCACTAAGATGCTTTCCAGTAGCTTTTATACCATATCCTCTTCCCCCCAAAAGGTTCAAGGCAAAGTGCTGTAATCACCACTAAGATAAATTTGCTAGCGATAATTCTGATACAATTATTTGGGAAAGTATTTGATAATATATATCAAAATCTTTGAAGTTTTTGTCACTTGATACAGTAATTTAACTTTTACAAACTTCTGTCTCTCTCTGTGTGTACATATATACACTCTATATACTTACATAATTTCAGCTTAATTATGTACCTAAGGCACAGGTTCAAATATAACCTTATGTTTCACCATGAACCTTTATTTCCACAGATTCAGACTCTTTCTTCTCTTACATAATTTTTCCCCTTCAAGGTTCCATTTCTTATATCCTGAAATCTGGCTTCTTTTCTGTCTACATGTTCTGGCCTCCCATACTCGATTTAACCATCTTTGTATATATCTGAACCGTATCTGTATATATAATTGAAGTGCTTTGCCAGGGCACTCTTAGACTCAATGAAAATTAGACTGTGTGATTAGCATACCCAAACATTGAAATAACTGAGTCAAGATTCTAGTATAATTATATCGAATGATTGAAAGCAACTTCAATGTTCAGTTGTAAGGTAATAGTTAAATAATGGTACATTAATACCATGTATGAAATTATGCAGTTAATAAGGTTTTTAAAGAATAGCTAATTATTATTTTTGCAAAACTTGTTGTATATACTATATTGATACATGGAAAAGCAAGATTCAAATAGTATATTTTCGTTTTGGGCAGTATGGCCAACCATGACCAACTCTCCCACTGCAAAAAGGTCCTCATGTTGGGTAAAATGTGAAATAATAGAAATACAGCTCACATCCTCAACTCATTTTGTGAAGCTATTGATTGCATTGTCTGTCAACAAGAATAGGAGAAAGGGACATCATGGGTGCAAAATCTTAAAAATATTATCGAATTGCGTTTAATATAAAGAAATGGTGACAGGAATGATGTCAGAAAAATAGTGGATTAGGAAGCTTCAACTCTGTTTCTCCATGGAAACATCAAAAGCAACCCAAAACTGGCTGAACTAACAACAAAGATCTGTTGCAACTAAATGAATGCCCAATCAAGGAAAAGCAGCATTCAAAACTGTAGGAAATTTCATGGTGTTTTTACTCACCCTTGCCCAAGTTTTTGCCCTGCATGGCAAGGTCTTAGTCTTGAGGAGGCAGCATCACTGCTCCTAGTTTCCTCCCTGGAATTGGTGGGGCATAGTAAAACTTATTTTCAATGTTGTAACCTGTCTGGGGACTGCCTGAAGGATTCATTTCTGTATCCCCTAACTCAGATCTCAGGTGAGGAGAAGTGACAGCCACTGCTCAGGAAAGCTGCAAGAAGACTATAGACCCCCAGATGTCTTAGGCAAGAGATTATAGCTAGAGACATAGAATAACCATCTAAGGCTCAGAAGATGAGCTGGGGTGAGATTCTTTGGGAAATTAAGACATTCAAAAGCAGGCATGTATGTAGAGGAATCAAGAAAGCCCCGCTCAATCCAGGCAGGATAAATGCTCAGAAAAGACCTGAGAAGACCTTAAGCTTTTTCCTTGAGCTGATCCCTAAGATCAGAGTATACTTAGCCCATCACTGAAGGTTTGCCTTGCCATAGCATTTGTCTGCAAAGACTGTGAGAGATCGCTGTTTTTTCAAATGTCCAATTTCCAACAAAAATTCATAAAGCATACACACAACAGAAAAATATGACCTATTCAAAAGAAGAAAGTAAATTGGCAGAACACATCTCTGAGGAAGGCCAGACATCAGACATATTAGACAAAGATTTTAAAATAACGTTCTTGATATCCACATGCAGAAAATGAAGTTAGACCCTCATCTCACACCAAATACAAAAATCAACTCAACATGGATTAAAGACTTAGATGTAATAGCTGAAATTATAAAACTACTAGAAGAAAATATATGAAAAAGATCCAAGACATTGGCCTGGGCAGTGATGTTTTGGATGTCATCCCAATGGCGGACAGGCAATGAAAGCAAATGTAGACAAATGGGATTACATCAAACCAAAAAGCTTCTGCACAGTAAAGGAAAAAATCAACAGAGTAAAAGAATAGGCTACAGAATGAAAGAAAACATTTGTAAACCATACATCTGATAAGAGGTTAATATCCAAAATATATAAGAAACCCAAACAACTCAATAGTAAGAAAAAAAAACAGATTAAAAAATGGGCAAAGGATCTGAATAGACATTTCTCAAGAGAAGACATTCTAATGGACAACAGATATATGAAATAATGCTCAACATTACTAATCATCAGGAAAATGCAAATTAAAACCACAATGAGAAATCACCTCACACATGTTAAAATGGCTATTATAAAAAAGACAAGAGATAAAAAGAGATGGTGTAGAGAAAAGAGAACCATTGCACACTATTGGTAGGAATTTAAACTAGCTTAGCCATTATGGAAAATAGTATGGAGGTTTCTGAAAAAAAAAAAAAAAAAAAAAAAAAAGAAAAGAAAAGAAAAGAAAAAGAACCACCATATGATTCAGCAACCTCACTCCTGGATAAATATCCAGAGGGAATGAAATCAGTCTATCAAAGAGATATCTGTACTCTCATGTCTATTGCAGCATTATTCACAATAGGCAAGATATGGAAGCAACCTAAGTGTTCACCAACAGATGAATGGATAAAGAAAAAGTGGTACATATAGATAATAAAATACTAATTAGCCTTAAGAAAAAGAAGGAAATCCTGTCATTTTTGATAACATGGATGAATCTGGAGGACTTTATGTTAAGTGAAATAAGCCAAGTAGAGACAGACAAATACTGCATGATTTCACTTATTTGTAGAATCTATCAAAGTTAAACTCATAGAAGTATAGAGTAGAATAGTGGTTACTGGGGGAAGATGGGGTTTGGGGAAATGTTGGTTAAAGGTTACAAAATGTCAGTTAGATAGGAGGAATAAGTTCAAGAGCTCTATTGTACAATATGATTACTATAGTTAACAATATGTTGTATTCTTTATTATGTATTTATTTATTTGGAGACAGGGTCTTTCTCTGTTGCCCAAGCTAGAGTGCAGTGCCATGATCATCGCTTACTGCAGCCTTGGACTCCTGGATTCAAGTGATCCTCCCACCTCAGCCTTTTAAGTAGCTGAGACCATAGGCACAAACCACTGTGCCAAGCCAATTCTTATTTTATTTTACTTTTCTGTAGAGATGTGGTCTTGTTTTGTTGTCTAGGCTGGTCTTGAACTCTTGGCTTCAAGTGATCCTCCCACTTCAGTCTCCCAAACTGCTTGGATTATAGGCATGAGCCACTGTGCTGGGCCTGTATTCTTGAAAGTTGCTAAAATAGTAGCAATGTTCACCACAAAAAATGATAAGTATGTGAAGTAATGTATATGGTAGTTGGCTCAACATAGCCATTCCACAATATATACAAGTTTCAAAAAAACACATTGTACATGATCAATATATAGGATTTTATTTATAAATTAATAAAATAAAAAACAGGCACTGTCTTAAGTATCTTCAAAGAGCTAAGAGAAAACATGGACAAAGAACTAAAGGATTCAACCCCAACTGTCCAAATGGTTTGGGGCTCTAATGTTAACATTGTTTACATGTGATCAGGAATTTATATGGACACAGGTGGTATCCACAACCTTAGCTGAGTATCTGCATGATATTGGTCCAGCTGTGGACAGGAATATTCTGACCCCCTTTACATTCCTTTTCTAGTATAGCAATTACTACCTATGATGGACTTTATTCTCAATTGTCTCTATGCCACTCGGAAAACCTACACTTCTTAAGTTACACTTATTAACTTAACTTAAAAGTTACACTTAAGTTACACTTAAAAGTTAAACTTAAGTCACACTTCTTAACTTAAAAGTTACACTTAAATTCCACTTTTAAAAAAGTTAAACTTAAGTCATACTTCTTAACTTAAAAGTTACACATAAATTACACTTTTTTTAAAAAGTTAAACTTGTCACACTTCTTAACTTAAAAGTTACACTTAAATTACACTTTAAAAAAAAGTTAAACTTAAGTCACACTTCTTAACTTAAAAGTTACACTTGTTACATTTAAAAATAGTTAAACTTAAGTCACACTTCTTAACTTAAAAAGTTACACTTAAGTTACACTTAAAAAAAAGTTAAACTTAAGTTACACTTCTTAACTTAAAAGTTTCCATTTAGAGCAAAGCAGTGATCCTAATAGATTTTAAGGGAACAGAGCTAATGGATTAGGGATACATAGACTAAAGCACAATGTCTTAGTTTGTTTAGGCCGCCATAACAAAATACCGCAAGCTGGGTGGCTTACAAATAACAGAAATTTATGACTCACAGTTCTGGAGGCTGGGAAGTTTAAGATTAAGGTGCCAGCACTGTTGGATTCTGGTGAGGGCCCTTTTCCTGTCGCAGACTGCCTACTTATTGCTGTGTTCTCACATAGTGGAAGGGATGAGCTAGTGTTCCGGGGTCCCTTTTAGGAGAGTACTAATCTCATTCATGAGGGCTTCACCCTCATAACCTGATCACTTCCCAAAAACCTCATCACCTCAGGAGTTATAATTTCAACATATGAATTTTGGGGGAACACAAACATTCAAACCATAGCACAGGTGTTTTGTATATAAGAATTTTCCTTATTGAAAATATGTGGATATTAGATTTAAAAAGGGCACAATGACTTAGCCCACTTTGCTTAAGATCAATGGCCAAAATTTATAAATCTATTTCATTCTTATAAGAAGGAAAAATAATTAACATGACATGTTGGATGTCATTAGACCTTAACGGGAAATCTTCCAAAAGATTTATACCCATAAATGGAGATAATTAAGGTAAAAGCTGAAATTATTAAAATAAAAAGAAAAGTAGAAATAATATGTATAACTAAAGCCTGGTTCACTGAGAAGATAAAAACATAGACTCACTCCAGGGGTTGTTTAAGAAAAGGAGAGAGAAAACAGGTTGTACAATATTAGGGACTAGAAAGGAGAAAAAAGGCGGATAAAGAGATTACATAATTAGAATACATTATATAGAACTATAGTAACAAATTTGAAAATTCAGTAGGAGTATAAATTATTGCGGTCTTAGCTCAAAATTTGCCAGTCTCTTCATATCCATATACTTACCAGTCTAGTAGAATATATACAGCACAGGATTTTTTTGCATTTGCCTCATAATACAGAATTTGCTATCTTTCTAGTTCAGGTCCTATTCTAATGGCTCTGTCTATTTTACAGAAAAGAATTTCTGCTTGGACACTGCATAGCTGCTGGGAAAATGAACATCAGTGTTGATTTGGAAACGAATTATGCCGAGTTGGTTCTAGATGTGGGAAGAGTCACTCTTGGAGAGAACAGTAGGAAAAAAATGAAGGATTGTAAACTGAGAAAAAAGCAGAATGAAAGTGTCTCACGAGCTATGTGTGCTCTGCTCAATTCTGGAGGGGGAGTGATCAAGGCTGAAATTGAGAATGAAGACTATAGTTATACAAAAGATGGAATAGGACTAGATTTGGAAAATTCTTTTAGTAACATTCTGTTATTTGTTCCTGAGTACTTAGACTTCATGCAGAATGGTAACTACTTTCTGATTTTTGTGAAGTCATGGAGCTTGAACACCTCTGGTCTGCGGATTACCACCTTGAGCTCCAATTTGTACAAAAGAGATATAACATCTGCAAAAGTCATGAATGCCACTGCTGCACTGGAGTTCCTCAAAGACATGAAAAAGACTAGAGGGAGATTGTATTTAAGACCAGAATTGCTGGCAAAGAGGCCCTGTGTTGATATACAAGAAGAAAATAACATGAAGGCCTTGGCCGGGGTTTTTTTTGATAGAACAGAACTTGATCGGAAAGAAAAATTGACCTTTACTGAATCCACACATGTTGAAATTAAAAACTTCTCGACAGAAAAGTTGTTACAACGAATTAAAGAGATTCTCCCTCAATATGTTTCTGCATTTGCAAATACTGATGGAGGATATTTGTTCATTGGTTTAAATGAAGATAAAGAAATAATTGGCTTTAAAGCAGAGATGAGTGACCTCGATGACTTAGAAAGAGAAATCGAAAAGTCCATTAGGAAGATGCCTGTGCATCACTTCTGTATGGAGAAGAAGAAGATAAATTATTCATGCAAATTCCTTGGAGTATATG
Source organism: Homo sapiens (assembly GCF_000001405.40). NCBI lineage: Eukaryota > Metazoa > Chordata > Mammalia > Primates > Hominidae > Homo > Homo sapiens. The sequence goes on along the minus strand of NC_000017.11, from coordinate 35,422,148 downwards.
ATAAAGGAAGTCTTTGTGGATATGTCTGTGCACTCAGAGTGGAGCGCTTCTGCTGTGCAGTGTTTGCTAAAGAGCCTGATTCCTGGCATGTGAAAGATAACCGTGTGATGCAGTTGACCAGGAAGGAATGGATCCAGTTCATGGTGGAGGCTGAACCAAGTTGAGAGCGGGGGATTCGCAACAGGAATGCATTTGGCTTGGGTGGCAGGGAGGTTTTCTCTATGGGATCTGGGGCAAGATCAATAGTCCTCAAATTTCAGCACCTAAACTATTAATCCCTGGTGGATACAATCAATAGTTCCCTGCCTCGGCCAGGCGCGGTGGCTCACGTCTGTATTCCCAGCACTTTGGGAGGCCAAGGCGGGCGGATCACGAGGTCAGGAGATAGAGACCATCCCTGGCTAAGATGGTGAAACCCCGTCTCTACTAAAAATACAAAAAATTAGCTGGGTGTGATGGCACGTGCCTGTAGTCCCAGCTACTCAGGAGGCTGAGGCAGGAGAATCGGTTGAAGCCAGGTGGCGGAGGTTGCAGTGGGCGGAGATTGCGCCACTGCACTCCAGCCTGGGCAACAGAGCGAGACTCCATCTCAAAAAAAAAAAAAAAAAAAAAAAGTTCCCTGCCTCTTGTTTTCTTCTATACCCTTAGAAGAAGATAGATATTTCATAAAATAAGCACATCATCTACTTTTAGTAGCCCTACCTGGTGCAAAAACCCAATTAAACCTGGAAGTTTCTTCCCTACCACGTCTATACTAGTTTTGAAGGAAACCCCGTTTAATCCTTTTCCTTTTTGTTTCTGAGCTCTATTTCAGTAAGTAACCATTGCTTTCTTTCAGGAACATTTGCCTCTTTTACTTACTTGCTCCTTCATGCTTCTTGTCCCCTTTCTATTTATTTATTTATTTATTTATTTATTTATTTATTTATTTATTTATTTTGAGACGGAGTCTTGCTCTGTCACCCAGGCTGGAGTGCAATGGCAGGATCTCGGCTTACTGCAACCTCCGCCTCCTGGATTCAAGCGATTCTCCTGCCTCAGCCTTCCGAGTAGCTGGGATTACAGGTGCCCGCCACCACGCCCAGCTAAATTTTTGTATTTTTAGTAGAGACGGAGTTTCACCATGTTGGCCAGGCTGGTCTCGAACTCTTGACCTCAGGCAATTCACCCGCCTCGGCCTCCCAAAGTGCTGGGATTACAGGCGTGAGCCACCATGCCTGGCGTCCCTTTCTATTTATTTCCTATAAAACCGCTTCCTTTTTCTTCTCACATTTGTGAGCCAAGTAGTAGCCCTAATTTGTACTAGTAAGGAAGGAATAATGCTGGTATTTTCTCTGCGTTTGGGAAAAGAAAGCCTCAAATGAAATTGGACCAGTACTAGCAATTGGACCAGTACTAGCAGCTTATAAAATGTCTGAAAATGTAAGCTTCTTCCTCAGAATCTGCACAAAAGTCAGCTTTCCTTCACTAGCCATCACGTCTCATTTTAACTGCTTTAAAAATAAACCCAATTATATGGTAATGTATTAAATTACTATTAATGCATTTTTACTGTTAATTTTCATTTGAAATATAGTGTGTCAGTGGCATCAAAAGTTAATTTTGCAATTTGTATCTGACCTAAGAATCTAACCACAATATCTAACATTAATTTTTTTTTGGAAAACAGAATCAGTTACAAGTAGACTTTTAATATATAATACTATGCATTAGTTAGTTGGGGTCTCCCTTCTGCGAAATTAAGAATGTGATATTTTTGTTTTTAAGAATTTTCCAGTTCATATGAAGAGGTGATCTCTCAAATAAATACGTCATTACCTGCTCCCCACAGTTGGCCTCTTTTGGAATGGCAACGGCAGAGACATCACTGTCCAGGTAATTTCATTCTGGCTTCTTCGGATTTGTTAGTGTGACTGTAGTCAAACCTCTTTCTCTTCAAACCAGCTCAGTCTTGAAATTTGCTCTGAAAGCACATTCTTGTGTTTATGAGAATTCTTTGGTGTTTTAAGTCATTGAATCTGTCAAATCCTATTTCTTTATATTTGGGTTAGAATTTTCTTGGTGCAATACAAACTCGTTTACTTGAAAGTAAGAGCAACCCAAGTCAGTTTAGTTTAAACAAACAAAAAAAGAAAGCATATATATCATGTCACTGAGCAGTCTAGATTGAGGCCCACCTTCAGGCATAGCTATGTTCAGTTACTGAAGAAACGCCATCAGTACTCAGGATCTCTGATTGATCTATCTGTTTTTGTTGTTGTTGTTGATGATGGGCAATTGAGTTATTTCCTGCTTTCTGTGACATGAACAGTGTTACCTTGAACATTCTTAGTCGGTCTTCTAGTGCATATGTGCAAGATTTTCTCCTGGGTGCCTAAGTAGGAGTAGAATTGTTGGCTCAGGAGGTGTGTGAATATTCAAGTAATAAGATAATGCCAAATTGTTTTGAAAGTAGATAGGTCATGTTACTCCCATCAGCAATATATTAGAAATGCCACATCTTCTCCAGTTGTCAAATTTTTCTTATTTATGGTTGTCCTTCTCTTGACCTCCTTCTTCTCAATCAAATGTGTATAAAATGGTATGTCTTTGTGATGTGCATTTCCCTGGTTATTGATTGGGTTGAGCATCTCTCCATATACTTACTGGCCATATATATTTCATCTTCTGTGCAGTGTCTATTTTGTCTTTGACCATTTTTCTAATAAGCTTTGTCTTTTTCTTATTGATTTATAGGAGTAATTTAGAGATTCTAGAATAAAATCCTCTTTTAGTCATAGGTATTAACGACTACCAAATGTTTTCTCCAAGCTGGTGGCTTGCATTTTCTCTTTTCTTAAGGTATACTCTCATAAGTAGTAGTTTTAAATTTTAATGTAGGCAAAACTATCATTTAAAATGTTGCGGTTTAGTGCTCTTTGTGCCTTGCATAAGAGATCCTTCTATACACTAGGATTATAAAGATATTTCTTTTAATTTTCTCCTAAAAATTTTAAAGTTTTGCACTCAACATTTAACATGTAAATACACAATCCAGAGGTGGGCGGATCACTTGAGGCCAAGAGAACAGCCTGGCCAACATGGTGAAGCCGTGTCTCTACTAAAATACAAAAATTAGCCAGGTGTGGTGGTGCACACCTGCAGACCCAGCTACTCAGGAGACTGAGGCACAAGAATCATTTGAATCCAGGAGGCGGAGCTTGCAGTGGGCTGAGATCACACCACTGTACTCCAGCCCAGGCAACAGCGTGAGACCTTGTCTCAGTAAGTAACAAACAAACAAACAAACAAATAAATAAATACACAATCCATCTCAATAGACAGTAATGTAGCATGCTATTTCATTTTATTCCATGTGGATAACAACTTTCCCAGCCGCAATACTGAAAAGTCTCACTTTCACCATGATCTGCCATGCCACCTTCATCATATTACTAAGTACAATTCACCTTTGAACAAAAGGTGCAGTCGAAAATCGGTGTATAACTTTTGACTTTCCAAAAAGTTAACTACTAATAGCTTACTTTTGACCCAAAGCCTTACCAATAACGTAGTCAATTAACACATATTTTGTGTGTATCATATACTATATTCTTACAATAAGTATCATATACTATATTCTTACAATAAAGTAAGCTAGAGAAAAGAAAATGTTATTGAGAAAGTCATAAGGAAGAGGAAATATATTTTCTATAAATTAGGTGTAAATGGATCATTTAGAGGTCTTCGTACTCATTGCCTTCACGTTGTGTAGGCTGAGGAAGAGAAGGGTTGGTCTTGCTATCTTGGGGTGGCAGAGGTGGAAGAAGATCTTGGCGTAAGTGGACCCATGCAATTCAAACCCATGTTGTTCAAGGGTCAACTGTATATCTATAGATAATCCTCTTTCTAGAATCTCTATTATGTTTCCTTGATCAAATTGTCTGTCCCTGCCACTGTAATGTTATACTAAGTATCGATATCTGGTAGGGTAAGCCCTTTAGTTTTTCTTTGAGAGTGTCTAGGCAATTTTTAATCATTTAATCTTCTATACACACTTTAGAATCTGCTTAAATGCCAAAAAAACTTTTGGGATTTTGATTTGCAGTTACAGTGCATCTCTAGATAGATTTGGGAAGACATGGCATATTTATATCAGTAAGTTGTATCCTTGAGTATAGGAAATCTTTTTACTTATTTATATCTTCTTTAATGCCTTTATAGTTTCATAAATTTCTGTGTACACATTTTGTACATCTTTTATTACACTTATGTCTAGGTTCCTTTTATTTTTGTTGTTGTAAAGATATTTTTTTTAAAAGTTCCATTTTCTTGTTTATTGCTAATGTGTAGAAATGCAGTTGATTTTTACATACTGAGTTTATATAAGGCCACATTGTTAGGTTTCCTTATTATTTTAAATAATCTGTCCATAGATTATTTACATTTTGTATAAACAAATATGCAGATCATAAAATGTTTTGTCTTTTCCTTTCCAATCTTTCTGCCTTTAATGTCTTTTTTTCTTGTCCTAATGAACTGAAGAAAACTTTTAGACAATTCTTAATGCAAATAGTCTTAGTTCAGATTTTAAAGAGAGTGTGTCTATGGCTTTCCCATTTAAATTGAGGTTTGCCCAACATGGCACATGTATACCTATGTAACAAACCTGTGCATTGTGCACATGTACCCCAGAACTTAAAGTATAATAATAAAAAAAAGAAATTGAGGTTTGCCTTAGGTACTTTGAATATACCATTATCAGGCTAAGGAAGTTTAATGATATTTCTAGTTTACTAAATGTTTTTTCTTTTTTTATCATGGATGAATACTGAATTTTATCAAACACATTTTCTACTCCTGTTGACATGATTAAATGTTTTTAATATGTTGATTGGCAAATGATGTTTAATATTTTCTATTAAGCCTTTTTTGCATTCCTGGAACAAACTCAGTTCGGTCTTGCAGTATTATCTTTTTTATGCATTTTTATTCAGCTGCTAATACTTAATTTAGAATTTCTGTATCTAAATCCATGAGTGACAAGGTCTAAGAATAGTTTTCTCTCTTTCTTTGTCTAGTATTTGTATTAAAATTGTGCTGAACTCAGAATGAGTTGGGGATTATTTCCTCTTTTCCTATCCTTTGAAAAAATTTATATAAGATTAGAATGATATGCTTGAAATTGTGGTGGAATTTGCCTGTAAAATGGTTTGTCTTCCTTTTGTGGGAAGACTGTTAGTTCTTTTTTCAATCAGGAACTGGCTCTGTCACCCAGGCTGAAGTGTAGCGGTGTGATCATGGCTCACTGCAGCTTCAAGCTCTTGGGCTCAAGTGATCCAACTGCCTCAGCCTATCAGGGCTCTAGGATTACAGGCTTGAGCCACTGTGCCTGACATATTTCTGGTTTTTTAATAAAAGGGTTGCCTACTCTTTCTGTTTCCTTCGGTGTTAATTTTGGTAAGATATTTTTAAGGAATCCTAAATTCAATAGCTGGCATCTCAGTATTAGTCTGACTTATATTTCAGATCCTTATTTCAGGCTATTTTTATTTTCTTGTGAGAACAAAGCAGATTGGTTTCAAAAATTTATTTACTTTGTGTAGTAAGTACTTTTAAAATGTATGCTTTTTCTAGGTATCTTATATGTTAATTTTTAAAATTTTTATTTCACTAGTTTTTGGGGAACAAGTGGTTTATGGTTACATGAATAAGTTCTTTAGTGGTGACTTCTGAGATTTTGGTGCAGCTATCACCTGAGCAATGTACACTGTACCCAGTGTGTAGTCTTCTATCCCTCATTCCCCTTCCACCCTTCCCCTTGAGTCCCCAAAGTCCTTTGTATCATTCTTAGTCTTTGTGTCCTCATGGCCTAGCTCCCACTTATGAGTGAGAACATACAATATTTGGTTTTCCATTCCTGAGTTACTTCAGTTAGAATAATGGTTCCCACCCCATTCAGGTTGCTGTGAATGCCATTATTTCATTCCTTTTTATGACTGATAGCATTCCATGGTGTATATATACCACATTTTCTTTATCCACTTGATGGCTGATGGGCATTTAGGCTGGTTCCATATTTTTGGAATTGCAAATTGTACTGCTATAAATGTGTGTGCAAACATCTTTCTCATGTAATGACTTATTTTCCTCTCAGTAGATACCCAGTAGTGGGATTGCTGGAGCAAATGGTAGTTCTACTTTTAATTCCCTAATGAATCTCCACACATTTTTCCACAGTGGTTGTAATAGTTTACATTCACACCAGCAGTATAAAAGAATTCCCTTTTCAGTGCATACTTGCCAACATCTATTATTTTTTGACTTTTAATTATGGCCATTCTTGCAGGTGTAAGATGGTCTCATTGTGGACTTAATTTTCATTTCCATGATCATTAGTGATGTTGAGCATATTTTCATGTTCATTGGCCATTTGTATATCTTCTTTTGAGAATTGTCTATTTATATCCTTTGCCCACTTTTTGATGGGATTCTTTGTTTTTTTCTTGCTGATTTGTTTGAGTTCCTCATAGATTCTGGATATCAGTCATTTGTCAGATGCATAGGTTGCAAATATTTTCTCCCACTCTGTGGATTGTCTTTTTACTCTGCTATTTCTTTTGCTGTGCAGAAGCCTTTTAGTTTAGTTACTTCTCATCTATTTATTTTTGTTTTTGTTACATTTGCTTTTGGGTTCTTGGTTATGAACTCTTTGCCTAAGCCAACGTCTAGAATTGTTTTTCTGATGTTATCTTGTAGAATTTTTATGGTTTCAGGTCTTAGATTTAAGTCTTTGATTCCTGTTGGGTTGGTTTTTGTATAAGGTGAGAGATGAGGATCTGGTTTTATTCTTCTACATGTGGCTTGCCGATTATCCCAGCACCATTTGTTGCATGGGGTGTCCTTTCCCCACTTTGTTTTTGCTTGTTTTGTTGAAGATCCAATTGAACTGTAAGCATTAGACTTTCTTTCAGTGTTCTCTATTCTATTCCACTGGTCTACATGCCTATTTTTATATCAGAACCATGCTGTTTTGGTAACTATAGCTTTGTAGCATAATTTGAAGTCAGGTAATGTGATGCCTCCAGATTTGTTCTTTTTGCTTAGTCTTGCTTTTGCTATGTGGACTCTTTTTTGGTGCCATATAAATTTTAGGGTTATTTTTTCTAGTTCTGCGAAGAATGATGATGGTATTTTGATGGGAATTGCATTGATGTAGATTGCTTTTGTCAGTATGGTCATTTTCACAATATTGATTCTACCTATCCATGAACATGGGATGTGTTTCCATTTGTTTGTTTCATCTATGATTTCTTTCAGCAGTGTTTTGTGGTTTTCCTTGTAGAGATCTTTCACCTCCTTGTCTAGGTATATTGCTAAGTATTTTATTTTATTTTGCAGCTGTTGTCGGAGGGATTGAGGTTTTGATTTGATTCTCAGCTTGGTCACTCTTGCTGTATAGCAGTACTAATTTGTGTACATTGGTTTTGTATCCTGAAACTTAATGGAATTCATTTATCAAATCTAGAAGCTTTTTGGATGAGTCTTTAGGGTTTTCTAGGTATACAGTCATTTTTCTGTGAAAAATGACATGGGAATTTTGATAGGGTTTTCGTTGAATCTGTAGATCACTTTGGGTAGTGTGGACATTTTAAAAATATGATTTTTTCAATCCATGAACACAAGCTATCTTTCCATTTATTTGTGTCTTTTCCAATTTCCTTCATCAGCATTTTATAGATATCAGTATAGAAATCTTTCATCTCCTTGATAACATTTATTATCAAGTATTTTTTGTAGCTATTGTAAATGGGAGTGTTTTCTTGATTTCTTTATAGGATAATTTGTTGTTAGTGTATGGAAATGCTACTGATTTTTGTATTCTGAAAATTTACTGAATTCTTTTATTTGTTCTGATCATTTTTTGGTGGCATCTTTAAGGTTTTCTATATATAAGTTCACATTGTGGGCAAACCGTGACAATTTAATTTCTTATTTTCCAGTTTGGATTCTTTTTATTTCTTTTTTCTTCCCTAATTGCTCTGGCTAGGACTTCCATATTGGATAGAAGTGGTGAAATGGGCATCCTTGTTTTGTTCCTGATCTTAGATGAAAAGCTTTCAATGTTTCACCATTGAGCATGGAGTTAGCTCTAGGTTTTTTATATATGGTCTTTGCTGTGGTGAGGTACATTCCTTCTATACCTAGTTGGTTAAGAGGTTTTTTTAAATTACAGAATGTTGAATTTTGTAAAATGCTTTTTCTGTATCCGTTAATATGAGCATATAGTTTTGCCCTTCATTTTATTAATGTGGTATATCACAATTATTGATTTTCACATGTTATACTATGCTTGCATCCCAAGGATAAATCCCACTTATTATGATGAATGATCTTTTTTTTTCTTTTTTTTTTTTTTTGAGACATGGTTTCACTCTTGTTACCCAGGTTGGAGTGCAATGGCGCTATCTTGGCACCCTGCAACCTCCACCTCCCGGGTTCAAGCGATTCTCTTACTTCAGCCTCCCGAGTAGCTGGGATTACAGGTGCCTGCCACCATTTCTGGCTAATTTTCTGTATTTTTAGTAGAGACGGGGTGTCACCATGTTGGCCAGGTTGGTCTTGCACCCCTGACCTCAGGTGATCCACCTGCCTTGGCCTCCCAAAGTGCTGGGATTACAGGCGTGAGCCACTACACTGGGCCGAATGATCCTTTTAATGTGCTGTTGAATTTGGTTTGCTAGCATTTTGTTGAGAATTTTTGCATCTAGTTTCAACAGTGATATTGGCCTGTAACTTTCTTTTTTTTTGTAGTGTCCTTGACTGACTTCATGATCAGGGTAATGTTGACCTCATGAAATGAGTTTGGAAGTATTTCCTCCTCTTCAATTTTTTTGGAAGAGTCTGAGAAGGATTGGTATACTCTTGTATTTGTGAGTGATATCTTTAATCAACTTTGAAAAAACTATAATTGTTTATCTCTTCAAATATTGCTTATCTTATTTTTCTCTCCTTTCTCTTTGTGGGACTTATAAATTTGCTAGACCTTTTGACAGTTTCGGATATATCTCTTATCTTCTGTTTTTACCTTTTTTTTTTTTATTGAGTTTGAGTTCGGACTTTTGCTACCATCCTGTCTTCCTATTGACTAGTCCTGTTTTCTGCTATGCTCTGTCTGCTGTTAAATATTATCAAATAAGTTCTTATTACCACCTACTGTATTTTTCAGTTAAGGAATGCCCACACAATTTTTATCCCTCAATTTTAGTTTTTCTAAGGCTGTAAGAGAATAAGGACATCTTCATCTTTTCATCTATTTTATTATTATTTTTTGTTTTTAAATATATTACAGTTAAAGTCCCTCTTTGATAACTACAATATCTGAAGCACTTGTCAGTCTTTTTCTCTGATCTGATTTTTCTCCTGTTTTCTAGTAATTCATTCTGATTTTTATTCTGTCTCGTAATTTTTTATTGTATCATGGATTACAAATTGTAGAGACTTTGATAGATATTACATTTCTCCAAAAAGGGCTATATTTACTTCTGACAGGTAGTTAGAGTACCACCCATTGCTTTTATTCTTTTGAAGTTTTTTTATCCTTTTCTAGGTATAATAGTTTTTAATTTTGCCGTTACTACTAGGTCATGGCTTTTCTATTGCTGTAATGTCGCTGGTGTTTACCAAGATCCCTCCACTCTTTTGGGACTGGAATTCCAGTCTGTGTTTCCTGAGCACCATGAGGCTGAAGAAACTTACATTCAGCTCTTTAGTCTCCCAGTTGATATTTTCTTCTGTGTTTCCAGCATCTGACCTGTATTAGCCAATGAGTTGAGGGAAATTTGTATGTAGACTTTGGCTTCTTCTCTGCAGCTTCATTTTCTCTGAGATTTTACTTCTCATATTCCAGCTCTTCTTACTTCTTTTCCTCAGCCTAATAAGACTGATGATTTCTCCTTGGGTTCTATTTACCCATGCCATGATATAGAAAATCTACTTAGGGAAAAAGCAGGGGTGAATGTGAAGCTACTTTCTGTGTTTCACCTCTATCAAAGACTGTGGCACTTCAAATACTGCTTTTATTGGTGCTTTCTAGTTCTTTAAATTATTGTTTGAATATATTTTATACAACTTTTACAGTGTTTTTGATGGGAAGATTGGTTTTTTACAAGCTACTTTGCCATGGCTTAAATGGGAACTTCCTAGTGTTTTATAATTTATTATTATTATTTCCTTATTCAGGGCTATCAGGAAGGATAACGTATACTCCAGAAAACCTTTGCAGAAAACTGTTCTTACAACATGAAGGACTTAAGCAATTAATATGTGAAGAAATGGACTCTGTCAGAAAGGGCTCACTGATCTTCTCTAGGAGCTGGTCTGTGGATCTGGGCTTGCAAGAGAACCACAAAGTCCTCTGTGATGCTCTTCTGATTTCCCAGGACAGTCCTCCAGTCCTATACACCTTCCACATGGTACAGGATGAGGAGTTTAAAGGCTATTCTACACAAACTGCCCTAACCTTAAAGCAGAAGCTGGCAAAAATTGGTGGTTACACTAAAAAAGTGTGTGTCATGACAAAGATCTTCTACTTGAGCCCTGAAGGCATGACAAGCTGCCAGTATGATTTAAGGTCGCAAGTAATTTACCCTGAATCCTACTATTTTACAAGAAGGAAATACTTGCTGAAAGCCCTTTTTAAAGCCTTAAAGAGACTCAAGTCTCTGAGAGACCAGTTTTCCTTTGCAGAAAATCTATACCAGATAATCGGTATAGATTGCTTTCAGAAGAATGATAAAAAGATGTTTAAATCTTGTCGAAGGCTCACCTGATGGAAAATGGACTGGGCTACTGAGATATTTTTCATTATATATTTGATAACATTCTCTAATTCTGTGAAAATATTTCTTTGAAAACTTTGCAAGTTAAGCAACTTAATGTGATGTTGGATAATTGGGTTTTGTCTATTTTCACTTCTCCCTAAATAATCTTCACAGATATTGTTTGAGGGATATTAGGAAAATTAATTTGTTAACTCGTCTGTGCACAGTATTATTTACTCTGTCTGTAGTTCCTGAATAAATTTTCTTCCATGCTTGAACTGGGAAAATTGCAACACTTTTATTCTTAATGACAACAGTGAAAATCTCCCAGCATATACCTAGAAAACAATTATAACTTACAAAAGATTATCCTTGATGAAACTCAGAATTTCCACAGTGGGAATGAATAAGAAGGCAAAACTCATTTTCTCAAAACAAAACTCCAGGAATTCTCTGGATCTTCTTGAGCTACTTTCACACTATTTACTTGGAAGGGTTGTGGATTTCCTAACTGGTCAGCTAGCACCTTTAAAGAACTCACAAGAATGGTTACTTTATTTTTCTACAAGCAGTTCTGAATAAAGAAGCGTGAGATGACAAAATATGGAAAATCCTCTCTAACTAAGATTTGAAGGAAAGCAGCCAAGGTATAAGTAGAAACTCTTTTAGACAACGAGAGTTTTCATCAACAAGAGGAAGGAGCACCAGGGTCTGGCATTTCCCACTCATCTAAGATGAGCTAAGGGACCAAGATGAAGCTCAGCAGAGTGGGATACACCCTTGGCTGGGTGTTCTGAATTCATGCCTAAGACCTTCAGTGGGATCTTGGAACAGAGAATAGAGCCTAAATTACCCATCAGGGCCTCAGCCTTCTCCACCACTGTGTCCAATGCCAGAGGAAGTCGATCAATGCATTCAGTATTCTGAGAAAAGTTTTACTAACACATATTTTGCCAAACGAGATGATGTTTGACTATAAAGGAAATAGGCAGACATTCTTATCAAAGGATATAGGGAACGGAACGTAGTTCTCTTCTACCTTCTTGAAAACTATGTTACAATGAAATCCAGCCAATGAAGAGATGAATCAAAATGAAGAACCTAAAACGAGAGCATACTTGCACTCCTGGAGTCTCTCTCCAGCCCTGAACTGTGGCCAGCACAGTGTGTCAGCCTGTACCAGCTGCCGGTATGGGTGACCTGGGCACAGGCAAGGCCATCATCATCACACACTGTGTGCACCAGAACTCCTCTTGGCATCTCCAAGCCAGTTCACCATTGTGTGAACTGTGCACTGAAGGAGCTCCACTGGGACTCAGAGGCCTTGGCACAACTGCAGCTGTGGAACATTGCGATGAGGAAAGATTGGGAAAATGACAAGAGCCCATTGTCTGGAATTCATAGGTGCATTGATTGTCTTCAGTATCACCAGCCCAGCCCCATTTGAAGCAGAGCCAAAGTGGAAAAATGATTTGGACTAAACGTTAACTCATGGCAGACCAGTTTCTGTGGTTCTGTTGGCCAAGAAATGTGACCATGGGAGGATGAATGCAGAAACAGCAGCCTCAAGATGGGCCAGATCTACATGGAACATAGTTTTGTAGGATAAATTGAAACATCAGCAAAAGAAAATGTGAACTTTGATGAAGCCTCCAGGTGCCTGGATGCCAAATAGACAAATACAGAATATAAGAAAACACAATAAGAGTCATTGGCCCCGTGCCTATTTGGCATCATTGCAAGAAACCTGGGGTAGTAATAGTGGACGTATTTAGAGAGTGAGGCATAAGCTCACCTAAACAGCCTAGAAAATGTTTACTATGAGAGTAAGAAGGAAGAACACAAGTGGATATACGAGGAGTCCTTGCAATCTGGCCCATCAGTAAGTTTTTCATGTGTGCATCATTAGTCAAGAAAGTAGATCTGAAATTTTGGGGGGTCTTTAGTATAATCTTGGTGGAGTTGTAAAGTGGATTAAAAGTCTGAATTATATATATATCAAAGTGGCAGGTCTGGCAGTCATATTGTTGAACAGTGTGGCTGATACATTAATAATGTATGTGTACATTCGTGTATGTGTGTATAACCAAGGGGAAGGGGTGGTCATGGTCAGAGATGTAAGACAAGAGGTCGGCGGGGGGAAGCTTCAGGGAGTGGTAGGGGAGGGCACTGGGGAGCGAGTGGGTCAAGGAGTTGACTAATAGGAAACAACTACCTCCAGGAGAAGGCAATAATCTCCATTACTTTTTATTATTTTATTTTTTTTTTTAGGGACAAGGTCTTGCTCTGTTGGCTGGGCTGGATTGCAGTGGTGTGATCATAGCTTACTGCATCACTGAACACATGGGCTCAAAAGATTCTCTCACCTAAGCCTCCTGAGTAGCTAGGACTACAGACACCACCAACTCACCTGGCTAATTTTTAAAATTTTTGTAGAGATAGGGTATCACTACGTTGCTCAGGCCGGTCTCAACTCCTGGGGTTAAGCAGTCCTCCCATCTTGGCCTCCCAAAGGGCTCGAATAGGCAAAATTGAGCTGTTTAATGAGAAGCAGTGGGGATAATTATCCCCTTTCATAATGAGGTTCTATATAACAAGTCTTAATCCTTGAAGGGCCTATTCTAACTTAAATTGTGCCATATTAACTATTTTAAAGAGGGATTTATAGGGTCCCATTTTATCAAGCCATTTTTTAAGTGCCAAAATTTTAACTTTAGTTTATTATTTGTTGTGTCAGAGAGTCTGTGTCCAATAAGAGATACTTTAAAGCAATGGGTACAAAACTATGGGAAATTCAACCAAAGCAGTAAAGTGAGGGATAGTTATCCAAAATATTTTTTAACTTTAGTTACCTTTTTAAGATTAGAGGGCATACAATATTTAAATTTAATGAGAACCCCAAGTATAATATGTATTTTTTTGAGAAGGAGTTTCGCTCTTGTTGCCCGGGCTGGAGTGCAATGATGCTATCTTGGCTCACGGCAACCTCCGCTTCCCGGGTTCAAGTGATTCTCCTGACTCAGCCTCCCGAGTAGCTGGGATTACAGGCACCTGCCACCATGCCTGGCTAATTTTTGTATTTTTAGTAGAGACAGGGTTTCACCATGTTGGCCAGGCTGGTTTTGAACTCCTGACCTCAGGTGATCCACTCGCCTCGGCTTCCCAAAGTGCTTGGATTACAGGTGTAAGCCACCACGGCCCACTCCAAGTATAATTGGAGCCCCAGTATTGATTGAGTCCATGAAGTATGTCAGCTGGTATATTTTAGCAAATGCTAAAGTTAATTTAGACCTTATGTTGTAGAGACAAAAAATCTAATCAATGTCCTTTTATCTTTTTGTAATATAAATTCTTTGGTATATACATTCTGGATTTCTAATTGGGCCAAATTATGGACATTTGTTTTAATTTAGTTACTTATGTTATATCCATATCTATATGTACACATACAATCTATTCCTTAAGTCTATATTGAAATATTATATCGAAGGCCTGACCAGAGTGTCCGCCATGGAGTCGCAGAAAGAGGCGCGACCCCGTCGCGCGACCGCCTGGGGCCTCAAGGTCTCAGACGCCAAACTACAAGGAGCAGCGGGAGGGCGGCGCAGTGCTGGCGACGGCTGCCCTGGGAACAGAGGCGGACGACGCTAGTGCGGGCGGGCTGTGGGAGCTGCAGGTGGAGCCGAGGAGCTGAGGCCTGCGTGCAGCCGCTGCAAGCCGGCCTCAGAAAGTGTGTTTTTGTCCATTTCTCCCAGCGCACCCTTTGCATATCTCTACCTACTTGTGCATAATTCAGCATCCAGCAGAGGAAGACAAAATGTTGCGGACAGTTCCTCTACCAGCAGCATGCCTCCCCCAGGACAAGCGCAAAGTGAAGACTGGTCGTCGCTTCAGTGAAGAAAGAGATCCTGAACTTTCAACTGTTTGCCGGAAGTTTGGTACATTAATGTTATATCCAGGGGCTAATATAAGAAGCTGCTAATCTGGAAGAATTTATATTAGATTCTCCTGTTTATCCTTCTACAATCATCGTCATTGATGGTACACGGAGCCAGGCTAAGGACATTTTCTGTAAGAATTCCTTGTTCTGACACCCCCAAACAGGTGCAGTTAAAAACGAGCATTTCTAGTCAGTATGTAATTCGGATACAGCCAATTAATAGATGTCTTTCTACACTGGAGTGTGCACCTGTTGCTCTTTCCATCTTGGAGAAAAATAATTACATACAAGAGACTTTGCTTCGCCCTCTTGAAGCTTTATGCTCTTTCCAGATTTAGCATGGTGCCCAAATTGGCCCCAGCAAGCAACGCCTTCTGAAAAAATGGATTATATCCTAAACCAATGCCAAAGAACAAACACAAACTCAGGAAAATGGAACTATTAAAGAATAGTGTTAAAATTTAGTACAGTTGTTCTTTTGGTGTTAGCTTACCTGTCTTCATCTAACAATACCAACTTAAGTTTTCATATAGTTTAGGTCTGTAGGTTTTTGACTTGCTAATGAGAATTGCATACTAATCTTGCCCAGAAGAAGGAAGTAAACCAAATATTCATAGAAACAAACAAACGAATGAAAATTCACTGGCTCACTGAAAAGGAAGATTTCATACTGTACTTGTTTTTAAACATGTGCCTCTAATAATACATGTTTTCAAACCCAAATTTAAAGTGTGATTTGTTGTTGAGCTGGGTTAGAAGTTCTTGCTTGTAAAATAGAAGGAAATCCTTGTGGTAGATTGGAACAGTATTGTTTCCATTAATGTTTATAAATAAGTAGGTGTAGACCAATAATATAAGATACCTACATCAATTTGCAGTCCTAACTTTATAGTTTGAAGTAAGTAGCAAAAGAAAATTATGATAATTAATTCATTATTTTGTAAAACACTATAAAGGAATAAGAAAACTTTATTGTTAGGGGCTAAATTTGAATTTAGCTAATACGATTTAAGTGTTCTATTAATTGCCCTGATTTTTAAAGAGGTACATGTAATTTTGAAATAGCACACATTTTCATTTGCAATCACTCTGGGGATAAATTTTTATTTTTCAGTGTTCATTGAACAGGCTTATTGACTATGGTAAACTTATTTTATTGAAGTTTTCAACCGGAAAATAGTAAGTGGAATATGATACAACTGTTATTTTCAGAACATATTTCTTTAGGGCTATTTAAAATAACCTTTTTAAAGGGCAAAAACTTTCAATTTGAGAGAACAAATTCCTCTCCTCTGTGGGAAAATATTGGCTGAGATTTTGTATAGAATAAGAGACATGTATGTAACATATATTTATATTCAGCATAAGTCTACTGCAATCATGTACACATCTTAGCAAGACGAGAGGATTTTGTTTAGTCTTTGTTTATGACTTCTACAGTTTCCTGTATCTAGTGTTAAGTTGTAAGGAAAAACTAAACATGCAATTTAAAGGTAAACTTGATAACTATTTATGGAACATAAGCATACACCAATGGTTATTTCTCACAGTTTTCATGCGCATTTGTTTATTGTTTACTTGGATTAGGCTCATTAAAAACCATAATGCTGGTCACAATTAGAATGCTAATATTTGGGGAAGCTATGCAGAAAATATTTTAAAATAGTAAAAGTTAGAGTGCTATCTTCTGTTGTTGATTTATTTTTGGATTTAAAAACAAATTAGGGCTGGGCCCAGTAGCTCACACCTGTAATCCCAGCACTTTGGGAGGCTGAGATGTGAGAATTGCTTGAGCCCAGGAGTTTGAGACCAGCCTGGGCAACACGGTGAGACCCCAACTCCACGCAATTTTTTTTTTTAATAATTAGCCAGACATGGTGGTGTGCACCTGTGGTCTCAGCTGCTTGGGAGGCTGAGGCAGGAGGATTGCTTGGGCCCAGGAGGTCGAGGCTGCAAGGAGCTGTGTTTATTCCACTGCACTCCAGCCTGGATTACAGAGTGAGACCTATCTCCATAAATAAATAAACAAATTAGCTCATTTACAGTGTAAAACACCTAATATCAGATGATTATTTGGTGCTCTAGAAAAGAAATAGCACATAATACTATATAATATAGTTTCTTAACAAGTGGGGCTAAAAATCATTTTATAGTAATTTTTCACATTGATATTAAACTTCATGAGTTTCCTTTAGTCATTATTATTTTTTAAAAAGAAAACTCCCCCCACCCCTAATATACCATTTTGTATCTCAAAATTTTACTTTGTTGATTTTTAAAGAGTAATTTCTACTTTTATCTTTTAAATAAAACATTTTTGTGTATTTTTCAAGACAAAAAGCTTAACATTTAGTGTTTTTGGAAATGTATTAACGTTTTCTTGAAGTATGTATAGTTTTCCAAATTATTTTACTGATCTGTTAACGCACTTTACTTGTTTTTAACTTATTTTTTCATGACCCCTTTACAAGGTGAGTCCATTTAATCATCTGTGGTATAAAATGCTTCTCTAGCCACCTGTTCTCATTAAACAGTTTTAAGTAAGTTTTAAAAGCCATTCTTTTAATTACTAAAAGTTCTCAAAGTGTGTAGTATTATGTGAATATTTTAACTGAAAATTTAATCAGGCTTTTAAAAATTACTTTTTTATTGTATTAGTTGACTTCTAAATTCAGATTCTTTATATTTGCTTGATTTTCCTGGAAGTTCCAGGCTCTATGAATTTGTAGCTGATAGTAGAGGCTTTACTTGTGTACCCCAAATGCACTTTGATGTGGTGTAGATGGTTTTGTGAGTTATCTGAGCCATGTAACTCAGAGAATAGTATTTCCTTGTACATAAAGTGACCTCACTTTTAATCAGCCCATTTATGGTATGTTGAAATCACTGTGTGTAATGAGAGATACTGAGAGTTTCTCATGCATATGAGTACAAAGGGTTGAGAACTATATTATACAAAGTAAGTCACAGTGCATGGCAACTCTCTACAGGTTGGATTACAAGACTTCGTATGTGGAGTAAGATAATTATATTGGGAAAAATTATTTTCACTAACTTTAAGACTCCAGAGACACTTTTCTCAGCCATGACCAGTAATGTTTTTAAAAGATTTTGGAAGGAATAGCTCCTCACTATACCACCAGTTCGTGATTTTAAGGGAGGAGACAACCCCTCATACTGTCTTATGCCCAATTTCTGCCTCCAAAGAAAGAAGTAAAATCTAAAAGGCAGAAATGAAATCCACAAGCAGACAGCCTGGCCCCACATCCTGGGCCTGGTAGTTAAAGATTGACCCATGACCTAATCGGTTATGTTATCTATAGATTACAGACATTGTATAGAAAAGTACCATGAAAATCCCTGTCCTGTCCTGTTCCATTCTAATTACCGGTGCAGGCAGCCCCGAGTCACGTACCCCCTGTTTGCTCCATCGATCACGACCCTCTCATGCGGACCCCCTTAGAGTTGTGAGCCCTTAAAGGGACAGGAATTGCTCACTCGGGGAGCTCGGTTTTTGGAGACATGAGTCTTGCTGAAGCTCCTGGCTGAATAAAGCCCTTTCTTCTTTAACTCGGTGTCTGAGGGGTTTTGTCTGTGGCTTGTCCTGCTACAATTTATTTATTTATTTATTTTAAAGAGACAGGGTCTCCTTCTCTCAACCAGTTTGGAGTGCAGTGGTATAATCATGGCTCACTGCTGGCTTGAACTTCTGGGCTCGAGTGTTCCTCCTGCCTCAGTCTCCCAAGTAACTAGAACCTCAGCCCCACACTCAGCTAATTTAAAATTTTAATTCCATTTAATTTTTGCGGAGATGGGGGTCTGACTATGTTGTTTAGGCTGGTTCTGAACTCCTGGCCTCGAGAGATCCTTCTGCCTTGGCCTCTCAGTTAATAAATTAGATAGAACACTTCTGTATAATTTATTCAGCTTATTCATCACATATTTCCAACTGTTGCTCCAAATAGGTTTAAAAATGTGACCATGTTATTAGAGAATCCTTTCCATTGAATTTCAGGGATGCTTAATTTTAGGGAGCTAAATTGTTGACCCTTGTATGTAATTGTTATTGGTACAGAAGTAAATTTTATTGATGCTACAAGTAAAAAATTAGATCTGACTTAGTAAACTCAGAAGTTTTACATAACTATATTTTACTATGTAGATGTATTTAAAATAGGTACAGATGGGCATTTATGAATAAATAATAATGAATAACAGTTGGAGACCAAAAGGAAGTGGTACAATATTTTTCAAATGCTGAAAGATAAGGACTCTCAACCTGGAATTCTATGCACAGAGAATATATTCTTCAGAAATGAAAGGGAGATCAAGACATTCTCACATGAAGGAAAAATAAGAGAATTCATCACCAGAGGACCTACCCTAATAGAACAGCTAAAAGAAGTTAGCTAAAGAGAAAAAAAATGCAAAAAGAAGGAGTCATGGAACATCAGGAAGGAAAAAGAACACAGTAAGTACAAAAAACAGTAGGCTTTCCTTCTCTGCTTAAGTCTTCTAAATTACATTTGACAGTTGAAACAAAAATTACAACACTGTCTGATGTGATTCTACATGTTTATAGAGGAAATACTTAATATATTATTATAAACAAGTGAAAATGATTAAAGAGACATAACTGGAGGTAAGATTTCTATATCCTACTAGGACTGGTAAAATGATGACACCAGTACACCGTGAAAAATTATGTATATATAATGCAATATCTAGAGCAACCACTATAAAAACTATACAAACAGATACACTAAAAACATAATAGATACATCATAATGGAATTCTAAATAATATTCATACAACCCACAGGAAGACAGGAAAAAGTAAAGAAAAACAGACAGAAGAAATATAAATCAAAAAATAAAAGGGGATACTTAAGCCCAAACATATAAATAATTACAGGAAGTGTAAATGGTCTAAATACACCAATTAAAAAACAAATTGGTAGAGTATATTTAAAAACACGACCCAACTACATGCTGTCTAAAGAAACTCACTTCAAATGTATGGAAATTGAAAGTAAATGGATGGAAAAAGAATTATGCAAGCAAAGGAAAGCAGGAGTGGCTACACTAATATCAGATAAAGTAATATCTGATATTACTTTAAGTAAGATTTTACTTTTAGTAAAATTGCCAGAGACAGACAGGGACATTATATAATGATGAACATCAGTCCATCAAGAAGATATAGTGATTGTATGTGTATGTGTTTCAAACAACAGACCTGCGAAATATGTGACACAAAAAGTGTTAGAACTGAAATGAGAAATAGACTCTACAATTATAGCTGGACACTTTAACACCCTTCTATCAATACCTGCTAGAACAAGTAGACAAAAAAATCTGCAACAGGAGCCTGGGTAACATAGCAAGACCCCATCTCTACAACAACAACAAAATTAGCTGGGGAAGATGGTGTGCACCTGCAGTCCTGGCTACTTGGAAGGCTGAAGCAGGAGGATCACTTGAGCCCAAGAGGATGAGGTTGCAGTGAGCTATGATTATGCCACTGCTCTCCAGCCTGTGTGACAGAGTGAGAACCTGTCTCTACAAAAAAAAAAAAAAGGAAAATATACAAGGATATAGAAGAACGTAACACCACCAGTCAACAGCAGTCAACACGATCTAACTGACATATACAGAAATCTCTACCTAATGGCAACAGAATATACATTCTTTTCAAATGCCATGGAACATATACCAAGATAGACCATAACCTGAGCCATAAAAGAAACCTAAATAAATTTTAAAGATTAAAGTTTTAAAGATTAAAATTAAACTCAAAGGGTGTTCTATGGCCTAAATGGAATCAAACTACAAATCAATAACAGAAAGATAACAGGAAACTCTCCAAACACTTAAAAACTAAAAACACACTTCTAAATAATCCATAGATCAAAGAGGAAGTCTCATGGGAAATTTTAAAAATGTATTTAAGTGAGTGAAAATGGAAATACAGTATATCAAAATTTGTGAGACATAGGTAGTGACAGTAAGGAGATTCAGTGATGAAAGTGAAATTTAAGCACTAAATGCACACATTAGTGTGGTAGGCTGAATTATAGCCCCCGTAACGATGTAAATATCCTAATCTCTAGTACCTGTGAATGTGTTGCCTTAACATAGTAAAAGGGACTTTCTGGATGTGACTAAATTAACACTTTTGTGATGAGATTATCTTGGATTATCCAGGTGGATCCAATATTATCACAAGGGTCCTTATAAGAAGGACTCAGGAGAATCAGCCACAGAAAGAGAAAATATATAAGGATGGAAGCACAGGATAGAGCCAAGAGAAGGTGCTGTGCACTGCTGGCTTTGAAGATGGAGGAAGGGGCTACAAACCAAGGCACGCAGTCAGCCTCTAGAAGCTGGAAAAAGCAAGGAAATGGATTTTCCCCTACAGCTCCAGAAGGAATACAAGCCAGCCGACACCTTGATTTCAGCTCAGGGAAACTGATTTTGGATTTCTGACTTTCAGAACTGTATGATAAATTCATGTTGTTTTAAGCTGCTAACTTTGTGGTAATTTGTTACAGCAGCAATAGGAAACTAATATAATTAGAAAGGAAGAGGCCGGGCATGGTGGCTCACGCCTGTAATCCCAGCACTTTGGGAGGCCAAGGCGGGCAAATCACTTGAAGTCAGGAGTTTGAGACCAGCCTGACCAACGTGGTGAAACCCTGTCTCCAATAAAAATACAAAAAAATTAGCCAGGCATGGTTGCACATGCCTGTAGTCCCAGCTACTCGGGAGGCTGAGGCAGGAGAATGGCTTGAACCTGGGAGGCGGAGGTTGCAGTGAGTCGAGATCTCACCACTGCACTCCAGCCTGGGTAACAGAGTGAGGCTCTGTCAAAAAAAAAAAAAAAAAAAAAAAAAGAAGAGTTGCTATGCTCCCCCTTTAAGATCATAGAAAAAGTAGAGCAGAATAAACCCAAAACAAGCAGAAAAGAAGGAAATAAACAGCAAAAATCAATAAAACTGGAAACAGAAAAATAGGAAAATCAATAGAACAAACAGCCAGTTATTTGAAAAAAGACCCACAAGACTGGCAAATCTCTTGGGAGATTTACAACGAAGGAAAATAGCATATAAACTACCAATATCAGGAATGAAATGGGGGAATATCAATACAGAATGTTAGTCCAAACTGCACCATTTTGTAAGTCCCCCGCCATTTCGCAGACCTTGGTGAAAGTAAAACATTCCACGGGGGTTGGAGCCATGAGAAACAGCCTGCCTCATATTCTGCTGGGAGCAAGTGCAAGGAACACCATATTCTCCCAGAACAAGAGCCAGAACCACCTCATCCTGGGAACACATTATCAACGTTCTCCAGGGCAGCAAGCCATACTGCCCAGACCCCTTCCACCCATATCTATAAGTAACCCAACCTGTAAGCAGCAGTGGGCACTGGCATTAAGCTGGTTCCCCACTTTTTTTTTTTATTATACTTTAAGTTTTAGGGTACATGTGCATAATGTGCCGGTTAGTTACATATGTATACATGTGCCATGCTGGTGCGCTGCACCCACTAACTCGTCATTTAGCATTAGGTATATCTCCCAATGCTATCCCTCCCCCCTCCCCCCACCTCACAACAGTCCCCAGAGTGTGATGTTCCCCTTCCTGTGTCCATGTGTTCTCATTGTTCAAATCCCACCCATGAGTGAGAACATGTGGTGTTTGGTTTTTTGTTCTTGTGATAGTTTACTGAGAATGATGATTTCCAGTTTCATCCATGTCCCACAGAGGACAAGAACTCATCATTTTTTATGGCTGCATAGTATTCCAAGGTGTATATGTGCCACATTTTCTTAATCCAGTCTATCATTGTTGGACATTTGGGTTGGTTCCAAGTCTTTGCTATTGTGAATAGTGCTGCAATAAACATACGTGTGCATGTGTCTTTATAGCAGCATGATTTATAGTCCTTTGGGTATATACCCAGTAATGGGATGGCTGGGTCAAATGGTATTTCTAGTTCTAGATCCCTGAGGAATCGCCACACTGACTTCCACAATGGTTGAACTAGTTTACAGTCCCACCAACAGCGTAAAAGTGTTCCTATTTCTCCACATCCTCTCCAGCACCTGTTGTTTCCTGACTTTTTAATGATTGCCATTCTAACTGGTGTGAGATGATATCTCATTGTGGTTTTGATTTGCATTTCTCTGTTGGCCAGTGATGGTGAGCATTTTTTCATTTGTTTTTTGGCTGCATAAACGTCTTCTTTTGAGAAGTGTCTGTTCATGTCCTTCACCCACTTTTTGATGGGGTTGTTTGTTTTTTTCTTGTAAATTTGTTTGAGTTCATTGTAGATTCTGGATATTAGCCCTTTGTCAGATGAGTAGGTTGCGAAAATTTTCTCCCATTTTGTAGGTTGCCTGTTCACTCTGATGGTAGTTTCTTTTGCTGTGCAGAAGCTCTTTAGTTTAATTAGATCTCATTTGTCAATTTTGTCTTTTGTTGCCATTGCTTTTGGTGTTTTAGACATGAAGTCCTTGACCATGCCTATGTCCTGAATGGTAATACCTAGGTTTTCTTCTAGGGTTTTTATGGTTTTAGGTCTAACATTTAAGTCTTTAATCCATCTTGAATTAATTTTTGTATAAGGTGTAAGGAAGGGATCCAGTTTCAGCTTTCTACATATGGCTAGCCAGTTTTCCCAGCACCATTGATTAAATAGGGAATCCTTTCCCCATTGCTTGTTTTTCTCAGGTTTGTCAAAGATCAGATAGTTGTAGATATGCGGCGTTATTTCTGAGGGCTCTGTTCTGTTCCATTGATCTATATCTCTGTTTTGGTACCAGTACCATGCTGTTTTGGTTACTGTAGCCTTGTAGTATAGTTTGAAGTCAGGTAGTGTGATGCCTCCAGCTTTGTTCTTTTGGCTTAGGATTGACTTGGCGATGTGGGCTCTTTTTTGGTTCCATATGAACTTTAAAGTAGTTTTTTCCAATTCTGTGAAGAAAGTCATTGGTAGCTTGATGGGGATGGCATTGAATCTATAAATTACCTTGGACACTATGGCCATTTTCACGATATTGATTCTTCCTACCCATGAGCATGGAATGTTCTTCCATTTGTTTGTATCCTCTTTTATTTCCTTGAGCAGTGGTTTGTAGTTCTCCTTGAAGAGGTCCTTCACATCCCTTGTAAGTTGGATTCCTAGGTATTTTATTCTTTTTGAAGCAATTGTGAATGGGAGTTCACTCATGATTTGGCTCTCTGTTTGTCTGTTGTTGGTGTATAAGAATGCTTGTGATTTTTGCACATTGATTTTGTATCCTGAGACTTTGCTGAAGTTGCTTATCAGCTTAAGGAGATTTTGGGCTGAGACAATGGGGTTTTCTAGATATACAATCATGTCATCTGCAAACAGGGACAATTTGACTTCCTCTTTTCCTAACTGAATACCCTTTATTTCCTTCTCCTGCCTAATTGCCCTGGCCAGAACTTCCAACACTATGTTGAATAGGAGTGGTGAGAGAGGGCATCCCTGTCTTGTGCCAGTTTTCAAAAGGAATGCTTCCAGTTTTTGCCCATTCAGTATGATATTGGCTGTGGGTTTTTCATAGATAGCTCTTATTATTTTAAAATATGTCCCATCAATACCTAATTTATTGAGAGTTTTTAGCATGAAGGGTTGTTGAATTTTGTCAAAGGCCTTTTCTGCATCTATTGAGATAATCATGTGGTTTTTGTCTTTGGTTCTGTTTATATGCTGGATTACACTTATTGATTTGCATATATTGAACCAGCCTTGCATCCCAGGGATGAAGCCCACTTGATCATGATGGATAAACTTTTTGATGTGCTGCTGGATTCGGTTTGCCAGTATTTTATTGAGGATTTTTGCATCAATGTTTATCAAGGATATTAGTCTAAAATTCTCTTTTTTGGTTGTGTCTCTGCCTGGCTTTGGTATCAGGATGATGCTGGCCTCATAAAATGAGTTAGGGAGGATTCCCTCTTTTTCTATTGATTGGAATAGTTTCAGAAGGAATGGTACCAGTTCCTCCTTGTACCTCTGGTAGAATTTGGCTGTGAATCCATCTGGTCCTGGACTCTTTTTGGTTGATAAGCTATTGATTATTGCCACAATTTCAGCTCCTGTTATTGGTCTATTCAGAGATTCAACTTCTTCCTGGTTTAGTCTTGGGAGAGTGTATGTGTTGAGGAATTTATCCATTTCTTCTAGATTTTCTAGTTTATTTGCGTAGAGGTGTTTGTAGTATTCTCTGATGGTAGTTTGTATTTCTGTGGGATCGGTGGTGATATCCCCTTTATCATTTTTTATTGCATCTATTTGATTCTTCTCTCTTTTTTTCTTTATTAGTCTTGCTAGCAGTCTATCAATTTTGTTGATCCTTTCAAAAAACCAGCTCCTGGATTCATTAATTTTTTGAAGGGTTTTTTGTGTCTCTATTTCCTTCAGTTCTGCTCTGATCTTAGTTATTTCTTGCCTTTTGCTAGCTTTTGAATGTGTTTGCTCTTGCTTTTCTAGTTCTTTTAATTGTGATGTTAGGGTGTCAATTTTGGATCTTTCCTGCTTTCTCTTGTGGGCATTTAGTGCTATAAATTTCCCTCTACACACTGCTTTGAATGCGTCCCAGAGATTCTGGTATGTTGTGTCTTTGTTCTCGTTGGTTTCAAAGAACATCTTTATTTCTGCCTTTATTTCATTATGTACCCAGTAGTCATTCAGGAGCAGGTTGTACAGTTTCCATGTAGTTGAGCGGTTTTGAGTGAGATTCTTAATCCTGAGTTCTAGTTTGATTGCACTGTGGTCTGAGAGATAGTTTGTTATAATTTCTGTGCTTTTACATTTGCTGAGGAAAGCTTTACTTCCAACTATGTGGTCAATTTTGGAATAGGTGTGGTGCTGAAAAAAATGTATATTCTGTTGATTTGGGGTAGAGAGTTCTGTAGATGTCTATTAGGTCCGCTTGGTGCAGAGCTGAGTTCAATTCCTGGGTATCCTTGCTGACTTTCTGTCTCGTTGATCTGTCTATTGTTGAGAGTGGGGTGTTAAAGTCTCCCATTATTAATGTGTGGGAGTCTAAGTCTCTTTGTAGGTCACTCAGGACTTGCTTTATGAATCTGGGTGCTCCTGTATTGGGTGCATGTATATTTAGGATAGTTAGCTCTTCTTGTTGAATTGATCCCTTTACCATTATGTAATGGCCTTCTTTGTCTCTTTTGATCTTTGTTGGTTTAAAGTCTGTTTTATCAGAGACTAGGATTGCAACCCCTGCCTTTTTTTGCTTTCCATTTGCTTGGTAGATCTTCCTCCATCCTTTTATTTTGAGCCTATGTGTGTCTCTGCATGTGAGATGGGTTTCCTGAATACAGCACACTGATGGGTCTTGACTCTTTATCCAATTTGCCAGTCTGTGTCTTTTAATTGGAGCATTTAGTCCATTTACATTTAAAGTTAATATTGTTATGTGTGAATTCGATCCTGTTATTATGATGTTAGCTGGTTATTTTGCTTGTTTGTTGATGCAGTTTCTTCCTAGTCTCGATGGTCTTTACATTTTGGCATGATTTTTCAGTGGCTGGTACCGGTTGTTCCTTTCCATGTTTAGCACTTCCTTCAGGAGCCCTTGTAGGGCAGGCCTGGTGGTGACAAAATCTCTCAGCATTTGCTTGTCTGTAAAGTATTTTATTTCTCCTTCACTTATGAAGCTTAGTTTGCCTGGATATGAAATTCTGGGTTGAAAATTCTTTTCTTTAAGAATGTTGAATATTGGCCCCCACTCTCTTCTGGCTTGTATAGTTTCTGCCAAGAGCTCCACTGTTAGTCTGATGGGCTTCCCTTTGAGGGTAACCCGACCTTTCTCTCTGGCTGCCCTTAACATTTTCTCCTTCATTTCGACTTTGGTGAATCTGACAATTATGTGTCTTGGAGTTGCTCTTCTCGAGGAGTATCTTTGTGGCGTTCTCTGTATTTCCTGAATCTGAATGTTGGCCTGCCTTGCTAGATTGGGGAAGTTCTCCTGGATAATATCCTGCAGAGTGTTTCCCAACTTGGTTTCATTCTCCCTGTCACTTTCAGGTACACCAATCAGACGTAGATTTGGTCTTTTCACATAGTCCCATATTTCTTGGAGGCTTTGCTCGTTTCTTTTTATTCTTTTTTCTCTAAACTTCCCTTCTCACTTCATTTCATCTTCCATCGCTGATACCCTTTCTTCCAGTTGATCGCATCGGCTCCTGAGGCTTCTGCATTCTTCACGTAGTTCTCGAGCCTTGGTTTTCAGCTCCATCAGCTCCTTTAAGCACTTCTCTGTATTGGTTAATCTAGTTATACATTCTTCTAAATTTTTTTCAAAGTTTTCAACTTCTTTGCCTTTGGTTTGAATGTCCTCCCGTAGCTCGGAGTAATTTGATTGTCTGAAGCCTTCTTCTCTCAGCTTGTCAAAGTCATTCTCCGTCCAGCTTTGTTCCGTTGCTGCTGAGGAACTGCGTTCCTTTGGAGGAGGAGAGGTGCTCTGCTTTTTAGAGTTTCCAGTTTTTCTGCTCTGTTTTTTCCCCATCTTTGTGGTTTTATCTACTTTTGGTCTTTGATGATGGTGATGTACAGATGGGTTTTTGGTGTGGATGTACTTTCTGTTTGTTAGTTTTCCTTCTAACAGACAGGACCCTCAGCTGCAGGTCTGTTGGAGTACCCAGCCATGTGAGGTGTCAGTCTGCCCCTGCTGGGGGGGTGCCTCCCAGTTAGGCTGCTCGGGGGTCAGGGGTCAGGGACCCACTTGAGGAGGCAGTCTGCCTGTTCTCAGATCTCCAGCTGCATGCTGGGAGAACCACTGCTCTCTTCAAAGCTGTCAGATGGGGACATTTAAGTCTGCAGAGGTTACTGCTGTCTTTTTGTTTGTCTGTGCCCTGCCACCAGAGGTGGAGCCTACAGAGGCAGGCAGGCCTCCTTGAGCTGTGGTGGGCTCCACCCAGTTCGAGCTTCCCAGCTGCTTTGTTTACCTAAGCAAGCCTGGGAAATGGCAGGCGCCCCTCCCACAGCCTCACTGCCGCCTTGCAGTTTGATCTCAGAGTGCTGTTCTAGCAATCAGCGAGACTCCGTGGGCGTAGGACCCTGCGAGCCATGTGCGGGATATAATCTCCTGGTGCGCTGTTTTTTAAGCCCGTTGGAAAAGCGCAGTAATCGGGTGGGAGTGACCCGATTTTCCAGTGCCGTCTGTCACCCCTTTCTTTGACTAGGAAAGAGAACTCCCTGACCCCTTGCACTTCCCAAGTGAGGCAATGCCTCGCCCTGCTTTGGCTTGCGCACGGTGCACGCACCCACTGACCTGTGCCCACAGTCTAGCACTCCCTAGTGAGATGAACCTGGTACCTCAGATGGAAATGCAGAAATCACGTCGCTCACGCTGGGAGCTGTAGACCGGAGCTGTTCCTATTCGGCCGTCTTGGCTCCTCCTCCCGTTCCCCACTTCTGTAGGTCTTATGCTGGACATAAAGCCTGCATTTGCTGTAGAGCCGCTGCTTTCCCTGTGTCTTTCTTTAACCCTTGCCTTCCCTTCAAAACCTAACACAGACCACGTAGACATCCAAAGGATAATGAGGTAATACTACAAACAACTCTGCATTCATAAATAAGAAAACATGAAACGAACTGCTTCCTCAAATTGAATTTGTCATTTACAAGCTCCCAAGAAAGAAGTATCTGTGTCCAGGTGATTTCATTAGAGAAGTCTGCCAAACACTTAAAAAAAGTTAACATCAATTATACATATTATTTTCCAAAAGACAGAAGAGAGAACAACACTTCCCAATTCATTTTGTGAATTCATTTATGGTATTACCTAATATCAAAACCAGACAAAGACAGTACAAGAAAAGAAAACCACAGACCAATAGACCTTATAAATATGAATGTAACAACTCTTTTTTTGGTTTTTTTTTGAGGCAGGGTCTCACTCTGTCACCCAGGATAGAATGCAGTGACACGATCACGGCTCACTGTAGCCTCAACCTCCCAGACTCAAGCCATCCTCCCACTTCAGCCTCCTGAGTAGCGTGGGTCACCATCCCTGGCTTTTTTTTTTTTTTTTTTTTTGTACAGACAAGATCTCACTATGTTGCCCAGGCTGGTCTCAAACTCCTGGGCTCAAGTGAGCTTCGCACCATAGCTTCCCAAAGTGCTGAGATTACAGACATGAGACACCATGCCTGACCAAAAACTCTTAATAAATTTCCAGCAAATAGTATCAGCAATATATAAAATGACTTATATACCAGGATTTATTCCAGGAGTGCAAGGCTGGCTCTATTATTTGAAAATTGATCAATGTAATCCACCATATATCATCAGGCTAAAGAAGAAAAATCTACATGACTTTGTATTTGGTGATTACTGTTCAGATGCAACACCAAAAGCATAATTCATGAAAAAAAAAATAGGCCATTGGGCTTCATTAAAATTAAAAATTTCTGCCCTGAGAAAGACACTATTAAGATAATGAAAAGACAAACCACAGATTGGGAGAAAGTACTTGGTAAACACACATCTAATAAAGACTTGTATCCCAAATACACAAAGAGCTCCAAAAACTCAATAACAAGAAAACAATCCAACTGAAATGGGCAAAAGATGTGAATAGACACCTCATCAAAGTGATTTATGGATAGCAATTAAGCGTAGGAATAAATGGCCAACATTATGGGTTGGTAATTTTATTTATTTATTTATTTATTTTTGAGATGGAGTCCCGCTGTTGTCAGCCCAGACTGGAGTGCAATGGCATGGTCTCAGCTCAGTGCAACCTCTGCCTCCTGGGTTCCAGCAATTCTCCTGCCTCAGCCTCCCGAGTAGCTGAGGTTACTGGCGCCTACCACCATGCCCAGCAAATTTTTGTATTTTTTAGTAAAGATGGGGTTTCACCCTGTTGGCCAGGCTGGTCTCAAACTTCTGACCTCAGGTGATCCACCTGCCTCAGCCTCCCAAAGTGTTGGGATTACAGGAGTGAGCCAACACACCCGGCTGGTAATTTTAAATCAAAACAATGAGTTACCACTATACAACTATATGGCTAAAATCCAAAAAATATATGAACAAAACCTCACAAAAAACCTGACAATACCAAACACTAGTGAGGATGTGGAGCAACAGAAACTCTCACTCATTGCTGGTTGGCAGCTTCTTAACAAAAATAAACACAGGCTTACATATGATTCAGCAATCACACTCCTAGGTACTTACATAAAAGAGTTGAAAACATATATCCACATGCAAACCTGCACGTGGATGTTTATAGCTGCCTTATTCATAAGTGCCCAAAACTAGAAGCAATCAAGATGTCCCTCAATAGGTGAATGAAAAAACAAACTGTGGTATATCCAATGGAATATTATTTCTAAGATGACCTGATCGTGGCTGCCATCTCTCAGCCTGGACCCTGCCATGATCCTGCCAGGACTCTGCCACTTGGGGGGTTTTCAGGCCCAACCCTGCTGGGGCTAGAGGAAGCCCTGAGTGCCACTTGGATGCAGCGCCTCTGGGTGGCGGCAGGTATGGGGGGGGGCAGGAAATATGGTAGCGGTTGGGAGGGCGCAGAGGCCATTTATAGGGTGTGTAGGGCCCGAGAAGGCAGGTCTACGGACGCAGGCTCGGCGGCCTGTTTAGGCCATGGAGCCACACAGATCCGGGTCCTGGGGTGACCACTCTGTCCCAGTTGGGCGAGACCTACCTAGTCCTGATGACACTGGACAAAGGCCTTAACCACAGGAAGGTGAGTGGAGTCCCCCAAGCATGATGGGTGGAACGGTTAGCACCCATTGGTGAGGGTGGGTCTTGGTTCTACCTACCAGATGTTGATGTTGGAAGAATGGTAGAATAACATGCCACATTTGGCCCATTGAAAGGCCCACCACACTTTGGGAAGATTTACTGGCCATTTATAGAAGGCCTGTGTATTTAATATGAAAAAGCTGTTCTCAACTTTCCTCCCAACCCTTTAAAAGAAAACATTTGCTAAATCTAGCCCTTCTAGATGTAAAGAGATTCCCATGGTATGACAGAGTTAGAAAATCACATATCTTGTATATTCCCATTTGTTTAAAAAGAAATCATAGAAAATAAATGTCTTCTGTAGATGACTTTTTGAAATGGAGTTGTCAGACCACCTCTGGAAGTGACACCAAGAGTGACAAGTCCACATTTATTCAGGGGGTTAGAGGACATGGAGCGGAAGACCTGAGAAGGAAGAGAAGAAGGTTCTATGCCTGACTGGTTATATTTAGAAGACATTTTCGTATTCTCACCATTGTTATGTGTGTGTGTGTTTTATTCACCACTACTGTATACATAGCTGACAATGCTAAGAACTTTTTTGAAATGTTAATATCTAGTCTTTCTAGATGTTCTGAAGTGCCAGACATTTGTTAAAATTAGAGGTAGTAAAATAACACATTTTGGTACTTTGGTGTTAAAATTCATATGAAATGTTGTTTTGGAGAGGAATGGCCAAACCACATCTTGCGTAATACACATTGTGTTTGTGTACTACTTTGGTGCCGAGGGAGAAGGAGGAAGTGTATGAACTCTATGCCAGGGTGCTTATAGTGAGGCAAGATTAATCATTGTCTCTTATGTCTGTGCATTTTGTTTTATTTATCTATGTATATAAAGGACAACTGACTCCTAACTTACAACATGTAGTCTTTCTGGAGAGTAAAAGAAGTTGTCAGGGTATGAAAAACATAGAGTTAGTAAACTAATATATTTAGTTTACATTTACATTTTACAATTTACATTTTGTAATTTACATTTGCATTTTGTTTTAAAATTCCTAGGAAAGATTGTCTTCTGAAAAGTTGAATATTATTGCTCACTGGGTTGATGGAGATGGGAAGGGTTTTAAATCCAAATGTTCCTGTTTGGAAGGTTCTATCAAATTATAAAGGGAACTGCCATTTATAAAACCCTACAAGCCACTCTCCTTTATAAAACCTCTACAGACACCCCCCACTGGGGCTATCAAGCTAGTAGCAGCTTGGCAACTCTCTGGGACAGAGCTCCAAGTGGGAGGGGTAGATTGCTGTCTTTGCTGTCTTGCAGCCCTCGCCCTTGCTGTCTGCAGGATCTGGAGACTCTCTGGAGGTCAGGGGCTGGTCTAGACCCCCAGCACAGAGCACCCACCTGATGGAAAAGTGGCCGTATTGTTCTCCATGCAGGTCCTGGTCCTCACTTCTCCTCAATGGGCAGGGCTACCTGACCTGGGACTCCAGCACAACCACCTTGCCCCTGCCTGGCCACTTCAATCAGAGGCATCTCAACATTATTTTGAGGAGGAAATCCCAGAGTCAACCTGCAATCCCTCTGCCTCTGCAGTTGCAGTGTTAGTGACCTAGCAGCCCTCAAGCTGGAGAAAGAAAAAAGCACCTAGTCACTATGCTGGCACTGCCAGCACACTGCAGCCACCATATGGATAGAAGTCCAGCCCTTATTCCCTGGGAACTCCCATTCCCCACTCTTTGCCAGGCAGTTTTCCCAGCTCATTACTGCAGAACAGCCACTGTAACCACAGCTGAGAATACCCACTGAGAGTGGCCCAGAATTACCCTGGGGAGAGACTTCCAGAGGCATCCAACACAGCCCCTCTGCCACTGCCACAGCAGTGGTTCTATCCTTGCTGCCCTCAATCTGGGGAAGAAACAGAGCCTGAGGGCTGCAACCAAGCTACAGCATGCCACAGTCACTATATGGAGAAGAGGCCAGGCTCTCCTCCTGGTGAACCCTCAGCCCCCTGCTTCCCAACAAGCAGGACCCTGAGCTCATGCCAGTAGTGCAGCCACCTCACCCTACTGGCTGAACATTCCCAGTAACAGCAGCTCTATGTTACTCAGAGGTAGAACCCCCATGGGAAACTGAAAGCCCCTCTGCCACTGCCTCTGCAGTGGTACTATTCCTGCTGCCCTCAGACTAGCAAAGGAGCAAAGACCCTAAGTACATTCTCCACACCTTCAACAAGCAGCAGTTGACCCAAGAAGAGGAAGCCAGAACATCTCCCATGCTTCCCCACCCACCCACCTGCTCATCACTAGGCAGGGATGTGGATCCAGCTGGGGCCCAAAGCAGAGACCCCCCCCATTCTGGGCCGATTGCACTGAGTGATTGCTGATCTGCATCTCTCTAGGGTGGAGCCTCCAGGAGACCAGCAAAAGACCCTTGGCCATGACCACTACAAATAAGGTCCCTTCATCAGTTGCCTCCAAGTTAAGGAGGCAACATAAACCCTGAGATCACCCCAGAGCTGTGGTGGGCAGCCCAGGAGTGCCAAGACAATCTACAGCCAGAACTCAAGTGGGAGAGGAGCTCACACTTTCAGAGCATTGAGAGAGAGCACAGCTGCAACTGTGAGGAAACACAAAAACCGCATAACCGAGCAAGAGTCTATTAACTGGCCAGTACGCTAAGCACCACCAACTGGACCACACCCCAAAGCTTCAGCACCAAAATACCTTGCTAACATACAATCCAGTCAAACCAAAGATAAGTCAGCTATACATAAAGACCCTGCACAAAGCCTTGACCTGTGAAAACATCCGGAAAAGAAGTCTTCTGAGTGTATTCAATCTACATCATAGTTAAAGGAACATCCACATGCAAAGATGAGAAAGAACCAACACAAGAACTCTGACAACTCAAATGGCCGGAGTATCTTATGTCCTCCAATCAACCACACTTAGTTCTCCAGCAAGGGTTTGTAACTAGGCTGAAATGGCAGAAGTATACTTTAGAACATGACAGGAACAAAGATCACTGAGATTGAGGAGACCAGCAAAACCCAATCTAATGAAACCAAGAATCACAATAAAACAGGAGCTGACAGATGAAATAGCCAGTATAATAAAGAATCTAACTGATCTGATAGAGCTGAAAAAACACACTACAATAATTTCACAATGCAGTGGCAAGTATTAACAGCAGAATAGACCAAGCTGAAGAAACAGTCTTGGAACTTGAAGACTGATTCTCTGAAATAAAGCAGTCAGACAAAAATAAAGAAAAAAGAATAAAAAGAAATGAATAAACCTCCCAGAAATATGAGATTATGTAAAGAGGCCAAATCTATGGGTCACTGGAATCCCTGAAAGGGGTGGGGAGAAAGCAAACAACTTGGAAAACATTTTTGAGAATATTGTCCAGGAAAACTTCCCTAACCTTGCTAGGGAGGCCAACAGTCAAATTCAGGAAATACAGAGAACCTCTGCAAGATTCTACACAAGAAGATTATCCCCAAGACCCATAATCATCAGGTTCCCCAAGAGAGAAATGAAAGAAAATATTTAAGGCAGCTAGAGGGAAAGCACAGGTCACCTCCAAAGGGAACCCCACCAGGCTAACAATGGACCTCTCAGAAGAAATCCTACAAGCCAGAAGAGATTGAGGGCCTGTATTTAACATTCTTAAAGAAAAAAATCTTCAACCAAGGGTTTAATATCCAGCCAAACTAAGCTTCCTCTGCAAAGAAGTAAGATCATTTGCATATAAGCAAATGTTGAGAGAGTTCATTACCACCAGACCTGCCTTAAAAGAGATCCTGAAAGGAGCACTAAATATGGAAAGGAGAGGCCATTACCAGCAAACAGAAAAACACATGTAAGTACTTAGACTAGTGACTCCATAAAGCAACCACACAAACAAGCCAGCATAATAACCAGCTAACAACACAATGACAGGATCAAATCTACACATATCAACTTGCTAACATACTAGCCTTGAATGTAAATGGGCTAAATGCCTCATTTAAGAGGCACAGGATGTCAAGCTGGATAAAAAAGCAAGAGCCAATGGTATTCTGTCTCCTGGACAACCATTTCTCAAGCACCCATTGGCTCAAAAAAAAAAAAAAAAAAAGGGATGGAGGAAAATCTACCAAGCAAATGGAAATCAGAAAAAAGCAGCAGTTGCAGCCCTAATATCAAACAAAACAGACTTCAAGCCAAAAAAGGTAAAAAAAATAAAAAAGAAGGGCATTACATAATGGTAAAGGGTTCAATTTAACTAGAAGACCTACCCATCCTAAATATATATGCAACCAACATAGGAGCATCCAGATTCATAAAGCAAGTTCTTAGAGACCTACAAAGAGACTTAGACTCCCACACAATAATAGTGGGAGACTTCAACATTCCACTGACAGTATTAGAAGATCATCAAGGCAGAAAATAAACAAAAATATTCAGGACCTGAACTCAATATTGGACCAAATGGATCTGATAGACCTCCACAGAACTCTCCACCCCAAAACAACAGAATATACACTTTTCTCATTGCTACGTGGCATGTACTCTATAACTGACCACCACACAATCAGACATAAAACAATCTATGACCAACTCACAGCCAATATCATACTGAATGGGCAAAAGCTGGAAGCATTCTCCTAGAAAACTTGCACAAGACAAGAAAGCCCTCTCTCACCACCCTTCTTCAAGATGGTATTGGAAGTCCTGGCCAGAGCAATCAGGCAAAGAAAGAAAGGGCATCCCAATAGCAAGACAGGAAGTCAAACTATCCCTGTTTGCAGATGACATAATTCTATGCCTAGAAAACCCCATAGTCTTGGCCTAAAAGCTCTCTTAGCTGATAAACAACTTCAGAAAAGTTTCAGGATACAAAACCAATGCACAAAAATCACTAGCATTTCAATACACCAACAACAGCCAAGATGAGAGGCACATCAGGAATGAAATCTCATTCACAATTGCCACCAAAAAATAAAATACCTAGGAATACACCTAACCAGGGAGGTGAAAGAGCTCTACAATGAGAATTACAAAACACTGCTTGAAGAAATCAGAGATGACACAAACAAATGTAAAAACATTCCATGCTCAAGAATTGAAAGAATCAGTATGATTAAAATGGCCATACTGCCCAAAGCAATTTACAGATTCAATGCTATTCCTATCCAACTACCAATGACATTTTTCACAGAACTAGAAAAAAAAACTTTAAAATTCATATCAAACTAAAAAAGAGCCCAAATGGCCAAAGCAGTCCTAAACAAAAAGAACAAAGCTGGAGGCATCACGTTACCCAACTTCAAACACTATTGTAGGGCTACAGTAACCAAAACAGCATGGACCTGGTACAAAAACAGACACACAGACCAATGGAACAGAGTAGATTCCAGAAATAATGCCATACACCTACAACCATCAGATATTTCACAAAGCTGATAAAAATAAGCAATGGGGAAAGGACTCCCTATTCAATAAATGGTCCTCGGATAACTGGCTAGCCATATATAGAAGATTGAAACTGGACCCTTTCCTTACACTATATACAAAAATCAACTCAAGAAGGATTAAAGACTTAAATGTAAAACCAAAACTATATAAACCCTGGAATACAACCTAGGCAACACCATTCTGGACATGGGAACTGGCAAAGATTTCCTGATGAAGATGCCAAAGGCAATCACAACAAAAGCAAAAATTGACAAAGGGGATCCAATTAAACCAAAGAGTTTCTGCACAGCGAGAGAAACTATCAACAGAGTGAACAGACAGCATAGAGAATGGAAGAAAATATTTGCAATCTATCCATCTAACAAAGGTCTAATATCTAGCATCTATAAGGAACTTAAACAAATTTACAAGAAAAAAACAACCCCATTAAAAAGTGGGCAGAGGACATGAACAGAAACTTTTGAAAAGAAGACACATTTGGCCATCAAGCAGATGAAAAAAATTCAATATTATTTGTCACTGGAGAAATGCAAATCAAAACCACAATGAGGGCCAGGCGCAGTGGCTCACACTGTAATTCCAGCTCTTTGGGAGGCTGAGGTGGGTGGATCACTTGAGGTCAGGAGTTCGAGACCAGCCTGGCCAACATAGTGAAACCCCATCTCTACCAAAAATACAAAAAATTAGCTGGGCATGGTGGTGCACGCCTGTAGTCCCAGCTACTCTGGAGGCTGAGACAGGAGAATTGCTTGAACTCAGGAGGCAGAGGTTGCAGTGAGCCAAGATCATGCCATTACATTCCAGCCTGGGTGACAGAGTGAGATCTATCTCAAAAAAACAAAAGCAAAAACAACATGATACCATCTCACACCAGTCAGAATGGCTATTATTAAAAAATCAAAAAATAACAGATGCTGGCGAGGTTATGGAGAAATGGGAACACTTATACACTTTTGGTGAGAGTGTATATTAGTTCAGCCATTGTGGAAAGCAGTGCGGCAATTCCTCAAAGAGCTAAAAACAGAACTACCATTTGACACAGCAATCCCATTACTGAGTATATACCCAAAGGAATATAAATCTTTCTACCATAAAGACACTGATGCGTATGTTCCTTGAAGCGCTATTCACAATAGCAAAGACATGGAATCAACCTAAATGCTCATCAATGGTAGACTGGACAAAGAAAATGTGATATATGTACACCATGGAATACAATGCTGCCATAAAAAAGAATGAGATCATGTCCTTTGCAGGATCATGAATGAAACTGAAGACCATTATCCTTAGCAAACTAATGCAGGAGCAAAAAACCAAATATGGCATGTTTTCACCTATAAGTGGGAACTAAATGATAAGAACAAATGGACACAAAGCGGGGAAGAACAGACACTGGGGCCTACTTGGGGCCTACTATAGCTGATGCTTTCTGGAAAGTGCAGCCTCCTGGAAGGAGGCCAACCACCACAAAAATAGAGCATTAAACCACCAAAGCTCAGGACCCTCATGGAGTCTGTTGCACCCTCTGCCACCTCCACCAGAACAGGCACTGGTGAGAGACCCATAGATGGTTCACATCACAGGATTCTGTGCAGACAAACCACAGTACCAGCTCAGAGCCGGGTAGACTTGCTGGGTGACTGGACCCAGAAGAGAGATAACAATCACTACAGCTCAGCTCTTAGGAAGCCACATCCTTAGGAAAATGGGGAGAGTACTATATCAAGGGATCACCCTGTGGGACAAAAGAATCTGAACAACAGCCTTCAGCCCTAGACCTTCCCTCTGACAGAGGCTACCAAAATGAGAAAGAACCAGAAAACCAACCCCAGTAATATGATGAAACAAGGCTCTTCAATACTCCCCAAAAATCACACTAGTTCACCAGCAATGGATCCAAACCAAGAAGAAATCCGATTTACCCAAAAAAAAAAAAAAAAAATTCAGGAGGTTAGTTATTGAGCTAATAAGGGAGGGACCAGAGAAAATCCCAGTGCAAGGAAATCCAAAAAATGCTAAAAGAAGTGAAGGGAGAAATATTCAAGGAAATAGATAGCTTAAAGAAAAAAAAATCAAAAATTCAGGAAACTTTGGACACACTTTTAGAATTGCAGAATGCTCTAAAAAGTCTCAGCAATAGAATTGACCAAGTAGATGAAAGAAATTCAGAGCTCACAGACAAGGTCTTTGTATTAACCCAATCCAACAAAGACAAAGAAAAAAGAATAAGAAAATACAAAAAAAGCCTCCAAGAAGTCTGGGATTATGTTAAATGACCAAACCTAAGAATAATCGGTGTTCCTGAGGAAGAAGAGAATTCTAAAAGCTTGGGAAACGTATTTCGGGGAATAATTGAAGAAAATTTCCCCAGCCTTGCTAGAGAACTAGACATCCAAACACAAGAAACACAAAGAAAACATGGGAAATTTATTGTGAAAAGATCTTCACCTAGGCACATTGTCATCAGGTTATCTAAAGTTAAGATGAGGGGAAGAATTTTAAGAGCTGCAAGACAGAAGCACCAGGTAACCTATAAAGGAAAACCTATCAGATTAACAGCAGATTTCTCAGCAGAAACCCTACAAGCTAGAAGGGGTTGAGGCCCTATCTTCAGCCTCCTGAAACAAACAATTATCAGACAAGAATTTTGTACCCAGCAAAACTAAACATCATATATGGAGGAAAGATACAGTCATTTTCAGACAAACAAATGCTGAGAGAATTCGCCATTACCAAGCCACCACTACCAGAATTGCTAAAAGGAGCTCTACATCTTGAAACAAATCCTGGCAACACATCAAAACAGAACCTCTTTAAGGCATAAATCACAGAGGACCTATAAAACAAAAATACAAGTTAAAAAGAAAAACAAAAAACAAGTCCACAGGCAACAAAGCACAATGATTGCAAAGGTACCTCACATTTCAATACTAACAGTGAATGTAAATGGCCTAAATGCTCCACTTAAAAGATGCAGAACCACAGAATGGATAAGAATTCACCAATCAACTACCTGCTGCCTTCAGGAGACTCACCTAACACATAAGGACTCACATACACTTAAAGTAAAGGGGTAGAAAAAGACATTTCATGCAAATGGACACCAAAAGCGAGCAGGGGTAGCTATTCTTGTATCAAAACAAACTTTAAAGCAACAGCAGTTAAAAGGGACAAAGAGAGACATTATATAATGGTAAAAGGCCTTGTCCAACAGGAAAATATCACAATCCTAAATATATATGCACCTAACACTGGAGCTCCCAAATTTATAAAACAATTACTAATAGACCTAAGAAATGAGATAGACAGCAACGCAATAATAGTGGGGGACTTCAATACTCCACTGACAGCACTAGACAGGTCATCAAGACAGAAAGTCCACAAAGAAACAATGGATTTAAACTATACCCCGGAACAAATAGACTTAACAGATATATACAGAACATTTCATCTGACAACCACAGAATATACATTCTATTCAACAGTGCATGGAACTTTCTCCAAAAGAGAACATATGTTAGGCCATAAAACGAGCCTCAATAAATTTAAGAAAATTGAAATCATACCAAACACTCTCTCAGACCACAGTGGAATGAAGCTGGAAATCAACTCCAAAAGGAACCTTCAAAACCATGCAAATACATGGACATTAAATAACCTGCTCCTGAATGAGCATTGAGTCAAAAACAAAATCAAGATGGAAATTTAAAAATTCTTTGAATTGAAGGACAATAATGACACAACTTATCAAAACCTCTGGGACACAGCAAAGGTGATGCTAAGAGGAAAGTCTGAAAGAGCACAGACAATTTAAGGTCACACCTCAAGGAACTGGAGAAACTAGAACAAACCAAACCCAAACCCAGCAGGAGAAAGGAAATAACCAAGATCAGAGGAGAACTAAATGAAATTGAAACAAAAGAATACAAACGATAAATAAAACAAAAAGCTGGTTCTTCGAAAAGATAAATAAAATTGATAGGCCATTAGCAAGATTAACCAAGAAAGGAAGAGAAAATCCAAATAATCTCATTAAGAAATGAAACAGGAAATATTACAACTGACACTACTGAAATACAAAAGATCATTCAAGGCTACTATTGTAGAAGGACAAGCCGCAGACAAAACCCCTCAGACACCGAGTTAAAGAAGGAAGGGCTTTATTTGGCCGGGAGCTTCAGCAAGACTCATGTCTCCAACAACTGAGCTCCCTGAGTGAGCAATTCCTGTCCCTTTTAAGGGCTCACAACTCTAAGGGGGTCCACGTGAGAGGGTCATGATTGATTGAGCAAGCATGGGTTACATGACTGGGGGCTGCATGCACCAGTAATCAGAACGGAATAGAACAGGACAGGGATTTTCACAGTGCTTTTCTAAACAATGTCTGTAATCTATAGATAACATAACC
Organism: Homo sapiens; assembly: GCF_000001405.40. Lineage (NCBI taxonomy): Eukaryota > Metazoa > Chordata > Mammalia > Primates > Hominidae > Homo > Homo sapiens. Next base: position 35,381,763 of record NC_000017.11, on the reverse strand, counting down.
AATTAGGTCAGGGGTCGATCTTTACCAGGCCCAGGGTGTGGCATCAGGCTGTCTGCTTGTGGATTTCATTTCTGCCTTTTAGGTTTTACTTCTTCTTTCTTTGGAGGCAGAAATTGGGCATAAGACAATATGAGGTGTGGTCTCCTCCCTTACTATGAACACCTTTACACACATAAACTAGAAAACCTAGAAGACATTGATAAGTTCCTGGAAAAATACAAGCCTCCTAGCTTAAATCAGGAAGAATTTGATACTCCGAGCAGACCAATAACAAGTAGCAAAATTGAAATGGTAATTTAAAAATTACCAACAACAAAAAAAGTCCAGGACCAGATAGATTCACAGCAGAATTCTACCAGACATTCAAAAAAGAATTGGTACCAATCCTTTTGACACTATTCCACAAGATAGAGAAAGAAGGAACCTCCCTAATTCATTCTATGAAGCCAGCATCACCCTAATACCAAAACCAGGAAAAGACATAACCAAAAAAGGAAGCTACAGACCGATACCCTTGATGAACATAGATACTAAAATCCTCAACAAAATACTAGCTAACCAAATCCAACAATATATCAAAACGATTTATAGATTGTGAAGATTTTTTCCCACTCTGTGGGTTGTCTGTTTACTCTGCTGACTGTTCCTTCTGCTGTGCAAAAGCTCTTTAGTTTAATTAGGTCCCAGCTATTTATCTTTGTTTTTATTACATTTGCTTTTGAGTCCTTGGTCATGAAATCTTTGGCTAAGCCAATGTCTAGAAGGGTTGTTCCAATGTTAACTTCTAGAATTTTTATACTTTCAGGTCTTAGGTTTAAGTTCTTAATCCATCTTGAATTGATTTTTGTATAAGGTGAGAGCTGAGGATCCAGTTTCATTCTCCTGCATTGGACTAGCAAATTATCCCAGCACCATTTGTTGAAAAGGGTGTCCTTTCCCCACTTTATGTTTTTGTTGGCTTTGTCAAAGATCACTTGGCTGTAAGTATTTGGATTTATTTCTGGGTTCTCTATTCTGTTCCATTGGTCTATGTGACTACTTTTATACTAGTACCATGCTGTTTTGGTGACTATAGCCTTACAGTATAGTTTGAAATCAGGTAGTGTGATGCCTCCAGATTTGTTCTTTTTACTTAGTCTTACTTTGGCTATGCAGGTTCTTTTTTTGGTTCCATATGAATTTTAGAATTGTTTTGTTCTAATTCTAATCCACCATGATCAAGTGGGTTTCATACCAGGGATGCAGGCATGGTTTAACATATGCAAGTCAATAAATGTGACACACCACATAAACATAATTAAAAATAAAAATCACGTGATCATCTCAATAGATGCAGAAAAAGCATTCTACACAATCCAGTGTCACTTTATGATTAAAAATCTCAACAAAATCAGCATGCAAGGGACGTACCTTAATGTAATAAAAGCCATGTATAACAAACACACAGCCAATATAATACTGAATGGGGAAAAGTTGAAAGCATTCCCTCTGAGAACTGGAACAAGACGAGGAGGCCCACTCTCATTACTCCTCTTCAACATAGTACTGGAAGTCCTAGCCAGAGCAATCACACAACAGAAAGAAATAAAGGGCATCCAAATTGGTAAAGAGGAAGTCAAACTGTCACTGCTGACGATATGATCATTTACCTTGAAAACCCTAAGGACTCTTCTGGAAAGCTCCTAGAACTGATAAAAGAATTCAGCAAAGTTTCTGGATACAAGATTAATGTGCACAAATTAGTAGCACTTCTATATACCAACAGTGACCAAGCAGAGAATCAAATCAAGAATTCAACCCCTTTTTACAATAGTTGCAAAAACAAACAAATAAATAAATAAATAATAAATAAACAAACAAAATACTTAGGAATATACCTAACCAAGGAGTCAAAAGACCTCCATAAAGAAAACTATAAAATACTGCTGAAAGAAATCATAGACAACACAAACAAAAGGAAACACATCCCATGCTCATGGATGGGTAGAATCAATATTGTAAAAATGACCATACTGACAAAAGCAATCTACAAATTCAATGCAATTTCCATCAAAATACCACCATCATTATTCACAGAATTAGAACAAAACAATTCTAAAATTCATATGGAACCAAAAAAAAGAACCTGCATAGCCAAAGTAAGACTAAGTAAAAAGAACAAATCTGGAGGCATCACACTACCTGATTTCAAACTATACTGTAAGGCTATAGTCACCAAAACAGCATGGTACTAGTATAAAAGTAGTCACATAGACCAATGGAACAGAATAGAGAACCCAGAAATAAATCCAAATACTTACAGCCAAGTGATCTTTGACAAAGCCAACAAAAACATAAAGTGGGGAAAGGACACCCTTTTCAACAAATGGTGCTGGGATAATTTGCTAGTCCAATGCAGGAGAATGAAACTGGATCCTCAGCTCTCACCTTATACAAAAATCAATTCAAGATGGATTAAGAACTTAAACCTAAGACCTGAAAGTATAAAAATTCTAGAAGTTAACATTGGAACAACCCTTCTAGACATTGGCTTAGCCAAAGATTTCATGACCAAGGACTCAAAAGCAAATGTAACAAAAACAAAGATAAATAGCTGGGACCTAATTAAACTAAAGAGCTTTTGCACAGCAGAAGGAACAGTCAGCAGAGTAAACAGACAACCCACAGAGTGGGAAAAAATCTTCACAGTCTATAAATCTGACAAAAGACTAATATTCAGAATCTACAATGAACATAAACAAATCAGTAAGAAAAAAAACAGTCCCATCAAAAAGTGGGCTAAGGACATGAATAGACAATTCACAAGGAAAGATATACAAATGGTGAATGAACATATGAAAAAATACTCAACATCAATAATTATCAGGGAATGCAAATCAAAACCACAATGCGATACCACCTTACTCCTGCAAGAATGGCCATAACAAAAAAGTCAAAAAACAGTAGATGTTGGCATGGATGCAGTGAACAGGGAACACTTCTCCACTGCTGGTGAGAATGTAAACTAGTATAGCCACTATGGAAAACAGTGTGGAGATTCCCTAAAGAACTAAAACTAGAACTACCATTGGATCCAGTAATCTCACTGCTGGGTATCTATCCAGAGAAGAAGTCATTATTTGAAAAAGATACTTGCACACGCATGTTTGTAGCAGCACAATTCGCAATTGGAAAATCATGATACCAACCCAAATGCCCATCAATCAATGAGTGGATAAAGGAACTGTGAGATATATGTATATATACACCACGGTAGTATTCCATCATATATATATATATATATATATATATATATATATATATATATATATATATACACACACATACATACATATATACTACACAGCCATAAAAGGAATGAATTAACAGCATTTGCAGTGACCTGGATGAGATTGGAGACTATTATTCTAAGTGAAGTAACTCAGGAGTGGAAAACCAAACATTGTATATTCTCACTGATACGTGGGAGCTAAGCTATGAGGACTCAAAGGCATAAGAATGATGCAGTGGACTTTGGGGACTCTGGGGAAAGCGTGGGAAGGGGACAAGGGATTAAAAGACTACAAATATGTTGCAGTGTATACTGCCTGGATGATACGTGCACCAAAATCTCACAAATCACCGCTAACGAACTTACTCATGTAACCAAATACCACCTGTACCCCAATAACTTATGGGGAAAAAGTCCACTGCATGTCTATAAAGCAAAAACAGGTAGGAAAAATAATATTTTTGTAAAAACAGGAAGAAAATAGGAGTCATAAGGAAAAGTCCTCTGTTGGTTTATTATCTATATGTTTTTGTTCCCATTTCTTCTGTGGTAGCTCTAGGGCTTACAATATGCACCTTCAACTTACCACAGTTTAATCATAGCATATGACTTTGTGAATTATGTAAGAGCTTTATAACAATACACACCCATTTCCTCTATTCCTAAAAACAAAATATTTCTATTATAAGCACCACAATACATAGTTTTATTCCTTTAAAAACTTAATTATTTTAAGAATAATTTTCAGCACAGTGGAGGAAGTCGTGCTACCCCGCAGAGTTGGCGTGTGTTCTAGATTCATCCTGGTACCACCATGTCGAAGGTTTCCTTTAAGATCATGCTGACATCGGACACGCAGCTGCCATACAAAGTACTCAGTGTACTTTGTACTTTCCTGAAAGTACACCTTTCACAGCAGTCTTAAAGTTTGCAGCCGAAGAATTTAAAGCTCCTGCTGCAACAAGTGCAGTTATTACCAATGATGGAATAGGAATAAATCTTGCACAGACTGCTGGAAATGTTTTTCTAAAACAAGGTTCAGAACTGCGGATTATTCCTAGAGATCATGTTGGAAGTTGTTAATATCTGCTACTTGGAACATACGATTGCCTTTCAGAATAAATATTGGTATTTTTTGTTGTTGTAAAATTGAAATCAGGCATTTAACATACTATGAAAACACTAAGAGTCAATGAATAATGAAAGGTGACTCATCTGTCCCTTTTTGTTGTTCATACTCTTCATATGAAGAGGGAATGCATAAGAATTAAGGCTACTACTGTCACAGAAGATCATAGTCTTTGCTACCTCACAACACAAATAGGTAGTTCATTGGGGGGAAATGAATTAGCCAACTGTGTTAACTGCAAGGTTCTGATAATTTTTTTTTTGAGAACAATTTGGAACATTAAAATTTACTGAATCTTATATATTCATCTGACTTAAAAATATACAAAGAATTACGGATCCTGGATGGCAATTTGCTTGATAGCATCTGATTTGCAGACTCATAGTTTGATTTTTAATTAAATATATAGGTTATGATGAAGTCAATAGACATATCAGTGAACAATTAACTATATTAAATTTTTATCATTTACTTTTTCTAAGATTAAAACCTCATGTATTATATAAATTTCAGTTTAGTATCCACAAAAAAATTAAAATAATAATGTAACTCTTATGTGTATAAATTGATGTCTCATACCAGGTTTTAATGTTGGACTTGCAGAATCCAATATTTGTAATGGTGGGAATTCACAATACAGTAGAAGCATCCTTTGCTGAGTTATAGATTCCTTTATCAATCTCTTTTGATACAACTTTTAAAACAAGTATCTTCAAGAAACCATTGGTGTTTTGAGGATAATATTTCTAAATAGCATTCAGGAAGAGAATATTATTGCACAGAAGATCTGATGATCAAAAAAAAAAAAAAGCTCAAGGAGATGCAGATTGAAAGTGCTGACAAGTTATATTTATTGAAGATCCAACTTTTAAGGAAGTGCTAAGATTAGTCACTCATGTGAATAAGAAGCCAGGAAAGGAAAGATGGGGAAACCTAGATGACCAGGCTTCTGTTAAGGAGGAAAGCAACGGAGGAAAACAGTGAAGGGGAACAGAAAAGTGTAGCAAAGTGTTACAGAAAAGCCAACTGGATAGACAACACTGCAGAAGGTAGAGGTTGGGGAGAACTGAAAGGGAAAACAAAATACTTGACATAGTCTTAAGTAGTAGAAGGCAATTAGAGAAAACTAAGTATCTACTGGCCTTGTCAACATACAGACTTCAAAATACCCCTTATGAGAATCCAAAGAATGATGTGTGTAAGGGAAGATTTTATGTGCCCTTCCAGAAGAAATCAGTATCTATGTAAATCTTGAAAGATGAAATCAAAGCTCATAATGATTCAGAATCAGTGCTTGCCCTGCTGTATTCTGTCTGAACGGTGAACTCTGGAAGCAGGGATTGTGTCTGTCTGGCTCTTTTTAGAGCTGGAAATGTAGTGGCTTTCATTAAATACTTGCTGTGAAGTCTCTCTAAGACCAATTATTATCTTAGCATGTTTCAGTATCTTCTCTGTTATAGGCTCTAGGTTCATTGGGGAAAAAGATATAAGAAAATTCAACAGACTCAGCATTTGAAGTGTGCCATTGGTAGTTGTTTATGAAGTTACCAGATATTCATATATGTGACAAATGAACAGCAGGATTATGAATTATCAAAGGAAAAGACATTTGCTGAGGTGAAAAACTCTGGTGTTTGAGGAAGTTTTTATTTTTATAAAATAAAAATATTTTAAAATTTTAAAATCTTATAAATAAAATCTTTAAAATATTATAAAATAAAAATATTTAAAATATTTTATTTTAAAATCTGATGTTCAAACGCCCGTTTCTTACAATAACTATTGAGCCTCAGTTAACCAGAAATTTGTGAACATCCATTTCCTGACTTTTTGCTTTAAATTTTTTCTCCACTGTTTCTAGCACAAAAGTTTGCCTGCTGTGTTGCAGAAATAAATTTATGTTGTCCTCTGCCATAAAGTGATATATTTAATATTTTTATTCTTTGTTTTTGAAAATTATATTGTAAGTTCCTAAAAACATTTTATTAAACAATTAGACATTTTGTTATTAAATAAATGTGATCTGTAATTTCTTTGTGCAGAATGATTTGAAGTATTGTATTTAGTTTACATGCATTGTGGGTTCATAATTAATATCCAATGAAAATACATTTTGTTATATTGTAAAAAAAGAATAATTTTAACAGTAAAAAAGAGATTTTTTATATTTATCTGCATATTTACTATCTTCTGTGCTCTTCATTCTTTTTTGTAGATCTGAGTTTCATTCAGGTATCATTTTCCTTCCAGCTAAAGAACTTCCTTTAATATTTTTTCATAAGAAAGATCGGCTGGTGACAAATTCCCTCAGATTTTCAGATTTCCTTTTTTTTTTTTTTTGTCTGAAGTCATTACTTTGCCTCCATTTAGGTAGGCCTTTTTTGTGGTTGTTATAGGATTCTAGGTTGACAATCTTTTAGCACGTTATAGATGCATGGTTCTGGATTTGGTACAGGTTTGCACAGACTCTCTGTAAACATGTTAAAGAAAAATGGAGAAGCTGCAACATGAGAATACGAAGATTTACTGAAATGAAAAGGTGGTCATTGAAAGAAAGTGGGTTATGAAACAGCATGAACATTATGACCTCATTTTAACAAACGTGCGTAACATACACATAAGTGTAATATGTATGTACATGTATCCATACACACATTGTATATGTATAATGAAATCCGTTTTATTTTCTTACTTTCGCTTTCACTGGAGCCTGTATTAATCAGTGCGGCATTAACCGCTGCTCCCACCCTCGGGCCACTCCGCATCAGTGAGAAGTGGGCCTCCGACAGAGCCGCCCGGGCCTAGGGTTCCGCAAGGCTGGCAGCACGGAGCCCGGCCAAGGGCGAGCGCTCCGCCAAGGATGGGGAGTTGGCCAAAGACAGGAGGATTACAAAATCCAAACACTCGGACAGAATCCTGGCGGGTGCTAAAGACTGCAGCGGGGCAGAAAAGCAGAACGCTGGCAGGTTTTTTTCATATCACTAGCAGCGTGACGGTTACCGGGGTTGACCAAGCACAGCGCACCGGCCGCCGTTAAATCCCACTCTGGCTCGGGGTCTGCGGAGCCTGCCTCAGCCGCAGGCTCCATAAACCCAGCCAGGAACCAAGCGCGGCCCAATCTGCACATCTGCCGCATTTTGGCAAGGGGTCCGGGGTCTGGAACAGAAGCGGAGGCCCAAATTCTTGCCTCGGTCTCCAAGACCCACTTTCTGGGGCGATGGAGAGAGAAGCCCAGCTTGGGATCTGGGCAAGTCGAGCGGGTTGGAAGGGGAAAGCTCTGGCGAGAGCTCAGCTGGACTCTCCGAGGGGTATCTGGAAGGTGGGACCGCAGGCACCGGGAGAGAAGAGGGTGCGAGGAAGGAAACGGCCACCCCGTTGGGAGCGCAGGAGCCGACAGCTGCTTGGGCCTGGGAAGTTCTTCTCTTTCTTCATAATCTTTATTCTTTGTTTTGCTGTAATCCAGATAGATGAATAGATAGATGATAGGGAGGGAGAGATGGATGGAGGGAGCGAGGAGACGGAGGAAGGGTGGGAAGAAGGGGGAGGAAAAAATCCCCAAATTCCCGGAAACTAAGAACTACGTGGCAACAGTCAGAAGGGTGGGAGCTTCTAGGCAATTTAACGCGGCAGAGTTCGCGGGCTTAGCAGACCCGCCCATTGGCTCTTGCATCTCCTGCGTGGGATGTGCGTGGGATGGCGCCAACCCGCTAGTATATAAGGACTCGACCTGGGCGCCTCCAGGGAAACGCTAAGGGGGCTTCGGAAGCGCTGGAGCTTGAGAGGTCAGAGAGGGTCCTTGCCCCCAGCCTGGGACTCCGGAGTTGCGTTTCTACCCGTGCTTCAGGGTCTAGCCCAGCCGAATCCGCGTCGGGCTGTAACTCGAGTGCCAGGTTCGAGAAGGGAGCAGCACCCTTCCCACCCCACCCCAGCCAGGGTGTGGGGTGTGGGGAGGGGCTGGAGGGGTGCGGAGGGGCTGGGGGTGGAGTGGAGTGGGGGTATCTGTGCTTTTCTCCCCTGTCCGGGGGCCCAGCTAGTTTGCTCAGCAGGTTCCCTAAAAAGCGGACTATGGAGGACTGGCGGGCGGGGCGGGGGTGGGTAATGGGGGTAGAAGGCATTAGGGGCGGGGCGGGCCTGACCTGTGCACCTGCTCCCGCTGGAAGTTGGAAGAGCCCCTGGCCAGCCAGCCGCGGTTTCTGCGGGGCGCGGAGCAGGAACCGAAGCCTAGAAGGCCACTGAGTGCACCTTGGTGGCTCCCAGGGCTGCAGATCTCAGGTTTCAGAGTTATTGGTATTTTAAACTTGAGAAACTAGTTCTACAGCTGTCTATGTGACCGACCAACCACTCTAAACTATTTTCCTTAATATAGAAACTAAAAGGCAGAATTAGAATTGCCATTGCCCTGCGGGGAGATTTATAATCTAGAGGGGGGAGAAATGAGAAAAATGTCTCCCTCTGGACAAGATCTGTAGAATACACGTGCTACCCCAGAAGGACAAAGAGCTCTAAGTTTTAGTTTTCCAAGAGGGCACATCTGTCGCAGCCCATTTCCCTTTCTTTTCTTTTTTTTTAAATTAATTTTTAATTTCTGTGGGTACATAGTAGATGTATATGTTTATGGGTTACATGAGATATTTTAAGACAGGCATGTAATGTTTAATAATCACATCACGGTAAATGGGGGTATCCATCGCCTCAAGCATTTATCCTTTGTGTTACCAACAATCCAATTATGCTCATTAGTTTTTATTTTATTTTATTTTATTTTTGTAGGTACATAGTGGATGTGTATATTTATGGGGTACATGAGATGTTTTGATACAGACATGCAATGTGAAATAAGCACACCATGGAGAATGGGGTATTCATCCCCTCAAGCATTTACCCTTTGAGTTGCAAACAATCCAGTTACATTCTTTAAGTTATTTAAAAACGTACAATTGTTATCATTGACTATAATAACTGTTGTGTTATCAAATAGTAGGTCTTATTCATTCTAATTTTTTTGTACCCATTAACTCTCCCCACCTCACCCCTTCCCTCCTACCACCCTTCCTCAGGTAGTCATCCTTCTGCTCTTAGAATACAATTGTTTTGATTTTTAGATGCCACAAATAAGTGAGAACATGTGATGTTTGTCTTTCTCTGCCTGGCTTATTTCATTTAACGTAATGATTTCAAGTTCCATTCGTGTTGTTGCAAGTGATTGGATCTCATTCTTTTCTATGGCTGAATAGTACTCCATTGTGTATATGCACATCATTTTCTTTATCCATTCATCTGCTGATGGACGCTTAGAGTGCTTCCAAATCTTAGCTATTTTAAACAGTGCTGCAGGAAACATAGGAGTGCAGATGTCTCTTGGATATACTGATTTCCTTTCTTTTGGGTCAATACTTAGGAGTAGAATTGCTGAATTGTGTGGTAGCTTTATTTTTAGTTTTCTGAGGAACTTCCAAACTGTTCTCCATAATAGTTGTACTAATTTACATTCCCACCAACACTGTTTGAGGGTTCCCTTTTCTTCACATCCTTGCCAGCGTTTGTTATTGCCCGTCTTTTGGATAAAAGCCATTTTAACTTGGATGAGATGGTATCTCATTGTAGTTTGGATTTGCATTTTTCTGATGATCAGTGATGTTGAGCACCTTTTCACATGCCTATTTGCCATTTGTCTTCTTTTGAGAAATGACTATTCAAATCTTTTGCCCATTTTTCAATAGGATTATTAGATTTTTTTCCCTATAGAGTTGTTGGAGCTCCTGATATGTTCTGGTTATTACTCCCTTGTTGGATGGTTAATTTGCAAATATTTCCTCCCATTTTGTGGGTTGTCTTTTCACTTTGTTGATTGCGTTCTTTGCTGTGCAGAAGCTTTTTAACTTGATGTGATCCCATTTGTCCATTTTTGCTTTAGTTGCCTGTGCTTGTGGGGTATTGCTCAATGAATTTTTGCTCAGATCAATGTCCTGGAGATCTTACCCAATGTTTACTTGTAGTAGTTTCACAGTGTGAAGTCTTAGATTTGAGTCTTTAACCCATTTTCGTTTGATTTTTATATGTGACAAGAGTTAGGAGTCTAGTTTCATTGTTCTGCGGATAGATATCCAGTTTTCCCAGTGCCATTTATTGAAGAGAATGTCTTTTCCCTAGTGTATGTTCTTGGCATCTTTGTGAAAAATGAGTTCACTTTAGGTGTGTGTATTTGTGTCTGGGTTCTCTATTCTGTTCCATTGGTCTATGTGTCTGTTTTTAATGTCAGTATCATGCTATTTTGGTTCCTGTAGCTCTGTAGTATAATTTGAGGTCAGGTAATGTGATTCCTCCAGTTTTGTTCTTTTTGCTTCCGATAACTTTGGCTATTATAGGTCTTTTGTGGTTCTATATAAATTTTAGGATTGTTTTTTCTATTTCTGTGAAGAATGTCATTGATATTTTAATAGAGATTGCAGTGAATCTGTAGATTGCTTTGGGAAGTATGGATATTTTAACAATATTGATTCTTCCAATCCATGAACATGGGTATATTTCCCCTTTCCATATTTTGGCTCTTCAATTTCTTTCATCATGATTTTATAGTTTTTATTGTAGAGATCTTTCATTTATTTGGTTAATTCCTAGGTATTTAATTTTATTTGTGGCTATTGTAAGTGGGATTACTTTATATCTTTTTCAGATTGTTCACTATTGGTATATAGAGATGCTACTGATTTTTGTATGTTTATTTTGTATCCTGCAACTTTACTGAATTTGTTTATCAGTTCTAATAGTTATCTGGTATAGTCTTTAGGTTTTTTTCAAATGTAAGATCATATCACCTGCAAACAAGGACAATTTGACTTCTTCCTTTCCAATTTAGATGCCCTTTATTTCTTTCTCTTGTCTAATTGCTCTAGCTAGGATTTCTATGTTGAATAACAATGGTGAAAGTGAGGATCCTTATAGTGTTCCAGATCTTAGAGGAAAGGCTTTCAGTGTTTCCCTACTCAGTATGCTACTAGCTGTAGGTCTGTCATACATGGATTTTATTATGTTGTGGTATGTTCCTTCTATACCCAGTTTTTTGAGGAGTTTTCCATGAAGGGATAATGAGTTTTATTAAGTGCTTTCTCAGCATCAGTTGAAATGATCATATGGCATTTGTCCTTCATTCTGTTGATATGATGTATCACATTGACTGATTTGCATACGTTGAACCATCCTTGCATCCCTGAAATAAATAGCACTTAGTCATGATAAATGATCTTTTTAATGTATTGTTGAATTAAGTTTGCTAGTATTTTGCTGAGATACTGGTCCATAATTTTTTTTCTTTGATGTGTCTTTGGTTTTGGTATCAGTAATACTGGCCTTATAGAATGAGTTTGTAAGTATTCCCTCCTTCTCTAATTTTTGAATAGTTTGGGTAAGATTGATATTAGTTCTTCTTTAACTGTTTGGTAGAATTCAGTGGTGAAGCCATCGGGTCCCAGACTTTTCTTTGCTGGAGACTTTTTATTATGGCTTTGTTCTCATTACTTCTTATTGGTTTGTGCGGGTTTTGGGTTTCTTCATGGTTCAATCTTGGTAGGTTGTATGTGTCTAAGAATTTATTTCCTCTAGATTTTCCAATTTATTGGCATACAGTTGCTCATAGTAGCCACTAATGATCCTTTGAATTTCTGCAGTATCAGTTGTATTGTCTCCTTTTTCATCTCTGATTTCATTTATTTGGGTATTCTCCTTTTTTTCTCAGGTAGCCTGGTAAAGGTTTGTCAATTTTGTTTATCTTTTCAAACAATCAACAGGTGGTGAAGCCAGCCAAGCTGTGTTCTTTTCTTCAGAGTGGCAAGTTCCCCCAGGCCCTAGGTGGGTTCACAGATGCTATCCAGGAGCCAGGGACTGGAGTAAGAAAACCTTAGAAGTCTACCTGGTGTTCCATTCTACTGGGACTGAGCTGGCCCTCAAATCATGAGACACAGTCCTTCCCATTCTTCCCTCCTTTTTCCACAGGCAGAGGAGATGACCCTGTGGCCAACACAACCACGGGTTCACAGGGAGTACTGTTAGCTATTGCTGATATTCACTTAAAGCCCAAGGGCTCTTTAGTCAACTGGTGGTGAATGCTACCAGGTCTGGGACTCACTCTTCAGGACAGTGGACTCCCCTCTGGCCCAGGTTGGGTCCAGAAATGCTGTCCAAGGGCCTACTTGTTGCTCTACCCCTGTGGCTAAGCTGGTACCTACGGTGCAAGACAAAGTCCCCTTTACTTTTCCCTCTGCTTTTCTCAAGCAGAAAGAGTCTCTGCCTGTATGCACCACAGCTGGGGTTGTGCTGAGTCTCACCTGAAGCCAGCAGAGTCTCACCCAAGACCCACGGCATATTACCTGGGTATCGTTGCTGATTATTCAGGGACCAAGGGCTCTTTAGTCAGCAGGTGATAGATCCTGCCAGGACTGGGTCTTTCCCTTTAAGGCAGCAGTTTCTCTTCTGGCCCAGAGTGTGTCTAGAAATGTTGTCCAGGAGATAGGGTCTGGAATGGGTGTCTCATGACCCTGACCAATGTGCTATCCTACTGTGTCTGAGCTGACATCCAAGATGCAAGACAGAAGTCCTCTTTAGTCTTCTCTCTTCTCTCCTCAAATGGAAGGAAGGGATCTTTTTGGAGCTGAGAGTCACACTGTCTGGGGTTGGGGGAGGGGTGGTGCAAGCACTCTCTTAGTCGCCCCAGCTGGTATCTCAGTAGGTCGTGTGCCCTCCAAGCCTACTGGCTCTGATCTCAGCTCAGGGCTAGGACTTGCCTAGGAGTTTCAGTCCTTGTGGCCTAGAATGCCTTTCAAGTTTATTTAGAACCCCCTAGCACTTCAGCTACAGTGGCGAGGCTTGCTGAAACTCAGGTTTCAACTGCTGGGATGGACAATTTCCATCTCACTAGGGCTGGTCCAAATTCTGCCTCCATGGGCAGGTATATGCTGGATTCAGCATGGTTTTGCTTTTCACTGTAACAGGGCAGTACTGAGTTCAATGCAAAGTCTCACAATTGCTGTGCCCTCCCTTCCCCAAGCACACAGATTTCTCTGCACCACATGGTCACTGCTGGAGAAGGGGGATGGTAGGTGGAGCCTTCTATTACACCGTCTTGTTCTGCCCTCCCATTTCCCTTTCTGTTCAGTTTCTATCTGAGGCTAGCCAATCCCCTGTGATCTAGGGGAGATGGGTGGGAGGATGGAAGGAAAGGGGAAGTAAAACAAAAAAATAAGAACCACCCAGAAGCATACAGAAAATTGGGCACTACTTGACAATTTGACATTGCAAAGTTTTCCCAGGCTAATTCCTCACCTTTTAGGGAGTTTGCTGAGCAAACTAGGTAAGCCTTCTTGGCAGGGGAGAAATGCACAGATGCTACCCACTGAGCCCCTCGCTTGGGGGTGGTTGTCCCTGCATGTCCACATCAGAGTCACTGCTCCATCAGGGGTCCTGCAGGACTAGATCCTGGGGCATGGGGAGAAATGGGGACAGCTAATAAATGGAAACCGTACAGCTAATAAATGGAAACCATACAGCTAATAAATGGAAACCATACAGCTAATAAATGGAAACCGTACAGCTAATAAATGGCAGAGCTGAGATTTGAACCTAGGAAAACTGAGTCTTAATCCTTGAACTCTGTTACCTCTGTCTACATAGGTTTCTGTATACATAGCCTTCAGGACTGCTTTTGGTGGAAAGAGATAGCAGGTGGTGCTAATTCACTGTGTTGGTGGGAACTCTGGCTACACTGAAAGGTTTGAAAAAGTTATCCTGTAAACTGACTAGAATCAGGTGCTTTTGTTTCTGAAGTGCTTTTGTAAGTGTACTGAGTTTCTTTTCTGAATTCTTAATTTCTTATTGACTTAGTTTAATTTTATTTAGGATTTCAAATTTATATGGGACAATATCTCTACCTTACAAAAAATGTGCAAGTGATGCTGATTATAATTCCTTTAATCCTAAGGAAAGAGCTTGAGATAGAGCTCCCTAAGCCTTTTTTGCCTGCAAAAGAATCTAAGCAGATGGTGGGGTTGCTGTTTAAATACAATTGCCAACCAAAAACTATAATCTATTGGCTTTGACAATAAAGTTTATGGGGCAGAGAAAATATTTAACTTTGAAATCCCTGTACATCGAAAGGAATATTTTACAAATAACTTGACAAAGATGTTTCAATGGTCTTGGAATGCAGAATGGAATTTTGAGAAATAGAAATTTGTAGGCAAGGGTCTAAACTAGGCAAGGTGGTAAGAATGTGGATGTGCCAGCCTTCTTTTTTTTTTTTTTGAGACAGATTCTTACTTTGACCCCCAGGCTGGAGTGCAGTGGCACGATCTTGGTTCACCACAATCTCGTCTCGAAGGCTCAGGTGATTCTCTCACCTCAGCCGCCTGAGTAGCTGGGACCACAGGTGAGTACCACCACACCTGCCTAATTTTTGTATTTTTTGAGGAGGTGAGATTTCACCATGATGCCCAGACTCGTCTCAAACTCCTAGGCTCAAGTGATCTGCCTGCCTCAGCCTCCCAAAGTGCTGGGATTACAGGCATGAGCCACCAAACCCGGCCCAGCCTTCACTTTTATCTAACAAATTTCTTCTAAATGTCTTCACACCTCAGTCATCTCATTCCTTCTGTCACCTGCAATAACATCCACCTTATCTGTTCAGAGTTACTAGCACCCACTGAGACTTGTAATTCCAAGCCTTTAGTATAGGATGGATTTTTGTAGGAAAGGAAAATAAGGCTGTGATAGTCTGCTTCTACATATTGTATATATCCTTGATGACTTCAAAATAGTTTATGAATTTACTGATTGTTTTAAATTTTATTTTATTTTAATAATTTTCCAATAATGATGCAAGGTATTTGTTGACTGTATTTAAAATTTTTATTTAAAAAAAATAATTTTCAAATAATGATGCAAAGTATTTGTTGATTGTACTGATTTTTTACAATTTTGTTTTAAATAATAATTTTCAAATAGTGATATCGGTTATTTGTTGATTATATTGATCTTTTTGAACAATTCTTAATCTTGATTATTCATAATCTTTATTTCAAAGTTCACGCTCCTTCTTTATTATTTCCCTTATTGAGACCTATAATCCATTCACCTTTTTACTTCGTTCCTATCAATGCGATCCCTGCCACCCTCATTCCCTGACCTATTTGTCTTAGAATGCATAGTCCAGATTTCAGTTACTTCTGTGATAAAATCCTACCCTTTCCCCCGACTACCTTTTTAATTTGAAGGAGGATGGCTTTTAAAAAATGTTGTAATAATTCAGAATTCCAGAAGTGCAAAGACAAGAAAACAACAAAAATTTATGTCCCACCCACCTCTGAGATGTATTTGGTACAGGTGCTTTTTCTTCTGAACTTACAGCATTGTATGTACAGTTAAAGGCTTAATTCTCCAATCTCATTATTTTCCATCCTTATTGTAACCTCTGTAAAAAATAAGTGCATCTTTATTCACTATGCTTTTCTCCTTTTACTAAACATAAACGTATTTATTACAGTTTTTAAAATATTTTAATCTAAATGCTATTCTATTGTATATTATTTTTTGCAAACCTGCTTTTTAAATTTATCATCATGCTTTGAGAGTTTATTTATACTTGAAGATATGATTTACTTATTTTGTCTGCTGTATTAATCTTCCATTGTAAGTTGTTTGTTTCCCATGTCAAATATCTTTCTTGTTCTTTATAATGTCTGTTTCAAACTGTCTCCATTCTATTATTAAAATGTTTTTGTCAGCTGGGCATTGTGGCTCATGCCTATAATCCCTAGCACTTTGGGAGGCCAAGGCAGGAGGATTGCTTGAGCCCAGGAGTTTGAGACCAGCCTGGGCAACATGGGGAGACCCCCATCTCTACAAAAAAAAAAATTTTTAAAGAATTAGCTGGGTATAGTGGCTGTGCGCCTGTAGTCCCAGCTACTCAGGAGGCTGAGGTGGGAGGATCACTTGAGCCCCAGAGTTTGAGGCTGCAGTGAGCTGTGACTGCACTCCAGCCTGGATGACAGAGTGAGACCCCATCTCACACGCAAAAAATATTTTTGTCCTGTTTTTATACCAAGTGCCTCTGTCTCAGGGGGTGACTTTATTTCCTACCTCAAAGAGAAAAGTGAAGCTATCAGAAGGGGACTCTTTCAGCTTCCTCCCACCAAAGCGATAAGCCTACCTTTGCCCATGCCTATTATCTCCATTTCTCCTCCTCCTGACCTTCTTCTGCATCCTGGATCACATTCCTTCCTTACCTCTCTTTTCAGGGCTTTCACTGTCTCAATCATCCCAACTTCCTTCTACCTCTTTAAATTTTCACTTCCCTACTGGCTTCTTCCCATCTAAATATGTTCAGTTCAGGCCTTTCCCATCTTAATAAGATTCTTTAACTTCCTCTTTTCCTCCAGCTACATTTCTTTTTACCTCTCCCCTTTATAGCTTCATATAGTGAACAAGTTGTGCGTATTTGATGATACTATTTCCTTACCTCCCATTTATTCGTTGACTCATTGTGAAATGGACAATTAATATAGATTCCTTTACTAAACACCTGTGAACCAAAATATAGTGTTAAATACTTATTGAGAATTATTCTCAATTAATCCTCATAATAACAGGCATATTAAGGTGGATGCACCATGTTTTATAGGTAAGAAAACAGAGTTAGAAAGATTAAATATCTAGGTTAATGTTATAATACTTTTAATGACAAGTGGAATTCAAGCCATCTCCATGAACTCTGGTCTGTAAGACCTTAGCCTCTGGTTTATTGCCTCCTGGTGCCCACTGCCCAGGTGTCTGAACAGCATTTTTCAAAGTCACCAATAACCTTAATTTTACTAAACCTAATAACACTTTTGAGTCATCACCTAGCTGTACCTGTCAGCAGTATTAGACACCTTGGCTCTGTCACACCCCACCTTTGCAGCCTCAGTTTTTCATTATGCCATAGATCTGAGACCTCTGTGCAGGTGACTTTGTTCTGGGCTTCCTTAATACCATATGCCCTTGGTTTTTCTCCTACCTCTGGTTTTTCACAGTCAGTCCTTTCTGAAGTCTCCTTTTCAATGTTGTTTTCTTTTACTCATCCCCTAAAGTTGGTGTTCACTGGAACATCAACAACCTAAACTGAGATAGTCTCATGCCATTGTACACATGCCCTTCATGCGCTCCACTGCTTCCATTCTTCAATGCTGATAACTTCACCTGGCCAATTCCAATGCATCCTTCAGGTCTTTAAATGTCACCTTTGCCTTGGAAGTCTTTTTGAACCATCATCTTCAGATTAGTTTAGATACCCCTTTAGTATATTTTTCCTCTCATAGCCCATATCATATATGATGTTAAATGCTAATTTCATTAGCACCCTTCCTTGCCAGCCATTCTTCTCCTAAAGAGAAGGGATTGCTCCTGTCTTGCTTGCTAGTCTATTGTCTTCTCTCAGCACATATTAGACACAAAATAAATACCCTTTTAATAAATGAATTGCATGCATGTAACACTTCATTTCTTCTAATAGTTTCAGCTGTGAGTTCAACATGGAGGCAAATCAGTGCCCCCTGGTTGTGGAACCATCTTACCCAGACCTGGTCATCAATGTAGGAGAAGTGACTCTTGGAGAAGAAAACAGAAAAAAGCTGCAGAAAATTCAGAGAGACCAAGAGAAGGAGAGAGTTATGCGGGCTGCATGTGCTTTATTAAACTCAGGAGGAGGAGTGATTCGAATGGCCAAGAAGGTTGAGCATCCCGTGGAGATGGGACTGGATTTAGAACAGTCTTTGAGAGAGCTTATTCAGTCTTCAGATCTGCAGGCTTTCTTTGAGACCAAGCAACAAGGAAGGTGTTTTTACATTTTTGTTAAATCTTGGAGCAGTGGCCCTTTCCCTGAAGATCGCTCTGTCAAGCCCCGCCTTTGCAGCCTCAGTTCTTCATTATACCGTAGATCTGAGACCTCTGTGCGTTCCATGGACTCAAGAGAGGCATTCTGTTTCCTGAAGACCAAAAGGAAGCCAAAAATCTTGGAAGAAGGACCTTTTCACAAAATTCACAAGGGTGTATACCAAGAGCTCCCTAACTCGGATCCTGCTGACCCAAACTCGGATCCTGCTGACCTAATTTTCCAAAAAGACTATCTTGAATATGGTGAAATCCTGCCTTTTCCTGAGTCTCAGTTAGTAGAGTTTAAACAGTTCTCTACAAAACACTTCCAAGAATATGTAAAAAGGACAATTCCAGAATACGTCCCTGCATTTGCAAACACTGGAGGAGGCTATCTTTTTATTGGAGTGGATGATAAGAGTAGGGAAGTCCTGGGATGTGCAAAAGAAAATGTTGACCCTGACTCTTTGAGAAGGAAAATAGAACAAGCCATATACAAACTACCTTGTGTTCATTTTTGCCAACCCCAACGCCCGATAACCTTCACACTCAAAATTGTGAATGTGTTAAAAAGGGGAGAGCTCTATGGCTATGCTTGCATGATCAGAGTAAATCCCTTCTGCTGTGCAGTGTTCTCAGAAGCTCCCAATTCATGGATAGTGGAGGACAAGTACGTCTGCAGCCTGACAACCGAGAAATGGGTAGGCATGATGACAGACACAGATCCAGGTAAGAGGGAGAAAGCTCCTCCCTCCCTGTCCTTTCTACATCCTTGGGACCTCCCATATTAAATTTTCCTTTGCTGCCTATGACTTTGAACATCTTACATCCACTGAACACTTTATTTTGAATCCCCAAGTATTCTACTTTTCATACATGAGAAAATTTTGTTGGGTGATTAGAAACCTAACTCACATGTCTATAAATGGCCAATTTTCTACATTAGTAACTGAACAGAAAATTATTTGAGAATGGCCACCCTTGCAATGGTGTACTGGAATGGCTCTTACTGGCTTTAGAATCAATTATTAAATTTTCAGGAATTTTTGAGCTAGTTGTTAAACATAGTTATTACTAAAAATTAGATTGTATATACTTGCACCTAAATAAATCGTATCAGAAACAAATGTAATAAATTCAAACTCACCACTTCCTAATTATTTGCTACATTTCACTATTATCTTTGCTTGAGAGATTATTTACATCTATTGTATCTGTGTGGTGGGAATACTATAAAATGGAGTGCTACTGTGCATGGCTTTCCAACTCTGTATTTAGTGATAATCCATTAGGAGCTTGAAATTGTCCATGGCAGGAAGATTTATAAAACAGAAACTGGCAGTTGGCTATGAACGAGGGATCTCTTCTCAACTAGATCTGTTTATTAAACCATCACCAGCATAGATAGTACTGCTTTCTGGGGTTGCTTTCTTGGGCTGGGCTTGGTGGCTCATGCCTCTAATCCCAGCATTTTGGGAGGCTGAGGTGGGTGGATCACCTGAGCAGGAGTTCAAGACCAATATGGTGAAACCCCGTCTCTACTAAAAATAGAAAAATTAGTCAGACGTGGTGGTGCGTGCCTGTGGTCTCAGCTACTTGGGAGGCTGAAGCAGAAGAATTGCTTGAACCTGGGAGGAGGAGGTTGCAGTGAGCCGAGATTGCACCACTGCACTCCAGTCTGGGTGACAGAGCGAGACTCTGTCTCAAAAAAAAAAGCCCTTTGCATTGAAGTTTGCTATCACCTTATAATAGTACCCTGCCTAAATTAAGATGTAGTTTATCTCTTGATCCTTGAGGACATTGTTGATTTTGTAGCTCAGGAAAATTTGAAAGTAGCTCAGGGCCAAGCATGGTGGCTGACACCTATAATTCCAGCACTTTCGGAGGCTGTGGTGGGAGGATCACTTGAGCCCTGGAGTTTGAGGCTGCAGTGAGCCATTATTACAGCAATGCACCCCAGCATGGGTGAGAGTGAGACCCTGTCTCAAAAACAAAAGAACAGAAAGTATTTCAGGGTGATGAGGGTCACGGGGGTAGGGGTGTATTCAAGGTTTGTCCTCAGTACCGTTTCATATTGTCCTGTGTCTCTGTTTATCCTGTTGATATTTTGCCTTTTCTTCCACTCATCACCATGTACCCATTATGCTCTATGCCAGCAGGTATAATCTGCTCTACCCCTCTGCTCCTAACAGTTTGAAATATTTCTTGCCTTGCATCACTACTGCTTCCCAAACATGTTTCTATATTTACCCCATCATGCTATAATTTGGCAGGCTAGTGGGCTATCTCAGTGTCTCTAGAACAACTGAGAACACCCTAAGCCTGGAGAAACACAGAGAGAACATAAAAATTGGGACACAATCTTCTGAGTAAAGTGGATGTGTACTTGGAAAGGAGATATTATAAAGCTGACTCCAATCTCCAAAGCACATGAAAAAGTTAATGCACTCTATAATGTCCTTTGATTTCACACAATTTCTCATTTTAACTTCAGGAATAAGCATAGGTGTCAGAATGTCACCCAGGCTGGAGTGCAGTGGCGTGATCATAGTCCACTACAGCCTTGAACTCCTGGGCTCAAGTGATCCTCTCACTTCAGTCTCTTGAGTAGCTGAGGCTACAGGCACAAGCTACTGTGCCCAAGCCCTAAGCTATTTTTTAAGTGTGAGTAATGGTAATTACAAATCAGTGATGAGATGATATTGAACAGAGTTGAGAGTTGGGTTCAGGAGAGGTGGTGGCAGTTGGAGAGGGGATGTAAAACAAGATACATGCACAGACAGCAGTACTAAAAGAATGAGCTAGGTAACGTAACAGGTGTGCAAACAAAATGCTAACCAGATACAGAGAATGAAGAATTATACTGAATGGAGAAATACAGTTAAACTTCCAAATAATGGCTTTTCAGGGTGGGTTTTGGCAACCTTGATATGCAATAAAGGCACTTATCTAGAGTAAGTGAGTGAGAGGAGAGTTATTTTGATATTATCTCTCAAGTCAAACTATTTAGAAAGTCACACATTCCACCTACTGATAGAGCCTCTTTCAGTATGAAGAGATTAACACGTCAGAATAACATGAATTTTCTTTCTTAAGATCTTCTACAGTTGTCTGAAGATTTTGAATGTCAGCTGAGTCTATCTAGTGGGCCTCCCCTTAGCAGACCAGTGTACTCCAAGAAAGGCCTGGAACATAAAAAGGAACTCCAGCAACTTTTATTTTCAGGTAATTATGGTTTGTCTTCTCAACACCAGCCAGTTTCTATATTAGGATAAAGGGAGATTAAACTATAATATTTGTTTTGTAAAATCCTGAAAGTGCTCTGCAAACCCATTTGTAAGACGTGATGATGTTACAATCCTATTGGTGATAAGTGGTTTAGAAATGAACCCTTACTGACCCCACTGGCTAAGGCAGGACCACACATAGAATCCAGGAACATTATTTCCCTTAAAGACTATTTGTTCTTGTAGTTCCCAAATCTGGCTGATCATCAGTGTTTCTGGTCATTTTTAAAAGGACACATATCTGAGTCCCTACTCCACTCATAACAAATTGGAATATGTGGGGAGAGTGGCTTGCAATATGTACTTTTCTCAAACTACCCTCATGATTTTATGTTCATCTAGATTGGAAACCTTTTATCTAGTCAAACTAGTCATATGCTGCACCAGAGAGCAGCCAAAAAACTGCCTGCCCTTGCCAGATTTTCCACGGGAGTGGTGGTTGTAAATAAGAGAAAACAATATAAATCTAGGTCAAGATGGAAAACAAAACATTTAAAATGGAGATGGATTATGCATTTCTTCCCATGTTTTGGGTTTAGGACAATCACGTAGCAGCACAAACACAATAATTCAGGACCAAGGTCAACGCCTTTTCTCTACTCTTATCCCTTGTTCCCATGATAGGCTTTGCTTAGGAATCCATTGCTGTCTTTGTAGAATCCCAGAGAGGGAAAACCACTTGCTTAAATCTGTGCAGTAAGTCAGTGGCTTATCTGGCACTATAATTGATACATAAATGTCCTATATATGTGTAAATATCTGTCAAGGATCATTAAATTAATAGATAATGACTGCCCCCATTAGAATTTCATTTTTTCCTTTATCCAAGGTCCTTGCATTCATTTACATATCAAATTTATATTTTAGAAACTGTCCACAATAAACAATGTAAAATCTAACAGTAAATCTATTAAGCGCTGCTAATCACCTTTTAAGCTCAATAAGATCCATTTTAGTAGAGCTTATTACCATGGAATAAATTATAACTAAGACAAAATAATGGGCTATATGCCCATAGAGGAACAGCCTATTATTCTGGTATAAAAAAATCAGTTTTCTAAAACTTCTACCAAACTTTTGAAAAATAGGCATTTTTTACACTATTTACATTGTTCTAAATTCATAGAAAAATAACACAAATTCCCAAGTCTTTTTTTCTTTTTGAGACAGGATCTTGCTCTGTCACCCAGGTTGGAGTGCAGTGATGTGATCATAGCTCATTGCAGCCTTGAACTCCTGGGCTCAAGTGATCCTCTCACCTCAGTTTCTTGAGAAGCTAAGACTATAGGCATGAGCTACTGTGCCCAGCCCTAAGCTATTTTTTAAGTGTGAATAACAGTAATTGTAAAACTTGTTAAAGATAGAAAAAAAGGAAAAGGAAAAGGAAAAGGAAAACTCAGATTAATCCTACTTATTAATGAGGATGCAAAGACAGAATTCCAGAAATACAAGCATGTGTCAACATTTAAAGAGTTAATGTAATTCATCATTTCTGTGTATCTATGCAAATAAATTATATATTTGTTTTCTAATACATCAAAAAGGCATTTGAAAAAGCTCAATACATGTTGTTTTTTAAAGGTCCTCAATAAAATAGTAACCTATAGTTCTTTAACATTATATATATATTTACATGTATATATATGTCCACCAAGAACATCATGTTAATTGGGAGAGATTACAGGCATTCTATTAAATTCAGGAACAAAACAGCCATGTGCATATTACAAGTACAATGTAATATTAATTGGCCAATACAGTTAGATAAGAGAAAGAAATTAGAGGGATTAAAATGGAAGAAGATAGGACTATATATCTGGAGAATTCATGATAATCAAAGAAAACTACTGTAAACAGTAAAATAATTCAGAATGAATATAAGTACTTATATTAGTATTATAAGAAGAAACTATAAAAATTAATATGCAGAATTCAGTATCTTTAATATAACATATAATGAAAGAAAACACCCAATTTTCAATAGCAACAAAAAGCTAAAATATCTGCAATAAACCTATCTAATGCAAAAGTTAAAATAATATTGAAGGACACAGAAGCATAAGTGAATCAGGGAATGTTACATACTTTGAAGGAAGAGTCAACATCACAAAGTTGTCAATTCTGAAGTTATTTTATATATCAATTTTAAAAAGAGATTATTTAAATCTAAACATAAAAACTAAATGAGCAAGAACAGCTGGAAAATTAAAACCTGAAAAACAAGGGAAGCTATCTATAAATAATATATATTATTTATAGATATATAAATATAATATATAATTATATAACTATAATATATAGATATATAAAATATATATTATATAAATAATTATATATTTTTAATTTTATTATTTATTTGTTTTTTAAAATCTTTATATTATATTTTTATGTTTATTATTTCATATTTATATATTATATATTTATATTATTTATATATGATATATATTATTTATATATATTTAAATATATATTATATATATAAATAATAAAAAGAGTTGTATTGTCATATAATTAGACCAAAGTTACAGAATGTAGGATCTGGAAATACACAGAAACACAAATTAAAATTTAGTTTATCATGAAACTGGCCTTGCAAGTAAGTAGAGAAAAACAGACATGCTCATAAATACATAGGGTAACTTGGTGGCAATTAACTGTTTAAAAGATGAACTCATACTTTACTTCATATACTAACATAAACTACAAATGGATCAAGAATTTAAAACAAAAAGCCAGAAAAGTTCTAGAAGAAAACATAGGCAAACATCTTTATAATTTTTGCGTTAGACTTAAAAAAATCAAGATTCAAAATCTGTGAACCATAAAAGTAAAGACTGTTATATATGACTGCATACAAATAACAAGTATTGTGCATGAGTAAAGCCACTAAGAACAAAGTCAAATGACCATGACCAGTAGAAAAAATATTTGCAACCCGTATCACAACCAAAGGGCCAGTGTCTCTAATATATAAAGAGCTTCCAGAAGTTGATAAGGACACAGACACACACACACACACACACACACACACACACACACACGCACAGAAAAATCAACACGGATAGTCCAGAGAAAATAAAATTCATACAGCTTTGAAACATTTGAAAAGATGCTAAATATTAATCAAAATAAGAGACATGTAAATTAAAAGGAGAATTATTTCCGTCTACTGGATTGTTAAAAAATGAAAAAACCTGACATTATCTCTTATTTGCTAGTTGTGGGGAAACACACCTTCTTGTACATTGCTAGTGGGAGTCCATATTGGTACAACTCCATTGGAGGACAATTTGGCAATATATTAATATATTGGAATCACAAATGCATTTAACCTTTGGGATTTTATTATGTGTGTGTGTGTGTGTGTGTGTGTGTGTGTGTGTATGCTACATATGCTTACATACACACCAAACATACAAGGTTACTCACTGTAGTATTAACATAATAGCAAAAGACTGGAGGGAAAACTCAAGGGCCCATCAATAGGGACTGGTCAAACAAGATATGGTACATCCATAAAATACTGTGTTAGATAGCTGTAAGAAAAGAATAAGGAATTGTGCATTGATATGGAAAGATCTCTACCATACATTGCTAAGTGAAGAAAAAAGTAGTTGCTGAATGGTTTGCTACCTGTTGGGAAAGAAAGGGCAGAATATTTGTTTGTATTTGCATAAAGTAATTTCGGAAGAATAGGCAAGAAACTTAAAAGTATCTGTGATAAGGGAGAAGGGTGAGATTGGGAAGGCAGGAAATTAAGAAAATGAGAGTAGGAGTGTTTGGGTATTTGGTATAGGAATATATTAACTAAAGTTATTTTTTTAAAAGACAATTTTCATTTTTGGAACACTGTTATTGTTATTAGATTTTGAACATTAATGGTGGTAAACAAACTATGTTTATACTTTTACAATTAGAATCCAGATATTAAGAATAAAGATGTTCTTAGCACACTAATTATTAGCATTGATTGACAATAATTTGGCTTCAGAATCAATGCTGTCAGTGCTTCTCTTGGAAGAAATGCAATGATTGTCTCAAATAGAAATTTTGTCTATAACTGGAGTTACTGGTACTAAAGATAGTCAGGGCCTGGTGTAGTAGGTCAGAATCAGCCAGCTCCAGTGTTCTTCCTCTTGGTGTCCTAAACCTTTAGGATACCTCACCTGATTGATTTCTTATGGTTTGAGAACAACTGCCCTGGACCCTTCACTGCTGATTCTAAAGATTCCCTAGATCCATGGTGAAATTAGTTCCCAGAATGGATACAAAGTGGGAGCTCTGAGGACAGAAGGATGAATATGGGAGTTCTGGGGAGGGTGAGGAGTTTATCAAGTGATCAAGGTGGAAGTCTTCAGAGTTTCAGAGCACACCTGTGCAAAGGCACAGAGTCCTCAAATCACATGGGGAGTGGTGACTACTCTGGTGCACCTGGAATGATGGCATTAATTGAACACCTAGTCTGGTCCCTATCATTACTGTTATGTGGAATATCAAAGAAATGAAAGAAGCACTTCTTATCTTCCTATAATTTCCTTCAGAAGCATGCTCCATTATACAATTAAAGAAAAAGAAGACCTATGCAATGATAAGGTAAATAAACATCAAGTGTTTTAGTGACTTTTACCATTTATCAGGCAGGAGTAGTCTGTGACTTGCAGGGCAGGGCAAAAACAGTAGAGGATCCGATGTCCAAGAGACTTGGGTTCAGACTCGCCCTGCCATTTCCTAGTGGTGTGATGTTGGGCAAATCACTTGATCTCTTTTATTTTTTATTTTTTGAGACAGTATCTTGCTCTGTCGCCCAGGATAGAGTGCAGTGGTGCAGTCATAGCTCACTGCAGCCTTAAATTCCCTGGCTCAAGCAATCCTCCCACCTCAGCCTCCTGAGTAGCTGGAACTACAGGCCCATAGCACTGCACCCAGCTCTCACTTGACCTCTTTGAGTCCTTATCTACTCATATGAAGATGGGAATAAATATGTCATCCTTGGAAAATTTGTGAAGACCAGAGATACATGCAAATTCCCTGGTAACAATCAACAAATGATGTATTTTCTTATTTTACATTTCTTTGGTTTCCAAAGCTTCATTTTAAACATATACTCAATTATCCTATTTTATCCATTCTAAGATGTGTATCTCCCCCTATATTTTAACATCTCTAAAATCTGGATGTGTCTCATAATAGATGCTATCTCCTACTGTCATCTAGGTTGCAGGGATAATCAAGTCGTGTGAGCACCTGGTACGAATGAGAAAGCACTAGCAACAATGAACAAGAAACAATTACCAATAAAATCTGGGTAATTTCATTTGAAATTACCACTACAAATCTTGATTTGGGTTTGTACTCTAACACTACCACAACAGGACAACAATTATCTTCCTCCCCCTCCCACTTTGGAACCCTTGATCATTGAAATAAGTTCATAATCCTCCAATGCAAGTATATTCTCGTGTCACATAATTATTTCTTGTTTGCCTGTGACACAGGGAAGACTTTTGTGGTAGTGGGGAGCCATACGTTGATCTTTAAGTGATGCAAGAATTCTGCTTCAGGAGAGATAGCTTTAAGAATCTTCCAGTCCAGGACTGCAGGAAATTCGCTGCCAACAAAGGTTTTAATATGACTCCCTCTCCTCTGCAACTATGGAGTTAATGACTACCTTCTTCCTGTGGCAGTGGAGGAGGGGGGGCTCCTGCTACTCCCAGCAATGGGGCATTTTGAGATTCAGGTACTTTGAAAGTAGAAAGGGGAGGAGGAGAACCAACATTTCTCAAGCAGCTACAATGAGCCAAACATTTTATGTTATTTCATTTATTCCTCCTCATAGGAAATGTGCTATTCTTAGTTTTGTTTTACAGATGAGACAGCAAAGTCTTAGGCTAAGGAATTTCCCAAGGTTATAAGTTGTAAAAAACACATGGGTTTAGATGAAGTATACCAGATATTCCAAGGGTTCTTTTCCTTTATAACTATAATATAATAATATTTATAAAATAGTATTTGAAACTTCTATAAGTAATCATTTAGTTAATCAATTAGTTAATTATAATTAGTCATCTTAATCAATAGGGTTATTTCTCTTCCTCTAATTTATCATTCTTTTCACATACAGTCCCACCAGGATATTTGCGATATACTCCAGAGTCACTCTGGAGGGACCTGATCTCAGAGCACAGAGGACTAGAGGAGTTAATAAATAAGCAAATGCAACCTTTCTTTCGGGGAATTTTGATCTTCTCTAGAAGTTGGGCTGTGGACCTGAACTTGCAGGAGAAGCCAGGAGTCATCTGTGATGCTCTGCTGATAGCACAGAACAGCACCCCCATTCTCTACACCATTCTCAGGGAGCAAGATGCAGAGGGCCAGGACTACTGCACTCGCACCGCCTTTACTTTGAAGCAGAAGCTAGTGAACATGGGGGGCTACACCGGGAAGGTGTGTGTCAGGGCCAAGGTCCTCTGCCTGAGTCCTGAGAGCAGCGCAGAGGCCTTGGAGGCTGCAGTGTCTCCGATGGATTACCCTGCGTCCTATAGCCTTGCAGGCACCCAGCACATGGAAGCCCTGCTGCAGTCCCTCGTGATTGTCTTACTCGGCTTCAGGTCTCTCTTGAGTGACCAGCTCGGCTGTGAGGTTTTAAATCTGCTCACAGCCCAGCAGTATGAGATATTCTCCAGAAGCCTCCGCAAGAACAGAGAGTTGTTTGTCCACGGCTTACCTGGCTCAGGGAAGACCATCATGGCCATGAAGATCATGGAGAAGATCAGGAATGTGTTTCACTGTGAGGCACACAGAATTCTCTACGTTTGTGAAAACCAGCCTCTGAGGAACTTTATCAGGTAAGCAGTTGGATCTTACGTCTCTAAGTATTATTTAATCTGGGTTTAATTTTTTCTGCTAAGTCACCGTCTTTCTTGAGAATTGAGTGGTAAAATGATCTGTGGTAATGTACTGTGCTCGGAGGAACATGATACAATTATTTTCTCCCCTTGTTTTTTTAGAGAAAACCTGAGTGTGTTCTTTTAATTTTTACAGTGATAGAAATATCTGCCGAGCAGAGACCCGGAAAACTTTCCTAAGAGAAAACTTTGAACACATTCAACACATCGTCATTGACGAAGCTCAGAATTTCCGTACTGAAGATGGGGACTGGTATGGGAAGGCAAAAAGCATCACTCGGAGAGCAAAGGGTGGCCCAGGAATTCTCTGGATCTTTCTGGATTACTTTCAGACCAGCCACTTGGATTGCAGTGGCCTCCCTCCTCTCTCAGACCAATATCCAAGAGAAGAGCTCACCAGAATAGTTCGCAATGCAGATCCAATAGCCAAGTACTTACAAAAAGAAATGCAAGTAATTAGAAGTAATCCTTCATTTAACATCCCCACTGGGTGCCTCGAGGTATTTCCTGAAGCCGAATGGTCCCAGGGTGTTCAGGGAACCTTACGAATTAAGAAATACTTGACTGTGGAGCAAATAATGACCTGTGTGGCAGACACGTGCAGGCGCTTCTTTGATAGGGGCTATTCTCCAAAGGATGTTGCTGTGCTTGTCAGCACCGCAAAAGAAGTGGAGCACTATAAGTATGAGCTCTTGAAAGCAATGAGGAAGAAAAGGGTGGTGCAGCTCAGTGATGCATGTGATATGTTGGGTGATCACATTGTGTTGGACAGTGTTCGGCGATTCTCAGGCCTGGAAAGGAGCATAGTGTTTGGGATCCATCCAAGGACAGCTGACCCAGCTATCTTACCCAATGTTCTGATCTGTCTGGCTTCCAGGGCAAAACAACACCTGTATATTTTTCCGTGGGGTGGCCATTAGGAAGAACTCCAAATCAAAATGCTATGTAAATGTCTATGGGTGACAGTCTGCTGATGGTAGAAACCTTTCTTTTTAGTTCACAAGTCAGAGATTTGGACGGAGCTGACACAAAGAGTTTGGAGCTCCCCCATTTCTGGCTCTCCTTTCAGGGGTTCCTTCCCCAACCCTTTCAGCAGCGGTGGCTGCCCCCCATTCTGACCCCTGACTCTTCCAGCCAGAAAGATGGTGGTTTTCTAAAGGAACTTTAGCTGTCCTGCACAATGCCGATCTGTGTCTTGCATTTTGGGTAAAAGCCATAAAAATAAGAAACTCAGCCTGTGGCCTTTCTTTCTTCCAAGGCTGGGCTTCTTTTTTTAAGTGACTTCATGCAGTTTGTTGCTTTTAAAAATTTGTCCAGAATCGTTTTCTGCAGAAGCATGGTCTGTTAGGAGCTTACTGGCCGTAGCAGAAGCAATTGTTTCCTGAATTCTTGACATTTATCTTTGCTGTATTCATTTAGGGCTTGGGAGAGTCCGAAGATAATTCAGTCACTGTCAGATTAATAATTTTGTCAGGACAAAGAATACCGTTATGATTATTTAATCCTTTAAAATTGTGGTCTCCAGAGCTTGTTCTCAGAATGGCCCAGACCAAGCCTTAATTGTGATAGTGAATATTAATGGTCACTTTAAGGAGAAATTATAGGCCAAGATGAAATGAACATAAACCTGTTTGCCCTGGCTTTCAGTGGAAGATGATATTAGAGACCAAAATCTGGTTCTGAAGGTGTGTATCAGCCCTAAGGTGAACCAGACTTGGGAAAGATTGTCTTTAAAAATCAATGAGTTTATGTTTTAACTTCTCAGCTTAGTTCTATGCATTGCTCTATAACACACCTAGTTAAGTTTTATGTTATTCTTGAACTGTGATTTTTTTTCTATTTACTTTCATGGTTTGGTGGGCCATTGTTATGGACTGAATGTTTGTGTCCCACCCTTCACCCCCAAATTCCCGTGTTGAAGCCCCAACCTGCACTGTGGAGCTGGGGCTGCTAAGGAAGTAATTAAGGTTACATGAAGTCATGGTGGGGCTCTGATCTGCTAAGGTTGGTGTCCTTATAGGGAGAGACCCCAGAGAGCTTGTTCCCTCCCTCCCTGTGCATGCAAACAAGAGGGCATGGGAGCACACAGAGAGATGGCAGCCACCTACAAGCCAAGAGGAGAAGCCTCACAATCAAACTCTCGCTGCTGGCGAGAGTCTTGGACTCTGTCTTGGACTTCCAGCCTCCAGACTGTGAGAAACAAATTTCTGTTGTTTCAGCTTCTCAGTCTCTGGTGTTTTGTTATTGCAGCCTGAGAACACAGCTGTACGATTATTTGTCAAACAGAAAACACTGATACTTAACAATGCTAATGCAATTATTTATTTGCTTTTCAGTCTCTACAAAACGTTCTAAAACACTAATCTAAATATTAACAGTAAAATATTTGCATAACTAATGGAAACTAAGAAATCATATGACCAATATTTCACTTATTGGTAATCTTACTCTACTGATTTCCCCCCAGACTGTGATTTTTGAACTTCCTTGCCTTTCTCCTGTCTTTCTGTGTTTATTCATGGAATTCCAGTTATCTGGGCTTGAAATTGCAGGCTCTCCTAACTTAAGCAAAATCTGACAGATCAGCAAAATGAGATAAATGTTTCTTTTTTCTTTCTGACTGCATTAAATCAGATACAACTCAGCATTAAAAAGCTATCTTTGTAAATGTTGTTACTAATAAATTAGTCTTATAAGATCCCTGGACTTTGGAGTTGTTGCAATGTCTTTGAGAGTAATTCTTTAAAAGTCTAATTTCGACTGGTTGTATCTCTTTATGATTTATTGCCCCACTAACAATATTTGAAACAATATAATATTTTAAAATGTATAAATAATTATGAATTTTTGTTTAGAACAAAGAGGATTACTGATATTTGTTTCCCTATGAATGGCAAAAGGTTTAGCTTACTACTGCATTTCTGTTTTAAATAAAAAGTTGAGAGTTTGTGTCTCATTAAACTGAAAAAAATGGTCTTGTAAAATAAGTGCTTAAATGGGGGAAAAGGAGAAGACTGAGGCCAGTGACTCTGTGAGAGGGCCAAAACGAGCCAGTAAAAGATTAAGCAACATTAACTTTCAATTTTTTTTTTAAGAGACAAGATCTCACTATGTTGCCCAGGTTGGAATGCAGTAGTGCAATCATAGCTCACTATAGCCTCGAACTCCTGGGCTCAAGTGATCCTCCTGCCTCAGCCTCCGAAATTGCTGGGATTATAGGCATGAGCCAGTGCACTAGACTCAGTTGGGTTTGGATGGGTGCCTGCCCATCTCTGCAATCTGCCTCTAGACATCTGGGACCTACTTCACTAAAGATCTGAAAATCTACCCAGCCATTATAAAATGAAACAAAATGTTTTTATATTTTAAATTAACTTTTTATTTTAGAGTAGTTATAGAATTACAGAAAAAGTTACAAAGATAGTACAGAAAGTTCCTGTGTCCCCTTCATTTAGTTTCCTCTTTATTTTATTTTATTTTATTTTATTTTATTTTATTTTATTTTATTTTATTTTATTTTGACAAGGTCTTGCTCTCTCACCCAGGTTGGAGTACAGTTGGGTGATCACAGCTCACTGCAGCCTTTAACTCCTGGACTCCAGTGATCCTCTCACCCCAACTAGCTGAGAAGCTGGAACTGCAGGTGCATGCCACTACACCTGGCTATTTTTTTAAAAAAATTTTGTAGAGGACGGGGTCTTATTATGTTGCCCAGGCTGGTCTCAAACTCCCAGGCTCAAGCATTCCTCCTGCGTGGGCTTCCTACAGTGCTGGGATTACAAGTGTGAGCCATTGCAGTGGCTATTTCCCTGTTTTATTACTGTATTGTTGTGATGCATTCATCACAACTAAGGAACCAACCTTACTTAGTACATGACTATTAACTAAACCCCACATTTTATTTGGATTCTCCAGTTTTTTTTTTTTTTTTTTTTTTTTTTTTGAGACGGAGTCTTGCTCTGTCGCCCAGGCTGGAGTGCAGTGGCATGATCTCGGCTCACTGCAAGCTCTGCCTCCGGGGTTCACGCCATTCTCCTGCCTCAGCCTCCCGAGTAGCTGGGACTACAGGCGCCCGTCACCACACCTGGCTAATTTTTTGTATTTTTTTAGTAGAGACCGGGTTTCACCGTATTAGCCAGGATGGTCTCGATCTCCTGACCTTGTGATCCGCCCTCCTCGGCCTCCCAAAGTGCTGGGATTACAGGCATGAACCACTGCACCCGGCCTGGATTCTCTAGTTTTTCTCTAATGTCTTTGCCTACTCCAGGATCCCATCCAGGACACCATACTACATTTAGTGGTCATGTTTCCTTACACTCCTCTGACCTGTGATGCTTTATTTTTGATGACCTGGACAGTTCTGAGGAGTACTGGTCAGGTATCTACAAATAAAATGTCCTTCAGTTTGGGTTTGTCTGATTTTTTTCTCAGACTGGGGTTATAGGTTTTCAAGAGGAAGACCACAGGAATGAAGAGGTATTCTCATCACATCACATCAAGGGTATATGCTATCAACATGCCTTATCACTCATGATATCAACCTTGACCAGCTGACAGAGGAAGTGTTTGCCAGGTTTCTCTACAGTGAAGTTACTTTTCCTTCCTCCTATGTTGCTAAGTGCAGCTCACACTCAAAGGGTGAGGATTGAAGCTCCACTTTCTTGAGGGGGCCAATGTCTATATATCCTACAAAATAATTTATCTATATAAATTATTTGGAATTCTTCATTTACTTGTAAGAATGGACTTATAGATATTTATTTAATACTTTGTGTTATATTCCAACGCTACATTATTTATTTAGATGCTCAGATTGTTCTAGTATTAGGCATATACAGGATATCTGGCAAAAGTCATAACAGATAGAGTGTGGTAGCTCACGCTTGTAATCCCAGTACTTTGGGAGGCTGAGGTGGGCAGGTCACTTGAGGCTAGGAGTTTGAGACCAACCTGGCCAATATAGTGAAACCCCACCTCTACTAAAAATACAAAAAAATTCAGTCGAGCATGGTGGCACAAGCCTGTAGTCCCAGCTACTCAGGAGGCTGAGGCATGAGAAAGACTTGAACCTGGGAGGCAAAGGTTGCAGTGAGCCGAGATTGCACAACTGCACTCCAGCCTGGGTGACAAAGCAAGACACTGTCTCAAAAAAAAAAAAAAAAAAAAAAATCCACCACAGTCAACATCAACAAATTAAACAAACAAATAAATAGCAATGGGGATCCAGATCTTGGTTTCTAATACCCTTAAGTATACAATACATTATTATTCTCTGTAGTCACCATGCTGTACAACTGATCTCCAGAACTTATTCATCCTAACTGAAACCTTGTATCCTTTGACCAACATCTCCCCATTCCCTGACCTTTGTCCCCCAGCCGGCCCCTGGCATTCTTCTACCCTCTGCTTCCATGAGTTCAACTATTTTAGATTCCACATATAATTGGAATCATGCAGTATTTGTCCTTCTGTGCCTGGCTTATTTCACTTAGCTTAATGTCCTCCAAGTTCATCCATGTTGTTGCAAATGACAGGATTTTCTTCTTTTCTAAGGTTGAAGAGTATTTCATTTTGTGTGGTGTGTATTTGAGAGTGTGTGTATGTGTGTATGTAACACATTTTCTGTATCTGTTCATGCATCAATGGATAGTTTAATTCCACATCTTGGTAATTATTAACAATACTACAATGAACATGGGAGCGTAGATACCTCTTTGACATACTGATTTCACATCTTTTAGATATATACCCAGAAAAGGGTGCTTGCAATTGAAATTTAATTAACCAGAAATGGGATTGCTGGATCATATGATAGTTATTTTATAACCATGGCTGCTGCTTCCAGAAAACATGGTTACTTCCTTGCCTAACTATCCTGCCTCACCAGCAGTATGCATTGGCTTTTCTTTTTTTTTCTTTTTTTTTTGAGACAGGGTCTTGCTCTGTTGCCCAGGCTGGAGTGCGGTCACTACAGCCTGGAAACTCTGGGCTCAAGGGATCCTCCCACCTCAGCCTTCTGAGTAGTTAGGACTACAGGCGCTGGCCACCAAGCCTGGCTAATTTTGTTTCTCTTTTTTGTAGAGAGGAGGTCTCCCTTTGTTGCCCAAGCTGGTCTCAAACTCCTGGGATCATGTGATCTTCGCACCTCAGGCTCCTCAGTAGCTGGTACTACAGGCATGCTCACCATATTTGGCTAAAATTTTTTTTTTTTTTGTAGCTACGGGGTCCCTCAGAATTGTCCACGCTCGTCTTGAACTCCCCTCAAGCGATCCTCTCACCTTGGCCTCCCAAAGTGCTGGGATTACAGGCGTGAGGCACTCCACCCATAGTGGCTTTTGATACCCTCAGAAAACAGCTAATTATGTGTGCCTACGGGGTTATTCCGTTTGTACCATCAGGGTAACATTTTCAGCCGTCCTATTTCTCTGGCAAAACCTTTTGGGCCCTCGGTGACTTTTTGCTGAATGGGTGACCCCCTCCCAGGGCAGGGCCATAAGAATCACTGGAGAGATGAGGGTCTGGGGAGGCGCAGAGAGAAGGCTGAAGGCGGTCTCACTTTCCTGCACCAGGAAAGGGAACGAGGAGCGCTGCACTCTCCCAGTCCTGGAGAGGACAGGAAAACGCTGCCACCGCGGAGACAGACGCCTACAGCGTGGGCTTTAAATCCAGCGTGGGTGTGGGGCAGCGTTGAGGCTCGATCTTCCGCCCTGCCCCTTAGACAGAGAAGGGAAGGAAGTCGAGGTCAGGAGGGGAGGGAGGGGAAAGGGCGGGAGGGAAATCGGAAGAGGGAAGGGCCGGGGAGGGAGGGAAAGAGGCCCGGGAGGATACGCCCGACGCTTCCATTGTAGTGGGGCTTCACTTGCCAAGGTGGAAGTGGTAGCGCCGGTGGTGGTACACTTTTTCGTACTTCTGAAATATTTCATAATTAACATTTGAGGAATTTTTTCTTTTTTGAAACAGGAACTAGCTCTGTCGCCCAGGCTGTAGTGCAGTGGCGCAATCACGGCTCACTGCAGCCTCCAGCTCCTGAGCTAAAGGGATCCTCCTGCCTTAGCTTCCTGAGTAGTTAGCACTACAGATTAGGGCCACCAGGCCTGGTTAATTTAAAAAAAAAAAAAATCCTCCCGCCTCTGCCTCTGCCTGTGAATTTGCTGGGATTGCAGGACTTAACCGCAGTGCCTGACCTAAGGAATCACTCAACCTCATTCCGGCAGGGATGACCACACGTGTTCAGGACATTTCCCTGGTAACTGGACTCGTCTTTAGTTCCCTGGGCTGCTCTCCTCCCGCGGTGACAGCCGTTCCCGGGGTGACCTCACTGCGCGCCCTGGAAAGGGCGAGACCGACCTCAGTACCCGCCTCGGTTTCCTTGCGGAGAATTTAAACCACTTCTGAGGGCCCTGAAGACAGTTCCGCGTCTTTTTTTTTTCTCTGTAAATGAGCTTTCTCCAGCCTATTTCGCAGACCCTGCGAACTTCAGATTCTCCCCTCATCCCGGCGGATCTGGGGATCCTCACTCTGACCAGTTGTTGGTGGGCTTGAAGGCCAGCGTCCCCTGGGGTTGGACCCTGTCTAATCCTCGCCTGCCCGGAAAAGGGGTGGGTGGGCATCAATCTCTGCAGCGCGCGAGCAGCAGGCGGCTGCGGAGGGGCGTGGGTTAGGGAGGTGGGTGCGGGCCTAAGCCTCTGAGCGCAGCACCCACCTCAGGAGGAGCCAAAGAAGATGCCTGCAGCAGGAGTCTCGGGTCCTGCGCCGACAGCATTACCCTGGGGAATTGTCTTGGTCTTTGGATTCTGGAGATGCGAGAAACTAGGACGGAGACCACAGCTGCAGGGAAAAGGCGACCAGTGCACAGAGCCTGTGCTCTATTGCTTTATATATTACTATAAAAATAACTGTATTGAGCTATAATCGATATACATGAAATTGCACTTGTTTAAAGTGTACAAAATGATGGATATCGGCCTATGTAGAATCCCTTGAAATCATCACCGCACTTAAGACAATGAGCCTATGGGGAGGGCTGGGTAAGGAGAGTGAGGCAGGAGAGTGAGGCACCTGCTAGTGCAAAATTGAAGGGGGCACCAAAGAAACACCACCTCTCAGTGACCAAGATAAACAATATTTTAAAATCAAAATTAATGCAAACATTTCTGATGAATAAAATATAAAAATGCTAAATGAAGAGAGGATCCAACTTTGCATTTGCCGGGCCCTGTGTCACTCCTCTCATCCTAGTCACACCTGTTGGGATTACAGGCATGAGCCACCATACCCTGCCCATTCTGGGTTTTAAACTGTACTTTATTTATTACTATTCTCTTTTTTTAAAACTGATCAACCACAAGCATACAAAAGTTCTCTGAATGAATGGAACTGTTTCCACACCTGGGTATTAACAGGCAAATTTTGAAGGTCATTCGATTTGGAATTTTCTTTTCTATAGCACTTCTAATCAGTGTGTGTGACACACACCTCAGAGGTAGGAAAGACTGTTTTTAGTAAATTATCTTCTTAATTGTAGAGAATTCCTGAAAATAAAACTGATGAAATTGTAAATTCTGCCTTGATGAGTTTCCAAAGGACAGATTCATGGTGTCCTATTTGAAGAATTAATCCCCTGGAATGTTCCAGCCTTTGTTGGACACTTGATAACAAGATCCACCAAGGGTTAGGGCAAGTGCACTAAGAAAGCCTTCTGCTACTCTCCGTCTCTTATTCTTTAGACCATCCAGTCTTGCTGGCAGAGAGGTCAGTGATTGCTCTGTTGTACCCACAGGGACATGCAACAGTTGTGGAAGGAGTGATTACATTCTCCTCAGATGACAGCACAGTTCTCTTGTTTTCAGCTTGACACCCAAGAAAGGCATCCATCACCTCAACCCTGCAGATGGCAGTTGTATGGCACTCCGTGTCGCAGCTCTACATGCCCACTGTGTTTCACACCTGGAGAGAGAACATTTTTGTTGCCCTTCCAACTTGCAGCCTGTGCTCCCAGAGTGAGAGGACAAGGCACAGGGCTCCTTGCCATCTTCCACGTTAGCATTGGCAGCTGTGCAGAGCCTATAGTGGAGACTGGATTTTTGTTATTTATTCAATAGTGTTGAGACTAAATTCCAAGTAAGACACAATTATTGGACCACATTAAAAAGAAAAACAGAACAAAACAAAAAACCCACTATAGGGATGCCCAGGTAAGAACTGTATGGTTTTGGGGGTAGTGGGGAAGATAGACACACAAAAAAATACCCCAAAACAAAAAACCACAAACTGTATTTCCCATGCTCCAAAGCAGATAGATATGGCTTGTTCCCAAGGCCTGGCCAATGGAATATTGGAAGGTAATGTGTATAATTTTCATATTGTGCTCGTGAAAAGAGTGTGAATTCTTTTCTGCTGGCTGAAATGTTGACAAGATGCCAGAATCTGGTACAGTCATCTTGGAGCAAAAGATGGTGTGATAAATTGAAATATTGTTTGATAAGGTTGATATCCCTACCCAGAAGTAGATCATATTCTGTGCCCCATTGGTCTCAGGCTTGGCAATGTGACTTGTTATGATCAATGAAGTATAAGCAGGCATAACGTGTGTTACTTCCAAGAAGAACTCTTAAGAGTCATTGAGTGTTTCTGCCATGTTCTTTTTCCCTTCTGGTATAAGATAGGCAATGACCCAGATTTGGCTGCTTTGTCTGGGTCCTGGAATGAAAACAATGAAGAGTAGAGCCAAATGGGATCCACAACAGACATATAGTTTAAGAAAGAAATTAACATTTGTTATTTTTAAACAGTCATGGAAACTTTGGGGATAATTTGTTACCACAGCAAAATCTGGCTAGTTCTGATTTGTACAGAAATTGGTGCTTAGAGTGGGATGCTGCATAACAAAATAATTTAAATTGTGGCTTTGGTTCCAGGGCTGAGTGATGGGCAATGAAGAAAATATTATTGGAGGCTGGGAAAATGTCAACCCCTGTTTTGTAGCAGTGAAAGACTGGACAAAACAGTCACCTTTAATAACTTAGAATGAAGATAATGTATTAAATGAGCCTGTGGATTTGAGTGAAGAAGTAAGGAAACAGATGCTAGTAATATAGTTTGATCGCTACTAGGTAGGGTAATACAAAAGGTGGGAGGAAAAATGTGCTTGGAAAAGCACTAAACTCTTTGCAAGCAGGAAGGGAAGAAAATGGTCTACACATTTTTGGACTTTTAGAATAAGAAGTTGCAAATATTTCTCTTCTTCAACTAATAAAAAATCTGAGAATGTCTTTGGGTAACAAAGACAGAAATTCAAACTCAGTCTTTGGCAAAGAGGCAGTTAATAAGTAGCTATTAAACCTATGGTGGAAACCTCTGAATCAACTAAGATGTCAGCCAATAAATCCTTTCAGACAAAATTGCTCAGAGAAAAGAGCTTGAGTGCATTGCTTTCTGATGAAAGCCTGCTAATTCAAGGTAATATAATTAAATCTAAAGAGAGAAGCACATCTCAAAAATACTGAATTGTATTAGCACACAGAGTTAACTGGGACCGTATAGATTTAGAAAAACAACAAGAAGTTTTTGAGAAAGTTAAATTGCCAAGGAGCCATACCTAGATTTTTAAAATCCAGAAAGCAAAAACTGTGATGCTTTCAGACTAAACACAACCCTTGGACTCCAACATTCTTTGGGCAAGCAGTAGGTTGAGAAAGCTGGTTAGTTCTAAAGGAAGGTACAGTCCCCAGTTCCTGCTTTAAATGTGGTTGAAGAAAATAATAGAAAAGGGAAACTTTCCACTTTAAAAGTGGAAGAAGGGCAACAGAGTGAGACTCCATCTCAAAAAAAAAAAAAAAAAAAAGTGGAAAAAGATAATGACACCCTCTTGAGAGTGAAATCAGGAACCATGGGTTCTATTCAAGAGATACTGAATTCTTAGCCAGAGCAATTAGGCAAGAAAAAGAAATAAAAGGCACCCAAATTGGAAAGGACAAAATAAAATTATCTGTGTTTGCAGATGTCATGATATTATATACGGAAAATATTGTGGGATCTGACCAGCAGCCTGCAATCCAACGGGGCTCTTTCTTTGTTCCCAGGTGGATCGGCAGGTCAAGAAATAAAAGACACATGCGAGATAGTGAAAGCTGGGTCCAGGGGGGTCACCGCCTTCTGGTCTTGTGATGCCACGAATGCACTGGATATAGCAGCATTTATTATTAAGTTTAGTGAGGGTGGGGGTAGGTTAGTGAGGGATTTAGGGTCTTTGATTATGAGGTGAGATGGTCACATGGGGATGAAGTAATTCTTTAACATAACATCTGTATGCAGAAGTGCAGAATACAGAGATAAGAATTTACAATACAGTGTGTGTGTCAGTGATTTTTAACAGAGCCTTAAAACAGAAACACAGTCTATCCATAACCTATGTTTAGCAAGATATTAATCAGCAGTAACAGTTGCAGCAAAAGCTGGTTGCAAACAATTGATGGAAACAGGATGTGAAACTAGACAACCGGTGAGACCACAAATTCTCAGAAGGGAGTATGCCTTAACCCTAAAGAGACCTAGAAGAGCCATGGCAAGATAAGGGCATTTAAAACCCTATTTTATACATATGAATGGCCGCCCCTCATGCGTCCATTTATAGGCTCTCCACAAGGGTCGCATTCCATTCCCAGAGCTGTGAACATCTGCTTTTCTGGGATAAGAATATTGGTGATGTGAAACCTCCCTGACTGCACATCCGTTTATAGGCTCTCTGCAGGAGGAAGCACATCATGTGCTGTTGGCTCATTCAGGCAGCCCAACCTTGCATTGTCTTTACACAATCCTGCATGCAATTTTGTATTTATAATAATCAGGAGCATTTCATCTTTTATTCTGTAGCAATAGTTTCAGGGGGTCTCCCTACAAGAAAACCCTAAAAACTCCACAGGAACTGTTAGAACTAATTAACACATTTGGTAAAGTTACAAGGTACAAAACTAGAAATGCAAAAATCAGCAGTGTTTCTGTCCGATAACAACTATGCAAAATAGAAATCAGCCAGGCGTGGTGGCTCACACCTATAATCCCAGCACTTTGGGAGGCTGTGGAGGGTGGATCACTTGAGGTCAGGAGTTTGAGACCAGCCTAGCCAACATGGTAAAATGCTGTCTGTACTAAAAATACAAAAATTTGCTGGGCATGGTGGTGGACACCTGTAATCCCACCTACTCGGGAGGTTGAGGTGGGAGAATCACTTGAACCCAAGAGGTGGAAGTTGCAGTGAGTCAAGATCAAGCCACTGCACTCCAGCTTGGGTAACAAAATGAGACTCTGTCTCAAAAAAACAAAACAAAAAAAAAAAACACAAAAAAAAAAAGGAAAGAAAAGAAATCAAGAAAACAATCCCATTTACAATAGCTACAAAAAAAATACTTAGCAATAAGTTGAACAAAGGGAGTGAAAGATCTGCACATTAAAAATTATAAAACATTGATGAAAGAAATTGAAGACGACACTAATAAATGAAATGATATCCCATGTTCATGGATTGGAAGAATTAATATTGTTGAAATGTTTATTCTACCCAAAGTGAACTACAGGTTCACTACAATTTCTATCAAAATTCCAAGGACATTTTCCACAGAAATAGAAAAACAGTCTTAAAATTTCTATGGAACCACAAAAGATCCCAAATAGCCTAAGCAATCTTGAGTAAGAAGAACAAAGCAGGAGACTTTACACTACCTGATTTCAAAATGTAGCACAAAGCTATAGTAATCAAAACAGCATCGTACTGGCATAAAGAGAGTCATATAGACCAATGAAACAGAATAGAGATCCCAGAGATAAATATATACGTTCATAGGCCAAGCAACCTTGAGAAAGTTACCTTGAACATACATGGTGAAAGGATACTCTTTCCAATAAATAGTGTTGGGAAAACTGGATATCCAATGCAGAAGAATGAAATTGGGTCCTTATCTCATACCACATAAAAATAAACCCGAAATTGATTAAGGACTTACATGTAAAAGCTGAAACTATAAAACCACTGGCAGAAAACCCAAAGGGTGATTTATTGATGTTGGTCTTGGCAATGAATGTTTGGAATATGACCCCAAAAGTACAGGCAACAAAAGCAAAAAAAGACAAATGAATGACATAAAACAAAAAGCTTTTGCACAGCAAAGGAAATTATCAAAGGAATGGAGACAACCTACAGAAGGAGAGAAAATATTTGCAAACCATACATCTAATAAGGGGTTAGTATCTAAAATATAAAAAGAACTCAAACAATTCAATAGCAAGGAAACAAATAATTTAATTTAAAAATGAGCAAAGTATCTGAGTAGACATTTCTCAAAAGAAGACATTTCAATGGCCAATAGGTATATGAAAAAGTGTTCAATATTACTAATAATGAAGGAAATATTAATTAAAAGTACAAAGAGGTATCATCTCATCTCATACTCATGCAGCTATTACTAAAAAGACAAAAGATAAGTGTTGGCAAGGATGTGGAGAAAAGGGAGTATCTGCACACTGTTGGTGGGAACTTAAATTAGTGCAGCCATTAGAGAAAACAATATGGCAGTTCCTCAAAAAATTAAAAATATGCCAGGCTAAGTGATTCACACCTGTAATCCCAGCACTTTCGGAAGCTAAGGCAGGGAGACCACTTGAAGCCAGGAATCTGAGACCAGCCTGGGCAACACAACAAGACCTTATCTCTACAAAACATTTTTAAAAATTACCTGGGCATGGTGGCATGAGCCTGTGTTCCCAGCTGCTCTGTAGGCTGAGGCGGGAGGATCACTTGGGCTCACGAGGTTGAGGCTGCAGTGATCTAGGATGCCACCACTGCACTCTAGCCTGGGCAACAGAGTGAAATCTAATTTCTAAAAAAAATTAAAAATAAACATAGCTATCATATGATGCAGCAATCCTATTTCTGGGTATATGTCTGAAAGATATGAAATCAGTAGATCAATGAAGTATCTACAATCTCATGTTTGTTGTAGTATTATTAATAATTGCCAAGATATGGAATTAACCAAAACTGTCCATTGATGCATGTGTGATTAAAGAAAGTAAGACACACACACACACACACACACACACACACACGGGAATACTATTCAGACTTAGAAAAGAAGAAAATTCTGTCATCTGCAACAAGGTGGATGAACCTGGAGGACATTATGCTAAGTGAAATAAGCCAGCCACAGAAGGACAACTACTACATGATTCCACTTATATGTGGAATCTAAAAAAGTCGAATTCATAGAAGCAAAGAAAGAATGCCAGGGGCTGGATGGTGGGCAGAGGTCGGAACATGGGGAAATGTTGGTCAAATGGTAAAAAGTTTCAGTTAGACAAAATGAATAAGTTCTGGAGATCTATTGTACAGCATGGCAACTACAAGGAATAACAATGTATTGTATATTTAAAAATTCCCAAGAGAGTAGAACTCAATTGTTCTTATCACAAAACATACCTATGTGAGGTGACAGATACATTAATTAGCTGAGTTTAATCATTCCACAATGTATAAATGTATCAAAACATCATGTTGTACACTGTGAATATATACAATTTTATTTGTCAATCATACCTCAGTAAGGCTAGAGTGAAATGGAGGAAAACACCATGGGCAACCACTGACTA
Source organism: Homo sapiens (assembly GCF_000001405.40). Classification (NCBI taxonomy): domain Eukaryota; kingdom Metazoa; phylum Chordata; class Mammalia; order Primates; family Hominidae; genus Homo; species Homo sapiens. The sequence goes on along the minus strand of NC_000017.11, from coordinate 35,338,635 downwards.
GAATCAGAACCACAGGGAATAGTCCCCACCCCTGGGTAACAGTGCCTCAGAGTGTCTGCCCAACAGCATTTCAAAATTTCTAGGGACCAGGGACTATTCTGTGCCTCCCATTCTTCCCCTTCCCAAATGAGAGGTGATTTTTTTTTTTTTGAGACAGGGTCTCACTCTGTCGCCCAGGCTGGATTGCCATTGTGCAATAGCCATCCCACCTCAGCTTCCTGAGTAGCTGCGATCACAGGCATACACAACCATGCCTGATACTTTTTGTAATTTTTTTTTAGAGATGAGGTTTCACCATGTTGCCCAGGCTGGTCTCAACCTCCCATACTCAAGGGATCCATCTGCCTTGGCCTCCCAAAGTGCTGAGATTATAGGCATAAGCCATCACTCCTGGCCTATCAAATGAGAGGATTATTAAATGTTATTCTGTTACTATTTATTTCACTGTTGTATAATGTGTGTGTATGTGTGATAACTTGTATTTTTAATTCAAATATCTCCAAAGGAGTCATACCCAGGCCTGATATAAAGACCATCACATGATCTGGATTTTGTCTATGATGGGGCATTGCATTGGAATGGAATTTTTGTTATTTCTCTAAGGAAGGAAAGGTATATAAAAGGAATAAAAGTGAATATTTGTGAGCAAATATTTTTGATAGGTTTTTTTTTTCTTAAGAGACATGTTGCCCAGGCTGGACTTAAACTCTTGGGCTCAAGCAATCCTCCTGACTCAGTCTTCTGAGTAGCTGGGACTATAGGCAGAGGCCACCATGCCTGGCTGACTGTATTCCTTTCCAAAACATTTTCTTACACTCTTAGGATTACACTTGCTACTCCATTGTAATCAAGCTGGGCCATGTGCTTTGTTTTGGCCAAATATAAATGTGAGTAGAAATGATGTGTGCTACCCTGAACAAGAGCTTTCAGAGCCACCATTTAGATCCTCCATACACTTGTTTCTTTCTGCCTCAAGACTGACAATGTCTCAGACAGGGACCTTCTGTCAGCCTGGATCCCCACATGAGGAGGAATGTAGCCTTGCTCAGGGGCCAGTTGTGAACTTTCTGGGAAGGGATTGTGACCCCAGGCAAGGTGGCTCTGCAGCTGAGGCAGACTTCAAAGGAGCTGACATTTGCAGGCTGTTTGCTGAGTGCCCTCTCCATATCTGGGCAGCAAGTCCTTTATTAAAAGGGGATCTAGGGAGTGCATCTCCACATCTATCACATCCCACCCTCCTACAGCCTTTTATTTTCTTTTGCATAAGGCTGTAAATACCTCATTCCCCAAAATGTACTTCTTAGCTATTTCCCTGTTCAAGGCATTGATCACATTTACAATGTATGTGATTTGGTTCTGAACACCAGGATGAGGTTCTCCTTGTTTTTTGGGGAATCTATATGACCAACAACCCCACAGCACCTATGTTTCCTCTTTCTCTTACTTCTAGATTGGACACAAGGGGCAATGGAGGGAGGGTCAAGATATTTGTTTAATTTATTCTACTTTATAGCAGAAAAATTTATTTATTTGAAATTGGAATGTATCTAAATTCTCCAGGTATCAGTGTCACTGAGATTTTTAGTACCCACTAATATTGTCTGAGCTCTTATTATGTGTAAATAGACAAAGGTTTTTGTTTTTTAAACCTAGCTTCTTTCTATTGAGATTTCTGAGAATTCCAGGAATGCTTCCATGTTCCACAGATCTGTCCTGGTAGTCTCCGGCCACTTCTTGCAATAAAATGCTGTACCAAGGCCTCTGATAGTTTCTAGTTGGCTTGACATAATGGCTTTTCTAAGCTTCTGTTCCTCTATGCTCCTCTGTATCCCAAGCATGGAAAGAAGTCATATCTTTTGTTTCACACATTAGCAGTCAACACTTGGCCCTACTTTCAACAAGGCTAAGTAAAACTTTGAGCATAGCAAAAGGCAAATACTTAAATTATAATATTAGCAGGAGGAGGCTGAGGTGGGAGGATCATATGAGGCCAGCCTGGGCAACATAGATACCCCCTCTCCAGAAGACAACAACGAAAAATTATCTGGGTGTGGTGGTGTGCTCTTGCAGTCCTAGATACTCCAGTGGCTGAGGCAAGAGGATCGCTTGATTCCAGGAGTTCAAGGTTGTAGTGAGCAATAATCATGTCACTGCATCCTAGCCTGGGCAATAGAGTAAGACCCTATCTCTAACAAAATAATAATAAAACAATCAAAAGTTTAAAATTAGGTATTGGATGTCAGTGTGCCCAGAGTCCTTTGACCACAGATGATCCTGATGGCCTTCTCTCGCCTTGTCCCTGTGCCTCCTTCTACCATTTTTCTTCCTGAGATATTCGAAAATAAGTAGCAGACAGGTTCCCATTTACCTCTAAATACTTCAGTGGGTATTTCCTAAAAGGACATTTATAGTACCATCATCAAAATCAGTAAATTAACATTGATACTATTATCTAATCTACAGACTTTATTGAATTTTATCAGTTGTGCCACAAATGTCTTATGGCAAATGAGAAATAATTCTGGTCTAGGATTTGATCTAAGATCGTGCATTGTATTGAGCTTTCATTTCTTTTAAGTCTTATTTAATCTGGAAATGTTAATCAGTGTTTGTCATATCTTTGACACTATTGAAGAGGATTGGCCTATTATTTTGCAGAGTATCTATGATTTTGGGTCATTCCATGTGTTCTCATGATTAGATGCAGGTTATGCATTTTTGGCATGAATACCATAGAAGGGATGTTATGGTTCTCAGTTCATGGTATTAGAAGGCACTTGATAGTGATTAGTTCCATTCCTGATGATGTTAACTCTGATCATTTGGATAAAGTGACATCTGCCAGGTTTCCCCACTGTGCAGTTACAATTTGCTTTTTGCGATTAATAAATTCCTTTTTTATTCTCATTTAAGAATGAGTTTCTTTAACACCTTGAAAAAATCACACTGGCTCACCAGCAATGGACCCAAACCAAGAAGTAATACCTGATGTATCTGAAAAAGAATTCAGGAGGTTAGTTATTAAGCTAATCAGGGAGGCATCAGAAAAAGGCAAAGCCCAATGCAAGGAAATCCAGAAAATAATACAAGAAGCGAAGGGAGAAATATTTAAGGAAATAACGTAAATAAAAAACAATAAAAACTTCAGGAAACAATGTTCCTGAAACACTTCTAGAAATGCAAAATGCTTTGGAAACTCTCAACAATAGAATTGAACAAGCGGAAGAAAGAAATTCAGAGCTTGAATACAAGGTCTTTGAATTAACCCAATCCAACAAAGACAAAAAAAGAAAATATGAACAAAGCCTCCAAGAAGTCTAGGATTATGTTAAGTGACCAAACCTAAGAAAAATTGGTGTTCCTGAGGAAAAAGAGAAATCTGAAAGTTTAGAAAACATATTTGGGGGAATAATCAAGAAAAACTTCCTGACCATGCTAGAGACCTAGACATCCAAATACAAGAAGCACAAAGAACACCTGGGAAATTCATCACAGAAAGATCATTGCCTAGGGACACTGTCATCAGGTTATTGTTATCTAAAGTTAAGACTAAGGAAAGAAACTTAAGAACTGTGAGGCAAAAGCACCAGGTAACTATAAAGGAAAACCTATCAGATTAACAGCAAATTTCTCAGCAGAAACTCTACAAGCTAGAAGGGATTGGGGCCCTATCTTCAACTTCCTTGAACAAAACAATTATTACCCAAGAATTTTGTATCCAGTGAAACTAAGCTTCATCAATGAAGGAAAGACAGTCTTTTTCAGACCAATGCTGAGAGAATTCACCACTACCAAGCCACCACCACAAGAACTGCAAAAAAAGAGCTTTAAATCTTGAAACAAATCCTAGAAACACATCAAAAGAGAACCTCTTTAAAGTATAAATCTCACAGGACCTATAAAACAATCAATTTAAAAAGCAAAAAACAAAAAACAAAGGTATACAGGCAACAAATAGCACGATGAATGGAATGATACCTCACATCTCCATGCTAACATTGAATGTAAATAGCCTAAATGCTCCCCTTAAAAGATACAGAACTGAAGGATAGATAAGAACTCACCAACCAACCATCTGCTGCCTTTGGGAGACTCACCTAGCACATAAGGACTCACAAAAACTTAAGGTAAAAAGATGGAAAAAGACATTTCACATGAACGGACACCAAAAGTGAGCAGGAATAGCTATTCTTATATCAGACAAAACAAACTTTAAAGCAACAGCAGTTAAAAAAGACAAACATGGGGGTGGCTGGCAAGATGGCCGAACAGGAACAGCTCTGGTCTGCAGCTCCCAGGGAGTTCAATGCAGAAGGCGGGTGTTTTCTGCATTTCCAAAGGATGTACCTGGCTCATCTCACTGGGACTGGTTAGACAATGTGTGCAGCCCATGGAGGGCAAGCAGAAGCAGGGTGGGGTGTTGCCTCACCGGGGAAGTACAAGGGGTTGAGGAACTCCCTCCCCTAGCCAAGGAAGCCGTGAGGGATTGTGTCGTGAGGAATGGTGCACTCTGGCCCTGATACTACACTTTTCCCAAGGTCTTCACAACCCGCAGATCAAAAGATTCCCTTGGGGGCCTATGCCACCAGGGCCCTGGATTTCAAGCACAAAACTGGGCGGCCGTTTGGGCAGACATTGAGCTAGCTGCAGGAATTTTTTTCGTACCCCAGTGGTGCCTGAAATGCCAGCTAGAGAGAACCATACGCTCCCCTGGAAATGGGGCTGAAGCCAGGGAGCCAAGTGGTCTAGCTCAGCGGATCCCACCCCCACAGAGCCCAGCAAGCTAAGATCCACTGCCTTAAAATTCTTGCTGCTAGCACAGCAGTCTGAAGTCCACCTGGGATGCTACAGCTTGGTGGGGGGAGGGGCATCCACCATTACTGAGGCTTGGTAGGTGGTGTTCCCCTCACAGCGTAAACAAAGCTGCCTGGAAGCTCGAACTGGGCAGAGTCAACTGCAGCTCAGCAAAGCCACTGTAGCCAGACTGCCTCTCTAGATTCCTCCTCTCTGGGCAGGACATCTCTGAAAGAAAGGCAGCAGCTCCAGTCAGGGGCTTATAGATAAAACTCCCATCTCCCTTGGACAGAGCACCTGGGTGAAGGGGCAGCTGTGGGCAGCTTCAACAGACTTAAACGTTCCTGCCTGCCAGCTCTGAAAAGAGCAGCAGATCTCCCAGCAAAGCACTCAAGTTCTTCCAAGGGACAGACTGCCTCCTCAAGTGGGTCCCTGACCACCCTCCCCACCATGCCTCCTAACTGGGAGACACCTCCCAGCAGGGGTTGTCAGATACTTCATACAGGAGAGCTCCAGCTGGAATCTGGCAGGTGCCCCTCTGGGACAAAGCTTCCAGAGGAAGGAACGGGCAGCAATCTTTGCTGTTCTGCAGCCTCCGCTGGTGATACCCAGGGAAACAGGGTCTAGAGTGGACCTCCAGCAAACTCCAGCAGACCTGCAGCAGAGGGGCCTGACTGTTAGAAGGAAAACTAACAAACAGAAAGGAAAAGCATCAACATCAACAAAAAGGACGTCCACACAGAAACCCCACTGGAAGGCCAAAGCTAGATATATCCACAAAGATGAGGAAAAATCAGCGCAAAAAGGCTGAAAATTCCCAAAACCGGAATTCCTCTTCTCCTTCAAAGGATCACAAGTACTCGCCAGCAAGGAAACAAAACTGAACGGAGAATGAGTTTGACAAATAGACACAAGCAGGCTTCAGAAGGTGGGTAATAACAAACTCCTCCGAGCTAAAGGAGCATGTTCCAACCCAATTCAAGGAAGCTAAGAACCTTGAAAAAAATGCTAGAGGAATTGCTAACTAGAATAACCAGTGTAGAGAAGAACATAAATGACCTGATGTAGCTGAAAAACACAGCATGAGAACTTTGTGAAACATACACAAATATTGATAGCCAAACTGATCAAGCAGAAGAAAGGATACGAGAGATTGAAGATCAACTTAATGAAATAAAGCATGAAGACAAGATTAGAGAAAAAAGAATAAAAAGGAATGAACAAAGCCTCCAAGAAATATGGGACGATGTGAAAAGGCCAAACCTACATTTGATTGGTGTACCTGAAACTGACAGGGAGAATGGAACCAAGTTGGAAAACACACTTCAGGTTATTATCCAGGAGGACTTCCCCAACCTAACAAGACAGGCCAACATTCAAATTCAGGAAATAGTACACCACAAAGATGCTCCTTGAGAAGAGCAACCCTAAGACACATAATTATCAGATCCCCCAAGGTGGAAATGAAGAAAAAAATGTTAAGGGCAGCCAGAGAGAAAGGTCGGGTTACCCACAAAGGGAAGCCCATCAGACTAACAGTGAATCTCTCTGCAGAAATCCTACAAGTCAGAAGAGAGTGGGCGCCAATATTCAACATTCTTAAAGCAAAGAATTTTCAACCCAGAATTTCATATTCAGCCAAACTAAGTTTCATAAGCAAAGGAGAAATAAAATCCTTTACAGACAAGCAAATGCTGAGAGATTTTATCACCACCAGGCCTGCCTTACAAGAGCTCCTGAAGGAAGCACTAAATATGGAAAGGAACAACCAGTACCAGTTACTGCAAAAACATATCAAATTATAAAGTCCATCGACACTCTGAAGAAACTGCATCAACTAATGGGCAAAATAACCAGCTAGCATCATAATGACAGGATCAAATTCACAGCTAACAATATTAACCTTAAATGTATATGGGCTAAATACCCCAATTAAAAGACACAGGCTGGCAAATTGGATAGAGTCAAGACCCATTGGTGTGCTATATTCAAGAGACCCATCTCTCGTGCAAAGACACACATAGGTTCAAAATAAAGGGATGGAGGAATATTTACCAAGAAAATGGAAAGCAAAAAAAAAAAAAAAAAAAGAGCAGGGGTTGCAATCCTAGTCTCTGATAAAACAGACTTTAAACCAACAAAAATCAAAAAGGACAAAGAGGGGCATTACATAATGGTAAAGGGATCAATGCAACAAGAAGAGCTAACTCTCCTAAATATATATGCACCCAATACAGGAGCACCCAGATTCATAAAGCAAGTTCTTAGAAACCTACAAAGAAACTTAGACTCCCACAGAATAATAGTGGGAAACTTTAACACCCCACTGTCACTGTTAGACAGATCAATGAGACAGAAAATTACGAGAATATTCAGGACTTGAACTCACCTCTGAACCAAGAGAACCTAATAGACATCTACAGAAATCTCCACCCCAAACCAGCAGAATATACATTCTTCTCAACACCACATCACACTTATTCCAAAACTGACCACATATTTGGAAGTAAAACACTCCTCAGCAAATGCAAAAGAATGAAAATCATAACAATTAGTCTCTCACAACACAGTGCAATCAAACTAGAACTCAGGATTAAGAAACTCATTCAAAACCGCATAACTACAAGGACAGTGAACAACCTGCTCCTGAATGACTACTGGGTAAATAACAAAATTAAGGCAGAGATCAAGAAGTCCTTTGAAACCAATGAGAACAAAGACACAATGTACCAGAATCTCTGGGACACAGCTAAAACAGTGTTTAGAGGGAAATTTATAGCACTAAATGCTCACAGGAGGAAGCGGGAAAGATATGAAATAGACACCCTAACATCACAATTAAAAGAACTAAGATCAGAGTAGAAATTTAGAGAAGTGAGAGCAAACAAATTCAAAAGCTAGCAGAAGACAAGAAATAACTAAGAGCAGAGTAAAACTGAGGGAGATAGAGACATAAAAAAACCCTTCAAAAAGTCAATTATTCCAGGTGCTGGTTTTTTGAAAAAATTAACAAAATAGATAGATGGCTAGCCAGACTAATAAAGAAGAAAAGAGAGAAGAATCAAAACACAATAAAAAATGATAAAGGGGATATCACCACTGATCCCACAGAAATACAAATTACCATCTGAGAATACTATAAACACCTCTATGCAAATAAACTCAAAAATCTAGAAGAAATGGATAAATTCCTGGACACATACACCCTCCCAAGATTAAACCAAGAAGAAGTCAAATCCCTGAATAGACCAATAACAAGTACTGAAATTGAGGCAGTAATTAATAGTCTACCAATAAAAAAAAAAAAGCCCAGGACCAGACGGATTTACAGCCGAATTCCACCAGAGGTACAAAGAGGAGCTGGTGCCATTACTTCTGAAACTATTACAAACAAAACAGAAAGAAGGAATCCTCCTTAACTCATTTTATGAGGCCAGCATCATCCTGATACCAAAACCCGGCAGAGACACAACAAAAAAAGAAAATGTCAGGCCAATATCCCTGATGAACATTGAGGCTAAAATCCTCAATAAGATACTGGCAAACCAAATCCAGCAGCACATCAAAAAGCTTAACCACCACGATCAAGTCAGCTTTATACCTGGGATGCAAGGCTGGTTCAACATACACAAATCAATAATCGTAATCCATCACATAAACAGAATCAATGACAAAAACCACATGATTATCTCAAGAGATGCAGAAAAAGCCTTCGTTAAAACCCAACACCCCTTCATGCTAAAAACTCTCAATAAACTAGGTATTGATGGAACATATCTCAAAATAATAAGAGTTATTTATGACAAACCCACAGCCAATGTCATACTGAATGGGCAAAAGCTGGAAGCATTCCCTTTGAAAACCAGCACAAGACAAGGATGCTCTCTCACCACCCCTATTCAACATAGTGTTGGAAGTTCCGGCCAGGGCAATCATGCAAAAGAAATAAAGCGTATTCAAATAGGAAGAGAGGGAGTCAAACTGTTTCTGTTTGCAGATGACATAATTGTATATTTCAAAAAACCCATTGTCTCAGCCCAAAATATCCCTAAGCTGAAAAGCAAATTCAGCAAAGTCTCAGGACACAAAATCAATATGCAGAAATCACAAGCATTTCTACACACTGACAACAGGCAAACAGAGAGCAAAATCATGAGTGAACTTCCAATCACAACTGCTACAAAGAGAATAAAATACCTAGGGATATAACTTACAAGGGATGTGAAGGACCTCTTCAAGGAGAACTACAAACCACTGCTCAAGGAAATAAGAGAGGACACAAATGAATGGAAAAACATTCCATGCTCATGGATAGGAAGAATCAATATCATGAAAACGGCCATCCTGCCCAAAGTAATTTATAGTTTCAATGCTATCCCCATCAAGCTACTGTTGACTTTCTTCACAGAATTAGAAAAAACTACTTTAAATTTCATATGGAACCAAAAAAGAGCCCGTATAGCCAAGACAATCTTAAGCAAAAAGAACAAAACTGGAGGCATCAAGCTGCCCAACTTCAAACTATACTACAATTGCTACAGTAAGCAAAACAGCATGGTACTGCTACCAAAACAGATATATAGACCAATGGAACAGAACAGAGGCCTCAGAAATAATGTCACACATCTACAACCATCTGATCTTTGACAAATCTGACAAAAACAAGCAATGGGGAAAGGATTCCCTCTTTAATAAATGGTGTTGAGAAAACTGGCTAGCCATAAGCAGAAAACTGAAACTGGACCCCTTCCTTACACCTTATACAAAAAGTAACTCAAGATGGATTAAAGACTTAAACCCAATACCTAAAACCATAAAAACCCTGGAAGAAGTCCTAGGCAATATCATTCAGGACACAGGCATGGGCAAAGACTTCATGACTAAATCACCAAAAGCAATGGCAACAAAAGCGAAAATTGACAAATGAGATCTAATTAAACTAAAGAGCTTCTGCACAGCAAAAGAAACTATCATCATAGTGAACAGGCAACCTACAGAATGGGAGAAAATTTTTGCAATCTATCCATCTGACAAAGGGCTAATATCCAGAATCTACAAAAAACTTAAACAAATTTGCAAGAAAAAAACAAACGACCACATCAAAAAGTGGGCAAAGAATGTAAACAGGCACTCCTCAAAAGAAGACATTTATGCAGCTGACAAACATATGAAAAAAAGGTCATCATCACTGGGTCATTAGAGAAATGCAAATCAAAACCGCAATGTGATACCACCTCATGCCAGTTAGAATGGCGATCATTAAAAAGTCAGGAAACAACAGATGCTGGAGAGGATGTGGAGAAATAGGAACGCTTTCACACCGTTGGTGGGAGCATAAATTAGTTCAACCATTGTGGAAGACGGTGTGGCAATTCCTCAAGGATCTAGAACCAGAAATACCATTTGACCCAGCAATCCCATTACTAGGTATATACCCAAAACATTATAAATTATTCTACCATAAAGACACATGCACACGTATGTTTATTGCAGCACTGTTCACAATAGCAAAGACCTAGAACCAACCCAAATGCCATCAATGATAGCCTGGATAAAGAAAATGTGGCACATGTACACCATGGAATACTGTGCAGCCATAAAAAGGATGAGTTCATGTCCTTTGCAGGGATATGGATGAAGCTGGAAACCATCATTCTCAGCAAACTAACAGGAACAGAAAACCAAACATTACATGTTCTCACTCATAAGTGGGAGTTGAACAATGAGAACACATGGACACAGAGAGGGGAACATCACACAACGGGGCCTGTTAGGGGGTGGGGAGCTAGGGGAGGGATGTATTAGGAGAAATACCTAGTGTAGATGATGGGTTGATGGGTGCAGCAAACCACCATGGCACGTGTATACCTATGTAACAAACCTTCACATTCTGCACTTGTATCCCAGAACTTAAAGTATAATAATAAAAAAAAGCACAAAGAGGGACATTATATAATGATAAAAGGCTTTGTCCAACAGGAAACTATCACAATACTAGACATACATTCACCTAACACTGGAGGTCCCAAATTTATGAAACAATTACTAATAGATCTAAGAAATGAGATAGACAGCAACAAAGTAACACTGAGGAACTTCAATACTCCGCTGACAGCACTAGACAGGTCATTAAGACAGAAAGCCAACAAAGAAACAATGGATTTAAACTACACCCTGGAACAAATGGACTCAACATATATATACAGAACATTCCATGCAACAACTGCAGAATACACATTCTATTCAACAGCACATGGAACTTTCTCCAAGATAGACCATATGATAGCCACAAAATGAGCCTCAATAAATTTAAGAAAATTGAAATTATATCAAGCACTCTCTCAGGCCACAGTGGAATAAAACTGGAAATAAACTTCAAAAGGAACCTTCAAAACCATGGAAATTAAATAACCTGCTCTTGAATGAACATTGGGTCAAAAATGAAATCAAGATGAAAATTTAAAAAGTCTTCGAACTGAATGACAATAGTGACACAACCTATCAAAACCTCTGAGACACAGCAAAGGTGATGCTAAGAGGAAATTTCATCGTCCTAAATGCCTACATCAAAAAATCTGAAAGAGCACAGGCAATCTAAGGTCACACCTCAAGGAACAAGAGAAACAAGAACAAATCAAACCCAAACCCAGAAGAAAGGAAGGAAATAACCAAGATCAGAGCAGAACTAAATGAAATTAAAACAAAAAAATACAAAAGATAAATAAAACAAAAAGCTAGTTCTTTGAAAAGATAAATAAAATTGATATACCATTAGCAAGATTAACCAAGAAGAGAGAAAATCCAAATAAGCTCAGTAAGAAACGAAACGGAAGAGATTACAACTGACACCACAGAAATGTGAAAGATCATTCAAGGCTACTATGAACACCTTTGCATGCGTAAACTAGAAAACCTAGAAGAGATGGATAAATTCCTGGAAAGACACAACCCTCCTAGCTTAAATCAGGAAAAATTAGATGTCCTGAACAGACCAATAACAAGCAGTAAGATTGAAATGGTAATTTAAAAATTACCAACAAAAAAAAGGGTCCAGGACCAGACGGATTCACAGCAGAATTCTACCAGACATTCAAAGAAGAATTGGTAACAATCTTTTTGACACTATTCCACAAGACAGAGAAAGAGAGAACCCTTCCTAAGTCATTCTATGAACCTAGTATCTCCCTAATACCAAAACCAGGAAAGGACATAATCAAAAAGAAAACTACAGACCAATATCCATAAAGAACATTAGATGCTAAAATCCTTAACAAAATTCTAGCTAACCAAATTCAAGAACATATCAGAAAGATAATCCACCATGACCAAGTGGGTTTCATACCAGGGATGCAGGGATGGTTTAATATATGCAAGTCAATAAATGTGACACAGCTGGGTGCGATGGCTCACCCCTGTAATCCCAGCACTTTGGGAGGCCGAGGTGGGTGGATCACCTGAGGTTGAGAGTTCGAGACCAGCCTGACCAACATGGAGAAACCTCATCTCTACTAGAAAAAAATTACAAAATTAGCCAGGCATGGTGGTACATGCCTGTAATCCCAGCTACTCGGGAGGCTGAGGCAGGAGAATCGCTTGAACCCAGGAGGCAGAGGTTGCGGTGAGCCAAGATTGGGCCATTGCACTCCAGCCTGGGCAACAAGAGCAAAACTCTGTCTAAAAAAAAAAAAGTGATACATCACATAAACAAAATTAAAAACAAAAACCATGTGATCATCTCAATAGATGCAGAAAAAGCATTTGACAAAATCCAGCATCACTTTACTATTAAAACTCTCAGCAAAATTGGCATATAAGAGATATACCTCAATATATTAAAAGCCATCTATGACAAAGTCACAGCCAACATAATACCGAGTGGGGAAAAGTTGAAAGCATTCCCTCTGAGAACTGAAACAAAACAAAGATGCCCACTCTCACCACTCCTCAACATAGTACTGGAAGTCCTAGCCAGAGCAATCAGACAAGAGAAATAAATAAAGGACATCCGAATCAATAAAGAGGGACTCAAATGTCCCTGTTTGCTGATGATATGATCATTTACCTGGGAAACCCTAAAGACTCCTCCAGAAAGCTCCTAGAACTGATAATTCAGCAAAGTTTTCAGATACAACATTAATGTACACAAATTAATAGCTCTTCTATACATCAGCAGCGACCAAGGGGAGAATCAAATCAAGAAATCAACCCCTTGTACAATAGCTGCAAACAAACAAACAAACAAAAAAAAAAAACAGTGAAAGGGCATCATTGCCTTGTTCCAGTTCTCAGGAGGAATGCTTTCAACTTTTCCCCATTCAGTATGCTGGCCATGGTATTTTATTATTCTTAATAGCTCTATTCATAATAGTCAAAACCTGGAAATAACCCAGAAGTTTTTCACTTGACAAATGGAAAAGCAGTGGTATATTTTCTTAAAAAATTTTTGTGGGTACATAGTAGGTATATATATTTATGAGGTACATGAGGCATTTTGATACAGGCATGCAATGCACAATAATCACATCATGGAAAATGGAGTAGCAATTCCTTCAAGCATTTATCATTTGTGTTACAAACAACCCAATTACACCTTTTAAGTTATTTTAAAATGTACAGTTAAATGATTATTGACTATAGTCACCCTGTTGTGCTATCAAATACTAGGACTTCTTCATTCTATTCCTTTTTTTGGACACATTCTACATCCCCACTGCCCACCAACTCCTTCAACCACACTTCCCAGCCTCTGGTAATAATCCTTCTACTCTCTATCTCTATGAGTTCAATTGTTCTGGTATTTAGATCCCACAAATAAGTGTGAACATGTGATGTTTGTCTTTCTGTGCCTGGCCTTATTTTGTTACCAAAACACCAGGGGTTTAGTCTAGGTCCTGCTGCTCCCTGCACAGAAAGCCAATGACTGAGACAATGATTATTGCCAAGGAAGAAGGCTTTAATCAGGTGGTGTAGCTGAGGGGATGGGAGATCAGTCTCAAATCCATCTCCATGACTGACTAGAACTAGGGGTTGATATAGCAGGGAAGAAATGTAACAATGTGTAAGAAAATAAGAACTAGGGAGAGGCAAGGAAGCAAACATGGTGAATGAGGGGTCCAGCATCTGGTGAGGTGATCTGGTGAGTTTCAGTTCTTTGATCCTTTTTTTTTCAGAGGCCTGAAGGTCCTGTCCTGAGGAAGGAATGCAGATAAAACAAATATAAGTTTCAAGCTTTAAGACCAGAAGGGTCAATTTCTATGTTTATCAAAAAGATCAGTCTATGAGACTATTGGGTCAGTTTCAGCCCCCACTTTCTATTTATCAATTCCTCAGACATGAGGAATCTGGTCATCAATCTTTCTGGCTGCTTCATGCTGAGGAGGGGTGTCATAGGCAGCTCCATACCATGGGTGACCACGTGGCTGCCCAAGAATCAGACGTTAATCTAATATAGACTTTTCTTCTGAAACACAATCTTTGGAAGCAGAGAAACTCTAAGCAGACAGGGGAGGGTCCCCAGTGGAAATCCCACCTTCAAGCCAGAAATATCCTTAAACCCACTGCCCAAAGTGAGAACTTCTATTCCTGTTTGCCTACTCTCTCCTGATTGGTTCTTTCTGAATAATATCTTTACCAATGGAATGTCGCCTTTTCCAAAACTACCTATGGCCTGCCCATACCCATCCTGTGCCTATAAAGACCTCAACCTCCCTCCCTCAACCAGGAGGGAGAAGAAGTGGCTGGACATTGGGGAAAGATGAATTGACTACATAGATGATGGCTGGATGTCACAGAGAGGCAACTTGACTTTGGAGGAGAGAGGCAGAGTGGTGACTTGACTTCAGGAGAGAGAAACCTGCCCTTCCCATCCCTTTGCCACCTTGCCAGCTCTTCTCTCTACTGAGAGCCACTTTCATCACTCAGTAAACTCCACCTTCACCATCCTTCATCTGTGTGACCTGACCTCATTCTTGCTTTTTTTTTTTTACTCAGATGGAGTCTTGCTCTGTCACCAGGCTGGAGTACAGTGGCGCGATCTCGGCTCACTTCAACCCCCACCTCCTGGGTTCAAGCAACTCTTCTGCCTCAGCCTCCTGAGCAGCTGGGATTACAGGTGTGTGCCACCATGCCCGGCTATTTTTTGTATTTTTTTTTTTTAGTAGAGACGGGGTTTCACCATGTTGGCCAGGCTGCTCTTGAACTCCTCACCTTGTGATCCACCCACCTTGCCCTCCCAAAGTTCTGGGATTACAGGCATGAGCCACCACGCCTGGCCAACCTCATTCTTCTTTGGCACTGGACAAAAATTGGGGACCCACCAAGTGCAGGTACCCAAAAGGGCTGTCACACTGGCCCTTTGCTCTCACTGGCAGAGGGCAGCAGCCCCATTGATGAGTCAAAGGGCCCACTGAGCTGATAACACAGTGCTATCTGTGAAAGGTGGAGCTAAGAGAGCACTGTAACATTCCCTCTGGGGCCTTGGGGTTGCAGGCACCCCTACCTGGACTCTGCCATGGGGCCTTCATGGTGTTTGCTCCTGCCAGCACCAAAGCAGCCAGCCAGTTCCTGCACTCACTTGCTTACATGCTCTCTTCCACAAGGGATGGAATGCAGTGGGTCCAAGCAAATGGAATTTGCTTCTGTCAGTGCTGAGGCAGCCAGCTGGTTCCTGCACTTGTTCAATTGAGTGCTTCCTCCTGCAAGGGGTTGAGCACAGTGGACTGAGTATACAAGGCACTCCAGTCACAAGTCCCACAAAGGCATCAAGAAAATATCCTGCATCAAAAACATGTTGTTATGAACCATATGCAATCAAATACATTGCTGTGAATTAAGAATATTTACAAATAGTTTACAAATTCTGGAGAAATTAGGCAGAGAGAAAAATATGACTCAAATTCTGTTTACAAACGTATATTTACTTAATACACTTAAAATATGTTTCAAGTTTATAAATAGCTCAAAAGAAAACAATTCTTCAGACTCCAAAAAACAAAACAAAAAGAATCAGCAATATTTCAAACAAAAAAAGCCATAAAAATTATTTCAGTCCTCCATTAGTTCTGTCAATGCAATCAACTCTCACTCTGCTTCATATTGCATTAGCAATCTTTATGAACATATCAGCCTTTCAATAAGTGCAGTGAAAGTTTTCTCTCTGATCTAATGGTACAATCTGCAAAGTTATCAGAAACCTGCATTCAAGAGTCCTTTTAATGAACTCCTCCAAAGAAACAAGACTTGGACTGTAGCTGATTATTAGTAACGTTTTTTGGAAGGATCACAGCAAGACAACATTTGTGGATGAAAAAAGTCTTAGGATAGCCGTAGTCAAAGACACAGTTGACAAGGAAATTTGGTTATTTCTGTGGCATGCAATTTAAAATAATAATCATAATTATTACTGATGATGTTACCAGTGGAGGGTGTCCAGGTTCTTGGTGTTTTGAACAAATAATTGGACAAAATGCACAAAGCAATGAAAGAAAAGCACAGATTTATTTAAATGAAACTACACTCCACAGAATGGGAGTGGGCTGAAGCAAGTGGCTCAAGAGCAGGGGTTACAGAATTTTCTGGAGTTTAAATACCCTCAAGAGGTTTCCCATTGGTTATTTGCTTTACACCCTATGTAAATGAAATAATGGCCCATAACCAGTCTGAATGGTTGTGGAAGGTGACCAATCAGAGTCTGAAGTAAAGTTACAAAGTTATACATGAAGACTTGGCCAATCAGAGGTACTTTCATTTTTCATCTGCAATGCAGAAAAGATGGGGAGAGTTACAAAGAAAGTAGCCTCTGATCCCTTTACTACTTGGGTGTGGAGAGGTGGGGTTAGGTTCTCTGCCTCCAGGCCCAGTTCTCCTGTGCATTTCCCCTCTGAGAGATGTGATCCCCATAAATCTTTATGGGAGGCAGGGGGACTGAGGGTCTTTCTTCTGTAACTGCTTCATGCTGACTTGGAGCACCGTCCCTACCTATTGAGGATTATAGAACTCTCATCCTGCTCTGTCTGGTGGGGAGAGGGTAGCTTCTTGATGGCCAGTGGTGTCTTCACCTGGAACTGACTGGAAACCTCATCACATGATCATCGAAAGCTTGATTGTCTCTAGGGAAAAGGAAATGAATTAAAGACTTAAATCTAAGACCTGAAACCATTAAAATTCTAGATGATAACACCAGAAAAACACTTCTGGACATTGGCTTAGGCAAAGAGTTTATAACCAAGAACACAAAAGCAAATGCAACAAAAACAAAAATAAATAGATCAGACCTAATTAAACTAAAACCTCCTGCACAGCAAAAGAAATAATCAGCAGAGTAAACAGACAACCCACAGAGTGGGAGAAAATATTTTCAAACTATGCATCTGACAAGACTAATATCCTGAATCTACAAGGAACTCAAACAAATCAGCAAGAAAAAAACAAAGAATCCCATCAAAAAGTGGACAAAGGATATGAATAGACAATTCTCAAAAGAGGATATACGAATGGCCAACAAACATATGAAAATATGCTCAACATCACTAATGGACAGGGAAATGCAAATTAAGACCACAACAAGATGACCTTACACCTGCAAGAATGGCCATAATTAAAAATAAAAAATTAACAGATGTTGGCATGCATGTGGTGAAAAGGAAATACTTTTACACTCCTGCTGGAAATGTAATATTATCATATTAACTGTAGGTTTGTCACATATAGCCTTTATTATGTCTAGGTATGTTTCTTCTATCCCAATTTGTTGAGAGTTTTTATCATGAAGGAATGTTGAATTTTATTGAATGCCTTTTCAGCATCTCTTGAAATGATCACATGGTTTTTGTCTTTGATCCTGTTGACATGATGTATCATGTTTATTGATTTGCATATGTTGAATTCCTGGGCTCAAGCAATCCTCCCATCTTGGCCTCCCAAAGTGCTGGGCATGAGCCACTGTGCCTGGCTTTATGTATCTTTTCAAAAAAAAAAAAAAAAAACAGGCCTGGCACGGTGGCTCACGCCTCTAATCCCAGCACTTTGGAAGGCCGAGGTGGGTGGATCACAAGGTCAGGAGATCGAGACCATCCTGGCTAACACAGTAAAACGCCATCTCTACTAAAAATACAAAAAATTAGCAAGGCGTGGTGGCGGGTGCCTGTAGTCCCAGCTTCTCAGGAGGCTGAGGCAGGAGAATGGTGTGAACCCAGGAGGTAGAGCTTGCAGTGAGCCGAGATCGCGCCACTGCACTCCAGCCTGGGTGACAGAGCGAGACTCCATCTCAAAAATAAATGAATAAATAAATAAATAAATAAATAAACCAACTGTTCCTTTTGTTATCTTTTTTATTTCTTTTTTTTTAAAGTCTCAATTTTATTTATTTCTTCTCTGATGTTTATTATTTATTGGTTTTTGCCTCCAATTCCTGACTCACAGACAGCATCTCTGGACCTGCCTGGGGAAACTTGCTGCCCTGAAGGAAAGGATACAAACCTGGCTGCCATTGCCACCCGCTGATTGTATAGTCTTAGAGCCTTGAGTGATCATAGATGGTAGCCAGATTGTAGTTATTGTGGGCATTGGGCAAGACCCAGTGCTATGCTGGCTGCAGGTATGATCCAGCACAGTCTCAGTGGTGGTGGCCTCAGGGGTGCTTGTATCACCACACCCCCAGTTCCAGGTGGCTCACCACAGACAGAAAGACTCCATTTATTTAAGAGAAAGTAAGGGAAAAGGACAAGAGTCTCTGCTTGGTAATCTACAGACTTTTTCCAGACCTTATCCAAGACCACCAAGGTGGTACCTCTACAAGTCTACAAAAGCCACAGCATTGTTGGGCTTGGGGCCCAAGTCCCTTTGAATACCTGGAAATGCTTAACAAGAATGGGAACAAATAAGCCCAAACTATGAAGACTACAATAAATACCTCTCTTCAATTCCCAGACACTGATGAACATCCACAAGCATCAAGATCATCCAGGAAAACATGACCACACCAAACAACTAAATAAGTCACCAGGGACCAATCCTGGAGAAACAGATATATGTGGTTAATATAGTTTGGACATATGTCCCTACCCAAATCTCATGAAATGTAATCCCCAATGTTGGAGGTAGGGCCTGGTTGCTGGTGATTGGATCATGGGAGCAGATTTCTCATGAATGACAGCACCATCCCTGTTGGTACTGTCCTTGTGATAGTGAGTTTTTGTGTGGAAGCAGGTTTGGAACTGGGTAACAGGCAGGTATTGGAAGAGCTTTGAGGGTTCAGAAGAAGACAAGAAGATGAGGGAAAATTTGGAGGCTCTTAGATATTGGTTAAATGGTTTTGACTGAAATGCAGATAGTGATATGGACAATGAACTCCAGGCTGAGGAGTTCTCAAATGGAAATAAGGAACTTATTGGGAAATGGATTCCCTGAACTTCAAGAGAGACATGCTGGGCTTATTAGGCTTATTTGTAATGTTAGAATTATACAGGAAGTGGCTGGGCACAGTGGCTCACACCAGTAATCCGAGCACTTTGGGAGGCCAAGGCGGGCAGATCACCTGAGGTTGGGAGTTCGAGACCAGCCTGACAAATATGGAGAAACCCCATCTCTAGTAAAAATACAAGATTAGCCAGTGTGGTGGCACATGCCTGTAATCCCAGCTACTCAGGAGGCTGAGACAGGAGGATTGTTTGAACTCAGGAGGCAGAGGTTGCAGTGAGCTGAGAACGTGCCATTGCACTCCAGCCTGGGCAACAAGAGTGAAACTCTGTCTCAAAAAAAAAAAAAAAAAAAAAAGAATTATACCGGAAGCATTGTCAAATCTGAGGTGGTGTTAAGCTTCCTTTGGGTTATATTTATATAAATGTGTCGTTAATATGTGTTCCAGGATTATATGAAATTCCTAAAATTCTAATGTGTCTTAATATATGTTGTCAGTAATGTATGATTATTATGTTAAAATAATAAATAACCTAATTTCCTGGTCAACTGTGTCTTTATGTCTGTCTTAAGACTTTTGTCATCCACAATTGATGTTTGGCTTTGATCCTTCTCAAAAAAAAAAGTGAGTTATAATCAGCTACAGTTCAAGAATTACTTCTTTGGAGGGGTTCATGAAAAGAACTCTTAAATGCAAGTTTCTGATAACTTTGGAGATCGTGCCATTGGATTAGAGAGAAAACTTCCAGGGCACCAATTCAAAGGCTGACGTGCTTGTAAAGACTGCCAACCCAATATGAGGTAGAGTAGGAGTAGGAACAGGAGTTAGCAGGACTGAAACTTCCCTATCCTATTACCAGTGCTTATACAAGGATTTTATGGAAGGCTTGGATGAAGTTGAAAGCATTCCTCCTGAGAACTGGAACAAAACAATGATGCCTATTGTCTCCATTTCTATTCAACATAGTACTCAAAATCTATGACAAGAGGACAAATAAGGGGAAACAGAAAAACAAGAGAAAGAAATAAAGGGCATCCAAATCTGTAAAGAGGAAATCAAACTGTCACTGTTTACTGATGATATGATTGTATACCTAGAAAACCCTAAAGACTCATTTAGAAGCTCCTAGATCTTATAAATGAATTCAGTAAAGTTTCAGGATACAAAGTCAATGTATGTAAATCTGTAGCACTGCTGCACACCAAGCTGAGAATCAAATCAAGAACTCAACCCCCTTTAAAACAGTTGCAAAAAAAAAAAAAAAGTTAAGTACTTAGGAATATACCTAACCAAAGAGGTGAAAGATCTCTACAAGGAAAACTATAAAACACTGCTGAAAGTAATCATCGATGATGCAAACAAACGGAAACACATTCCATGCTCATGGATGGGTATCATTCAATATTATGAAAATGATTATGTTGCCTAAAGCAATCTACAGATTCAATGCAATTCTCATCAAAATACCATCATTGTCCTTCACAGAACTAGAAAAAACAATCCTAAAATTCATATGAAATCAAAAAAGAGCACGCATAGCCAAAGCAAGACTAAGCAAGAAGAACAAATCTGGAGGCAACACATTACCCGACTTCAAACTATACTGGTATAAAAATAGGAACATAGACCAATGGAACAGAATAGAGAACCCAGATACTTACAGCCAACCCAGCTTTGACAAAGCAAACAAAACACGAAGTAGGGAAAGGACACCCTATTCAAGAGATGGTGCCGCGATAATTGGCAAGCCACATGTAGAAGAAGGAAACTGGATCCTCATCTCTCACCTTATATAAAAATCAACTAAAGATGGATCAAAGACCTAAATCTAGGACCTGAAACCATAAAAATTCTAGAAGATAATATCAGAAAAACTCTTCTATACATTGGCTTAGGCAAATAATTTATGACCAAGAACCCAAAAGCAAATGCAACAAAATAAAAAATAGTTGGGACTTAAAGTAAAAGGCTTCTGCACAGCAAAAGAAATAATAATCAGAGTAAACAGACAACCCAGAGTTGGAGAAAACATTTGCAAACTATGCATCCAACAAAGGACTAATATGCAGAATCTACAAGGAACTCAAAAAAATTAGCAAAAAAAAAAATAATCCAATCAAAAAGTGGGCAAAGAACATAAACAAACAATTCTCAAAAGAAGATATATAATGGACAACAAACATGAAAAAATGCTCAACATCACTAATGATCAGGGAGATACAAATCAAAACCACACTGTGATACCACCTTACCATTCTTATTCCTGCAAGAATGGCCATAATTTAAAAATAAAAAAAAATAGATGTTGGCATGGATGTGGTGAAAAGGGAACACTTTTACATTTCCAGTGGGAATATAAACTAGTACAACCACTATGGAAAACAGTATGGAGATTCCCTAAAAAACTAAAAGTAGATCTACCATTTGATCCAGCAATCCCACTACCTAATATCTGTCCAGAGGAAAATAAATCATTATATGAAAAAGACACTTGCACACACATGTTTCTAGCAGGAGAACCTGAAGTTGCAAAAATATGGAACCAGCCTAAATGCCCATCAACCAACAAGTGAATAAAGAAAATGTGGTATATATATATATATATATATACCACATTTTCTTTATATGTATATATATACATGTATATATAAGTATATATACACATATATATGCATATATATGTATATATGTGTGTGTATGTGTGTGTGTGTGTATATATATATATATATATATCCCATCAAAAAGTGGGCAAAGGGCATAAATAGGCAATTCTCAAAAGAAGATATACAATGGCCAACAAACATATGAAAAAAATGCTCAACATCACTAATGACCAGGGAAATGCAAATCAAAACCACAATGTGATACCACCTTACCATTCTTATTCCTGCAAGAATGGCCATAATTTAAAAGTAAAAAAAGTAGATGTTGGCATATATATACACATATATATATGTGTGTGTATGTGTGTGTGTGTGTATATATATATATATATATATAAATAAAATACACATACCATGGAATATGACTCAGCCAGAAAAAGGAACAAAATAATGGCCTTTGCAGCAACCTGGATGGAGTTGGAGACCATTATTCTAAGTGCAATAATTCAAGAATGAAAAACCAAATATCATACGTTCTCACTTATAAGTGGGAACTAAGCTATTAGGACACAAAGGCACAAGAATGTTACAATGGAATTTGGGGACTTAGGGGGAAGAATAGGGGTGGTGAGGGATAAAAGGCTCCACATTGGGTACAGTGAACACTGCCCGGATGACAGCTGCACCAATAACTCAGAAATGACCACTAAAGAACTTATCTATGTAAACAAAAACCACAATAGTTCCCCAACAAGCTATTGAAATGAAATTTAAAAAATAATCTGTCCAAATCCATAGAAGGTACAACACTGAGAGAGAAACCTAATGTAAAGTATGGGCTTTGGGTGATAATGATATGTCGATGTAGGTTCATCAATTGTAACAAATGTACCACTCTGGTAAAGATGTTGATTAAGAAGCAGAGGGTTGGGGGTAGAGTCTGCATGTGCTGGGTGGGGTGTGTACTGGAACTCTGTACTTCCCCTCAATTTTGCTGGGAATCTAAGATTGCTCTAAAAAATAAAAGACTATTTTTTAAGAAATGAAAAAAACAGATTAACGAGAAGATAGTCAATGGATTTTCAGTGTATATATAATTGGAACCTGTCAAAGAGTAAAATAAAGCAGTAGAATGGAGCAAATATTTAGAATGATAATGGAATAAAATGTGTTCAAACTAAAAGAGCACCTGAATCTATATATCATAGAGGCCTACCGTGTGTCTGAGAAGCTTAACACTGAGTAGTCAACACTGGGACATAACCCAAAATATACTTGTCGGAATGTAAAAACAGATTCCATTGGCAGCCACACAAAAAGACTGAGTCATTTATCAGAAAAAGAGTATCGGCCCCTCCCTGTAATCCCAGCAACTTGGGAGGCTGAGGTGGGTGAATCGCTTGAGCCCAGGAGTTGCAGCCCAGCCTGGGAAACATGAGCCCAGCCTGGGCAACGTAGGGAGACCTTGTCTCTACAACAAATACAAAAATTAGCTGGGGATGGTGATGTGTGCCTGTAGTCTCAGCTACTCAGGAGGCTGGGGTGGGAAGATCATTTGAGCCTGGGAAGTTGAGGCTGCAGTGAGCTGAGGTCACACCACTGCACTCCAGCCTGGGTTACAGAGCAAGACCCTGCCTCAAAAGAAAAAAAAGAAGAGTATCAGGTTCCGGTTCAAGATGACTGAGTAGAAGCAGCTAGTGCCTGCCTCTCTCTCAGAGAGGAACACAAAGTAGTGAGTAAATACTAACTCTACAAGTGAATAGGCTGAGATCATGCTAGGATTTTCTTCAAGGAAGTGATGGGACCCACAGAGAACAGAGAGAGAGGCAGAGCTGGAGCAGGGAGAAGCTCCCTAAGGCAGAGAAAGAGTCCCTGGGGAATCTACACTTAGGTCTTTGCAATTCAGGGTATGGGAGAGTCCCTTGACCAACCCCCACCCCACTGTGTAGGCCTCCAGACCTACAGAGGGTCTATGCAGAGGCACACTCAAGCCCACGTGGAACCCCTGGGCCTTTGATCCCCATGCAGCCCTGCCAACAAGTGGGACCAGCCTCTTCTGCACAACCCTAGGTTGTGGTGCAGCTGTGGTGCTGAGGAGAGGCCAAACTGCACACTGCACAACATCTCCATCCCCACTGCTCCTCACCAGACAGGGTCCCAGGCCTGGGCTCCTAGCACAGCTGCCCTGACCCCGCCTGAACACTGTGGCTCGTAATGGCTTGTAATGGGGATCAAGTTCCCCAGAGGTAACTGACAAGCCCTCCACAGTCGCCACTGCCGCTGCCTCCGCTTTTGCTGCCCTCAGGCCAAGGAGGGAACAAGAAGACTGGACACATTTGTGTGTACCTCCAGCATGGATGTCACAGCCAAGATACGGAGGAACAATGGACAGACTGCACACACCGGGCAACTCTCTGCATACACTATGAGGCTCACCACCTTCTGGCACCCAGTGCACCCGCCCCATTCCTGCCCGAACACCGCGGTGGAGACTTGGTGTTCCTCTGCGTGCAGGACTCATTGAGGTAGCTGACAGGCCCTTTTCGATCTCTGTTGCCTTTGCCTCCCCCTCCACCCCTGTTGCCCCCGGGTCTGGGAGGGAACAAGGAGGCTGGACACCTTCCTGTGCCTTCAGCACTGATGTCTCAGCTGAGATAAGAAGGAGGAGACTGTGTAACCGAGGACTCCCCGCGTCTGCTGTCCCCTGCCAAATCGGGCTCGCTGGCTTCCGGCCCACAACGGCCTTCCTGCCCCTTCCTGAAATTATGGCCATGGCTCGGTTCCTTTGAGAGCCCAATTCCCTGAGGCCAGCAACAAGCTTTTTGGCTCCATCCCTACCACCCCCAGGCCAGCGTGGGAAGAGGAGGCTTTGCACCTTTGTGTGCCCGCAGCAGTGAAATCCAGCATTGCTTGCGTGGGAGGGAAGTGCAAGAGTGCCCCGTCCCCACTGCCCCAGCTGAGGGGTCCTGCCCTCCCCGGTGAAAGACCCACAGCACAGCCACCCTGCCCCATGTAAACATTTTCAGCTGCAGCCCAGAGCCCTTCTGAAAACCCAACCCCCCAAGCTTTTGATCTTCCTTGGGATTCCACCGCCCAAGTGCTCTGCCTGCCCTCACCTGAGAGTTCAGCGGTGACCGACCCGGGAGACTAGCCCACTCCTCGTCATCACAGCCCGTACCTGAAGTCTGGGCTAGCCTGACCCTGGTCCAGCCCATTCCGGACTCATATACACTGTCCCAGCAGGCCGTCTGGGGTCCTGGAAACGGGGAACTACCTATCCCATTCCAACTCTGCTGCCACCCGATAACTTCCACCGGGGCCGAGGTCAGGTGGACCCAATCAGCGGACACCACCATAACCAACCATGTAAGGGTTTGGGGTGGAGCTCTCCCCGCCCCACCCTTCACATGAAGCAGCAGTGCTACCACATCAGAAAACAGAGGAGCCACAAAGCTATCTCTATTGGGCTGAGTTACAAAGTTTTGCCCCCAAACCACTCCCACGGAGACTCACAAAACAGTTTCCTGTGGCTCTCAACCACGTAGGGGTCCAGAGATTGGCTATGTGTGTCTGAACTAGGAGTCACCAACCCCGCCCAGAACAGGGGTGTGATAGGCAAACAGATCATGTTCCTGCCTATGTAGGATGGGGAGCCAGTACAGCCCCCTAACCTCCTCACCCCAAAGACACCTCAGCGCATTTCACCGGGAGCCACCCACCCACTGTCATCAGGGCTGGTGCCTGCACTCACTACTGGGGCCTTCTTAGGCAAGCTAGGGGCTCCAGCTACCCTCCAAGAACAGGAAAGCTTAGGGTAGGGGGCTCTCCACTGCCCAGCCCACCTCCTGAGACAATAGAGAGAACTTCACAGTAAACAAAGATCAGTTACATACTCCTCTGCTTGTGCCGCAGCTGACAATTACCCTTAAGCGCCATCTACTGGCCTGTAGATCAAATATCACAGCCCAGTGTAAAACCTGCCAACAGAAGTGCATAGGGTTACAGAAGCAAAGCCAGAAGGCCCTACTCAACATACTCTGTAGCTATACCCTGCTAGAGATGGGGTGGGGGAGAAAGGCAAAGAAAAAAAATTCTTTCCACATTAAATTAATTACAAAAATTAGAAGTGCTAGCCTCTCCAGATAAGAAGGAAACAGTGTAAGAATTCCAGCACCATGAAAAATCTGAATGTTGTGACACCACCAAAAGATTACACTAGCTCTCCACCAATGGACCCTAACAAAAAAGGAAGCTCAGAAATGACAGAGAATTCAAAGCATGGATTGCAAGGCAGCTCAACGAGATCCAAGACAAGGCTGAAAATCGACGCAAGGAAACTACTAAAGCAATCCAGAAAATGAAGGAAGAGATAAGCATCTTTTTAAAACTTATCAGATCTTCAGAAATTGAAAAACTCACTTACAGAATTTCAAAATACTATTGAAATCTCTATCAACAGACTAGATCAAGCACAAGGAAGAATTTCAGAGCATGAAGACCAATATTTCTAACTAACTCAGTCACACAGAAATAAAGAATTGTTTAAAAATGAGTAAAATTTTTTAGAAACATAGGATTATGTTAAGCAACCAAATCTACAAAAGATTGGAATTCCTGAGAGAAGAAGAAAAAGTAAACAGCTGGAAAACTTATTTGAAGGAATAATTCAAAAATGTTTTCCTAATCTTGTTAGAGAGGTAGACATCCAAACACAATAAACCTGGAGAACACCTGCAAGATACTATACAAGACAAATGTCACCAAGGCACATAGTCACCAGAGTATCCAAAGTCAATACTAAAGAAAAAATGTTAAACGACACCTAGAGAAAAATGTCAGATCACTTACAAGGGAACCCCATTAGGCTAACAATGGACTTCTCAGCAGAAACCTTACAAATGAGAAGAGATTGAGTACTTATTTTCAGTATTCTCAAATAAAAGGAAGTCCAACCAGGAATTTGATGTCTTCCCAAACTAAGCTTCATAAACAAAGAAGAAATAAAATATTTTCCAGGCAAGCAATTGTTAAAGGACCTTATTTTTTACCACTAGACTAGCATTACGAGATATCCTAAGAGAGTTTTAAATATGGAAATGAAAGAATGATGCCTGCTACCACAAAAGCACACTTAAGTATTATACATAGTTCACAGACCTTATAAAGCAACTACACAAATCGGGACTACAAAGAAACCAGCTAACAACATCACAACAGGATTAAAAACCTCACATATAAATATTAACGTTGAATGTAAATGGTCTAAATGTTCCACTTAAAAGGCACAGAGTGGAAATTGGACAAAGAGGAGCTAGAGAAAGAGATAGGGGTAAAAAGTTTATTCAAAGGGATAATAACAGAGAACATCCCAAACCCAGAGAAAGAAATCAATATCCAATTACAAGAAGGTTATAGAACACAAAGCAGATTTAACCTAAAGAAGACTACTTCAAGGCACGTAATAATCAAATTTCCAAAGCTCAAGGTTAAAGAAAAGCTCCCAAAAGCAGCAAAAGAAAAGAAAAAAATAATATGCAATGGAATCCCAATAAGTGTGGCAGCAGACATTTCAACCTTACAGGCCAGGAGAGAGCTGGCATGACATATTTAAAGTGCTGAAGGAAAAAAACACCCACCCTAGAATAGTATATCAGGTGAAAAATCCTTCAAACATGAAGGAGAAATAAGACTTTCCGAGACATACAGAAACAGGGATTTCATAAACGCCAGACCAGTCCTACAAGAGATGTGAAAGGCAGTACTTCAATCAGAAATAAAGACATTAATGAATGAGAAAAAATAATCTGAAGGTACAAATCTCATTGGCAATAGAAAGTACACAGAAAAACACAGAATAGTATAGCACTGTAACTGTGCCGTGTAAACTACTCTTATCTTAAATAGAAAGATTAAATGATAAACAAATATAGTAAAAACCAACTTTTCAAGACATAGTCAGTACAATAAGATGAATAAAAACAACAAAAAGTTAATTTTTTTTGAGACAGGGTCTTGCTCTTTCACCCAGGCTGGAGTGCACCGGTGTGATCTTGGCTCACTGAAACCTCTGTTTCTCAGGCTCAAGTGATCCTCCCACCTCAGCCTCCTGACTAGCTGGGACTACAGGCATGCACCACCATACCTGAGTGGTTTTTCTATTTTAAATAGAGATGAGGTTTTGCCATGTTGCCCAGGCTGGTCTCAAACTCCTGGGCTCAAGCAATCTGCCCATCTAGGCCTCTGAAAGTTCTGGAATTATAAACATGAGCCACTGCACCTGGCCAAAAGTTTTGTCTTGTAATCTATTTTGTCTGACACAAGTATAGCTACTCCTGCTCTTTTTTGGTTTCCATTAGCATAGAATATCTTTTTCCATCCCTTTATTTTCGGCCTATGTGTATCTGTATGGGTGAAACATGTTTCTTATAGGCAACAGATCATTGAGTCTTGCTTTTTATTTATTTATTTATTTATTATATATTTATTTATTTTATTATACTTTAAGTTCTGGGATACATGTGCAGAATGTGGAGTTTTGTTACATAGGTATACATGTGCCATGGTGGTTTGCTGCACCCATCAACCCATCACCTACATTAGGTACTTCTACTAATGCTATCCCTCCCCTATGCCCCCACCCCCTGACAGGCCCTGGTGTGTGATGTTCCCCTCCCTGTGTCCATGTGTTTTCATTGTTCAGCTTCCACTATGAGTGAGAACATGTGGTGTTTGGTTTTCTGTTCTTGTGTTAGTTTGCTGAGAATGATGGTTTCCAGCTTCATCCATGTCCCTACAAAGGACATGAACTCTTCATTTTTTATGGCTGCATAGTATTCCATGGTGTATATGTGCCACATTTTCTTTATCCAATCTATCATTGATGGGCATTTGGGTTGGTTCCAGGTCTTTGCTATTGTGAATAATGCTGCAATAAACATACGAGTGCATGTGTCTTTATAGTAGAATGATTTATAATCCTTTGGGTATATACCCAGTAATGGGATTGCTGGGTCAAATGGTATTTCTGGTTCTAGATCCTTGAGGAATCGCCACACTGTCCTCCACAATGGTTGAACTAATTTATGCTCCCACCAACAGTGTAAAAGCGCTCCTATTTCTCCACATCCTCTCCAGCATCTGTTGTTTCCTGGCTTTTTAATGATTGCCATTCTAACCAGCATGAGATGGTATCTCATTGTGGTTTTGATTTGCATTTCTCTAATGCCCAGTGCTGAGCTTTTTTTTCATACATTTGTTGGCTACATAAATGTCTTCTTTTGAGAAGTGTCTGTTCATATCTTTCGCCCATTTTTTGATGGGTTTTTTTTTCTTGTACATTTGTTTCAGTTCCTTGTAGAGTCTGTATATCAACCCTTTGTCAGACGGATAGATTGCAAAAATTTTCTCCCATTCTGTAGGTTGCCTGTTACTCTGACAATAATTTCTCTTGCTGTGCAGAAGCTCTTTAGTTTAATTAGATCTCATTTGTCAATTTTCGCTTTTGTTGCCATTGCTTTTGGTGTTTTAGTCATGAAGTCTTTGCCCATGCCTATGTCCTGAATGGTATTGCCTAGGTTTTCTTCTAGGGTTTTTATGGTTTTAGGTTTTATATTTAAGTCTTTAATCCATCTTGAGTTAATTTTTGCATAAGGTGTAAGGAAGGAGTGCAGATTCAGGTTTCTGCATATGGCTAGCCAGTTTTCCCAACACCAGTTATTAAAGAGGGAATCATTTCCCCATTGCTTGTTTTATCAGGTTGGTCAAAGATCAGATGGATGTAGATGTGTAACGTTATTTCTGAGGCATCTGTTCTGTTTCATTTGTCTATATATCTGTTTTGTCACCAGTACAATGCTGTTTTCATTACTGTACCTTTATAGTGTAGTTTGAAGTCAGGTAGTGTGATGCCTCCAGCTTTGTTCTTTTTGCTTAGGATTGTCTTAGCTATATGGGCTCTCTTTTGGTTCAATATGAAATTTAAAGTAGTTTTTTCTAATTCTATGAGGAAAGTCAATGGTAGCTTGATGGGGATAGCATTGAATCTATGAATTACTTTGGGCAGTATGGCTATTTTTATGATATTGAATCTTCCTATCCATGAGCATGGAATGTTTTTCCATTTGTTTGTGTCCTCTCATTTCCTTGAGCAGTGGTTTGTAGTTCTCATTGAAGAGGTCCTTCACATCCCTTGTAAGTTGTATTCTTAGGTATTTTATTCTTGTTGTAGTGATTGTGAATGGGAGTTCATATGATTTGGCTCTCTGTTTGTCTATTATTAGTGTATAGGAATGTTTGTGATCTTTGCACATTGATTTTGTATCCTGAGACTTTGCTGAAATTGTTTATCAGCTTAAGGAGATTTAGGGTTGAGACCATGGGGTTTTCTAAATATACAATCATGTCATCTGCAAACAGAGAGAGTTTGACTTCCTCTCTTCCTATTTGAATATGCTTTATTTCTTTTTCTTGCCTGATTGTCCTGGCCAGACTTCCAATACTATGTTGAATAGGAGTAGTGAGACAGGGCATCTTTTTCTTGTGCTGGTTTTCAAAGGGAATTCTTCCAGTTTTTGCCCATTCAGTATGATATTGGCTGTGGGTTTGTGATAAATAGCTCTTATTATTTTGAGATATGTTTTATCAGTCCTAGTTTATTGAGAGTTTTTAGCATGAAGGGGTGTTGAATTTTATTGAAGACCTTTTCTGCATTTATGGAGATAATCATGTGTTTTTTGTCATTGGTTCTGTTTATGTGATGAATTATGATTATTGATTTGTGTTTATTGAACTAGCCTTGCATCTGAGGGATGAAGCTGACAAGATCGTGGTGGATAAGCTTTTTGATGTGCTGCTGGATTCTGTTTGCCAGTATTTTATTGAGGATTTTAGCATCGATGTTCATCTGGGATATTGGCCTGAAATTTTCTTTTTTTGTTGTGTCTCTGTCAGGTTTTGGTATCAGGATGATGCTGACCTCATAAAATGAGTTAGGGAGGATTCCTTCTTTTTCTATTGTTTGGAATACTTTTAGAAGAAATGGTACCAACTCCTCTTTGTACCTCTGGTAGAATTCAGCTGTGAATCTGTCTAGTCCTGGGCTTTTAGTGGTTGGTAGGCTATTAATTACTGCCTCAATTTCAGAACTTGTTATTGGTCTATTCAGGGATTCAACTTCTTCCTGGTTTAGTCTTCAGAGGGCATATGTGTCCAGGAATTTACCCATTTCTTCTAGATTTTCTAGTTTATTTGCACAGAGGTGTTTATAGTATTCTCTGATGGTAGTTTGCATTTCTGTGGGATCGGTGGTGATATCCCCTTTATCATTTTTTATTGTGTCTATTTGATTCTTCTCTCTTTTCTTCTTTATTAGTCTGGCTAGCCATCTATCTATTTTGTTAATCTTTTCAAAAAACCAGCTCCTAGATTTGTAATGCCAAAGGTTCTTGCCTTAGCCACGCCAAAGATTTGGTGTGGCGGCAGCTCGTGGTGAGAGAGAGACAAGGATTGGACTGAGAGAAAAAAAGCTATAGGCTTTATTAAGCAGAGTGACAGTACAAAGCTTCTACAGCATGGAAGGAGTCCCGAGCGGGTAGCCAGTGTTAGATTTTTTGATCACCTCTTAGAGTCTTTAAGGTGAGAAATACATGCAGAGGGAAGATGTTACCAGAGCGAGAAACAAAGACAATTAACATGTCTCGGATCTTGAGAAAAACCGGAATTGTAACTTAAGTTTTATCGACTTTATAACCTTGCAGTGGCATGGCAAAGGAGACAGGATCTCACAGGATTTTACAAATTGTGTTTACAAGGAATTGGAATTGGGGGCATAGCTAAGGTCTGCTGGTCACAGAAAAATGGGCTTTTAACATTCCTTTTAGTTTCAGGGGAGGAAGAGGGGAGAGAGGGAGAGAGGACACAGGGAAGCTCACAGCAAAATTTTTGCTGTTTATAGCTTTCTTGGGGAAAAAAACACGTGTGCAAATTCTGATGTTAGGAATATTTTAAGCATATATCTTCAATATTATTCATCCAGGACCAAAGTAAGTCCTGATGCAGGAAATGAGTGAGTTTCACAGCTTTCTGAGCCCCTACTCAACCCAGGAAGCCCAGTGGGCACCTCCTCTCAGCTCCCCCTCTAGACAGGACGCCCCAACTGCTGTTGGGAACTGGGCGGTGGTGGTTCTGGCTACTTCCTGCTGATTAAGGGCCAAGAAGGGGCCCTGCAGTTGTGGTGTCCTCCAGAGGGGAACTTTTTAGGCTAGTGAGGGACCAGTGGGTCGATACAGGTCCTCGGTAGAAGCCGTGAGTTGAACTCATTTGAGGTTCCATTTATAAGACCATTGGTAGCTTGATGGCCTTGATTCTGGAGGAAACAAATTTGACAAGGAGGTTAAAAATGCAAGGCCCAAAAGCGAATAATAGTAGGATGGCTGTCGCAGGGCCTAGAAAGCGGAGGAGCCAAGGTATCCATTGGTTAAACATATTCCAGGGCCCTGAGTGTTCAAGCTCCTTTTTTTCTACTTTCTATTCATTTTCTTAGTTCTTTGACTTTTTAGTAATGATTCCTGACTGGTTAATGAAATAGCAACATTTTTCTCCTAAGAAGAGGCAGGTTTCTCCCCTTTCAGCTGTTAGTAAGTCTAGGGCTCTCTGGTTTTGAAGGACTACTGCAGCTAGAGAATTAAGCTGGCTTTGTAGGGTCACTAGGGAGTTGGCAACTAGTTCCATGTCATCCTTTAATTTTTGTAATAATTTATAATAGAATTGGGTGGAGGAGGTTATGCCTCCAATTTCAGTCCCAAGCCCACCCAGTATTCCGGCTCCTACAATAAGGGCTCATGTGTGGCGAGATTGGGGTATAAGGAGACTTTGTAACTCTTGTTCAGTATATATGGACATAGGAGGTGCTAGAAAGGAGAGAAAGCATAGTTCTTTCCGAATGCCGTTTAGGCATTGATAGGCTGTGTTATCCCAGTTGAAAAAAATGCCTGAAGTTAGACAGGTGAAACCTGAGGTTATTGATATCCAGGACTGACATTGGGAGGTGTTCTTATTGAGAGCCATGCTGAAGTTTATGCATGTGAGATTTGAGGCCTGTGTGGCTGGTAAATTGGGGATTATGGGACTGATTTGGTGGTGTTTAGGACTGGGATGGATAATGGCCCCAGCTTTGGCTAATGTGTCCCTCCCTAATAAAGGTGTGGGACTTTCAGGCACAACAAGAAATGCACGTGAAAAGAGCAAAGTCTCCCAGTTGCAGCTGAGAAGGCAAGAGAAATACCTGGTTATAGGCTGTCCTAAGATTCCTCGGATAGTAACGGACTTTGAGGACAGTCGTCCAGGGCAGGAGATTAAAACTGAGAAGTCCGCACCAGTGTCCAGGAGGAAGTCCACTTCCTGGCCTTCAATGGTCAAACTTACCCAGGGCTCTGTGAGGGTGATGGCATGAGCTGGCACTTGCCCCAGTCACCCTCAGTCCTATTGCTGAATCATCTGGTTGGGTGCTTCTGGCCTAGAGGGCCTTCATCCTTTGGGGCAGTGTGCCTTCCAGTGATTGCCTTGGCATATTGGACATGGGCGAGGGGGCGGTTTGTTTTTGGTTGGACAATCTTTCTTAAAGTGTCATTGTAAACCGCACTGATAACAAGCCCTTCTAGGCAATTGGCCTGCTCCTCTCTTGGTTCCCTCTGAGCCACCAAGGTCTGCCTGTCTGAGGGCCATGACTAAGGCTGCAGCCTTTCTCTTATCTCACTTTTCCCTTTTGGCCTGTTCCTCTTGGTCCCTGTTATAGAACACCGAGGTTGCCAGGTTTAATAACGTCTCCAAATTTTGTTCTGGGCCTAAAGCAGACTTTTGGAGTTTTCTCCTAAAGTCAGCCATGATTGGGTGATAAATTTATCCTTTAAAATAAGTTGGCCTTCTACAGAATCTGGAGTTGGGGAGGTGTGCTTTCTTAGGGACTCCCTTAGCCTTTCTAGAAAAGCTGAGGGGTTTTCCTCTCTTCCCTGTGTAATTGTGGATAGCATTAAATAGTTCATAGGCTTTTTCCTAGTCTTCCTCAACCCTTCTAAAATGCAAGTTAGCAAATGCCTGTGGCTCCAATCTCCATGATCTGAGTCAGTATCCCAATGAGGGTCTACAGTGGGGACTGCCTCTTGCCCTGTGGGGAATTTTTCCCTCTCCTCCTGGGCCATTCGATCGTTTACCTGGCTAAGGTACCACAGATCCCCAAATTGCTGAGCTGCTGCTAAAGCTGCTTCTTTTCCAGTAGGACTTAATGTCTGATCAAGAAGCAACATGATAGCTCTCCATGTTAGATCAAAGGACTCCCCAATCCTTGCAGGACCTATATATAGTTATCAGGATTATCTGAGAATTTCCCTAAATCTGCCTTTATTTGTTTTCTGCTCTTTATTCGTTTTAAATCTGAGAGTGAGAAGGGGGCATGCACATGAATGGGCCCAAATTCTCCTCCTACTGCTTGTAAGGGACATAGTTTTGGTGCCTAGCTCGCGGAGTTTATGTTCTCTTTCCGGTGCGCCTTTAACACTTTGGTGGGGCCAGATGCTTCTCTAGTTCTTTTAATTTTGATGTTAGGGTGTTGATTTTAGATCTTTCCTACTTTCTCCTGTGGGCATTTAGTGCTATAAATTTTCCTCTAAACACTGCTTTAGCTGTGTCCCACAGATTCTGGTAGGTTGTGTCTTTGTTCTCATTGGTTTCAAATAACTTATTTATTTCTGCATTAATTTTGTTGTTTACCCAGTAGTCATTCAGAAGCAGGTTGTTCAGTTTCCATGTAGTTGTGTGGTTTAGAGTAAGTTTCTTAATCCTGAGTTCTAATTTGATTGCATTGTGGTCTGAGAGACTGTTTGCTATGATTTCCATTCTTTTCCATTTGCTGAGGAGTGTTTTACTTCCAATTATGTGGTCAATTTTAGAATAAGTGTGATGTAGTGCTGAGAAGAATGCATATTCTGTTGATTTGGGGTGGAGAGTTCTGTGGATGTCTATTAGGTTCACTTGGTCCAGAGCTGAGTTCAAGTCCTGAATTTCTTTGTTAATTTTCTGTCTCATTGATCTATCTAATATTGACAGTGGGGTGTAAAAGACTCCAACTATTATTGTGTGGGAGTCTAAGTCTCTTTGTACATCTCTAAGAACTTGCTTTATGAATCTGCGTGCTCCTGTATTGGGTGCATATATATTTAGGAGAGTTAGCTCTTCGTGTTGCATTGATCCCTTTACCACTATATAATGCCCTTCTTTGTCTTTTTTGATCTTTGTCAGTTTAAAGTCTATTTTATTAGAGACTAGGATTGCAACCACTGCTTTTTTTTCTGCTTTCCATTTGCTTGGTAAATATTCCTCCATCCCTTTATTTTGAGCCTATGTTTGTCTTTGCATGTGAGATTTGTCTCCTGAATACAGCACACTGATGGGTCTTGATTCTTTATCCAATTTGCCAGTCTGTGTCTTTTAAATGAGGCATTTAGCCCATATACATTTAAGATTAATATTGTTATGTGTGAATTTGATCTTGCCATTATTAATGCTAGCTGGTTATTTTGCCCATTAGTTGATGTAGTTTCTTCATAGTATTGATGGTCTTTACAATTTGATATGTTTTTGCAGTGGCTGGTACTGGTTTTTCCTTTTATATTTAGTGCTTCCTTCAGGAGTTCTTGTAAGGCAGGCCTGGTGGTGACAAAATCTCTCAGCATTTGCTTGTCTGTAAAGGATTTTATTTCTCCTTCACTTATGAAGCTTAGTTTGGCTGGATATAAAATTCTGGGTTGAAAATTCTTTTCTTTAAGAATGTTGAATATTGGCCCCCATTCCCTTCTGGCTTGTAGGGTTTCTGCAGACAGATTCGCTGTTAGTCTGATGGGCTTCCCTTTATGGGTAACCCAACCTTTCTCTCTGGCTGCCCTTAACATTTTCCCCTCATTTCAACCTTGGTGAATCTGAAAATTATGTGTCTGGGGTTGCTCTTCTCGAGGAATATCTTTGTGGTGTTCTCTGTATTTCCTGAATTTGAATGTTGGCCTGCCTTGCTAGGTTGGGGAAATTCTCCTGGATAATATCCTGAAGAGTGTTTTCCAACTTGGTTCCATTCTCCCCGTCACATTCAGGTACACAAATCAAATGTAGGTTTGGTCTTTTCACATAGTCCAATATTTCTTGGAGGCTTTGTTCATTTCTTTTCATTATTTTTTCTCTATTCTTGTCTTCACACTTTATTTCATTAAGTTGATCTTCAATCTCTCATATCCTTTCTTCCATTTGACTGATTTGGCTTTTGATACTTGTGTATGCTTCATGAAGTTCTCATGCTGTGTTTTTCAGCTCCATCAGGTCATTTGTGTTCTTCTTTAAACTGGTTATTCTAGTTAGCAATTCCTCTAACCTTTTTTCAAGGTTCTTAGCTTCCTTGCATTGGGTTAGAAAATGCTCCTTTAGCTCGGAGGAGTTTGTTATTACCCACCTTCTGAAGCCTACTTCTGTCAATTCATCAAACTCATTCTCTGTCCAGTTTTGTTCCCTTGCTGGTGAGGAGCTCTAATCCTTTGGAGGAGAAGAGGCATTCTGGTTTTTGGAATTTTCAGCCTTTTTGCGCTGGTTTTTCCTCATTGTTGTGGACTTAACTACCTTTGGTCTTTGATGTTGGTTGCCTTTGGATGGAGTTTTTGTGTGGACATCCTTTTTGTTGATGTTGATGCTACTCTTTTCTGTTTGTTAGTTTTCCTTCTAACAGTCAGGCCCCTCTGCTGCAGATCTGGTGGAGTTTCCTGGAGGTCCACTCCAGACCCTGTTTGCCTGGGCATCACTAGTGGAGGCTGCAGAACAGCAAAGGTTGCTCCCTGCTCCTTCCTCTGGAAGCTTCATCCCAGAAAGGCACCCACCAGACGCCAGCCAGAGCTCTCCTGTATGAGGTGTCTGTTGACCCCTGCTAGGAGGTGTCTCCCAGTCAGGAGGCACGGGGGTCAGGGACCCACTTGAGGAGGCAATGTGTCTTTTAGCAGAGCTCGAGTGCTGTGCTGGGAGATCTGCTGCTCTCTTCAGAGTCGGCAGACAGGAAAGTTTAAGTCCACTGAAGCTGTGGCCACAGCTGCCCCTTTCCCCCATGTGCTCTGTCCCAGGGAGAAGGGAGTTTTATCTATAAGGCCCTGACTGGGGCTGCTGCCTTTCTTTCAGAGATGCCCTGCCCAGAGATGAGGAATCTAGAGAGGCAGTCTAGCTACGGTAGCTTTGCTGAGCTGCAGTGGGCTCCACCAAGTTCAATTTCCCAGAGGCTTTGTTTACACTGTGAGGGGAAAACCACCTACTTAAACCTGAGTAGTGGTGGACCCCCCTCCCCCCACCAAGCTCACACATCCCAGGTCAACTTTAGACTGCTGTGCTGGCAGAGAGAATTTCAAGGCAGTGGATCTTAGCTTGCTGGGCTCCATGGGGGGTGGGATCTGCTGAGCTAGACCCCTTGGCTCCCTGGCTTCAGCCCCCTTTCCAGGGAAGTGAATGGTTCTATCTTGCTGGGTTCCAGGTGCCACTGGGGTATGAAAAAAACTCCTGCAGCTAGCTCAATGTCTGCCCAAATGGCTGCCTGGTTTTGTGCTTGAAATCCAGGGCCATGGTGGTGTAGGCACCCGAAGGAATTTCTTGGTCTGAAGGTTGCAAAGACCATGGGAATAGCATAGTATCTGGGCCAGAATGTACCATTCCTCATGGCCCAGTCCCTCATGGCTTCCCTTGGCTAGGGGTGGGAGTTCCCTGACCCCTTGTGCTTCCCAGAAGAGGCAACGCCCCATCCTGCTTTGGCTTACCCTCCATGGGCTGCACCCACTGTCCAACCAGTCCCAGTGAGATGAGCCATGTACCTCAGTTGGAAATGCAGAAATCACCTGACTTCTGCTCTGATCTCACTGGGAGCTGCAGACTAGAGCTGTTCCTATTCATCCATCTTGTCCATACTCTCCCTTTTATAAAATTTTTCATGACTTACACAGACAATCTCTGACATGCCTTGACTTTCTGACTTGTAAACATCCCTCTCCTTAAACAACCAGTTAATTTACTTTAGGACAAGAATTTACCATATAAGATTCTTTTTTATATAAATTTTCCTTTTCTTTTTTTTTTTTTGAGACAGAGTCTTGCTCTGTCACCCAGGCTGGAGTGCAGTGGCGCGATCTCAGCTCACTGCAATCTCTGCCTCCTGGGTTCATGCCATTCTCCTGCCTCAGCCTCCCGAGTAGCTGGGACTATGGGCACCTGCCACCACACCTGGCTAATTTTTTGTATTTTTAGTAGAGACGGGGTTTCACCATGTTAGCCAGGATGGTCTCAATCTCCTGACCTCGTGATCCACCTGCCTCGGCCTCCCAAAGTGCTGGGATTACAAGCGTGAGCCACTGTGCCTGGCCATAAATTCTTTTTTCTTTAATATCAAGATTAGAAGTTAGGGTATTTCACTAAATAGTTCAAGATGTAGCTATCTTTATTAAACCAATATTAATGTTTCATTGATTAAAAAATTACAGAAGCAAAGATTATTCTGTTTGGGCTGAGTTATAGTTTTGTGGCCTCTATGCAAAATTTTCACATCTTATAGTATTTGGCAGAGATAACTATGAAATTGCTTGATTAATAAATGCAAACAAAAATGTATGCTGGAAACTTTTAAGACATTTCTAATCTTACTGTACTAGTAAGTTTTAAAGATTAAAGTCACATGAACTGAAAGGTCCCACAGCTTTTACTTTTCTGTTAAAAATATTTGATTTAAGTGCTTATTTTTCTTAGGTCAATTAATTAGAGCTTTTTAAATAGGCATTGCACACATAACACATACATAGCCACACAGACAACCAGAAGAAGATCCAGTAATTAGAATTTTTTTTTTTTTTGCCCCTTTCCCAATTGGATCACTGGCCTTTGGGTGAGACCCTTTAAGAACAGGGCTATGAAAACAGTTTCCAGGGCCTAATAAACAAGCATAGCTGGAAGACAAAGACAGATTTTGAGAGGTACTTATTCATCTTTAATTCCAGGGGTTCCATAAGGAAAACAGATTTTTTCCCAAAACGGGATTTGTGGCAGCTTTTCTGTTTTCCCAAGGAGTCCCAGGCCACCAGAAGTCATTTTGGGATTTTTCATATATGCACCAAGAGTGGTAAGACAGAGTGGAGAAAAGTAATTCAGTTGACTGGGGAAAAAAACCTTTTCCAGGAAAACAAGATTTATGAAGAGAAAAACATAAAGGCCTTTTGAATATACTCATAGCTTGAATATTCATTTTAATTAAATTGAGAGCTGTTTTTCATCAGGGGTGAGGGTGGAGGTTAGAATTATATAAATATGCCATGTTAAATTAAAGGATTGGGTTATGTGCAGGAATTCCCTGCACTAGTCAGGGGGATTTTCAGAGAAAGATCCCAGGCACTGTTTGATCTGCGACAAATCAGATGTGGAGAAAGGGCATGAATGGGAGCAATGCCTTCAACCGCAGCCACTTCCTGGAGACGGAGAATGGCAGGGTGGTTTGACTGGTTGGAGCAGTTTTTGAATGGGTAACAGATGGAGAAGGAGAAGGAGCAGGGTTTGGAGCTGAAAGCTTGCGGGCAGGAGGCGTCACTGAAGTGGAGGATTCAGATAGGTTGAGGAGCAGATGCAGGGGGATAAGAATATGGAGGGGGTTCATCTGCAGGGTCAAAGGGGTTTTGGAGGAAGGAGTTTCAGAGAAAGGAGAGACCTGGGGAAGGTTATCATTAAGAAGAAAGACTTCATGAGGGGTGCAAGTTTGACACAGGGAGGGTTGGGATCTAAAGTAAAAGAAAGCCTGAATATAGGGAACCTCCTGCCATTTGCTGTTCCTAGTTATAAAGTTGTCAAGGTCCCTGAGAATTTGAAAGTCAAAGGTGCCATTTTCAGGCTACCAGCTGTCATTATCTAATTTGTATTGGGGCCAGGCCATGTTGCAATAAAAAAGCATACTCTTTGGCTTTATGCTTCCTTTAAGCCAAGCTTAGCAACATTGTGAAGGAGACAGCCCAATGGAGAGGACTTAGGAAAGTGGGATTGTTTGGCACCCATGTGGACTGGTAAGAGGAAGCTGAAGGTGTCTGTTTTTGTTCTAGGCATCCACAGATAAAAGACAGAAACCTGGAATCCTCTTTATAAAGAGGATGATCAAGCTGCGAAGAAACTGGGCATCTCCAAGATTTCTTCTAGCTTAGTCCCACTGGTCCTCTGAGGACCGGGACAGCTGACCTGACTCTCCCAGGTGCTGTGAGAAAGTCAGGAGAGGGCAGATCTTACTAGTCAGCTGGATTAGTGTCCGATGTTGGATGTTCTGATTGGAATTGGCAAAGGGCCCCTTGGACTAGAGCTTCACAAGGAAGAGAGGGAGAGAGAGACAGAGAGAGAGAGAGAGAGAGAGAGAGAGAGAGAAGAGGATGAGGGAGGAGGGAAGAGAGCAAAATACCCATTGTGGGCAGCCAGAGGTGGATTCCTAAGACCTGAGGGCTTTGAGGGTTCACTGGAGATTTGCCCCAGCCTGAGCCTCACAGTCCCCTTCAGGTTAGTTGTCCTCCTCAGACAAATTGCTAGAAAAGTGAAGTGAGAGACAAGACAAGATGGGTGGCCAGAGACTCTCAGGATCCAGCAGGATGAGCAGCTGCTGTCCACTGCTTTTTGGGTTGCAGGAGAACCTCTACCCCCAGCACCCATCCTGAGTTTTGGCAGCAAATGTAAGAGTTAAAGAAAGAGGAAAGAAACACGAAAAGTGACTCACCAGTCAAAGACAGGTTTATTTTGGAGAATAAACCTGAGAGGGGCTTCTGGCTGATTTTGGTCAGGAGCACACTCTCTTACAGATTAAGCGTATTTGTTGATTTTAGGGTGAGAGAGCTTATCATAGGCTTGGAATGTTTCTTTGTGGGGAAGAAGTTTATTGTGGGTTTGGAATGTCTCTGGTAGGAGGGGAGGTTGTCTTGGGGCTGACATCTCTCTGGGGAGGGGTTTATCTTATGGTTGAAATGTTTCTGGTCAGAGATGTCATTTATGGTTTATGGTCATGCTGGCCTTAGCCTTTAGGCTGATGCCCTGTGGATTTAGGTGGTTTTTGATTAAGGGGAACTTTAGAATGGTGGTGTTTGTCCAAGATGGTGATGCTCCTGTTCTGTCAAAGTCCCTAGGCTGCACACAG
The DNA here is from genome assembly GCF_000001405.40 of Homo sapiens. Classification (NCBI taxonomy): domain Eukaryota; kingdom Metazoa; phylum Chordata; class Mammalia; order Primates; family Hominidae; genus Homo; species Homo sapiens. The sequence continues at coordinate 35,297,615 of NC_000017.11, read as the reverse complement.
CACAGGGATCCTCTGTCCAGCCCAGGAAACTACTTTTTCCTCCTGGGCCTCCAGACCTGTGATGGGAGGGGCTGCTGTGAAGGTCTCTGACATGGCCTAAAGACATTTTCCCCATGGTCTTGGGGATTAACAGTAGGCTCCTCACTGCTTATGCAAATTTCTGCAGCTGGCTTGAATTTCTCCCCAGAAAATGGGGTTTTCTTTTCTATTGCATAGTCAGGTTGCAAACTTTCCAAACTTTTATGCTCTGCTTCTGTTATGAAATTGAATGCCTTTAACAAGTCACCTCTTGAATGCTTTGCTGCTTAGAAATTTCTTCCACCAGATACCCTAAATCATCTTTCTCAAGTTCAAAGTTTTACAAATTTCTAGGGCAGGGGCAAAATGCCACCAGCCTCTTTGCTAAAACATAACAAGATCCACCTTTACTCCAGTTCCCAACAAGCTCCTCATCTCCATCTGAGACCACCTCAGCCTAGACCTTATTGTCCATATCACTATCAGCATTTTGGTCAAAGCCATTCAACAAGTCTCTAGGAAGTTCCAAACTTTCCCACATTTTCCTGTCTTCCTCTGGGGCTTCCAAACTGTTCCAACTTCTGCCTGTTACCCAGCTCCAAAATCACTTTCACATTTTCTGGTATCTTTTCAGCAATACCCCTCTACTGGTAACAATTTACTATATTAGTCTGTTTTCATGCTGCTGATAAAGACATACCCAAGACTGGGAAGAAAAGGAGGTTTATTGGGACAGTTCCACATGGCTGGGGAAATCTCAGAATCATGGCGGGAAGTGAAGGCACTTCTTACATGGTGGTGGCAAGAGAAAATGAGCTAGAAGCAAATGAGGAAACCCCTGATAATCCCATCAGATCTCATGAGACTTATTCACTATCATGAGAATAGCATGGGAAAAGACGGCCTCCATCATTAAACTACCTCTCCCTGGGTCCCTCCCATAACATGTGGGAATTCCGGGAGATACAATTCAAGCTCAGATTTGGATGGGGACACAGCCAAACCATATCAATGACTGTACTAATTTACATTTCCTCCAACAGTGTACAAGAGTTTTCTTTTTTCCTCATCCTCTCCAACACTTGTTTTCATTCATCTTTTTTGTAATAGTCAATCTAACAGCATGAGGTGATATATTATTGTGGTTTTATTTACATTTCCCTGATCAGTAATATTGAGCATTTTTCCAAATATCTATTGGCCATTTGTGTGTATTTTGAAAAATGTGTATTCACATTGTTTGCCCAGTTTTTAATCAAGTTATTTGTTTCTTTCGATTGAGTCATTTGAATACCTTGTATATTTTGGATATTAGCCCATTTTATGCTGTATAATTTGCAAATATGTTCTCCCAATCCGTGGACTGTATCTTCACTCTGTTAATTATTTCCTTTGCTGTGCAGTAGTTTTTTTTGTTTGATGCAATACCATTTGTCTATTATTGTTTTCATTGCCTGTACTTTTGGGACCTAGCAAAGAAATCACTGCCCAGAACAAGCTCACGTTTTTTATGGTAAGAAGGAAAAGTCTATATTCTGAAAAGATGGCAGATGTTTTATTTAACCAGAAATTAACTGCCTTCAAGGACCCTTTTTTAGATTCTTTCTGAGGATCCTTGAAGGGAGTCCATTTCCTGGAAATTAACGCAGGAAATGGGAGTTTCAAGGATGGAGATTCTTTAGGCATGAGTATAGTCTAGAGGAAGATGTGACAAATCACATAATTGGGCTTCAAGCAGTGATGGCCCAGGAAGGCCTAACTGGACTCCTAAGGACTCAGCAGAACTGAAGGCATTTGAGAGCACTCACTCCTTCTGTCAGACTCTCTCCAAAGTTAAATCAAGGAGAAATATTGTTTTTTCCATTATGCTGATGCAGCCTGACCACTGTGAGGACTGTGGGACTTTACAAGGATGGTGTTAAAAGTAGAGGTAAACAGCAAGATTTCACAATCATGCAAAGGAAAGAAAAGGGCGCTATAAAAATATATTAACTAACCAGCCAAGGAAAGGGAAAGGGGAGAAAAACAAGAAAATTCAGTGTTGCAAAAGTGATAATTTGCAACTGACAATGTTTGCTCTGATTCTGTTTTTCTACCCTGCCCCTGCCTCTGCCTCTCTTGGCCTCTCCAAGACCTGACACAATGCCCGCCCCGCCCGTCCCATCCTTCATATCCACACTCAATCACAGTGTGAATGTCAAGACTGAGAAGAACCTGCCCTAGGGTTTCACATGGCAGCTTTTTGCTCACTGAGGCCTCCCTGACTTCCCAGTCTAATGTACCAACTCCTCTTACCAGACAGACAAACCAGACAGACACACATTCACAGATACCGAGAGCCTTTCTGTTGTACTGCCTTGCTTTACAACCCTATTATCCCTTTTCATGCTCTGCCATTCCGTGTACTCATGTTTGTTCACATATTCCAGAACTTTCCTGTCATGTCTGCCTCTGGACTCCCAGCACTTAGATCTACTAGTTTCATACACAGGCTGGGGTAGGAGCCTGTGTATGAAACTTCTTAGATGGAAAGCCTTCCAATCAGTTATCACCCTTTAGAATATACAGTTGTGTCTCACCCTGGAGGCTGGAAAGAGTTGAAGGTTCTGTGCAACAGTTGTTTCAGCTGCTCTTGGAGGGGTCAGAAATGTGACCTGCATCTTTGCCAACATATGTTATTTTTTGACTTTTTAGTAATAACCATTCGGACTCATGTAAGATGATATCTCATTGTGGTTTTCATTTGCATTTATCTGACAATTAGTGATGCTGAAAATTTTTTTATATGCTTGTTGGTCATTTGTATGTCTTCTTTAAAAAAATGTCTATTCAAATCCTTTGCCCACTTTTGTTGTTGTTGCTGTTATTGTTGTTGAAGTTTGAGTTTTTCACAAATTCTGGATGCCAGTCCCCTGTTGAATGGTTGAATGGATAGTTTGCAAATATTTTCTCCCATTCTGCAGGTCTGTTCACTCTATTGATTTTTTTTTCTGTGCAGAAGCTTTTTAGTTTAAGTCCCATTTGTCTATTTTTGTTTTTGTTGCTTGTGATTTTGAGGCCTTAGTCATAAATTCGTTGCCTAGATCAATGTCCACAAGAGTTTTACCTAGGTTTTCTTCTAGAATTTTTATAGTTTCACGTCTTATAATTGAGTCTTTAATCCATCTTGTATATCGTGAGAGATAGGAGTCCAGTTGCATTCTTCTGGATGTGGCAATCCAATTTCCCCACCATCATTTATTGAAAAGGGGATCCTTTCCCCAGTGTATGTTTTTGTCAACTTTGCCAAAGATCAGTTGGCTGTATGTGTGTGGCTTTATTTCTGAGTTCTCTGTTCCATTAATCTATATGTCTATTTTTGTACCAGTACCATGGTGTTTTGCTTACCATAGCCTTGTAGTATAGTTTGAGATCAGGTAATGTGTTGCTTCCGAGTTTGTTCTTTTTGCTTAGGATTGCTTTAGCCATTTGGGCTCTTTTTTGGTTCCAAGTGAATTTTAAGATTGTTTTTTTCCAACTCTGCGAAAAACAACATTGGTATTTTGATAGATATTGCATTGAATCTGTAGATTGCTTTGTGCAGTATGGTCATGTTAATGACATTAATTCTTCTGATCCATGAGAATAAGATGCTTTTCCATTTGTTTGTGTCATCTACAACTGCTTTCATCAGTGTTTTGTAGTTTTCCTTGTAAAGATCTTTTATCTCCTTGGTTAAATATATTCCTGGGCATTTTATTTTATTTTACTTCATTTTTTGTAGCTATGTTAAATGGGATTGCCTTCTTGATTTGGTTCTCTGCTTGATCATTATTAATGCAGAGAAATGCTAATGACTTTTGTACACTGATTTCGTATTGTGAAACTTTACTGAATTCATTTATCAGATCTAGAGCTTTTTGGAGAAGTCTTTAGCAATTTCTAGATATAAGGTTATATTGCCAGTGAACAGAGATAATTTGACTTCCTCTTTTCCAAGTTGGATACCTTTTATTTCTTTCTCTTGCCTGATTGCCCTATGAGTTCAGCACTATGTTGAATAGGAGTGGTGAGAATGAACATCCTTGTCTTGCTCCAGTTCTTAGAGGGAATGCTTGCAACTTTTTCCTATTCAGTATGATGCTGGCTGTGGGTTTGTTGTATAGGGCCTTTATTATTTTAAGGTAGTTCTTCTGAAGTTTGTTGAAGATTTGTATCATGAAAGGGTGCTGACTTTTATCAAATGCTTTTTCTGCATCTATTGAGATGATTCATGAAGAATTTTTGTATCACTGCCTGGCAGATGTTTTTCATTCTGTTAAAATTTTTAGAAACCAAGTCATGCTTTCCCAGTTAACAAAGAAGCAAAGTTAAATACTAAACTGCAATGTATTGAGAATATGTAACATTACTTTTACCAATGAAACCAGAAAGAATCCCTCTCTAAGTTATTTAGGAAAATGAAATGGATAGCAAATAAGTAATAATATTTATTTGCTATCATCGCAGTCAAATTGCTTACCTAATAAATTTACTCAAAAGCAAATTTCCACAAATGCCAAGAATGTTGCCACAGTAAAGCACATTCTTAATCTTTTCCATGATCTTCATAGTCACAACTACATCAGGTAAGCCACAAATTCTTCATTTGTCTTGGAGCAAGTCTTTAAAGGCAATTCCTGCTGTTTATTTAAGAGTAGATTTATACCTCAGATCCCAACTGGCCACATAAGAATTTTCTAAACCCAAACAAGGCTATCACAGGGAACATTAGCATAGCTTCGTGTTTTAGGTGGCTGTAAGCTGATAAGACTCAAGATAAATTATTTGCAAGTCTGAACCACTGAGGAGCTGTGTGTTTCTCTCAGATCCCAGAGTGAAGACCATAATCAAGACACATACACTTCCATGTTTCATTCATGTTCACTAACTTTACTAGCGTGCGTGGGATGGCCCCTCCAACCTGCATCATTCCATACTCTGGACCCAGGTCCACAGCCCCACTGCTAAAAAAAAATAAACAAACAACAACAAAAAAAATGCTTTTTGAGAAACAAAGCATATTTATTTATTTATAATAACAGCTGTATTGAGATACAATTTACATACTATTAAGTTCACTCTTTTAAAGTATACAACTCTGGGATTTTTAGTATTTTCATAGAGTCGTGCATCCATCTTCACTATCTAATTCCAGAACACGTTCAGTACCCCAACAAGAAACCCCCATACCCAGAGCAGTCACTCCTCAATCTCCCTTTCCCTACCTTCAGTCCCTGGCAACCACTAATCTAACTTCTGTTCCTATGGATTTGCCTTTTCTGGATGTTTTATATAAATAAATACATACAATATGTGTCTGGCCTCTTTCACTTACTTAGCATAATGTTTTCACAGTTTATCTGTCGTAGCACGTATCAGTACTTCACCTTTTTGTATGGGAGAATTTCATTGTGTACCACATTTTGCTCATCCATTCATCAGTTGATTGATGTTTGGATTGTTTCCACTTCAGACTGTTATGAATAATGCTGCTATGAATTTTTGTGTACAAATTTTTCTGAGGACATATGGTTTTGCTTTCCTTGCTGAGTCATATAACTTTTTGAAGCACTGGTTCTTTGTTTTGTTTTGTTTTCTTAGAGACAGGGTCTCTATCACCCAAGTTGGAGTGCGATGGTGCAATCATATCTCACTGCAGCCTCTAACTCCTCAAGATCTTCCTACCTCAGCCTCCTGAGTAGCCAGGACTTCAGGTGTGCACAGCCTCATCCAGATAATTTTTAATTTTTATTTTTTATGGAGACAAGGTCTTTCTATGTTGCCCACGCTGGTCTTAAATTCCTGGCTTCAAGCAATCTTTCCACCTCAGTCTTCCAAAGTGTTGGGATTACAGGCTTGAGCCACTGCACCTGGCTATCTTTTCACTTTCTTAATGATGTCCCTTGAAACACACAAAAAATTTGAATTTTAATGCAGTACAGTTCATCTTTTTTCCCGTCTTGTGCTTTTCCTGTCATATCTAACAAATCATTGCCTCATCCAAGCTAACAAAGATTTGCTCCTATGTTTTATTCTAAGAGCTTTATAATTTTAGCTCTTACAAGTAAGCCTATGAGTCAGTTTGAGTTATTTTCTTGTGTACAATATGAGATATAGGTCTAACTTGATTCTTTTGCATGTGGATATCCAGTTGTCTCAGCACTATTTGTTGATAAGACTAGTCTTTTTCACATGGAATTAACCTGACGCTCTTGTCAACAATCAGTTGATCATAAATGTATTTATTTCTGGACTTTCAGTTCTATTCCATTGATTTATGTGTCTACCCTCATGCAATACCACACTGCTTTAAATTTTTGAATCAAGAAGAGTGAATCCTCTAAATTTGTTCTCTTTCAAGATTATTTTGACTATTATGGATCCCCTGATTTCCATATGAATTTTAGGATCATGTTATCAATTTCTGCAAAAAGAGAAGCTGGAATTTTGAAAGAGATTACATTGACTCTATAGATCCATTTGGAGAGTATTGCCATCATGACAAAATTAAACCTTCCAATTCATGAACATGGAATATTTTTCCATTTGCTTAATTCCTTTAAATGATATCTCATAGTTTTCAATGGACAGTTTTTTTTTTTGAGACAGGGTCTCACTCTGTTGCCCAGACTGGAGTGTAGTGATGTGATCACGGCTCACTGCAGCCTCAACCTCCTAGGCTCGAGTGATCCTCCCATCTCAGCCTCCCAAGTAGCTGGTACTACAGGCATGCGCCACCATGTCTGGCTAATTTTTTTGTATTTTCTGCAGATACGGAATTTTGTAATATTGCCCAAGCTGATTTCAAACTCCTGGGCTCAAACGATCCACCCACCTCGACCTCCCAAAGTTCTGGGAACACAGGGATGAGTCACCACGCTCGGCTGATGGACAAATCTTACATTTCTCTTATTCCTAAGTATTTTATTATTTTTGATGTTTTCATAAATGGAATTGTTTTCTAAATTTTATTTTCAAATTTTGTATTGCTATTACACAGAAATACAACTGATTTTTGTAACCAGATCTTGCATCTTGCACCTTATTTAACTCATTTATTCATTATAATAGTTTCCAACTGGATACTTTAGTTTTTATATCATATCATATGCAAATAGAGATAGTTTTACTTCTTTTATTTCACTCTAGGTGTCTTTTATTTTCTTTTCTTGCCAAATTATCCTGGCTAGAACTTCCAGTACCATGTTGAATGGAAGTGGCGAGAGCAGAAATTATAGTCTTGTTCTTGATCTCAGAGGGAAAGTATTTAGTTTTTCACCATTAAGTTTGGTGTGGTTGTGGAGTTTTAGTAGATGGCCTTTATCAAGTTGAGGAGATGTTCTTCTATTCCTAGTTGTTTAGTGTTTTTATCATGAAAGGACACTGTATTTTGTCAAGTTTTTTTCTGTATATATTGATGTGATCATGGGGTTTTTGTCTTTTATTCTATTAATATGATGTATTACATTGATTTTGTATGTCAAGCCCAACCTTACATTCCTGGGATAAATCTCAATTGGTCATGACTTATACTCCTTTTTATATGTTGCTGTCTTTGGTTTGATAGTATTTTGTTCAGGATTTTTGCATGTATATTCGCAAGGTATATTGGTCTGTAATTTTATTTTCTTGTGATATCTTTGTCTGTCTTTAGTATCAGAGTAATATTGGCTACATAGAATGAGTTGGAAAGTATTCCATTTTCTTCTGTTTTTAAGAAAAATTTATGAATAATTGGTGTTAATTCTTTTTTAAGGTCTGATGAAATTCACCAGGGAAGCCATCTGTGCTTTTCTTTGTGGGAAGTTTGTTGGGCATTTTCCCCCTAGTTATTAATAATTCAATCTCTCTACTTGTTATAGGTCTATTCAGATTTTTATTTCTTCTTGAGTGAGTTTCAATAGTTTGTATCTTTCTAGGAATTTGTTGCTTTCATCTATATTATCTGATTTTTTTTGCTGTACAAGTGTTCATAATATTCCCTTATATTCTTTTTTATTTCCATAATGTCATTCATTATGCCCCTTTTTTTATTCCTGATTTTAGTAATTTGAGTGTCATCTCTTTTCTTGGTCAGTCTAGCTAAAAGACTGTCAATTTCCTTGATCTTTTCAAAGAAACAACTTTCAGTTTCATTAATTTCCTCGATCTTTTCAAAGAAACAACTTTCAGTTTCATTAATTTCCTCTATTCCTGTTCTCAGTTTCACTTATTACTGCACTGGTCTGTTATTTTCTTCCTTCTGCTTGCTCTAGGTTTAGTTTGCTCTTGTTTTCCTAGTTTCTTAAGGTGGATGTTTAGGTTATTGATTTGAGACCTTTCTTCTTTTTAAATATAGACATTTACAGCTATAAATTTCCCTATAAGCATTGCTTTAGCTGCATCCCATTAATGTTAGTACATTGTGTTTTAGTTTTTATTCATCTCAAAGAATTTTCTAATTTCCTTTGTGATTTCTTCTTTGATCCTTGGTTATTGTAGTAGGTTACTTGGGCTGTCGTCGAATACCATAGGCTGGCTGGCTTAAACAATAGACATTTATTTTCTCACAGTTAGGGAGGCAAGAAGTCCATGATCAAGATGATGACAAATTTGGTTTCTGGTGAGGGCTGTCTTTCTGGTTAGTAGATGGCCACCTTCTCACTGTTTCCTCACATGGCCTTTTCTCTGTGCACTTTGGGGTTGGGGGTGCGGAATCTCTGATCTCTGGTGTCTCTTCCTATTCTTATAAAAGCCCCAGTTTTATCAGATTAGGGACCCACTCTTATGACCTCATTTAACCTTAATTAGTTCCCTAAAACCTTCAACATGCGAATTTTGGGGGAACACAATTCAGTCCGTAAGTTATTTGTCTCTTATATTCCCGTATTCATTAACTCCCTCATTCTTTCTTGTTGAATAAAGATTTCCATAGAATGGGTTGAAACAACTGTTGTACAAGATCTTCCACTCTCTCCAGCCTCTAGGGTGAGAACACAGCTTTATATTCTGAAGGGTGATAACTGATTGGAAGGCCTCCCATCTAAGAAGAAAGAGGCAGCTCCTGCCCTTGCTTGTGTGTGAAACTAGCAGGTCTAGGTTGTTGGGAGTCCAGAGGCAGACACGACAGGAAAGTCCTGGAATATGTGAACAAATACGAGTACAAGGAATAACAGATAAAAAAGATTGTAAAGCAAGGCAGTACAACAGAAGGGCTCTCAGTATCTACGAGTGTGTCTGTCTGGTCTGTCTGCTTGGTAAGAGGGGTTGGTAAATTAGACTGGGAGGTCAGGGAGGTCCTACTGAGGAAAGAGCTGCCATGTGAAGCCTGAGGGCAGGCACTTCTCAGTCTTGATATCCCCCACCGTGAGGAAGCAGAAATGCCTGAGTCTCTGGGGTAGGGTGGGTATGAAGGACAGAGAGGGGCACTGTGTCAGGCCTTGGAGAGGCCAAAAGAGGCAGAGGCAGGGGAAGGGTAGACAAACAGAATCAAAGTAAACTGCTCTGTTGCCCAGGCTGGAGTGCAGTGGCACAATCTTGGCTCACTGCAACCTCTGCCTCCCAGGTTCAAGTGATTCTCTTGCCTCAGTCTCCCAAGTGGCACACGCCACCATGCCCAGCTAATTTTTGTATTTTTAGTAGAGACAGGGTTTCACTATATAGGCCAGGCTGGTCTTGAACTCCTGACCTTGTGATCCGCCCACTTCGGCCTCCCAAAGTGCTGGGATTACAGGCATAAACCACCATGCCCAGCCTTCTCCCCCAGTATTTTATAAAATGGATGAAAACTGTAAAGATATAGCCAAAAGTTAGCCAGCAATGGTGAGATGCAGAGAAACAAGCACAGTTTTGTTTCTTTTCTTCATTACTTTTAATGGCAAAAACTGCTTTTACTTTTGCACCAACCTAATAAAAAGAGTAGCCAAGAAAAGAAACAGAGAATTCTGGCCTCATTATATGACTCTTGTCTCTATCCATGCTTCAGAAGCAGAACTGAAAAAGAAGAGTGAATCAACAAAAATCTGTTGAATTTTTATGAAAACTTGAATTGAAAGAGAAGCAGCTAAAAGGATGAGTGGCAATTCACAATTGCAAAAATGAGGAACCAGCCCAAATGCCCATCAATCAATGAGCAGATAAAGAAACTGTGGTGTGTGTGTGTATATATGTGTATACATATGTGTGTATATGTGTGTGTATTATATGTGTGTATATATGTATATATATGTATGTGTGTATATATACATATATACACACACACATATATACACACACGTATATACATATATGTATATATATATATATATATATATATATACACACACATATGGAATATGACTCAACCATAAAAAGAAATGAATTAATGGCATTTGCAGCAACCTGGATGAGACTGGAGACTATTATTCTAAGTGAAGTAACTCAGCAATGCAAAACCAAACATCGAATGCCCTCACTCATAAGTGGGAGATAAGCTATGAGGATGCAGAGGAATAAGAATGATACAATGAACTTTGGGGACTCAGGGAGGAAAGGGTGGGAAGGGGGTGAGGAATAAAGACTACAAATTGAGTTCAGTGTACACTGCTTGGGTGATGGGTGCACCAAAATCTCACAAATCACCACTAAAGAACTTACTCATGTAACCAAACACCACCTGTTTCCCAAAAACCCATGGAAATAAAAAATTAAAAAAAAAAGTGAGTGAGCAGTTTTGGGAAACAGCCAGGAAAATCCTGAAGAACTGGGGCCTCTGGTTTCTCCCAAAGGAGCTCTGCAGAGCTGGGCACTTACCAGCTGCTGATTGGGAAGTTCTTTCTGGGTGAGGCTTGACATTATTTTTAACAAGATTCCAGGTGATGTAGGAGCTGCTAGACCAAAGACTTCACTTTGAGTAGCAAGGGTCTAGAATATTTCCTTTCCACTAGAAATAGATGAATCCCAGATCTACTGACTCAGAATCTGTGTTGTAACAAGATCCTCCAGGTGCCTCATATGCATCCTTCAGAAGTGCTGGCTAGATGCTGTCTTTCCTGGGTCCATATTATTAACCTGGCATATCCACAGGAGGCCTAGCAGGACAATGTTAAATTAAACTAAATTTGACCTGAGGATGCCTCAATACCTGAGTCCATATGTAACAAACAAGCACCAAACTTACTATGCAAACAAACTGAAAGCCTAACTTAGGAGTTTTATTATCTTTTTTGTAGCGACTAGCTGAGTCTCAGCCAATCACAGCAGCCAATCACAGGCTGCCAACTGATCAGACTATGTCCAAATAAGGCAAACACCATGCTGTAACCAAGCAAGCTGTTTCTATACCTCACTTCTGTTTTCTGTCTATAAATGCTGCCTGCCCACATTTAGGCTCAGAGCTCTCTGAATCTCTTCACAAGTCCTTCTTTTCTCAATTAAATTCTGTTAAATTTAATTCGTCTAGTTTTCCTTTAACAAACACAAGGTACATTCAAAGGCATAATTAGAGACGAGTTCAAAAGGGACTATTTACAAAGGTGTGGACAGAGAAGAGGGAGGCCACAGGAGATAATGTATAGTTTGGGGCTATTGATGAGGGGCAGGCAGCTCTGTTGAGGGGAAGAAGTTGTTACTGGAACCAGGAGATCAAAAGACCTGTCAAGAGGCTGCATCATAGGAACTTTAGTTGTGGGACACAGCCAGCGTGCATTACTCGCAAGAGGAGAACCAGAAGAAAAAAAATAGTCTCACCTCACTCTCCTCCCTCCCTCTCATCTTCAGCCATTGTCCCCATTGACCAAGCAACCAAAATTCAGATGGCAAGGGAGCCCTACCGATATTATCCAGGCAGCCTCTTGCAGCCCAGAGCAGGCTGGAGAAGGATGGAGAATAGATGCCAAAGGAATAAATGGAGGATGTCCAGCATGCCAACTCCCCCATTCCCCTCCTACCCCAATCTTATCATTCCTCTGGGTGAAGAGTTAATGTCCCCAACACAATAAAGTGTGTTAAGCTACCATGGTATCAATTCAGTCAAATGTTCGTTTGAAACCAAAAATGTTAGCCATGGCCAATCTTCTTTTTATAAGGCCACAGGGGAAAGAGGAGAAAGAAACATCAATAATTAGCAATTTTATATTAAACTAAATTTGGCCTAAAGCTGCCTCCATACATAGCAAACTGTAACCTAATGTAGTAAGTAAACAAACTGCAACATAACTTAAGAGTATAGTCTTGTAACGAATAGCCAAGTCCCATCCAATCCCATACACAGCAGCCAAACTTCAGCCAATCACAGGCTGCCAAGTGATCAGACCATGTCCACAGAAGGTAAATGCCAAGCTGCAACCAATCAAGCTGTTTCTGTATGTCACTACCCTTTTCTTTCTATAAATACTGCCTGCCCATGTTGCTAGGGAGTGCTCTCTGGACGTCTCCTGGTTCTGGATGCTGCCTAATTCATGAATTGTTCTTTGCTCAAGTAAACTCTGCTAAACTTAACTTGTCTAAAGTTTTTCTTTTGGTAAAATAAAACCTATCTGTATTTGTACCTACTTCTGAAGCTAGTCACAAGGCCTCGGTTGGTAGTTATAGCAGCCTTCTCCCACAACCCTCTCTAAGTTCTGCCTGCCCACCTCAGTTGGATGGGATTCTTTACTGGGTGGGGTTACTTAAACTTTCATTCTCCTGTGGTTTCTAAGTCCGTGGTGATGGCTATCATTTCACCCAAAATACACAAACGTGTATACCCACTTAGATGACTTCCCTTCATCATTGTCTTGCAGTGTTATCCCTGAGTGGAGCTGGAGAGTAAAAGCCATCCACTCTTGTTGAGACCTATGGATCATGAAGCTTCATTTGCAAACCAAGCCCACACCTTTTTGTCCTCCTTTAGCTGGTCATGTGCCCCAAGAGGTCATTGCTGTAAGTGGAGAGAAAGGCAGTGAAGCAGTGGACATTGATCCTATGCAAGTCTGAGCCACCTGCTGTTACAGCTTATTAATTTCTTGCAGACCTATGAGGCCCCAGTCTTACATATATGAGTTCCATTTTATGATGAATTCTGCTGTGTATGATTTAGTGGAAGAGATGACCCCTTTGGATTTGATAAGAGCTCAGGTCACACAGATATTTGTCAGATATTCAGTCTCAACAGGGTCCCACGGGAAGTGAGATACTGATTTCATATGGACAGTACTTGTTGGCAGAAGAGGGCATAGCCTTCCTCCAAAACTCTAGGGATTCTGTTATTGGGGATTTTGGTAGATCTCTGACTTCTGCAGAGTCTCCCACTATCATTAGGTCTGCTGGGTCATTGTGTGCAAATAGTGGGACATGTACACCACAACTTGGACCTGCTAGAGAGAACTTTCCTTCTCTAGCAGTCTTACTGCTTGGCAGAAAATGGATTAGCCTGTCCAAAATCCAGATAAACCAAGCAAGCATGGAGCTTCGTAGGTTATTCTTTCTTTTAGAGATGTTGTTTCAACCTGTCCCAAGGTACCAAACTCCAGAAACACCACTGATGTGACAGGCTCTGGAACCTGTGAAGTTTGTCACCTACCCTCTGGCAGGCATGTATCCAAGGCACACTTGATATACTTCCTCATCAGGTCCAATTAGCATTATGTCATCCCTATGGGATAGCAAAATAATCAAGAGTTGTCCTGATTACATCATGACAGCATGCATTTGAATTGAGGTAGTCATGAAGCAAGATGGCAAACTATCCTCTTGCCCCACCACTTAGATCAAACTGCTTCTCATTTCCTTGTCTTGTAGAAATTGTGTGGGGGAGCAGAGAAGCCAGCAATAGCTGCAAACCAGGTGCCAGGGACTGTATTAACTTGCTCCAGTAAAGATACTGCAACCCAGAAGAGCAGGTGATATTGGCATCACAGCCTGTTTGTGAAAATCACTGGCGTTCTCCATGTCCATCTGCTTTTTCACCAGTCAAAGAGATGGGTCAAGTGAGGATGTGATAGGAATCACTACTTCCGCACCTATTAGGTTGTTGACGGTAGGATTAATCTCTGAAACTCCCCTCAGGAATGTGTGATTGCTATTTTTTTTGAAACAGAGTCTGGCTCTGTTTCCCTGGCTGGAGTACAGTGGTGCCATCTCGGCTTACTGCAGCCTCTGCCTCCCAGGTTCAAGCAATAGACTACAGGCATGCACCACCATGCCCGTCTAAGTTTTTGTGTGTTTTAGTAGAGATGGGATTATTGCCACATTGCCCAGGCTAGTCGCAAACTCCTGAGCTCAGACAATCTGCCCACCTCAGCCTCTCAAAATGTTAGGGTTACATGAGACACCACGCCCGGCCAAGATTGCTATTTTGATGTGGGTGAAGAGTACAATTCTAGGGGCTTCTACTTGGCCCTTCCTAACATAATAACTCTCACTTTTTGGATCTGGAAACTGATGTGGGAATTCTGGCAGTTTCCAATCCTATGTCTACTATACGTTGTCCAGACTCGAGAAATAACCAAAGGACCAGTGATTATCTGGCTCCTTGGGCCCTCCCTCTGCCTGCTGGACCAATGTGGCACTTCAGTCTCTGCCAGAATCAGAGCCAGAATCATTCAGAGCCAGAATCTAGGAATCCCTCGATAGTTCCATTTCCCCAGTACAGAGTCACCCTATTAAATGTCTGCAGGTCCCTCTGATGAAGGACTGAGGGAAGAGTCATAGAATGTGTCTGCAGCCATGTAACAGGATTTTTCTCAAAGGTCTCTTTCCCAAAGAGTTGTAGGATTTTGGATTAGTTTATATTTGGAAACTGGATAAGGGGTTTTGATTCCCCACCATGACAACTAAAGATAGGGTTATGCCCAGTATATCTGGGATTTTTCTGCCTATGTATGTCAAGCCACATTTTAGTAGACTGCCCATCTATTTAATTTGTAAGGATGCCATGATCATCACTATGGATCCCTCCTGGTCAAAACACTCAGATTACCACTCCAATCCTACGGTTTATTGGGATAATATGTCCATCTTGTCTCGGCTGTTCAATAACGACTGCAACCTGGCTTCTACCACTGCAGGATTCCACTACTTCCGTTTAGATAAGGGAAGCCAGTTCCAGTGCTGCATACCCCACTGTCATTTCTGGCCTATAGAGAACAGCCACCAAAAAGCTTCACAAGGTTACCAGTGCCCACGGCTAGTGAAGCACCCTGGCACAAGATATTAAAGGAGGCATTCACTTTCAGGCTCATGCATTCAGGATCAGTACCGGAGGGTGGGTGCCCGGTTAAATGTTGTATCCTGGGTGTCTTCTTGCCTCCCCCCTCACTCCAGCACTGCTAGTACCTTCCTCTCCAATGCATGTCTTAATTCCTTGGTGATAGGTGCATCCCCTGGGCTTGCTCGGGGATTCTGGCTAGGGGGGTAGTGTCGAAGCGTGTTGCACATAGTAGCTCCATTTCAATATTCTCACATCCCTGAGTCTTTGAGCTCCTTCTAGAACAATGCCTCTCAAACTGTAACATATAATGTGCATATGAAGCACATGGAAATATTGCTAAAATTCTGATTCAGAAGGTCTAGGATGGGGCCCGAGATTCTACATTTTTAAATAGCTCCCAGTGATGCTGCTACAGCAACTCCACATGACACATTTTGAGCAGCAAGTTTCTACCAAATGCCACGTAAGTCAGGGAATCTCAAACTCATTAACTGTAGACCAACATTGAGTCAAGGCATCAGCAAGCCAAAATCAGTTGGCCAAATCTAGCAGAGTATCAACTACTCCCAAGCCAACACATTCAATCCCTATTGAGCGTCAATGCTTTCAGCTAGATCAAGCCTTTATTTCATTCTCCTTCATCTACATCTTTAGTATGCATTCCCATACTTGCCTCCCAGGTCCTGCCAATACACACAAATGAGATCTGGAACATTTTTGTGTACAAGCTCCCTCTTCAAGAACAGGCCTTTATTTCTGCATCTGGACTATGTTGAGATCTAACTCTTTTTTTTATATATACTTTAAGTTTTAGGGTACATGTGCATAACGTGCAGGTTTGTTACATATGTATACGTGTGCCATGTTGGTGTGCTGCACCCATTAACTTGTCATTTAACATTAGGTATATCTCCTAATGCTCTCCCTCCCCCCTCCCCCCACCGTACAACAGGCCCTGGTGTGTGATGTTCCCCTTCCTGTGTCCATGTATTCTCATTGTTCAATTCCCACCTGTGAGTGAGAACATGCAGTGTTTGGTTTTTTGTCCTTGCGATAGTTTGCTGAGAATGATGGTTTCCAGCTTCATCCATGTCCCTACAAAGCACATGAACTCATCCTTTTTAATGGCTGCATCGTGTACCATGGTGTATATGTGCCACATTTTCTTAATCTATCATTGTTGGACATTTGGGTTGGTTCCAAGTCTTTGCTATTGTGAATAGTGCTGCAATAAACATATGTGTGCATGTGTCTTTATAGCAGCATGATTTATAGTCCTTTGGGTATATACCCAGTAATGGGATGGCTGGGTCAAATGGTATTTCTAGTTCTAGATCCCTGAGGAATCGCCACACTGACTTCCACAATGGTTGAACTAGTTTACAGTCCCACCAACAGTGTGAAAGTGTTCCTATTTCTCCACATCCCCTCCAGCACCTGTTGTTTCCTGACTTTTTAATGATCGCCATTCTAACTGGTGTGAGATGATATCTCATTGTGGTTTTGATTTGCATTTCTCTGATGGCCAGTGATGATGAGCATTTTTTCATGTGTCTTTTGGCTGCATAAATGCCTTCTTTTGAGAAGTGTCTGTTCATATCCTTCGCCCACTTGTTGATGGGGTTGTTTGTTTTTGTCTTGTAAATTTGTATGAGTTCATTGTAGATTCTGGATATTAGCCCTTCGTCAGTTGAGTAGATTGCAAAAATTTTCTCCCATTCTGTAGGTTGCCTGTTCACTCTGATGGTAGTTTCTTTTGCTGTGCAGAAGCTCTTTAGTTTAATTAGATCCCATTTGTCAGTTTTGGCTTTTGCTGCCATTGCTTTTGGTGTTTTAGACATGAAGTCCTTGCCCATGCCTATGTCCTGAATGGTATTGCCTAGGTTTTCTTCTAGGGTTTTTATGGCTTTAGGTCTAACATTTAAGTCTTTAATCCATCTTGAGTTAATTTTTGTATAAGGCATAAGGAAGGGGTCCACTTTCAGTTTTCTGCATGTGGCTAGCCAGTTTTCCCAACACCATTTATTGAATAGGGAATCCTTTCCCCATTGCTTGTTTTTGTTAGGTTTGTCAGATCAAATGGTTGTGGATGTGTGGTGTTATTTCTGAGGCCTCTGTTCTGTTCCATTGGTCTATATGTCTGTTTTGGTACCAGCACCATGCTGTTTTGGTTACTGTAGCCTTGTAGTATAGTTTGAAGTCAGGTAGCGTGATGTCTCCAGCTTTGTTCTTTTGGTTTAGGATTGATTTGGCAATGTGGGCTCTTTTTTGGTTCCATATGAACTTTAAAGTAGTTTTTTCCAATTCTGTGAAGAAAATCATTGGTACCTTGATGGGGATGGCATTGAATCTATAAATTACCTTGGGCAGTATGACCATTTTCACGATATTGATTCTTCCTACCCATGAGCATGGAATGTTCTTCCATTTGTTTGTATCCTCTTTTATTTCATTGAGCAGTGGTTTGTAGTTCTCCTTGAAGAGGTCCTTCACATCCCTTGTAAGTTGGATTCCTAGTTATTTTATTCTCTTTGAAGCAATTGTGAATGGGAGTTCACTCATGATTTGGCTCTCTGTCTGTTATTGGTGTATAAGAATGCTTGTGATTTTTGCACATTCATTTTGTATCCTGAGACTTTGCCGAAGTTGCCTATCAGCTTAAGGAGATTTTGGGCTGAGACGATGGTGTTTTCTAGATATACAATCATGTCATCTGCAAACAGGGACAATTTGACTTCCTCTTTTCCTAATTGAATACCATTTATTTCCTTCTCTTGCCTGATTGCCCTGGCCAGAACTTCCAACACTATGTTGAATAGGAGTGGTGAGAGAGGGCATCCCTGTCTTGTGCCAGTTTTCAAAGGGAATGCTTCCAGTTTGTGCCCATTCAGTATGATATTGGCTGTGGGTTTGTCATAGATAGCTCTTATTATTTTGAGATATGCCCCATTGAGAGGTGACAGCGTGCTGTCAGTCCTCACAGCCCTCGCTTGCTCTCGGCGCCTCCTCTGCCTGGGCTCCCACTTTGGCGGCACTTGAGGAGCCCTTCAGCCCACCGCTGCACTGTGGGAGCCCCTTTCTGGGCTGGCCAAGGCCAGAGCCAGCTCCCTCAGCTTGAAGGGAGGTGTGGAGGGAGAGGCCTGAGCGGGAACCAGGGCTGTGCGCGGTGCTTGTGGGCCAGCTGGAGTTCCGGGTGGGCGTGGGCATGGCGGGCCCCAAACTCAGAGCAGCCGGCTGGCTCTGCCGCCCGGGGGAATGAGGGGCTTAGCACCCGGGCCAGCGGCTGCGGAGGGTGTACTGGGTCCCCCAGAACTGCCAGCCCACCAGCGCCGTGCTCGATTTCTCACCGGGCCTTAGCTGCCTTCCCGTGGGGCAGGGCTCGGGACCTGCAGCCCGCCATGCCTGAGCCTCCCACCCCCTCCGTGGGCTCCAGTGCGGCCGGAGCCTCCCCGACGAGCGCCATCCCCTGCTCCAGGGCGCCCAGTCCCATCGACCACCCAAGGGCTGAGGAGTGCGGGCGCACGGCACCAGGACTGGCAGGCAGCTCCACCTGCTGCCCTGGTGGGGGATCCACTGGGTGAAGCCAGCTGGGCTCCTGAGTCTGGTGGGGACGTGGAGGACCTTTATGTCTAGCTCAGGGTTTGTGAATGCACCAGTGGACACTCTGTATCTAGCTAATCTGGTGGGGACATGGAGAACCTTTGTGTCTAGCTCAGGTATTGTAAACGCACCAACCAGCGCCCTGTCAAAACAGACCACTGGGCTCTACCAATCAGCAGGATGTGGGTGGGGCCAGATAAGAGAATAAAAGCAGGCTTCCTGAGCCAGCGGTGGCAACTTACTGGGGTCCCCTTCCACACTGTGGAAGCTTTGTTCTTTCGCTCTTTGCAATAAATCTTGCTACTGTTCACTCTTTGGGTCCACACTGCTTTTATGAGCTGTAACACTCACCGTGAAAGTCTGCAGCTTCACTCCTGAAGCCAGCGAGACCACGAGCCCATGGGGAGGAACGAACAACTCCAGACGTGCTGCCTTAAGAGCTGTAACACTCACCGTCGAAGGTCTGCAGCTTCACTCCTGAGCCAGAGAGACCATGAACCCACCAGAAGGAAGAAACTCCTAACACATCCGAACATCAGAAGGAACAAACTCCAGATGCGCCACCTTAAGAGCTGTAACACTCACCACGAGGGTCCCTGGCTTCATTCTTGAAGTCAGTGAGACCAAGAACCCACCAATTCCGGTCACACCATCAATACCTAATTTATTGAGAGTTTTTAGCATGAAGCATTGTTGAATTTTGTCAAAGGCCTTTTCTACATCTATTGAGATAATCATATGGTTTTTGTCATTGGTTCTGTTTATATGCTGGATTACATTTATTGATTTGCGTATGTTGAACCAGCCTTGCATCCCAGGGATGAAGCCCACTTGATCATGGTGGATAAGCTTTTTGATGTGCTGCTGGATTCGGTTTGCCAGTATTTTATTGAGGATTTTCGCATCAATGTTCGCCAGGGATATTGGTCTAAAATTCTATTTTTTTGTTGTGTCTCTGCCAGGCTTTGGTATCAGGATGATGCTGGCCTCATAAAATGAGTTAGGGAGGATTCCCTCTTTTTCTATTGATTGGAATAGTTTCAGAAGGAATGGTACCAGCTCCTCCTTGTACCTCTGGTAGAATTCGGCTGTGAATCCATCTGGTCCTGGGCTTTTTTTGGTTGGTAAGCTATTAATTATTGCCTCAATTTCAGAACTTGTTATTGGTCTATTCAGGGATTCAACTTCTTCCTGGTTTAGTCTTGGGAGGGTGTATGTGTTGAGGAATTCATCCATTTCTTCTAGATTTTCTAGTTTATTTGTGTAGAGGTGTTTATAGTATTCTCTGATGGTAGTTTGTATTTCTGTGGGATTGGTGCTGATATCCCCTTTATGATTTTTTATTGGGTCTATTTGATTCTTCTCTCTTTTCTTCTTTATTGGTCTTGCTAGCGGTCCATCAGTTTTGTTGATCTTTTCAAAAAACCAGCTCCTGGATTCATTGATTTTTTGAAGGATTTTTTTTGTGTCTGTATTTCCTTCAGTTCTGCTCTGATCTTAGTTATTTCTTGCCTTCTGCTAGCTTTTGAATGTGTTTGCTCTTGCTTCTCTAGCTCTTTTAATTGTGGTGTTAGAGTGTCAATTTTAGATCTTTCCTGCTTTCTCTTGTGGTTATTCAGTGCTATAAATTTCCCTCTACACACAGCTTTGAATGTGTCCCAGAGATTCTGGTATGTTGTGTCTTTGTTCTTGTTGGTTTCAAAGAACATCTTTATTTCTGCCTTCATTTCGTTATGTACCCAGTAGTCATTCAGGAGCAGGTTGTACAGTTTCCATGTAGTTGAGCGGTTTTGAGTGAGTTTCTTAGTCCTGAGTTCTAGTTTGATTGCACTGTGGTCTGAGAGAGAGTTTGTTATAATTTCTGTTCTTTTGCATTTGCTGAGGAGTCCTTTACTTCCAACTATGTGGTCAATTTTGGAATAAGTGTGGTGTGGTGCTGAGAAGAATGTATATTCTGTTGATTTGGGGTGGAGAGGTCTGTAGATGTCTATTAGCTCTGCTTGGTGCAGAGCTGAGTTCAATTCCTGGATATCCTTGTTAACTTTCTGTCTCGTTGATCTGTCTAATGTGGACAGTGGGGTGTTAAAGTCTCCCATTATTATTGTGTGGGAGTCTAAGTTTCTTTGTAGGTCTCTAAGGACTTGCTTTATGAATCTGGGTGATCCTGTATTGGGCGCATATATATTTAGGATAGTCAGCTCTTCTTGTTGAATTGATCCCTTTACCATTATGTAATGGCCTTCTTTGTCTCTTTTGATCTTTGTTGGTTTAAAGTCTGTTTTATCAGAGACTGGGATTGCAACCCCTGCCTTTTTTTGTTTTCCATTTGCTTGGTAGATCTTCCTCCATCCCTTTATTTTGAGCCTATGTGTGTCTCTGCATGTGAGATGGGTTTCCTGAATACAGCACACTGATGGGTCTTGACTCTTTATCCAGTTTGCCACTCTGTGTCTTTTAATTGGAGCATTTAGCCCATTTACATTTAAGGTTAAGATTATTATGTGTTAGCTTCCTTCAGGAGCTCTTGTAAGGCAGGCCTGGTGGTGACAAAATCTCTCAGCATTTGCTTGTCTGTAAAGGATTTTATTTCTCCTTCACTTATGAAGCTTTAGTTTGGCTGGATATGAAATTCTGGGTTGAAATTTCTTTTCTTTAAGAATGTTGAATATTGGTCCCCACTCTCTTCTGGCTTGTAGAGTTCCTGCCAAGAGACCAGCTGTTAGTCTGATGGGCTTCCCTTTGTGGGTAACCCGACCTTTCTCTCTGGCTGCCCTTAACATTTTTTCCTTCATTTCAACTTTGGTGAATCTGACAATTATGTGTCTTGGAGTTGCTCTTCTCGAGGAGTATCTTTGTGGCGTTCTCTGTATTTCCTGAATTTGAATGTTGGCCTGACTTGCTAGGTTGGGGAAGTTCTCCTGGATAATATCCTGAAGAGTGTTTTCCAACTTGGTTCCATTCTCCCCGTCTTTTCACATAGTCCCATATTTCTTGGAGGCTTTGTTCGTTCTTTTTATTCTTTTTTCTCTAAACTTCTCTTCTCACTTCATTTCATTCATTTGATCTTCCATCACTGATACCCTTTCTTCCAGTTGATCAAATTGGCTACTGAGGCTTGTGCATTCATCATGTAGTTCTCGTGCCTTGGTTTTCAGCTCCATCAGGTCCTTTAAGGACTTCTCTGAATTGGTTATTCTAGTCAGCCATTCGTCTGATTTTTTTTCAAGGTTTTTAACTTCTTTGCCATGGGTTTGAACTTCCTCCTTTAGCTCGGAGTAGTTTGATCATGTGAAGCCTTCTTCTCTCAACTCGTCAAAGTCATTCTCCATCCAGCTTTGTTCCATTGCTGGTGAGGAGCTGTGTTCCTTTGGAGGAGGAAAGGCGCTCTGGTTTTTAGAGTTTCCAGTTTTTCTGCTCTGTTTTTACCCCATCTTTGTGGTTTTATCTACCTTTGGTCTTTGATGATGGTGATGTACAGATGTGGTTTTGGTGTGGATGTCCTTTCTGCTTGTTAGTTTTCCTTCTAACAGTCAGGACCCTCAGCTGCAGGTCTGTTGGAGTTTGCTGGAGGTCCACTCCAGACCCTGTTTGCCTGGGTATCAGCAGCAGAGGCTGCAGAACAGTGGATATTGGTGAACAGCAAATGTTGCTGCCTGATCGTTCCTCTGGAAGTTTTGTCTCAGAGGAGTACCTGGCTGTGTGAGGTGTCAGTCTGCCCCTACTGGGGGGTGCCTCCCAGTTAGGCTACTCAGGGGTCAGGGACCCACTTGAGGAGGCAGTCTGTCCATTCTCAGATCTCCAGCTCTGTGCTGGGAGAACCACTGCTCTCTTCAAAGCTGTCAGACAGGGACATTTTAGTCTGCAGAAGATTCTGCTCCTTTTGTTTGGCTGTGCCCTGCCCCCAGAGGTGGAGTCTACTGAGGCAGGCAGGCCTCCTTGAGCTGTGGTGGGTTCCACCCAGTTTGAGCTTCCTGGAAGCTTTGTTTACCTATTCAAGCCTGGACAATGGTGGGCGCCCATCCCCCAGCCTTGCTGCCGCCTTGCAGTTTGATCTCAGACTGCTGTGCTAGCAATGAGCAAGGCTCCGTGGGCATAGGACCCTCGGAGCCATGTGCAGGATATAATCTCCTGGTGTGCCATTTGCTAAGACCGTTGGAAAAGTGCAGCATTAAGGTGGGAGTGACCTGATTTTCCAGGTGCCATCTGTCACCCCTTTCTTTGACTAGGAAAGGGAATTCCCTGACCCCTTGCACTTCCCAGGTGAAGCGATGCCTCACCCTGCTTTGGCTCATGCGCGGTGCACTGCACCCACTGACCTGCACCCACTTTCCGATACTCCCCAGTGAGATGAACTCTGTACCTCAGTTGTAAATGCAGAAATCACCTGTCTTCTGTGTTGCTCACGCTGGGAGCTGTAGACTGGAGCCGTTCCTATTCAGCCATCTTGGCTCCACCCCCGAGATCTAACTCTTATTATGGAGTGGGGAGCAGTCATTCAGTCAATAGAAGGCATTTTTTTTTTTTTTGGCAAGGAAGGATAATCCTCTTAGGCACAATGTAGCTGCCTGTCTGAAAGGTATTTGGGGCTCCAGAGTTCTCAGTATCTGCCCAAATATCCTTATGCCGTGTCTCAAGGTCCCACTGCTTCCATACCAGTGCTTTTCCCTTACTGAAAGAGATGTGATGTGGTTGCAGATTTCATTGGCATTGAACTCACCATCCGTTACAATTAGGTCCTTGGCTTGGTGCTCAGTCATATCTGCCCTGCATCTATAGAGGATGAGGGACTTGTCCAAAACTGTCATCAAGGCATTCCAGTTTTCTATGGATATTCTCAGCTGGATAGTTTTTCTTTCAATCTCAATTTTTTCGTTGTCTAAACTTCCTAGAGCTATCGAAAATGCCAATTTACAATCTTTATAATGACTATTGTTGCCATGGAAACTAAATCCCTTTCGAAACTAAATTCATAAACTGGAATTCCCAGTACCTTGTCCTCTACCTTCACTTCATCTTATGCCACCACTAGTGATAGTGTGATCTGATGTGTGTGTGTGTGTGTGTGTGTGTAAAACTAACAGCCTGAAGGATACCCACAAAAGCCATGATAGTTACTGCCTCTGGAGGAAGGGGAGATAAATTGGATGTGAAACAGAAGAAAGAAGAACACAAATTTAATTGCAATATTGCATTTCTTTTATTTAAAAAAAAAGCTTGAAGCAAATATAAAAATGTTAACACTTACATTTTTGTATATATAGACACTTTTTGTATTTTCTACATTTTTCATATGTAAACCCTCCCCACTCTCCACACATCATTATTCATTATGATCATGAGGGGTTTATCCCAGGATATTCATTGATAGAAAATTAAAAGAGTAATTTATAAAATCACTACATGAACAAGTAAAAACACACACAGCAAAATTTACATCAAAATTATTACGTGGTACAGAATCCAAAAGTCATAAAAAGCAAAAGCTATCTTTTTTTCACTCTGGCACCCATCTGTTCTTCCCTGGAGTCAAACACTATTACCAATTTTTAGGTATACTTCCAAAGATACTTACTGCATTTACAAGCACAGACTTATATTGATTCTAAAAGAATAAGAGACATTTTCAGCATGTTGTTTTGTTCAACACCACAGTATATCTTAAAGATGGTCCCCCATCAATACATATAGAGATCTCTCTTTTTTATGGCTTCATAGTATTATCATGTGCTGATATGCCAAAAACTAATCCATTAGACCCTTTTGGGTATATATTTACTATTTTGCAGTCTTCTGCTCTTAGGAATAAAGTGAAATTCAATCACCTGTATAGAAGTATTTCACACGTTTGAATATATATGTAGAATAAATTCCCAAAAGAGAAATTTCTAGAGAAAGAGATATATGCATTCACAATTTTGTTAACTACTGCCGGATTGTTCTCAGTAGAAGATGTACCAATTTACAGCAATGCATGGAAGTGCTTTCCCCCTTAAAGTTTGTTACCAATCTGAGTAATTTTGTCAATTGATACTTCTGCTATCATGAGTAATGTTTCCATATCTTTAGGAGCTATTTTAAATTCTTTTTCTGTATTCTACCACCTGTCAAATCCTTTGCTCATTTTTCCTTTGAGACCTTAGAATTTTTCTCTTCGATTTGTAGAAGCTATTTTTTGAAAATAAGAAATTAACTATTTGGCTGTGATATTCATTGCAATTCTTTTTCCAGTGTGTTGTTTCTTGACCTTTTATGCTGTTTTTGGTACAGAGATAATTTTGTTTAAAATAGTCAATATTTTCCTTCCTGGTTTCTGATTGAGGGCCATACTTAGACCTTCCCCATGCTGAGATTATTATTTTTTTAAGTGCTACTTCTTCTTCATGCACTTCCATGATTCCATATTTTTACTTTTAAAAACTTGGTCCTCCTGGAATTTATTTTGGTATCTAGTCTGGCATATGGCCCAAGCTTAATTTTTTTTAGCTGGGTGACAGAGTTGTTCATCATATATTGAATAATCCATCTTTCCCCAATTAACTTGAATTTAACATATAAAGTTAACATAACTTAACTTTAACATATGCTGTTAATACATTTCAACATGTATTTTAAATTTATTTTTGGCCATTTCATCTTGTTCCATTGACCCTCCACATATCAGCACCACATTGTTTTAATTATTGTAGCTTTATAAGATGTTTTAATATTTGGTCATGCTGACTCACTCAGGTTTCTTCTTTTCTAGATTTTTCTTGGATATTCTTGCCTCGTAGTTTCCAATAATTTTTTTTTTTTTGAGACAGGGTCTCACTCTGGCTGCCCAGACTGGAGTGCAGTGATGTGATTTTGGCTCACTACAGCCTCGACCTCCCAAGGCTTGGGTGATTCTCCCACCTCAGCCTCCCGAGTAGCTAGGACTATAGGTGCACACCACCACACCCAGCTAATTTCTTGCATTTTAAATAGAGACGGGATTTCACCATGTTGTCCAGGCTGGTCTGGAACTCCTGGACTCAGGCAATCCACCTGCCTCGGCCTCTCAAAGTGCTGGGATTACAGGAGTGAGCCACCATGCTTGGCCTTCATTAAATTTTAAAATCATTTCAATGCTATTGGGGAAAACCTGTTGGCATTTTTATTGGGATTACACTGAATTTATAGATTAACAGTGAAAATTGATATATTTATAATTTTTAATCTTCTTATCCAAAAACGTGGTCTGCTTTTTATCTGTTTAAGTTCTTTTTTGTGCTCTTTAGTTTCATTGTATAGTTTTATTGTTGCAGAACTTATATTTTCTTGTTGCAGTTATTCTTAATTATTTTATCTTTTTGTTGGAATTATAATATGGCTTTTTCTTTCATCGTATTTTCTAACTACATGTAGTCTGACATAATAGGCAATTAGAAAATAATATGTATAGACTTAACCTTATGTTTCACTAATTTATTTGTTCTCCTTTCCTTCTTAAAACCACTACTTTCTTCTCAATTCATTTTTTCTTGTTATAGTACGTTATTCATATACTCTTGCTAATAGCCCATCCCTATATGAATAGTTTTTCTGACTTGGAACAAGTAGGAAGTTTTTTAAAAATCACTTATAGTCCATCCCTGTATGAAGATGAATACTATAAGTACATTATTCCTACTTGTTCCAAGTCAGAAAATCTATTTATTTTGCCCTCGACTCTGA
Organism: Homo sapiens; assembly: GCF_000001405.40. Classification (NCBI taxonomy): domain Eukaryota; kingdom Metazoa; phylum Chordata; class Mammalia; order Primates; family Hominidae; genus Homo; species Homo sapiens. Next base: position 35,271,133 of record NC_000017.11, on the reverse strand, counting down.
ATGATAGTTTGGGGAGAGAAGTCTAGGTTTGATGTTGTTTTTCCACAGCAGTTTGAATATGCTACCTGTATTCTGCTTACGTCTACCCTTGCTAGTGAAATAGTTATTGTCAAATTCACACTTCTTTTTGTAGATTTTCCAAACTTTTTCTTTTAGGATTAAAAAAGAATCTTTGATGTTCTGAATCTTGATTGTAATGTGTTATGCTTGACCTATATATTCTGCCACTATTCTGGAAACTCTTTTAGTCAAAAGAGGTATGGTGGTGGTGATTTTACCCCCCAAGGGACATTTGGCGATGTCTGGAGACATTTTTGGTTGTCACAACTGACAACCAACCCTGGGGTAGGGGAGGGAGGGTGGTGGATTTGCTACTGGCGTCTAGGGAGTAGGGCCAAGGATGCTGCTAAACATCCTACAGTGCATAGAGAAGCCTCTCACAATAAATGGTTGTCCAGCCCAAAAAGCCAGCAGTGCCAATGCTGACAAACCCTGAGGTATGGGTTTTTTAGTTCTAGGCTTTGGTCTGGCCAACTGGGGGCAAAATGAATTTGGCTTCAGCCTCAGGGCAACACTTTCTGGCTGGGAGATTCTGTCCTGGCTTTGTGACAACGGTTGTCCTGGCCTGTGGTGGTGCCAGCCTCAGTGTATTACCGTGGTTTACCTAGATTTTCCCTACCTGTACCAATGACTCATAGGTTTTAGTTCATGGAGAGGCGCTTTTCTTGGTTGTGAGGATGGCTATGCATATGGCAATGTTTTGAAATATCTTCCCCATTATTTCTATGAGTTTGTTTTAGTAGAGGGCGATTTCAGCATGTGACCTTCAAGGTCTTTATGCAAAGGGGCAAAGTCAATAAAATTAATTCTAGCAATACTGAAAGAGAAAAGGAAGCAATAAATCACTCATAAACTCATCAACTAGAAATATTCAAGGTTAATAATATTCCAGAAAGCTTTTAAAAATATATCAGAGAAAATATAAGAACAGCTAGATAGAATTATGTTAAATCGAAGGATATGATACATAATATTTTAAAATTATTTTTATGTTTATTTCACTTGAACAAAAGAAAAAGCAACTAATAAAATTGAAGGAAGAGCTGAACTACCGAATATTTTTCTTTAACTCAAGAACTTTCAGTTACAGGAAGATTTATCTAATATTAAAATGACTAAATTACAAAAAGCATAAAATGTTTGAAGCCATTTTTAAAGTTGTTTTGAAATCCATATTAGCACTCAGACTTCCCCACTCCCTAACTTTTGTTAATTGCTGTAATGGACATTTGTTGTTTTGATCTACCCAACATCCTTTCATCCTACTTTGGTAACTGATATTCTTTGGGGGAACTGATCTTTCCACTTTACATCATGTTTTGTGGAAATTTTTCAACTAAGGAACCTGCCCTATGCTAGCTAAGAGTTGAGTACGGTATGCAAACTAAATAAGTGCAACTCTCTCACTGTAATTTAACCTCCTTAAATCAAGTAAAGAAAATGACTGTGGCCAAGTCACCCCTGCTACCTAGGTCCTTGTAACTGCCCAGGCACCTCTCCCTTCTAAGGCCTATTTGGTCAGCTTGTCATTTTATTCTATCAGGTCCTCCCTAATGATTCCAATAAATTATTTTTGTTTGTTTTTTTAAAATGATCCAAACCCTGGTTTTATGGATTGAAACAGAAGAATCTATCTGATATAAAAATATTTTTACTTTGTGAAGGTTTGTAACATTCTTTTCTGTAATTATAATTCCTATATATCTTAATTATATACATGTGAATGGATTTAAACTTAACTTTGGTCCAATTATAATAATCTTTTATTTGTACATGTTGCTTGCTTAGCTAGATTTCCTTACTGAGTAACTTTTCTTCAAGAATGATTCATGGGTCCTGTATTTCTAGAACTCTTTTATGTTCAAAAATACCCATGTGCTGCCTTTGTACTAGAATAATATTTTGACTAGGTTTAATATTTTTAGGTCAAAATTTGTTTCCCTAAGAACTGTACACATGTTGCTTCACTGCCTTCTTAGATGCTTCTGGTCAAGATAGAGGAACAGGGACCATATTTATCCTCCCTCCTGAAACAATTGCAAAATAAGACAAAATATATGAAACAATTGCAAAATAAGGCAAAATATATGAAACAACAGGTCTCGAGATATTGGAAATCAGTCAATGAAGGATACTGATCCCTGATCACTGTCCTAATGCAGGATGTGGGAAACAGATGAGGTCACCTCTGTGACTGCCCCAGCTTACTGCCTGTAGAGAGTTTCTAGGCTGCAGTTCAGAGAGGGAGAAATTGGGTACAGTGGGACAGGCCTTCAACTCTTGTTTTATTGAATTTATGAACTTCTTAAATTCTTCTATGGCAGGAGACATCTATGGGGAGGCTTTGTTTGTTTTTTGAGACAGGGTCTCACTTTGTCGCCCAGGCTGAAGTACAATGGCCTGATCTTGGCTCACTGTAACCTCTGCCTCCTTGATTCAAGCAATTCTCTTGCCTCAGCCTTCTGAGTAGCTGGTATTACAGGCATGCACCACCACACCCAGCTAATTTTTGTATTTTTAGTAGAGACAGGATTTCACCACGTTGGCCAGGCTGGACTTGAACTCCTGACCTCAGGTGATCCACCTGCCTTGGCCTACCAAAATGCTGAGATTACAGGCGTGATCCACTGCGCCCAACTTATGGTGAGTTGTCTTTTGTCCCCTGAGTTATATATCCTTTCAGGATGGGTTCTTCATCTGGCTCATGTCATATTTCTTTTCTACATTTTTCCCCATTGTCTTTCGCCTAATGATCAGAACACTTATCTTTCTAATGCTTAATCAGGGCAGCTGGGTAGAGTCTTTCTTTTTACCTTAAGATAGTATAGAAGGGCTCTCTTTGACAACTTTCTTAGATGAAGTAGACTAGTTTGGCTTCTTCTCCAGTGTATAGCTGGAGGCCTGGGTGGTGTCTTCCATCTACTTTTGTGTAGCCTGATATGATCTGGTGTGAGATGAGGCCCTCGCTGTTAACCTGGTTTCTACTCTTTATTGTTGCCTAGGAACTTCCATTAAATCCACTGAATTCCATGAAGGAGGCAAAGCATCCAGGAATAAGACACAGCCCCCTTCATTGAATTCATGTGAAATCCTGGAAAATCCCTCCTGTGTCCACGGAGAGTCCCTGGGGACAATCAGGAGTTTCTGTGCTCAAGGGTCTCCCTGGCATTTCCCTGAGCTGCCTGCTCAATACCTCCGCCACCACCCTTCAAACTGGCCATATTAACAAGAATTCTGGTTTTCTTTTCTTTATGTGACATCTATTCATGACTACACTGGGCAGATGAGATAGTAGCTATGCCTTTATATAAAACTTTTAAATTCTTTTTTTTTGTTTTATTTATTTAATTTTTGGAGACAGGGTCTTGTTCTGTCACCCAGACTGGAGTGCACTGGTATGATCATAGCTCACTGTAACCTCAGACTTCTGAGGTCAAGTGATCGTCCTGCCTCAGCCTTCTGAGTAGCTAGGACTCCAGGTGTGCATCACCATTCCCAGCTAATTTTATTTATTTATTTATTTGTTTGTTTGTTTGTTTGTTTTTGTAGAGACAGGGTCTCACTATATTGCTCAAGCTGGTCTTGAACTCCTGGGCTCAAACAATCCTCCCACCTTGGCCTCCTAAAGTCCTGGGATCACAAGCATGAGCCACCATGCCCAACCTTTTCTAGTTTTTAAATTTTCATACATATCTATTAGATGTTTATAGTGTAAGGTTGAACTCCATTCTTTGCTTCTCTGTTGCTGGTAAATTTTTGGGTATATTTTTACTAATTTTGCACATTCTTTTACATATTGGTAAAGGAACAGTCTGTGATCTGGATTTATTCAGATCCTTATTCAGAATTACCAATTGTTTTATTAATCATTTTATCTTAAATGTGTCTCTACTTACTAGTGATTTGCAGTATATTCCAAGTTAGTTGTAAAAACATTTCACAATAGACTAATTTCTTGCTTTCCTGTGAAATTGTCTCAAATTTAAAAAGTAAAGTTCTTAATATTGTAAGTAGCTGCCAGAAATAAACCAATTCTAGCTTCAAGTTCATACTTCTTACAATGAGAATTTTAAATTTCTTTATTCTTGGGAAATAGCAGGGCCTTGCTGTTTTTAATAGTGAATTAACTCTGAATTTTTTAGTTTCTGTCTCTCAGAAAAGATGGATTTGTTTGGCTTTAAATATTGAGAGAGTTTCTAGAGACCCACAGGAAATGAGAAATTTGCACTTTTGTAGCAATGGCTTTTGAAAGACTAGCTAACATCCTGAAGACTCAGCAGAAGAAAGATATTAAACTGACTTTGTCGTTTTGTTGATTATTAAATTAAATGGAAAAACAAAATGTAACCTTTGAGTCCAATAGACTCATCCCCCTAGGCTCTCTATCATCTTCAAATCAATCAGTAAAACACAGTGTGCCTCCCTGGGGGACTGTGGCAGTCTTACCTTCATGTAGTAACCTAAGACGCTCCATAAGAATAAAAAATCAGAGCTAAGGAACAGATTCCACATAACCAAAAGGCTCACAAAAAGCATTTTAAAATATAGTGATCAAAAACACTAATGTCGTTAAAAGAAAAAGCAGAAAATAATAAAGTAATATAATGTGGTCTTGCAAAAAACAGTCTGTGATCTTACATTTCAAAACATGTCTTGCCCGTTCCCGGCACCTACAAGGCCAGATGAGCTACCTGCTCCATCCTTCACATTCTCGCTGCACGTCCCATTCAAGCTCTTCTGCAAGTGGCCATGTTAAAAATTTATAAAAATATCCGAGTCTGCCTGGCACGCTCAGAGATTCTCATGACAAGTTCTTCCCTCACTGAGCACTTCCCTGACCACCCAAAATAATCACCCCCTCCATCTACCTACACACATGTGCACGTGCGCGCGCGCACACACACACACACACACACACACACACACACACATCTCTGAGTCTCACGGTCCTCTAATTACTGATATCCCTTTTTACCATGGGAAATTCCTTGTCTATCTGTGTATTTGTCAGTGGTCTGTCTCTGCCCTAAAGGAGGAATCTTACATCGATTCGTTCTCAATCCCCAGCACCTAGAAAAGTATGTGACTTAATAAGTGAGTGTGTGCTTACATGTTTGGATTAAATGGTTTCACAGTTAATTAGAGATGAGAACCACTTAATTGTTTCTTAGGCTTGGGTTTCCTGTCACACAGAAGCCTTCAGAATATACAGATGTCTTTTTGCCCTAGAAGCCAAACAGAGCAGAAGATTGTAGGCCCCAGCCGGTGGGGCTACTCCTGGATTGATTCCAAACACGATATTTCTTTCCAGGCCTGAAAATCGACAGACACTGTCCAACACAATGTGATCGGTTAGAACATCCGACGCATCACCGATCTGTAGTAACAGATCAGACTCCTCATGGAGCTGAGACAGTTTTCTCTTCCTCATTGCTGTTAGAAGCCTGTCTTTATATTTTTCCACTTCACTTGCTTTGGTGAAAAGCACAGCAATATCCTTCGGAGAATAACCATTCCGCAAGAGAAAACGGCATTTATTCGCTACATAGATCAGTATCTCCTCCAAGTTCAAGTCTTCAATAATCTCTAAGTTGCCTGGGACACCTTGAGCCCATTTAGGTTCATAGAGCATCACCAGGGACCCAGGGGGGAGGTTAGGTGGAGGATTTTGTCGGGCTTCCTGCATTACTTGTTGTAGGTAATTAGCTATTGGACCTGCATTGCGGACCACTCTGTTGATCTCTTCTCTTGGATACTGGTCTGAGGGAGGGGGGAGGCCACTGCAACTCAAGTGATAGGTCTGAAAGTAGTCCAGAAAGATCCAGAGAACTCCTGGGCCATCCCTTGCTGTCTGAGTGATGAACTTTGCTTTCCCATACCAGTCCCCATCTTCAGTACGGAAATTCTGAGCGTCATCAATGATAATGTGCTGGATGTGTTCAAAGTTGTTTTTCATGAAGGTTTTCCGGGTCACTGGCTGGCAGATGTTTTTCTTGCTGAAACTGTAAGAAACAGAGTCAGGTTTTTCCCCAATGAAACAAAGAAAGCAGATTCTACTCTTAAACCCCTCTGGTCATGGTAAATACAATATGAATTTTAGCAAGTAAACTGAAAGCCACACCAGCCACAGTCACTCAAGAAAATAAAGTGAACACAGACAAGCAGCATACCTCACCAACTTCTTCAGGGGCTGGTTTTCACAGATGTAGAGAATGTTAGCCGGTTCACAGTGAAACACATTCCTGATCTTCTCCATGATCCTAAGAGCCAAGATAGTCTTCCCTGATCCAGGTAAGCCATGAACAAACAACTCTCTGGTCTTGCGAAGGTTCTTTGAAAGCAACTCATACTGTTTATTTGTCAGTAGGTTCAAAACCTCAGAGCCCAGCTCTTCACTTAAGAAGGATTTGAACCCAAGCAAGACTATCACGAGGGACTGTAACAGGGCTTCCATGTGCTGGGGGGTCATGAAGTTATAGGATTCAGGGTAAATTTGTAAATACGAACTGTAAACGCTCTGTGCTTTTCTATCAGAATTCAGCACACAGACCAAGGGGGTGATGCATAACCTCCCAGTGTAGCCGCCTTTGTTCACCAGCTTCTGCTTCAAAGAATAGGCAACTATCATAGAATAGCCCTTGCACCCCGCATCCCACTTGCTGAAGATGGTGTAGAGAATAGGGGTGTTGTTCTGGGAAATTAGAAGAGCATCACAGATGACTCCCTGCTTCTCTTGCAGACCTAAATCCACAGCCCAGCTTTGAGAAAAAATCAATATTCCTTGAGAGAAAGGGCGCATTTCTGTATTTATTAAGTCTCTGAGTCCTTTATGTTGTGAGAAGAGTTCCTTGTAGAGGCTTTCTGGAGTATATACCACTCTGTCTGAAAATACTAGACAGGGAAAGGATGGGAAGAAATTAGAAAAGCCTCAGACAAGCTAGTAATCATCATTATACGTAGAAGAATTAATCAACACTGGGACTCTACTATGTATCTACAATAGGTTATACATTAGTAATAAAAAGATAAACAATTCTTATTTTGATGGGGCGCTAATTAGCTGGTATAAACAGACAATAATAATTATGGTAAAAAGTGGTCAATACAACTAGAGAGAAGGACAGAAAGTATTATGTGAATACCAAGGAAAGGTACAATTTAGGAAAGAAGAAAATATGAAAGTCTTTATGAAGAAGGAAACACCTGAGCTGATTCTTTTTTTTCTTTTTTCTTTTTCTTTCTTCTTCTTTTTTTTTTTTTTTGAGATGGAGTCTTGCTCTGTCGCACCAGTGGTGCGATCTCGGCTCACTGCAACTTCTGTCTCCTGGGTTCAAGTGATTCTCCTGCCTCAGCCTCCCAAGTAGCTGGGACCAAAGGCGTGTGCCACCAAGCCTGGCTAATTTTTGTATTTTTAGTAGAGCTGGGGTTTCACCATGTTGGCCAGGCTGGTCTCAAACTCCTGGGCTCAAGTGATCTGCCCGCCTGGGCCTCCCAAAGTGCTGGGATCACAGGCGTGCGTCACCGCACCCAGCCCTGAGCTGATTATTAAAGGATGACTTGGAGTTAGTGAGTTGAAGAGGAGAATAGAGACATGGTCAAAAGAGGGCACATGACTAACACTCAGGGACAAGAAACAGCAAGGAAGCCGGGCGTGGTGGCTCATGCCTGTAATCCCAGCACCATGGGAGGCCGAGGCAGTTGGATCACTTAAGCCCAGGAGTTCAACACCAGCCTGGCCAACATGGTGAAACCCCATCTCTACAAAAAATACAAAACTTAGCCGGGCATGGTGGTGCGTGCCTGTAATCCCACCCACTCGGGGGGCTGAGGCACGAGAATCGCTTAAACCCAGGAGGCGGAGGTTGCAGCCAGCTGAGGTCACACCACTGCACTCCAGCCTGCACAACAGAGTGAGATCCTGTCTCAAAAAAAAATAAATAAATAAAAAGCAAGGTCCATTCAGGTCACTCCAAGCAGTTTGTGTTGCTGACATCCAAAGTGCGAGGCAAAGAGGTGGAAACAAGGATGGTGAGGAAGGCATTAGAGTGCCATCTTAACACCTGGCAAGATTACGTACTGTATGGTTTCACTTACCTGACATTCTGTAAAGCACAACTATAGGTACAGGCAACAGATCAATGGATGCTAGAGGTTAGGGATTTGGGGAGAGTTTGACTAAAAAGGGACAGCATGGAGACTTTTTTTTGGGGGGGACGGGGTCTTGCTCTGTCACCTAAACTGGGGTACAATGGTATGATCATGGCTCACTGCAGCCTCTACTTCCTGAGCTCAGGTGATTCTCCCACCTCAGCTTTCTAGGTAGCTGGGACTACAAGTGCATGCCACCACATGCAGCTAATTTTTGTATTTCTTTGTAGAGACAGAGTTTCACCATGTTGCCTAGGCTGGTCTTGAACTCCTGGGCTCAAGTGATCCTCCCACCTCGGTCTCCTAAAGTGCCAGGATTACAGGTGTGAGCCACCTCACCCGGCCATCTTTTTTTCTTTTTGATAGGATAAAATGATTCTAAGCTTCTTCCAGAAGAGAAATGCCGTGATAATACCATGTTGGTTGGTCAAAGTGTATTTGGGTATATGTTTTAGCTTACAATCTGGCAATATCCATCTAAAGTTACAAGTAATTATTACTACTTGGAATTTTTTTTTCTTTTCCTTTTCTTTTTTTTTTTTTTTTGAGATGGAGTCTCCCTCTGTCGCCCAGGCTGGAGTGCAGTGGTGCCATCTTGGCTCACTGCAACCTCCGCCTCCAGGGTTCAAGCGATTCTCCTGTCTCAGCCTCCCGAGGAGCTGGGACCACAGGCGCATGCCACCACACCCAGCTAATTTTTTGTATTTTTAGTAGAGACAGGGTTTCACTGTGTTAGCCAGGATGGTCTCGATCTCTTGACCTTGTGATCCGCCTGCATTGGCCTCCCAAAGCTCTGGGATTACAGGCCTGAGCCACTGTGCCTGGCCACTACTTGGAATTTATCCTTAAAGAACACCTCAGGTATATTATGGTAAAATGTATATTATAGCATTGTTTAAAAATGAAAAAATTAGACGTCATATAAAAGTCCATCAAAAAAATGATTGGGCTGGGCGCAGTGGCTCATGCCTGTAATCCCAGCACTTTGGGAGGCCGAGGTGGGTGTATTACCTGACGTCAGAAGTTTAAGACCAGCCTGGCCAACATGGTGAAACCCTGTCTCTACTGAAAATGCAAAAAAAATTAGCTGGGTGTGGTGGCATGCGCCTCTAATTCCAGCTACCTGAGAGGCTGAGGCAGAAGAACTGCTTGAACCCGGGAGGTGAAGGTTGCAATGAGCCAAAGTTTCACCGTTGCACTCCAGCCTGGGCAACAAGAGCGAAACTTCATCTCAAAAAAAAAAAAAAAAAGACTGGTGGCTTGGCGTGGTGGCTCATGCCTGTAATCCCAGCACTTTGGGAAGCTCAGGTGGAAGGATCGCTTGAGTCCAGGAGCTTGAAACCAACCTGGGCAACACAGGGAGACTCCATCTCTACAAAAGTTAAAAAATTAGCCTGGCATAGTAGAGTGCTGCTACTTTGTAGAGATGGGGTCTTGCTATGTTGCCCAGGCTGGTCTCAAATTCCTGGACTTAAGCAATTCCACACCTCACCCTCCCAAAGTGCTGGGATTACAGGTATGAGCCACTGTGCCCAGTCTTTTCACTTTCTTTAAGGTATATTTTGAGGAACAGTTCTTAATTTTAATGTAGTAAAATTTATCAGTCTTTTTAAGTTTGATCCTTTTGTGTCTGGTTTAGGAAATGCTTTCCTACCCCAATGATACAATTATTCATATACACTTTCTACTAAAAGTTTTAAAGGTTTGGCTTTCATATTTAAGTCCTTAAACCTCTGGAATTGATTCTGTATATAATATAAAGTAGGAGTCAATTTTTTATATGAATGAACAATCAACATATTCCAAAGCAACCAGAGATGGCCAATTACCTGGAAAGTAGCGTTTCTGCTGCTCTTTCAGACATTCCGAATTCTTATGAATGCACACAGGCTTGCTGCGGGGCGTGGCAGATGACAAACTCAACTGGAGAACCATCTCAGGACACCTGGAAAGGTCTTAGGAAACAAGAACCAAGGATTCAATATGCAAAAAGGCAGACCCCAACTTATAGCTGAGCTGTGCTACAAAGTCTTTCACCTAGTCTTACAACTCAAGCCACGGCCCACAGATACTTGCCTTTACATCTCAGGTCAGCTCAGGAAAGCCTACTGAGGTTTTTGAAGGAAAAAATAACCTAGCATAAAGCAACACTTTTTAATTTTATTATGTCAAAACAAAACTATTTTTATTTCTATTATTTATTTATTTATTTATTGAAACAGTCTCACTCTGTTGCCCAGGCTGGAGTGCAGTGGCATGATCTCACCTCACTGCAACCTCCGTCTCTCAGGTTCAAGCAATCCTCCTGAGCAGCTGGGATTACAGGCGTGCGTCACCACATCCAGCTAATTTTTTGTATTTTTGGTAGAGACGGAGTTTCACCATGTTGGCCAGGCTGGTCTCAAACTCCTGACCTCAGGTGATCTGCCCCCCTCGGCCTCCCAAAGTGCTGGAGTTACAGGCATGAGCCACCGTGCCCAGACTGTTTTTATATTTTTAGAATGCTACTTTTTAAAGAAAAATGATGAGAAGATGCAAAGGCCAATGGATATAGACACCTGAGCAGATTCTGAGGTGGACTTTGTTTTTTCTGGACCTTTGAAGAAGTTACTATTGGTTTTCTCTGTCTAATTTTATCTCAGGCTTTCCTTTTCCAGGATAGATGCATGTCACCAACCATCCTCTGGCTTATCACGTACCGGCTCCCCAAAGGAAAAATGGGAAAGCAGAGCGAAAGCCGTGATTTGGTCATATTTTGGTTCAAAAAATGGAAGTGGGCAGTGAGAAAGGGTGAATATTTAAGAAGGGAAAGTCAGAGGAAAGTGGCAGTAAATTAAAGTGGACACATCTGTACATGTGAAAAAAAGAAATTTCCTAAATAATTAAATGCAAGCTCATAATTGAAAAATAAGAGGCTTGACTATGAACATAAGAAAGGATGTGAAAATTGAAATAACTAGGTCAAACAGCCCCCTGCACCAGCCTTTAATGGGGCTACTAGCCAGGGCATCTGTTGAATGAAGACTATTTAAGATGGCAGAAGAAAGGAAGGGCAATAATCCACGAACTACATCTACAGGGATTAATAAGTCAGACAATTGCAAATCAGAGAGTAAATCTCTTTCCCCAGATTCCAAGGAATACCATATCCCTCTTTCCTCTCTGACCCGCCCTGCCTTGCTGCCAGCAAACATTACAACCATTGTGGATATTGCTCCCTAACCTGGGTCAGCTTCCATCATCCAAGCAGTCCATTCTCTTGTGGGCAATTGTCTCACACGGTTGTCCTTCACCTGCCAGGAACTAGGCACTTTGGCAAACACCGCACAGCAGAATTTCTCCACCTTGATTGCACAGACATATCCACGGAGGGCCCCCTTATCATGCACTTCAAGGAAGTTAAGGACATATTTTATCTCAGGCCTCTGTGTGCAGAAATGATGGACAGGTAGCTTCTTAATACAGCCATCAATAGAAGCCCTCAAGCTCGTAAGGTCTATTTTCTCTTTTTCACATCCAATCACTTGACAAGTCTCATCATGCACACCAAAAAATACATATCCTCCTTCAGTATTTGCAAATGCAGAAACACACTTCGGAAGTCTGTCTTTAACACAGTGTGACACGTCTGTCGAGAACATTACAAATTCAACATGTGTGGACTCAGGAAGGTTGAGTTTTTCCAGATACTGAAGCCGCTTTCTATCAAATAAAGCAGCAGCTGACACATTTATGTTACCTTCATATTGTACACTACCCTGAGCTGCCTGTGGACCTAATGAATTGGAAACATTAATATTCGTTGGAGTCTGAGTCCTGCATTTGAGGAATGCCAGAGCTTCCTGAGAATCCATGACATCGGTGGATGTTCTCTCTCTGTGGTACAAATTGGAGCATAAGGTAGCAAGTGGCACACCAGCCTCTGTGTTCCATGATTTCACAAAAATCAAAAAGTGGTTTTCCTTCTGCATCTTATCTAAATGGCTTCTGAAAATTGGAGGCACATCCAATCCTACTCCATGACGTTCATAATTGTAGCCTTTGTTCTCAATCTCAGCCTTGATTATGCCCCCACCAGAATTCAGCAGAGCACATACTGCTCGCAGGATGATTTCATTCTGTTTCTCCCGCAGGCGAGGGTCCATCTCCTGCCTCTGCTGAGTCCCAAGGGTGACTTTTCCTGCATCTACAACACACTCAGGAAAGTTTGTATCCACATCAATCCTAAGACTCATCTTCTCAGCACTTGGCCTATTCCTATCCTGAAATGTTCTCCTGAAAAACAGAAAGATAGAACCATTAGAACAGGACAAGAATAGGAGAGGCAGGAAAACCAACAGATTAAGGCCATCCTACTGAGGTTGGTCCCTTCATTTATTCCTGATATGATTTGACTGTGTCCCCACCCAAATCTCATCTTGAATTGTAGCTCCCATAATTCCCACATGTTGTAGGAGGAAGCCGGTGGGAGATAATTGAGTCATGGGGGGCAGTTTCCCCCATTTTGTTCTCATGGTAGTGAATAAGTCTCACGAGGTCTGATGGTTTCATAAAGGGTTTCCCCTTTCACTTGGCTTTCATTTCTATCTTGCCTGCCTCCATGTAAGACGTGCCTTTCACCGTCCACCGTGATTGTCAGGACTCCCCAGCCATGTGGAACTGTGAGTCCATTAAACCTCTTTTTCTTTATAAATTAGTCTCAGGTATGTCTTTAACAGCAGTGTGAAAATGGATGAATGAAATTCCCACATAGCTTGAGGTCAGATTTATACATGAATTAAGCTTGTAAGGTGAGTTGAGGAGCTGAGTCTGCTGGAAGCACACCACCACCACAGAAATGACCAACAGGTTATATTTATGCTGTGTATTTAGTAACTATCTGCCAAGTTCTCAAAGTGGCAGAGTCTCGCAGGTCACCTGCAGAAAATAGAAAATTTTACATTGATATTTGTGGACTGGAGCTGGAAAGCAATGAGAAAGCTTTCGTGGTCAGAAGTATCTCTGGGGTGTGCTAATATTTATTGTTTTTCTTGATTCTTTGTCTTTCTCCTCTCCCTGAGACTTGGGCAATTTTCAGATTATTTTGTAGCCTAATATTGGGAGGGGACACATCTGATTGAGTTGGCAACCTGTCATTGTTGCTATGGAACAGATACATAGCAACGACGTCAGCTTCCCCTAATCCAAACGGTTTCCATCTTGTCAAAAAAAAATCATATATATACATCCTAGCTGTGTTTCTGTGAGCAGGGGCATTTTCAGTGACAAGGGGCATAGGCAAGACTGAGCCCAACATCTCAGCACCAGGCTGCAGTTATTCAGCTTGCTCCATAGTAACTCCACAAGACATCAAGCACTAGTGCAAAAAAAAAAAAATTGCTTTACTCCAGCGGGAACAAAGGATCTGAGATCCAGTAGATAATAAATCATGAGTACACAATGTAAACATTGGCAAAAGAGCTCAAGTTTTTGTTGGGGTGTTGCCAGGAAAAGCCACCTGTCCGGCTGCCAAGAATTGCCACTGGAATGGCAGGTCCTTGGTGAAATTAATTGTATCTAAGACCTAGTCTTCGACATGTCAGGACCATAAAATTAATCTTTTTAGGACCCCAAAGTTCCCTTCTGAGGGAAGGTGATTTCGTACCCCAAACTCAAAACAGAAATAGCTGAGTCACAGTGATACTTGATTACTGTTCAGTGGGAAATGTAAATATGGGGGAGCTCAGGTGTTTATTTCAAAGCATCTCATTCCTTCCTGTAGATTTAGAGCAGTGGTCCCCAGGATCAGTTTCTTGGAAGACAATTTTTTCACGGATGGGGGTTGGGGGTTGGTGAGGAGATGGTTTCAGGATGGCACTGTTCTACCTCAGATCACCAGGCATTAGTTAGATTCTCATAAGGAGTGCGCAGCCTAGATCCCTCACATGCACAGTTCACAATAGGGTTCATGTTCCTATGAGAATCTAATGCCACCGCTGATACGACAGGAGGCAAAGCTCAGGCGGTAATGCTCACTTACACTCACCTCCTGCTGTTCAGCCTGGTTCCTAACAGGCCACAGTCAGGTACTGGTCCAGGGCCAGGGGGACCCCTGGTGTAGAGTATGTGAAGCCAGATTTCAGAAGGCTGCTTGATAAGCATGAAATCAGATCAAAAGAGGCTTTTTATGACCTGATTGACCTCAGTATCCACAATTTCATGCAGCTGTGCCACAAGGCAATCACTAAAAGGAAGGTGGCATCGTGTAATAGTAAATCACTTGGGCTGTGGAATGAGGAAACCCTGAGTTCAAACTCCCAGTATTTGCCAGCTTTGTGTCTTTAGGAAAATTGTTTTAACCTACTTGCATATACTCTGAAACAGGTGTAAAAGAACCAAACTGGTAGTGTTTTGTGAGATTAAAACAGAAAAAAAAAAGCAGATATCCTGGAGAGATGAACAAGAATTTTCAAAGGATTGCTGTTCAAAATAGCAAAAAATTGGAAATACACAGTAATAAAGTCATTCTCAATATGGAAAATGACATCCACTTTCACTATTACATGCACTATTTTGTTTTGTTTTTTGAGATGGAGTCTACTTCTTGTTGCCCAGGCTGGAGTGCAGTGGTGTGATCTCGGCTCAGTGTAAACTCTGCCTCCCAGGTTCAAGCGATTCTCCTGCCTCAGCCTCCCGAGGATCTGGGACTACAGGTGCCTGCCACCATTCCCGGCTAATTTTTGTATTTTTAGTAGAGACAGGGTTTCACCATGTTTGCCAGGCTGGTCTTGAACTCCTGACCTCCGGTGATCTGCCCGCCTTGGCCTCCCAATATACTGGCATTACAGGCGTAAGCCACCGCGCCCAGCCTACATGCACTATTTTGAATGAACTCTAAGAATATAATGTTGTAAAAAATACACAAACCACAGAATACATCTATTATGATTCCATTTATATGAAGTTCAAAAACAGGTAAAACTAAATAATGTGTTATTTAGGGAGACATATATAGGTAGTAATATCATAAAGAAAAGTAAGGAAATAATAGAACATTCAAAATAGTGGCTACCTCTGTTTGGGGAGGAAGAGGGTGGAATTAGGGAGACAGAGAAATAGGGGAGAAATATACAGGAAGCTTCTTAGCTTCTAGAAATGTATTTCTTAATCTGGAGTGAATACATGTGTGTTTATTTTAATATTTTTTTAACTATGTAATAAAGTTTTATTCTCTGTTGTATGTGTGGTATACTTTACAATAAAATTATCCCAAAATGAAATGAGTTTTCATTTTTTTTCCCAGGCACTGTTATACAAGTACAAGCTTTCTGCTCAGGCAGACAATGGTTCCCTGCAGGACTCCATCCATTGTTCCATGTATGTCTTTTCATCTCTAGTTAAAGCCCTAAGGCTCTACCTCCCAACTCTGAGAGACACACAGATTAGATTAGATTCCGCTAAAACACCCATGCGTATGCACATGTGCGCACGCATACACACACATATCATGGTAGTCATTTTCTAAAAGCAGATTCAGTGTTTTCTATGTTGTTTTTATTTCAACTTACATTTTTCCCAGCAGTAAAAGTAATATGTGCTCAATGTGTCAAAGAAAGAAAAACCAAAGGCAGAATTAAAGAAAAAGAACACTTATAGATTCACCATTTAAAGATTTAGCATTCTAATGCATTTCCTTCAGCACTTTTCTCTAAATATTTTTGTGTTGTTGGTTTGCAGAGCCATTAACAATAAGATTTGTCTTTTTTAACATCATTAATCCTTTTTCTAATTAGAAGAATAACAGGAGATTCTAACTTAAGAATCCCAAGAAAGATGTCTGTACCTCCTTCACCCCTCATAGATTATTGAAAAACAATAGTGAGTTTTTTAAAATCCAGAAATTTATTTATTTATTTATTTTGATTTTTTTGAGACAGAGCCTCGCTCTATTGCCCAGGCTGTAGTGCAGTGGTGTGATCTCAGCTCACTGCAACCTCTGCCTCCTGGGTTCAAGTGATTCTCCTTCCTCAGCCTTCTGAGTAGCTGGGACTACAGGCACAAGCCACCATGCCCAGCTAATTTTTGTATTTTTAGTAGAGACAGGGTTTCGCCATGTTAGCCAGGCTGGTCTCGAACTCCTGACCTCAGGTGATCCACCCGCTTCAGCCTCCCAAATTGCTGGGATTACAGGCGTGAGCCACCACGCCCGGCCGAAATCCAGAAATTTAAACCTCAACATGTACGCAGAAGGAATGCCAAGTGCACTGAAAACTTGAGCAGGGAAGTTGATGACACCAAAATAGAATGCCTGCAGTAATGGATGCTGGGCATTGCTGGCAAAATTTGAAGTTCTCTGAAGTAGGAAGAAAAACAGTGACTCATGCATGATTACAGAACCCTGTGTCGTAAGAGTTGGCACTGTGAACTGAGATTTCAGATTTCATGCTCTCTGGACACTGTCTTTGCCCTGCCCCCTGCATTTCTTCCCTCAAAAAAGTGGATGCAGGAAACAAGAGATTCAACAAGGAAAGGAAGTTTAAAAATCCCCTGGATGTTTGTGAAGGGAGGTCTGGGAATAACAGCTGCAGAGCAGGCCTACAGATCACAGGCAAAACTGCACAACAGAGCAGCAGGCTTCGGTGGACAGAGCCTAAGACCATGCAATTGACAGATCACTTAGTAAACTGAGAGGGTGGAGAGTAGGGGATGAATTGGTCATAGGCACTTAGGAAGACAGACAAATACAAATATAAGACAATAATGCTAAGTTAAAATAAAAAGTAGTATAGTAAATAAAAGATAACCATAAGGCATTATTTGGCACCGTTGTAAATAAAGTCCTAGTCATGATAATATAAACTCCGAATATTGTTCTGATAAAAAATGATGATATAAGATATAGTTGTATTGGCAGGATGTGGAGAAGGAAGGCATAGGATAAGAAGTGTTGGCCAGGCACAGTGGCTCATGCTTGTAATCCCAGCACTTTGGGAAGACAAGGTGGGCGGATCACCTGAGGTTAGGAGTTCAAGACCAGCCTGGCCAACACAGTGAAATCCCATCTCTACGAAAAATACAAAAATTAGCCAGGCAAGGTGGCATGCGGCTGTAGTCTCAGCTACTCAGGAGGCTGAGGCACAAGAATCACTTGAGCCCAGGAGCTGGAGATTGCAGTGAGCTGAGATCATGCCACTGCACTCCAGCCTGGGTGACAGAGTGAGACTCCATCTCAAAAAAAAAAAAAAAAAAAAAAAAACTGTTAGCTATACTCAGGCCAGGCACAGCGGCTCACACCTGTAATTCCCCCATTTTGGGAGGCCAAGGTGGGAGGATTGCTTGAGGCCAGGAGCTTAAGACCAGCCTGGGCAACATAATGGGATAACGAGTTCTTATCTCTTCAAAAACCAAAACACCAAGCATGGTGGCATGCACCTGTAGTCCTACCTACTTGGGAAGCTGAGGTAGGAGGATCTCCTGAGCCCAGTGGATTGAGGCTGCAGTGAGCCAAGATCATACCACTGCACTCCAGCCTGGGCAACAGAGGGAGACCCTGTCTCCAAAGATTTAAAAGAGAGAGAGAGAGAGAGTGCTATACAGTCATCTTCCAGAAATAAACAGTATCTTTTATGGTCTGAATGTTTGCAACTCCCTAAAGTTCATTGTGCAAATCCTAACCCTAAAGGTGCTGGTATTAGGAGATAGGGCCATTGGAAGGTGATTAGGTCATGATGATGTACCCTCATAAGTGAGATTAGTGCCCTTATGAAAGAGGTCCAAGGGAGCATATACACCCCCGCTACCATGCGAGGACCCAGTGAGAAGGCACCATCTATGAGGGCCCTCTCCAGATACCAAATCTCTCAGCACCTTGGACTTCCCAGCCACCAAAATTGTGTGCAATAAATTTTTGTTGTTTAAAAGCCACCCAGTCCATGGTATTTTGTTACAGCAGCCCAAATTGACTAAGACAATATCTAAAATGAGAGGGGGTGGGAGGGAGAAAGGAGAAAATAAGCATGCTGTTTAGAAATACAGAAACACGTGCCAGAAGAAAAAGCCCGAGAGACAAGAGGCTCCTGGCAAGCAGAAGTGGGAGAGGCTGAGGCCATTGGTTTCCTTACTGTGTCTAAGGAACTATGATTTTCAAAACTACATTCATGAGACTTTCACTTCCAGTCAGAATAAAGTACTAGGGACTAGGCTACTCTCCTGTCTGAAACAACTAAAACATTTTTGAAGAAAATTTGATGAACACTAGAAAAAATCAAGATCTAAAATCTAAGATGTTACACAAACCTTAAGCACAAGAAATGTGAAAAAAAAAAATACTGAGGAACATCATAATTAAATTGTTCAAAACCAGTGATACAGAAAAAAATCTTAAAAGCATCCAGAGGAAAAAGGCACATTATCTATAGAGGAACAAAAGATGACATTAGAATTTTTCCAGGATTATGTTGTTGACAGGCGACACATAACCTGAAAATATCCTCAGCTGTCCTTTTTGGTTTTTGTTTTTTTAGAGACAGGGCTTTTCACTCTGTCACCCAGGCTGGAGTGCAGTCATGGCTCACTATAGCCTTGAACTCTTAGGCTCAAGCTATCCTCCTGCCTTAGCCTCCCAAGTAGCTAGGACTACAAGAACGCGCCACAATGCACAGCTAATTTTTTAAATTTTTTGTACAGATAGGGTCTTACAAGATTGCCTAGGCTGGTCTCAAACTCATAACCTCAAGCAATCCTCCTGCCTCAGCCTCTTAAAGTGCTGGGATTACAGGTATGAGCCACCATGCCCCACCGCTCAGCTGTCTTTTTAGTTTTCCCACGGATGTGGATTTAAGATAGTGACCAATTTGTCTATATTATAATGAGTAATTTCATGGAGAAATTTAGCTAATATCCATTTTAAATAATTTGGTGCCAGCAAGTGGCCATTTTGAGAGCACCAGAGATTATGAGAGTAAAGATTCAACCAGATTTTTTCATGGGTGGATCACCTGGGGGCAGGAGTTTGAGACCAGCCTGGCCAACATGGTGAAACCCTGTTTCTACTAAAATTACAAAAATTAGCAGGGCGTGGTGGTGTGTGCCTGTAATCCCAGCTACTCGGGAGGTTGAGGCAGGAGAATCGCTTGAACCTAGGAGGCAGAAGTTGCAGTGAGCCGAAATCATGCCATTGCACTCCAGCGTGGGCGACAGAACAAGACTCTGTCTTTAAAAAAAAAAAAAAAAAAAAAAAAAAAGTCCGGGCGCCATGGCTCATGCCTGTAATCCCAGCACTTTGGGAGGCCGAGGCTGGCAGATCACGAGGTCAGAGATTGAGACCATCCTGGCTAACACGGTGAAACCCCGTCTCTACTAAAAATACAAAAAATTAACCTGGCGTGGTGGCGGGTGCCTGTAGTCCCAGCTACTCGGGAGGTTGAGGCAGGAGAATGGCGTGAACCCGGGAGGCGGAGCTTGCAGTGAGCCGAGATCGCGCCACTGCACTCCAGCCTGGGTGACAGAGCGAGACTCCGTCTCAAAAAACAAAAAAACAAACAAAAAAAAACCCCAAATTAGTAATGTTTGTGTTGCATGAGAAACCATGAGGTCAGGCGGGGAATGAGCCTAGAGCTAGTTTGGCAGAAGCATCATCAAGTTTTGCAGTGACAGCTAATGCCCTAAACCAATAGAAATAAGCCTTTTAAACAGGTCAAGAGTGAGGCTACAGCAAATAATGGGGTTTTCATGGTTTCCATGAAGTTGAAGGCCCAAGGGCTTCTCTACATCGCTCTCGCACAAATAGACAAAATGGCTTTCTACAGTTGGGGTGCTTTGGGAAGGAGGCTGTTGAAGAACTGATTTCAGGTTCCAGGAGGTCTTTATGTTTGGACTTTCAAAGGAGAGAATCCCTCACTGAAGACAGTCAATCCATAAAGAGGTGCTCCAATTTCAGAAAACTTTGGCACCTATTGTTTGCAATATCCAGTTAACCTAGAAATCCTCTCATCTGTCATTTTGTGAGGGATTTACAATAACTTCGGATAATCTTTATCAGGAGAGAATATTTATCCCTCCTTAGAGAGGTTTACTTCAAATAATGAATTGTGTTTTGGTAAAATTGTAATTTAGCCTTAAAAATTTTATGTCCCTTCTCTACTAAGGCTGAGAGCAAGAAAATGGAATCCTTTTAACAGGCTTCCTTGTTCTCTGAACAAAGTAGGAGATCATTTTTATATTGTATCAGAACTGAATCACAAGGTCACAAGGGAAATTTATGTCTTTTAACTCTTTTTTTTTTTTTTTGAGATGAGTCTTGCTCTGTCGCCCAGGCTGGAGTGCAGTGGCGCGACCTCGGCTCACTGCAAGCTCCGCCTCCCGGGTTCACGCCATTCTCCTGCCTCAGCCTCCCGAGTAGCTGGGACTACAGGCGCCCGCCACCACGCCTGGCTAATTTTTGATATTTTTTTTTAGTAGAGACCGGGTTTCACCGTTTTAGCCAGGATGGTCTTGATCTGACCTCGTGATCCGCCCGCCTCGGCCTCCCAAAGTGCTGGGATTACAGGCGTGAGCCACCGCGCCCAGCCATCTTTTAACTCTTACTTGAGCATCTGGACAAAAACAGGGGCTTCAATGAATCTCTGGAGTATGACTGTCCAGTTATACCATTGTCCTTCCCAAGGCAAAGGCAGAAAAGTATTGACTGTCTTTGTCTAAAGGTGCACTGAAAAAGGCAGAGAAAATTTCTACTACAGTAAAGCAAGTGACTTCAAGTAGAATTAATGACAGATGGTGTGTGGGTTAGGCACTACTGGGAAAAAAGAAATGACAATTTTGTTGATGGTTCTGAAGTCTTAAATCAATATCTTCATCCACTTGGTTTCTTTGCTGGCGGGACAGGAGTGTTACTAGGGGATAGGAGAGGACCTTTGCATATAAGGCCTTCAACTGTAGGTTCGAGCCATTCCTTTGCGTCTGACTTCTATGGATATTGGGGAAGTTTGGGTAATGGTTTGACAGGATCTGTCTGAACTTAGTAAGTTCTGCTTATTATTTTGCTTCTCCAATTATTCGTCCTATGTGAGTGGAATTTTTAGCCCCTTACACTGTCAGGTTTGGTGTCAAGATATTTATTTGGAGTATGCATCAAATATAATAGAGAAAGCAAAGGTGTATTCATAGCAGGTGCAACTTGATTATGAATAGAGAAGTCTCTGGAACATCAATACATATTACAGTTCCATTTGCAAATTAAGTCTCTATTAAACTCATAGGCATGATATCAAAGAGGAGGAAGGAATGTTTTTCAGTCAGGGACCAAGGGCTACAGTTAAGGGCTGGGAGATGGAATAAATATGTGGCTTATATGTGGGTTACTTGAAATACCTACCACCTGTGTGGTATGTTTACTCAGAGGAAGAGATTGAGCAAAAGGGACAGTGTTTAACATAGAAAGAGTAGTACCATGTTTACCAGAAATTGATGAAGTTGACCACCTGTATTTATAGTTAAATCACCTTGAGTGTTTAGGGAAAGGCAGACTATTGGGTAGTTTCTCCTTCCTCTGAGCACCCTCATTGATCTGAACTGATGGATTTTTATTTGTCTTGGTTCTGTTTACAATATCTGTAGTGTCCTTGTCAATAGGTGGTTGATTGGGAAGTGGGCCACAAGTTTATTTTGAGTCCTGTCTCATTTTAGTTCTAAAGCTCTTTCAAAATGTTCTGCTTGGTGTTACAATTCAGATAAAGGGGTTGTTTTCCATTCCAATTTCTGTTTTAGAATTAAGTCTCCAATTTCATGTTTAACTCCACTGACAAAATGAGATGAAAGGGCTGCTTTTTACCACCTTCTTTAACTGATGTGTTGGAAGGTATTTCCTAGTCTATCCTGAAAAAGTCCAACAGTTTTATTTTTTTGTTTGCATGGTCCAATGGATTTTTATTAGAAATGATTTGGGTATGGCTTTTAGGAGACTTTGCCTTACTTTTTGGATCCTTTTTTTTAAAACCCTCGGATTTACTATGGAAAGAGGGATACTGTGGGTCCCTTTCTGAGTCTGTCCAATCAGCTTTTGCCCTCCAGGATTTAGCACCTGAGATTCTGACCAACATGTGTACAAGTTGATAGAGGTTAGGTAACCTTGGGTCATATGTACCTAGAAGAATTCTAAATTCTTTTGTGAATTTTTGCTAGTCTTGCTGGGTTTAGGGAAACCTTTAAGTATAACTCTTAATTCAGCTTGGATCCAAGGTTTAAATTCTACAGATGTCTGCATACCTGGCTTAAAGAGAGGGATGGATATTCAGAGGCAACTGGAATTTTGGAGTTTAGGAGAGTTATTGGGCAAAGGGTGGGGGTCTGAAAAGGGGGAAGAGAAGTGAGCAGTTGACTGAAGTATAGGAGAGAGATTATTGAAAGTCATGGCAAAAATTGCAATTACTCTTGCACCAACCTAATAGAAGGATAAGGGGGAAAAGAGAGAGCTGGATACACGGAGGCATCTGGAAGACAAGAAAAAGAAGCATTTACTAGGGAAATGAGTCTAGTTTGTTGTTGTTTAAGTGTGTCAAATTTCCCATTGGTTTTGGGCAAAGAATCTTTTAATGAAGCAATTTTTGATCAGAATTTCATTTGGAGGCCTCTGCCTACCAACAAAAAACGGCAGCCCCATTCATCCTGAGAAATCTTATTCCTACTTTTCTAAGGTGCATGTCAAATGAACAATTTTGTTCAAGTCAAATGTACCCCAAAATAGCCAGTAAAGGCCCAGATCATCCTTGGAGTTATGCCATTAGGAAGGTAGGAAGGTAGGTGCATGAGCTAGTGTTGTACAAATAAGAAGCAGTTTCTCCTAGATGAGGAGGGTATTTAGACTTAGAAGACCCCATGAGAGCTGTTGACCATCAGTAGGAGTATAATTCTTGTGCACTTTGTGTCTCAGGTCCCCAACCGTACAGTTGGGCACCTCCTAACACAGACCAGACAATCTGTGCCCCTCAGTAGGCAGAAAACCAGAGAAAGCACTCCCCGTGGACCAAAGTGAAGCTCTCAGGACAAAAACGCAAGATGGAAGGAGAACCTGAGCTGGTTTTATTGGTGACCCACAACAAAGTTTGTCCACATGGACATGGGTTCAGGGAGAACCACAAACTCACTGGACTGTGAAGCAAGCTTGAACAGGCTTGTAGGACCTATGCCTATGTCTGACCCTGTCATTCTCCTTCTTCGGACAAACCGCTTTTAAACAGCACAACACAAACACACAAAAAAGAGAGCCAAAAGAGGTGAAAGAGAATGGCCTGATTCCACCTAGGGTGCCAAATAAATGGGAACCAATAACAAAACCCGGGTATCAAATGAGAATCAGTAGCTGAGGAACTCAAAAAAAAGAGACATTCAGTCAGTGCTGACTTATCCTATCAGTGCAAACTCAACAAACCACTCTCTGCAAGGTGCAAGGTGCCTCTGTAGCAGCCATCCTGTTTGAAAATGGGAGTCCACACAGTGGGCAGATGGTACCTTGGTGGAACCTGCAAGGAAACTAAAGACATTAATGAAGTCTGCCTGGATGAGAACAAGCAGAGGCTGTTTATTCAGAGCTCACTATAACGAGGGAGTCAGCCGCCATCATCACTCACATTTGTCAAAGCCTCATAGACAGGCAGGGGAAAGATTGATAGTGACAAAAAGGGAATGCTCAGGTATGATATGATTCAAGGGTGTTGTCGTAGGGAAGTTGGAAGCAGGCTAACTAGAAATGAACATCCTGTATGATTAGTTTGGGGAACATATTTGGCTTTCTCTGACTGGTCCTAAATTGGAATCAGGAGCAAAAATTAAGGATGCTGTCAGTTATTGACAAGGTCCTGACCACTACCAGTCAACTGCTGCAGAAGTTGTGTTTGGCTTCCCAGGCTGGTTACTGCAGCAGTTCTGGGTCAGAGTTCTATTTTTGCATATGTCCTGGCCAGAGTTTGTATGTATATTTAGCCTGTCAACCATAAAATTTCTAGAGAAAAATATAAGAGAAAATATTTTTGCCTTGGGTTAGGCAAACATTTCTTACAGATGATATTAGATGAACAAAATAATTTTTTTTTTTTTTTCTGAGATGGAGTCTCCCTCTGCTGCCCAGGCTGGAGTGCAGTGGTGCTATTTCGGTCACTGGAACCTCCACCCCTTGGGTTCAAGCGATTCTCCTGCCTCAGCCTCTCTAGTAGCTGGGATTACAGGTGCCCACCACCACGCCTGGGTAAATTTTGTAATTTTAGTAGAGATGGCATTTCACCATGTTGACCAGGCTGGTCTCAAACTCCTGACCTCAAGTGATCTCCCTGCCTCGGCCTCCCAAAGTGCTGGGTTTACAGGCATGAGCCACTGCACCTGGCCTAGATGCACAATAAATTTTTTTAAATGATATATTGGACTTTAAGAACTTCTCCTTCTGAAAGACACTATTAAGAGAATGAAAATATAAGCCCCAGCCTGTCAGAGGAGGGGGCAACAGGAGGAGCGAGAGCATCAGAATGGTGCTAATGGCTGCTGGGCTTAATACCTAGGTGATGGGATGATCTGTGCAGCAAACCACCATGGCAACACATTTATCTATGTAACAAACCTGCACGTCAGGCACAAGTACTCCTGAACTTAAAGTAAAAGTTTAAGAAAAAAAGAAAATATAAACCTCTGACTGGAAGAAGGTATTTGCAAATTACATAACTGATAAAGAACTTGTAAGTAGATTATATATAGAACACTCAAAAAGTAATGATAAAAAAACCCAATTTAAAAATGAATAAAATACTTGAATAGACAATTTACCAAAGAAAATATATGGATACAAATAAGCACATTGAATTATGCTCAACATCATTAGTCGTTAGGGAAATGCCTATTAAAACTTCAGTGAGATACCACTACACATCTATTAGAATGGCTAAAATGACTAACCATGCTAGTTGTTGGTGAAGATGTGAAGGAATGGGCATCGTCATATACTCCTTGTAGGGATATAAAGGGGTACGACCATTTTGGAAAAGAATTTGGCAGTTTCTTAAGAAGTTCTGCGTACGCTTGCCATATGACCCAGCCATTCCACACCAAAGTATTTACCCAAGAGGAAAAAAAAAAAAAAGCATATGTCCATACAAAGACTTGTGCATGAATGTTCATAACATTTTTATTTGTGAAAGACATAGACTGGAAACAATCCAAATGCCCATCAGTAGATGAATGAAGAAGCCAATATTGATTATCCATATAATAGAAGACTACTCAACCGTAATAAAAAGGAAAGAACTATTGGTACCCACAATGACATAGATGAATCTGAAAACAATGATGCTGAGTGACAGAAGCCAGACATAAAAGAGTGTATATCATATGATTCAATTTGCCATAACAATAATACTGGAAATGATTTCTATTTTCTGATAGTATATAGTAGTCCTCCCTTATCTGGTGGTTTTCCATGCTTTAGTTACCACAGTCAGCTCTAGTCCAAAAATATTAAATGAAAAATTCCAGAAATAAATAATTTATAAGTTTCAAGTTTCATTCTGAGTAGCCTGATGAAATCTCATGCCATCCACTCCCTCTCACCCCAGGACATGAATCATTCCTTTGTCTGGTGTACTCACCCCGTATATGCTACTAGCCCTTAGTCACTTGGTAGCCTTCTTACTTACCAGATCAACTCTAATACTGCTTATGTTCAAGTAACTCTTATTTTATTTAATGGCCCCAAATCTCCAGAGTAGTGATGCTGGCAATTCAGATATGCCAAAGAAAAGCCTTTCTTTAAGTGCTTTCTTTAAGTGAAACAGTGAAAGTATAGGGAAAAAACACATTAGATATAGGGTTTGGTGCTACCCATGGTTTCAGGCATCTGGTTTTAGGCATCAACTTAGGGTCTTGGGACATATCCCATGGTTAAAGTGGGGCTGCTATAAACACGTGTGAATTTTCATAATCAGGCCAGGAGTGGATCACAGCATTTTCCTCTTCTTCCTCTTACATGGAAATAATAAAACTGCTTATTTTCTTAAACAAAAGAGTTTAATTCTTGTGACTTTTTTTATGGTGGGGGGAGGGGGTGGTTCAAGCAATTCTCCTGCCTCAGGCTCCGAGTAGCTGGAATTACAGGCATGTGTCATCACATCCAGCTAATTTTTGCATTTTTTGTACAGATGGGGTTTCACCATGTTGGCCAGGCTGTCTCGAACTCCTGACCTCAAGTGATCCGCCCACCTCACGTGATCCACCAGCCTCAGCCTCCCAAAGTGCTGAGATTACAGGCATAAGCCACGGCGCCCGGCCTCTTGTGACATTTAAATGAATACTTCTGACACAGGATGTTATCACACTGAATTGCTTGTCTGTTATCCTGCCACAGGAACTCTCACCTCCCATGAGACAGACAGATTAGGAATCGGCTTCTTTTTCCCCCACAAAGGCAGGCACAGCCTCCGCCCCCTTCTCATAGGGCGAGGCCAGACAAACTTTAGCCATTGCTCTCATCTTCTCCTAGAGGCTTGGCTCTAAACCAACGCCCTCCCACCCGCTATTGGTAGGGGAGGGGAGGAACTATTGAAAAGTTCCCCCCATCCTCCCTCAAGCATCCCTTCCTGCCTGCACTAGTGACAAAGGATCCCCTTCTGGTGCAACCGAGCCCCTCAAGATTTCAGCACCCCAACATTTTTAGTGATGAAACCATGAAAATTCCGATGAGGCCCTTGCTTATTTGCATATGTTAACTACCCACTTTTTGCCCAATATTCCTTTTTCTAGCAATATAATTATAAACTGCTGATGCACCGTTTCTTTGTCAAGCAGGAGGATATAGCTTCAGAGTCAAGAAAAAAATTTTGCAGAAGGAATGAATGCCTTTAAGGGCATTGTGACCAGCTGCTGACGCCCAGAAGTCTGGTGGTTCAAGATGTAATCTGAGACGAAGAAAGACTTTTCCCCGAGGTTCCCTGAAATTCCCCCTCCCTTACTTCCTGGTCTCATAAAAACTCCCCACTACTTCTTTTTGTTAGGGTGGATTTGAGAGATCTTGACCTCTTGCCTTCTCGCTTTGGCCAAATGGAATAAATCTTCCTCTGTCTCCAAGCATCTGTGTGTCAGTGTTTGGCATCAACAGCACATCAGGTTCCTGAGCCTGAATTTGGGCTTCGACAACTCGGGCTCCCGGGACACATGCAAGAGGGAAACGGAATCACACCGCAGTCTCAGCCACTGCGGATATGACCAACTAGGGCTCTAGTTAGTCACTGTATGGGGGATACAGGGCTTTGTGGGCTACCCTAGTAGCCTGCCCCTGTTGTTACAGTTTGAAGACTGACGTTCCAAGCCAGGGGCTTATAGGCAAGCCTCTGGAACAAAGCCTCTTGTAATAGACTGGACATTGGCCCTATTTGTCCCCAGGCCACAACCCATTTAACTTCATCCTCGGGAGCCCCGATTTCGTCGTTTTCCCTTAAGTCCTTCGTGCTCCTGAACCGTGGGGAAATGTTGCCAGGTTTGGTTTGCTAAGATGTAGGCTGCGCTGGGTCGGCGCCTCTCCCTCCTCCCCAGCTCGCCCCGCGTTCCGAACCTCCCAGCTCCCGGGTCCTCTGCCACTAGCTGTCGTTGGAGGTGCTCCTGAGTCAACAAACTAAATCTCCCCAGCGGGAAAGACTCTCTCCCGGCAGCGCCCAGACCTGGGGAGCTGCAGTCGCCGCACCTTGTCTTCACCACAGCCCAATAGGAGAACCCGCGCAGACCGGGGGGAGGTTTGGGGAAGGCCTGGGCAAAGAAGCGCGGGGGATTCATTACCCGCTGGGTTCTCCTCGGCAGCGCGTCTCCCTCCGGGAGCAGGCAACGGAGCCTCCCAAGTCCAGAGCAGAGAACCTGACCCGGCGGGATCCCGGGCTTATATCAGCTGAGTTCCGTGACACCTCCCGGGGCGGGACATCGCGCAGGAGACAGACAGAGGTACAGCCCAATCGCATCGTTACGTGGAGCCGGAAGCCCACTCTTGCAACTACAACAGTCTTGGTAAACCTTGGGTGGACTGGGGAGAACTGAGGAGGGGAAGCGCTTTTTTGTTGCTTCTCTGTGTTTTCTATTTTATTTTATTTATTTTATTTTTAGATTTTCAGTTCTTATTTCACCCAGGGAAGGAGACCTGGGTATCCACCCCATGTCCTCCAGAGAACTTCCCTGGCCCCGCTCGGAGTCTTCCTGGGACGCCACAGGCTCGGAGAGCGCTCCGCAGGTTTCTCCCCCGGCGCCTCCAAATCTTTCGATTCCTACTCGAATTACTCCGTCAGCTGCTGGAAGAGGGGCAAGGGGTATGGCGAGACGCGTTGGTACATGGGGCACTGGGGGGAAGGGAAAGCCTCCCTCCTTCTCCTAGTAATTCGAGAATGTTGCGTCCGCCTCCTTTCTTTTGCTGGCGCTAGGGGCTCGGACCAGCACCTGCCAGGCATAGGTGTGGCCACTGGGGCGAAACCTGGCAGGCTCTGGAAACAGCGTTTTACTGACAGGAAAGAGAAACTGTTCTTTGTATTCATCACCCACCGCAGACTTCCTCACGCCCGGGTCTTAGGCGGGGCTGTCAGATTTCAGTGTGTTTCTCTTAATTCTAGTACTAAATTTGTACTGGGCGCTGGCGAAGGGCCTGGCTCCGCCACGCGCGGCCCTCTCGAACTGCCCGTGGGTACGGCGCGCGCTGCTGCCCTGTGTGGCCTGTGCGGGGAACCCGAGGGCCGAAGTGGGCCCCGCCGCAGCACAGGGGGACAAGAGAACCAGGAGCGGGCTGCCTGGGGGCAGATTCGAACCCGTGCTCCCAGCGGATAGAAGTAGCACTTGGGGACTCCTAAAATATTCAGCCCAATCCTGATTCCAGCTGCCCTCTCTAGGCACCTTTCCTCTACCCTTCTTCCAGTTTACAATTCTGGTGAGTAGATGTTTCTCTATCTCTTCTCTTCCAACTCCTGCGCCCAGAGCCAGGAGGACTTCTGGAGCCCGCCCAGCAAGACCCTCTCTCTCCCATCTTCTGCTCAAGGGCTCGAGGTCTCAGTGGACAGAGCTGAAGAAAAGCCGTCTATGGAGCCTGCGCCAGGCGCAGACTGGGTCGTCGCAGTCTGGGTCGTCGCAGTCTGGGCCGGGGCGCTGGAAGTCTTACTCACTTCTCAAGAACCCGCAAGGGATCAGGCCTGACCCTTTGCAAGTGACAGAATCCAAAGCTTTGAGCTCATGGGAAAGTGGCTGGAAAGAAGGTCACTGTAGGGCCGCACAGGTCTCTGGCGAGGCTACCCAAGAACATTTAAATCCCTGCCCAGAGAAGAAGAGGCTCCAGCTGTCCTGCACCTTCCTGGGAACTGGCAGTCCCTCCGCGCAGGGGTTCTGCAGCGACCGGCAGCGCGAGGAGACAAGGATGGTGGCCAGTTAACAGAAAATCAAGGCAGCGGGAAAGGTCTGGAAAACACCACCTACTATCACCTCTGGAGCCTGGGATTATGGGATAAGTTTTCGATTTTTAAATGTATTGTCAAATAGCTAAAGTACACGGAAAGTGCGAAATAATAGTAAATTGAACACCTGTGTATTCACCACACAGCTTAAGCAATAACATTAGCAATATTTGGGTACCCAGCTGGTCTCATTCCCTCATTCCACTTGTCCCCTACTCACCTGATAGCCAGTACAATTTTATGAATTTAAAGTTACTAATTCCCATGCAACTGTTTATACTTTTAGTAAATGTGTTTATGTCCCTCATCAACACATGACACTGATTCAACACATGTATATGCGTTTAAGCTGCATGTAAATGGCATCATGTTGGCCAGGTGCAGTTACTCACGACTGTAATTCCAGCACTTTGGAAGGCTGAGAGGGAAGACGGCTTGAGGCCCAGAGTTTGAGACCAGCCTGGGCAACATAGCAAGACCCTATCTCTAAAAAAAAAAAATTGTTTGTTTGTTTGTTTGTTTGTTTGAGACGGAGTCTTGCTGTGTCACTCAGGCTGGAGTGCAGTGGCGCAATCTCGGCTTGCTGCAATGTCGGCCTCCGGGGTTCAAGCAATTCTCCTGCCTTGGCCTCCCAAGTAGCTGGGACTACAGGCACATCCCACCACGCCCAGCTGATTTTTGTATTTTTAGTAGAGACAAGGTTTCACCATATTGGCCATGCTGGTCTACGAACTCTTGACCTCATGATCTGCCTGCCTCGGCTTTCCAAAGTGCTGGAATTACAGGTGTGAGCCCCCGCGCCCAGCCAAAAAAATTGTTTTAAATTAGCTGGGTGTGGTGGTGCCTGCCTATGAAGTCCCAGCTACTCAGGAGGCTGAAGTGGGAAGATGGCTTGAGCCCAGGAGTTGAAGGATGCTATGAGCTCTGATTGTGCCACTGCACCCCTGCATGGGCAATAGAGTGAGACCCTGTCTCTTTAAAAAAAAAAAAAAAAGTATCATATTGTATGTGTTCTGTAGAACTTGCTCCCACACTTTAACATTTTGCTTTAAAGATTTGTTCATGTACTTAGATCATTCCTTTTCACTGCTTTATGAGCTGAATCATTTCTGCTCTTCTTTCCATCCATACCCATTGGTCTCCAAAGTATCCAGGCCTCCCCAAAAGTTCCTGCAGGAGACCTCAGTTCCACTGGCTTTCAGGTCATTATTGTTCCAGCACTACTTCTCCATTTCTGGTTCCAGCCCTTCTCTCCCACATTCTCAAGCTTCTAGAGGGTCATAAGAGAGGAAAAACGCCAAATGCCTTTGATAAAATGTTGCCTTTCCAGTGGTATGCATGTTTGTGTGGAGTGGGAGGGAAGTGAGGGCAGATGTGACTTACTCTCAGCATTAATTCAAGTTTAAAAGTAAAATCTTTAGGTTTGCCTTGTCCAGTAAAAAATGCCAAGAGCCATAACTGCTCATTCTCTCTCTCTCTCTCTCTTCTCTCTCTCTCCTCTCTCTCTCTCTCTCATACACACACTTGGTTAATGCAATATTTACGTTGTTTTTGCTTCAACAAACTAAAGAGGAGAAGAGAGTTGGTAGGTTAAAGGGGCAGGTTATTCTTTTTTTTTTTTTTTTTTTTGAGGCAGAATCTCGCTTTGTCACCCAGGCTGGAGAGCAGTGGCTCGATCTTGGCTCGCTGCAAGCTCTACCTCCCAGGTTCATGCCATTCTCCTGCCTCAGCCTCCTGAGTAGCTGGGACTACAGGTGCCCGCCACCACACCCAGCTATTTTTTTTTTTTTTGTATTTTTAGTAGAGACGGGGTTTCACTGTGTTAGCCAGGATGGTCTCAGTCTCCTGACCTCATGTTCCGCCCGCCTCGGCCTCCCAAAGTGCTGGGATTACAGGCGTGAGCCACTGTGCCCGGCCAAAGGGGCATGTTATCTTATTAAGGGCAGGCAGTCTCTCACAGAAAGAATCACTGTATTAGTGTAGGGAGAATCACTGCCTAGGTCAGCCGTGTGTCAATGACCTGTGTCACTGTCCTCAGTCTGCACAGTGAGACTGGAGGCTGCATGCCATGGTCTACAGATCCCTCACTACAGAAAATTTGCTTCAGCATTCTCCGTGAGAGTCACAGGGAGATTGATTATGGGGGTCAATGCTCAATGGCATCATGGCTGGCCAAGCTTTTTGCAGAAACTTTTACTAGGGGACTGAGGATTATAGCAGCAAGCATCTTAGCATAGAGCCTTATCTGTGTTTCCACAGACTATCTTTCAAACCCAAGCTACTTGTTTATAATATTCACTTTTCAGGCAAAAACATATTTTCCACTTTTTTTCTTTTCTTGATAAAAAGTTTAAAAAACAAAATTTGCATAAACACGTATATGATGTTTCTTAGGAACAATGTTTGCCATTTGACAAAGTGTGGTGAAATTTTGTCAGAACAAGTTTACTTGAAGGAGGGATGAGACATCCTTTATCAATGTTCATATGAATCACACACATCAGAGAGAGTGGGAGGGAGAATCTTGGTTCTCTGGCACTCCCAGTACCCACATTGAGATCCGAGAGTGTCCTGATGATTTTCCTGTCTCAGTAAGTAATTAAGCTTTTCCTGAAGGAGCTCAGTTAAGTCCAAGCTTAATTTCAGTCAAGTCCAATGTTTAAGTTGCTTTTTCAGCTACATGAAATGAAAGTGTGACTCAGAATTTTCTCTCTATATCCCCTCAGATCTTTAGCACACTGAGGGTAATTACAGAGTCTCAAAGCATATCCCCACAAGATGCTCTATTTATTACAAAGGAAAAAGACACTAATTTTCCAGAGAATCCTGGAATATATCACCTCAACCAAGTGATCAAAGTTAACATCATTAGTAACAGGACAAATTAAATTGCATGCCACTAAAAGAACAATTTTTATTTCTTATGTATTCCTGACCCAATAAAACAAAACAAAACAGCACAATAGAAAGTAACTATAAGGAAACATTAGAGGGTTCAATGGTGCCCACCTGTAGTCCAAGCTACTTGGGAGTTTGAGGCAGGAGGATTGCTTGAGGCCAGGAGTTCAAGACCAGCCTGGGCAATATAGCAAGACCCTGTCTCAAAGTAAAAAGAAAAGAAAACGTTAAACCCAAACCCAAATGGAAAGACTGTTCTAGATTGAAGAACATTAAAAAGACAAGACAAAGTCACCATGTAATCCTAGGCTGTAGCTCGGACTAGAAAAAAAATTCTTTTTGCTGTAAAGGACACTCTGGCAATTGTGAGAATGCACTTCAAAGACCTCAACTTGGAGCTTAATTCACAAAGCACCCCAGCTGCCTCACTTTGAAATCCATTGCACATTTGTGTGAAGGCCATGCTTCCATGGGCTGCTCCCAGCTGATGACTGAGTATGGCAAGGACAGCAGGGCAGGCCTTCTCCTAGGAGACAAAGGATGCCTCTAATGGCCAACTTTTGCTTGACTTTGAGTAAATATCTGGCATACTTCCACCCAATCTTTTTCCCCTCTCCTCCACACAGGATCAGACTTGCATCATTGTCTGACAGCTCTCTCATCTTTCATTGACTCCCAACTCTCAGCAACATGGAAATGCCCAAATTCCCCTGACATATGGTAGAGGAAGAAATAAAGAGTTTGAGGGAAATGAGCATGAAGGAATGGATATATTAGGTAAGACCAGAAGTAATGCAGCTAGAGGATTTTGTTCTATGACATGTCCCAGATTACACGCCACTCACCAAGACTGCCAGAAAGCACTGGTGAGAGGGGCACCTGCATCAAAGAAGTCCAGTGATGGCTGTCCACTGCATGCCAAAGAGGATGGTAGGTGAGGCAGTCTCAAAGCTGGGCTCATTAACACCCATGGGAATGCATGATGGGAGCCCTCAAATAATAGAAGCTAGGAGGTCACAATTACCACAGTAACTGGCATGGTTAGTCAGACAGCCACCGGGACTAGAGCCACAGGGAGTTGTGGAGATGGTTAATGGAGAATGATGTCCTTAGAGGCAAAATAGACAGGCAGCCAATAAGAATGTTACTTAACATCCATAACCCACGAAGAGCAATAATAAAGGAGCAGGAAGCTATGGGTGATTGCCCCCAGTAAAAAGCCACAACTTCTTGTTTAGTTCTCAAACTCAAGTCAATTTGCAGATCTGGAACCCACTGGCTGAAGTGATGGGTCCCCAGGAGGAAGAATCTTACAATGCCATGGCAAATGTATGCCATGACAATTCCTCCAGCTCTTCCCCAAAGGTACCTATGGGCATTTACTCATGTGACCATATGCTGGGGAAAGGAAATAACCAGACATTTCAAGGTCTGTTGAATATGGGATGTGAGTTAACACTGATACCCAGAAACCTGAAATATCATCATAGTGCCTGTTACAATGGGACAAGGTAATGAATGGAGTTCTGTCTGAAATCTGACTCACAGTGGTTCATTTGGTCTGTGGATGATTTCCCAAGCAGCCAAGTGCATAGTTGGACTATCCCCAACATTAGGCCCGGGTCGGTAAAGCATAACTATTATAGTGGGGACGGCCAAATGGAAACCTCTGAAGCTGCCCACAACTCAGCCAAGATGATAAATAAAAATCAGTTTCATAGTGTAAGAGATGCGTGCCACTATTAAAGAACTAAAGGATGCAGGGAAGGCAGTTCCCGTTATATTTTCATTTAATTTGTTAGCCTAGCCCCTGAAGAAATTGGCAAGATCCTGAAGAATGACTATAGACTACCACAGGCTTAACCGAGGAGTAACTCTGATTCTGGCTGCTATTTGGTGTCATCTAGATCAACGTTAGTAAGCCTTCAGGTGAAAAGTATGTGAGCACTGATTTGGCGAATGCATTCTCTTCCATTCCAATTGAAAAGAAGATCAGAAACAGTTCACATTCATGTGGAACGGACAAAAATATTCAGTTACATTTTGCTCCAGGGTTATTTTAACTCTTGCTTTCAGTCATAATATAGTACAAAGAAATCTGCACCATCTGGACAGCCCAGAGAACACCACATGGACCCATTACTTTGACATCATGCTTCTGAACAGATGAACAAGTGGTGGCTCTAGGGGCCTTGGTAAGATGTACACATTCCAGAGGACTGGAGATAAACCATGCTAAGATTTCAGGAACCAGCCACTCCTGTGAAATTTTTAAGGGATTCAGCAGTAAGAGTTGCACTAGGTGTCCCCTCCATAGTAAAGGACAAATTTCTGTATCTTGCATCCCCTACCGCAAAGAAGAAAGCATAGCATCTGGCAGGACTATTTAACTTCTACAGGCAACATACTCCATACCAAAAATACTACTCTGGACCATAAATCAGGTGACATGTAGAGCTGCATGCTTCAAGGGACCTAGAGCAGGAAGTACTGCAGCAGTACTGCAGTACATGGCGCAATCACACCCTGCAACTTGCACCTTACAATCTGACAGCCTGTGGCATTCTATCTGGCAATAGTTGGACAATGCAGTATGGGGATCATGGCAAGCCCCAGAGGGAGAATCCCAAGGCAGGCACCTGGGATTCTGGAACAAGGCCATGACATCCACAGCAGAGAATTATATGCCATTTGAGAAATAGCACTTGCACGTTAGTGGATCCTGATAGAGACTGAACACTTATCCTTGGGACACCAGCTAACCATGCATCTGAAACTGTCCATGATAAGCTGGATTCTGTTGGACCTAACAAGTCCCCAAGTTGGATGGGCCCAGAAGCAGAACGTGTTAATGTGGAAATCCAGAATGGAACTTGAGCAGGAGCAAAGGACACAATTAAGCTGCAGGAGCAGGTAGTCCAGACTCTCCTATACTCCCCTATGTCACTCACCACACTTGCACTAGTTTGCACCTATTTCTCTACAGGAGCTAAAGAGGTGCCCATACAACTAAGTGAAAGAGAAAAAAAAACTCAAGCATAGCTTACAGATGGGTTAGCTTAGTATGTGCGTGCAGACCAGAAATGAACTGTGACTGTGTTATAGCCACATGCTGTAGGGAGTAGTCCTGAAAGACAGTGAAAAGGGAAGATTTTCTCAGTAGGCAGAGCTCTGAATCATGCACCTGATTATTCACTTTGTGTGGAAGGAGAAGTGGCCTGAAGTAAGAATAAATAAGCCGAGTGTAGGGGTGTGCACCTGTAGTCACAGCTTCTTCGGAGACTGAGGCAGGAGGATCACCTGAGCCTGGGAGTTTGAAGCTACAGTGAACTATGATGGCACCGCTGCACTCCAGCCTAGGTGACACAGCAAGACACTGTCTCTTTTTTTAAAAAGAAGAAGAAGGAGAAGGAGAAGAAATATATATCCTTGGGGTACACAAAAGAAACTATCATCAGAGGGAACAGGCAACCTAGAGAATGGGAGAAAATTTTTGCAATATACCCATCTGATAAAGGGCTAATATCCAGAATCTACAAAGAACTTAAACAAATTTACAAGAAAAAAAACCAATCCCATCAAAAAGTGGGCAAAGGATATGAACAGACATTTCTCAAAAGAAGACATTTATGCAGCCAACGAACATGAAAAAATGCTTATCATCACTGGTCATTAGAGAAATGCAAATCAAAACCACAATGAGATACCATATCATACCAGTTAGAATGGTGATCATTAAAAAGCCAGGAAACAACAGATGCTGGAGAGGATGTGGAGAAATAGGAATGCTTTTACACTGTTGGTGGGAGTGTAAAATAGTTCAACCATTATGGAAGACAGTGTGGCGATTCCTCAAGGATCTAGATCTAGAAATATATTTGACCCAGCAATCCCATTACTGGGTATATACCCAAAGGATTATAAATCAGTCTACTATAAAGACACATGCACACGTATGTTTATTGCAGCACTATTCACAATAGCAAAGACCTGAAACCAACCCAATGTCCATCAATGATAGACTCGATTAAGAAAATGTGGCACATATACACCATGGAATACTATGCAGCCATAAAAAAGGATGATTTCACGTCTTTTGCAGGGACGTGGATGAAGCTGGAAACCATCATTCTCAGTAAACTATCACAAGGACACAAAACCAAACACCACATGTTCTCACTCATAAGTGGGAGTTGAACAATGAGAACACATGGACACAGGGAGGGGAGAATCACACACTGGGGCCTGTCAGGGGGTTGGGGGCTAGGGGAGGGATAGCATTAGGAAAAATACCTAATGTAGGTGACCGGTTGATGGGTGCAGCAAACCATTATGGCATGTGTATACCTATGTAACAAAACTGCACGTTCTGCACATGTACCCCAGAACTTAAAGTATAAAAATAATAATAATTAAAAAACACTACATCCCTAAGAGTCACAAATAGTAAAAAAAAGAAATATATATGTTTGGGAAGTGGCCAATGGTCTGGCTGCCTGGTCAGAGCCTTTAAAGAAAATAACTGGAAAATCAGAGACAAGGAGCTCTGGGTAGACTCTAGAAGCATGTAGATGGACATATGGAAGTGGATATAATGTATGAACATTTTGTATCACATGTTAATGCTCAACAGAGAGCATCTACCATGTAAGAGGCACTGAGCAGCCAAGTAGACAAAATGACTCAGCCAGTTAACATCAGCCAGCCTTTGTCATCAGCTACTCCAGAACCGGCACAATAGGCACATGAACAGAGTGGCCATGGTGGCAGAGATGGCTACATATGGGCCCAATAGAATGGACTCCTACTTGCCAAAGCCAGTGTAGCCACTGCTGCCTCTGAATGTCCAACTTGTCAGGAACAGAGACCAACACTGAACTCCCAAAGTGGCACTAGTCTTCAAAGAGACCAAACAGCCACATGGTGGCAAGTTAACTGCATCAACCCCCTTCCACACTGGAAGGGCCAGCAGTCCGAACTCACAGAGACAGATACCTATTCCAGAAATGGCTTGCCCTTCCTTCCCACAGAGCCTCAGCTGGCACCACTCTCTGGGAGTTTGTGGAATGTCTAATCCATAGGTATGGAATCCCACATACCACAGCA
The DNA here is from genome assembly GCF_000001405.40 of Homo sapiens. Classification (NCBI taxonomy): domain Eukaryota; kingdom Metazoa; phylum Chordata; class Mammalia; order Primates; family Hominidae; genus Homo; species Homo sapiens. The sequence continues at coordinate 35,233,496 of NC_000017.11, read as the reverse complement.
TCCTACCAGGAGACTCTCTTCACAGCAAAGGAGGTAGGCCTGCGATCATGAGATCACTGTCTGTGTCACATACCATATCACCCAAGGCAGACAGCCTCATAGAATCCTGGAACAGCCTTCTAAGTGTACAACTGAATGGCAGCTCAAAGAACACACTCTAAAAAGATGGGGTGCCATCCTTCAGGAGACAGTATATTTATTAAATCATAGACTCCTCGATGGTGCCATATCCCCACGAGGAAGGATACAAGGTCGAGAAGCCAAAGGGGATAAACAGGAGTGGCCCCACTTACCATCACTTCCAAGGACCCACTGGGGTATTTTGTGCTTCCTGTCCCTCTAGGTCCTGAACCCCAAAGGGGATGCACACTTTCCAGGCACACAGTGAGCGTCCCACTGAGCTATAAGTACTAGCTGCTGAAGGGGCACTTTGTTCTCCTCATGTGTAAAAAGTCACCAGACTGGCAGGGATCATGGATCCTGCTCAGCAGAAGAGGGCAAGGCCGTTTTCACACAATGGGGGCAGGAGGGAATATGTGTGAATCCCAAGCGATCTACTTGAGTGCCTTCTGATACTCTGATGCCCTGCTGTAAGGGTGAACAGATACATGCAGTAACCCCAAACCAATAAAGGTATAATTTCCAAAGGTTCAAACCACTTAGGAATGAGGGTTCTGGCCATACCCCTGGGTAAGCAAGTCACCAAGACCTGCAGAGGTGAGAGCTGAGGGTGAGAGGTGTTTAGAATGGATAGTGGAGGAGTGGAGATGAGAACCAGTTGCAGCCCTGAGATCCATTGTAGTGACAGGGCCTGCAGTTCATCCCACTAACCTCTCACTTCTTATTTCCCCTAGGGAGGAATGGCCTACAGGGGCCATGCAGGGGCTGCATGGAGGAATTGGTCAGTACACACAGAAGTGGATGGCACTGGGCCAGGCACAGTGGCTCACACCTGTAATCCCAGCACTTTGGGAAGCTGAGGTGGGTGGATCGCCTGAGCCCAGGAGTTCGAGACCAGTCAAGACAACATGACAAAACTCCACGTCTACTAAAAATACAAAAACTAGCTGGGCATGGTGGCATGTGCCTGTAATCCCAGCTACTTGGGAGGCTGAGGCAGGAGAATCGCTTGAGGTGGAGGTTGCAGTGAGCCAAGATAGTGCCCCTACACTCCAGCCTGGGTGACAGAGTGAGACTTTGTCTCAAATAAATAAATAAATAAGAAGTGGACTGCTGTGGTGTGAGAATGCACCTGACAGACCTCCAATTATGGAGAGCTTACACAGCCAAGGGCCCCAACTGCTGCTCTCTGAAACTCATCCTGCTTTTGTGCTGAGGCCACACTTCCCACAGGCTGCTCCAGCCAGTGACCAAGCACAGCATGGACACTAAGACAGGCCCATTCTGGGAGACGTGGGACTCCTCTGATGGCCAACTTTGACTTGGGGACTCCCTGATGGCCTTGCCAAACCTTTTTGATAAAGCACTTTGGTCTAGGAAGCTTCTACCCGACCTTCCTTCCTCTCTCCTTCACTCAGGGTCAGACTTATAATGTGATCTGACAGTTCCCCCAGCATTTCCTGGCTCTTTCTCCTTTCCTTTCACAGGTGTTTCTCCTGAGAAAATTCTTGCATGTTTAAACCCAATTTGAGGGATTATTGGGAAAATTATTGGGACCACTATTGGAACAGTTGACAAACTGTCACTGGGGGTGTGTAGATTAAATGTCAGTATCGTATAAATCCATGTTAATTTCCTGGTAGTGATGACAGCACTGTGATTATATAGGAGTGTGTCCTTGGTGTTTGGGAATTACATGGTGAAATGTTTAGGATAATGGGGCAACTTACTTTCAAACGGTTCCCCAAAAATTCTAGATAGATAGATAGATAGATAGACAGACAGGCAGGCAGAGTGAGAAAGAAAGTGAGAATGGTAAAACAAATATATATAATGTTTTGTGGGGAGAATGAATAGGAGTTTTTTGTAGTATTCTTACGACTTTTCCATAAGTTTGAAATTATCAAAAATAAAAAATGTTTAAAACATTCTGAAGACATACATTCAGCCAACAATCATATGAAAAAAGCTCTACATCACTGATCATTAGAGAAATGCAAATCAAAACCACAATGAGCTATCATCTAACACCAGTCAGAATGGCCATTATTAAAAAGTCAAAAAATAACAGATGCTGGTGAGGTTGTGGAGAAAAAGGAACACTTATACAGTTGGTGGTAGTGTAAATTCAGCCATTGTGGAAGACAGTGTGGTGATTCCTCAAAGACATAAAAACAGAAATACCATTCAACCCAGCAATCCTATTACTGGATATATACCCAAAGGAATGTAGATCATTCTATTATACAGACACACACACGTATGTTCATTGCAGCACCACTCACAATAGCGTAGACATGGAATCAACCTAAATGCTCATCAGTAACAGACTGGATAAAGAAAATGTGGTACATATCATGGAATACTATGCAGCCATAACAATGAATGAGATCATGTCCTTTGCAGGGACATGGATGGAGCTGGAGGCCATTATCCTTAGGAAACTAACACAGGAATAGAAAACCAAATACCACATGTTCTCACTTACAAGTGGGAGCTAAATGATGAGAACACATGGACACATAGAGTGGAACAACTGGGGAGTGGAACAACTGGGGAGTGGAACATAGAGTGGAACACACACTGGGGCCTTTTGGAGGGTGGGAGGGTAGGAGGAAGGAGAGGATCAAGAAAAATAACTAATGGGTACTAGGCTTAATACCTGGGTGATGAAATAATCTGTACAACAAACCCCCATGACACAAGTTTACCTATGTAACAAACCTGCACTTATACCCATGAACTTAAAATGTTTTTTTAAAATCTTAAACAACGCTCAGAATCTTGATTGAAAGTCTTAGTGCAAAAGGGCTTGCATAACTAATATGGTTTGGGACTGTGTCCCCACACAAACCTCATGTCAAATTGTAATCCCTAGTGTCGGAGAACGGACATCGTGGGAGGTGATTAGATCAAGGGGGTGGATTTCCCCCATGCTGTTCTCATTATAATGGGTGAGTTGTCCTGAGATCTAGTTGTTTAAAAATGTGTAGCACCTCCCCCTTCCCTCTATTCATCCTGCTCCAGCCATGTAGGATGTGCTGGCTTCCCTTACACCTTCTGCCATGATTGTAAGTTTCCTGAGGTCTCCCCAGCCATGCTTCCTGTGCAGCCTGTGGTACCATGAGCCAATTCAACCTCTTTTCTTTATAAATTACCTAGTCTTAGGTAGTTCTTTATAGCAATGTGAAAACAGATTAATACAATAGCCTTCTTCTTTATCTTGAAACTCATCAAGGACACCAAGGTCATTCCACCCAAATTAAAAGTTTCCCTTTTATCTTCCAAAGTGATTTATAGTAGGAAGATGGAAGGCTGTTTACACTTTTATTGATTGCTTAGTTTTGTTCATATAGTTATACATTTTAAAATTCTTGCAGAATTAGTTTGCTAGGGCTGCCATAACAAAATATAAGACCTGGTGGCTTAAACAACACGAATTCATTTTCTCACAGTTCTAGAGGCTGGAAGTCCAAGATCAAGGTGTCAGCAGATGTTGTTTCTTCTGAGGCCTCTCTTTTTGGCTTGCAGTTGCTGCTTTCTCACTGTGCCCTCACATGATCTCCACTTCATATACATGTGCTTCCCTGGTGTCTCTTCCTCTTCTTAGGAGAATACTGATTGTATTGAATTAGGGCCCCACTCTTATGACCTTAGTTAGCTTTAATTACCTCTTTAAAGGTTCCATCTCTAAATGTATTCACATTTTGAGGTAGTGAGGGTTAGGGATTCAACATACAAATTTTGGGGAAACACAATTCATCCTATAACATAGAGTGTACCATTCTCCCTTTAATAAAGGCTACTTATATCACCACCACCCCCACACATACACCAGAAGGCAACTTTCTCTAAAAGAAAACCACTCTAAGATTCAGTCCTCTGCAGAATAATGTAAATCTCAACTCTTTTGAAAATCTGGTTAATGTTAAGCCTATAATTTTATTTTCATTTTCTTCCAACCTGAACGACTTTTCTTAAAGGGTTCATACATTTAAAGTTTTGCCTATATTTTTGGCTGGGCATGGCGGCTCATGCTGGTAATCCCAGCAGCACTTTGGGAGACTGAAGCGGGCAGATCATTTGAGCTAAGGATTTTGAGACCAGCCATGGCACCAGACATGGCAAAACCTCATATCTATTAAAAATACAAAAATTAGCTGGCCTTGGTGGGGCACTTGTAGTCTCAGCTACTCAGGAGGCTGAAGTGGGAGGATCGCTTGAGCCTGGGAGGTCGAGACTGCAGTGAGCTGTGATCATGCCACTGCACTCCAGCCTGGGTGACAGAGTAAGACCCCATCTCAAAAAATAATAAGAAGAAAATAAAATTTTGGCTAGATTTCCTTCCTTTTTTTCTGGGAGGGTTTTGAGCTTTCTTATGTTAGATTATTATGTACTTGATAGCCTCTTGAAGCTACTGAAAATAGGAGATCTATACAGTTTAAGGAACTATATGGGCTTTACTTTCTATTACATCTGAAGGTGTATTATCTCATCTAATTTGAAAGGTGCTTCTTTCCCTTGTCACCCTTCATATGTTCATATGAATCCTCCAGGAACACATAGACTCTAGACATACATTGTTTCAATCAAAAAGGTTGAAGCCTCTTTTGGGGCCGGTTTAAGAATCTTCACATTCTAATTTCTATTGTACTTTAACAGGCTCAAGCCTTACAAAGAAAGAAAGTTTGCTCATCTCTTACCACAATAAAAATCTAACTTGATCCACTCTCAAGCTTAGAAAGCTTTATTTCAGAAGACAGAATTGCAATAGTTCTATCTCTAATTTAAGTGAGAGCAGGGTCTGGGCACAGCGGCTCACACCTGTAATCCCAGTACTTTGGAGGTCGAGGCAGGCAGATTGCTTGAGGCCAAGAGTTCAAGACCAGCCTGGGCAACATGGCAAAACCCTGTCTCCACAAAAATTTAGCCAGGCATAGTAGTGTGCACCTGTGGTCCCAGCTACTTGGGAGGCCGAGGTGACAGAATCACTTGAACCTGAGAGGCGGAGGTTGTAGGGAGCCGAGATTCTGCCACTGTACTCCAGCCTGGGTGACAGAGTGAGACCCTGTCTCAAAAAAAAAGAAAAAAAAATTAAGTGAGAGCAGCTTCCACCTATCCTATGGACCCAGGACAAAGTGACATCTGTCAAAAGCCATAAGACAACAGACAAAAACAAAAATCAATGTTTTAATTTTCCAGTGACCCTGATTTTAAGCAAAACTAATTATTTAGCAACAGAGTTCAAAGCTGGCCAGCACTAGACAGCAGTGACAGGTAACCCTCCTACCTCCCCACCCCAGCATCGCTATTTTTACTTATTCAGATTTAGGCTTCAATTGGAGTTACCACCTGTATTCATTTCCTAAGCCTACCATAACAACATACCATAAAATCGGTGGCCTAAAACAGCAGAAATTTATTTTCTTTGTTCTGGAAGCTAGAAGTCTGAAATCAAGTTGTCAGTAGGGCTCTTCTCCCTGAGACTCTCAGTAGAATCCTCTCTTACCTCTGCCCAGTGGTGGCCATCAATCCTCCATGTTCCTTGGCTTGCAGCTGTGTCACTCCGATCTCTGCCACCATCACTATGTGGCCTTCTCCCTGTGTGTGTCTCTCTTCACACCATCTCCCTTCTTATAAAGACATGAGTCATATTGGATTAAGAGCTTACTCTACTCCAATGTGACCTCATCTTAACTAATTACTTCTACAGTAACCCTGTTTCTTTTATTTTCCTTTTTTTTTTTTTTTGAGATGGAGTCTTGCTCTGTCACCCAGGCTGGAGTGCAGTGGCGTGATCTAGGCTCACTGCAAGCTTTGCCTCCCAGGTTCACGCCATTCTCCTGCCTCAGCCTCCCAAGTAGCTGGGACTACAGGTGCCTGCCACCACGCCCGGCTAATTTTTTGTATTTTTCGTAGAGACAGGGTTTCACCGTGTTAGCCATGATGGTCTCGATCTCCCGACCTCGTGATCTGCCTTCCTCGGCCTCCCAAAGTGCTGGGATTACAGGCGTGAGCTACGCGCCCGGCCTACAGTGACCCTATTTCTAAGTAAGGTCACATTCTGGGGTACTAAGTGTTAGGATTCAACATATCTTTTGGGAGAGCACAGTTTAAACCCTAATATCGTCCTTCTCAGTTTTCTTGAATCATTTATTTCATGTTCTCACATTTGTAGGTTTTATTTCCATGCATATTAACAAATGGGAAATATCAACTGTCATCTTCTGGGTTAATAAATGCATGGCCGGGCACAGTGGCTCACGCCTATAATCTCAGCACTTTGGGAGGCTGAGGTGGGCGGATCACCTGAGGTCAAGAGTTCAAGACCAGCCTGACCAACATGGTGAAACCTCATCTCTACTAAAAAATACAAAAATTAGCCAGCCGTGGTGGTGGGCACCTGTAATCCCAGCTACTCGGGAGGCTGAGGCAAGGAGAATTGCTTGAATCCCGGAGGCAGAAGTTGCAGTGAGCCGAGATCACACCACTGCACTCCAGCCTGGGCAACAGAGCGAGACTCCATCTCAAAAAAAAAAAGAAAGAAAGAAATAGAAAGAAATACACAAATATTTATACCTTTATTTTAAAAAGGAGGCTATGTCAATTTAAATATTATTACCTGAGCAAAAAAATCATTACATAAACAACCAAGCAAAATTCGACTTTTTTGGAAGTTACTTTCCCAAAATACAATAACTCATAAATCTGAGTGTCGTATCAAACTAATTTGATAGGAGCTAATGGCAAATACAGTTTGGTGACATGGAAAAGCATCTCATTCTCTGCAGGTGCAAGAAAAAGGAAACTGTCTGTTGTTTCTTGCTTGCTTGCTTGCTTGTCTTGCTGAGTTTTCTTTCACCAGAAGTAGAAGAGTTTAGAGTTTCCAGGCTAAATACTGGAATTTCAATAATTAGCACTCAAAGAGAAACAAAAAGTAGTCTTTCAAATAAAGGCCTACTCAGAACTTCAAATAACTTCAAAATTTCAAAAAATAATATAAGAAAGAAGCAGAATAGTCTTATGTTAAAATGGATTATAAAACATGATATTTGCTACTTATATTTGTCATCCAAATGTTTTATGGTTAATATCAACTTTATCAATTTTTTACTAATTTTGTATTCACTGATAAGTACTTCCACTAGCAATATTAAGAATCAAGCTTTTCAGTTAGAGAAATAATCACATGGCTCACCAAGTAATAAGTAGAAAGGAATTATAATTATGAGTTGAGAAAAGGGTTAAAATTCAATGTAAGTTTTGTAAAGTAATGCAGGAAATAAATTTATAACTTTCAGTATGAATTTGTCTGTAAAACAAAAATTAAAATATTAAGCCTTCTAGGGCTCCTTTGAGGAGTATATGTCATGGTATATACGAAATACCTGGCATATAGTATGTGCTCAATAAACATTAACTTCATTCCGCCCCGTCCTTCATTCAGTGTAATTGAACCTTAAACAGTTGCCTGAAAAGTTCCCATTAATTGGGGATGAAGAAACCCACCCAGGAATTAAGTGCTCATTTCATCCCCTGTATGTGGAAGTGACAAGGCACACAGCACCCTAATTGGTATGGAACTCCACGCTGCCCAAGAACGAGTGTCCCTTAGACCCTGAGCTAACCAGCTGGTGGCAAGGCCCTTGCTTCACACACCCACAGGGTACTCAGTAGCTCCACTGGTAACAAAATTTCCCCAAGTGTCATGGAGGCGCAAGATGCTTAACTGACATGAGACTAAATCTGGTCTTTATGGTTTGAATTTCATTTTAATAATTATTTGTTTTGAAGAATACAAATGTAAAGATCATTTCTATCTTCATGTGAGTCTCAAATTATAATCTTGATTCTATAATAAAAATTTTTAGTTTTCAACTGGCATATTCAACTGGAAATGGGAGTTACCCATTTCCTCTATAATTTCAAATTGACTTTCATATATTAAAACCCATGAGTTCACAATGATACTTGTTTTTAAAAACTTCATGGTTAACCTTCATAAATTCACGCTAGGACATCAGCGCATTGTTTTGAAAACTGATGAAGGGAAGCAATCAAGCCTTTGTACTCCTTTCCTGTATGCATTCTATTTTGGGGCCAAGAAAGAGATGGTAAGGAAAGTCCTTCACAGAAATATTCCCGGTAATAAATTCAGATGGAATTATGGAGTTAGAAAAATCATCATTTTGCAAGACCTAATGAAATCATGGATCTAGGTAACAATCGTCAACTGATGCTGAAACTACCAGGATGGTGGTTTTCAACCTCACCTGCCCCCAAGAGCTGTTACAAGCCTCAGTGTGTAGGCTGCACTCCAGACCAAGTGAATCAGAACGTCTGGGGCGATTGTAATGCTCCCCAGGTGATTCCAGTGTGCAGCCAAGATTGAGGATCACTCACTAGATGAAAGATGCATGGGGAAGTTTATAACAGACAGATCAGACTGAAGAAGGGTGCATGGGGAAGTTTAGAACAGATGGATCAAACTGAAAACACTTCAACCTACACACCGATTCTAACGTTGGTATGAGTGGGACAGCCAGACACTGTGTAAATTAGCACAATGTCTAATACACAGCCCTACCTAGGAGGTGTTCTAGCAAAAGGCTTCTCTCTTACCCCTCAACCCCTTACACACATAATTGAACCTACATGTAGTCAGTCCTTGGGTCTAATTTTCCAGTTTAGATGAAACACAGGCATAGAAGAAGTTAAATGGCACCATGAAGAAGTAATTAGCTGACTCATGAATGTGAGAGATTCAACGGGATAAGTGAATTGGATTTTTCCACAAATAACTGAGGAGGAAAGGCAGAGGGCTAATGTTATAAGTTAAAAGAGACTTAAATTACCTATCAACTAAATGCAATGTGTGAGCCATTTTTGGTAGCTGATTTTTAAAATATGAATTCACCTTAAAAGAAGGAGTCTGATTTAAACAAACAAAATGTTTTTAAAAAAGAAAGGAAGAAAGAAAGAAGAAAAAACTTGTGACAATCAGGAAGTTGTGACTTGGTATTAGATTACAATAAAAAAAGATTATTAATTTTATCAAGTGTGTGGCTGGACGTGGTGGCTCATATTTGTAATCTCAACGCTTTCGAAGGCCAAAGAGGGAGGGATCACTTGAGGCCAGGAGTTCAGGACCAGCCTGGGCAACATAGCAAGACCCCATCTCTAAAAAAAATGTTTTTAAAAATTAGTGAGGGAGCCAGGTTTGGTGGCTTGTCTCGTGCCTATAATCCCAGCACTTTAGGAGGCTGAGGCAGGAGGATTGCTTAAGCCTAGGAGTTCGAGATCAGCCTGGGAAACATAAGGAGACCCCATTTCTACAAAAAAAAAATGCAAATATTAGCCAGGCATGGTGGTGCACACCTGTGGTCCCAGCTACTTGGGAGGCTGAGGCAGGAGGATTACTTCAGCCTCACTCACTATCTTAAGCCAAAATCACCACATCTCCTCAACAGTGAGCAGTTCCAACTGTAGCCCTTGATGTTGGTGTTTGGGGTTACAGTAAGCTATGACTGTGCCACTGCCCTCCAGCCTCAGCAACAGAGTGAGACCCCATCTCTACAAAAAATAAAAAAAAAATACTAGCTGGGCATGGTGGCACTTGCCTGTAGTCCCAGCTACCCTGGAGGCTAACGCAGGAAGATGGCTTGAGTCCAGGAGTTCAAGGCTATAGTAAGCCATGATGGTGCCACTGCACTCTAGCGTGTGTGGGGAGGCGGAATGAGACCATATCTCTGAAAGAAAATTCTTTTGTTTAAATCTGATAATGGCATGAATCGTAGTTATACATTTTTTAAAGTCCTTATCTATTAGGGATATATGCTAAAACATTTATAAGTAAAGTCATATGTTGCTTAGGATGTGCTTTAAAATACCCTAGGGAATTGCACCATTGCACTCCAGCCTGGGCACGCTGGAGTGCAATGAGTAAAACTCTGTCTCAAAAAAAAAAAAATAATAATACCCTAGGAAAAGAAGTTGGGTGGAAGTTAGATTATTAGAAAAATGTTGGTAATTGTTGAAGCTAAGCTATGAGTATATGGGGGTTCAATATATTATTATCTCAACTTTTGTGCTTATCTGAAAATTTATATAACAAAAAGTTATATGTACGTGTGTGTGTGCATGTGTGTGTGTGTGTGAACTACGTGGGGAGTGGTGAATAGCCTTATGTAGCTGATGCAAAATGTATAGGAGGTAGGGGAATTTCATGCCCCCAAATTTGCTAACTACTATGTGAAATACAAATGACATCAAAGAAGCACTTTCTGCTCTCAAGGAATATTTTCCTTTTGGAAAGTGTACCATTGTACAATCAAAGAAATAAAAGTAAATGACGATGTGAATCACATAAGACACCAACATCAAGGGCTACAGTTGGAACTGCTCACTGTTGGGGAGATGTGGTGATTTTGGCTTAAGATAGTGAGTGAGGTATAGTGAAGAGATAGACCTAGATTTAAACCCTGACTCTGCTGTTTCCTGGTTTTGTGACTGCCTGCAAGTCATTTGACCACCTTGAGCCCCAGCCAGTCTCAAAGCCAATGATACATGTTTTAGATTTTTGTTACATAAGCACTCCAGTTCCAGGTATGCATTTTTATTTCAGTTATTGTTTTATAACAAACCACCCCAAAACTTAGTGGATTCAACCGAAGCCATTTTATGTCCTCATACTTCTGTGGGTTGGGCAGGGCTCAGCTGGACAGTTCTTCTGCTGGCTCTGCTTGGTATCTCATGCAGTTGCAGTCAGCAGGTAGCTGGGGCTGGAACCTCTAAGACAATGCTTCACCCATATCGCTAGCACTTTGGAGGTGATGCCAGGAGCTGGACTAGGCTGAGAGATGGTTTGTCTGGGATTTTCTCTCTCTCCATGTGGCCTCTGCAGGTGGGGATCCATACTTCCTTTTTTTTTCGGACAGAGTTTCCCTCTTGTCACCCAGGCTGGAATGCAGTGGCTCGATCTTGGCTCACTGCAACCTGCAACTTCTGCCTCCCAGGTTCAAGCGATTCTCCTGCCTCAGCCTCCTGAGTAACTGGGATTACAGGAGTGCACCACCACGCCTGGCTAATTTATTTTTATTTATTTATTTATTAGTAGAGACAGGGTTTCAACATGTTGGCCAGGCTGGTCTAGAACCCCTGACCTCAGGTGATCCACCCAGCTCGGCCTCCCAAAGTGCTGGAATTACAAGAGTGAGCCACCACACCCAGCCCCATACTTGTTATTTGGCAGCTCAAGATTCTCAAGAGCAAGCAGTAGAAGTTGCCAGACTTTTTCAGGCTGAGGACCAGACCTGACACAGCACCACTTCCACCTTATTCTACTGGTTAAAGCCAGTCATGGATCCAGCCCAGATTTAAGAGGAGGAAACTATGCAAAAGCATGGATACCAGAATGCATGGCTCTTGGGAGCTGCTAATGTAACAGACTACTATATAATACAGATTTCATTTTTGCAAGTTTTCAAAAAAGCATTTAAAAGCCTAGCTATACATGAGACCACATAGCAGTACTTATGAATACACACTTGAGTCAGATGACTTAGAGTCCCAGCTCGGCCACTTTAGTAGCTCTGCAATATGACCAAGCTAATCTCCCTGAGCCACATATGTAGCTTATCTATAGATGTGTCCTTCATAGGGTGATGGTGGAGTTTAAGAGAGTTAACGGGTCTAAGAAACTTGCACAAAGTAGGTGTTCAGCAGGTGATAGCTGTTGCTATATTGTTAAAATTGTCATTGTTGTTGCTATTGTTATTAATTACTGAGACATCTTGCCCTCAATGCAGAGACAAGCGGCTAATGTAACACATTTCCCATAAACTAAGGAGGCATGTTATTCTTATTATTTTCTTCAATTTCAGTTCACCATTTTACATCTTCATTTTGTCATTTTTTATCAGTATGTTGTATTAACAGGTTTTAAAGTCATTCTCAAATTTAAATTCGTTGTAGGTTCACATTCGCCAAGCAATTGAGAAAACAAATTCTTAGATTAAATCTGGATTTAAAAACTCCTACCTTCCACAGTCATGAAAACACATATTTTAAAGGAGATGGTGATATATCTCAGTTAATTTACACACACATACACACACATCACAGTTGTTGTTGTTGTTGTTGTTTAAGGCAAGATCTCGTTCTGTCATCCAGGCTGGAGTACAGTGGCATGATCTTGTCTCACTGCAGCCTTGACCTCCTGGGTTCAACCAATCCTCCCACCTCAGCCTTTCAAGTAGCTGGGACTACAGGCACACACCACAGCGCATGGCTAATTTTTTTGTATTTTTTGTAGAGACAGGGTCTTGCCATGTTGCCCAGACTGGTCTCAAACTACTGGGCTCAAGCAATCTGCCCGCCTCAGCCTCCCAAAGCGCTGGGATTACAGGCATGAGCCACCGTACCTGGTCACTGCAGTTCTCATGTAGAAAAATACGTTTTATCATCACTGTGTCTTTCCATGTAAGTGCAAAGATGCTTCAAATTGGGACTACAACATCAATATTATGACTTTTTTAGTGAGAAAAAAATACCTGTCACTGTTGTCATGGAGTGTTGTGAAGTAAACACTCCCTAGACTTTTGGGCAACTTAGTATTGAGTATAAACTTGAAGACTTTTGGCATTTTGTGAGCTCATCTTCATGTTAAAAGTTTAAAAACAGTTGCTTTTGGGTTAAATTCAGCTGTGGTAAAAACGTAGTAAGTTTTAATGGTCTTTGACACTGGAGGTTTTAGTGGAAAATTAGTTCAGAATATTATTAATCAACATGAACAATGTATATTACACTATTTTTTTTTTTTTTAAGAAAGGCTCTCCCACTGTCACCCAGGCTGGAGTGTAGTGGCATGATCTCAACTCACTGCAGCCTCCACCTCCTAGGTTTAAGTGATTCTCCCACTTCGACCTCTCAAGTAGCTGGGATTAAGCTGGGACTAATAGGCACGTGCCACACGCCCGGCTAATTTTTGTATTTTTTTGGTAGAGACAGGGTTTCACCATGTTGGCGAGGCTGGTCTCAAACTCCTGGCTTCAAGTGATCCTCCTGCCTCAGCCTCCCAAAGTGCTGGGATGACAGGAGTGAGCCACCACACTGCCTACCGTTTCCTTTTTGAAGCCTTGAGTTGTTTATCATTTTTATTCTTCTTAAATGTACTTTGTTACAAATCACCACAGTTGCTTTTGACATGATGGCTAGGTAGCCTTTGAGGCTGAGCGGTTGTCTACCACGTAATTCTTTAGGCAGGGCCAAGAATACATGTTAAATCAGGAAGTGTCTTCAGCCAACATATAATTTACAGGGTTATCTAGGAACTTCTTAAAATGGGATTTGTAGGTACTAAAAAGCTTAGTGTGGTGAAAGAGCATAGTCTCTGGGGTTGGACTGACTTGGGCCCTATGAAGCCCTGGGTAAATTATTTGACTCTTTGAACCTCACTTTCTTCAATTGTAAGCAATACAGACCCATCTCTCAGAGTCATTGTAAAGATTTAATGAATTAGCAGTGAATACATTGGAACATGTCAAGGATTCATGCGTTAGTGCCTCCTGTACTTTGAATTCTGAATTAAACTTTAACCAGCCTGGACAACATGACGAGACCCCATCTCTACAAAAACTATTTTAAAAAATTAGCCAAGCATGGTGATGCTTGCCTGCGGTCCCAGCTACTCGGGAGGCCGAGGTAGGAGGATCACTTGAGCCCAGGAATTGAGGCTGCAGTGAGCTGCATTCATGCCACTGCACTCCAGGCTGGGCTATGGAGCAAGACCTTGTCTCAAAGTTAAAAAAAAGAAAGAATTAAACTTTAAGAAATGATTTTTAGTAAGATGAAAATAGAAACTCAGCCAAAATGTATAATATGAACATTTGTAGAAAATACTGTAGAAGACAATTGCACTTGTACAACATCAAGTATGAAGAAATTCACTCAGCAATGAAGTATGCATTTTAAAAATGAGTTTCATAAAGCCAAAACAAATGAATTTAATGAGATGTGGCCGGATTAAAGATGACAGGCTTTAACTTATGAAATACTTCAGGGAAAATAATATAATTCCAAGATAGTATGGAATTTGAAACAGCAATGTTTGGGAGCTATGAACAAAAGGAACCAAGTTTATGAGGCATGAGAAGTTAGTTTGGAAATAGCCTCTCCCTTACCCGGCCCTCCTGCTATTTTTTGCTCATATACTTCCTTCTATTCTGATTCTGAAACAAAAACAAATCATAGGCCCTGCAACAACTGAAGAAACTTTCCAATGCTCTCTAGAAAGGAAACTGACTTGACCTAAGCAATGCACTTCCTGCATGTACCACACCTATTAAAAATTAAGAAATGACCTTGGTGATAATTGTGCTCAGAGGAGTTTTAGAGCAGTGAAATTATTCCGTATGATGCTACAAGGATGGACACATGTCATTATACATTTGTCAAAATCTGTAAACTGTACAACACCAAGACTGAGCCTGAATGTAAACTATGCACTTTGGGTGACTATGAGGTGTCAATATAGGTCCATCTATAGTAATTAATGTATCGCTCTGGTGCATGATATCAATAATGGGGAAGTTGTGCTTGTGTGGAGACAGTGGGTATGTGGAAACCCTCTGTACGTTCTGTTCAAATTTGCTGTAAACTTAAAACTGCTTTAAAAGATGAAATGTGTTAATTTAAAAATCAACAAATAAACAAATAATGAAAGTGAGGAACCTACCTCCAGGAGAGGAAATTGACTTTACCTAACCAATGCACTTCCTGCGTGAGCTGCATCTGTTAAAGATCAAGAAGCCACCTCAGTGGTACAGTGCTCAACTACAGAGTGTCCTGACGTTTGTTGGTGGGGTTGCAAAAGACATCATAATGTCATAATGTCACCATTTATTATGGTATCTGTAAGGTCTATATGAATCACTCAGAGATGTTGTTAAAAAATGCAAGTATAGGCCGGGCATGGTGACTCATGCCTGTAATCCCAGCACTTTGGGAGTCCAAGGCGGGTGGATCACTTGAAGTCAGGAGTTTGAGACCAGCCTGGCCAACATGGCAAAACCCCATCTCTACTAAAAATACAAAAATTAGCCGGGTATGGTGGCACGCGCCTGTAGTCACAGCTACTCAGGAGACTGAGGCGAGAGGATTGCTTGAACCTGGGAGGTAGAGATTGCAATGAGCCGAGATCATGCCACTGTACTCCAGCCTGGCTGATAGAGCAAGGCTCTGTCTCAAAAAAAAAAAAAAAAAAAAAAATGCAAGTGGCCGGGCATTGTGTCTCACACCTTCAATCCCAGCACTTTGGGAGGCCGAGGTGGGTGGATCACCTGAGGTCAGGAGTTCGAGATCAGCCTGTCCAACATGGCAAAACCCCATCTCTACTAAAAACACACAAATTAGCTGGCGCGCGCCTGTAATCCCAGCTACTTGGGAGGCTGAGGCAGGAGAATCTCTTGAACCTGGGAGGCGGAGGTTGCAGTCAACTGAGATTGTGCCACTGTACTCTAGCCTGGGCAACAGAGTGAGGGTCTGTCTCAAAAAAAAAAAAAAAAAAAAAAAAGAAAAGAAAAAGAAAAAAAGAAAGAAAAAGAAAGAAAAGAAAAGAAAAAATATGCAAGTATAATTCAGTAGTTTTGCCATTGGGTCTGAGATTCTGCATTTTTAACAAACTCCCAAGTGATGCTTGAAGAATTTAGAGGACACTGGGCAAACATGCATCCCCTTCCTCAGCTAAATTACTGCTGCTGAAGTCAAATAAAATATAGAGACAAATCTCTGAATTTAAAACATTTTCATCTATGTAGGAGGTGGGTTTAAATATATATGTATACATATATTTTTAAAAACCATTTTATTTGAGAAGCAAGAACTGTAATGTGGGGCATACACAGAGACCAGGTGGTCTTCAGTATGCCAGAAGAACAAAAACTTCAGAAGTTTTATAAAAAGGAGAAATTTTACAAATTGTTTCGAAAGTAAGTTTATTGACGCTAGTAAAGCTTTGGGGAACCAGCAAGCTCAGAGATTGGTGAGTGACAGCGATAACTAAAACTACTCTTAGAGTTGTAGCAGATTGTTTCAGTAGCTATTCAGTAACGGGTTTCAGATTACAGAAGACAAGCGAGCAGAGGATTATATCCTTGGTGCAATGCTCTATGCCCTGAGTGCTTTTATTCCCTGGTCTCTAGACTCTGTTTTAGTTGAGTATGACAAAAATTACCCAATTTGTATAATCAACTTTCACTGTGCCTTTGCTGCATACCTTTACTGCATACCCAGAGATTCATCATTAAAGAATAGTTCCTTTGGGTCTTGGACACATTATTTGTTCAGCATGATTCTCCCTTCTCTAAATCTCATTATTGCTTTGCTGTGGTTCTCTTATGGAACTTAGCATGTTCTTTTGCTATACTTATGTATATATATCTTATACCCCTACCCTGCCCTTCTCCATCTCCACTATCCCCAACCCTCATGCTAGATTAGGGTCCCACTATAAAGTGTTCTTATAGATTTCTGTGCTTTTTATTAATAGCAGTTATAAAAACTCTAATTAAGTAATTATGTAATTTTTGTGGGTGTCTCCACTACTAAATAAAAAACTTCATGAGGTCAGGGATCCTGTATATATTGTATAACACTGTATCCCCATCATTACCACATTATCTGGCACATAACAGGTGCTCAGTGAACTGTAAGGTTCATGAAAAGAGCAACTTTGTATTCCCTGAAGAACCCACCATAGAGCCCTGTATATCATAATTGTTTGGCAAATAATTATTAACTTAATGGCAATAATCTTAGGAGATATTAAACAACCATTTTCTCATTCACTCATTAATTCATTCAACAGCAATTTATTGACTAGCCACTGTATGCCAAGCATGATTCTGTCCTCAAAGATCTAACAATATCCAGAAAACACACTGCTTCAAGATGAAGTTCTCTTTCCTTGGTTTAAATTGAGTTATTTTTCGGACCAACAGGTTCCCAAGGTCATGTTTATGCCTTTATGAAAGTTTTTAGGTAAGAAAGAGACATGGTCCAGTCTACACTTTTAGATGGTGTATTATTAACTCAGAATAGAGGAAGGATGTGGGGAGGGAAGACTAAAGGCAGAGAGACCATTAGAGGATCGTTGCAGCCAAGCAGTTGAGAGATGGTCTGGACTAGAGCAGTGGCAGTGGGGAAGGAGAGGCTTGGGTAAATTTGGGAGAGATTTAGGAAATAAAATGAACAGTACACTGTGATCAACTGGATTTGGTAGACGAGGAACATGGAGACTTAAATAATATAAGTCTAGAGTTCAAGAAACAGGCCTACGATGGAGATACAAATCCAGGCACGATCAGCTTGGAGCAACAGGATGGAAGAGATCACCCAGAGATACTGTAGAAGACTCTGAAAACATCCCATTCAGAACAAAGGCTGAGGAATGCCCCCATCAAGGAAGAGGTAAATTAAATGTACATTGCAAAGTAGCCTGCAAAGAAGACTGAGTGAATGGCTAGAATGGTAAGAGTAAAAGAAAATCAAGCACCTGTGAGACATAAAAGTGGTATCAAAGAAGTCCAGAGACGCCGGACACAGTGGTACATACCTGTATTCCCGGCTACCTCGGAGGCTGAGGCAGGAGGATGGCTTAAGCCTAGGCGTTTGGAACTGTACTATTTTTATAACTTTTCTACAAGTCTAAATTGCTTCAAAATGAAAAGGTTTTAAAAACTCAGAGCTCCTTACAATTTTCAAGTTTGTTTTATTTTCTCCCATTGGTTAACATACACTGTCAATCTTGACATTTTGGGAAATCTGGAAAAAAATCTTTAGAAATAGGGGCAGGGAAGGACATAGATTTATTTATTGTCCAAAGACTGTTAGCATTGTGACATGTTTCATCTGGACTTTTTTTCCCCTAGAATTTTTTTTGGCAGAGTGGTAATTAAATAATAGTGGACTTTTTTTATACTTATTTTTACTGAATCTTTTTTTACATTTATTTTTACATTTATTATAGTAGTAATAGGAGACTTTTAAGATGTCACACCAAAGACATCTCTGTTCCCTTTTTTGCAATACCCCAAATGAAAAATAAGAAATGAGACACCTAAACCTCAGCCCTCATTATGTGGGAAGAAGAGCTAAGGCTGCCTCATGCAGTGGAGGTCGAGGACACCAGGAGGGAAAACCTGCCACTACAGATGTTGGGCACAGTCAGCAGAACACGGGGTTGTCTGTATTGGGTGGTTTGTAGACCCTGGGCAGAAAATTCAATGACTACTTGTTTGGAACAACCAGACTGAAGGGCAGAGGGGGCTTGGAGTTTCCTTACCCTTGTGTTAATCGCAGGATTGGCAAAGGACACATCATCTTTGAAATCAGAAAAACATCTGTGAGTGACAAGCAGCCCTGACTAATATCTAGTCTGTGAAAAGAGGAAATCCGTACCAATCATCAAAACAGTTATAAAACCCTGTACCCTATGCAACTTTTCTGTGAATCAGGGAGGCTTTGGCACCCCCAAGCCCTGCCCTGACCCTGTTCCCATGCTATATCCTGCAAGCAGCTCCATCAAGGAAACAAGGATCCACCCTGGGAAAAGAGCCCTCTGGATACATGTGACAGGGAGTCCAGGATGACAGCTGAGGGTGGGCCCAGAGAGCCCCCAGTCAGGATCCAAGGGCAGAAGGCTCGGGGGACCTTCTCCTGAGGATACAAAGTTGATGGTAGACTTCATGTACTTGATTAACCAAAAAAAAAAAGTTATGAAACAAAGAAAAAGTAAGATGATATGAATCCTGAGGAAAGCAGAAAGTTGTATGAGAAATGAAATGCACCCATAGTACATCACCTAGCACAACTGTGACTAGAGAGGCTCATAACAAGGTGAACATCGAATATTGTTCTAACCGAAAACAGTGATAAAATCATCTTGGCAGGATGTGGGGAGAGCAAAATAGGGAGGGAGTATAATTGAGCTAAATCTTCCGGAAATAGATAATATCTAGTTAAACCTCAAAATGGCACCATTTAGAGCTAAGTACCAAAAGAAACATCAAAGTGATGGCCCCTAGGAACAAGATGGGGGCAGGAGCAGGAGACTGCTGGTGTTATACTAAGCCCTGTCAAACTATTTCACTTCCAATATTATGTGCATGTACCACTTGATTTTTAAAACTTATAAAAATCTGAGAACTATCTGGAAAGTAGTGGACAATGTATCTCTTCTTACACAGCTTTTTTCCCCCATATAATTGGAGGAAAAACCCCCCGCAGATTATCTGATAGAATCAGCATTTCATAGACCCATATTCATGCCACTCCTGTGGATCTGAAACACAAGATCTATAGTCCACATAATAATAATCCTATCCTGACCTTTTCTTTGCATCTTCTAAGTTTTGAACTCTGGGGTCTGGCACTTGCTCTCTCCAAAATAACTAGTGAAACTTCAGTGCTTAGCTCTGAAAATTACATATCTGGTGGGGAAAACAACCAACTCAGCAAGATAAGTAGATAATGTCTCTCCGACCCTTTATAGCTGCAGAAAAGTAGGTATGATTTCGCTTCTTGAAATTGTCTTTCCAAATGTTATGTCTAGCAAAGGAAAACTGTATAAAACATCTAGACTTCAGAGAATATTATTGTGTCCTATGAAAGTAATCACTAACTGCTACCAAGTCTGTCATCCTGAAGGCTTGTTTAACTCTAAGTTGTGCTGTTCTGATGACATTGAAATGAATGCTTTTTCCTGGAAGGGATATACGCGTAAGAATTTATTTTGTCGAGCCAGAAGAGAGAGGAAGAGCTCTTTCCTGTTTTCCCACATGCACAGAGATTATAAAACCTATGCTTCTGTTCAATTGTTAAGAGTTTAGGAGTTTGTGATCCATTGAAATGAAGATTTCTTACCTGGACACTGCTTCCTTGTCTTGGAGCTGACCATCCCCTCTGGCCTGGCAGCAGGAATTTTCACCCCATCCCTAGATATTATGAGAAATCAGACCCTTGGCCCACCCAACACTCACCAACTAACTGCCACCTGCTAGTAGCCCCAGCCCCACCAAGTAGCTGTTGTTCCTCTGTTCTTTCCTACAGCCTCTATTACTTTTTTTTTTTTTCTTTTTAGACAGGGTCTCCTCTGTTGCCCAGGCTGGAGTGCAGTGGTGCATTCACAGCTCACTGCAGCTTCAATTGCTTGGGCTCAAGAGATCCCACCACCTCAGCTTCCCAAGTAGCTGGGACCACAGGTGCATGCCATCACGTCCAGCTAATTTTTTGTATTTTTTTGTAGAAACGGGGTTTCACTGTGTTGCCCAGGCTAATCTTGAACTCCTGAGTTCAAGCGATCTGCCCACCTCAGCCTTCTAAAGTGCTGAGATTATAAGCGTGAGCCACTGTGCCCAGCCTACTATTTTTTTAAGGTTAAGATTTTATTTTCAAGGCTTCTCGTGTTGTACAGAAAGTAAAAATGGTGTTCCAACCTCAGTGTAATTGGTAGCTGTGACTGGCTATGACTCACATGCCAATCACAGCTATCCACACTACCACAAGATCCTTACATGAAAACCTGGTAATACTTACAATTTGTTAGGGTGAATTCTCCAAGCTTGGTGGTGGATTTCCAAGAGGTACAAATGGAAGAAGGCAGACTACCACTCTTTGGGTGGGCGGGTAGGTATCTTGGCATTTGTATCCCAGGCACTTCAGCTACCAAGGAACTCCATATGAACAATAAAACCAATCCCGAACAGTCCCAATACTTTCCCTTCCCAGACCCCTCTGCTTCCAATATCCTCAGCCCACCTTCCAGGCCCCCTGCCCCAGACCCTGCCCTAGAGGGTTCCTTTCTAGTTCCCGCATCCCCAAGCAATGGATGGAAAGGAAATCTCTTTTCACACAGACCTCAATCTCTGGGAACTGGTACCCAAGAGGAGTCTAATTGATTATTGATTGTTGATTGATTGATTGAGACGGGGTCTCACTCTGTCACCCAGGCTGAAGTGTAATGGCATGATCAGGGCTCACTGCAGCCTCAACCTCCCAGGCTCAAGCGATCCTCCTACCTCCACCTTCCAAAGTGCTGGGATTACAGGCACAAGCCACTGCGCCAGACCTAGTTGATTTTTGAGATGGGATACACTGAGCTTTATGGGCTAGCCAACCCCATCCCATGTTGTTGCCCTACAAAGATTTCCAACACACTTGCTCATACACAGGCAACCATGGGGAATGCAACCCCTAGCGAATAATCTCCGGAACCTGTTTGCACCCAAGACACAATACTCACCTACTTGCGCAGAACCCAGAAACGTGGCTCATTGTGTGGCTGTTTCCTCTGAAATCTTTCATGGTTATGAACCGCAGTGAAATCTACTGTCTTGTTATTGAGGTGTATTGGGTTTTGGACTTCCATACTAGTAGGTGAACAGCCCACAGACCTCAGAAACTCAAAGATCAGGGCCAGAATGGTATATTGGCAACAGTGCATAGAAAAGAAAGGTGTGGCCGAGCGCGGTGGCTCACGCCTGTAATCCCAAAGTGTAATCACACTTTGGGAGGCCAAGGTGGAAAGATCACTTGAGCCCAGGAGTTCAAGAGCAGCCTGGGCAACATGATGAAACCCTTCTTCACCAAAAATAAAAAAATTAGCCTGGCATTGTGGCATGCACCTGTGGTCCCAGCTACTCAGGAGGCTGAAGTGGGAGGATTGCTTGAGCCCAGGAGATGGAGGCTACAGTGAGCTGTGATCACCATCACTGCACTCCAGCCTAGGTGACAGAATGAGACCCTATCAAAAAAAAAAAAAATTTGGTCTGGGTGTGTTTATTTTCATCAAGGTTGAAATGTGTGCACTTTTCCGTGTAATGCTACGTTTCACTTTGTAAAAGCTTAATTTAAAAAAGTGAGTGATACCTTTCTCTTAGAGTTGTTGTGAGGAATACATAAAATAGCAGATCTGAAGCAACTTTTTCTTAGTGTAAGAATAAATGCTATTCTTATACTAATAAGATTATACTATAGCATAAATGCTATTCTTATTCTAATAAGAGTATACCATAGAATAAATGCTATTCTTACACTAATCAGAATATACTGTAGGATAAATACTATTCTTATACTAGTATGGATATACTATAGAATAAATGTTATTCTTATACCATTATACTAAGAATACACTATAGAATAAATACTAGTCTTAGACTAATAACAATATACTATAGAATCAATGCTATTGTTAAACTAAGAACCGGTTGCTTCAGATCCGCTATTTTACGTATTCCTCACAACAACTCTAAGAGAAAGGTATTATTCACTTTTGAAACTAAGCTTTAACAAAGTGAAACATAGCATTACACAGAAAAGTGCACACATCTCAAGCTTGATGAAAGTGAACACACCCAGACCAAAACTTCAAAGCTGCCATGGTGCCCCTCCCCACCGCTATCCTTACGCTCTGCCTGTAAGTAACCACCATGCTGACTTTTAACATCACCTACTGGTCTTGCCTGGTTTTGAACTGGTATAAACGGATCATTCACTATACAGTATATTCTATTAGGTCCAGCTTCTTTCACTTGAATATTGTATTTGTAAGTCACATCCGTATTGTTGTACTTAGCAGTAATGTGGCATTTACGCTGGTGTATCGTCTTCTCCTGTATACGTATCAGACAATTTTTCCATTTACGATGGACATTGGGGTTATTTCCATTTGGGAGTCACAATGAAAAGTGTTCTTTCTCATTGCGACACACAAACACAAGTACATATTTCTGTTGGCTGTGTACCTTGGAGTTGCTGGCTATGTATATGTTCAATTTTATGTCAAGCACTTTTAGGGGATACTGCCAAATACATCTTCCTAAGTTTTCGTAGCAATTCACACATTCCCATCTGCAGTGTATAAGAGTTCCAGTTATCCCATATTCTCACCAACACTTGGTTTTGTCAGTGTTTTAATTTTTTTTTAATTTGCTTATTTTTTCAGACAGGGTCTTCCTCTGTCACCCAGGCTGGAGTGCAGTGTCACCATCATGGCTCACTAACTACAGCCTCGACCTCTAGGACTCAAGCAATCCTCCCACCTCAGCCCCCAACTCCCAAGTAGCTGGGACTACAGACATGTGCCACCACACCCAGCTAACATTTTTAAAGTACTCTTTGTAGAGACGGGGGTCTTGCCATGTTGCCCAGCCTGGTCTCAAACTACTGGCCTCAAGCAATCCTCCTGCCTTGGCCTCCCAAACTGCTGGGATTACTGGCATGAGCCACCACACCTGGCTTAATTTGCTTTAAAAAAAAATTCGATAGGGGTACAAGTGGTTTTTGGCTACATGGATGAATTATATGATAATAATGTCTGGGCTTTTAGTGCGACCATCACCTGAATAGTGTACATTGTACTCAGTAGGTGATTTTTAAATTCCACATTCCCCTCTCAACTTTCCCACCTTCTGAGGCTTCAGTGTCCATTATACCAATCTACATACCTTTGCGTACCCATAGCTTAGCTCCCACTTACAAGTAAGAACATGCAGTATTTGATTTTCTGTTCCTGAGTTACTTCGCTTAGGATAATGACCTCTGGTTCTATGCAAGTTGCTGCAAAATACATTATTTTCCTCTTTTTATGGCTGCATAGTATTCCATGGTGTGTATTTGTGTGTGTATGTGTGTGCGTGTATATACACAGCACATTTTCTTTATCCACTCATCAGTTGATGGATGCAGTGTGGTTTTAATATTAGCCATTCTGATAGGTCTATGGTGACATCTCATTATAATTTTATTTTGCATTTCCCTGATGACTAGTAAGATGACTGAGTTTCATATATTTATTGGCTCCTTTTATAAGGTGTCTGTCTGTACAAGTAGTTTGCTTTTCTTTTCTTTTTTTTTTTTTTTTGAGACAGGATCTCCCTTTGTTGCCCAGGCTGGAGCACAGTGGTGCAAATCTGGCTCACTGCAGTCTCAACCTCCTGAAATCAAGCAATTTTCCTGCCTCAGCCTCCTGTGTAGCTGGGAAACACAGGCACATGCCACCGTGCCTGGCTAATTTTTTTATTTTTTGTAGAGATGGAGTCTCAATTTGTTGACCAGGCTAGGACAAGTTCTTTATTGATTAAATGTTTAGCAATCTTTTTCCACTCTGTGGCTGACTTTATTACTGTCTTAATAGTGTCTTCTCATGAATTGAAGTCTTAATAGTGTCTTCTCATGAATTGAAGCTCCTATTTAATAAAGTTGTCCAATTTATCAACATTTTTGTTTATGGTTAGTGTTTCTATGTCTCATTTAAGAAATACCTGCCTACTCCAACTCATGAAGATAGTCTCTAGTGTTATCTTCTAGAATATTTCCTTTTTATTTTTTTAAACTCTCTAGCCCTATGTCATAAGAATATTTCTGGTTTTACTTTTCACATTTAGATCTCTAATCCACCTGATGTTTGAGTGTGTTGTGGGGGAGGGGTTAAGTTTAATTTTTTTCCATATGGATAGCTAGTTGACCCAATATCATTTGTTGAAAAGTGCACCCCTTCCCCTCTGTTCTGTAGTGTGATCTTCGTCATAAGTCAAGTGTACCTATATGTGTCGGTCTATTTCTGAATTCTCTCTTCTGTTTCATTGGTCTATTTTCCTATTCTTTTGCTGACATCACACCATCTTAATAACTATGACCTTATATTGATACTCACTGTTAGTCTTCCAACTTATTCTTGTTTTCTTTTCTTTTTAATTAAAAAAAAATTGTGGAAATGGAGATTCACTACGTTTCTCAGGCTGGTCTCGAACTCCTGGCCTCAGGCAATACCTCCTGCCTCAGCCTCCCAAAGTGTTGGGATTACAAGCGTGAGCCACCATGCCTGGCCAAACTTTATTCTCCTCCAAGATGGTCATTGCTATTCTTGACTCTTTGGCTTTTCATAAATATTTTACAAATAATTTATCAATCTCTGTCCCACCAAAAGCCTCAAAGTTGTATTGGGCTTTCATGGAATCTATATATCACTTTGGGGAGAATTTATAGCTTTATAATGTTGTCATCCAATCCAGGAATTTGGTAATATCTCTCTATTTATATGAGTTTTCTTTTATTTTTGTAAATAATATTTTATAGTTAGGATTCTTAAACATCTTTCACAATTTATCTCTAGGCATTGATGTTTTATGATATTATAATGGCACCATCTTTAAAAACTCAACTTCCTAACTGTTATAGGTATGTAGAAACACAATTGATTTTTGTAAATGGACTTTGTATCTAAATTCACTTATTGGTTCTAATAGTTTGTAGCTGTCAGATTTTTTACATGTACAATCCTGTCATGTGAACAATTAAAAAGTTTTATTTCTAAGTTTTCAATTTTATGCTTTTCTTTTTTTCTTCTTTTTTTATTGTAAATTGACAATTTATAATTGTATAGATTGATGGGTTCTGTGAAGAGGGAGTTGCGTGGGGAAAAAATTTATGGGGTACAAAATGATGTTACGATTTATGAATGCAATGTGAAATAATTAAATCAAACTAGTTAACATTTCCATCACCTCAAATACTTAACTTTTTTTGTGGCAAGAACATTTGAAATTTACTTAGCAATTTTGAAACGTACAACACTCTACTATTAACTATATTCACCATGCTGTGCAATAGAATGCACAAAAAGAAAAATCATGTTCTGCCTGTCTGAAATACCCTTTGACCATCACCTCCCCATTTCCCCATCTTCCAGCTTCTGTCACCACCATTCTACTCTCCACTTCTATAAGTTCATTGTTTTAAATTCCACATATAACGGAGAACATGTGGTATTTGTCTTTCTGGGCCTGACTTATTTCACTTAGCATAATGTTCTTCAATTCCATCAATGCTGTCACAAATTTCAGAATTTCCTTCTCTCTCTCTCTCTCTCTTTTGAGATGGAGTCTCACTCACTCCGTCACCCGGGCTGGAGTGCAGTGGCGTGATCTCTGTTCACCGAAACCTCTGCCTCCCAGGTTCAAGCCATTCCCCTGCCTCAGCCTCCCAAGTAGCTGGGATTGCAGGCATATGCCACCACACCCAGCTAATTTTTGTATTTTTAGTAGAGACAGGGTTTCACCGTGTTGTTCAGGCTGGTCTCAAACTCCTGACCTCAAGTGCTCCACCCACCAAAAGTGTTGGACTTACAGGTGTGAGCCATTGTACCCAGCCAGAATTTCCTTCTTTTTAAAGGCTGAATAGTATTCCATTGTATATATGCACTACATTTTTTTAAAATCCATTTGTCTGTTGATGGGCAGAGGTTGATTCCATTACTTGGATGTTGTGCATAGTATTGCAATGAACATAGGAGTGCAGATATCCCTTCAACAAACTGATTTTGAGTCTTTTGCATTAATACCCTGAAGAGGGACTTCTAAATCATATGATAATTCTATTTTTAGTTTGGTTTTTTTTTATTTTTTGGGCGGAGGGATCTCCATACTGTTTTCCATAATGGCTGCACCGATTTACATTTCCACCAACAGTGTACAAATGTTTCCTTTGCTCTACATCCTCACCAACACTTATCTTTTGTTTTTTCATTTGAAAACACTCTGTTTTGAAATAAAGTACAGGATGATTAAAAACATAATAATAAGCATTCTGACAGGTGAAAGATTATATCTCATTGTGGTTTTAATTTGCATTTCTCTAATGATTAGTGATGCTGAGCATTTTTTCATTATCTGTTGGCTATTTGCATGTCTTCTTTTGAGAAATGTTTTTATCACTGGAATGCAAGGATCAATAAATGTGACATGCCACAGTAACAGAATGAAAGACAAAAACCATATAATCATTTATTAGATGCCAAAAATCATTCAATAAAATTTAATATCCTTTTATGATAAAAACTCTCTCTTATCTTCCATTCCCTAGGCAGAGAGTCAGAGCAAGAGAGAGCAAGAGAGAGAGAGAAAGATGACAAAAAAAAAGTTCACCAAATTAGATGTAGAAAGCATATATCTCTTTGAGGATAACCCTGAGTGCAAATTTTTTAAAAAGAAATGTAACTCAGCACAATAAAAGTCATTTATGAGAAGCCCACAGCTAACATTACACTCAAGGCCCTTCGTGTAAGATCTGCAACAAGACAAGGATTTCTACTGTTTTAGTCTGTTTGTGTTGCTCAACAAAATACCTGAGCCCAGGTAATTTATAAAGCAATGAGGTTTATTTGGCTTATGTTTCTGCAGGCTGTACAAGCTTCTGGTAAGGGCCTCAGGAAGCTTCCACACATGGTGGAAGATGAAGGGGAGCCAGAATGTGCAGATTACATGGTGAGAGAGTGGAAGCAAGAGAGAGGGGCAGGAGGGGCCAGGATCTTTTCAACAATCAGCTCATGGATGAGCACAGTGGCTCATGCCTGTAATCCCAGCACTTTGGGAGCACAAGATGGGAGGATCACTTCAGCCCAAGAATTTAATTAAGACCAACCAGCCTGGGCAAAAAAGTGAGACTCCATCTCTACAAAAAATCAAAAAATTAACCAGTCACGGTGGTGTGTGCCTGTGGTCCAAACTACATGGGAGACTGAGGTGGGAGGATTGCTTGAGCCCAGGAGGTCAAGACTGCAGTGAGTTATGCTCATGCCACTGCACTCCAGCCTCGGCAACAGAATGAGACACTGTCTTAAAAAAAAGAAAAGTGAATTTATAAACAAAATTTTAAAAAATCAGCTCTTGTAAAAACTAAGAGTGAGAACTGACTCATTATTGCAAAGATAACACTAACCTATTCATAAGGGATCTGTCCCATTATCCAAACACCTCCCACCAGGCCCCACCTTTAACAATGGGAATCAAATTATAAAATGAGACTTGGTAGTCAAACAAATCATATCAAACCATAGCACCTACTCTCCCACTTCTGTTCAACATGGGATTGAAGTTCTTTCTAGAGCAATTAGGCAAGAAAAAGAAATAAAAGGCATCCAAATAGGAAAAGAAATGAAATTGCCAATGTTTGTTGATGGCATGATCTTATATATGGAAAATCCTATAGACTTTAGCAAAATAGTTGTTAGGACTAATATGTGAATACAGTAAAGTTGCAAGATACAAAATCAACACACAAAAAAATCAGCAGCTTGCTTTTGATTAGTGTCAATGTGTTAAAAATTTACAAGAAAAAAAGAAATAAAAATCAGTAGCATTTCTATACACTAACAACAGACTTTCTGGAACCTAGGCTTGTGAAAAAAAAGAAAAAAAGAGATAACAACAAACTATACAAAAAAAGAAATAAAGGGAACAATCACATTCACAATACCTACAAAAAAATAAAAAAACTTAGGAATAAATTGGCCAGGTAGGTATTAAAATCCATGCTACCCAACGTGACCTGCAGATTCAATGCAATCCCTATGAAAATCCCAACATCGAGGGTGGAGCCAAGATGGCCGAATAGGAACAGCTCCAGTCTACAGCCCCCAGTGTGAGTGATGCAGAAGACAGGTGATTTCTGCATTTCCAACTGCGGTACCGGGTTCATCTCACTGGGGATTGTCGGACAGTGGATTCAGGACAGTGGGTGCAGCGCACCGAGCGTGAGCCGAAGCAGGGTGAGGCATTGCTTCACCAGGAAAGCACAAGGGGTCAGAGAATTCCCTTTCCTAGCCAAGGAAAGGGTGACAGACAGCACCTGGAAAATCGGGTCACTCCCACCCGAATACTGTGCTTTTCCAACGGTCTTAGCAAACGGCACACCAGGAGATTGTATCCTGTGCATGACTTGGAGGGTCCTATGCCCACGGAGCCTCCCTCATTGCTAGCACAGCAGTCTGAGATCAAACTGCAAGGTGGCAGTGAGGCTGGGGGAGGGGTGCCTGCCATTGCCAAGGCTTGAGTAGGTAAGCAAAGCGGCTGGGAAGCTCGAACTGGGTGGAGCCCACCCCAGCTCAAGGAGGCCTGCCTGACTCTGTAGACTCCACCTCCAGGGCAGGGCATAGCCAAACAAAAGGCAGCAGAAATCTCTGCAGACTTAAATGTCCCTGTCTGACAGCTTTGAAGAGAGTAGTGGTTCTCCCAGCATGCAGCTGGAGATCTGAGAACGGACAGACTGCCTCCTCAACTGGGTCCCTGACCCCTGAGTAGCCCAAGTGGGAGGCACCCCCCAGTAGGGGCAGACTGACATCTCACACGGCCGGGTACTCCTCTGAGACAAAGCTTCCAGAGGAACGATCAGGCAGCAACATTTGCTATTCACCAATATCTGCTGTTCTGCAGCCTCCACTGCTGATACCCAGGCAAACAGCATCTGGAGTGGACCTCCAGCAAACTCCAACAGACTAGCAGCTGATGGTCCTGACTGTTAGAAGGAAAACTAACAAACAGAAAGGACATCCACACCAAAACCCCATCTATATGTCACCATCATCAAAGACCAAAGGTAGATAAAACCACAAAGATGGGGAAAAAACAGAGCAGAAAAACTGAAAATTCTAAAAATCAGAGCGCCTCTCCTCCTCCAAAGGAATGCAGTTCCTCACCAGCAATGGAACAAAGCTGGATGGAGAATGACTTTGATGAGTTGAGAGAAGAAGGCTTCCAACGATCAAACTACTCCGAGCTAAAGGAGGAAGTTCAAACCCATGGCAAAGAAGTTAAAAACCTTGGAAAAAGATTAGACAAATGGCTAACTAGAATAACCAATGCAGAGAAGTCCTTAAAGGACCCGATGGAGCTGAAAACCACCGCAAGAGAACTACGAGATGAATGCACAAGCCTCAGTAGCCAACTCGATCAACTGGAAGAAAGAGTATCAGTGATGGAATATCAAATGAATGAAATGAAGTGAGAAGAGAATTTTAGAGAAAAAATAATAAAAAGAAACTAACAAAGCCTCCAAGAAATATGGGACTATGTGAAAAGACCAAATCTATGTCTGATTGGTGTACCTGAAAGTGATGGGGAGAATGGAACCAAGTTGGAAAACACTCTGCAGGATATTATCCAGGAGAACTTCCCCAATCTAGCAAGGCAGGCCAATATTCAGATTCAGGAAATACAGAGAATGCCACAAAGATACTCCTCGAGAAGAGCAACTCCAAGACACATAATTGTCAGATTCACCAAAGTTGAAATGAAGGAAAAAATGTTAAGGGCAGCCAGAGAGAAAGGTCGGATTACCCACAAGGGGAAGCCCAACAGACTAACAGCTGATCTCTCAGCAGAAATTCTACAAGCCAGAAGAGAGTGGGGGCCAATATTCAACATTCTTAAAGAAAAGAATTTTCAACCCAGAATTTCATATCCAGGCAAACTAAGCTTCATAAGTGAAGGAGAAATAAAATACTTTACAGAGAAGCAAATGCTGAGAGATTTTGTCACCACCAGGCCTGCCCTACAAGAGCTCCTGAAGGAAGCACTAAACATGGAAAGGAACAACCGGCACCAGCCACTGCAAAAACATGCCAAATTGTAAAGACCATCAAGGCTAGGAAGAAACTGCATCAACTAACGAGCAAAATCACCAGCTAACATCATAATGACAGGATCAAATTCACACATAACAATATTAACCTTAAATGTAAATGGGCTAAATGCTCCAATTAAAAGACACAGACTGGCAAATTGGACAAAGAGTCAAGACCCATCAGTGTGCTGTATTCAGGAGACCCATCTCATGTGCAGAGACACACATAGGCTCAAAATAAAGGGATGGAGCAAGATCTACCAAGCAAATGGAAAGCAAAAAAAGGCAGGGTTGTAATCCTAGTCTCTGATAAAACAGACTTTAAACCAACAAAGATCAAAAGAGACAAAGAAGGCCATTACATAATGGTAAAGGGATCAATTCAACAAGAAGAGCTAATTATCCTAAATATACATGCACCCAATACAGGAGCACCCAGATTCATAAAGCAAGTCCTTAGAGACCTACAAAGAGACTTAGACTCCCACACAATAATAATGGGAGACTTTAACACCCCACTGTCAACATTAGACAGATCAATGACACAGAAAGTTAACAAGAATATCCAGGAATTGAACTCAGCTCTGCACCAAGCAGAGCTAATAGACATCTACAGAACTCTCCACCCCAAATCAACAGAATATACTTTCTTTTCAGCACCACACCACACCTATTCCAAAATTGACCACATAGTTGGAAGTAAAGCACTCCTCAGCAAATGTAAAAGAAAAGAAATTATAACAAACTGTCTCTCAGACCACAGTGCAATCAAACTAGAACTCAGGATTAAGAAACTCACTCAAAACCGCTCAACTACATGGAAACTGAACAACCTGCTCCTGAATGACTACTGGGTACACAACAAAATGAAGACAGAAATAAAGATGTTCTTTGAAACCAACGAGAACAAAGACACAACATACCAGAATCTCTGGGACACATTCAAAGCTGTGTGTGGAGGGAAATTTATAGCACTAAATGCCCACAAGAGGAAGCAGGAAAGATCTAAAATTGACACCCTAACATCACAATTAAAAGAGCTAGAGAAGCAAGAGCAAACACATTCAAAAGCTAGCAGAAGGCAAGAAATAACTAAGATCAGAGCAGAACTGAAGGAAATACAGACACAAAAAACCCTTCAAAAAATCAATGAATCCAGGAGCTGGTTTTTTGAAAAGATCAACACAATTGATAGACCACTAGCAAGACTAATAAAGAAGAAAAGAGAGAAGAATCAAATAGATGCAATAAAAAATGATAAAGGGGATATCACCACCGATCCCACAGAAATACAAACTACCATCAGAGAATATTATAAACACCTCTATGCAAATAAACTAGAAAATCTAGAAGAAATGGACAAATTCCTTGATGCATACACCCTCCCAAGATAAACCAGGAAGAAGTAGAATCTCTGAATAGACCAATAACAGGCTCTGAAACTAAGGCAATAATTAATAGCTTACCAACCAAAAAAAGTCCAGGACTAGGTGGATTCACAGCCGAATTCTACCAGAGGTACAAGGCAGAGCTGGTACCATTCCTTCTGAAACTATTCCAATCAATAGAAAAAGAGGGAATCCTCCCTAACTCATTTTATGAGGCCAGCATCATCCTGATACCAAAGCCTGGCAGAGACACAGCAAAAAAAGAGAGTTTTAGACCAATATCCCTGATGAACATCGATGTGAAAATCCTCAATAAAATACTGGCAAACCGAATCCAGCAGCACATCAAAAAGCTTATCCATCATGATCAAGTGGTCTTCATCCCTGGGATGCAAGGCTGGTTGAACATATGCATATCAATAAACATAATCCAGCATATAAACAGAACCAACGACAAAAACCACGATTATCTCAATAGATGCAGAAAAGGCCTTTGACAAAATTCAACAACCCTTCATGCTAAAAACTCTCGATAAATTAGGTATTGATGGGACGTATCTCAAAATAATAAGAGCTATCTATGACAAACCCACAGCCAATATCATACTGAATGGGCAAAAACTGGAAGCATTCCTTTTGAAAACTGGCACAAGACAGGGATGTCCTCTCTCACCACTCCTATTCAACATAGTGTTGTAAGTTCTGGTCAGGGCAATCAGGCAAGAGAAGGAAATAAAGGGTATTCAATTAGGAAAAGAGGAAGTCAAATTGTCCCTGTTTGCAGATGACATGATTGTATATCTAGAAAACCCCATCGTCTCAGCCCAAAATCTCCTTAAGCTGATAGGCAACTTTAGCAAAGTCTCAGGATACAAAATCAATGTGCAAAAATCACAAGCATTCTTATACACCAATAACAGACAAACAGAGAGCCAAATCATGAGTGAACTCCCATTCACAATTGCTTCAAAAAGAATAAAATACCTAGGAATCCAACTTACAAGGGATGTGAAGGACCTCTTCAAGGAGAACTACAAACCACTGCTCAAGGCAAACCACTGCTCAAGGAAATAAAAGAGGATACAAACAAATGGAAGAACATTTCATGCTCATGGGTAGGAAGAATCAATATCATGAAAATGGCCATACTGCCCAAGGTAATTTACAGATTCAATGCCATCCCCATCAAGCTACCAATGACTTTCTTCACAGAATTGGAAAAAACTACTTTAAAGTTCATATGTGTCGGGGAACCTGCCCCGATAGTCACATAGGTTCTTTTCTATTTTCCCTAAGCGTTGGCCGGGTTGAGAAATAAAGGGACAGAATACAAAAGAGAGAAATTTTAAAGCTGGGCATCCGGGGGAGACATCTTATGTCGGTAGGTTCCATGATGCCCCACAAGCCGCAAAACCAGCAAGTTTTTATTAGGGACTTTCAAAAGGGGAGGGAGTGTACGAATAGGTGTGGGTCACAGAGATCACATACTTCACAAGGTAATAGAATATCACAAGGCAAATGGAGGCAGGGCAAGATCACAGGACCACAGGACCAGGGCAAAATTAAAATTGCTAATGAAGTTTCGGGCACCATTGCCATTGATAACCTCTTATCAGGAGACAGGGTTTTGAGAGCAACCGGTCTAACCGAAATTTATTAGGTGGGAATTTCCTCTTCCTAATAAGCCTAGGAGCGCTATGGGAGACTGGGGTTTATTTCACCCCTACAGTTTTGACCATAGAAGATGGCCACACCCAAGGGGGCCATCTATAGACCCAACCCCAGGCACATATTCTCTTTCCCAGGGATGTTCCTTGCTGAGAAAAAGAATTCAGCAATATTTCTCCCATTTGCTTTTGAAAGAAGAGAAATATGGCTCTGTTCCGCCCGGCTCACTGGCGGTCAGAGTTTAAGGTTATCTCTCTTGTTTCCTAAACATTGCTGTTATCCTGTTCTTTTATCAAGGTGCCCAGATTTCATATTGTTTAAACACACATGCTCCACAATTTGTGCAGTTAACGCAATTATCACAGGATCCTGAGGCAACATACATCCTCCTCGGCTTACCAGATGACAGGATTAAGAGACTAAAGTAAAGACAGGCATAGGAAATCACAAGGGTATTGATTGGGGAAGTGATAATTGTCCATGAAATCTTCACAATTTTATGTTCAGAGATTGCAGTAAAGACAGGCATAGGAAATTATAAAAGTATTAATTTGGGGAACTAATAAATGTCCATGAAATCTTCACAATCCACGTTCTGCCATGGCTTCAGCCGGTCCCTCCATTTGGGGCCCCTGACTTCCCGCAACACATATGGAACCAAAAAAGAGCCCGCATTGCCAAGTAAATCCTAAGCCAAAAGAACAAAGCTGGAGGCATCACACTACCTGACTTCAAACTATACTACAAGGCTACAGTAACCAAAACAGCATGGTACTTGTACCAAAACAGAGATATAGACCAATGGAACAGAACAGAGCCCTCAGAAATAATGCCACATATCTACAACTATCTGATCTTTGACGAACCTGACAAAAACAAGAAATGGGGAAAGTATTCCCTATTTAATCAATGGTGCTGGGAAAACTGGCTAGCCATATGTAGAAAGCTGAAACTGGATCCCTTCCTTACACCTTATACAAAAATTAATTCAAGATGGATTAAAGACTTAAATGTTAGACCTAAAACCATAAAAACCCTAGAAGAAAACCTAGGCAATACCATTCAGGACATAGGCATGGGCAAGGACTTTTGTCTAAAACACCAAAAGCAATGGCAACAAAAGCCAAAATTGACAAATGGGATCTAATTAAACTAAAGAGCTTCTGCACAGCAAAAGAAACTACCATCAGAGTGAACAGGCAACCTACAGAATGGGAGAAAATTTTTGCAATCTACCCATCTGACAAAGGGCTAATATCCAGAATCTATAATGAACTCAAACAAATTTACAAGACAAAAACAAACAACCCCATCAACAAGTGGGTGAAGGATATGAACAGACACTTCTCAAAAGAAGACATTTATGCAGCCAAAAGATACATGAAAAAATGCTCATCATCACTGGCCATCAGAGAAATGCAAATCAAAACCACAATGAGATATCATCTCACACCAGTTAGAATGGCGATCATTAAAAAGTCAGGAAACGACAGGTGCTGGAGAGGATGTGGAAAAATAGGAACACTTTTACACTGTTGGTGGGACTGTAAACTAGTTCAACCATTGTGGAAGTCAGTGTGGCGATTCCTCAGGGATCTAGAACTAGAAATACCATTTGACCCAGCCATCCCATTACTGGTAATATACCCAAAGGATTATACATAATGCTGCTATAAAGACACATGCACATGTATGCTTATTGTGGCACTATTCACAATAGCAAAGACTTGGAACTAACCCAAATATCCAACAATGATAGACTGGATTAAGAAAATGTGTCACATATACACCATGTAGTACTATGCAGCCATAAAAAATGATGAGTTCATGTCCTCTGTAGGGACATGGATGAAGCTGGAAACCATCATTCTCAGCAAACTATTGCAAGGACAAAAAACCGAACACTGCATGTTCTCACTCATAGGTGGGAATTGAACAATGAGAACACATGGACACAGGAAGGGGAACATCACACACCGGGGCCTGTTGTGGGGTGGGGGGAGGGGGGAGGGATAGCATGGAGATATACCTAATGTTAAATGACGAGTTAATGGCTGCAGCACACCAACATGGCACATGTATACATATGTAACAAACCTGCACATTTTGCACATGTACCCTAAAACTTATAGTAAAAAAAAAAAAAAGAAAGAAAGAAAGAAAAAGAAAATCCCAACATCATTTCTTATAGAAATAGAAAAAAATTCTAGCCTGTAATCCTGGCACTTTGGGAGGCCAAGGTGGAAGAACTGCTTGAGCCGAGGAGTTCACCTCTACCAAAAAAAAAAAAATTTTTTTACCAGGTTTGTCAATGCATGCCTGAGGTACCAGCTACTCCAGGAGCTGAGGTAGGAGGATTGCTTGTTTGGGCTCAGGAGTTTGAGGCTGCAGTGAGCCATGATTGTGACATTCATTCCAGCCTGGGAAAGAGAATGAAACCATGCCTCAAAAAAAAACAAAAAACATTAAAATTCATACAAAACTGCAAAAAAAAAAAAAAAAAAAAAGCCAAGGCAATCGTGAGCAAAAAGAAAAAAAGCTGGAGATATTTGCTTCAGAGCTCTCTGAAGTTGAAAAAACTGGAGGTATCACACTATCTGATTTTAAACTATACTACAAAGCTATACTAATTAAAATAGTATGAAATAATCGCTTCTCTGCCTTTTGGCTAAGATCAAGTAAGTGTAAAACAGCATGGAATTGGCAAAAAAGAAAAAGACACATCAACCAATGGAACAGAATAGAAAGCCCAGAGATGAATCTGATTTTCAACAAATATGCCAAGAAGAAAAAGACCGCTTTTTTCAATAAATGGTGTAGGGAAAACTGAATTTCCACATGCAGAAAAAGAAAATTGGACCCTTATTTCAACACCATATACAAAAGTTAGTTCAAAATGGATTACATACTTAAACATTCCTGCATTAGTTTGCTCAGGAAAATTGCCAACAAAAAAAAAAAAAAAAAAAAAAAAAGGAAAGAAAGAAAAAAAAGAGACCTTTAAGACCAAGAACCTAAAACTGCTAGAAGAAAACATAGGGGATCAGCTGACAGCCTCCTTTAAAAAAAAAAAAAAAAAAGAAAGAAAACATAGGGGAAACATACAAGACATTGGTCTGGGTAATGATTTTTTGGATTTGTTCCCAAAAGCACAGACAACAAAATTAAATATAGACAAATGGTATCATATCAAAGTAAAAAGCTTCTTGGTTCATGATGTGTAGCTAAAACAAACAAACTAAAAACCTTCTGCACAGCAAACAATCAACAGAGTAAAGAGATAACCTATGGAATGGGAGAAAATATTTGCAAGCCAGACATCTGATAAGGGGTTAATATCCAACACATATAAAGAGCTCAAACAACTCAATAGCAACAAAACAAAACAAAAAAGCAATTAAGACCTGCTTTCTGCTGACCAAGTCTTCTTCCTTACCCCTCCCTAATAAGAAGAAAAAAAGGCAATTAAAAGATGGGTAACTCCTCCTTAGTATAGTGGTAAAATTTAAACATTAAAAAAGTTTTGGGACCAGTCTGGTCACTCACACCTGTAATCCCAGCACTTTCGAAGGCCAAGGTGGGCAGATTGCCTGAGCCCAGGAGTTCAAGACTAGCCTGGGCAACATAATAAAACACTGTCTCTACAAAAAAAAAAAAAAAATTAGCTGGGCTTGAGCCATGTTTGTGTCACTGCACTTGAGCCTGGGTGAGAGAGCGAGACCCTGTCTCAAAAAAAAAAAAAAAAAAAAAAGCTTTAAGTTGTAAAAAAAAGTGGGTAAGATCAAAAGAAGAGAAGGAAAGAAAACAATGTATAAGATACCTGAGCTCTCCCTCTCCCTCTCCCTCTCCCCACGGTCTCCGTTTCCCTGTCTTTCCACGGTCTCCCTCTGATGCGGAGCCGAAGCTGGACTGTACTGCTGCCATCTCGGCTCACTGCAACCTCCCTGCCTGATTCTCCTGCCTCAGCCTGCGATTGCAGGTGCGCACCGCCACGCCTGACTGGTTTTCGTATTTTTTTGGTGGAGACGGGGTTTCGCTGTGTTGGCCAGGCTGGTCTCCAGCTCCTAACCACGAGTGATCTGCCAACCTCGGCCTCCCGAGGTGCCGGGATTGCAGACGGAGTCTCATTCACTCAGTGCTCAATGTTGCCCAGGCTGGAGAGCAGTGGCGTGATCTCGGCTAGCTACAACCTCCACCTCCCAGCCGCCTGCCTTGGCCTCCCAAAGTGCCGAGATTGCAGCCTCTGCCCAGCCGCCACCCCGCCTGGGAAGTGAGGAGCGTCTCCGCCTGGCCGCCCATTGTCTGGGATGTGAGGAGCCCCTCTGCCCGGCTGCCCAGTCTGGGAAGTGAGGAGCGCCTCTTCCCGGCCGCCATCCCATCTAGGAAGTGAGGAGCGCCTCTTCCCGGCCGCCATCCCGTCTAGGAAGTGAGGAGCGTCTCTGCCCGGGGGCCCATCGTCTGAGATGTGGGGAGCGCCTCTGCCTGGCCGCGACCCCATCTGGGAGGTGAGGAGCGTCTCTGCCCGGCCGCCCCATCTGAGAAGTGAGGAGCCCCTCCGCCCCGCAGCTGCCCCATCTGAGAAGTGAGGAGCCCCTCCGCCCGGCAGCCGCCCCGTCTGAGAAGTGAGGAGCCCCTCCACCCGGCAGCCGCCCCGTCTGGGAAGTGAGGAGCTTCTCTGCCCGGCAGCCGCCCCGTCCAGGAGGGAGGTGGGGGGCAGCCCCCGCCGGGCAAGCTGCCCCGTCTGGGAGGGAGGTGGGGGGTCAGCCCCCGCCCGGCCGCTGCCCCGTCCGGGAGGTGGGGGGCACCGCTGCCCGGCCGCCCCTTCTGGGAAGTGAGGAGCCCCTCTGCCCGGCCACCACCCCGTCTGGGAGGTGTACCCAACAGCTCATTGAGAACGGGCCATGATGACGGTGGTGGTTTTGTGGAATAGAAAAGGGGGAAAGGTGGGGAAAAGATAGAGAAATCAGATTGTTGCTGTGTCTGTGTAGAAAGAAGTAGACATGGGAGACTTCATTTTGTTCTGTACTGGGAAGGGTTCTTCTGCCTTGGGATGCTGTTGATCTGTGACCTTGCCCCCAGCCCTGTGCTCTCTGGGGCATGTGCTGTGTCCACTCAGGGTTAAATGGATTAAGGGCGGTGCAAGATGTGCTTTGTTAAACAGATGCTTGAAGGCAGCATGCTCGTTAAGAGTCATCACCACTCCCTAATCTCAAGTACCCAGGGACACAAACACTGCAGAAGGCCGCAGGGTCCTCTGCCTAGGAAAACCAGAGACCTTTGTTCACTTGTTTATCTGCTGACCTTCCCTCCACTATTGTCCTATGACCCTGCCAAATCCCCCTCTGCGAGAAACACCCAAGAATGATCAATAAAAAAAAACAAAAAACAAAAAAAGAAAGAAAAGAAGCAGAGTTGGACTCAGTGGGAAAATAGGCGTGCTACCACCTCAGGAGAGTTCCAGGGAAGAATCCCACCCCCACTCCAATGAGGTCACAATGGCTGGAGCTCTGAGGGGCCCAGGCTCCCTGAGCCAGGAGGAGAGGAGAAAGTCCAAGGAAAGATGGCTGGCAGTCACCCCTATTTCAACCAGCCTGACTCCACACACCCATCGCCGCCCTCCGCTCCACCCAGCCTCCGCTGGTACCAGCGCTGCCAGCCCTCTGATGCCACCAGTGGCCTGCTGGTGGCCCTGCTGGGTGGGGGCCTGCCTGCTGGCTTCGTGGGCCCCCTTTCTCGTATGGCTTACCAGGCTTCCAACCTGCCCTCGCTGGAGCTGCTCATCTGGCGATGCCTCTTCCACCTCCCTATTGCCCTGCTACTTAAACTGCGTGGCGACCCCCTTCTGGGAACTCCTGACATCCGAAGCCGGGCCTTCTTCTGTGCCCTGCTCAACATCCTCAGCATTGGATGTGCCTACAGTGCGGTTCAGGTGGTGCCCGCTGGCAACGCTGCCACTGTTCGCAAAGGTTCTTCCACCGTCTGCTCCGCCGTCCTCACTCTCTGCCTTGAGAGCCAGGGTCTCAGTGGCTACGACTGGTGTGGACTGTTGGGCTGCATCCTAGGACTAATCATCATTGTGGGACCTGGACTCTGGACACTACAGGAGGGGACCACGGGTGTCTACACCGCCCTGGGCTATGTGGAGGCTTTCCTGGGAGGCCTGGCGCTGTCCCTGAGGCTTCTGGTCTATCGTTCTCTGCACTTTCCCCCCTGCCTCCCAACAGTGGCCTTCCTATCTGGCTTGGTGGGGCTGCTGGGCTCTGTGCCAGGCCTCTTTGTGCTGCAGGCCCCCGTGTTGCCCAGTGACCTCCTGAGTTGGAGTTGTGTGGGGGCAGTGGGGATCCTCGCCTTGGTCTCCTTCACATGTGTGGGCTATGCGGTCACCAAGGCCCACCCTGCCCTGGTGTGCGCTGTCCTACATTCCGAGGTGGTTGTGGCCCTTATACTGCAGTATTATATGCTCCATGAGACTGTGGCACCTTCTGACATCGTGGCGGCAGGGGTTGTGCTGGGCAGCATTGCCATCATTACAGCCCAGAACCTCAGCTGTGAGAGGACAGGGAGGGTGGAGGAGTGAGATAGAACTTGGGAGCCCGGGGGTTGGGAGGGACAGGGATAAATAAAGGCAAAGACTGAAGACAAACATGGGAGGAGAAGTGACTGGAAAAGAACTGGTGTGGGAGAGGGATACCTCTCAGAGTCAAGGGTGACTTGGGGACTTGGTGGAGAGGGACTACGTGGAAGACCTGGGGCCAGCCTGGGACCAAGGGATGTGGAGTCCAGGCTGGGTCCTAGAATCAGGGCATAACTAAGGGGTAAAGTCTGAGGAGCAGATCCAAAGGGCTGAGGCAGGGAGGCCGTGGGCCATGGGGAGGACTTCACTCAGCAGCAAAGAGAAGAGCATTGGGGCTGGAGTGTTCCGGCAAAGACAGAGCCAGCAGCTGCGCTGGGGGAGGGAAGCGTGCCTCCCCACCCCTCCCCTCACGGGGAAGGTTTCCTTTCCTCGTGCTTGTGCCCCCCGCTTGGGGTGGTGACGTGACATTGACATCAAACAAGGATTACAGTGAATGTGAAAAAAAAAAAAAAAGATACCTGAATAGACATTTCTATGACATTTTAAAAGCCATGAATTTATTTTGGCACAAATATTTTATCATATGCAGTCACTTCTTTGTAAATGATTTTTTGTAAAGTCATTGGATATAAAAGAGTGATTTTCCTCACCTGAGTACATGAAAAGAAAATGCTGAAATCAATGTATAAATCAAATCATCTGTACTAGCACTGTTAATCTAGAAGAAAGTGGTTGCATAGAGAAGAGTAAGAATGTAGACCAGCTTATTGAAGTAGGAAAAGAAAAAAAAAAGGAGCTTCAGAGGTAGGCTTTGCCTCTTAAAAAAATTAAAAACATAAGTCACTGTGTTGTGCTTGGGAGTTAGCAGCAAAAAAAAAAAAAAAAAATGAAGTCACTGTCTGTGAAAGGAAAAGAAAAAATGAAAAGAGTTTGCATCCATTGAAGTATGCAGAAAAAGAAAACAAGTTTTAAAATAAAATAAAATGAGTATAGTTGGGGGCTTAGCAATGGACATACAGAGTGGAGTAATAGACACCGGAGGCTCCAAAAGGTGGGCAGATGGGTGGGGGATGAGGGATGAAATCCTACCTATTGGGTACAATGTTCACTATTCTGATGATGAGGATGCTATGCAATATGCTTTACCACTACGCAATGTATCCATGCAACAAAACTGCACTTGTACTCCTAAATCCATAAAAATTTAAAATTGTCTTGGCTGAGACCTCTTTTAAAAAATAATAAAATAAAAAAATTAGAGAGAATAGTAAGAGCAGAGCAAGGACATTTAGTCTATAGTTTCAAATGGACTTAATCATTTGAAACAATAAAGTTTTTCATTGAATCTTCATAGAGTATTAAAAAAAAAGCTGCTCATTGGCAGAATTTCCCACTGAGTTAGTATAGATTACATGCTCTTTGATAAAAGCAGCAAATAAAGTTACTTGGTTTTTTTTCTCTTTAGTGTTTGCTTTAAGAGAAAAATCCTAAACTCCTTCAGAGGAAGGAAAAAAGAGACAGAGAGTGAGAAATCCTTAAAACTGTAGGGACTTCCAATGCCAGGAAACCATGAAATATGAGAGTATATTTAGCAATCATGGTGATTTAGCTCATGGTAATTGGCATATGTATAATTATAATTTGCATTCCAGTTATTTAAACTGAGATATTCCTGATCAGGTTTAACACACTTGGGGAAAGATCTCTTTCCCCAAGAAATAAGATGGAGAGAGTCTTTGGAGAGTGGCCTAACTGAACTGGTAAGTCAGCTTCCTCCGGATTTTGGTAATTTCCTCACTTCTTCCATAATTTCTCAGTGCCCTGGCCATTTTCTGATAAGTCATGGTCTTCCAACGGCCTTTTCTTTTCCGCCAAAGCTCGGCAAGTTTTCCTTTGTTTTTTGATACAAACGGAAAGATGCCTTTGATTTTATCTACCCACTGAATACAAGGTGCCATCTCCGGATTACACAGGGATTCGTGAAGGTATTCAAACAGTCTAAGCTTCTTCCTGCCTTTTCCCCACTTTTGCTGGAGAATAGTGGGTTGTACCAGCTGGTTTTCAGTTATGTTCTGCAGAGACTGATGAATGTTTCCTTCAAAATAGAAGTCCGCAGCACTGTTGATTACCGTTCTCCAATTACAGAGAGGTTCCTCTGTAGGCAACACTCCATAGCAGCTGGAATTTCCTTTGACGTGAGGACAATAATTGATTAAAGCCAGGTAATTTTTGTAATCTGGCGAGTACTAAAGATCTCCAGTTGAATGTTGCCTCAGTGCCTCAAAAGCATCCTCAAATGCTTGACCCAGCTTGTCTTGTTCAACACACGTCATGTTTCATTAATAAATTGACAATTTTGTTCCTTGGCAATTGTTGCAGGAAGACACTTCAACCCTTTATAGAGATATTTCATTAATATCAGAATTGTAAATTCAATGGTAGGCTGTCATGAAAATAAAAAATTATTTTCCAGCATGATGGTTCTGCCCATCAGTGTCCAATGCAGCATCCACTTGCATATGGTGGAAATAGCCTTCCCCTCCCCTGAAACACATGTCTGCCTCCCGCTTGGCTAACCTGTAACCTGCCATTGTAACAGCTGTCACGTTTGGCCAATTTTATGATTTTC
This sequence comes from Homo sapiens, assembly GCF_000001405.40. NCBI lineage: Eukaryota > Metazoa > Chordata > Mammalia > Primates > Hominidae > Homo > Homo sapiens. The sequence continues at coordinate 35,190,664 of NC_000017.11, read as the reverse complement.
ATTGCCTTTTCTTGCCTTTTTGTACTAGCTACGCTCTTCGGTACAAAGTTGAATACAATTGGTAATAGCAAGTACTGTTATCTCATTCTTAATCTCGGGATAATTAAATATCACAGTGGCTATAGATTTTATACAGATAAACTTTATCACATTAAGGAAGCTTCTTTCTATTTTTAGTTTACTGAAGAGTTTTATCATGAATTGTTACTGAATTTTATCAAAAACTTTTCTTACGTCTATTGAGATAGTCATTATTTTATTCTTTATTCTGTTGATGTAGTACATTATATTGGTTGATAGTCTCATATTAACCAACTTATTGTTCTTAGAATAAACATAACTTGATTAATGTGTTATCTTTTTATATATTGGTGGATTTGGGGTGCTAGTATTTAGTAAAGGATTTTGTACCTATAGTCATAAAAGATACTGGTCTACAATTTTCCTATATGTCTTTGTTAAGTTTTGCTATCAAGCTATCCTCATAAAAAGAGCTGAAAGTGTCCTTTCTTTTATCTTCTTTGGAAGGGTTTGCATAAGACTGGTACTGTTTTGGCCAGACGCGGTGGCACACACCTGTAATCCCAACGCTTTGCGAGGCTGAGGTGAGAGGATTATTTGAGCCCAGGAGTTCAAGACCAGCCTGGTCTTTACAAAAAATAAAAAATAAAAATACTTGATGCACCTATAATATCATAGTGAATCTCCATTTCTATATAAAAAAAAAGTTTTTAAAAAGGAAAAGAAAAAAACATTAAGTTGGAGGACTAACAGTGAATATCAGCTACTCAGGAGACTGAGTGGGAGGATCGCTTGAGCCCAGGAGGTTGAAGCTGCAGTGAGCCGTGATCACGCCACTGCACTCCAGCCTGGGTGACAGAGTGAGACCCTGTCTCGAAAAACAAAAGAAAACAAAAGAATGGCATTGTTTCTTTCTTAAATGCCTGTAGAATTCACCAGTGAAACTAAATGGGCCTGAGTTTTCTTTGTGGGAAGGCTTTCCTTACCATCGTTGTTGTTATTACAAACGTAATTTCTCCAATAGGTATCATACTATTCAAATTTTCTATTTCTTCTTTTAACAGTTTAGTAAATGGTGTCTCAGACACTTAAACCTCTGTGACTCACAACCTCTGCTAACAAATTGGCAAACATCCCAAATGGAATCAACTTTACCAAAAAGTTAAGCTTCCTCCTTGGTGCTTCCCTTTTTGTTGGTCTCACTGCCTTAATGGCTCTCGGTGCCTTAAACAGATTGTTTAAGTTTTGCCCAGTTTTTCAATTTTTGTATGTCATGGTATTGTTTTGCCACAAGTTACTCTTACTAGGAACAGAAATTCTTTATTATTTACCTTTCACAAATGAGAAGACTAAGAGTCAAAGGGGTTAAATTTTTACAAAATATCCTTTTGGAGATATAAACTTTAAAACTGTATGCTTCTCAAATGGCAAAGGATTAATATGACACAGACCAAGTTCTCTGATAACAACATACTTCAGTTAAAAGTAATAATATAAATGATGAATTTTCCCATTATATGTTGGGAAACTAAGAAACATACCTCTAAGATATTTATAGATTTTCTGTAAGAGAATTGGTTGGAAAAACCTAGAAAGTTGGCAGGTATTGGCTGTTCCTTGCTGTTTTTGGGCAAACTACCTCAATAAAGAGATGATCTCAGGCTAGCATCTGCCTATTTGAAAGCATAGATGAAAAAAAAAAGAAATCTGCAAAGAAGGGCCCTCTTACAAGCAACAATATAAGAGTCTAGGCTGGAAAAGCCAACTACTTATGTAACCTAGGCAGTGGGAAACAAAGGTATTTGTCACAGCTTTTCTTAAAGGCCTCCCATGAAGACTTAGCCAGACAATGGGAGGCAGCCCAGTGGCAAAAATCAGATGAAGGAATTCAGCTTTCCTCTAGATCTTCTTGGACTATTTACAAAATATTCATGTTAAAGAATGTGGTCTCCCAGACTGGGCAACATAGTGAGACCCTGTCTCTACAAAAAAAAATTTTTTAATTACCTGGGGGTGGTGGTGTGTGCCTGTAGTCCCAGCTATTGAGGAGGCTGAAGTAGAAAGATCACTTGAGCCCAGGAGACCAAGGCTGCGGTGAGCCATGACTGCACCACTGCACTGCACTTGAGCCTAGGTTACAGAGCAAGACCCTGTCTCAAAAAAAAAAAAAAAAAAAGTCTCTCCAATCCAAACAAGATGAACTTTATCTAACTGGCCCTGAACGCCACTGGCAGATGTAACCTCATGAGATCAAAACGAGTAAGAGTGTGGCCCTGCCTGTGAAAGAGTTTCCTTTAAAGGAGCTAAATACACCCACTCAAGCCCACATATGAGGAAAGCAGGAAAGAAGAATTTGACAGAGGTCAAATCATGCCATTTATTGTGTATATTTTCAGAAGCACCACACCCTTTTGAATGTTGTCATTCTCTATCATAATAAGGATATGATGAATATAGTTTCCTGCTGTGAAACAAGCCCATGCAAGAGTTAGTTAAAATGTAGGCTGTATGTAAAGACCATTAGTGCAGAAAAGATCTGAGAAATTAAGGTTTTAGTTCTCTAGAGGTACAGCGGGTATTATGTTGGATTTGGCCCATACCGCAACAGTGCAACTCTCTGATAGTCTGTCCCTTTTCCAGCTGATGTCCCAGGCATATGTACACTTACATTTATTACACAACGGAACGTTGTAAATTGTTTTTATCAAGGACCGTAAATCTGAATGTCCCACCCTTTACCCAATGCTGAGATCAGAACTGTTGACCCTTCAATAAACGTAGGTAGAATTGGGACATACTGGAGTGACAGTACTAGATCTTAGCTATCTTAACCATGCTAAAAAGGCAATATTAGCAGAGAGGTTCTGATCTACAGCATATTACTTGTGTCATTCTTTTGTGGCCAAGCCTGACATACAGAATATGTTCTTTGATCTGCCCAGGGTACATTCTTTTGTGGTGGCACACCTCTTCCATTAATACCCCTAATCAGTCCATGTCAATTGGACAGGGATGAAGCTCATTTCTTCCCTAGACTTGTATATATGACCCAGGCCTGGCCAATTAGCATTCCACCTCTGAATATGATTGGTTCATAGATGGAAATGTGACCTGAGACATAGACATATCAGAGTCATCCCTGGGAACTTTGCCGGGTTATTGAGAATGCTCTTCTCTCTTCTATTCCATAATGAACTATAACAACTATGTCACCCTGGGGCTGCTGGGGACTCTCTTTCCTATCACAGGGAGAGAGCCTGCCAGGGAATGAGACAAACCTATAATAAATAAAAGACAAGATATGGGGAGGGGAAATGAGAGAGAGAAAAAGACACATCCATGGTGATGACATTTGAAACTCTGGATCTAACTAACAATGTCAGACCTTCCCTGGGTGGCCAAGATACATGAGCCAATGAATTATTTATTTTTTGTTTGAAGTACTTTGAGTAGATCTTATTTGTATTCATCATGTCCATCTTGCTTGGAAGACTTTCCCAAGCAAATTGCAGAGGTCATGCCCCACTGTTGAACATAAACTCTATTTCCATCACAGTGAAGTGATGGGAATGGGCATGGGACTGGGACAGAGCACTGCAGGTGAAACACACAGTTCTGAACAGACTGATTCAAATAGTGTGGGAGAGAGGTCATGAAAACAGCACAGATCAGCATCCAAATACAACAGCATTAACCTTTATATGCACACACCCGTTAGTTCCTACCTTACCACAAAATCCATTTTCCAAAATATAAAGAACTTCAACCTATTATCCTGGCCTTCAGAATGGGTACAGAAAGAATGATCCAACCTATTTCTAATCATGGGTGAAAATTATTCTGGGAATTTCTGAAACATGACAAATATAAGGAGACAGGAAGCAAGAGAGAGAGTGAAACATCCAAACTCTGTCAGGACAAAGGAGAAGACTCACAACTCAGAGAACAATCAAGTCTTTCCTTTATATTGAGACTTCATTGTCACTGCTATGATCCCTAGATGACCTGACTCTTCAGGAGAACCCAACCAACCCAGGACTCTGCACAGTACAGGACCACTCCCAGCATCCCTGAGGGTCGCTGTCTAAGACACTGGTTTAATGAAACCATAATCCATGCACTTGATGAGACATTCTCGGGCTGTCTGAACCACTTCTGCCTTCTTCTCATCTGGCTCCTGTTTGCCCACCACAGTCAGGATCTCCAGCAGCTCACTCTCCACCAGCTTCTTGGCCAGCTCAGCATCGGCTGCCAGTAGGTTGTAGGCAATGACCAGGCCCCGGTGTTGGACAGACAGCTGGTCGTGCAGGCAAAGCCGCTGGAGGATCTCCAACCACTGGGTTGTCTGGAGGCAGGGAAAAAGGTAAGGAAGGTGCTAGGTTTGAGTGTGTCCCCAGAGTTCATGTGTTGGAAATGTGGTCCCTGGTGTGGCAATGTTAGGAGGTGGGTCCTTTAAGAGGTAATTAGGTCATTAAGAGGAATTAATGTTGCTGTCACAGGAATGTGTTAATTCTTGCAGCAGTGAGTTCTTGCTCTCAAGGGACTAGACTAGTAATCATGAGAGCCACTCACGGCCCCAATTGCCACCTCTTGTGTTTTATCCTTTTCACACACACACACTTCCCCTTCTGCTTCTAAATCATGCTATGACACAGCACAAGACCTTCACCAAAAGCAAATCAGATGACACTGTCTCATCTTGGACTTCCCACCCTCCTGAGCTGTGAACCAAAATGAAGCTCTTTTCTTTTACCTAGTCTGAGGTATTCTGTTATAGCAACAGAAAATGAACAAAAACAAAAGGACTAAAGGAATCAGCATAACTTAGTTATGGTCACGCTACCAACCATATGGCCTCAGCTAAGTTATTTAACCTCTGTAAGCCTCAGGGTCATCTTCTATACCTTCCTCTAACATTGTGGTGATTTAATGAGATGATACATGGAAAGAGCTTAGTATGGAGGCTGGAGCACAGTAAGTGCTCAACAAGTAGAAGTGGATGCAGGGCAAGTACGTGATGATTTAAGACACCAACCCAGGCCAGGTGCGGTGGCTCATGCCTGTAATCCCAGCACTTTGGGAGGCCGAGGCAGGCGGAGCATGAGGTCAGGAGTTTGAGACCAGCCTGGCCAACATGGGGAAACCCCCTCTCTACTAAAAATACAAAAATTAGCCAGGCATGGTGGTGCACGCCTGTAATCCCAGCCACTAGGAAGGCTGAGGCAGGAGAATCGCTTGAACCCAGGAGGTGGAAGTTGCAGTGAGCCAAGATTGTACCACTGCACTCCAGCCTGGGCAAAAGAGCAAGACTGTGTCTCAAAAAAAAATAAAAATAAAAATAAATTAAAAAAAAACACCAATGCAAAGGTTTTCCCTTGGGCTTCTTTGTACCTGTTACCCTCACCTGGCATTTGTCAGCAGGGCTCACTTTCCACAAGCACATGGGTAGACAGACACGGGGGGAAGAAAAGGCAAATTCTTGGCTTTTGAGCATCTAACCCAACTTTTGTAAACTGCACTGAATGTCCTATCCCAAGGAAAGAACATGAAAGCTCAGCTAGCTGTGGCACGGTTCTATGCTGGAAAGTTTCTACGCTGAAGTGTAACTGATAATGGGTCCAGGGCCCATCGCTCCCTGGGATGAGTCACCGAAGGTCAAAGGAAGCAGTGATAGAAACTCAACAAGGATAGGATTCCAGAGCAGGAAGCATAGCCCAGGGCATAGCCCAGATGACATGAGACTGTAGAGATGTCCAGCATCCAACATGGCCATGGGGTGGCACAAAAGATGAGTCTGAGCAGCTTCACAGAGTCCCCAGGAAGCCCCATGTCAGAACAAAAATGCAGCCAAGATGTCTGAGCCCCGCAAGGAAGACCGACAAAGTGGCCAGGAGTGGGTTGGCAATCCTGAAGGGTCCCAATCCCTTCCCAACTAACAGCCTGCGTGGCCTTGGGCTAGTTGCTTTTCTGCACCTCAGTTTCCTCATTTGTAAAATAGGGATGATGACAATAATAATATCCACCTCACACGGTGGTTGGGAGAATTAAATGACTTAATAAATGTAAACACTTAGGGCAACACCTGGCACTCAGTAAGTGCAAGGAGTCACAGAGGGTCCTGTGAGGACCTGCAACAAGAGTTATGTGACCAGTGACACCAGCAGAGGCTGCTCTAGGGCAGCGGTTTCAAAGTGTGGTCTCCAAGCTGTTAGCCTCCCACCCCCAATCTACTAAATCAGAACACGTTGGGAAACTGTTCTAACAAGTTGCCCAGGTGATTCTTACACACATTACAGTTTTGAGAAGCTTGCCTTAGAGAAAGAAGCTGAAGTCCAAAGACCATGCAGGATGAGCTACATTCAGCAGATACACCCTTGCCAGATGCCAGGACAACGTAACCCCCCTTGGAACTTAGAGAACACACCCGCTGATACACACATACCTTACACTGACTATCTAGAAGAGCCTGCCTTTAAAACAGACATGAACACCTTTGAATTGAGATGTCCACATTTTTCACCATGGGGAGAGATGAGTGCCCACAAACTCTTCAGTTTGGTGAAATAAGGAAAGTTTCATTGTGCACTCCCACGTTTGTGACTATACAGATATCATTTCCATTACACCTGCTGCAATGGCCACAGTCTCATAGGAGCTGGTCATTGTGCCCACTTAAGAGAATCTGCAGCTTTTTTGCCAAACCATAAGCTCCTTATGGCATCCCAACCACATCCGTGCTTCTCTTGGGAAGCTCTGGAGCTCCATGGCAGTGGTTAGCATTGCTATTGTTCTTAAGCAATGAGGTATATGCACCACTAAAGGTAATGGGTGAAACTCCAGTGGGAGGGTTTGAGCTAGCACACTTGGGAAGACCAAATAATGAATGTAAGGCACTGAAGTGAATAAACCCTCCTCTCCTTAGGCAGTAGGAACAGAAGCCTGGGGGCTGCGAGGGGTTTCTTTAGGAGTTGGCCTCCCCAGAGGATCATCCAGTGTGGTCTGTGGGTGGGGAGATTCCCTGGAGCCACCCAGCCCGTCCTATCCCCAGGGCCAGCTCTTACCACTTGAGTCATCTTGAGGCACAGTTTCTTGTGTGCTGCTGTCAGCATGGCCAGAGCCCCTGCAGCCGCATTCTGCACCTTATCATCATCCTCCCCGCAGAGCAGCACCACCAGCTTCAGCCGGTCATTCCCGTCAGCCAAGAACCTTTCCTGTACCTGTGGGAGGCAGGAACATGGCTCAGAGAAAACTGTCCCCAATCTGCCCAGCCTGAAGAGGGAAAGATACATCTGAAGTTCTCTGACCCAAGATCTCTTAGAGTTTCCCTTTGAGCAGGTCACTCATGCTACCTCCCCCAAGAAGCCTTCCCTGACTGGTTGAATGAAGGGGCTACAAATTCTTCCAAGTAAAGAAAATAAGGAATTCCCCATCTAGTGTGCTTCACCACCTCTGTTTGCATTCAGCCTCCACACCAGGGGAAGGAGGCAGGCACAGACTCCTGCAGGGTAGATGATGCCTGAGGAACTGTATTTCCCATCCCTTTGGGGAACATTGGAAGGTTTCTCCCATAATGGATGGGCCTTCAGGGTCTTCCATAAAATGATTTTGCAGGGACTGGGGCAGAAGCAGGGAACAATTATGTGGTTTGCTTGGTATTAGAAAGCTACAGTGCCGTCTCCACCAGGTGAGAGATGAGGCTTCCCAACGATCTGAAAACCAGGAGAAGAGCTTCCAGGGGACCAGTGCCCTGATATGTCTCAGAGAGGTATTAACCCCTCACAGCATCTCATCCTCACCCCTCTGCACTACTGTAAAATCTAGGTGGTCAAGTCTCAGCGCATTCTACTGGGCCAGGTTTCCTAGAAGTGGAACTCCAAAAGGGGACCAAGATCACAGCTTCCCAGATGTGACCCTCTACCTGCATCTCCCTGAAGCTGGAGCAGTGGTCATGGGAGGTGAGAGCATGGCAGAGGTCACCATATATCAGAGGGGTCAGCATGGCCCCCTCTCATGGGACACAGCTGCCCTTACATGGACTACATTCCCCCATTTCTCACATCTCGATGTGGTGGTGGCCTAGTTCTCATAGATGGAACATGAGTGGAAGTGATGTGTCACTTTCAGGCACCTCTCCCTCAGTCTGTCTCCCCATTCACCATCAGAATGGAATCCACTCCCAGTGTGGCAGAGGAGAAGACAGTTCTTGATGATCAAAGAAGCCTGGATCCCTGAGTCAGCTTGAAAGTGAGCCACCCGGCCGGGCGCGGTGGCTCACGCCTGTAATCCCAGCACTTTGGGAGGCCAAGGCAGGCAGACCACGAGGTCAGGAGATCAAGACCATCCTAGCTAACATGGTGAAACCCCGTCTCTACTAAAAATACAAAAGATTAGCCAGGGGTGGTGGCACGCGCCTGTAGTCCCAGTTACTCGGGAGGCTGAGGCAGGACAATTGCTTGAACCCAGGAGGCGGAGGTTGCAGTGAGCTAAGATCACACCACTGCACTCTACCCTGGGTGACAGAGCCAGACTCCATCTCAGAAAAAAAAAAAAAAGTGAGCCACCCAATCCAAATAGGACTTTGACATGGTGAGCAAGAAATGAACTTCTATCCTATTGGGACCACTGAACATTTTGACTTGGGTTGTTGCAGCAGCCGGTGCTCCCATAGGAAAGGTTGCCTCCCTCCTCCCATTACCTCTCTCAACCTCTCAGCCTCCCCGCCCATCTCCTTGGACACACTCTCTGTCTCCCCTATGGCTGCCAGGCCCCCAGCCCAGCCTTAGGCCAGTTCCCTGGTAGACCCTGGTAGCTTCATTCCCCCTGACTTTAATATGCTTTTTTTTTTTTTTTTTTGAGATGCAGTCTTGCTTTGTCACCCAGGCTGGAGTGCAGTGGCATGATCTCGGCTCACTGTAACCTCTGCCTCCCAAGTTCAAGTGATTCTCATGTCTCAGGCTCCCGAGTAGCTGGGATTACAAGCACCCACCACCATGCCTGGCTAATGTTTGTACTTTTAGTAGAGACAGGGTTTTGCCATGTTGGCCAGGCTGGTCTCGAATTCCTGACTTCAAGTGACGCATCCACCTCAGCCTCCCAAAATGTTGGGATTGCAGACATGAGCCACCATACCTGGCCTTTAATCGGCTTTAATGGGTTAGGTTTTCCCCTATAACAGTGAGAAGGTCTAAGGTTCAGGTGTTGAGGGTAAACAGACTGGGTCTCACGCTAGCCCCTATGTGAGGGCCCAGGAGGGACATTCGGCTTGGCCCTCATGTTAATGAAGGGCCTCAAACTTAGACCCTGCTGTTATCTCTGATAAGATTACACATACAGTCACAGCAGTACTCTGACAGGATGGGGAGAAGAAGACATTCACCAGATGGGTATCATTTGTCCCATGACTGGACCATGAAGCCTACGGCATGTTCTGAATTCATTTTATTTTTATAAACCCTGTAATTATTCTGTGCTGAGTACAGTTATATTGCATTGCAATTTCTATGGGAACAGTGGTAGTTCATTAAATGCTGACATTTGAGACATCCTAAAATGGCTGATAACTGTATTTGGCATTTCTTCATTTTTTTTATATATGTGGAGCTTCAATAAATGCAAGTGGTCTAGCCTTCCTTGACCTCTGAGAGGCCCTGGTCTCATATCCTGCTTTGTTTTAAGGTTATTTGGGCCTAAGTAACTTAGGGAAATGGTGCCTTCCACCTCATCTAGCCCAGGGTCTGGATTGAAAGCCCCAGCTTTGTATTTTTTCCTTTATGCATATCTTTCTCTCAGGGCCCCTACAGGGAGGGGGGCTATAATCTAGGAAATATTTAGGGATTCCTGGATTTTCTGCCCAAAATGCTACCTTAATGCCATCATAAGAGCTCCCGATCTCACCCCAGGCCCTGACCCTGGCCTGCCTCTCGTGCCTTGATCACGCCCGGGTCTCCATCCTGAGCCCCTGCCTCACCTCCTTGTGGAGCACCATGTTGCACATGCACTCGGTGGCCGCCTGCCGCAGCTGATCATGATTCTCAAACATGTAGTTCTCGATGTCTGGCAAGGCCCTCTCCTTAAAGATCTTCTGCCTAGGGTAGGAGGGTGGAGGAAGAAAGACCCTTGAGTCTTCTGCCGTGACCATAGGGGTTTTCTGGCCACCCAGGGACCATTCTTCCATTCTGGTGCTGTCCTTCCCACATCCTCAGCCAGCATGGTTTATGTGGCATCACACTGCCCCCAGCTCTAGGAGGGGCACCATGGGCCTCAACTAAATTGTATAGCATGGCATCCTGGCCACAGCAGTGGGTTCTGGATATCACCCAACTGGAGAGCCTCTGTATTATTGCAGTAAAGAAATTCTCTCTCTCTCTCTCTCTCTCTCTCTCTCTCTCTCATCCTGGATGTAGATCCAAGAAGATGTGAAGGCCAGAACTGCCCTTATAACCATGAGAGAGCAGAAAAGCCCATTGAGAATTAAAGCAATACAGAAAGGAGAGGAGAGACAGAGAGAACAGGAACCTAAGGCAGCTTTGTAAGCCCTGCATCAAGCCACACCTGAATCTTGTTACCCCAGACTTTTTATCTACATGAGCCAATAAATTTCCTTTATGCTTAGGCCTATTATAGTTAAGTTTTCTGCTACTGGCAACCAAAAGAATCCCAACCCAGTACATGCTGACATACTCCTGCTTCCAAAGAGGAATACATTTTATCCCACTATCCACCTGGATATCTTTTTTTTTTTAATACTTTAAGTTCTAGGGTACATGTGCACAACGTGCAGGTTTGTTACATAGGTATACATGTGCGTGCCATGTTGGCTTGCTGCGCCCATCAACTCGTCATTTACATTAGGGTATTTCTCCTAATGTTATCCCTCCCCCAGCTCCCCACCCCCAACAGGCCCCGGTGTGTGATGTTCCCCGCCCTGTGTCCATGTGTTCTCATTGTTCAACTCCCACCTACGAGTGAGAACATGCGGTGTTTGGTTTTCTGTCCTTGTGGTAGTTTGCTCAGAATGATGGTTTCCAGTTTCATCTATGTCCCTGCAAAGGACATGAACTCATCCTTTTTTATGGCTGCATAGTATTCCATGGTGCATATGTGTCACATTTTCTTAATCCAATCTATCATTGATGGACATTTGGGTTGGTTCCAAGTCTTTGCTATTGTGAATAGTGCCACAATAAACATACGTGTGCATGTGTCTTTATAGTAGCATGATTTATAGTCCTTTGGGTATATACCCAGCAATGGGATTGCTGGGTCAAATGTTATTTCTAGTTCTAGATCCTTGAGAGCCAAATCATGAGTGAACTCCCATTCACAACTGCTACCAACAGAATAAAATACCTAGGAATCCAATTTACAAGGGATGTGAAGGACCTCTTCAAGGAGAACTACAAACCACTGCTCAACAAAATAAAAGAGGACACAAACAAATGGAAGAACATTCCATGCTCATGGATTGGAAGAATCAATATCATGAAAATGGCCATACTGCCCAAGATAGTTTATGGATTCAATGCCATTCCCATGAAGCTACCAATGACTTTCTTCACAGAATTGGAAAAAACTACTTTAAAGTTCATATGGAACCAAGAAAGAGCAGGCATAGCCAAGACAACCCTAAGCAAAAAGAACAAAGCTGGAGGCATCATCAGGGTCAGGTATCACGCTACCTGACTTCAAACTATACTACAAGGCTACAGTAACCAAAACAGCATGGTACTGGTACCAAAACAGATATATAGACCAATGGAACAGAACAGAGGCCTCAGAAATAACACCACACATCTACAACCATCTGATCTTTGACAAACCTGACAAAAACAAGAAATGATGAAAGGATTCCCTATTTAATAAATAGTGCTGGGAAAACTAGCTAGCCATATGTAGAAAGCTGAAACTGGATCCCTTCCTTACACCTTATACAAAAATTAACTCAAGATGGATTAAAGACTTAAATGTAAGATCTAAAACCATAAAAACCCTAGAAGAAAACCTAGGCAATACCATTCAGGACATAGGCATGGGCAAAGACTTCATGACTAAAACACCAAAAGCAATGGCAACAAAAGCCAAAATTGACAAATGGGATCTAATTAAACTAAAGAGCTTCTGCACAGCAAAAGAAACTATCATCAGAATGAACAGGCAACCTACAGAATGGGAGAAAATTTTTGCAATCTACCCATCTGAAAAAGGGCTAATATCCAGAATCTACAAAGAACTTAAACAAATTTACAAGAAAAAAACAACCGCATCAAAAAGTGGGCAAAGGATATGAACAGACACTTCTCAAAAGAAGACATTTATGCAGCCAACAGACACATGAAAAAATGCTCATCATCACTGGTTATCAGAGAAATGCAAATCAAAACCACAATGAGACACCATCTCACGCCAGTTAGAATGGTGATCATTACTACTGTAGAAAGAAGTGCTGGCTGGGTGCGGTGGCTCACACCTGTAATCCAAGCACTTTGGGAGACCAAGGCGGGCAGATCACCTGAGGTCACGAGTTTGAGACCAGCTTGGCCAACATGGGGAAACCCTGTCTCTACTAAAAATACAAAAATTAGCTGGGTATGGTGGCGTACTCCTGTAGTCCCAGCTACTCGAGAGGCTGAGGCTGGAAAATAGCTTCAGCCCTGGAGGCAGAGGGTGCAGTGAGCTGAGATAGTGCCACTGTACTCCAGCCTGGGCGACAGAGCAAGACTCGGTCTTGATAAGAAAAGAAAAGAGAAAAGAAAGAAAAAAAGAAAAGAAAAGAAAGAAAAGAGAAGAGAAGAGAAAAGAAAAGACAAAAGAAAAGAAAAGGAAAGAAAAAAAAGAAAAGAAAAAGAAGGGCCTTGTAGCATTTTTTGGCTTTGGTATAGTCACTGTGTGGTTTGTGGATTTGTGCTAACTCAAATCCCACCCCTTGCCTTTGTGTTGTCTTCAGAGAAGAGCATTCTCAGCACATTATGTGAAATTTCAAACAAACACTTTTTGAGCCACCTCTCTCCACCCCTGCCACACTCACCACACTCACCGGAGTTTGTCACTCCGCCCAGACAGGTTGGTGAGGCCTAGGAGAGCCTCATAGTTCTGAAGCCCATCCCTCTGTGTGTCCAAGAGTCTTACAAGGGGCCGCACCACCTCATACACCTGTTGGGGAGGGGTCAAGGGTTTGGTCAGGTGAGGACTTTGTTCCCTGAGTGCCTCACATTTATAGGTGACCAGCTGTAAAGTTTCCAAAGCACTTTCTCATACATTGTCTGATTTCATCCTCACAATGATCCTGACAGGCAGGATTATTTTCTTTATAGATAGGATAACTGAATTTTGGAGAGGGCAATCCGGTTTGTCAGAGGCAGAACCAGGCCTGGAATCCAGGTGCCTCCATGCATCACCCTCCGTGTGACAGCACCATGCCCCTGTCCCAGGCTCGAGGTAGAATGACAAGGGGAAAGGCCTCTAGGAGCAAAGGAGACCCCTCCCATTGCCCTATCCCATCTACCCAAGCACCTACCCGCTCCCCAGGAAAAGCAATGTCCGGATTGGAGACAGCAGCGATCTTTGCTAGAGCGTGGGCTGCCTTCACCTTGCCCACATCTGTGCCCTCCAAAGCCAGGGGAATCAGGGCCTGCAAGAAAGGGCAAGGTCACTACTTAGTCACAGACATCCAGAGGCTTCTCGCCTATCCTCCTGCTCCAGGTGCTGTCTGTCTGTCCCATGGGAGGTCCAGGAAAATTCTGCCGTATAATCAGCCCTTGCACATCATGGAAAACAATTAAATCCTTAATCACATATTCACTCCTCTTGATTCCCAGTGCACATTCAGGTCTTTACCCCACTTCCTCCCACCCACCTAAATATTCCTTCAGCTTTTGGAAAAATAAATAATTCAATCAACAAATTTTTTACTTTCTGCCCAAGCCAAACTCAATCCTTTTGTTTGTTTGTTTTGTTTTGTTTTTTTGAGACAGAGTTTCGCTCTTGCTGCCCAGGCTGGACTGCAATGGCATGATCTCGGCTCATTGCAACCTCCTCCTCCTGGGTTCAAGCAAGTCTCCTGCCTCAGGTTCCTGAGTAGCTGAGATTACAGGTGCACGCCACCAGGCCCAGCTAATTTTTGTATTTTTAATAGAGACGGAGTTGCAGCCAAACCCAATCTTAACATCAGACATCTATTGAGCACCTACCATGAATCAATACTTTCTATATTTTCTCTAATTCTTGTGACAGTCTGCAAATTGAAAGTGTGATTTTCCCCCTATTTTACAGATGAAGAAGCTGTGGCTGGGAGATTAAGTATTTTGCCTGAGGTTATGCAGTCAGAAATGGGAAGAGCAAGAACTCAACTACAAGTCTTCTACATCAAAGTCCAGGGTCTGTCTTTGCACGGTGCTTCCTTCCAACAGCAAGGAGGATAGATGGGATTCCAAAGTACATACCATCATAGCATAAAGTCAAGCAGAAATTGGCTTGGGGCTATGAGCACAGACAGCGCAGATAACTGGTGGCCGTATTCCAGGAGGTCGAGTTGGGGCAGAGGGTACATAATTCTTGCGCTAGGCAAAGAGCATGCACAAAGGCACCTTCTAGGAAGGCACCTGCCCAGTTACCTTGCCACCACCTTGAGCCACAATGGTGCCTCGGTCCTTTGGGTTGTCACACAGTGCCAGGAATACCCTGTGGGACCGAGAAGAAAGGAGAACAGTTAATACACCAGCACACCTTCCCAGGCAGCAGCAGCAGCAGGCCAGCCAGTCGGAGCCAGTGAAACCCTGGGATGAAAAGGGAGACTATGGAAAGTGCCACTTGTGTGCCTGTGCCCCAGAATTAACCACTTTGGGAAGATGACATCATGGGAATAATTGGCTGGGAAGGAAGTGAGGCCAAGTGAGGCTGCAAAGAGCACTCCCCACTATCACTATTTAGGGATGCAACCACCCAGGAGAAGCTTTTCAACTTCAATGGATGTGCCCCAGGTCCTCCGTGATCTGGCTCTGGCTTCCTCTTTTGTCTCATCCAGCACCAGCTCTTCCTATGGATTCCCTGCCCCAGACATATTGCAGGAGAACCCCAAATTCACTCATTCTCTCTCCATCCTCAGTGTCTTTGCAGATGCTATTCTCTCTGCCTGGAACCTTCCCTCTCCTGCATTTAGGTGGCTCCTTTGCTTCCTTCAGAGCTTGAGTTGTCACATCCCCCAGGAGGCCTTACCAGCTGCCCACCCACCTCCCCTCCAGTCTGGCTGGTTGGGGAACACTGCTTGTGCTCCAATCAGCCCTTTATGCTTCCCACATCATGGCATCCATTGCATCGGACTGTAGCTGTGATCTTGCCTGCCTCCCTGGCCAGGCTGCACACAGACTGTGCCTTTAATCTCTGAGAACAAGGTAACAAGAAGGAACAGTGGCCTCCTTTCTCCTGATACAAACTTCCACCTGTGATGACCTGCCCAACATACCACTTCTCTTCCTTCCTTTCCTTCTTTCCCTCTTTCTTTCCTTCTCCTTCCTTCCTTCCTTTCCTTTCCCTTTCTTTCTTTTCTTTTTTCTTTCTTTCTCTTTCTTTCTTTCTTTCTTTCTTTCTTCTTTCCTTTCTTTCTTTCCTTCTTTCCTCTCTCTCCTTCCTTCCCTCCTTTCTTTCTTCCCTCCTTCCTTCCCTCCCTCCTTTCTTCCTCTTTCTTTCTCTTTCTTTTTCTTTCTTTCTTTTTCTTTCTTTCTCCTTCCTCCCTTCTTCTTTTCCCTTCCCTCCTTCCTTTTTTCCTTCCGCCATCCCTTCCTTTCTCTCTCTCTCTCTCTTTCTCTCTTTCTTTATTTCTCTTTTGTATAGAGACAGGATCTTGCTCTGTTACCCAGGCTGGAGTGCAGTAGCACCATCATCATTCACTGCAGCCCTGAATTCCTGGGCTTAAGTGATCCTCCTGCCTCAGCCTCCCAAGTAGCTGGCAGTACAGGTGCACACCACCGTGCCAGGCTAATTTAAAATTTTTTTGTACAGATGGGGTCTCAATATGTTTCCCAAGCTAGTCTTGAATTCCTGGGCTCAAGCAATCCTCCCACCTGGGCCTCCCAAAGCCCTGGGATTACAGGCATGAGCCACCACCCCTGGTCCCATGTCACTTTTCAAAGCTGATCCCCTCAGACCTTTCTCCAGGCTTTCCCAATAGTTTATCTCCTCATTTAGGCCCCCACCATTTCTATCTCCCTGCCCAGTGTGCTGCACTCCAGGACCCTCGGCCCCCAGCCCTAGTTCCAAGCCTTGGCCCACTGCAGCCCCACCTGGCCAGCAGCTCCTTGGTCTGGTCAGTGAGGATGGCACTATCTGCTTTCACCATGCAAGCCAGGGCAGAGATGACACCCGCCTTCAGAAGCCGCTTCACCCGCATGTCTATAAAGTCCTTCTTGTCCTGAGGAGATGAAAAGATGGCAATGTGGGAGGGTCCTGGGTGCCAGGCCAATCGGTATTGGAACCAAAGATGGTGCATTTCTGAATTCTTGGGGTTGGTTGAATAATGGCCTCCAAAGATGTCCATGGCCTGGCCAGGCACAGTGGCTCATGCCTGTAATCCCAGCACTTTGGGAGGCTGAGGCGGGCGGACCACGAGGTTAGGAGATCAAGACCATCCTGGCTAACACGGTAAAACCCTGTCTCTACTGAAAATACAAAAAATGAGCCAGGCGTGGTGGCGGGCACCTGTAGTCCCAGCTGCTCAGGAGGCTGAGGCAGGAGAATGGCATGAACCCGGGGGCAGAGCTTGCAGTGAGCCGAGATCGCACCACTGCACTCCAGCCTGGGCGACACAGCGAGACTCTGTATAAAAAAAAAAAAAAAAATCCATGGCCTAATCTCTGGAACCTGTGAACGTGGGACCTTACATGGCAAAAGGGATTTTGCAGACACGATTAAGTTAAGGATTTTGAGATGAGGGGGTAAGCCTAGATTTCTGTGTGGGCCCAATATAATCACCAGGATCTTTATAAGAGGGAGGCAGGAAGATCAGAGTTAGTACTAGGAGATGTAACAATGGAATGGAAGTGAGGTCAGAGTGGTTCAAGGTCACCAGCCAAAGCATGTAGGTGGCCTCTAGAAGCTGAAAAAGGCAACAAAATGATTCTCCCTTAGAGCCTCCCAAAGAAACCAGCCCTGCTAACACCTTGACTTTAGCCGAGTGAGACTCATTTTAGGACTCTTGACCTCCAGAACTATAAGATTTTTAAAACCGGGCCAGGCGTGGTGGCTCCCGCCTGTAATTCCAGCACTTTGGGAGGCTGAGGTGGGTGGACCACTTGAGCCCAGGAGTTCGAGACCAGCCTGGGCAACATGGCGAAACCCCGTCTCTACTAAAAATACAAAAATTAGCTGGGCATGGTGGAGCGTGTCTATAATCCCAGCTACTCAGGAGGCTGAAGCAGGAGAATTGCTTGAGCCCAAGAGGCGGAGGTTGCAGTGAGCCAAGATTGCACCACTGCACTCCGCCTGGGCGACAGAGGGAGACTCAGTCTCAAAAAAAAAAAAAAAAAAAGTATAAAAATTGCGTTTTAGGCCACAGTGCGTGTGGCAATGTGTTCTAGAAACAATAGGAAACTAAGACACTTCTCCAGATTCCCTCTTCCCAAGCAACTGCCAAGGGGTATACAGCACGCCTTGCTGTCGTGTGTGATTGTCTCTCCTCTCTTCTTCCTTGCCTTACCTAATCCCAAGACAGAGCCTGAGGAGCTGATACCGTAGAAAACCAGTCCCAAAGATTCTCTCATTCACAGAGGAATGAAATAAAAGACGGATAATCCAAAAGACTAAATGATGCGTATATTGTTTTTCTTGGAGAAGGCTGAGGTGGGAGTGGAGGTAGAGAGAGGGTATAGGCAGGAAAGGACACAGTGGATGAAGCCGCCATAACAATGGATTGGGTTTGCTGGAAACCCAAAGTCAACCCAGGGTTAAAGAGTCCCTACAGATAATCCTCAGAGTGAGGAGTGGTGGGGAAGGGGCTGACAACCCTGGGCAAGCCCTGGAAGCCACACTGGAACTTCACAGCCACAGCACATGCTCTGCACCCTTGCCTGGATGAAACATCATGCAGCTTTCAAAAATGATTCAGAGGCCAGGTGTGGTGGCTCATGCCTGGATTCCCAACGCTTTAGGAGGCCGAGGTGGGTGGGTCACTTGAGGTCAGGAGTTTGAGACCAGCCTGACCAATATGGTGAAACCCTGTTTCTACTGAAAACACAAAATTAGCCGGGCATGGTGGTGCATGCCTGGAATTCCAGCTACTTGAGAGACTGAGGCAGGAGAATCACTTGAACCTGGGAGGCAGAGGTTGCATTGAGCCGAGATCTCACCACTGCACTCCAGCCTGGGTGACAGAGCAAGACTCTGTCTCAAAAAATAAATAAATAAAATAAAAATGATTCAGAGAATGAGATGGCAATGTGAAAAACATATTTTTCCAAAATTGGGCACAAAATGATAAATATATTCTAATTATAACTGTGAAAGGAAAAAAGATACATAGAAAAAAAGCCTCTGGTAGGTAACATAACATCAAAATGCCAACAGCAGTCATGTGGAGATGACGTAATCATGAGTGGTTATTTTCTTTTCCCCACATTTTAACTCGTTTTGCAGCATGATTATATTACTTTGATCATTAAAAAAATCTAAATGATTTTATTGGCTGGCAATATCTTGCATATATTCTTAAACAAATCACACACAAATCATATCTTCATGTGCAGGGAATTGTTGGAGAGGGTTCCAGGGGATCTGTGACTTCTGGGCTAATGCTGACCATGCCTCTCCTCTCATGATTCCTACTTAGCACCCATGTCACAAAATCCAGAAATCTGAGAAAATCAAATTGTTATCTGTTGGAGACATGAAATAAAACTGTCTTTTATCCATAAAATCAACAACACAAATTGCAAAGTGTCCATCATGGCTCTGTTTGTTTTCTCAGACTATAAATTGTTGGATTTTTTTCAAAATAGAAAATAAAAACAAAGAAAAAGCATGAGCACCATCTGGTGGGAAAGTTTACCATTAACATATTCAATGTATGTGTATCTTACCCCCAACCACCCAAACACACACCGTGCCACTCCTGACACCACTCCTTTTGCCGTTCCGCCTCCTTTGGAGGCCTAGTGGCACAGACCAGACCCCTCCCGGGTCGCGCCTGACCCTACCTTGGGGTGTTCCTCGGGCACATGCTGCTTGGAGAACTTGGCGAGCTGGACAAGCTCTGGGATGACCTCCTTGACATCGTAGCTGTTGGTGCAGTTCACCAGGGTGGTGGCCACCGAGTACAGGATGGTCTTGTCACTGGTCTGGAAGGCACAGGGTTGGGGAGAGGGAAAGCAGAAAGGAAACTTTAGGACAAACCTCTGCTTCCAGGATGCTCCCTCACGTGGCCGGCAGGTTGGTGTCGGAGGAGTGCAGCTGGTAGGGCCCATTCTGAGGAAAGACAGCAGCGCAGGAGAGGAACGGTTCTCCCCATAAAGGCAGGCAGCAGTGTCTCCTGCACCCTCCACAGTAGCTCTGACAGTATGAATAGGAGCTGTCCCACAAAGATCCTCGCTTTGCGCCTCTTCCACAAGCCCAGTCTAACACTTTCCCATCCAACTGGAGATGGGGTGGGAGCTGGACATTTTCCGGTCCTGGTGAAAATCTCTCCCATGCTTCCTCCATTTACTGGTAGAAAAGGGCCAGGGAGTTGGCCCAGCAGATGAGGAAAGGAGTCTGGGGGGGCCTGGGAGGGAGGGCAGGTTCCCAGAAAGGCCAGGCACAGCCTCTTTTATTTATTTATTTTCTTGAGGCAAGGTCTCTCTCTGTCACCCAGGCTGGAGTGCAGAGCTGGAATTCTAGCTCACTGCAGCCTCGATCTCCCAAGGCTCAAGCAATCCTCCCACCTCAGCCTCCCGAGTAGCTGGGATTACAGGTATGTGCCACCACGCCCAGCTAATTTTTGTATTTTTTGTAGAGTTGGGGTTTCACCATGTTGCCTAGGCTGGTCCTGAACCCCAGAGCTCAAGCCATCCGCCCGCCTCAGCCTCCTGAAGTGCTGGAATTACAGGCACGTGCTACGATGCCCTGCTTTTTTTTTTTTTTTTTTTTTTTTTAGCTGCCTCAGGTCCTTCAAGACCTCACCTCCTGAGGGCCCCAGGAAAACAAACTGCCCTCCTGTGCATCTTCCCATCTCTGGAAGGCATTGGGAGTCGGGAGTCCATTTTACAATCAGGTAAAATGAGGGCCAGAAAGGGGGAAATAACCAATCATGTTTATACAGGGGTAAGGAGTAGAGCCAGGAGGAAGACTGGGATCCATTCCCTGTGGGTCTGGACCCAGCAGACCTTTCCTGAGGTTTGTGGTCGGGCCAGACTCCCCGACACCTGCCTTGGCCAGCTCAAACATGGCCTGCAGGGCAGGGACGTCCTGGACAAAGTCGTCCTTCACATCAGCGTCCAGCGTGAGGTAGGCCAGGCCCTCCACTGCCCAGCGTCGGGTCCGAGTGTCTATGGACATATTGCACAGCCACCTGGAAGTGAGGAGGGAGCACACATGGGAAGGGGCCCAGGGCTAGGTCAAGAGGGTGAAGCGATTTCAGGGTGGTGAACCAGGGGTGAGGTCCCTTTCACACTCCACTAGAGCACACCCCAGAGACTCTTGCCCGGAAGGCGCATGAGGAGATGGAGGGCCTGGGAAACACAGCCCCCTTACTTGCGACACTGTTTGGCCAGTTTTTCTGTCGACCCTTCCGCAAACTGCCTGAGACCGTAGTCTGTGCCACCTGCAGAGCCGAGCTTACAGAGTCCCTGAGGAGGAGAGGAGACAGCAGACACATGCAGGATCAGAGACACCAAGGCTTGGGGATGAAGCCTTGCTCAAACAGGTTTCTATGGCCAGAACACTTCGCCCCTCTTTCTTTGCTTGGATCCACCTCTGTGCAGACTGTAAAACTCAGCTCAGGTGTCACCTCTGCTGAGATACTTTCCCTGATGCTCTGGGTTAGGGTAGAGGCCCATAAAGTTGCAAATTCTTGACCTGCCCCCTTCCCCCACCATTTTGACCCCACAGATGTATTGTGCCTGCCATTTTGAAAAACCAGCAAGACCAAGTTAACCATATCTGAAGCTTCAATGGGGAACCTTGTTACGGCACAGAAACTGACAGAGAAATCCTATCTTCTGGATAACAGATTCAGATGTGCAAAATTTTACCCAGAGAAAATTGGACTTTTCTTAGGGGGGCGGTTTCATAAGAGAAAATTCACTTTTGTCAGAAGCTAGAATTTGTTTTTAAAAAATTGATGCTGGGTGCGGTGGCTCACGCCTGTAATCCTCCCAGCACTTTGGAAGGCCGAGGCGGGTGGATCAGTTAGGCCAGGAGTTTGAGACCAGCCTGGCCAACGTGGTAAAACCCCATCTCTACTAAAAATACAAAAATTAGCAGGGTGTGGTGGCAGGCATCTGTAATCCCAGCTACTTGGGAGGCTGAGGCAGGAGAATCGTTTGAACCCAGGAGGCGGTGGTTGCAGTAAGCCGAGATCATGGGGGTTGCAGTGAGCCAATATCATGCCACTGGACTCCAGCCTGGGCTACAGAGGGAGACTCTGTCTGAAAAAATAATAATAATAATAATTTCAGGCCAGGCACAGTGGCTCACGCCTGTAATCCCAGCACTTTGGGAGGCCCAGGGGGGTGGATCACCTGAGGTCAGGAGTTCAGGACCAGCCTGGCCAACATGGCGAAACCCCGTCTCTATTAAAAATACAAAAATTAGCTGAGTGTGGTGGCACACGTCTGTAATTCCAGCTACTCTGGGGGCTGAGGCACAAGAGTCACCTGAACCTGGGAGGCGGAGGTTGCAGTGAGCTGAGATTTCGCTGCTACACTCCAGCCTAGGTGACAGAGTGAGACTCCATCTCAAAAAAACAAAAAGTAAAATGAAAGTGGAAAAAAAATACCTTATAGAAACTGATTAAGGAAAGTGACTCTTCAGAATTTGCTCTGAAAATGCATTCTGGACACAAGCTCCTCAGTGTTCATGTTGTTCATAAGCAGGGAGACGAACGTCCTCAGGGTTAAGCAGCAGAGTTCACGGTTCTGAATCTACATCCTCACAAGCCCCCTGGATATTGCCCTGTTCTGCAGGGGTCTGTGGCTGGGTCTGGTGCCCCCTTGAACCTGGTCTCCTCAAGGACAGCAGCCTCAACTCATTCATTTTGGTGTCCCTGGTGCCTGGCATGGCACCTTGTACTGAGTAGGAGGGTGGTACCGAGCCCACTCACCACCAGTGTGCGGATCTTGATCTTCTCATTTTTGGTGGTCTTGTAGATCTGTTTGAGCAGTGACACTCCATTGGTGATGATGAAGGTGGCGCGGCTGAGCTTCGTGGAGGCATGGATGAGGGCCTCCACGGCCACCAGCTGGTCCGTCTCGCGCTCTGAGCCACATAGTGCCACCATCATCTCCATCACACCTTTCAGTCCCAGCAGCTGGTTGCCCAGGTCAAAGGGGCCCTGCAGGATCCCTGACACTGTCTGGATGGCATTCAAGTTCTTGTCCATGTCCTGGGGGTCAAACTTGCCCCTAAAACAAAGGACAAGGGTGGTCAAGAGAACTGGTCCAAGAGAGTGGAAAGAGTGTGAGATTTGGAGGCAGTAGGATTTGGATTTGCATCCTGGCTCCACCACTCATGTGCTGTGTGATATTGGGCAATTCAGCGAACCTCTCTGAGCCTCAGCTCCTGTAAACTGAGGATAGTACTACTAGTTCTCAGAGTTGTGGTGAGGATAAATGACATAACAGCTGTGTCACAGAGTGTGCCTCTGGGAAATACACTCTGACTCAGGGATTGACATGCAGGAAGTTTATTAGAGAGAGCTCTTGGGAAGAGAAGGAAGCAGGACTGGGGCAGAGGGAGGCATTTTGCAGCTATCACAAAGCCTCAGCCTCCAAGAAGTTCTGGAGCTGGAAGACCCTTCACAGTTGTTCCAAGTTAGAGTGAGTCTTTTTCTTTCTTTTTTTTTTTTTTGAGACTGAGTCTTGCTCTGTTGCTGGAGTGCACTGGTGCCATCATAGCTCACTGTGACCTCAAACCCCTAAGCTCAAGCAATCCTCCCACCTCAGCCTCCTGAGCAGTTGAGACTACAGGTGCACACAATCATGCTCAGACAATTGTTTAAATTTTTTTGTAGAGATGGGATCTTGCTATGTTGCCCAAGCTGATCTCAAACTCCTGGCCTCAGATGATCTTTCCACCTGGCCTCCCAAAGCACTGGTATTATAGGTCTGAGTCACCTCAACTAGCCTGGTGTGAGTGTTTGCATACTGGCTTCCCTGGGAAGGGTGAAACAGCTCTCCCCAGGTGAGACAAGTCCCAAAGAGAGATAACAGCTGAGAGCTGTCAGCTGACAGCCTTTCCAGCAGCTGCTGTGTCTGGGAGGACAGTACAGCATTGACAACAACACAAAAAGGCCTAGCGTGATGCCCGGCACACTGTGTCTCTCTGTGACATGGCCTGGGCCAGTCACTCCCCTCTGGTGATCTGGTCTTAGTCCCTTCCCCTGTTGGTGAGCATGTGGGCTAGATATCCAGGAACGTTCTGCCTTGCTTTCAGAATCTATTATCATCTACTCTAGGGGAGAATCTCTGCGTGGGAATGTCAGAGGTGACATGCCTTCTGATGCTTCTCATCTGCCCAGGTTGGTGCATTGTGGGAAACAGGGCAGATGTGCACAGTGGAAATGCAGCTGTGTATAAATGCAAGAAGGCAGCGTGGACTGGTCAGGAGAACTCCACACCAAGAGTCCAAGACCTGGGCTCTGGTCCCATGTCTGCCTCTGATTGCTGGAGGATCTCAGGCAAGTTCCCCTGGGGAAGAGGACTCAGCTTTGGAAGCTCTGACAGCCCCTCCAGCTTGAGCATCCCATGTCCTGTGCCTCATCTCTCCACTCAGTGCCCAGGGAACCAGCATCCTTCGTAATTAGTTGCGGTCTGACCTTTGAGCTGGCACTGGGTCCCCACACAGCCCCCGCCCCTGATGAAGCGGGATGTATTCCACTCTTGCTAGGGGCAGGCTGGGGCACCATTTGATGAAGGCAGTGACCCCTCCTCTCAGCATTCCACAGGCTGACAGGAGGGAGCCTCAATCAACAAGCCCAAACAAGAACTAGCTGGATGACAGGTAATGGGAGTCAGTTGGGGACCTCATGAGGGACTCAAGAAGTCAGCAGGAAAAGTTGAAACTGAGGTAGAGAAAGACAGAAGCCTTGAAAAGACCTAAGTGAACCAAAGTCAGGGTGAGCAGAAGCCGTGGGGTAGAGAAGGAGTTGGCAAATCCAGGGAGTTGAGAATAGCTTTCACATTATTTTATTTTATTTGAGACGGGGTCTCACGCTCTTGCCCAGGCTGGAGTGCAGTAGTGCATTCAAGGCTCATTGCAGCCTTGACCTCCTGGGCTCAAGTGATCCTCCTACCTCAGCTTCCCAAGTAGCTGAGACTACAGGGGTGTGCCACCACACTTGACTCATTTTTAATTTTTTTTTTTTTTTTTTTTTTTTTAGAGATGAGGGTCTCTCTACATTGCCTGGGTTGGTCTCAAACTCCTGGTCTCAGGCAATTCTCCCACATCGGCCTCCCAAAATGCTAGGATTACAGGCATGAGCCACCACACCTGGCCAGCAGCTTTTTGCCTTTCTTTTTTCTTTTTGAGATGGAGACTTGCTCTGTCACCCAGGCTGGAGTGCAGTGGTGCGATCTTGGCTCACTACAACCTCTACCTCCTGGGTTCAAGCGATTCTTCTGCCTCAGCCTCCCTAGTAGCTGAGATTACAGGCATGTGCCACCATACTCGGCTAATTTTTGGTATTTTTAGTAGAGATGGGGTTTCACCATGTTGGTCAGGCTGGTCTTGAACTCCTGACCTCAGGTGATCCGCGCTCCTCGGCATCCCAAAGTGCTGGGATTACAGGCGTGAGCCACTGTGCCCAGCCAGCTTTTTGCATTTTAAAGGATTTTTAAAAATATGTTGACAGAGACTTATCTGTCCCACAAATACTAAAATATTTACTCTCTGGCCCTTCATAGAAAAAGTTTGTTGACCCCTGGAATATAGAAAGGAAAAGCAGAGTAAAGGCAACGTCTTCACCCACCTAAGACTCACCTGGAGTGCTTTTAAGCATGCAGCTTCCTGAGCCACACCCCAAACTACCGAGTCAAGAGGGGATGTCTCAGAAATCTGAATAATTTACAAGTCTGGGAATCACTGCAATAAAGAATTAAAAGGTCATGCACTGGAGTCACACTGATGCTGGAGCACCAGTGAGGAGACTCAGGAACTGCAGCTGCTGAGGGTCCTAACCCCTGTCTAGCTCTGCAAAGCCACATGAGTCTTAGTCTTGAAAGAACCGGGCCTCCCTCCTTGACAAGCTGACATGTGTTCCTTTCAACCACAGAAGCCAGTGGTAGGTATAAAATATGTCCATGGCTGGGCAAGGTAGTTGATGCCTGTAATCCCGGCACTTTGGGAGGCAGAGGCAGGAAGATTGCTTGAGCTTGGGAGTTCAATACCAGCCTGGGAAACATAGCAAAACAAAAAATACAAAAATTAGCCAGGCGTGGTAGTGCACACTTATAGTCTCAGCTACTTGGGAGGCTGAGGCAGAGGCAGGAGGATCGCTTGAGCCCAGCAGGCTGAGGCTGCAGTGAGTCATGATCATGCCACTGCACTCCAGCCCGGGTGACAGAAAAAAAAAAAAATTAGCCCAGCATGGTGGCAAGTGCCTGTAGTCCCAGCTACCCTGGGAGGCTGAGGTAGGAGGATTACATGAGCCCAAAAGTTCGAGGCTGCAGTGAGCTATGATTGTGTCACTGCACTCCAGCGTGGGGAACAGAGTGAGACTCTGTCTCAAAAAATAAATAAAATAAAATATGTCCAAAAATATGTTGACACCCCTGCCTTCAAAAGCTGAAACCTAATTTCTTCCCCTTAAACATAGGTCAAACTTACTGACTTGCTTCTAACGAATAGAATGTGGCGGAAGTGATGACATGTGTCTTCTGAGGCTAGATAGAGAAGACATCTCCCTGCTGCCTTGCTCTGTCTTGGCTCTCTTACTGTGGCATGCCAGCGGCATGCAGTGAAGACGCTTCAGCAGGCTGCAGAGAGGTCTGCAGGGAGAGGAACCAAGGCCTCCCACCAACAGCCAGCACCAGTGTGCCAGCTGTGTGAGTCCACCATCTTGGAAGCATTTTCCAGCCCCAGTCAAGCCTCCAGATGGCTGCAGCCCCAGCCAGCATATGACTGTAACTTCATGAAAGACCATAAGCCAGAGCCACCCAGCCAAACCACTCCCAAATTTCTGTTCTGGTGTGAGATAATAAAACACTATTGTTTGAGCTGCTAAATTTTGAGATAATTTGTTACACAGCCATAGATAACCAAGACAGAGCCTGACCCTGTGAGGCCTCCAGGAAACTTACGTGATATATTCCTCACAGATCTTGCGGAAGTGATCGCGCTCCGGGTCACAGCGCAGGTCATCATAGAGCTTGTTGATGAGGATAGAGGCCAGCATGCGGGTGTTGTCAGTCAGGGGCAGGCAGGATGGCAGATCTGGAACCTGCCCCACAACCTTCAGGATCTTCCTCAGACCTGCAGGGTAGACAGTGGCAAGCCTAAGATTCCTGCTGGGCTCCATCCTCACACACACCCCTCACTCAGTGACTTGTTATCATCAGCTTCTCTCCAGCCCTGTCTGTAGAAAACATGTGGTTCATCCAGAATGAAAGGGCCTAGAATGGGGTCAAAGGACCCAGGTTATACACCTGACACTGCCCCCAGCTTGACCAATTCACCTCCCTCTAGGGGCCTCTATTTTCATGTGTACAAAATCAGGACTAGTCGATCTCAGAGGACTCTACCAGTGCTGACATTCCATGGGCTGATGTATAGTCTTCTCCAAATACTATTTCATATTCCCTTCCTCAAGCCTCAGCTTCTTCATTTGTAAAATGGGAATAATACTACCTACCTCATAAAGTTTGAGGGCTCAATGAGATAATGTATGGAAACTCTACTATCAATCCAGACACACTACTATGACTCAATAAATGTTTATTATTGAGTGTGTATTTATTAAGTATTTATTTAGTAAATGCCATATTTACATTTATGATGATGATGATGATGTCTTCTCATCTCTTCTGTTGAAAAATCTTCAATGGCTTCCTATTACCGTTGGGCAAATTCAACAGTCATGTCTTTGTTAAATAAATGAGCACCTTTGGGGTACTGGCTACCAAAATAACAGATACAACCCTGACCTCCAAAAGCTCACAATACAATAGGGAAAACTGACATATGAAGATTGCAATGAGATGTGATAAGTATAGAAGGGTAACACTGAAGATGAGGTGATTCACTTCAACAAAATAAGATCTGCAATTTATTCTGAGCACTTACTACGTGCCAAGAGCTTTATACACATTCACTTCATCTAATCCTAACAATAACCCTGCTGGTTAGGAATCATTATTTCCATCTTTCAGAGGAGAAAAACAAGACTTAGAGAAGTCAAGTAAGTTGCCCAGGACAAGTCAAGTAAGTTGCCCAGTGACATAGCAAGGACACGCTCCCAATCCCGTCTGATTTCAAAGCCTGTGATGTTAGCTGTTATACTATGTTGCCTCTGGGGCAACAGAGAGATGGATTTCGGAGCCAGGTTTTAGAGGTGGCTTGGAGCTGGTCAGACCTTGTGTAGTACAGGGAAGTGGGAGAAAGAACATTCCAGGTAAAAGCTGGGAGGCATGAAACTCTAGATGTTAGGAGGGAATTAAAAGTGCCTGGAACCAGCCTGGCCAACATGGCAAAACCCCGCCTCTACTAAAAATACAAAAAAATTAGCTGGGCATGGTGGCGGGCACCTGTAATCCCAGCTGCTTGGGAGACTGAGGCAGGAGAACTCAGGAGGTACAGGTTTCAGTGAGCCAAGATCACGCCATTGCACTCCAGCCAGGGCTACAAGGGCAAAACTCTGTCTCAAAAAAAAAAAGTGCCTGGAAGTGGCTTGGTGGCTCATGCCTGTAATTCCAGCACTTTGGTTAGGCCGAGGTGGGAGGACCACTTGAGCCCAGGAGTTTGAGACCAGCCCGGGCAACAGACCCATCTTCCCATATGAAAGAAAAAGAAAAAGAAAGCGCCTGGCAGTAAATTTTGTGCTATGTACATTTTACCACTTAAAGGAAAACTTCTGTTTCCTCCCTAAACTACTCCTACTCTCAGAGCTTACTTCTGACACTGGATGGGTGTCCTACAATTCAACGCTGACACTAACCACTTGGGGTTAGCACAGACTCCACAGGTTAAGGGCTCAATCCCACAAGACTACCCTCCTTCGGATGCCAGCCTCAAGTCCAAGTTGCCACCTGTGCTTCTGACTGGCCAACTATAAATCAGAGATTCCCATGACCCTCTCCCTCAGGTTTGATAATTTGCTAGAATGGCTCACAGAACTCAGAAAACCAGTTTAGTTACTAGATTACCAATTTATTATTTAAACAACAACAACAACAAAAACAGAAACTCAGGAACAGCCAGATGGAAGAGATGCAGAGGGCAAGGTATTGGCAAGGGGCGTGGCACTTCCATGCCCTCTCCAGGTAGCCATCCCTCCAGCACCTCCATGTGTTCACCAAATTGGGAGCACTTTAAGCCCCTTTGGCTAGGGATTTTTTTTAAATAGAGGCTTCATTATGTAGGCACGGTTGATTAAATCATTAGTTATTAGTGATGAATCCCACCTCCAGCCCCTCTCCCCTTCCTGGAGGTAAGGGGTGGGGGGCCGAAAGTTCCAATCCTGTAATTGCATGGTTGTTTCCCCTGGCAACCAGCCCCCATTCTGACATTCTGAGGTTATCTAGGGGATCCCAGCCACCAGTTATTACATGAGCATACAAAAAGATACTTATCACTTCAGAGGTTAGCTGTGTGCCAGGAAACAGCAGCAGAGACCAAATATGTGTATTTCTTATTATGCAACAAGCATGCATTTAAAAAGTGCTCAGTAGGGCTGGGGAGTAACAGGAAGTGCCTGATGAGCCAACACAGACTCCCCAGCCTGGGTCCTAAAAGCATCCCTCAAATGCCCCTCTCCAATCTCATCTCCCGGTCTCCCCTTCCATTCTTGCCCATGCCTTGAGCATCTCATTTCTCTTCTGTTCAAACACTCTAGACCTTCCTCCTGTCTATCTTTGCCCCTTCTCTCACCCAAAAGCTCACTTCGGGTTTGACATCCTGACAGCTCCCTTACCGTGCCTCCCAGCCCAGTTTGCACAACACATAACACCTCAACATTGCAGCTTTGTATTCGAATATCTGAATTTTTAAATCCACATTATTTTTACCCAAGTGCTGTCCATGTTGGTGCCCTTTACAAAAAGAACAGAATAAAAAATACTGCTCTCTACCTGTCCCATCCCATAACACGTGGATGAGCCTAGATCCTGGTGCTGAGAGAGAAGATCTGTTGTTAACGCTCACGTTTCATGACATATGTGGAGAAGACCAGAATGAGGCAGGGAGGAAGTGGGGTTTGGGCATTTAGCAGTAGGGTAATGTGTTAAAGTCTAAGCACTTGCACATGCACTTTGCTGAGGTCTATAAAAACCAAACAAGGGAAGTGCAATATCAAAAGACATTCTTTAAGCTGGGAAGAGCTGATCTGAATCTTTTAGAACAAGGTATAGTCTGTGTGTCATAAAACCTACGGAAGAATTTACCATAGCAGATCATGAAACCACAGGTATGATTCCTTAACAATCAAAGAAGTTGATTGAGGAGAGGGGTAACACCTCGGAGCTGACAAATTGAGTGACTGTCTGCTAGAACACATGAAAGGAAAATAAAATCTTGGCCCGGTGCCATGGCTCGCGCCTGTAATTCCAGCACTTTGGGAGGCCGAGGTGGGAGGATCACTTGAATCCAGGAGTTTGAGACCAGCCTGGGCAACATAGTGAAACCACATCTCTACAAAAGAAAAACATTAGCCCGGCATGATGGTTCGTGCCTGTGGTCCCAGCTACTCGGGAGGCTGAGGGGTAGGAAGATCACTGTAGCCCAGGAGTTTGAGGTTGCAGTGACTATGATCACGCCACTGCACTCTGGCATGAGCAGCAGAGTGAGACTCTGTCTCTAAAAAGAAATAAATAGATAGATACACAAAAATGAAATCTTGGGACCCCCAACTCCCTAAACCAAAGGAAAAAAATTAAGCTGAAAGCTGAATCATGGCAAGAAACTGCCTTTCCTTTTATTCCTAAGCAGATAGCTACAGATAAAAGGTTAAATATCTCCAAAGGTTTAATAAATTACTCTAGGGCTTAAATATGTCCATTCTATGTTCACCTTATCTTATGTAAAGTGATCATTTACTGAGCAGGAGACAAATATGTAATTGACTATTTGACTATTCCCCTACCTCCTCCTTTCTCTTCCAACATGTGCATTCATGTAATGTGACCACACCCTCCCTCTTTCCCCTCCAGGCTGTCTTTCCCCTTGAAATATTGAAGCCCTTAAAATCATCTTTGGAGAAAGGCTCAGACCACAGACTGTTTCTGTGATTCTGTGTTTCCTCTCTGCGGGGCATGTCCGTAATCTTGGCAAAATAAACTTCTAAATTGATTGAGACCTGTCTCAGATACTTTTGGGTTTACAAACATTCTCACTGTGCTTTATATAAACTATACTTGATGCAATTTCCTCCCTTTTGAAAGGCCTGTGAAGTATTTTACCAACCATGAGACTTCTGGAATTTTATCCTGTGGTTGGTGGAGTCCTTGTCCCCATTTGCTAGGTTGCTTCACCCACATGTTTTGGGGATGTGTTTGGGCACTTCCTGGGCATGTTCAGGCTCTGAATTCAGAGCCTTGACCTGCACCTTCACAGGCCCACTGGTGGATCCTGATGGGCCAATGCCTTTTCTCATCTTTTCAGTTAGAACTGAAGACCCCTTCAAGAGCCTCACATCTTCCATTTTCTGTTCAGTGCCCTGGTGCCCACTTAAAAGGCTTGAGCAAGCCCCAAACCTTCCCCTCTTCTCACCATTATCCACCACATAGATGGTACGTGAGTTGTCATGAATGGCAAGGTCCTTCCTGGGAACATTCTTATTGAGCAGGTTCAGCGCCTGATCCCTGCCCTGGCCAGACACCTTCTTGCTGACTAGCATGTCCAGCAGGTGGCTGGTGATCTGCTTCAGGTCCTTCTTGGTGTCTGAAGAAAAAGAGGACGGGGTAAGTAGAGAGGGGTAGGAAATCTCACATATATATGACCAAGAAGAGCAGCAGCTTCTAGACTCTGGAAGTACTGAATCCACTACTTCCTGAATATGTGAATTCCCAGGGGAGTATAGTGTTGCCCATCTCACCTGGAAAAAGGGAGAGAAATCCCTAGACAACACCCCCAAGTGGTCCTCCAGCCACCCTGAACCCTGACTTCTACAACAGCTCATTCCATCCTTGAGCAGTTCAGATTCTTAGAAAGTTCTTCACTCCTACCAGTGACTGGCAGAGATCCAGGGATGCTTTATGTGGTTTCTAATAAACTGATTTAATAAAATGCTTTCCAGAAGGGGAATTTGTACTTTTTAGGGACATTTCACTCCCCACAGATTCAGGCATGCTGGGAGCCTGAATTCAAGCTTTTGCCTGTGACGCCGGGACTTCCTGCCCACTGGTAGATCTTAAAAGGCAAATGCCTTTTTTTCTGATTTTGCCCTCCAAGATACTTAGAGATTTTTGTTCTCATTCTAGGATGGAGCCCAAAGGCAGGCAAACCAAAAAGTAAAGCTCTCCAAACCATGTCAGATAAATAACTGATGAAGGAATACAGCTCCATCGCCTAAAGAAGGAAAGATGTAAGCAGATGTGACAGTTCGTCTTCAGACAGAGGCATGTCATGAGAGTGAGATAACAGACTCCTTCTGTGAGGCTCCAGAGGGCAGACTTTGGACCAGAGGCAGATGGAAGCTACAAGGGGATAGAGTGGAAATCAATATGTGGAAGAATTTTGTAGCAGAGATGTTCAACCCAAGGAAGTCATGGAAGATTGTGAATTGGTGTCTCCCTGGGAAACACGACACTCATTATAAATGCTCTTGGGTAATCTCCTCCAACACTGGCCCTGGGCTGCTTATGTGACCTGTGGCACAACCAGAGGCTTACATGGCACTTGCACATTGGGGCTTGTCCATTTAGAATCCAGCCACCATGTTCTATAGAAACCCAAGCTGGCCACTAGCAAGGCCACAAGATCAACAAGGTCACAAGGCCACAAGGTCAACATTTCCAGTTGACTGCCAGCCACACAAGCAGGGCCATCTTGGATCTTCCAAAAATTCTAGCTCAGAAAAGGAAAGTGACTAGCTGACCATTATAATAATAGTAAGTCAGAGTCACATCAAGAATCCAGGACTTCAGGGCTGGGCGCAGTGGCCTGTAATCCCAATATTTTGGGAGGCCACAGCAGGAGGATCACTTGAGGCCAGGGGTTTGAGACCAGCCTGGGCAAGAAAGTGAGACCCTGTCCCTATGAAAAATTTAAAAATTAGCCAGGCATGGTGGCACGAGCCTGTAGTCCTAGTAACTCCAGAAGCTGAGGTGGAAGGATTGAGCCCAGAAGTTTGAGGCTGCAGTGAGCTGTGATTGCATTACTACAGTCCAGCCTGAATGATAGACAAGACTCTGTCTCAAAGCAAACAAACAACAAAAAAAAACTCTTATAGACAAATAAGAACAACATTAAGAAATAGGTAACAACATGAACAAACCATCCAAAGACAAAGGAATCCAAATGGCTAATAAAGATACAGAAAAATGATCAATCTGATGAATAATTTAGTTTGAATCTAACACGATAATTTTGAATCTACTGGATAGGCAAATATCTTTAAGAAGGATAGCATTCAGATCTGATGAGAATGTGTTAAAATGGAGACTCTCATCATTGCTTGTGAGAGTATAAATTGATGCAGCCTCTCAGAAAGGAATTAGAGAGCAAGATATAGAAAGAACATTAGTTATTCTCATAGCCTTTGACCCAGTGCTCCTTTTCTAGGAATTTGACCCCAGGAAATAATTATAAATGTGGCCAGGTATGGTGGCTCACACCTGTAATCCCAGTACTTTGGGAGGCAGAGGCGGGCGGATCACCTGAGCTCAGGAGTTTGACACCAGCCTGGCCAACATGGTAAAACCCCGTCTCTACTAAAAATACAAAAATTAGCAGAGGCTGAGGCAGGAGAATCGCTTAAACCCGGGAGGTGGAGGTTGCAATGAGCTGAGATCGTGCCACCGCACTCCAGCCTGGGCAACAGAGCAAGACTCCATCTCAATAAATAAATAAATAAATATAAATAAATAAAAATAAATTATAAATGCAAGCATAGATGCAAAAATGGCTCCTGGAGAGTTTTGTATAAACATGCAAATTGGAAATAACTGGAATCTCCAATAATATAGAGCTGATTGATGAATAATCCATACAAGGGAAGATTATGATATTCTTGAAAATAAAGTTTTCTGAGTGAACCTGCCTCTTTGGCCCTCCCAGCCAGAGCAATATCTTCTAAATTGATGCCTAGGACCTGGATGTGCACGGAGAAGCATGAGTCTGTATGTGCATATGCAGGAAACAAATGTAAAATTAATTATTAAAATCAAAGGAGTCCTTTTAAAGAATATTAAATGGTATGCAATATTAATATAATGCTCAGTGCAGAAAAAAACATATAACTATTCATAGCAGAATTCCAATTTTGTTAAATATTGATGGTTTAAAAAAAAAGAGAGGAAAGATCCATGTGGTAATGGTAATAGTGATTACCTGAATGGGTAATTATAGGCATTTATTCTCATTTTTACGTAGTTCTATATTTTCCCAAATGTCTTCAATAAGCCTCTGTTACTTTTTTTAAGCTGTGGTAAAATT
Source organism: Homo sapiens (assembly GCF_000001405.40). Lineage (NCBI taxonomy): Eukaryota > Metazoa > Chordata > Mammalia > Primates > Hominidae > Homo > Homo sapiens. Next base: position 35,156,659 of record NC_000017.11, on the reverse strand, counting down.
TACATAAAATTTACCATTTTAACCTTTTTTTTTTGAGACGGAGTCTCACTCTGTCACCCGGGTTGGAGTGCAGTGGTGCAATCTCGGCTCACTGCAAACTTCGCCTCCCCGGCTCAAACGATTCTTCTGCTTCAGCCTCCCAAGTAGCTGGGATTACAGGCATGCGCCACCATGCCCGGCTACTTTTTGTATTTTTAATAGAGACAGGTTTTCACCATGTTGGTCAGGCTGGTCTTGAACTCCTGACCTCATGATCCATCCACCTCGGCCTCCCAAATTGCTGGGATTACAGGAGTGAGTCGCTGCACCTGGCCCCATTTTAACCATTTTTAAGTGTTCAGTTCAGTGGCATTAAGTATATTCACATCATTGTGCAAACATCACCACAATCTATCCACAGAATGTTTTTCATCTTGCAAAACTGAAACTTTGTCCCCATTAGAAAATAACCCGCCATTTCCCCTCTTCCATCCTCTGCCAAACACTATTCTACTTTCCATCTCCATGAATTTGACTACTCTAAGTATCTCATATGAGTGGATTCATGCAGTATTTGTCTTTTTGTGGCTGGCTTATTTCACTAGCATAATGTCCTAATGTTCATTGACGTTGTTGCATGTGTCAAATTTTCCTTTCTTTTCAAGGCTGACTAATATTTCATTGTATGTATATACCATATTTTGCTCATCCAGTCACCCACCAATAGACGCTTGAGTTGTATCCATCTTTTAGCAATTGTGAATACTGCAGCTATGCCTGTTACTTTTATAATCAGAAAATACATATAACAGGCCAGGTGTAGTGGCTCATGCCTGTAATCCTAGCACTTTGGGAAGCCAAGGCAGGCAGATCACCTGAGGTCTGGAGTTTGAGACCAGCCTGGCCAACATGAAGAAACCCTGTCTCTACTAAAAATACAAAAATTAGGCAGGCATGATGGTGTGTGCCTGTAGTCCCAGATACTCGGGAGGCTGAGGCAGGAGAAGTGCTTGAATCCAGGAGGTTGCAGTGAGTCTAGATCGCGCTACTGCACTCCAGCCTGGGTGACAGAGTAAGACCCCATCTCAAAAAAAGAGAAGAAAAGAAAATACATAAAACCAAGCCACCCCCACATACAGGGAATTCCCAGTCTGAGGTAGCAACTGACCTTTTCTTTCCCCATCCCCTTGAATCAAAACTGAAGAATGTTTCCTACCTAGAACCAGGGCCTCCTCCTTCCCTCGATGCTCCCGCTTGTCCTCCCCAGACAAGGAGTCAATGATGGCTTGGAGCAGGTTGCAGACAGCCAGAGACATCTCCTCATTCTCCACGGCCATGAGGCTACAGATTCGGTCTATCCGCACTGCATGCAGAATCACTGTGGCCTAGAACCCCAGCAAGAACCATGGTCAGCTGCCTTGCCCCTCCCTTCTAGCTGCCATGCAGGTTAGAGAGGGTGTGATAATCCTCCCCACCCTATCCCATGCAGTAGAGAAATCAGCCCAGGCAGCCATTGCCTCATGGGCCCCTCTGTCCTGGAAACCTCTTGACAACAAGCCATGCCCATCTCTGGAGGTCAGAGCTGTGCCATCCAATACAGTGACCACCGGCCACATGGGGCCGTTGAGCTCTTGCACGGTGGCAGGACCATATGGAGATATGCTGTAGTGTGAAATACACACTGGGTTTCAAAGACTTAGCATGAAAAAATGTAAAATATCATAGCCTTTGCATTCATCACTTCTGCCTTAGGCACTTTCAGTAACTTGTCTTTGCTTAGTGAAACCCATTTCCAACTGAAAGGGAAAAAGAGACTGGAGCACCCTTTGACTTTTTATCTGGTTCCATTGATGCCAGCCACAGCCCTGACCACACGTCACCCTCCGGATCCTTGGACCAGCAGTCGTCTGCTCCACATGCCCCACAGCCGGGCACTTACTCTGGCTTGGTGGCCGCTGCACATGCCCGACAGGGTCCGCACTGCAGCCAGCACCAGCTCAGGCTTCTTAGTGTCCAGAAGCTGCAGTAGCAAGGCTACTCCATTGTTCTGGAAGATCTTCTCAGCCCCTGCTTCCTCACGGCCTAGGACAATGAGATTGTTGGCAGCCTGAAGGAGGAAGAGGCAATAAGGGTTACGAGGGAGGTACGGCCACCCAGGCCTGGACCATGGGCCAAGTACAAGAAGAGCCAGTGCAAAGACTGGATCTTCAGAACATTGTTCTATTATCTCACCTTGGTAATCCTCCTCCTGGAAACACAGCCCAAGAACATAATTCAAGAAAAAAAGCCAAGTAATTTGCATCAAGACCAGCTGGATGAAATATATTGCAGCCATTAAAGTCATGAATAAAAAGACTAAGAGCAATGGAAAAAGCATTGGTATGCAGAATCAGGATCAAATGTTTACTCCAATTGCACTTATGTTAAAATAAAGATGTATATAATGCTTACAGAGAAGGACTAGAAAAAAGGTGGAGAAATGAAGTGTTTTTACATGGAGAATGATTTCCTTAAACATTTTGTTGATTTTCCTGTTCAGGGGAATCTGAAGTTCCCAGGAAGTGAGCAGCAAAAACACTAGATGGGACCTGAAAGCCCTGGGTTTGAGTTCTGATTCTGCTCCCTGCTAGCTGTATGAGCTTGGGTGAGTCACGGCACTTCTCTGGACCCCAGACTCTTCATCTGTAAATTTAGGCAGTTGAGCAAGCAGGTTCCCAAGTCTCTTCCCACCTAAAGCCTTCCAACTTAAGGATGCATGAACCTTAAAATAAAAGGCTCCAGGTCTCAAGCAGGACCTGAGAACCCAGGGCTGAGAAACACAGGAGGTGGAAGAAGGGGAAGGGGAGGAGGTGGGCAAAGAGATGTTGAGTTGGGTGCTGGGGAGAGGGCTGATTAGAGAATTCCAGGCAAGCGTGACCAGAACCATCACTATCAACTAAGGGCTTTGTACTTTTCCAAAAAAAAAAAAACCAAATAAACAAAAAAAACAAACCAAAAAACTTTATTTTATCTATAACAACTTATTATGTTCTCACAAGAGTTTGTTAAGAAAGATATTTGCCTAGTTTATGGATTTATTGAACATAAAACTAACAAAAATTCCCCATTGTCTCTCAAGTTCTTGCAAATGTAAAACACTCGAATGTTCAATTTTTTTCCCCTGCAGAAACACTAGAAGGAAACATAAAAAAAAAAGGTAACAAGTTTGGTTAAGAGGATGATTATGTTGGTAAATATTTAAATTTTTCAGAATGACTTCTTTCAATATTTTTTAATGAAATAAAATGTTATTTTAATGGGCCCGTTATTTCTTAGGGCCGAAATTATAGTGAGGCCAGTGAGGTACTTGCCTTGGGTGCAAAATTTAAAGGGGCACCAAAGAACTCAATAATCGAATAATAATCAATGCTATATTTTTAAAAATCAAAATCAATGCCAGAAAAATCCATGATGAACAAAACATCAAAATTTCAAATAAAGACAGGATCCAACCTTGCTGCATGACTCTCCTCACTAGATTCACCCAAATCTCAGTCCTTCTTATGGTTTACACTGTGTTCCAATGTGCTTAACCTTTGGCCAATTTTCCTTCCTGGGCTGCAAAGACAGGCCTCCGGTCCCCCTTCCCCCTCGGAATGATGTCACTGTCCAGACTGGCGGGTCCTTCTGCTGGCTGGATGGCACTGGCCAGCACTCACCTTTTCCCGCTTATCAGCCTCACTGTTTTCATCCAAGAGGATCTCAAACATCTTCTGTACCCTCGAGTCTGTGGAGAACTGCACTCGGAGCTGAGGAGAGAGGAGGGAGTGGGGAAGGAGGCAGGTGGGGTCCACGTCATTTCAGCTCCACATTCAGTTCATCTCAGTAAATATCAGGTGTCTACTCTGGGCTCCCGCACATACGTTCATTCATGTATTCATTCGACAAACATTTACTGGATAAGTACGATGAATTAATAAATACAATAGAATTGTGAACAAAATCAAGTCCTTGCCCCTGAAGGCTCACCATCTGGTTACATTTGTTATCCCATTTAGACATCACAATAGTCTGGGAAGGCGTAAAGGATCTTCAGCCAAGTTTTAGAGTCTAGTAAACAATCTGCTATTAGACATTTAAATAGGGATAAAACAGAAATATGTCTCCATACTCAGAATCCTGAAGCAGCTTTCTTTCTTTTTAACACACTTGAAATGTAGACGAAGCAGCTTTCAAGCTCTGTTTCAAGCAAATTGAACTCATTTTGTTTGGATATCTAGTCCCTCACAGTCCCCACTCCAACCCCACTGCCCTGGGTCCTCCATAAAGTGACCTAACTGATCATCATCCTTCACTCCGCCAGCTCATTTTGAACCTCCTGTTACTTTGTTTGGGGGGGTCCACACTACTCCCACCTACTTCTGAGCACATTTTTTAATTTTTAATTTTTTTTTTTGAGATGCAGTCTTGCTCTGTCACCCAGGCTGGAGCGCAGTGGCACGATCTCTGCTCACTGTAACCTCTGCCTCCCAAGTTCAAGTGATTCTCCTGTCTAAGCCTTCTGAGTAGTTGGGATTACAGGCATGTGCCACCACGCCCAGCTAATTTTTTTATTTTTAATAGAGATGGGGTTTCACCATGTTGGCCAGGCTGGTTTCGAACTCCTGATGTCAGGTGATTCACCAACCTCGGCTTCCCAAAGTGTTGGGATTACAGGCGTGAGCCACCGCACCCAGCCTATTTTTAATTTATTTTTAATTTTTGGTAGGAACAGCGTCTCTCCCTATGTTGCCCAGGCTGGTCTCCAACTCCTGGGCTCAAGTGATCCTCCCGCCTTGGCCTCCCAAAGTGCTGGGATTACAGGCGTGAGCCACCACACCCAGCCTTGTGCTCATTTCCTTTGGGGGTGCGGAGAGGTCTTTCCTTCGCCTATCCCTCTCTGAATCTCTCCTTAGTTTATATTTCCTCAGTCCTTGAGTCTGCACCCTGGACAGCATGCTGTGGTCCTACCACAGGGCTTCTCCAGATGTGTAGAAGTTATTGAGTCTTGGAGCAAGGGGCTGAGTGATCAATTACCTTATGGCTCTTACAGAGAGGAAACCAACACCCCAAGAGATGCCCCACAAAAACTAGCAGCTGAGCCAGGACTAGGGTTCAGGATTTCTCACCTCTGGTCCAGGTTCTCCGCATCCTACTCCATTTCCTAGAAAATATTTTATGCTCCTGGCTCACATCAGTAATCCCAGCACTTTGGGAGGCTGAGGTGGGTGGATCACATGAGGCCAGGAGTTCGAGAGAGTCTGGCCAACATGGTGAAACCCCATCTCTATCAAAAATACAAAAATTAGAATCCCCGCCCCGCGGTGGGGCGCGGGAAATGTGGCGTACGGAAGACCCACTCCCCGGCGCCGCTCGTGTGGGGCCCAAGTCCTTCTGATCGAGGCCCGCGACCTCAGATCAGACGTGGCGACCCGCTGAATTTAAGCATATTTGTCAGCGGAGGAAAAGAAACTAACCAGGATTCCCTCAGTAATGGCGAGTGAACAGGGAAGAGCCCAGCGCCGAATCCCCGCCCCGCGGTGGGGCGCGGGAAATGTGGCGTACGGAAAAATACAAAAATTAGCCAGGTGTGGTGGTGCACGTCTGTAATCCTAGGTACTTGGGAGGCTGAGGCACAAGAATTGCTTAAACCCAGGAGAAAGAGGTTGGAGTGAGGAGCTGAGATCATGCCACTGTACTCCAGCCTGGGCAACAAAGCAAGAATCTGTCTCAAAAAAAGCAATCATGCTCCTAATGGGGCCTGGCTCTCCTCTATCCCTCATCGATGTCTTCAATTCCCATGTATTTTATAATACATAGAAAGAGAGAGAGATCATGTTGCAGACATACTAAGTTATAATAATATTTCTAAGCCTCCATCTGGAATTTTTTTGGGGGGGGCGGGGGTGGGAGAGACAGAGTCTTGCTCTGTCGCCCAGGCTGAAGTGCAATGGCACATGATCTCAGCTCACTGCAACCTCCACCTCCCAGGTTCAAACAATTATCCTGCCTCAGCCTCTTGAGTAGCTGGGATTACAGGCGCCCCCACCACATCCGGCTATTTTTTGTATTTTTAGTAGAGACGGGGTTTCCCCATGTTGTCCAGGCTGGTCTCAAACTACTTGACCTCAAGTGATCTGCCCGCCTCAGCCTCCCAAAGTATTGGGATTATAAGCATGAGCCACTGTGCCTGGCCCCATCTGGAATTTAAAAGACCTGTGTTCTAGCCTTGGCTGGCTTGTGCCCTCAAACAAGCATCACAGATAGAAGCACCTGCTTAGCTGTTCTGTGCAGCCTGCCCATGCCACTTGCTGTCTCTATCTCAGAGTGTGGAGGTAGGGCTAGCCCTGCCCTGATGACCCACCTCCCTAACCCATTCCTACTAGGAATGAAGAGAGGGGCTGGGCAGCCAAGGGTTGTGGGAAGAGGCCCAGCTCACCTTCTCCTGAATGCTGGTGTTGAGTCTCCTCAGCATCTCCTGGAAGTTCTGGTTCCGTGGCTCGAGGGTGGCACAACGCTGCACGTCTTTGAAGGCCTGGTCCAGCTTCCCCAGGTGCTCCAGTGCCTGGCATCGCCGATACAGAGCCTTGATGTCCGAGGAGTTGATGTCGATGGCTATCGAGGGGAGACGGGGGATGAGGACCTTAGGGAGCCAGACTACAGACCACCAGCCCCACTGCCCCAACTCCAGGAAGCATGCTCTTGCTTCGTTTCTGTGTCTTCCTTGGAGATTATCCATCCATGTGGACTCTCTGGCCCTTACCTCCCCTTTGTTAGGGAGACAGTAAGATCCACAGAGTTTCAAGGTGGGAAGAGAGCTTGGGGGTCATGTCATCCAATTCTTAACGCTCCAGTCTCTGCTACAGGATCCCTGCCAGGGGCTTAACCAATCGGTGCTTGCATACCTCCAGCAGTGGGGAGCTCCCTCCTCCTCAAGACAGCCAGGCGGGCCTGGCGCAGTGGCTGATGCCTGTAATCCCAACACTTTGGGAGGCCAAGGTAGGCAGATCACAAGGTCAGGAGTTCGAGACCAGCCTGGCCAACATGGCGAAACCTTGTCTCTACTAAAAATACAAAAATTAGCTGGGCGTGGTGGCAGACGCCTATAATCCCGGCTACTTGGAAGGCTGAGACAGGAGAATTGCTTGAATCCGGGAGGCAGAGGTTGCAGTGAGTTGAGATCATGCCATTGCACTCCAGTCTGGGCAACAGAGCAAGACTCCATCTCAAAAAAACAAAACAAAACAAAACCCAAAAAACAAAACAAAACAAACAACAACAACAACAAAAGACAGCCAGGCAGCTTAATCAGAAAACATTTCCCTCTCCCTGCCTGAAATGTGTTCCCTGTAACATTGCCCAGCCCTGGAACCCTTGAGATGAAATCCAATCCTTCTTCCTTGTGACAGCCTTTTAGGAATTTGAAGGCAGCTCTCTGACCCACCTGGGAGTTGCCTTTTCTGGGCTAAATATTGCAGCTTCCCTCAACTGCTCTTCACAGGATATGTTTCCAGTCCCTTCTCCAGCTTGTTCTCTCCCTTCTGAAGTCACTCCATACTCACTGTTTCTTCCCCCAAAATGGTAACTAGATTAAAACCCAGGCCATGCAGAGGAGAATGTGACAGGGCAAGCTTGGAGGTGGGAGGGGCTCACCTCTGGAGGCATCTGAAGCTGCCTGGACGTAGCTCTCCTGAGGAAAGGGGAAGGAGAAGGAGACTCGGTTAATGTGGGCCCAATGCAGAGATGGCCAGAGAGTGTCCCCACAGTGTGGGGAGAGGGTTTCCTGGGGGAGCTGCAGGCTGTCAGAGGCCCAGGGCATGCTCCTCACAGGCATGGCAAAGAGGACAGGCTTTGACATCAGGCAAACCCAGGTTTGAATCTCGGCTCTGCTACTACTTGGGAGAGCTTGGGCAAGTTAATGAATGAAGCCCTCTGGATCCCGAGTTTCTTACCTGCGATAGGGGGAGGACAACAACAGCTATCTCACGGGCCATTAGTAAGATGCCATGAATAACACATGAAAGCACCTGGCATTGGGCTGATTCTGCTCTGGATGAATTTCTGTCTTTCCGGGGCATGGGTCAGGGGGTTGGAGGCACCCTTCTCCAACCCCAGGCATCCAGGAGAGTCGGCTGGGATGAAGGGCAATTTCTATCAGGGTGAAGGGGCTGCCACTCAGCCCCAAAGCCCCTCTGCCTCACTCCCACCCTGTGCCCTGCCCTGCCCCAGACCGTTTTCAGGCCACAGGCTGCCCGGTTCCGATAAAGCGTGGCCAGCAGGGCCTTGTCCTTGGTCAGCTTCAGGGCCTGGCTGTAGCTATTTGTGGCGGCCTTGTAGTCCTGGAGCTGGAAATGCCGGTTTCCTTCCTCCTTCAGCTGTACCGCTTCCACCTCTGCCATCTGCTGGGACAGGAGAAGCTCTGTCTGGTCAGCCCCTCACTGCAGACCCAGGGCTGGGCTCCTGGCCTGAGGTCCGGAGCTCCAGGGTCCCCTCACACCAGAGAGGATGGTGGGGATTCTGCCTGGAAGGGACCCACCCCCAGAACCCCCAAATCTATTGCCCCATGAGGACATTATAGCATTTGCTCAGAGCTTGGCCCAAGTTGAGAGTCCCTGTGCCTCACTCTCTGTCCCTCCCAGCCTGAGCAGGCGAAGCTGCTTAGTTTGTGCCAAAGGCCTGAACTCTCATTGCAGGTCTTAGAAGTTTGCCGTCTCCCTCCCCAGTCCAGGGCACACCCCAGGCCCATGCTCACTTTTTCAGCAAGGACGATGCTTTCGATCTGCCCTCTTGTGATGCTGCTCCCCTGAGCACTCCTGTGTCAACCTCCAGCCAGCCAGCCTCAGTCTGCCCCTCCCAGCCCCCACCCAAGAGATTTTCTTGCCTCAGCCAGTGGCTCTGGACCATATTTGGCCACAGGGGCAGGTGCCCCTGGAGTCTGTCACTGATACTCAGGGCCCTCCCCCTCCCCAGACTGGTCAGTCATGACCACGTGGAGGTGCTGACCAGCCTCCGCCCAAGCACCCCACTCTGGGTTATCCTGGTGGGGGGCTTAGGCACTAACATTCCAAAGAGTGACAGAAAGATCCAGAAGGGACAGGAACCCCCCAGCAGACTCCCTCCCTGGGCACAGCTCTAATGCACCTCTCCACATCTATCCCAGATAAACAGCTTCCTCTCCCTCCCCTCAACCATTGCTATTTTTGGGAGCAGAGTGACAGCTGAGGGGCTGACAGACTGGGACACACAGCAGTTGCCCAGATCCCAGACCAACTGGAGAGTTCCAGAAATACCTTTCTGGAGGGAGCGGGGAAGGAACAGGGGAAGAAAGTTCCTTCCCTTTTCCACTTCTGCGCAACACCTCAACCCACCCTGCTTTCACCTGTTCAAAATGTCTTTGCTTTTCAGAAAGACCAACAGGACTTGCTAACTCAGTTTAGTGTGAGTGAGTGGTTCGTTAGTTTCGGTCCACATGCGGTCTCCTGTTCCTCCCCCTGTGTATAGAGTGGATCTATTCAGCCTACCTCTCCCATCTGACTGTTAGCTCCCAGAGAGTGGGCTTTGTGTATCCCCCATCAGGCTGAGATCTCTTAGGGCAAGGGCTGGGTCAGACTGGGAATTCCCCCGAGACCAAGGGTCCTCCCCACCCGACTGGAAACTATCCTGGGACACACTGAGGCTCCCTCCTCAGAAGGGGGTCTTCCTGGGACAAGAACTATGTATTCACCATTGCAGAGGGGTCTCTCCTGAGGCAGGAATGTTTCTCCTTAGCTAACTGGGAGTTCCTGAAGCAAATTTATGACGTTGTCCCCAGTTGGACCCAGAACTCTTCTGCATTTCAGTGCCCTCAAGCCTGGGCTGTGAGCTTCCTCCTGGAAGGCAAAGACAGCATCCCATATAGCTTGTCCCCCAACCCCCTTCCTGCACAGGTTCTGGCACATTCAGTGTCCGAAGTGTGTTTCCTGAATGGAATGAATGGATGGATGAATGAATGAATGAATGAATGGTGTCTTCATGATGATGATTTCCTCCACTCACCTCTCATCCCTCTCCCCTCCACCCCACACATATCTTCAAACTTATCTGGCCAGAGCTGAGAAAGACACTGAAGAAAATCCCAGGTGGAATCATTCATACTAGATTCTACTCGCAGACCTGTGACCTTGGACACACAGCTATATGACCTTGGACAAGTTGTAGCGCCCTGCTGGACACAAAGCCCAGCCCTAACACATGTTTGTTGAATGAGCAAATAAATGAATGAATAGATGGATGAATTCCCTGCCTTCATGTTATCACAAGCCCTGGGCCCTTTTGTGGGGCAAGCTCTCTGCAGCAATGAGGTAATAGGATAAAGGATCCTGACATTGGCAGAGACCTGCGGTTCTGTGACTTTAGGTCCAAGGGATCTTATATTCAAATGCTGATTCAGTAATTCATTCCACAAGCATTTCTTAAACATCTTTTTGTTGTTGTTGTTGTTGTTGTTTGAGACAGAGTCTTGCTCTGTTGCCCAGGCTGGAGTGCAGTGGCACGATCTCGGCTCACTGCAACCTCCACCTTCTGGGTTCAAGAGATTCTCCTGCCTCAGCCTCATGAGTAGCTGGGATTACAGACATCCACCACCATGCCTGGCTAATTTCTGTATTTTTAGTAGAGATGGAGTTTCACCATGTTGGCCAGGCTGATCTTGAACCCCTGACCTCGTGATCCACCTGCCTAGGCCTCTCAAAGTGCTGGGATTACAGGCGTGAGCCACCGCGCCTGGCCCACATTTCTTAAACATTTATTATGTGTGAGGAACTGTGAAGCATAGAACACTGGTGAGGACAAGGATTTGTGTCTATGTTGTTCCCTCACATATTCCAAGCGTTTGTAATGGTGTGGGGCACAGTGGCTGACACCTGTAATCCCAGCACTTTGGGAGGCCAAGGCAGGCGGATCACCTGAGGTCAGGAGTTCCAGACCAGCCTGGCCAACATGGCGAAACTCCATCTCTGCTAAAAACACAAAAGTTAGCCGGGCATGGTGGCGGGTGCCTGTAATCCCAGCTACTAAGGAGTCTGAGGCAGGAGAATCACTTGAACCCCAGAGGCAGAGGTTGCAGTGAGCCAAGATCATGCCACTGCACTCCAGCTTTGGTGACAGAGCAAGATTCCATCTCAAAAAAGAAGAAAAAATAAAAAGAAGGTGCTCAATGCTATTTGTTGAATGAATGAATGAATGAAATAATTCCATGGATCTGTGATTCTGTGATTTCTTTTTTTTGTTCGTTTGTTTGTTTTGGTTTTTTTTTTAATTGAGACAGGGTCTCGCTGTCACAAGTGGAAAGCAGTGGCATGATCACGGCTGACTGCAGCCTTGACCTCCCAGGTTCAAGCAATTCACCCATCTCAGCCTCCTGAGTAGCTGGGACTATAGGTGCATGCCACCTGGCTATTTTTTTTGTAGAGACATGATCTCACCATGTTGCCCAGTCTGGTCTCAAACTCCTGGGCTCAAGTGATACTCCCACCTCGGCCTCCCAAAGTGCTGAGATTACAGGTGTGAGCCACTGTGCCAGCTGGATCTGTGATTTCTAAATGTGAGGAATACCAGGATGTTTTGAAAACATACAACAGGGAAATATGACATCATATGACATCATTTCAAAGGTTTCCCTGCGTAAGTGATAAATGAGTTGATACACATAGAACTCCGACAACGTCTGGCAGAGAGTAGGCACTCAATACATTTATTGGATGAATGAATAAATATTCAAGGCAAGACCTGAAGAATGAGGAACTATTCCTGTATTAGTTGGCTCTGGCTACCATAACAAAATAGCACAGACAGGGAGGCTTCAACAACAGAAATTTATTTTCTCACAGCTCTGGAGTAGAGAAATCCAAGGTCAAGGTGCCATGAGGGTTGGTTTCTGGTGAGGCCTCTCTTCCTGGATGCAAACAGCCACCTTCTCACTGTGTCCTACTATGGCCTCATCTTTGTGTGTGCTCAGGGAGGCAGTGCGGGGGGCGGGGAGAGACAGAGAGAGAGTACTCTGGAGTCTCCTCATTTCACAAGGGCACCAGTTCTATCTGATTAGTGTCCTACCCATACAAACTCACTTATTAACCCTTCCTATGTCCTTTCAGGGCCCATCTCCAGGCCAGGCATGGTGGCTTACACCTGTAATCCCAGCACTTTGGAAGGCCTAAGACAGGAAGATCATTTGAGGCCAAGAGTTCGAGACCAGCTTAGGCAACAGAGTGACAGCCTTGTCTCTACAAAAATTTTTAAAAGTTAGCCGAGTGTCAGGTATAGTGGCACACACCTGTTGTCCTAGCTACTCAGAACACTAAGGTAAGAAGAGCACTTGAGCCTGGGAGTTTGAAGCTGTGTGAGCTATGATCACACTACTACACTCTAGTCTGGGCAACAGAGTGAGACCCTGTCTCTAAAAAAAAAAAAAAAAAACAATAATAATAATATATGCTATCTCCAAATACAGCCACATTCAGAGCTAGGGCTTCAATATATAAATTAGGGCAGAGGCGTCCAATCTTTTGGCTTCTCTGGGCCACAGTGGAAAAAGAATTGCCTTGGGCTACACATAAAATACACTAATGATAGCTGATGAGCTGAAAAAAAAAATCGAAAGAAAATCTCATAATGTTTTAAGAAAGCTTACGAATTTGTGTTGGGCTGCATTCAAAGCCATCCTGGGCTGCATGCAGCCTGTGGCCCAGGGGTTGGACAAGCTTGAATTAGGGGAAGGGCACAATTCACTCCATAACAGTTCCAGACAGAAAAAACTGCATGGGCAAAATCACTGATGCAGGAAGAGCCATGCCTTGTAAGAACTCAGAAAAAGCCAGCAAGATTTAACCTAAAGAGAGGGGTGGCTGGACATAGCAAGGCTGAATTGACCATTATAAGGAGTGTTCTTTTTTTCCTGCATGTAAGGGAGCCGTCGCAGGGTTTGAGGGTGAAGAGCAGCAGGCCAGATTTTTGGTCTGAAAAGATAACCCTGGCTGCATCGTGGAGAATGGGTAGAAAGAGGCAGGAATGGAAATGGGGGGGCTCATCGGGAGGCTGTTGTAGCGGTCCAGGCAGGTGATGATGGTGACTCTGACCAGAGTGAGGCAGTGGAGATGGGGAGAGCAGATTCAAGCTGTGTTCATGAGGATGACTTGGCAGAGCTTGAGACTGCCTGAGCAGTGGAGGGAGAGAGAGGAGAGTTGGCAAGGGAGATCCTTCGTTTCAGGCAAAAGAGCTCAAGTTCATTGCTGTCTGCTTCAGTTCCTCAGTAATATGGGGAGAAAAGGGTTGTAAGAATTAAATGAGTTATGTGGGAAAGCACTTAGAACAATTCCTGACTTGTTGATGTCATTATCACTATTATTGCTTTACAGCATTGATGATTGTAGAAATGATTTGCTTTTGTACTCGAGTATTATTGAGTTGATCCATTTTATTTATTTATTTATTTATTTATTTATTTATTTATTTATTTATTTATTGAGACAGAGTCTTGCTCTGTCATCCAGGCTGGAGTGCAGTGGTGAGAGCTCGGCTCACTGCAACCTCTGCCTCCCAGGTTCAAGAGAATCTACCACCTCAGCCTCTCCAGTAGCTATGACCACAGGCGCATGCCACCACGGCTGGTTAATTTTTTTGTATTTTTAGTAGAGACCTGGTTTCACCATGTTGGCCAGGCTGGTCTCGAACTCCTGGACTCAAGTGATCTGCTCGCCTGGGCCTTCCAAAGCGCTGGGATTACAGGTGTCAGCCACCACGCCCAGCCTTGACTTGATCCATTTTTAAAAGGATACTAATTTCTAGGCTAGGCGTGGTGGCTCACACCTGTAATCCCAGCACTTTGGGACACTGAGGCTGGGGAGTGGGGGACTTGCTGCTTGAGTTCAGGAGTTTGAGACCAGCCTGGGCAACATAGTGAGACCTCGTCTCTACAAAAAATGAGAAAAAAATAACCGGGCAGGGTGTCATGTGCCTGTAGTCCAGGCTACTCTGAGGCTGAGGTGGGAGGATCGCTGTGCCAGAAAGTTCGAGACTGCAGTGAGCCGTGGTGGCACCACTGCCCTCCAGTCTGGGCGACGGAGTGAAACTCTGTCTCAAAATGAAATTAAATTAAAATGGGGCAAGAATCCCTGTTGTGAAGAGTCAAAAGTTTACTGTGTCCTCTAAGACCCTGGCGAAAAATAAATGTGAAGGCTGTTGAGGGGCGGGAGGAGCACCAGGTAAGCCCATTTCTAATCCCTGAGGCCGTGCGCAGCGGGACGCTTCTCCTCCCCAACAGCAGAGGGCGATGTGGCCGGCGGCGACCCCGCCCGACCACGGAGACGGCGCTCTGTCTGCCGGGCTCTTTCTCCTCCACGTGGGGACGCAGGATGGCGGCAGCAGTGCCGGTGGGTGTGCGTGGATGGGGGCGGGGGGCGTCGCCGCGGGGCGCTAGGGCCCGGGTCCCTGAGGCCTGAGAGAGGCGAAGTGGGGCCCTTCTGGGCGGGCGACCAGACTGACTCCCGCCCCACTTGCTCGCGCAGGACGAGGCGGTGGCGCGCGATGTGCAGCGGTTGCTAGTGCAGTTCCAGGATGAGGGCGGGCAGCTGCTGGGTTCCCCGTTCGACGTGCCCGTGGACATCACCCCGGACAGGCTGCAGCTCGTGTGCAACGCGCTACTGGCCCAGGTAAGTGGCTGGCCAGGGCGGCCTCGCATCTCCACCCCCGGGCGGATGCGGTGGGGGAATCATATTACCGAGGGTCTGCGGTTCATGGTCCCCCGCTAACGGACTGTGGTGACCCACCTGGCGTGAGCTCCCACCTATGTCAGAGATGGAATCAGTGGCATAGCGCTTTACACGCCAACCAAAGGGGTCCACCTGCGGAGAGGGGCCTAGCTTTGAACGCACCGGATGCTGTATTTCATTGATTCTTTGTCACAGTCCCCCAGTCTGGGACACGTTAATATCCCCATTTTACAGCGTGGCCCGGAGGGACTCAGTATTTTGCACGATGCTATGTAGTAGGTAGCAGATTTGGAATTGGAACCCAAAACTATCCGAATACCCATGCTTTTATTTATTTATTTATTTACCTTTTTTTTTTTTTTTTTTGAGACGGAGTCTCACTTTGTCGCCAGGCTGGCAAGCTGGAGTGTAGTGGCGTGATCTCTGCTCACTGCAATCTCTGCCTCCCAGGTTCAAGCGATTCTCCTGCCTCAGCCTCCCGAGTAGCTGGGACTACAGGCGCGCGCCACCACACCCAGCTAATTTTTGTATTTTTAGTGGGGACTGGGTTTCACCACGTTGGCCAGGATGGTCTCGATCTCTTGACCTCGTGATCCTCCCGCCTTGGCCTCCAAAGTGCTGGGGATTACTGGCGTGAGCCACCGCACCCGGCCTTTGCTTTTAACCTTTAAGCCAGTGTGTTTACTGAAGAGCTGCCCTGGGGACAGGGGAGGTCCTTAAAATTGCAGTTCCTGGACCCCATCCCAGCCTTACTAAACCAAACTCTGGGATGAAGCAGAAAGTCTACATTTTTTAACAGGCGTTTTGGGAGCTTTTTACACAAATATAGTGTAGTGTGGTAGTTTGGGAAACACTGCATAATGCTATATGCTAATCCTATCTTGGACGTAAAGAACCTGAATTAATCATTGGCAATAGGACATTGAACTAATTACTTAGTTGTTCTGAGCCTCTGCTTTTGAAAACTGTCAGTGGGAATATTAGTATCTACTTCCCACGGTTGTTATGAGATGCAGATAAAGAATTTCAGGCCGGGTGCAGTGGCTTATGCCTGTAATCCCAGTACTTTGGGAGGCTGAGGTGGGCAGATCACTAGAGGTCAGGAGTTCGAGACCAGCTTAGCCAATATGGCGAAAACAGTCTCTACTGAAAATACAAAAATTAGCCAGGCGTGGTGGCAGGCGCCTGTAGTCCCAGCTCCTCGGGAGGCTGAAGCAGGAGAATTGCTTGAACCCAGGAGGCAGAGGTTGCAGTGAGCTGAGATCTCACCACTGCACTCCAGCCTGAGTAACAGAACGAGACTCCATCTCAAAAAAAAAAGAAAAAAGAATTTCCAAGTGCTGTGTAAGTGTCCTGCAACTGCTGTTCAGTGACTTAAAAGGTCTTGCTAGGCTGGGCACAGTGGCTCACGCCTGTAATCCCAGCACTTTGGGAGGCCGAGGCAGGTGGATCACCTGAGGTCAGGAGCTTGAGACCAGCCTGGCCAATGTGGCGAAACCCCGTATCTACTAAAAATATAAAACTTAGCCAGGCGTGGTGATGGGTGCCTGTAATCCCAGCTACTCGGGAGGCTGAGGCAGGAGAATCTCTTGAACCCAGGACGCGGAGGTTGCAGTGAGCAGAGATTGCTCCACTGCACTCCAGCCTGGGTGACAGAGCGAGACTCTTGTCTCAAAAATAAATAAATAAATAAATAAAAGGTCTTGCTCAATGGGCAATGATGGGGGTATCCCTAGCACGATGGCTGAAAAGAAGAAGCTTCACCTCCCACAGCTCAGTGGGGAGCATCCCTGGCAGAGGGTGCCCCTGCACATCCATTGTTGCGGGTTTGTCCTTTACCATTGTCCTTCAGGAGGATCCCCTGCCACTGGCTTTCTTTGTCCACGATGCTGAGATCGTCTCCTCACTGGGGAAGACGTTGGAGTCCCAGGCAGTGGAGACAGAGAAGGTCCTAGACATCATCTACCAGCCACAGGCTATCTTCAGAGTCCGGGCTGTGACTCGCTGCACCAGCTCCTTGGAGGGTCACAGTGAGGCAGTCATTTCTGTGGCCTTCAGCCCTACGGGAAAGTAAGGACAGCTGCAGACTCATGGAGGGGGTATGTGGGGGTGCAGTCTTTGCCTGGTTTGGGGAGGGTCTCCCAGAGTTATAATTGATGGGGCCTCAGGGCTGCCTACCATAGACCCAAGCTCTGGACTCAGCTTGCAATTAAGGGACTTCCTCAGTAGGGCATGGTCCCCAAAGGCTGCTTAAGGACCCCTGCCTTGGACAAACCTCTCCTAGACTTGATTTTTCAAGATCTGAGCTGTGTGACTTGTATAAATCACTTAACCTTTCCGAGTTAATTTTTCATCTGTGAAACTGGGATTAGTTGCTTCTCTCAAACTTAGAAAGGTAATGAGAAGCTTCAAAAGCTGGTTATAGCTGTGGAGAGGAAAGAAATGGCCTCCTGATGTATTCTCCCAGAGGACAGCATCAGTATTGTCTTTCTCCCTTCCAGGGGCGAGGAAAGAGTCCAGTTCCATATTCTATTCACAGAAAGTGATTGAATAGGTGGCACAAATGCACATGTGCAGTGTCAAGCATCCTCTCTTCTTCCCCAGGTACCTGGCCAGTGGCTCTGGAGACACCACCGTGCGCTTCTGGGATCTCAGCACAGAGACACCACATTTCACATGCAAGGGTCAGTATGCAATTAGCCATTTAGGGGGTCTTCTTTTTTTTTGAGACAAGGTCTTGCTCTGTTGACCAGGATGGAGTACAGTGGTGCAGTCACAGCTCACTTGAACTCCTGGGCTCAAGCCTTGAACTCCTGGGTTCAAGCAGTCCCCCTACTTCAGCCTCCAGAGTAGCTGGGATGACAGGCACTTGCCATCACACCTGGCTCGTTTTTTGTTTTCATACAGATGAGGGTCTCACTTTGCAGATTACAACCCCTTAATATCCAGTTGGCGGCTGTCTGTTCCTAGGTAGAGACCATGTCCTTGAGCCCAGCCAGCCACTTAGACACAAGCAGAAACTGCACCAAGGAGTCAATATGGGACATGGTGAGAGGCTGACTGACTGCTACCAAGGAGAACCTGGTTTAAATCCTGCCTCTGCCACAGTGGTTTTCAAACTTGAGCACAAATCAGAATTGCCCCGCCTCAGGGGCTTGTTAAAATGCAGATTGCTGGCCAGGCGTGGTGGCCCACACCTGTAATCCCAGCACTTCGGGAGGCCAAGGCAGGCAGATCACTTGAGGTCAGGAGTTTGAGACCAGCCTCGCCAACACAGTGAAACCCCATCTCTACTAAAACTACAAAAATTAGCCGGGCATGGTGGCGTGTGCTTGTAATCCCAGCCACTGGGGAGGCTGAGGCAGAAGAATTGCTCGAATCTAGGAGGCGGAGGTTGCAGTGAGCCGAGATGGCACCACTGCACTCCAGCCTGGGTGATGGAGTGTGACTCCATGAAAGAAAGAGAGAGAGAGAAAAGAGAAGAGAGAAAAAAATACAGATTGCTGGGCCCCACCCCCAGAGGTTTAGTTCTATTGGGCCTGGGGTAGGGCCTGGGAATCTGCATTTCTAACAAGTTCCCAGGAGATGCTGATGCTGCTGCTCTGACGACCACACTTGAAGAACCACTGCTATACCACAGATTAGTTAAGTGACCTTGTGTGTGTAGGGCATGTTCCCTTTCTAAGCTTCAATTTTCTCATCTGGAAAATGGGGATGATAATTCTTGCTTTGCTCCATAGCTTAGAGCTCTTGTGAGAAATAACAAGGGATGACATGTACAAAAACACTTCATAGCATGTGTCACATAAGGAGTCATTAGAGAGTGATGGTGTTATCCATGCAGCAAGATGCAGAGCTCTAACACTTGGGGTGCATTCTATCCATCCCCAGAAAGCCTCATCGCTCCTTTTGTTCAATCATTCATTTATTCAAATGGTTAAGGAGTACCTGGCACCTGACAGGCACTGCTGGGCACTTGGGATAAAGACAGATGTAGTCCCTTATTTCTCCCTCCTCTGCTTTCTTAGGACACAGACACTGGGTCCTTAGTATATCCTGGTCTCCAGATGGCAGGAAGCTGGCCTCAGGCTGCAAGAATGGC
Organism: Homo sapiens; assembly: GCF_000001405.40. Classification (NCBI taxonomy): domain Eukaryota; kingdom Metazoa; phylum Chordata; class Mammalia; order Primates; family Hominidae; genus Homo; species Homo sapiens. Next base: position 35,137,816 of record NC_000017.11, on the reverse strand, counting down.
CAGGTAGGTAGTTCTCAGGGTAACTAGGCAGAGACTCAAGGGGGCCTTCCTAGGAGACAGTTCAGAATCAGGTTCAGGAGTCTTTGGGGAGGGTTGGGTGGGAAGTGGTAGGCAGGGATTTTGGTGGAGCCAGAGACCTGTTGGGGAGGATTATTCAGTGAGCTTCTGTCCTTCAGATTCTCCTCTGGGACCCAAGCACAGGGAAGCAGGTGGGCAGGACCCTCGCTGGCCACAGCAAGTGGATCACAGGCCTGAGCTGGGAGCCCCTCCATGCGTAAGTGACACTGACGGAGCTGGGACAAATGAGCCAGGGGATCAAAGCCATCCCCTTTCCCTGCCCAATGCATAGAAGTTTTACGTGAGGGGACAAGATGGGCAGCCTGAATGACCGTGATGGCTTGGCAGGCATGGGAGAAGGGTCTCGGGCAGACCTGCATTGCTGCTTGGGAGAGGCTCTCATCACAGGGTCTGCTGGTTGCAGTCACCTTGCAGTGCAGCCGGGTCTTGGTGTCAGAAAAGCTGTCAAAAGATTGTCCATGGCCTTTAAGTTGGGAATGGGGAGGTGCCATGGGCACACAGATGTTGCCAGGTCACAGATGAGGTCACATCTCCCTTCTCTCCAGGAACCCTGAGTGCCGCTATGTGGCCAGCAGCTCCAAGGATGGCAGTGTGCGGATCTGGGACACAACTGCAGGCCGCTGTGAGCGCATCCTCACCGGGCACACCCAGTCGGTCACCTGTCTCCGGTGGGGAGGGGACGGGCTTCTCTACTCTGCCTCCCAGGACCGCACCATCAAAGTCTGGAGAGCTCATGACGTAAGTGCTGGGAGGGTTCAGAAACCAGTCCAGAAAATCGCAAGTCACAAGATGCTGGCACTCAGAATGACCTTGACATCAGCGAGTCCAGTGTTTCCCAGATGTGTGCTGGGAGCCCTGGTCTAGGGAGGTGTTTTGGGAATGAGGAGTTCTGTGGTTGGTGCTGCACCATAGTGGAGATTGCAGAGTCCCCATGAGATCGTCACACTCTGGAAATTCCTCCTGTAGGACAGCTGTTGGGCTTTATCAGATCTACCATATCCCAAATGTATTGGACAGGAGCCGTTTACTCTGACATCCCTAACTCCTCTTCCATGAAACATTTTCATGATCTGGACTCCATTTTACAAGTGGGGAGAGACTTGACCCCAGAGGGGTAGTTTGATTAAGATCACAATGCATGAGTGATGATGATTATTAGTCTTGTACCACCTGTCTCCTGGGGCTAATCGCCCAGGCGTGGGGAGGAGTGTGTGTGTCTGACCTGACTCGCTCTCCCGTAGGGTGTGCTGTGCCGGACTCTGCAAGGCCACGGCCACTGGGTGAACACCATGGCCCTCAGCACTGACTATGCCCTGCGCACTGGGGCCTTTGAACCTGCTGAGGCCTCAGTTAATCCCCAAGACCTCCAAGGATCCTGTGAGTGATTGGGAGAAGGAAGAGCGGGGGCTGATTGGGAAGGAGCCAGTTCTCAAGCTTAATGGGGAGTGTTTGCTCTTTGTGTTGGATTTTCTTATCGGCCTTCTTCCTCATCTCCTTTTCTCCCCTCCGGTACCTGGTCACAGTGCAGGAGTTGAAGGAGAGGGCTCTGAGCCGATACAACCTCGTGCGGGTGAGTGTGTGCCAGCCACGTGCACCCCTAGCTCTGTACCAGTCCTTAGCCAATCACTAAAACCCTCTCAGACCCTTCTCCCTTCTAGACCCAGCTCAGAATGTACCTATTCCAAAAAGTTGTTCTTCATAATCCTAGTTTGCAATCCTAAAATACTAATGTGCTAGAGATCATTTTATTTCGTTTTTTGTTTAGTTTATTTGCTTGTCTATTTATTACATTTCCAACATGCTTCTTTTTTACTTTAATTTGTTGTTTAAGATTGTTCACACATTCACGTTCAAAAAATACAAAAGGTAGATCGCGGAGTCTCCCGTCTCTATTGTAGCATCCAGTGCCACCAGTATCCTGAATCACCTTCCAGAGATTTAATATACAGACACGTGTCTATATACAGTATATATGTATAAGCACACACACACATGCATACATACATAAAATCCTTCTTTTAACACATTATTTTGTGCCTTTTTCTGTAATTATGTATCTTAAAATTTTTTTCTACATGCATGTAGAGTTTCTTTTTCCTTTTGGATGAAGTGACTTGCCTGGGGTCACATGCGAGTGAGTGGCCAAGCCAGTCCTCATTGCTCCTAGCGCTGGCCTCTCTCTGTCCCTGGCATTGAGTAATCAGGGTGTATGCTTGCTGCCAAAGTCGGGCCCTCCTCCTTCTTTCTGAGACCACACCCAACACAGTGTGCTTTCTGCCTCCCCTAGGGCCAGGGTCCAGAGAGGCTGGTGTCTGGCTCCGACGACTTCACCTTATTCCTGTGGTCCCCAGCAGAGGACAAAAAGCCTCTCACTCGGATGACAGGACACCAAGCTCTCATCAACCAGGTGCTCTTCTCTCCTGACTCCCGCATCGTGGCTAGTGCCTCCTTTGACAAGTCCATCAAGCTGTGGGATGGCAGGACGGGCAAGTGAGTAGGGGTGGGTACTGCTTCTCTGTAAGGAGTGAATGGTGGGAGGGGCTTGGCACTGCCACTTACTAGCTGTATGGCCTTGGCAGGTGTTTGGATTTTCTAAGCCACTGTTTCCTCTTTGGTAATATGCAGACCCCCTACCTCTCAGCTTTGTTACAAGGTGTTTGTTTGTTTGTTTGTTTTTAGAGATGACTTTCACTCTGTCACCTGGTGTTCAAGTGGCTCGAGTGCAGCGGCACGATCTTGGCTCATTACAACCTCTGCTTCCTGGGTTCAAGTGATTCTCCTGCCTCAGCCTCCCAGGTAGCTGGGATTACAGGCCTCCGCCACCGTGCCTGGCTAATTTTTGTATTTTTAGTTGAGACGGGGTTTCACCATGTTGACTAGGCTGGTCTTGAACTCCTGAGCTCAAGTGATCCAACTGCCTCGGCCTCCCAAAGTGCTGGGATTACAGGTGTGAGCCGCCATGCCCAGCCTAGTTACACGGATTTAATGAGACAGTATGTTTAGGACCCGCACTAAGTGGTCACTAAAAATGCTAGTTCAGGCTGGGCGTGGTGGCTCATGCCCATAATCCCAGGAGTTTGGGAGGCCAAGGCAGGCAGATCACCTGAGTTCAGGAGTTCGAGACTAGCCTGGCCAACATGGCAAAACCCTGTCTCTACTAAAAATACAAAAATTAGCCAGGCATAGTGGCACGTGCCTATAATCCCAGTTACCCCGGAGGCTGAGGCAGGAGAATCATTTGAACTTGGGAGGCAAAGGTTGCAGTGAGTCGAGTTCACACCACTGTACTCCAGCCTGGGCAACAGAGTGATACTGTGTCTCAAAAAAAAAAAAATGCTAGTTTATGTCTTAGGAGAGAAGTGATCTTAGAGCTAGCTGCTGAAGAGGTAGGGCTGTAGCCCTGGAGAAGGTGAAGTGGTGGTAGGTAGGCTTGTGGTACAATTGTTACTTGGCCCTCCTCAAAGTGTGGGCCACAGACCAGCGGCATCAGCATCACCTGGGAGCTTGATAGAAATGCAGAGTCCTGGCCCCAACTCAGACCTTGTGGATCTGATTCTTCATTTTAACAAAGTTACCAGGTGACTCTGCTACCCACTCAAGTATGGGAACCCTTGGTGTGATGAGGCACAGTGCTCTTGGGGTTAATCGGATTAGAGGAGAGGCAAAGGCACAGGCAAGGGGGAGAAAAAGAGCCAGGGAAACCTTGTTAGGGCTGAAGGGGGGACCTCTGCGTTAGTGACGTCACTGTGTTTTCACACAGCAACCCTTTAAGATAGGTAATTGGGTTCCTTTTTAAAATAAGGAAAATGAGTCTCAGAGAGGCCTGATGGTTTGTCCAAAGAGAAACAGCTAGACTGTGTTGACGTGAAAGTTCAGTGGGCCCACTGTTACTCCATGCCACCTGTCAGCAGGCACTTGCTGTTTGGGGGGATGACAGGCAGATGGGCTAAGCAGATGGCCACGTTGGAGTCTAAGGCATGCAAAGTTGTGCAGGTATGGAGGGCAAGCAAGAGGCATGCTAGAAGCTACTCATTTGGAGAAGTTTTACAAATTGTAATGACTGGTAATGATTAAAAATGGTCTGGGATGGGGACCAGGCAGTGTGATTTTGTAAAGGTTCCCAGGTATTTCTAACAGACAGCCGAGGTTGAGAACCACTGCCATGAGCGTAGGGGACCCTTCAGACGTGTTGAAAGATGTAACTCAGACTAAAATCCATCATCGTCTTCTCCTGGACCAGGTACCTGGCTTCCCTACGCGGCCACGTGGCTGCCGTGTACCAGATTGCGTGGTCAGCTGACAGTCGGCTCCTGGTCAGCGGCAGCAGTGACAGCACACTGAAGGTGTGGGATGTGAAGGCCCAGAAGCTGGCCATGGACCTGCCCGGCCACGCGGATGAGGTAGGGCCAACCCTCAGGCAAAGGAGGGACTGGGATTGGAGCCTGGCTGGCTGTCTCCCTCTCACCACCCCACCTGCCTTCCTCTGCCTCCCTTTAGGTATATGCTGTTGACTGGAGTCCAGATGGCCAGAGAGTGGCAAGTGGTGGGAAGGACAAATGCCTCCGGATGTGAGTGTGGGGGAAGTGGTGGTTGGCATACACAGCCCTCCTACCCCTAAGGTCCTTCTGTGCACACTTTCCCTTACAGCATAGAATTCCGCAGGGCCGTCCAGGTGCTCAGACTGTCTTGAGGAGGCGTGTGGAGCCAGATTCTCAGTGGGCAAGTGGGAGGGCCACAAGTGGGAGGGCCACCGGAACAACAGAGGCCACAGGACACCTCGTAGAGGGCGCGTCCAGGTCTTTCTGTCAGTGGGCAAGTGGGAGGGCCACCGGAACAACAGGGGCCACAGGACACCTTGTAGAGGGCGCATCCAGGTCTTTCTGTCACTAGACTTCAGAGTCGCAAGACCTGAGTTCAAATCCTGGTTCTGCCATGGAGTAATCACAGAGAACTTGGTTAATCAGTCTCTTGGGAATTATCAAACCTTCACAGACAGGATCAAAAATAGGAGGGTCAACACTCTGGAAGACAAAGTGTTGTGTGCTTATAAGGGATTGTGACTGTTTGCTGGTGGGCATCCCGAGGGCCAGGCCCTGGGTGGAGGTCCTGGTGGCAGCAGGCAGTGAGTGGGCAGCCTGAGTTTGGGTGGGCAGAGCAGGGACGGTCACCTGGCTCTTGGTGACTCTGAGGGTGGACCACAGGCCGTCCGTCTGTTGACACTGGGATTATATGACGGCCTCCCTTTCCTAAGGTGGAATCCCCATCCTGACACCCTTCCCTTCTCCACAGATGGAGGAGATGAGACGGCCCGAAGTTCTCTCTGACCCCCACCTCGACTCGGCCTCTGCCAGCTGCCTTCCCTGCCAGAGAACAAAGGCTGAGATGGCAGTGCACACACCCTCCCCACCAGTGGGGACCTGAGAATGCGTGTGGCCTGCTGTCCTCGATAGACCGGAATGGGGTTTTCCCACAGATCCCCGCCTGTGGCACACCCCAGAGCCAGAAATCGAAGGTCACAGGAAGTTGTCACTGAACTTGGCCCGTGTCTGCTACTCTGTACCTTGCTGGTACAGACAGGGGTGGTGGGCAGCCAGGCTCTATGAGTGGGCCCCTAGTGTCAGCTCTGTACAGGGTCAGATCCCAGGTTCTATGACCAAATAAGTAACTTAAGTTTTGTGTGTTGGGTTCTAATTCCTTGTCCTAGAATCCCCATGACTCAATCAAGGACTGTGCTAAATGAGATTGTCCAGCCCCCGCCCTTGCACTGGACTACGCCAAAACCACACTGACCAGGCACTTGCCTTCCCTCTCTTCCCCCGTGTTGGTAAGAGAGAGGCCAGTTGTGATAGTGGCCAAGGAGAATCTAGGGCTGTATTGTTGTCCACTGCAGTAGGCACCGGCCACATGTGACTGCTGGCATGAAATAGAAGTGCAGTTCCTCCATCGCACTGGGTAAGGCCTCCAGTATTGGACAGCACACAGAAAGGTTTTCATCATCAAGAGAGTTCTGCTGGTCAGCCCTGCTCCAGGGGATGCCTCTGCCTTCGCATAGCACACTGCTTGAGGCCCTGCCAGGCACCAAGCACTGCCCTGGGCCCATGGGATAGAGCGGGGAAGGTGATGGCTCTTCCAGAGGATTCCCTCAGATGGGGAGGCAGCAGTATGAGCTCTGAGCAGAAGTGGGTATTGTTGATACAGAGGAAGTTCTTTGCCACGAGAACTTTCAAGCAGTGAAAGGAATTCCCATCAGGACTCAGACCCCAGGCCGAGATCTTGCCCTGAATGTACCCTGCCTCTGCTTTCTCCTGCATCCCATGCTAAGCAGGGTCATGGTCTGAACTACTCAGATTGGATTTCCAAACCATCCTTGTATAAACTGCTCAGAACTAGCATCTTGCTCCTTCTTACCCTCCTCCACCCTTGTCTGTGCTTTTGGGTTTTGCGCGTCACCTAGCTGTGGTGCTTGGCCTCCACCTTGCACATATCTGCAGTGAGGCTACATAAGAAGCGAACAAAACTATCAGCCACTGAGCTCCTTGGTGCCAGCTGTTTGTCTGCTGTGCTCTCAGACTGCACCAGGCCTGGAAGGTTCTCAAGCTCCAAAACTTTTGATGAGGAAACAACATAAGAAATGATTAGCCCATGCCCTCACATCTAGTAAGAGAAAGCTGGGATTAAACCAGGCCCTGCCCCAAAGCTTATTGTGCACTTTGTACCACATCCCTCCGTCCAGAGCTCAAGCTAGTTTGACAGTTCATGGGCCACCACGTCTGTCCATGACAGCTATTTCTGTATTTTTCTGGTGTAAGAGCCTTTTAGTCTTAGAGCACCAGTCTCCCTGTTCCCCTACCCCGCCCCACTGGGGAAGGGGTGATGGCAGCATCCTATTGCCTAGCTGCCTGTTTTCTATCTCCCCACCCATGTAGACTCTGTCCTGGTGGAAGCTAGGAGGTGGGTGCCAGCCAGCCCATCTGAGGCTGTCTGCAGCATAAAGCAGACTTTAGGGTGCTGGATGACCTGCAGTTCTTTAATGAGGGACCTAGACCCAGCCCAGATTTGGAGGAGGAGGGAGTCTAGCAGCTGTGGGCAGTGGCTGAGCCTGGCATGGCCTGGCCTGAGATGCCTCCAGGTGAATGGGGCCCCTATGTAGCCTTGGCCCCAGCCCAGGGGTGGGGTGCCCATACCACTCTGCCAGACCCCGGGCCCGCAGGGTGCTGGTGGTATGGTAGGTCTCATGGCTCTGGTTTCTGAGGGCCTGGGGTTGAAGCTGAAAGTAGGTGAGGGGTGTCCTGGGGCCCTCCCCCTTAACAGGGAAATAGGTATTCCAGATCCTCCAGCCTCCGCATCTCCTCCGGCCCGATGGACACGATCTTTTGCCGGGGTTCCTTGCGCCGCACGGTGATCTGGATGGGGTAGTTCTCAGGAAAGCTGCTGAAGTCAGTGGCCAGGGTTGCAAACTGAAGTGAAACAAGAAAACCCTTCAGAGTTCCTTCCCAGATCTGAACCTGGCTCTCTCTCTGTCTCTATCACCCCTTTTTTTTCTGTCTGCTGACTCAGACCTTAAACAGCCTTATCCAACCTAGCCATTGACGCAGGAAACAGGTGCAAAGATGCATGACTCAAGCCTGTACCTCCTCATTATGGGATATTTCCAACCAAAGGGCTGTCTGTACTCAGGCCTCTATACCCCCATACCCCTACCCCATACCCAGGCTGTTCCCTTCTTCGTCCCCCTTTAGCCTCTTGTCTTCCCTATTTCTTTCAATGCCCTTGACTTCCCAGCCTACTCACAATCATGGGCACTGAATTGCAGAGTCTAAAAACCAATGGCTTTGGAAGGGGAACATTATAGTGATGTTGAAAAATACATTCGTTTGCATTCCTAGTGGGCCCCAGAGTGGCTTAATCCTTAAACCTCCCAGAAGCATGCATTCTGGAATTGATGCTTCTTGACCCAGGCAGAAGGAAAGCTAGCCAGATGAGTCATGTGGGCATAGGGGTGTTCCCAACCTCCAAAGCCCTGGTTCCCTGGCTTTGGACTTCTCTCCACCCCCAAGGCCCCTCTTTTCCCAGGGCTCACTTTGTAGGGCTTGCACCACTTCCCCACCCCAGCTGTGTTGGCTGCACGGACACTGAGGCAGTAACACGTGTTAGGCTTTAGCTCCATCAGCTTGACAGTAGTGCCCAAAATCTTGTTGAAGATCCATGGACGATTCTTTGCCTCGGGCAACTCATTCTCCTGTGTCTTGGCCACCTCCTGTAACAGGAGCTGGTAGAAACTGACCGGCTGCTTGCCCAAGGCGTAGGTCCAGGAAATCTAGGGGAAGAGAGAGCCCCGAGGCTTCCTCAGATATGTCCTGTCCTTCCTGTCCCTTCACCCTCCCAACTGGGGTCAGGACGTCCCATGCCCATCCCCTGCTCCTGCTGGGGCCCAGGCAGGTCAGATGGAAGGTGCAAGGTACTGCAGCACTGAGTGTGGAACCCCTGCCCCGAAGCATGTACTACTCTCCTGGGCAGCCCCACCCACTTTAGGGTACACCCTCATTCCATATTTCTTATACGCCAGGGGTCCTCAACCCTTGGGCCACCAACTGATAGCAGTCCATGGCCTGTTAGGAACTGGATAGCACAGCAGGAGGAGATTGGTGGGCGAGCAAGCGAAGCTTCATCTGTATTTACAGCTGCTCCCCACGGCTCAGGGTACCACCTGAGCTCTGCCTCCTGTCAGATCAGCAGAGGCATTAGATTCCCATAGGCACGTGAACCCTATTGTGAATTGTATGGGAGGGATCTAAGTTGAATGCTCCTTATGAGAATCTAATGCCTGATGATCTGTCATTGTCTCCCATCACCCCCAAATGGGACCCTCTCGTTGCAGGAAAACAAGCTCAGGGCTCCCACAGTTTCTACATTATGGTGAGTTGTATAATTATTTCATTATATATTACAATGTAATAATAATAGAAATAAAGTACACAATAAATGTAATATGCTTGACTCATCCTGAAACCATCCCCCCAACCGGATCCATGGAAAAATTATCTTCCATGAAACCAGTCCCTGGTGCCAAAAAGGTTGGTTCTAGACTCTGTCTAGACTCTGTTAGCTGAGAGGGACCTTAGAGATCATCTTATCGACTAGGTCCAGAGAGGGCAAGTGACTGGTCCATCATCATACGGCAATTAAGTGACAGCCAGTGTTCAAACCCATAGCTCCAGAGCCCATACACTTTGTACTACAATGGTTGCCAAGCCTGGCTAAGCATCTCAGGGAGATTTTGTAACTGCAGATTTCTGGGCCTGCTGCCTCCTGTCTGGTTTCTCCTCCATCTAGGCCAGTGTTTGTCAAACTTGGTGTGCATTAGAATACCCTGGAGGACTTATTAAAAGATAGATTACTGGGCTCCGCCCCAACAGTTTCTGACTCAGGAGGCCCAAATGTGGTGGAGGGAGATGAGAATTTAAATTTGTAACAATTTGCTGAGTGATGCTGACATTGTCCATCTGGAGAGCACTTTGAGAAACACTGCTCTGGGCCATCCAACAGTGGAATTCCAGGCATCCTCCCAAGATACAGCTCGAATTGCTTTCATCATCTGATGTGAAGCTTTTTACAAAGCTGTTCCCTATTACTTACAGAAAAGTCTATAAAGTAGTCTAACACTGGAGGACTCTGGAAGATGATCCCAGACTAACATTCCCCATCCTGTCCCCTGTCTTCACTTCCCATAGTGTAGGACGGTGTTGTTCGACGTGTAGCCCGCGGACGGGGAGCCACAGCATCCTCTGGGAATCTGTTACTAATGCAAATTATCAGGCTTCACCCTAGACCCTCTAGGGAGGAGGCCCAGCAATTCTGAGTAGCCTCACTCGATCCCAGGTCCTCATCCAGGGCTTCTCACGCTTTCATGTTCCTACAGATCACCTACCATCTTGTTCAAATTGAGATTTCCTCCCTCACTTTCCTGTGAGCTTTTGCTAGGGTCCGCCCCTCCAGGGAATGCCTCCCTCCTCCACCTCTAGATGTTTACATGCTACCTCTACATCCCAGCTCAGATGTTACCAAAAGCCACCAAGCTTATTCCCGCATCTGGAAATATCTTTCCCTCTGAATTCCTGGTGGCACTTGCTCTGAACTTTTCCTACAGCACTGAACCCTTTCTGTCTTGCACTGGAGTTTTTACAGACACATCCTCTCCCTTCCTAAACCGTGAACTTGAGGTCGACATGCAGGTGGCAGGCACCTTCTCACTACCCATGGAGCTCAGCTCAGTGCCTGGCACAATAAGCCTCTGCTGAACGCATGAGCAAGGGAAACGCACCACAGCTGTGGAATTGTTGACGGTGTGCTCAAAGATGAAGGGGGTGTCCGGCAGGTCCACAACCACAGAAGATTCTGAGTGCGTTGAGGAGGTTTCTGTCTCCAGCTCAGGGTTGTCAAGGTCCAGCAGGCCCCTTGTGGCCATCTGGGACTTCGATGGGCATGGGCAGGGGCCGAGCGCCAGGTCCTCATTTTCTGCATTCTTGGCCATTGGGGAGAAGCTGAGTTTGTTCAGCTCCCCCTCCAGCATCCCTGCAAAGAAGCTGCTGTTGGGCTGGGTCACAGCTAATTTGATGGGGTTCAGCAAGGTGGATGAGAAGGCAGAGATGCTGGTCTCATCAGAGCTGCAGTCTGAATCCTCTACTGGCAGCGGCTTCCTGGAGCAAAAGGGGAGACAGGTGAATCAGATGAAGGAGGCCACCCCAGCCCGTTCCACCTGAGGGCAGGCCTTGGGCCTGACTTACCAGCATCCCCAGCCATTTGCAAACAGCTTGGAACAGCCTCATTGCTCTATAGCATTGCATTAGACTCACCAGGGCACTTACTAAAAATGCAGACTTTTAGTCCCTGGTCCCCAGTTAGCATGGGACTAGAGAATCCGCATCTTTAATAAGATCCTGGCTGGGCGCAGTGGCTCACGCCTATAATCCCAGCACTTTGGGAGGCCGAGGCAGGCAGATTCAAGGTCAGGAGTTACAGACCAGCCTGGCCAACATGGTGAAACCCTGTCTCCACTAAAAACACAAAAATTGGCTGAGTGCGGTGGTTGGCACCTGTAATCCTAGCTACTTGGTAGGCTGAGGCAGGAGAATTGCTTGAACCCAGGGGGCAGAAGTTGCAGTGAGCCGAGATCACACCACTGCACTCCAGCCTGGGTGACAGAGTGAAACTCTATCTCAAAAAAAAAAAAAAAAAAAAAAAGCTTAGAAAATCCTGATGCAAGTGTTCTGCAAACCACAATTTAAAAAACATGCTAAAATGGCAAGTCCTCCCTCCAAAGTGGGGTGCAAATGCCCCAGGGAATAACCACAAAGATCTACTGGGGTATGGAAGTAATACATTCAATTTCACTAATGTTTATTTACTATTGTTTAAATTTTAATGGAATTACTAATATTTACTTACATTTTAGTGGCATTTAATAATACCTATTAATATCTAGCACGTAAAATTAACAGAAATACAAATACATATATGGGCCAGGCGCGGTGGCTCACACCTGTAATCTCAGCACTTTGGGAGGCCAAGGTGGGTGTATTACCTGACGTCAGGAGTTCAAGACCAGCCTGGCCAACATAGCGAAACCTTGACTCTACTAAAAATACAAAAAATTAGCTGGGCATGGTGGCGGTTGCCTGTAATTCCAGCTACTTGGAAGGCTGAGGTGGGAGGATCGCTTGAGCCTGGTAGGTGGAGGTTGCAGTGAGCCGAGATCCTGCCACTGCACTCCAGCCTGGGCAACAGAGTGAGACCCTGTCTCAAAAATAAAATAAAACAAATATACATATGTTGGTGTGGATGCTCAAAAACTTATTTCTTCCACTCTGAATTTTTTAAAATTATGAAGTATTTTAGACTTATACAAAAATATCAAGAATATTATATTAAACCTCCATTTACTCCTCATCTACCTTTAGAAATAAAATCTTATCACTATGGGTAAAGCCCCCCAGACACTTCTGTCTCCCACCAAAGTCCCCATCCTTCGACCGACAAGTAATGAGTACAGTAAAGTTTAAATTGTGTATTTATTACTCAATGTGTGTCTTTATAGGTTTCTTACATATTTATGTTATCCCTAGGCAAGATCTATTATTTTTCACGTTTGTAGATGTTGTACAAATAAAAGATATTATTCAGCACATACCCATCTGCAACATGCTTTTTTCACTCAACTTTGTGTTGACATTCATCTATCTTGATACATGTAGCTCTGGTTCAGTCGTTTTTACTGTTTTATGATTTTCCATTACATGGATATTTGTTTTTGTTTTTGTTTTTTGAGACAGGGTCTCCCTCTGCTGCCCAGGCTGGAGTGCAGTGGCACAAACTCCCAGGCTCAAGCCATCCGTCCACCTCCACCTCCTGAGTAGCTGGGACTACAGGTGCACATCACCATGTCTAGCTAATTTTTGTGTTTTTCTGTAGATGCAGGGTTTTGCCATGTTGCCCAGGCTGACTTCGAACTCCTGGGCTCAAGTGATCCTCCCAAAGTGCTTGGATTATAGGTATGAGCCACTGTGCCCGGCCTATATGGATATTTGTATTGTTATGAGATGTTTGCTATTACAAAGAAAAACCTTGTACATGATCCCCACCACTTAACATTTCTTTTTTCTGTTTTTACTCTTTTTTCTTTTTTTTTTTTTTTGAGCTGGAGTCTCGCTCTGTCGCCCAGGCTGGAGTGCACTGGTGTGACTTCGACTCACTGCAACCTCCGCCTCCCTGGCTTAAGCGATTCTCGTGCCTCAGCCTCCCGAGTAGCTGGGATTACAGGCCCACACTGCCACATCTGCCCAATTTTTGTATTTTTAGTAGAGATGGGGTTTTACCATGTTGGTTAGGCTGGTCTCGAACTCCTGACCTCAGATGATTTGCCGGCCTCAGCCTCCCAAAGTGCTGGGATTACAGGCGTGAGCCACTGCCCCCAGCCAAACAAAAAACAATATTTTTTTAACTGATGAAGAACACCAAGCCAAAAAGTTTGGCTTTCAAATCTTTTTTTACCTTTACCCAAAGTAAAATACACTTTCCATGGCAACTTAGTACATGCATATATACGCCTATAACTAAGACAAACATTTCACAGACCAACACTTACTCTGTGTGCAATGGGCTCTGGAATTTCCAATTCTATTATAGTTTATTTTATTTATTTATTTATTTATTTTTGAGATGGAGTCTCACTCTCTCAGCCAGGCTGGAGTGCAGTGGCGTGATCTCAGCTCACTGCAACCTCCGCCTCCTGGGTGAGAGTGATTCTCCTGCCTCAGCCTCCCGAGTAGCTGGGACTACAGGTGCGGCCACCATGTTCAGCTAATTTTTGTATTTTTAGTAGAGAAGGGGTTTCACCATGTTGGCCAGGATGGTCTCGATCTCTTGACCTCGTGGTCTGCCCGCCTTGGCCTTCCAAAGTGCTAGGATTACAGGCGTGAGCCACTGCACCCAGCCAGTTTATTTTTATCATAGTGGTCTTCACCAACTAGAAGGACTTCTTGACCCATTAATAGGTCACAATCCACAGTTTGTGGATCCCTTACTCCCATCCAGCCTCCCAGGTCTTGGTTGATGAACGGGCCAAGTTTTTCCTCCCCAGGTTCCAGCCTCATCAGCCTCCTCCTGAGAAATCCTGATTAGCCCAGATCCCCTATGCTAGCGCTTGGTGGACATTTGGAATAAATGATTCCCCCACCAAGGTCTTTTGTAGACTGAAGAGTCTGGGTATTAATGTCATATGTGCTTTAGATTGTCCTAATGAATTAATATTTCAGATTCACTTACTGCAAATGCTGGTACTGAAGCAAGCACAGAAGGCCGCTAGGCACTGGCTACATGCTGAACATCTCCTCCTCCTGATGTTCACAACAGCTCTGCTGGATGGATGTTAGCCCCATTTGGCAAACAAGGGGCTGAGGGTCCCTGATCTGTTTTTTTTTTTGTTTTGTTTTGTTTTTTTTATGGAGCCTTGCTCTGTCTCCCAGACCCCTGGCTGGAGTGCAGTGGCACAATCTTGGCTCACTGCGACCTCCACCTCCCAGGTTCAAAGGATTCTTCCGCCTCAGCCTCTTGAGTAGCTGGGACAACAGGTGCGTGCCACCACATCCAGCTAATTTTTGTATTTTTAGTAGAGACGAGGTTTCACCATGTTGGCCAGGCTGGTCTCAAACTCCTGACTTCAAGTGATGCATCCGCCTCAGCCTCTCAAAGTGCTGGGATTACAGGCGTGGGCTACCCCATCTGGCCTCCGATCTTAATTAAGTTGTCTAAGACCATAAATCTCTAAGTGGCAGAACTTGGATCTGAGTTTGGGCTTCTAGTCCAAGATTCCCAGTATACCATGAAGTTTCCTACGAGCATCCATCACTTTAGCCATACCTGCTTGCTTACGGGCACTTTGGGGAATGGACACCACATCCCTCTCACATACTCAAGACCAGCTATGTAGTCTGTGGAGCCCAGTGCAAATTGAAGTACCCTGAGCCCCTTATTCAAAAATTCTGAATTTGAAGATAGTAACAGAAAAGCATTAAACTAAGCACAGGCCCCTTGTAAGTGCAGGGCTATTTGTGACTGCACAGGTCATTCACCCATGTGGTGGGTGACCTGCAAGTAATTCCCTCAGCCCACATCACCCTGTACCACCACCCCTTCACTGGCTAACTCCTTTCCTTCCTTGGAGACTCAGCTCAAATATCACTTCCTCCAAGAAGCCTCCTTCAACTGCACCCAGTCTCAAGCTATACTAAGCCCCTCTGGTCCCTCAAGGCATCCTGTCCTGGCACTTACCAGACCATGCTATATCATTCTGGTTATTGCATGATCCCCATCCTTTCACCCCTGACCTCCACATGCCAGACTGGGAGCTCCTTAAAGGCAGGGACTGTGCTTTCCAGCTCTGCGTTCCCAGAACTTAAACACTGGGACAGACACCTTGCAGGTGCTCAAAGAGTTTTGTGGAATGAAGTAGAGGAAAACCAGACTTGGTGAGGAGGAACAGCAAAACCCAGTCCGAAGGAAGGCAGGCTACTGGGGAGCAGTCAGGTAGATGAAGGTACCAAAGAGAGAGGGTTGAGGAAGAGGAGCCATGGGTGTGTCAGGGATTTGGTGATGGTGAGGACCACAGCCAGTCAAGGCAGGATAAGGAGCACTGTCAACAAACTGACTAATCCAAGAAGGCCTCCTGGAGTGGGAGCTCCATATGCCTCCAAGAAGTGATTTGGGGCTCAGGAATACATAAATAGATCCAACCTGCCCACACGCTCTTCTCTGGGAGTCAAGGAACTGGGTTGTGACAAGTCAGGGAAGTATAGATTCTTTGTCTCTCTGCCCAGCCCTCGGCTCCAGCCTTTCTTAGAAACTATAGGCATGGTGGCTCAAGCCTATAATCCCAACACTGTGGGAGGCTGAGGCGGGAGGATCGCTTGAGCCCGGAAGTTCAAGACCAGCCTGGGCAACACGGTGAAACCCCGTTTCTACCAAAAAAAAAAATTTATATATATATATATATATATATATATATATATATATATATATATATATATGAAAATTAGCCAGGTGTGGTGGTGGCGCGTCAATAGTCCCAGCTACTTGGGAGGTGGAGGTGGGAAGATCACTTGAGCTCAAGAATTCAAGGCTGCAGTGAGCCGAGATTGCACCACTGCACTCCAGCCTGGGTGACAAAGCAAGATCCTGTCAAAAAAAAAAAAAAAAAGGAAGGAAGGAAGGAAGGGAGGAAGGAAGGGAGGAAGGAAGGGAGGGAGGGAGGGAGGGAGGGAGGGACCAGATTTGTGACTTACAGTAGGTTGATGGTATCATCCTCCAAGAAGTTGACCAAATTGCCCTTTGAGGCTAGTGGGAGTCCTTTGGTAGTGACGGTCCGGTTCATAGACTTGGGGTTTGAAAAGGGTTTTGGCAGTTGGTCAAGGGCATTCATCATGTTGAAGTTTTCTTTCTTCAGTACAGCCTCCTCCCCATCTCCCACTTGATGGAGTGCCTCTGATGCCATCTGATTTGTTCGGGATGACACCCGTCACCATGCAGGACAACCCAGCTGACCAGAAGCAGAGAGAAACTGTGGGGGCAGTGGCCCACCTTTAGTTTGGACAGTCTGCAGGTGCAATGAGCTGACTTCATAATCATCACAGAGTGTAACAATTACAGGCCAGCCTCCCCCCTTGATTTGAGGCTACTGCTGCCAGGCTAGCTATGTGGCTGGCCAGACCAAGGGCCAGTGTGACTGTGAAGCAGCATCATGAGAGGGGTAAAACCAAGGAACAGACTGCATGAGCCCTTGGGCCCCTTCCAGCTCTAATACTCCATGGTGATGGCAGCCCTGCCCTTCTCTGAAGATCTCAAAATGCCTGACACCTGTGTCCTTCCGCACTGCCCTGGGAAGGAGAATAAGGATGGTGAGAGATGGGCGTGGGATGTAGAGGATGGTGGTGTGGCCCTGAGAGATAGGCAGTATTGGAAAGTGTCTGCTGGGGAGGGAAACTTTGTCCGTAGAAGCTAAGGCTCTCTATCCTGAAACCATAGGCTGCAGACTCCACTGTGCCCAGTCGGTTAGTGAAAGGGAAAGCCCACATGGTTCATAGGGGTTCATGGCTCACATATGATCAGACTTCACTGCTAGAATTCTAAATGTGCCACACCCACACTCCCAAGTACTTTCCTGTGTGGAGTGACAATGGTGGCAGTTGCAGTGGGATACAGAGATGGGCCACACATGATCTCTGCTCTCAGAGAAACCACCTTACAGTAGGAAAACATGTACACAGCTTCAGGGGTGGGGAGGGGGGCTGTTAGAAAGCACTGGCTTTGCAGAGTCAGATGTGGATGTGAAGTCCAGCCCTGTGCCGCCTAGCTGGGTGACCTTTGGCAAGTGATTTAACCTCACTGAACCTCAGTTTCTTCATTGGTGAAACAGGGATAAAAAATAGCGCCTCCCTCACAGATTTGTGATGAGATAACCATGTAAAGTTTTATTTCTTCCTATGGATGAGGCAAAGCAAAGGACATTTAAAAATACCAAATCATATCTTTTTGTGTGTGTTCTATATAACCAAGGTTTCTTGCCCTTAAAAAAAATAAAAAATAAAATAAAAAATAGAGGCCGGGCACGGTGGCTCACACCTGTAATCCCCGCACTTCGGGAGACCAAGGCAGGAGGATTGTTTGAGCCCAGTAGTTCGAGACCTGTGTGGGCAACATGGTGTAACCCCATTTTGTAGAGGCGAAACCTCTACAAAAAATACAAAAATTAGCTGGGCAAGGTGGCACGTGACTGTAGTCCCAGCTACTCAGGAGGCTGAGGCAGGAGGATCGCTTGAACCCAGGAGGTCGAGGCTGCAAAGCTGAGATCTCACCAGGGCACTCCAGCCTGGGCGGCCGATCGAGACCCTGTCTCAACCAAAACAAAACAAACTTTTGAAAAATAGACGCAGGTGCCCTCTGGATGCTTTGCTGCTTCTTGACACCTGTCGTATAATCTGTAATGATGTGATTTCTGCGATTCCTTTTCATTGTCTGTCTTTCCCTTGCTCACAGTAAGCTCCCTGGGGGTAAGGGCGGGTCGTCTTGTGTCGCATTTTGTCTCCAGCGGAGATCCGTTCCGTTTGGAACGGAAGCTGGCGCACAGAAGGCTCTTTAGAAGGTCGGTGTGTGTGTTGCGGCAGAAGGTAGAGGCCGAATGTGGCCGCGGGTGGCGTGTTGAGCGCGGAGGGGGTCGTGGGACTCGGGAACCTGTGCAGGCGGTGGAGAGGGGCGCAGCGGCTCTGCCCCGTGCGGCCCGCAGATGGCGCTGCAGGCCAGGTCCTCGCCGCGCGCCAGCCTGGAACCCGGAAGCGGCAGCGCGGCGCGACCCGGCGGGCGGGCTCTGGGCGCGGGAATCCCGGCGGATCCCGGGCGGGCGGATGACCCCCAGCCCTACCCTTGGTGCCGCCTCCTCCTCTCTCCTTTCTCCTCCGGCAGCCAGCGCGCCTGTGTCCTCTCTAGGAAGGGGTAGGGGAGGGGCGTCTGGAGAGGACCCCCCGCGAATGCCCACGTGACGTGCAGTCCCCCTGGGGCTGTTCCGGCCTGCGGGGAACATGGGCGTGCTCAGGGTCGGACTGTGCCCTGGCCTTACCGAGGAGATGATCCAGCTTCTCAGGAGCCACAGGATCAAGACAGGTGACCGGGTGTGCGCGTGCCAGGGAGCCGCGCGGGCCTCGCACAACCTGGGCAGGCCCCGAGGGCTGGCGCACTGCCCTGGCATACCTGCAGGGCGCTTCCCCTCCATTCCTAGAGGGCCGCGCTTCTGGAGAGGCTCAGGAAGGGTGGGCGTGGGGAGCCAAGCTCTAAAACAGGGTAGAGATTCCTACTGTGTGCAGGGCACCGCGCCGGCTCCTGCAGCTTTGTTATTTCACACTGGCCTCCTGAGACGGCCTGCCGGGGGGTAGAATTGACACCCCATTTGACAGATGAGGAAAAACCAAGTGTGGGAGGCCCCAGTCCTCTCTGCCAATCCGCTATACGTGTTTTGTTTTCAGTGGTGGACCTGGTTTCTGCAGACCTGGAAGAGGTAGCTCAGAAATGTGGCTTGTCTTACAAGGTGAGCTCCTGATCTCCACATTCCAAACCTGAGTGTCTTTTTAAAAAGTCCATCCCAAGCCAGCTGGGCGCGGTGGCTCATGCCTGTAATCCCAGCACTTTGGGAGGCCGAGGCGGGTGGGTCACTTGGAGTCAGAAGTCAGGAGTTCGAGACCATCCAGGCCAACATGGTGAAACCCTGTCCCTACTAAAAATACAAAAATTAGCTGGGTGTGGTGGCCCACGCCTACAATCCCAGCTACTCGGGAGGCTGAGGAAGGAGAATCATTTGAGCCCGGGAGGCAGAGGTTGCAGTGAGCCGAGATCGTGCTACTGCACTCCAATCTGGGCGACAGAGTGAGACCCTGTCTGAAACAACAACAATAACAAAAGTCCATCCCAAGCCAAAGGGAGCAGAGGGTTCTCAGATATTGAGAAGTAGGGTGAATGACACCCTGGGATGCCAGCTTCTACGGGCAATTTGTTGCTGAGCAGTCTGGGGCCCTTTGGCAGGCCCTGGTTGCCCTGAGGCGGGTGCTGCTGGCTCAGTTCTCGGCTTTCCCCGTGAATGGCGCTGATCTCTACGAGGAACTGAAGACCTCCACTGCCATCCTGTCCACTGGCATTGGCAGGTTTGTGTGTGTACTTGGGGAAGAAGGAGAGAGGCAGGAGGATGGGGCCTCCTCTCAGCTCTGCTTTTGATGCTTGAGTCTAGACGGGAGGGGTTTTTTTTTTAACCAATAATGGATGGGAAGGAAAGGGGTCAGGACATCTGAATTCTTATCCTATAACAGGGTTATGGGGTATCTCAGCCTTGGCACTATTGATATTTAGGGACAGGTAATTATTTGTTGGGGGGTGGAGGCTGTCCTGTGCAGTGTAGGATGTTTAGCAGCATCTCTGGCCTCTGCCCACTAGATGCCAGTAGCACCAGCCCTGCTCCAGTTGTAACCATCAAAAATGTCTCCTGACATGGCTAAATGTCCCCTGGGAGGCACAATTGCCTCTGGTTGAGAAGCATTGTCCTATAACACAAGCTGTCAGTATCTCATTATTTTCACCATCTTCTCTGGCCCTACTTCTTATTTTACTTAAGGATATGGCAAGAGAGAACATTTACTGAGTGCCTACTATGTGCAGGCATTACCTGTATGTTCTAGGTAATCTCTTCAGTGACTCTACCAGTTAGAGATAATTAACCCTACTTGAGTTTAGCCTAAGAGGAGCAAGTGGCAAAGGTGAGGCTCAAGCGCGGGAGTATGTGGCCCAGAACTTATTCACCACATCTGCAGCAGTAGAGAACAGGAGAGTTCAGAGAAAGAAGGAGTTGCGGTCCAGATGCAGTGCTCATACCTGTAATCCCAGCACTTTGGGAGGCTGAGGCGGCAGATCACTGGAGGCCGGGAGTTTGAGACCTGCCTGGCCTGCTTGCCCGCCCAAAATGATGAAACCCCGTCTCTACTAAACATACAAAAATTAGTCGGGCGTGGTGGCGGGCGCCTGTAGTCCCAGCTACTTGGGAGGCTGCAGCAGGAGAATTGCTTGAATGTGGGAGGTGGAGGTTGCAGTAGGCCAAGATCGCACCACTGCACTCCAGCCTTGGTGGCAGAGCGAGACTCTCTCAAAAAAAAGGAGCAGTTATGTCCCGCCACGTTGTTTGGTGGGTTGGGGAAGAGTTGCAAAGACGACAGACGTTTGCTGGCCAAGTGAGTCTTGACCTTTTTCCTGGTCTGTTTGTTCAGAAATTGATGAATAACTGCCACCATAAAGGTCTTTGGATTGGTGTGGCCCTTTCTGTTTCCTTAACACATTCTCTTGGCAGGGTTCATGCAGTGTGGTGCTTGCTTTCCCTGGTTGGGGGTCTGAGTCTGTGATCCATCAAGCACTGGCTAAGGGCCTGCTGGGTGCTTGGTATGTGCAGATGATACATACACGAATGAGGCAAGGCCCCTGCCCTTAAGGCCTCTAGTTGGGTGTAGGGGAAAATCAAGTGAATACAAGAGAGCTGTAAGCACCGAGGGAGGCAACGGTAAGGAGGGAGTGGTGAACAGGAAGCCGATTGGCCTTGGGCTTAGGGAGTTTATAAATCCAACAGACATGGAGGGCGCACTCAAGTGGGAACCTGGGAGGACTGCAGCTGCCTCAGGTCCCCGCAGGGAGATCGTGGAGTGGGGTCAGGAATGCTCTGAAGAAGGCAGGACTTGGGCATGGAGGAACAGATGGACTTTCGCTGAATGCTTTCGATGAACGAGGCACTGCGGTCAGCACTTCACGGTACATTATTTCATTTATTCGTCACAACCACCAATGAGCATGTTACTGTTTAAATCATCATTCTAGGCCGGGCGCAGTGGCTCACGCCTGTGATCACAGCACTTTGGGAGGCTGAGGTGGGCGGATCATGAGGTCAGGAAATCGAGACTGTCCTGGCTAACACGGTAAAACCCCGTCTCTACTAAAAGTACAAAATATTAGCTGGGCGTGGTGGCGGGCGCCTGTAGTCCCAGCTACTCGGAAGGCTGAGGCAGGAGAATAGCATGAACCCGGGAAGCGGAGCTTGCAGTGAGCGGAGATCGCACCACTGCACTCCAGCCTGGGCAACAGGGCAAGACTCCATCTCAAAAAAATAAAATAAAATAAAATAAAATAAAAATAAATCATCATTCTATAGGTGAAGAAATTGGGACTCAGGTTAAATGACTTGTTCAAGATTGTGCAGTTAGCAAACGGCAGACCAGTTATTTGAGTTCATGCTTGTCACACTCCTAAGTCTAAGAACGCGGCTCTTAACTCATCTGCCCGGCTGTCTCCCTGGAGGCGGGAGGCCATTGTGAAAGCAGGGTTATAGACAGTGGGGTAGAGGTGTGCAGGGTGGAAGGGTGGCAGAGGCCAAGCAGGGCCCTGGCAGTGCTGGCCTGGGGTATGTGAGTCCAGTCTAGAACAGTGGGAGACATGTTGAAGAGGAACTGTGACAAGACCTACTACCAGGAGGAATGTATTGTGAAGAATCAAAGCTGACTCACCAGGTTTCTAGCCTTTCTTTCTTTCTTTCTTTTTTTTTTTTGTCGGAGTTTGGAATGTATTGTGAAGAATCAAAGCTGACTCACCAGGTTTCTAGCCTTTCTTTCTTTCTTTCTTTCTTTCTTTCTTTCTTTCTTTCTTTCTTTCTTTCTTTCCTTTCTTCCTTTTCTTTCTTCCTTCCTTCCTTCCTTCCTTCCTTCCTTCCTTCCTTCCTTTCCTTCTTTCCTTCTTTCTTTCTTTTTTTTGACGGAGTTTCACTCTGTTGCCAGGCTGGAGTGCAGTGGCGTGATCTCGGCTCACTGCAACCTCCGCCTCCAGGGTTCAAGTGATTCTCCTGACTCAGCCTCCCGAGTAGCTGGGACTACAGGTGCGTGCCATCAACGCCCAGCTAATTTTTTGTATTTTTAGTAGAGATGGACTTTCGCCATGTTGGCCAGGATGGTCTCGATCTTCTGACCTCGTGATCCGCCCGCCTTGGCCTTCCAAAGTGCTGGGATTACAGGCGTGAGCTACCATGCCCAGTCTCTAGCCTTTCTTACCGTGTGCTGTGGACAGTTAATGGTGTAACTTTAAAACTTGGGAGGAGGGGAGTTCTGTAGTCAGAAGTTTGAGAAATGCCTGACTAATCCAAATTAAACAGGTTTCTCTGTTGTAGGCCGCCTCAGAACCTTTAGTGCTGAGGTGCAATGATTCCTTACAGGGTGTTATAGCATGTAACGTACTTTGGGAAAAGCTATGTTGATGAGGGAGATTGATTATTCCTTATAGGCCAGAGCTAGGTCTGTTCATCCCACAGTCCCCTCATTTTAGAATAAGACTGTCAGGAAATATGAGGCATTGAAGTGGTGTGTGAATGGATGACTGAAAGAATGGCTAAAAGGCAGTTCAGAGGGAAAGGCAGAGGATAAGTCCCAGAAATCACCTGTATTCTAGGCAGTGGTAAAACCCAGGTGTACTTCTGCTTCATGGGGCAAGACAGGGGTCTCTCCCTGTTGACATGCGGAGTTAAAGGTGATGGGGACATATTGGTAGGAAGGTTCTCTGGGCAGTCGGAGAGGCACGGAATGGAAACTCAGGTGAGAAGTTGGCTGGAAGGTGGATTTGGGAATACCTTATACAGACTGATCTCCACAGCCAAGGATGTGGTTGATTCTTGACTAGAGTCAACACCAGTGCTTCAACCCCAGCTGCACGTTAGAATCATCTGGGAAACTTGAGATATTCATGCTCTGGTCCCAACTCTATATATTCTAATTTAATTAGTCTAGGTCAGTGGTTCCCAAACTTGTGTGCCCATTGGAGTCACCTGAGGACTCTTTTAAACATTACGAAGTCCAAGTCTCCCCCAGACCAATTAATCTCATTCACTGTGAGTGGGACACAGGCATCAGTATTTTTTAATTTTTTAATTTGTTTTTTAGAGACAGGGTCTTGCTCTGTTGCCCAGGCAGGAGTGCAGTGGTGCACAATCATAGTTCACTGCAGCCTTGAACTCCTGGACTCAGGCAGTCTCCCTGCCTCAGCCTCCCAAGTAGCTGGGACTACAGGTGCTCACCACCATGCCTGGCTAATTAAAAAAAATTTTTTTTTTTTGTAGAGACAGGGGTCTTGCTGTGTTGCCAAGGCTGGTCTCAAATTCCTGGGCTCAAGCAATCCTACCTCTGTCTCCCAAAGTGTTGAGATGACAGGTATGAGCCACCATGCCTGGCCAGGCATCAGTATTTTTTTGAAGCTCCCAGGTGAATCCAATGTGCAGACAACTTTGGGTACTGCTGACATAGGCATTTTTTAAAAAACTCCCCTGATTTTATTTTATTTAATTAATTAATTTTATTTTTTTGAGACGGAATCTTGCTCTGTCGCCCAGGCTGGGGTGCAGTGGCGCGATCTCGGCTCACTGCAAGCTCCACCTCCCGGGTTCATGCCATTCTCCTGCTTCAGCCTCCCAAGTAGCTGGGACTACAGGCGCCCGCCACCACGCCCAGCTAATTTTTTGTATTTTTAGTAGAGACGGAGTTTCACCGTGTTAGCCGGGATGGTCTCGATCTCCTGACCTCGTGATCCACCCGCCTCGGCCTCCCAAAGTGCTAGGATTACAGGCGAGAGCCACTGCGTCCAGCCAACTCCCCTGATTTTAATGTGCAGGCAGGATTGAGACTAACTACTCTAGTCTAATGGTTCTGAAACTTGAGCAGGCTTCAAAATCACTTGGAGGCCTTGTTGAAACTCAAGTTTCAAGTGTGGGCTGCATTCCCAGAGTTTCTGATTCAGTAGGTCTTGGGGAGCGGAGCTGTGAATTTGCATTTCTAGCTAGTCCTTAAAGGTTGCTGATGCACCTGGTCTGGGGACCACACTGGGGTTCCTCTGATCTCAATGGGAAGAATGGAATCAGGAGTGGTAGAGGCTGGATACTTATTAAACAGAGATGGGGTGAGCACAATTATCTCAAGAAGCCACAGGGCTAGAGTGGTAACCAGAGTGTTTTGACTGGCAGGAACCTGTGGGTATAATCATGGGGAGTCCCTGGAATTAAAATGGTTGGGGGCCAGGCACGGTGGCTCATGCCTATAATCCCAGCACTTTGGGAGGCCAAGGCGAGTGGGTCACCTGAGGTCAGGAGTTTGAGACCAGCCTGGCCAACATGGCGAAACCCCATCTCTACTAAAAATACAAAAATTAGCCAGGCGTGGTGGTGGGTGCCTATAATCCCAGCTACTCGGGAGGCTGAGGCAGGAGAATTGTTTGAACCCGAGAGGCGGAGGTTGCAGTGAGCCGAGAGCACACCACTGCACTCCAGCCTGGTGACAGAGCGAGACTCCGTCTCAAAAAGAAAAAAAAAATGGATGGGATGCTTACTAAAGTGCTGTTCGGCATATACAGAGAGGTCATGGGAGGTCATCAAGAACCATCTCAAGGACTGGAACCTAGGAAGGTGATTGTAGGGCTAGGAAAGGTACGCATGTGATCAGGCATTGGTACAGGCCGTGGCATAGAAGAAACTTCAGCCTAGAGATAGGGCAGGGCATGGAGGGTAGGTGGTGACCTGTTTCATGTGGTTGAGGGAGAGAACCTGGTTTAGGAATTGGCATGTCATGAGGTTTATCCCAAGTCTTTCACAGCCAGTGTTGATGATACAGAAGCGAAATAAAAGTGATAGCACCTTTCTGTTACTCATTTTTCTGGAATGATTATTGGGTGCCTCCTGTGTTTCAGGCACTGTGCTAGTGCTGGGGATGCGACAGGGATCGGACCCAGTCCTTGCCCCATGGTGCTCTCAGCTAGATGAGCAAGACAAACAAAAACAAGCAAATAACAAATAATTACAAACTCCTAGGACTAGTGAGGATACAAGACCAACACATACAAATCAACTGCATTTCTCTATACTCACAGTGAACATGTCAAAACTAAAATAAAAAACACTACCATTTATTGGCCGGCCGCAGTGGCTCATGCCTGTAATCCCAGCACTTTGGAAGGTCGAGGCAAGTGGATCACCTGAGGTCAGGAGTTCGAGACCAGCCTGGCCAATATGATGAAACCTGGTCTTTACTAGAAATACAAAAATTAGCTGGGCGTGGTGGTGGGTGGTTGTAATCCCAGCCACTTGGGAGGCTGAGACGGGAGAATCACTTGAATCTGGGAGATGCAGGTTACAGTGAGCGGATATTGTGCCACTGCACTTCAACCTGGGTGACAGAGTGAAACTGTCTCAAAAAAACAAAACAAACAAAATGGCTGGGCGTGGTGGTTCACGCCTGTAATCCCAGCACTTTGGGAGGCTGAGGTGGGCAGATCACAAGGTCAGGAGATCGAGACCATCCTGGCTAACACAGAGAAACCCCATCTCTACTGAAAATACAAAAATTAGCTGGGCGTGGCAGTGTGTGCCTGTAGTCCCAGCTGCTGGGGAGGCTGAGGCACGAGAATGACGTGAACCTGGGAGGCAGAGCTTGCAGTGAGCCAAGATTGCGCCACTGCACTCCAGCCTGGGCGACAGAGCGAGACTCCGTCTCAAAAAAACAAGCAAATAAACAAACAAACAAAAACACAATGCCATTTATAGTTGTTTCAGAGAAATGAAATACTTGGGTATAAGTCTAACAAAGCATGTGTAGAATCTGTATGCTGAAAATTTTTAAATTGTTGATGAAAGAGATCAAAGATGACTCGGATAAATGGATGACATGTACTTTGTTCATGGATTGGGAGACTGAACATAATGAAGATTTCAATTGTCCCCAAGTTGATCTGTAATTTAACGCAGTTCCTATTAAAATCCCAGCAAGTTTTTTTTTTCTATAGACATAGACAAGCTTATTCTAATAATTACGGGAAGACCAGTTTTACCTAGATTAGCTAAAACAATTTGGAAAAAGGATAGCTGGAGGAATCAGTCTACCCAGGGTTAAGACTTGCTATATAGCTACATAATTAAGCCTAGTGTGGTATTGACCAAGGGACAGATGGACACAGATCAGTGGAACAGAATAGATAACCCAGAAATAGACCTCCACAAGTATACACAACTAATTTTTTTTTTTTTGAGACAGAGTCTTGCTCTGTCACCCAGGATGGAGGGTACTGCTGCTATTACAGCTCACTGCAGCCTTGACCTCCCTGGGCTCAGGCAATCCTTCCACCCCAAGCCTCCCGAGTAGCTGGGACTACAGGTGTGGGACACCATGCCTGGTTATTTGTATTTGTATTTTTTTTTTTTTAGACGGAGTTTCTCTCTCTCTCTTTTTTTTTTTTTTGAGATGGAGTTTCGCTCTTGTTGCCTGACCTGGAGTGCAATGGCGTGATCTCGGCTCACCGCAACCTCCGCCTCCCGGGTTCAAGCGATTCTCCTACAGGCACATGCCACCAGGCCTGGCTAACTTTTTTGTATTTTTAGTAGAGACGGGGTTTCTCCATGTTGGTCAGGCTGGTCTCGAACTCCTGACCTCAGGTGATCCACCCGCCTCGGACTCCCAAAGTGCTGGGATTACAGGTGTGAGTCAACGCGCCTGGCCTGAGTTTCTCTCTTTTTGCCCAGACTGGAGTGCAATGGCGTGATCTCGGCTCACTGCAACCCCCGCCTCCCGGGTTTGATTCACCTGCCTCGACCTCACGGGTAGCTGGGATTACAGGTGCATGCCACCATGCCCAGCTAATCTTGTATTTTTAATAGAGATGGGGTTTCACCATGTTGGCCAGGCTGGTCTTGAACTCCTGACCTCAGGTGATCGCCCGCCTCGGCCTCCCAAAGTGCTGGGATCACTGGCGTGAGCCACCGCGCCCAGCCTGTTTGTATTTTTTTTATAGAGACAGGGTTTCATTATGTTGCCCAGGCTGGCCTCAAACTCCTGGGCTCAAGCAATGCTCCCGCCTCAGCCTCCCAAAATGCTGGGATTACACACAATTGATTTTTGACAAGGGTACAGAAACAATGTGTTGGAGGAAAGACAGCCTTTGAACAAAGGGCGCTGGAGCTATTGGACATCATAGGCTAAAAATATACAATAATCAACCTAAACCTTATACCTTATACAAAAATTGAAAATGGATCATAGACTTAAATGTAAAACCAAATTGTCTAATTTTTAGAACAAAACAGGAGAAAATCTAGGCAAAGAGTTCTTAGATTTGATGCCAAAAGTATGATCCATGAAAAAATTTTTGATTAATGGGGCCTAATCAAAATTTAAAACTTTTGCTGTGCAAAACAGAATGAAAAGAGAAGTACAGAATGGGAAACATAGTTACAAGCCATGTATTCAACAAAGGACTTGTATCTAGAATGAAGAAAGAATTCTTAAAACCCAACAATAAAAAATCAAACAATTCAATTAGAAAATGGGCAAGGGCTGGCTCACACCTGTAATCCCAGCACTTTGAGAGGCTGAGGTGGTCAGATTGCTTGAGCCCAGGAGTTCAAAACTGGCCTGGGCAACGTGGCAAAAACCCTGTCTCTACCAAAAAAATACAAAAATTAGCTGGGTGTGGTGGCACATGCCTGTAGTCCCAGCTACTTGGGGGAGCTGATGTGGGAGGATCACCTCAGCCTGGGAGGTCAAGATTGCAGTGAGCTGTGACCATGCCACTGAATTCTAGCCTGGGTGACACAGTGAGACGTGAGACCCTATCTCAAAAAAAAAAAAAAAGCCAGGCGTGGTGGCTTACGCCTGTAATCCCAGCACTTCGGGAGGCCAAGGCAGGTTGATCACCTGAGGTCGGGAGTTTGAGATCAGCCTGACCAACATGAAGAAACCTCGTCTCTACTAAAAATACAAAATTAGCCAGGCGTGGTGGTGCATGCCTGTAATCCTAGCTACTCGGGAGGCTGAGGCAGGAGAATTGCTTGAACCTGAGAGGTGGAGGTTGTGGTGAGCCGAGATCACGCCATTGCACTCCATCCTGGGCAACAAGAGTGAAACTCCGTTTCAAAAAAAAAAAAAGTTCAACACTATTAACTATTAGGGAAATGCAAATTAAAAACACAGTGAGCTATTATTTCATACCTATCAGAAAGACTAAAATAAAAAAATAATGATAATACCAAATGCTGATGAAGATGTGGAGACACTGGACTACTCATATATACATTGTTAGCGGATATGTAAAATGGCATAGCCACTCTGGAAAATAGTTTGGTAGTTTCTTATAAAATTAATAATGCATTTACCATACCACCCAGCAATTGTATTCTTGGGCATTTATCCCAACGTTGTAAAAACTTGGGTTTATACAAAAACCTGTAAAAAATGCTTATAGCAGTTTTATTTATAGTAGCCCCAAAGTGGAAACAACCAAATGCCCTTCAATGGATGAATGGTTAAATAAACTGTGGTACATCCATACCATGGAATACTTTTTAGCAGTAAAAAGGAATGAACTATCCATATATGCAATAACTGGGATGGATCTCAAGGGAATGATGCTGAGTAAAAAAGCCAATCGCAGGGCCAGGCACGGTGGCTCATGTCTGTAATCCCCGCACTTTGGGAGGCTGTGTTGGGCGGATCACTTGAGGTCAGGAGTTCCAGACCAGTCTGCCCAAAATGGCAAAACCCCGTCTCTACTAAAAATACAAAAATTATCCAGGTGTGGTGGTGGGCGCCTGTAATCCCAGGTACTCGGGAGGCTGAGACAGGAGAACTGCTTGAACCTGGGAGGTGGAGGTTGCAATGAGCTGAGATTGCACCACTGCACTCCAGCCTGGGCGACAGAGCGAGACTCCGTCTCAAAAAAAAAAAAAAAAGAAAAGAAAAAAAGCCAATCACAAAGGTTACACAGTGTATAATTCTATGTACATAACTTTGTTCTTGAAATAACATAATAGAGATTAGTGGTTGCCAGGGATTCGGGATTAGGGGTGAATGGGAGGAATGTGGCTATAAAAGGGTAGCAGGAGGAAGACTTATAGTGATGGAAATGTTCTGTATCTTGATTATAGTAGTCGTGTAAATCTACATATGTGATAAAATGGCATAGGACTAGACACATCAACACACGTGCTTGAATGCTAGGAACACTGGTGAAATCTGAATAAGCTCTGTGGATAGTACCAACATCAGTTTGCTACTTGTGTGATATACTATAGTCCTTTTTTTTTTTTTTTTTTTTTTTTTTAAAGAGAAAAGGGTCTTGCTATGTTGCCTGGGCTAGACTTGAACTCCTGGACTCAAGTGATCCTCCCACCTTAGCCTCCCAAGTAACTGAGACTACAGGCCCCTGGCTAGTACAATACATTTTGTAGTACAGTTGTTATTATTAAGGTAAACCAGGTGAAGGGTTCATGGACTTTTTGCAACTTCCTGGGAATCTATAATTATCTCAAAGTTGTTTTTTCTTGTTGTTGTTGTTGTTGTTTGTTTTGTTTTTTTGAGACAGAGTCTTGCTCTGTCACCAGGCTGGAGTGCAGTGGCGTGATCTCGGCTCACTGTAACCTCCACCTCCTGGGTTCAAGCGATTCTCCTGCCTCAGCCTCCTGAGTAGCTAGGACTACAGGCGTGTGCCACCATCAAAGTTTAAAAAAAGCGACAAATTTTGGGAAACGCTATCAAGGAAACCCACAAACAGCTGGGCGTGGTGACTCACGCCTATAATTGCAGCACTCTGGGAGGCCGAGGTGGGTGGATCGCTTGAGGTCAGGAGTTTGAGACCAGGCTGGCCAACATGGTGAAACCCCGTCTCTAATTAAAAAAACTAGTCGGGTATGGTGGCGGGCACCTGTAGTCCCAGCTACTCGGGAGGCTGAGGCAGGAAAATCACTTGAGCCTGGGAGGTGGAGGTTGCAGTGAGTAGAGATCACGCCACTGCACTCCAGCACTCCGGCCTGGACAACAAAGAGAGACTCCGTCTCAAAAAAAAAAAAAAAAAAAAAAAAAAAGGAAACCCACAGGGCCTGAGATGAAAAATGAAGGGAGAACCTTCTGATGGGGTGGCAGAGGCCTCTCTGGAGAGCTGATCTTTAAGAGTGGAGGGATGAAGAGAGACCAGAGAAGGCACATTTGGGCATTCCCTCCTTACCAGAAGAAAACACCAGGAGAAGCCTCCTGGCCAGTGATGTTCAAAGACAGAACCAGTGCTTGAAAGAAATGTCTTACTTTTCTTCTTGGTACCTTTTCCCCTGTCTTCCTCCTAACCTCTTGTGTTGATTTTCTTCTCTTCTGCCATCAGTCTTGATAAACTGCTTGATGCTGGTCTCTATACTGGAGAAGTGACTGAAATTGTAGGAGGCCCAGGTAGCGGCAAAACTCAGGTACATGTGAGGCCAGCAGTCAGGAGGATTTAGGGGTGAGGGTGGTAGATGCATAGCCCAGGGTCCCTGGGGGAGCTTCAGCGTACTAATGGGTTCAGAGCCCAACAGAGAGAAGATGGGTAATAAGGAATGGGGTCGGGACTCAGCCCATTTGTGTTGCTGGAATCTGGGCAAGGTTTGGTGGGGAGCTCCCATCTGGACCCTCTCTGAAGTGTCAAGTTCATCCAATGCCCCCACCCCCAGGTATGTCTCTGTATGGCAGCAAATGTGGCCCATGGCCTGCAGCAAAACGTCCTATATGTAGATTCCAATGGAGGGCTGACAGCTTCCCGCCTCCTCCAGCTGCTTCAGGCTAAAACCCAGGATGAGGAGGAACAGGTAAGGGCAGGATGCTGGGTTCCATTGAGATTCTGACACAGGAAAACCCCATTATCCCTTAACATTGTAAGAATTTGGGTTGAATAGTCATTCCTTGCCTTCAAACTTGCTGTTCTATTAATACATCTCGTATTCCTTAAGCCACCCCTGTTGATGCCATCATCCCATTTGGGATGCTACTCACACTGATTCTTCCAGGAAACCCTCCCAACTCTTTGCATGCCCTAAACCAGGGCTGGCAAACACCAAGCTTTGTGTTTCCAGTCCATTTCTCACCTGTGAGAGACATCACTAATCAGTCATATCCCTCTTTCCTGCTGAGTTCTGAGTACTTTACAGCTCAGCACCCAGGCAGCCACCACTGTGACAACTGACCATTAGACAAAGCTCATTTGCCACCCTGGACCTGAGTCCTTGCATCCAGGTGCCTCTTCCTTCTCAGCCTTACCTTGACCCCCCTACTCCCTCTTATCCAAAGTCCTTGCTTTTCTTTTCCACCGCTTCAGGCAGAAGCTCTCCGGAGGATCCAGGTGGTGCATGCATTTGACATCTTCCAGATGCTGGATGTGCTGCAGGAGCTCCGAGGCACTGTGGCCCAGCAGGTGAGCCTGCTGTTCTGCCCCTCCTTGCTTAATTCAGCTTTCTAGGTGCTATCTCTGTGGGCAGGTGTCCTACTACAGACTGTTTGGAAATGCAGATGTGCAATCTGGTGACTCCAACTATGCTTGCTACTCCCAGGATGGAATTCCCGAGCACCTAAATCACATACCTCATTGTTTACATGTTCATCTTCCCTGCTGAACAGTAAAGCCCCCTGAGTGGAAGGATCATGTCATATTTATGTCTGCATTCCCCACTAGGTGAGTGAGGAATACTTTTAGCTGCAAGTAATAGAGGTTGTCTGACAGAGACTTGAAGCTTGAGGACATTTAATTATGTCACATGAGTTGGGAGGTTGGCAGGTCCATGCTATCAGGGCAATAGATTTGTGTGTCTGATTTTCTTGTTCTTCCCCTCATGGTTGCAAAGAGGCTGCCAAAGCTCCAAGCATCTTGTCTTCACACATCCACATCCATATTCAAGGCAGTAAAAGATAGATGGTTCTTTTCTGTACCTCCTCCCTTTTATCAGGGATGAAGAATCTTTCTCCAGAGCCCACTAATAGACGTCCCTCTTCCCCTTACATCTAGTTGGCCAAAATGGGGTTATGTGTGTATCTTGGACTAAGACCTGGGCCCACCATCCCTGAAGTCAGATTTCTGCCCAGTCGCTGAACACATTCAGAGTCATGTTAATGGGAAGGATTTAGAATGGCATTTGGGTTGGCACTTTGCTACTCATGTTGGGTGCTTAGACAGGATTTGGTGCACTGATTTATAAATGACTAGATGTGGAGGATACCTTAAAGATAGAATAGTTTATCTCAAACTTTTCCTCTCACCCCAAAGCATGACGTGTTCACACGGGCATCCCCACGACTATATATAAAGTCAATGATTTTTACAAACTTTAGAACATATAATAGTTGAACAAGCTGGGAGTGGTGGCCCACACCTGTAATCCTAATGACTCCAGAGGCTGAGACGGGAGGATTGCTTGAGCCTAGCAGTTGGAGGTTGCAGTGAGCTATGATCATACCACTGTACCTTAGCCTGGTCAGCAGAGCTAGACCCCGTCTTTAAAAAAAAATGTTGAACAAATACTTACCTCAGAAGTCATAGCTGGTTATGACCCACCAGCTTGTTGAGACATGAAGCTGAGTAGTGCTTACCTCACTTTTAGAGATGAGAAGAGTGAAGGCCGGAGAAGTGAAGTGAGTTGACCAAAGTTGACCAAATATTTAGGGCAAGAACTAACCTTATAGCCCAAACCTCTCAATTCCAGATCAGAAGACTGTATTTTTTACTGTAGGACCATTAGATGATATATCTTCTATTATTGCATAATAAGTTACCAAAACCTTAGTGGCTTAAGACATAGTATTTCTTATCTCACAGTTTCTAGGGGTTAAGAATCTGAGACTAGGAGCGGTGGCTCACGCCTAAAATCCCAATGCTTTGGAAGGCCAAGGCAGGAGGATCACTTGAGCCCAGGAGTTCAGGACCAGCCTGGGCAGCATAGCAAGACCCTGTCTTAAAAAAAAAAAAAAGAAAAAGAAAGAAGAAAAGAAAAAGAACCAGAATCAGGATATAAGAAGTAAGGGAGAAGAGAAAAGAAGCATCAAAAACAGTTTAAGTCCAGGGAAACCAGGAGGATTCTCCTGCTTGTGTAAAGACAGAAAATTATGGTTAGAAAGATGGCACAGGCTAGGCTTGGTGGCTCATGCCTGTAATCCTGGCATTTTGGGAGGCCAAAGTGGCCAGATCACTTGAGGCCGGATTTCGAGACCAGCCTGGCCAACACGGTAAAACCCCGTCTCTGCTAAAAATACAAAAATTAGCACCCGTAGTGTGCACCCAATGTGTGCACCCATAGTCACAGCTACTTAGGAAGCTGAGGCATGAGAATCGTTTGAACCGAGGAGGCAGAGGTTGCAGTTAGCTGAGATCATGCCACTGCACTCCAGCCTGGGTGACAGAGCAAGACTTAGGGAATTTATTTGGAGGCATTTTAGATACGGAAGATGAGGCCTAGAGGCATGATCTAGAAGGAGACAGTGAAGTAAAGAGAAGGCTAAACTCTTCAGCAAAGGAAGTTAGGAATTTGAGGGTGGTAGTTAGCAGGACAAGGGAAAGAAAGGAGGGAGTCAGAAAAGGAAAAGAAGGGCCTTACCACCATGGTGGGAGGCTGGACACAGGAGAGAGATGGCTGCTGAGAGATCCATGACCAGAGGCCTCAGGACTCTCTGCGGAGCTTTCTGAAATTTGATGACTTTAATGTAGTTTTTAGTTATTTTATTTTATTTTTTTTGAGACAGAGTCTTGCTCTGTCGCCCAGGCTGGAATGCAGCGGTGTGATCTCAGTTCACTGCAACCCCCGCCTCCCAGTTTCAAGCGATTCTCCTGCCTCAGCCTCCTGAGTAGCTGGGATTACAGGTGTGCACCACCACGCCCAGCTAATTTTTGTATGTTTAGTGGAGACGGGGTTTCACCATGTTGGCCAGGCTGGTCTCGAACTCCTGACCTCAAGTGATCCACCGCCTTGGCCTCCCAAAGTGCTGGGATTACAGGCGTGAGCCACTGCGCCCAGCCACTTTAGTGTAGTTTTGATGTCCTGTGATTTAAACCCTTTCTTTCTACCCAAGTCTTCATTGAAGTCTGTTACACATGCCAATGGGACGAGGGAGACATTGCTGCTGATGACATTCTGTGATGCCCGTGCAGCTTGCTGTATTTGGGATGGGGGGGCTATTTCTTACTAGTTTTAGATAGAAAAGCAAGCTTGTCCTGTAATGTGTCCTAGAGGCTGACAGGTTCATGAGTGCTTCCCCCACATTCCTTCAGGTGACTGGTTCTTCAGGAACTGTGAAGGTGGTGGTTGTGGACTCGGTCACTGCGGTGGTTTCCCCACTTCTGGGAGGTCAGCAGAGGGAAGGTGAGTGATGTGGCAGAGCCTGGGGCCAGTGGAATGTGACCTCGCCTCCCAGCTCTGGAGTCTGGTCTCTGGCCAGCCCCATCCCTGGTTCCCCACTGCCCTCCCTCTCTGCTTCTCCTCCTCCTGCAGGCTTGGCCTTGATGATGCAGCTGGCCCGAGAGCTGAAGACCCTGGCCCGGGACCTTGGCATGGCAGTGGTGGTGAGGAAGCAGGCTTGGCCAATGAACTTGATTTCTAGTTATTGCGAGCTCTTTATTTCCCTTAAATGTCAGCTTCTGAACCCCAAAGTGGCCCTTTAGGAAAGGGACATATCCCAGCTTCCCTGGGTCAGCTACAGCTTTGCACCATAAATAGCTAAGGGAATCAGGAATCGTCTTGTTGTTTTTTTGTTGTTTTGTTTTGTTTCTACATTTTTTCTTTTTAGTCAGGTTTATTGAGGTATAATTTACATAGAGTAACTTTCTCCTTGTTTGAAGTTTGACTAATGGATATAGTTGTATCCAGTCTTGTGACCCCACCAAAAGGTCCCCCAGGCCCAGGCAACCACTGATCTGTTTTCCATCCCAATAGTTTGGCCTTTTCCAGAGCTTCATATAAATGGATCTTTTTGCTATTGAAGTAACTTTTTCTGCTTATGAGGTAGTTTTTTTAAAGTCTGCATGCTTCTCATAGAAAGGATAGAAAATAAATATGATTCAAATTTGTCATCAATCTCCACATCCACAGAAACCATATTAATATTTTTACATATCTCCATACAATACTTTTTCTGCATATTTACTTATACTTTTAGCCAACTTTCTTTCTTTCTTTTTTTTTTCTTTTGAGATAGGGTTTCGCTCTGTTTCCCAGGCTGGAGTGCAGGGGCACAATCACAGCTCACTGCAGCTCGACCTTCCAGGCTCAAGCAATCCACCCGCCTCAGCCTCCCAAAGTGTTGGTATTACAGGTGTGAGCCCACACTTAACCAGCTTTCTAACTAAACTAACCTCATGAAAAAATAAAAAAAAATAGGCCAGGTGCGCTGGTTTATGCGTGTAATCCCAGCACTTTGAGAAGCCAAGGCTGGTGGATCACTTGAGCCCAGGAGTTCGAGACTAGCCTGGGCAACATGGCAAAACCCCACCTCTACAAAAAATACAAAAACTAGGTGGCCTTGGTGGCAGGAGAATTGCTTGAGCCTGGGAGATCGAGGCTGCAGTGAGCTGTGATCATGCCACTGCACTCCAGCCTGGGCAACAGAGCAAAACCTCATCTCAAAAACAAACAAACCAAAACAACAACATAAAAAATACCATCTGAGTCCATTTCCTATGTTTTAAAATAGATTTTTTAGAAATGTAATTTTTAGCAGCTATATATTTTTTCCAGTTTCTTTTATTGTGGTAAAATACATGTAACATAAAATTTACTATCTTAACCACTTTAAGGTATACAGTTCGGTGGTGTTAAATACATTCATAACGCTGTACAACCATCACCACCATCCATCTCTATAACTCTTCACCTTGTAAAACTGAAACTCTGTACCCATTAAAAATAACTCATTTTCCCCTTCCCCAGCCCCTGACAACCACCATTCTACTTTCTGTATCTATGCTTTTTGACTACTCTAGGAACCTCATATACATGGAATCATATGGTATTTACTTTTTGTGACTGGAGTATTTCACTTAGCATAATGTCCAGAAGGTTCATCCACCTTGTAGCATGTGTCAGACTTTCCTTCCTTTTAAAGGCTGAGTGTCTGGGCGTGGTGGCCCACACTTGTAATCCCAGCACTTTGGGAGGCTGAGGCTGGCGGACTGCATGAGCTCAAGAGTTTGAGACCAGCCTGGAAAGCATGGTGACATGTGCCCCATCGCCTTCTGGTTCGGGTCAAACCTGAGGCATCGAGATTTAGTGGAAAGAGCGGGGCACAAGTCAGGAGGCCCAGGTTCTAGTTCCAGACCTGCCATTAGGTTTTGTAACCTTGGGGAAGTTATTTCTCTGTGCTAGGCCTCTGTTTTCCTCTCCGTAAAATGAAGCGGTAGTAATCGATGTCCTCTATACTAGCATTATGGATCTGTAAGTCTGTTTCTGCTGCAGGTGACCAACCACATAACTCGAGACAGGGACAGCGGGAGGCTCAAACCTGCCCTCGGACGCTCCTGGAGCTTTGTGCCCAGCACTCGGATTCTCCTGGACACCATCGAGGGAGCAGGAGCATCAGGCGGCCGGCGCATGGCGTGTCTGGCCAAATCTTCCCGACAGGTGAGCCAGCCCCAGGAAGATGCCAGTAATCTTGGGCCCTGGAGGGTGGTTTCCATACCCACAGATGTCTTCGAGAAGAACTCTTTAGAGGCTGAAACCTTGCAACTAAAGAAGCTACCCACTTGGGTTGCTTAACTCCACTGACTCCTTACTTCTTCTTCCAGCCAACAGGTTTCCAGGAGATGGTAGACATTGGGACCTGGGGGACCTCAGAGCAGAGTGCCACATTACAGGGTGATCAGACATGACCTGTGCTGTTGTTTGGGAAACAGGGAAGCATTGGGGACCCCTCCCAACTTTTCTTCCCAGTAACGCCTGCTGTTTACTGCCACCTGGCACTGGTGACTACAGACGTTCTCAGGCTGGCCAGAAGAGACATCTTGGGTTCCTTGGCCTCACTCTCTGTAAGCATATAAACCACAGGCGAAAGAGGATGCTGCATTGCGAGGACCCAGAAATTCATACTGGTGCCACGTTTCCTTCCCTTATTTCTAACGTGTATGTTTCTGGTGGAAACCAAGTTCACCCTGGCTGGGAGCATCTCTGATGAGGCATGCTGGCGACTGGATGGATAATCCTGTGCATCACCATTGTGTCCTGTGCTCCCTCCTAGCGCAGTGGCCAAGCCGGGAAAGCCTCTAACTTGCCTTTGCTGCTGCTGCCTTTTTTTTCTTTTGTCTCTGCCTTTCCATTTGTTAGATGGGGGCCCACTCTTCCTTAGCTCTGTCTCTGAGTTACTGGGTGGAAATAAGCTTATAAATGAAATACTCTTCTTCATCTCTGTTTTGCTCTTAAAAATATAAAAAGGCAATTCCCCGAGCCCTAGAGCCACCTGATTTCCCCTTAGAAGGCTGTTTTTCAGTTTCCCCCAGTGAGGCCCAAAGAACAGTTTATTCCTCCTTTCCTCTTGCTGATTTGGTTTCAGACCTGCCTGCATCACCATGACTAGGTGAGAACGTGTGGGCTCGCTGCAGTTCCAGGGATATAATTTAACAGAAAGGGAGGGTATGACCTGCTCCTGGTGAATCCAGCCACTCATTTAATATGCATGGTGCCCTGTGGGGCCCCTCCACAGTACAGCATAACCAGAGGTGCTGAACCATGGCCTTGCCCATAAACAGACAGAGGAGAATTTGCACAGTAAATAGAGCCAGCTGGGAAAATTGATGCTGACGTAAATAATACATGGCAAATCTAGTCCTTTATGCAGAAATTCATTGCTGGTGGCTCCAAGATGCAATATAATTACACCTCTCTTCCTGCCAGCTGTACCACAGCTAGTGCCCTAGTGTATGAAATAATCCCTCTGTCTTTCACCAGCACTGTGGCCATCCGTCTGAGAGCCATGACCCTGGCTGGGAGGGGACGAAGACACCAGGGAATGGAAAATAAAAGGAAAAGTACAGAAATGATCAGGATTGGTTACTGGCCACATCTTTTAAAGGAAGGTCATCTTTCTTGGTTAGAGAGCCTGTTGTGTAATTAATCAGTTATGTCTTGGCTGCAGGAAAGGAGGGTCCGAGTTACACTCAGAAAGTAATGACATTTAGAGGTGATGAATGCAACAGGGATAGAATCATGGAGGATTGGGAAGGAGTGGCAAACTGGCACCAGGGTGTTGGATTCAGGACAGGGTTGGTAAGCCTAAGCCTGGGGGAATCCTAGCGCTTGCTTTCACAGAAGACCTCAGGAGAAATTAATCTTCAGTATCTTTATACCATGGGTGATTGGCACATTCCTGCAACCACAGTAAGATGCAATACATGAAGCTGGAAATTGCAAATTCTTGCCACTCAAGGTACTATTTGGGCATCTTCAGCCCACAGCAGACATGACCAATCGGGCACAAGCACTCTTTTTTGTGGAAGTCAAAGTGTTTTTAGAAGTTTTTCTCAATATAGCACTCCAGGGGGCCACTACCAGTCAGTTGGAGTTGGTATTCAAGGTGGAGTCTGGTTGCCGTCTCTGCCCTGTTCCCATTATGTAGTGAGTTCAGGTACTTAATACCTAACTGAGGACCCTAGGACTGCAGTTTGAGATCATCTGGGGCCAGGCACAGTGGCTCACACCTATAATGGTAGCACTTTGGGAGCCTGAGGCGGGAGGATCACTTGAGCCCAGGAGTTTAACAGTTTAAAATCAGCCTGGGCAACATGATGAGACATCGTTTCTACAAAAAAATTTTTTAAATTAGCTAGGCATTGTGATGTGCACCTGTGGTCCCTGCTACTTGGGAGCCTGAGGCAGGAGAATCGCTTGAACCTTGGAGGTTGTGGCTGCAGTGAGCCCTGATCGCACCACTACACCCCAGCCTGGGTAACAGAGCAAGACCCTGTCTCAAGGAAAAAAAAAATCATCTGGCCCATCCTGTTACTTAACAGAGAAGGTACCTGAGGCTCAAAAAGGATGACTGACAGTCCTAGTGGCAGAATGGAGGTGGGATCTGGAACCCACAACTTGATTCCTAGGACTCTTTTTTTTTTAATTCCCACATTGGCTGGGTGTGGTGGCTCACGCCTGTAATCCCAGCACTTTGGGAGGCTGAGGTGGGTGGATCACCTAAGGTCAGGAGTTCCAGACCAGCCTGACCAACATGGTGAAACCCCGTCTGTACTAAAAATACAAAAATTAGCCAGGCATGGTGGCCCATTTCCTGTAATCCCAGCTACTCAGGAGGCTGAGGCAGAATCGCTTGAACCTGGGAGGCGGAGGTTGCAGGGAGCTGAGATGGCGCCACTGCACTCCAGCCTGAGCGACAGAGTGAGACTCCGTCTCAAAAAAAAAAAAAAAATGCAAAAATTAGCCAGGCGTCGTGGCGCATGTCTGTAATCCCAGCTCCTCGAGAGGCTGAGTGGGGAGGATCACTTGAGCCCAGGAGGCAGAGGTTGCAATGACCTGCGATCATGCCACTGCACTCCAGCCTGGGCAACAGAGACTCTGTTTCAAAAAGAAAAAAAAAATCCCCACATTTTATTTAATTTTCAGTCCATACAGTTCTATTCCTGCTAGGGCTGTAACTCCAGCTGAAGGCACCACAGCTGTCACCCAAGGAGTTTCTGTGGCCATGGGAAGGTGTTGCATTCACTGCTACTTGAGACCACCACGTGACATTCCTGCAGGCTGTGCCCCTCACAGCCAGCTTCATCCTTTGGCTCCTCCTAGACCAGGACTTTGTCTTGCCTGCCTGCTGCCACTGCACTCTGTTCCGGCCACACCACACTGTGCAGTCCCCTGGTAGGACTTGGGCTAGGCTGGCTCTCCTGTCCAAGTGCCTTTTGCTCCCTTTGCTTATGTGTCTGTCTCTGCCCAGCTCCCACTGTGTCTGGTGCACACCCACCCTGACATCCTTTTTTATGCCTCAGCTGTGATCTAGATAGATGCTTACAGTAACTTCCCTGTATTAGTTATTCACTTGTACTTTCTGTTCACGTGTCTGCCTACAGGCTCCCACTTTTTGTCACTTTTTCTCTTTATACATTATGGAAGCTCAGTAATGATTAAATAGATGAATGATGTTTTAAAAATATATTTTAAAAAAGCAAAGGACTGGCTCTATCTCAGGGGTTCCTTCCATAAAGCGTCAACTTTCAATTTCCCCTGCGGGGGTGGTTTGAGACCTGAGGGCACTCTCTAGTTCTTAGGAAAAAAATATACATATACATATACATATATATATATATATACACACACACACACACACATATACACACATATATATACATATATATACACACATATATATATATACACACATATATATACACACATATATATACACATATGAGCCAGGCGCAGTGGCTCACGCCTGTAATCCCAGCACTTTGGGAGGCCAAAGTGGGCGGATCACAAGGTCAGGAGTTCAAGACCAGCCTGGCCTATATAGTGAAACCCTGTCTCTACTAAAAATACAAAAATTAGCTGGGTGTGATGGCTCGCATCTGTAATCCCAGCTACTTGGGAGGCTGAGGCATGAGAATCGCTTGAACCTGGGAGATGGAGGTTGCAGTGAGCCGAGATTGTGCCACTGTACTCTAGCCTGGGCAACAGAGTGAGACTCCATCTAAAAAATATATATATATGTTCACACCCACATCATTGAGTCCCCAGAGTGTCTTCTTACATATCTTTTTACAGGGGACTATTGTATGCCCTTCGTCTGACATCAGATGAAATTAATGTTGAGATCCTACTATGTGCTAGCACTTGATGGCCTTAATTAAAAATCAGGCATTTGAATTCCCAAGGACTCAGGCAAAGGTCCATGTATCATTAAGGCTGCAAGTAACAAAACCTAGGCTTAAAGAAGTGTAAATACTAGGGACACTTATTTATATTTATTTCTTTTATGTTTCAAGACAGAGTCTTGCTCTGGAGTGCAGTGGCACAATCACGGCTCACTGTACCCTCTACCTCCCAAGCTCAAGTGATCCTCCCACTTCAGTCTCCCAAGTAGCTGGGACTACAGGTGTGTGCCACCACACCCATCTAAGTTTTGTATTTTTTGTAGAGACGGGGTCTCTGTACGTTGCCCAGGCTGGTCTTGAACTCCTGGGCTCAGGTGATCTACCCGCCTTGACCTCCCAAAGTGCTAGGGATTACAGTCATGAGCCACCATGCCTGGCAGGGACACTTATTATCTCTGATAACAGGAAGTCTGAGGTTTGTTAATTTAGTGGCTCATTGTCAAATGGCGTAGAGCCTTTGCATCCTTCTGCTCTGTTCTTTTATGTTGGTTTTGTCTTCAAGCTTGTTCCCCTTATGAAAGCCTGGCTGCAGCCATTTTGAGCATCAATCCAGACGTGACAATATCTACAGGCAGGAGAAGGATCGCCTCCTGTGTGTCCTTTAAAGAACAAGGTGTTAACATGCCAGGAACTGTGGCTCCTGACTGTAATCCCAGTAATTTGGGAAGCCAAAGTAGGAGGATCGCCTGAGGCCAGGAGTTCCAGACCAGCCTGGGCAACATAGCAAGACCCTATCTCTATAAAATAAAATAATAAAAATTAAGAAAACAAGGTGTTAAAAGACAAAATTAAAGCAAATATAGTTTTGCAGATTGTAATTGACTTTTATTTGCAATTCTAGAATTGGGCTGCCCTCAGAACCAGGACAGGTTCAGAGAATTCCAGAGCTGCAACATAGTCTGAAAGCATTTATGGTCAGAAAACAGAAATGAGATACAAAGACAACTAATTGGTTACAGCTCTGCCTTTGCCTTATTTGAAAATGGTTTGAATAGTTGGCTGCCTGGAACCCACTGAAGCTGATGATGTGATTGGCTGAGCCTCAGCAATCTGTTACAAAAGTATACTCCTAAATTAGGTTTTCAGTTAGTTTGCATACTAAGGCTGCAGTTTGTTAAGGGCCCAAGTAAAGCCTCCTCAGGTCAATTTTTTTTTTCTTTTTGAGATGGAGTCTTGCTCTTGCTCAGGCTGGAGTGCAGTGGCGTGATCTCAGCTCACTGCACCTCTGCCTCCCGGGTTCAAGTGATTCTCCTGCCTCAGCCTCCTGAGTAGCTGGGACTACGACTACAGGCGCCTGCCACTATGTCCGGCTAATTTTTTGTATTTTTAGTAGAGATGGGGTTTCATCATGTTGGCCATGGCTGGTCTCGAACTCCTGACCTCAGATGATCTGCCTGCCTCAGCCTCCCAAAGAACTGGGATTATAGGCATGACCCACTGTGACTAGCCCTCAGGCCAAATTTAGCTTTTGTTTGTTTGTTTGAGACGGAGTCTCTGTCACCTAGGCTGGAGTGCAGTGGCATGATCTTGGCTCACTGCAACCTCTGCTTCCTGGGTTCAAGCAATTCTGCCGCAGCCTCCCGAGTAGCTGGGATTACAAGCATGCGCCCCCATCCCCGGCTCTTTTTGTATTTTTAGTAGAGATGGGGTTTCACCATGTTGGCCAGACTGGTCTCAAACTCCTGACCTCAGGTGATTCACCTGCCTCTGCCTCCCAAAGTGCCTGGATTACAGGCGTGAGACACCACACCCGACCCCAAATTTAATTTAACAAAGGACTAACTCAGAACTAACTTCCAACCAAAGCTGACTCACCTCAAATCTCATTGGTGCAGAATTGCTTCATACACCCATGTGTAATACAGTAACTGGCAAGAAAAAGGGACTGCTGTGATTGACTCAAACCAACTAGGAAATAGCCCTGGAGCTGAGGCTGGGGACAGGCTTTCCTGAAGCACATGCTGGAGCCACTGAAAGAAAAATGGGAGTTCTCCTTTCTACTAGAAAGGAGAGTGTGTGGATGAACTGGATGCTGGGTGGGCAGCCTCTCACTAGTACTTACGGTAGTACCAAAGACGAGTTAATCAAGGCTCTATTATGTATCCTTAGGCCCTTGATGCATGTCTCATTATGACCTTAGGACAGCCTTGTGGCAGAGGGAATGATTCCATTTAATAGACAGTAAATGGGATCTCAGTGAGGTTAAGGACATAAAGCTAATAAGTGGCAGCACGGGAATCCAGACACATGTCTGCCTGATACCAAACCCATTTTTTCCCATCTGCACGCTGCCTTCTGCTGTAAATATGTAAATGTTTCCACAAAATTCTTTTTCATACTTTGCCCTGATAGCAGCAGGGGCTGCACATCCCAACCTCTTTTCAGCTTAGCTCACCATAAAAAGCGGGATCAGAGATCTACTTCTCAGCTCTTTCTGATTTCCCCCAGGGAAGTTACAAAAGAATGACAAAAACTTGGAGAAGGCAGATATCATTAGTATTAAAGAGAACTGGAGGTTTAGGGGGAAATAAAGCTGAATAAAAAACAGCAGGGCTGGCTGAGCGTGGTGGCTCACGCCTGTCATCTCAGCGCTCTGGGAGGCTGAGGTGGGTGGATCATTTGAAATCAGAAGTTCGAGACCAGCTTGGCCAACATGGCGAAACCCCATTTCTACTAAAAATACAAAAATTAGCCGGGCGTGGTGGCGGGTGCCTGTAGTTCCAGCTACTCAGAAGGCTGAGGCAGGAGAATCGCTTGAACCCGGGTGGTGGAAGTTGCAGTGAGCCAAGATCACACTACTGCACTCCAGTCTGGGTGACGGAACAAGACTCCATCTCAAAAAAACAAAACAAAACAGGGCCTATGCATCCCTGAGATGTGAAGCAGGGGGAGATAAGGGATTTAGATGTATATCCTACTAGGTTTTTGCTGTGTTCTGCCATGCAGTTGTCTGGGCAGGATTTATTTATATTTTAATTTATTTCAGGGGCCATGCTAATCATCTTTGTATTGTTCCAATTTTAGTGTATGTGCTGCTGAAGCAAGCACTGGGTAAGGTTTAAACTGTCTAGTTCTGTGTGCTGGGGTTTGGCATTGGAGAAGGCTCTGTGATGCATAGACCTTAAATTAGAGTTAGGTATATTATTAATCCAAAGTGATCCTGAATGCTTTCTATCATTTTTTTCTTGTCCTATTGCACTGGCTAAACTGACTTTTAGTACTACACAGAATAGAAGCAACAATAACAATCATCCTTGTCTTGTTCCTAACTTTAGTGGACTATTTACAATATTTTACTGAGTTAGATGCCTTAGGTTCCACGTAGCTGCTCTTTATGAAAGACCTCACTGGGTTACCCTTCAGTCTTGGAGGAGTCTGGGTATTGGCCATGACATTTGCCATGAATGATGGAGTTCTCTCTGCCAGGTCCTCATGCCCTGGAGCTGTACGGCTGCACTTCAGCTGCTGCACATTTGACTTTTTGAGTAGCCCTTGAATCTCTGCTCTTCCTTGGCCTCTCTATAGTTTTTGGTATAATAGCCTCAGCTTAAGTTTGAGTTTTGTAGGAAAACAATGGGCCTGTGCTGACAAAGATACAAAGTCAAGGAACAGGATTTTTTATATCTCAACTAACTTGGTCCTAGCTTTGACATTTACTTGCCATATAACAATGGATGAATAACAGTCTCTTTAAGCCTTAGTTTCATCCACCGTGAAATGGGAAAAATAATATCTGTTTCATAGAGTTGTTTTAGGATCATGTAACTTATGTAAAACACTGAATAGTTTTCCAGGCATGATATAGGCACTCAATCTCATATTATGAATAAGCTTATGATGCATGGGGGATACTGATGACAGCTTTCTTCTGTCCAGGCAGGCCCAGCTACATGGTGGTATGACCAGTGCAGTCACACAGCCCCATGCTTAGCAGGGCTCTGCACTTAGTTTAATGCTCTGCTGTTGCCATCTTGAAGTTCTTAATTTTTAAACAAGCATCCCATATTTTGCACTGTTTCTTGCAAACAGTGTAGCCAGTTCTGTCTCCAGGAATGGATCCAGCACTAGTACTGGCCCTTCTCTTTGGGAAACATCCTTCCATTGATTTC
This sequence comes from Homo sapiens, assembly GCF_000001405.40. NCBI lineage: Eukaryota > Metazoa > Chordata > Mammalia > Primates > Hominidae > Homo > Homo sapiens. The sequence continues at coordinate 35,092,847 of NC_000017.11, read as the reverse complement.
TTAGGGAGTAAATCCCTTGAAGAGTAACCTCCCATAGAAAAATTAGGGTTAGCACCCTGTGTATGTTTATCTCTAACTGTTCCATTCTCAGTAACCTACACATCCTCTCTCATTAAAAAAACAAAACAAAACAAAAAACACTTTATATTTTACAGAAGCTATTAGATCCAGAGAGGTTGGTAGGGGTGCTGGTGAAATGGAATGGTGATTTGGGATTTTGGAATCAGGAAAAAGATCTAAGTTCAAAACCCTGCTAGTCCCTTTCTGGCCGAGTTACTTGGACAAGGTAATGTCTCTGTCCTACTGGTAAAGTGTATGTTGCAGGGGAATTACATTCTTTGTTGGTAAAATATATGCCTCAGGGGAATTAAACAGATAATTTATGTAAAGTGCCTTTCACAGAGAGTCTGGCACATAGTAGGTGGTCGGTCACTATTAATTCTTCCAGCTCTTGCCAGAAATAACTAAAATCAGGGCACTAGGACTTCCAAGCCGTGCTGCTACTAATAAAAGAAATAATATGATTTATTTTTTCACAACTGTTTGGGGAAAGGCCTGTGCTTCATAAATATGCGTTGGAAAGTACTTAGCAAATGAGTAGAAATAATAAAAATATGTCCAAGTAAACAGCTCCTATAAATATGTCACTTGGTAGACAAATTAGTGTTTTATCACTACTAAATACTATTGCTCGCTGAAAAGGATTTCGGATTGCTTGCACAATGGGTACATTATTGAATGCCTCTGTGGAAGGGCATGATAAAGATGAAAAATAGTGACGGTGGTAATGCCTAAGGTGGAGAAAGGAGGAGCGTGGATAAACGCAGCTCGGAGGCCTCTGTGCTGCAGTGATATGCACATTATTTAGCAGCATTCCAATGATTTGCTTGTAATATGGACCAGAGGGCCCAGAAAAAAATGATTTCCACAGGATGTCATGAATCCAAACTTCAATTATTGGATCCAATCAGTGGATTAAGTGCACCCCCTTTCAGAACTGAACCTTCAGGTTGTAAACTAAGTTTATGAAAGGACATCCCCAGGTCTCACCCCACCCTTGTTCTGGACCTATTAACTTTTTTTCTGTTTGTTTGTTTTTTGTTTTGAGATGGAGCCTTGCTCTGTCACCCAGGCTGGAGTGCAGTGGCACGATCTCGGTTCACTGCAACCTCCACCTCCCGAGTTCAAGTGATTCCCCTGCCTCAGCCTCCCGAGTAGCTGGGATTATAGGCGTACGCCACCACGCCTCGCTAATTTTTGTTATTTTTATTAGAGATGGGGTTTCACTACATTGGCCAGGCTGGTCTCAAACTCCTGACCTCAAGTGATCAGGTCTCCCAAAGTGCTGGGATTACAGGCATGAGCCACCGCGCCTGGCCTGGACCTATTAACTTTCTATAACTATGATTTCTATCAAGAGAAAGAGTGATGTGGTGGAAAAGGCTGTGCCTTCATCACAGCTAGGAATCTATTTCAGAATTGAGAGGATGGACAAGGTCCTGGCATATCTAGGGAAAAGGAATTAGAGGGAAAGGAGGAGACCATAAATGCCTTTGGAGGGTAGGGCTGGAAATGAAGACTTAGAGAGAAGCAAACCAGACAGAATTGCATCAGGGAAAGTTACAAAAATAGCCAGGAAGGAAAATGAAGGGTACATTTAATTCGGATGTGGGAGGCCTTTAGCAGGTCAGTCTTTCCGTGCATTCCAGGTGATTGAAAAAATCAGTTTTAAATTCCAGCTTTTTGGGGCGCAGTGGCTCGTCCTGGTAATCCCAGCACTTTGGGAGGCCGAGGCGGCAGATCGCTTGAGGTTAGGAGTTTGAGACCAGCCTGGCCAACATGGTGAAACTCTGTCTCTACCAAAAACAGGCAAACAAATAAACAAATTAGCCAAGCGTGGTAGCGGGTGACTGTAGACCCAGCTATAGGGTGGGAAGATCCTTTGAACCTGGGAGGCGGAGGTTGCAGTGAGCGGAGATCACGCCACTGCATTCCAGCCTGGGTGACAGTGAGACTCTGTCTCAAAAAAATAAATAAATTGCAGCTCCGTGTATTCAAGACACTGCTGGTTGAAAGAAAAAAAAGCAATACATTCCAGCTCCACCTTTTTCTAACCATGTAGTTTTGGGTAAATTACTTAATATGTAGATCCTCATTGATAACATGGGAATAATAGTACTCAGTTTGCTGGGTTGTGAGGATTGAAAATAATACTTGTAAAGTGACAGAGTCTGATATGTATACGTGATCTTATTGTTATTATTTCTGAGGCGTCGTCTCGCCCTTGTTGCCCAGGCTGGAGTGCAATGGCGCGACCTTGGCTCACTGCAACCTCTGTCTTCCGAGTAGCTGGGATTACCGGCACCCGCCACCATTCCTGGCTAATTTTTTGTATTTTTAGTAGACATGGGGTTTCACCATGTTGGCCAGGCTGGTCTCGAACTCCTGACGTCAGGTGATCCACCCACCTCAGCCTCCCAAAGTGCTGGGATTACAGGCATGAGCCACCACGCCTGGCTCATGATCTTATTTTCCTTACGATATTCCTTGTTTGAAAATACAAATTGTTCAGAAAAACTAGGAGTTCTCAATAGAACCTAAAGCCTAAGAAAATTGTGTCACTAGACACCATTTAAAAGAAGGATTAGAACTTAATATTATGTTCATGACTAGGCATCGTAGCCCACGCTGGCTAACCATCCCCTGGGCCGCCCTGCTGCTTGGCGGTTTACTAACCACAGCTACATGCATGCGCTCACTAAATCCTCACGCCAACCTGCGTTTCTGGGATGAGAAAACCAGAGTTCGTAAAGGTTAGGTACCTTGCTGAAAGGTGCATGGGTGAAAGGCAGGGATGGATCCTCGCTGAGTCATTCTCATTCTACCACAGCCTTCCTCAGCAGCTTCCTGACTTTCCTGAGGGGAAGTAGCTAGTCCTAGCGGTTTAGACTGGGCAGTGCTAGAGTGAGTGGGACAAGCATGGGTTTTTAGGTCCCACAGACCCGGCTTCTAATACCTCCCAGTTGTGGGACGCTGAATAAGCTCGTAACCCCTAGTGGGGCTGGGTTTCTGCAATCATGAAGCGGGGGAAACCATCGCCTGCTCATCGCACCGAGGAGAGAGTCAATGAGACATGAAAGTCAGGCACCTTTCAAAGTTTTATGACATGCGTTCAGAGGTGTTGAGGGACTCGCTCAAGGTCACCAAGCCGGGTCTTGACCCAGCTGAAACTTGGACCTGGACCCTTGGGCGCCTCCCGCAGAGTTGTGTGACCAAGGTAACCAGCAGCGGCCGACCCCACGACTTTGGGGAAACGACGCCTCCTACGGCCCCACGGCTCAGGCCAGCCCGGCCCCGCCGTCGGGAGCCTCAGCTCCGCCAGGGGGCGCGAGCGGAGGCCGCGCTCGAGGCCGCCGGGCGCCTCGCTCTTCTCTATGGTGGCTCGGGCGCGGCGGGAGCGGAGGCGCGATCCCGAGAGGGGGCGGGGCCGAGTCAGGGGCGGGGCCGCGCGGAGGGCGGGAGCGGCCGGGCCGGGCCGGGCCGGCTGGGGATGGGTGGGAGGGGGGGCCGACTTCCTGGGGCCGCCCGTGAGGATGTCGCGACCGCCCCCGGGTGCCCCTCAGCCCCAGAGACGCCGCCGCGGCGGAGTCCGCAGCCTCCCTGCCTGAGGCGTCCGCGGCCGGGATCCGGCCCCTCCCCTCGCCTCCTCTCCTAGGTGCCGGCCGGGAGGGCGGCCGCAGCAGGTGAGGAGGCGGCGGCGGCGGCGCTGGGGGCCGCTGGGCGCCCGGCCTGGGGAAGGACGGGAAGGGGGACGGTCGGGTGCCGTCAGGCTGTGGTCTGGGGGCCCTTCCTCTGTGTGGGGCGCGGCCTGGGACTCTCCCTGCCCTACAGGGGTGGGGGGAAGCCCTTGGCTGGCTGGAAGTCCCCGCCTTCAGGGCAGCCCACACCTGTCCTTTGAAAAGTCCCCTCAAAGAAAGCGTTTCACCTGTGGGGGCAGTAACAGGAGACGTGCGTCCTCGATTATCCCCAAGCGCCCTGCAGACCGGCAGGTCTAGTTGGCTTGTGGGGAAAAGATACCTCTTTGTACGTCAGAAGAAACTGAGGCAGGTCCGCGGCGGCCTGCTTACCCCTTTAAAGGAACCAGCCCGTCCCTATCTCCGTCTTAGAGGAGGCGGCTGGAGGAGGGAGGTTTGGAGTTTGGAGGTTTGATGGAGAAGTTTGGGAATGCGGTTCTCCCCGCAGGGTCCACTGTTCCCTCGCTTGGGAGTTGTCCTCTGTTCGCGATGTGTGTGAGGTCGCCACTGTGCGGCAGCGGTCAAGACCGAGAGGGAAATGGGGCCTCTCTTCAGCCGGCTGCCCAGGAGACAGTTGACCAGACATGGGGAAGTCTGGCGAACCAGGGGAGCCAGAGCCTCCGCTGGCACGTCTGCTCAGAGCTTGAGTTCAGGCTGGCAGAAGAGATAAACAACAGCATATCATTTTCTCCTTTTTGTTGGTCTGTCATTTGTTCTAGGGGGGAAGAAGACTGCTTGTGTAATCAAGAGTGTACCGTGCACCCCCCAGTCTACCATAAGGAAGGATAATTGTTAGCTTGGAAATAGGGTTTTACCCACAACTGTCTCTTTGCTCCCTGGTTAAAGGCCAGAGTGACGTGATGAGCAAACATCCCGGGGTGCATGTGGCCTTCTAAGAAAGCAGTGAGTTCCTTATGTATCCCTTTGATTATTGGTTTGGAGGACAGAGAGACTTCCTGTTAACCACTGTCGCTGCAACTGTTTGGGGTGCCTTATTCTCCCCGTGACAGTTCAATTTACTGAAATGTGGGCCGGGCTGCCCGTTTATTATACCATTCTTCTAGGAATGGGAGTAGGCAGGGGACAAGGTACTGGGCTGAATTTGTGTACAGAGTTCTAGGGCTGCAGCCTAGCCGTGGCAGCTCCTTTCTGTTCAGGGGATTTCAGGTTTGACAACTTCTTTATCCTTTTCTCTGATTACATTCTCTTTCACATTCAAGGAAGTAGATGATGGCAAAGGTTTCCGAACTTTTATTGTATATTTCCTAATTCTGAATTTTAGAGTACAATTCAGAAGTTACAGTTTATTTAGAGGTATTCTTAAGTTTGAAAATATTTGGGTATATTTTCATAACAATTGCAGATTGATGTGGCAGGGCTAATATCTTGATTGTGATTGAAGAAAATGTTCATGTAATCTAGGACGCACTCATTTTAATGCCCGTCTAATTACAAAGACCAGCCTGTTAAAAACTTTCATATTGATCAGGTAGACAGTTGTGATTTCTTGTTTACATTGGGATCAAGGGTTGTAAATATTTAAATCGACCAGTTTAACCAGCCTCCAAAATAACATGCACAAAAAAAGAAAGCTCTTCTCAGAAACCTTAAAAATCAATTTCTTTCAAACCTTCTCTCATGACCAAGCCAGTTGACATAACTCTGCTTGGTACCATCTAATAGGAACACCTTTTTTTTTTTTGGAGACAGAGTCTCACTCTGTCACTCAGACTGGCGTGCAGTGGCGTAATCATGGCTCACTGCAGCCTTGACCTCCTAGGCTTAGGTGACTCTCCCTTCTCAGCCTCCTGAGTAGCTGGGACCTCAGGCATGTGCAACCACACCCAGCTAGTTTTTGTATTTTCTGTAGAGATGAGGTTTTGCCATGTTGTTCGTCATGAACTGGGCTCAAGCAATCCTCCTGCCTTGGCTTCCCCAAGTTCTGAGATTACAGATGTGAGCCACCGCGCCAGGCCGGAACACCTCTTAAGGGTTGTGGAAAAGGCGTTTTTAGTGACCAGCATTTAAGAAGACAAAACAAACAGCAACAATAACAAAAAAGGGCACAATTTCTTTTCTAATTACATGTGCATTGTTATTTAAATACAGTCACACCCATCTCTATGAGCGTCATGCCTAAGACTTTCTGAGAACACCTCTGTAAACCTAAGAAGTTGTTAGGGGGACTAATTCCACCTTGATTTTTTATTCTTGTCATAGAACCTTTAATACTGCCATGGTTTTAATGATAGAGGCTTTTATACCAAACTTGTACTAGTCATAGTGTTTATGTTTTTGGAGGAAAGATTTAACCTCTATACCTTAGAATCTCATAACTTGTTAATACAATAACAGAATTAAGGTATTAGAGTTTAATGAGAACGCATAGTTTAAATTACTATTGGTGAAGTCTCAAGTGAGGAGCTGCTTCATTGTTGTTTGGTAATGGTTACTGGTTTAATGATGATTACTGGTTATTTTTGTTTCACTTCTGGTTATTGGTAATGGTTATTTGGTGTTTGTGTAAGAAAGATTTTGGCAATTGTAAAGATAGTCTTTTTTTTTTTTTTTAATTGAGATGGGGGTCTCACTCTTGTCAACCATGCTGGAGTGCCATGGAATGATTTCAGCTCGATGCAACCTTGCCTCCTGGGCTCACGCAATCCTCGCCTCCCAAGTACCTGGGACCACAGATGTGCGTCACTACGCCCAGCTAATTTTTGTGTTTTTGGTGGAGACAGGGTTTTGCCATGTTGCCCAGGCTGATCTCAAATGCCTTGAGCTCAAGCGATCCTCTGGCCTCGGCCTCCCAAAGTGCTGGGATTATGGGTGTGAGCCACTGTGCCCAGCCTAAAGACAAGCTTTTCATATAGAAACAGACTCCCGGGTCTTTCGTAAGGAAATATCTGATTAACTTCTTATTTTGTGACTTTATATTAGTTAAGCAGTTTTAAAATAGTAAAACTAATTTGGCTCTTAGTAGGATATCCTATTATATCTCACATAAAAGCCATCTCAGATAGGTAGGAATTGGCCTCATGTATTTAAAGACCTCTGCCCTCCCTGTTTCCAAGATTTAACAGCTGCCATCAGGACAGCGGTCATAGCTAATCCTGTTATGCCAGTCTTAGTTTAAACCCATTATCCTTTCTCTTCGTTAAGACTGTCATGAAGTTCTTCCTTTACTTTTCTTATGCAGGGTGAATATTCCACATTTTTAATGTATTTGGGCCTGTTAACATTCTGCAGTGAAGCCAAGCAGTTGGTTAAAAGAGTCCTGCATGTTTTTAAACAGTTTCCTTTTTAAAGCATAAAATCTGCATCTTGGCTGGGCGCAGTGGCTCACTCCTGTAATCCCAGCACTTTGGGAGGCAGAGGCGGGTGATTACCTGAGATCAGGAGTTAGAGACCAGCCTGACCAATATGGTGAAACCCTGTTTCTACTGAAAACACAAAATTAGCCGGGCATGGTGGTGCATGCCTGTAATTCCAGCTACTTGAGAGACTGAGGCAGGAGAATCACTTGAACCTGGGAGACGGAGGTTGCAGTGAGCCGAGATCGCACCACTGCGCTACAGCCTGGGCAACAAGAGCGAAACTCCATCTCAAAAACAACAACAAAAAACTGCATTTCCTCTGGAGTAAAACCAGCTTTTTGAATCTGATAATAAAACAAAAGCTGTTTTTTCCTGCTCTCTACTAATAGAAAGTCTTTATTAACTTTACCTTACTGGTTTTGTTAGTACAGTGACTAGTGACTGGTAGTAAATGATAACCTAGTGGTAATGGGAGATCCTGAAGTCTCCTGAATCATCAATGACAGGTCACATTGGGTTCAGTGCAGCTTTAGCCTTTTGAGTATGTTTTATTGTAAGGAGTTCCAAACGCCAGCCACTCCTTGAAAGATGAGGTACCTGGTGATTTGCTGCTGAGTCACTGACCGAGATATTCTTTAAAAATGCAGATTTCCCAGCCCCACTTCCTGGAGATTTTGACTGAGTGGGTAAGTGATGACCAGAGAATTACCTTTTATTTTTTCAATTTTATAATTTATTATTACTACTATGAGGCCATACCATGTAGACGCTACCTTTTATTTTTATTAATTATTTTTATTTTATTTCATTTTATTTTGAGATGGAGTCTTGCTCTGTCACCCAGGCTGGAGTGCAGTGGCGGGATCTCGGTTCACTGCAACCTCTGGATCTCGGTTCACTGCAACCTCTGTCTCCTGGGTTCAAGCAATTCTTCTGCCTCAGCCTCCCGAGCGGCTGGGATTACAGGCACCCACCACCACACCCAGCTAATTTTTGCATTTTTTTTTTTAGTAGAGACGGGTTTTCACTACATTGGCCAGGCTGATCTTGAACTCCTGACCTCATGTGATCTGCCCGCCTCAGCCTCCCAAAGTGCTGGGATTATAGGTGTGAGCCACCACACCCAGCCTATTTATTTATTTTTGAGACAGTCTCAGCTCTGTCATCCAGGCTGGAGTGCAGTGAGGTGATCTCGGCTCACTGTAACCTCCACCTCCCAGGTTCAAGTGATGTGCCTGCCTCAGCCACCCAAGTAGCTGGGACCACAGATGTGTGTCACCACACCCGGCTAATTTTTGTATTTTTAGTAGAGACAGGGTTTTACTATATTGACCAGGCTGGTCTCAAACTCCTGACCTCAGGTGATCTGCCCGCCTTGGCCTCCCAATGTTGGGATTACAGGTGTGAGCCACTGCGTCCAGCAGGAAGCTAGCTTTAAAAAATCTCCCTTGCATCTTTATTTTCAAAAAGCTCCCCAAGTGGTTTTTATTTATTTATTTTTTTGAGATGGAGTCTCTGTCACCCAGGCTAGAGTGCGTGGCATGATCTCGGCTCACCGCAACCTCTGCCTCCTGGGTTCAAGCAATTCTCCTGCCTCCGTCTCCCAAGTAGCTGGGATTACAGGCACGCGCCACTGCGCCCGGCTAATTTTTGTGTTTTTAGCAGAGGCAGGGTTTCACCCTGTTGGCCAGGATGGTCTCAAACTCCTGACCTCAGGTGATCCACCTGCCTCGACCTCCCAAAGTGCTGGGATTACAGGCTTGAGCCATTGAGCCACCGTGCCTGGCTTCCCAAGTGCTTTGGATGTGCAGTCAAGTTTGGGAACCACCGTTTTATTGCATTGATACTCTTTTTCAGGGTGGGGGGGGCATTATCTCCTGTACATCAGGCCCCATGGAACTTTGAAAATTGGGGTTCACTTTTCTTCCCTTTTCTTTCTTTCTTTTTTTTTTTTTTGAGACAGAGTCTTGCTCTGTCACCTAGGCTGGAGTGCAGTGGTGTGATCTTGGCTCACTGCAACCTCCGCCTCCTGGGTTCAAGCAGTTCTCCTGCCTCAGCCTCCCAAGTAACTGGGACTACAGACATGCGCCACCATGTCCAGCCGATTTTTGTATTTTTTGTAGGGATGGGGTTTCACCATGTTGGCCATGCTGGTCTCAAACTACTGACCTCAAGTGATCTGCCTACCTTGGCCTCCCAAAGTGTTGGGATTACAGGTGTGAGCCACCGTGCCTGACCCGCTTTTCTTTTTTTAATTTTTAGAGTGAAATTATGCACATTGAAATTCCTTATAAATTGGTAGTCCCTCTAATAGAATCGTTATGCTATCCAGGATGTTTGATTTGCTAGAATAGCCCATTTCCTAGTCATGACAGATAACAAAGAGCTTTTATAACTTTTATGTAAATTGCTTTACAGTGAGGCCTCCTCTGCTGTATTATCTATCAGGAGTCATGAGGGAGGGTTTTTGGTGAAAGTAGCTTCGTTTATCTCATGAGTGGACAAATGAATGATAATGTGGAAACAACTAGAGGTCTGAATAGGTAGTTGAATCTAGTTATGATCATCAGTGTTGGATGGCAGAGATGCCTGGGAATTCTCTGTATGTCAAATTTTAGAATAAAGTCAGTTTGCCTGTTTTATTTCTACACAGCTGAAGCCTTTATTGAAAATAATAGGTGCGTAACAAATAGTTAATAAAATTTAGTCAGCAGCCGTTTGATGAGTTCATGGGAGGAAGAATAATTGCTGAAATATAGAACCATCTGATTTAAAACAGATTCAGGCACTAGATACGTTATCCCTAACGTAGTTTGTTTGTATAGACAAACCTGGTTTTGAATTCTGACTCCCCCACTTCCTGGCTGTGCTACCTTAGGCAAATTACTTAACCTCTGTGAGCTTCAGTTTTTTCATCTGCAAGATGAAAATACCTGGTAGGATTGTTATGTGGATTAAAAGGGGGAAAATATGCAAGGGAGGATTGAAAGAGAGAAAAATATGTTTTTTGTATATTGTAAGCAACTCAATAAACGTCCCTTCTCCCACTTCCTCACACAATTTTTATTCTGTAGGCTTAAGATGCTTTTCTAAATCCAGCTTTCTCTATATCTCTTTCCAGGAATATCTATTCAGTCAGCTCTTTTAGAAAATGTATGAAAGAGTGAGGACTAAAGTTAAGAACCAGAGAATATGGGTAAGAAGAATGAGTCACAGGACAATTAGCAACACTTTAAACAATTTTTTAGAATGAGTGGAGTGTTGGCATGTACCCAGAGTTACTATCTGCAGGAATAAATGAATAACATTACCCAAATTCTGCCATCTGTATTTGGACGGTAGCCCAGATTAGGCTAGGAGCCTTTGAGGGTGGCCTCATTAAGTAGCACCTGACATCCATTTCTTTCATTATCTTCTTTTCTCCCTTTTGGTCTTCGTTTCTTGTTCCCTGTCTCCTCCTTTTCCCTCTTTTAAAGCTGTCCTTCCTTTAGACTTGCCAATCATCATCATAGATGCAGGCCCAGTCCCTGGAACTCGAGGCTAAAAGAGGTTTCTGGTTGCTAACACCTGTCTCCTAGCTAAATGAATAAGCTCTTTTGTGGGCAGGATGTTAAAAAAGCTGATTAGTACAATACCAGCTTAAAGGGCCTATTAATGATACAGCATATGTAAATCACAGTGATTTAAAGCCATTTTAGAGATTAATTTCTTATATATTTATTTTCTATATTGAATTATGATGTCAGTTGAATTTTTACATCTAAACCATGAATCTGTTTATTACCTAAACAGACTAATTTCTTTCATATTGATTGGGAATCATTTATATTCTAAAGAAGTTTCCACCCTTAAGGGCCTTTGTATTGTTTGGCAAATGTCTAACTAGTGTGTAATACAATTGAAGTTTTGTTCACTGCGCTGCTGCCATAACTAGTTTAATTTCTGCTCCTTATATATTTCTGTTGGCAGCTGGAAAATTAAAATACTAGATGTTCCATAAAACTGATTTTTTGAGGGGTGATTTTACTGTCATTTGAATGGACTTAGGCCCCAGGGTACATTTTTTTAAGATGTCTTATTCAACTTTCCTGTAATAGTCTCTCTCTCTTTATATAATTAATGTATTAGACACATAATTGGCTGTTTAAGCATTCAGAAGAGACAATGTTTGGCCTTTTACCCAGAGATTATTTTTTTCTACATCTCTTGAGGAAATGTGTGCCATTTTTGGAAACTCCTAAGTATATTACAGTTACACTAGCACGTGAATTTTTGCAAAGACTAGAGAATGAACAATTCCCAAATCGTTCTATTCTTTTTAGATCATAGTGTTTCCAACCTGATGTGAAAGGAGAAAGGCTGTGATGTGATACCTAGTAAATCCTCCTCATAATTTTTCTATATGTTTCACAGAAATATATAGTCTTCAATAACTGAAGTTACTCTCAAGGAGACTTTACATTTAATTACTCAATCCACACTTAATTTCCTGCAAGATTCTTGGAGAGACACTCACCAGGCTACTGATTTCATGGAGTTATAACCTACACAGGTTTTTATCTCTGTTAAAGCTACTAACCCCCACTTTTTTTTTAGGTTGAAAAGTGACCTTGGTCTGGTAATTTCTTCATTGTCCTCTCCTCTAAAAAGATACAGCAAAACCTTCTTGCTCTCTCAGCAGCGTTTTTCAACTGCTACTACCGCCATGTGCTGAATTTGAATTTGAGCACACTTCAGTGTATGATTTTGTTGAGCTAATGTTATCTGACTTTTTAAAGCTGCCGCTCTGCAATGCTACAGTTAAACCTACATTTTCTGTTTTCATGTTCACATGCCTTTTCTAGAATTACATATAAAAATATGTTTTCATTATCTCTGAGTTGTGGAGTGTTCCCTGGGACAGTCACTTGTTTCTACCAGTGGCTAGTTCTAAGAGTAGGGGAAATCCACCTGGATTTGAACTACTTGGCAGCCAGTATGATCTGCTGAAACATTTTAACTGTCTTGGTCCTTTTTAAAGAAATGCTGCCTACTCATCTTGAAACTTACAGGAAGTTAGGCCAAGTGGAGGCTCTGCTGGCTTCTGAGTGGTTAAATGCAACTTATTAGTGATCAACACCATTGTTTATTTGCAACTGCTGGTGGATTATGTTAAAAGATTTGAAAGGAAAAAAAGCTTTTCTTAAGTAAATCGTGCATCCTCCTCTCCCACCTCACCCTCTTCTTGTTTTACTCTTCATTTGCTTTGGAAAATCTTTCCAGTCTTGGTACTGATCACATGTATATAGTCTTAGTGGCAATTGAATCAACGTATTTTATCCTAAAATATACAAAAAACTATGTGCCCTACCCTCTGCATTTTCTGCTAATCCTCCCATGCTTTTTTACCTTCATAATGATTAAAATATGTGCCTGAGAAATAACCAAGCTTCATCCTCTATCAACTTCCAACCCTCTTCTAGGTCTTGCGTCAGTAGATGCATAACCATTTGCAGTTGGGTTGGATTGTACCATCTTAACTATACTAATTATTATTTTACATGGTGTGGAAGATCAGCCAGAGCATATGCTTTATTCTAAAATGCTGGGCAAAGGAATGTTCTAATTTGGAGAGAGAGGAAGGAGTGTTTTCTAGGGCCTTAGCAGGAGTAGGTCCACTGAAATTCAGCTAGTTTGAGGAATCTGGATTTTTGTCAAGGGGTGGAAAGGAATAGTTAGGGGCTAAAATTATGTGCAAGCAGGGGTGGGAAGGAATAATTTATGAGATGAGGACTTTCCCAGTCCACAGTGGAGAATTCTTAATCTTCCAGATTCTCTTATGTTTGTCTACTTATCATATACTGATGGAAGAGTTTGTGTAATCCTTCTGTGTCAGAGCTAAAGTATACCTTAGCCATTGTTTACTGAGAGGGTGGGAAGAGGGATGTCAGAATATTCTCAGCTTGTCAAAGGGCATTCCACCTTCCTGTTGTACCCTTGGCCATATGGTTGAATCCAGCACTTCAGATGATTCTGAATCATCCCCACCACTCCCATTGATCTAGTTCAGTGTTTCCCAACTCTGAAATGTTGACACAGTTAGAGACCAGAAGCTTGAGGAATAGTGACTGTGAGCCCACCAATTAATGGGGGACATTAAAATGATAGTAGTTCTGCAGCTTCACCTCTAGATGATCTTCATCAGATTCTTAAATTGCATTTACTTGATAAAATCCTCACCACAGCACATCAACATGTCTCTTGCACTACCCAAAAGCAGTATTAAAAAGGAAAATACGTTGACAATTACTATCTAATTAGGTTTTTATTTGAGATACAGGCTATCTATAGCTCTGTTGTTATTTGTGGAAATGCTAGCAAAAAAACAGACTGAAATCTTTCTCCTTATGTTGTTGTTTTAGAAACAACACAAACAGGTTGGGCGGTGGCTCACGCCTGTAATCCCAGCACTTTGGGAGGCTGAGGTGGGTGGATCACTTGGGTTCAGGAGTTCAAGACCAGCCTGGCCAACAGGGTGAAACCCTCGTCTCTACTAAAAATACAAAAATTTGCCAGGCATGGTGGTGCGTGCCTGTAATCCCAGGAACACAAACATAAAAATAAGCCTCTAGTTTTATTTGGGAGGGATCGATATACCATATTCGAGTTCTGAATATCGTGTCAGGAAAGCAGTTTTTGATGCCACTAGTTAAATGTTTGTGTGTTTTGATATACCGTTGGTCTTCCCAACCAAACATCACTTTTTTTTTTTTTTTTTGAAACAGTGTCTCACTCTGTCACCCAGGCTGGAGTTCAGTGGTGCCATCTTGGCTCACTGCAACCTCTGCCTCCTGGGTTCACGTGATTCTCCCATCTTAGCCTCCTGAGTAGCTGGGACCACAGGCGTGTGCCACCACATCCAGCTAATTTTTGTATTTTTTGTAGAGACGGGGTTTCATCATGTTGGCCAGGCTGGTGTCGAACTCCTGACCTAAAGCGATCTGTCTGCCTCGGCCTCCCAAAGTGTTGGGATAAGTGCTGGGATTGCAGATGTGAGCCTCTGCACCCAGCCTATCCCTTTTTAAGATGGGGAAAAATGGAAATTTGCTGTTATGTATTACACATATTATGAAAGCATATTAGAATGTATTTTCTGGGCCGGGCCTGGTGGCTCATGCCTGTAATTCTGGCACTTTGGGAGGCCAAGGCAGGCAGATCACTGGAGCCCAGGAGATCAAGACCAGCCTGGGCAACATAGCAAAACCTTGTCTCCAAAAAATACAAAAAATTAGCTAGATGTGGTGTTGTGCACCTGCAGTCTCAGCTACTCAGGAGTCTGAGTTGGGAGGATTGCTTGAGTCCAGGAGTTTGAGGTTATAATGAACTATGGTTGCACAACTGTACTCTAGTGTGGACAACAGAGTGAGACCCTGTCTCCAGAAAAAAAATAATAAAAATCAAATAACTTCTTTATTGGAGATTACATACAAATCGTGACCTTTTTTTTTATTCCTGAAGTCTTTAGTAAGGTTATATGTTTACTGCAATAGATCTTAAATTTTACTATGATCAAAAATCTCCTAGGTGCTTGTAAAAAATAAAGATTCCTGGTTCCTAGCCCAGCCCTACAGAATCAAAGTGTTTGGGATAGAGATGTGGGATTCTGATGTAGTTTATCTGTAGACCCCACTTGGAGAAAGAATTTATGTGAGAAAGAACCACACATAAAAAAAAAGATTGAGAAATGCTATTATTTTGCAGAGGAGGAATTTAAAGCACAGAAAAGTCAAGAGGCTCAGACTTAACTAGGATATCCAGCTAGTTATTTGACTCTTGCAGACCAGAAGCTAGGTTGGCTGACTACTGTGGATTTGTGCTCTTTCCATTAGATTATAGTCTGGGGTGTGCCATCTTTTGGCCTCCCTGGGCCACATTGGAAGAAGAAGAATTGTCTTGGGCCACACATAAAATACACTAACACTAATGATAGCTGATGAAAGTTTATGAATTTGTGTTGGGCCCGGAGGCCATGGGTTGATCAAGCTTGGATTATGCCAGGGTGCCTCCTTGCTGGTTTATCTGATTGCCTTTAAATCAGAAGCTATAAGATAATGAGGGCAAAGGTACTTTGATTCCTTCAGAACAATAATGACTGAACTGGCACTTCATAGTGTGAAAAGTTTGTGCTTCTTAAACTATCTGTGGTGAAGGACCAGCTTTGTAAGGGTTTCCCTTCACCCCTAATCTGTTGCCAGCCAATAATTGTGTAAAGTACAAGAAAAGGGAATCACCAGAAAAATCATGCACTTGGATGTCACAGCAATGTCAAGCACTAGAAAAGTTTCTAAATGCTTACTGTGATTTTCTGTGTTTTATCTTGACGTGAATGGGCCTCCAGCAGTCTGACACACACACTTTGAATAGCATTGTTCTAAGTGGTTCTTAGGACATCTTAAGAACTTGATATCAGAGGTCCTTGATCATTTTCTTCCTCATGCCACCTATAACTGAAGCTACCATCTGAGAGCTCCCATTCCTACCTGGGGAGAGAAGTTTCATGACTTGGTGGTTTCCTAGGTCAGAACCAAAGTTGATAATACTTAGGGACTAGTTAAGGAACTATATAGTTAATTTATTTAATTATTATAAATAATTTATATATATTTAATATATATATAATTTATTTTAATATATTTTATTTTTATTTTTAAAAACCAGAACATTTATTGTGTTACTAATTGTTGAAATTCTTAAGATGAACTGGATGCTGCAGCAGCTGCCCTCTTGGGTTTAGGTGGTGTTCTTTCACAGAATCCATGCCCGAATTTGCTGTATACAATTTTTAAGTGCCTCATTTGACCAGTTCCAGTGGTAGTTTGTCTTTTAGCCTTGGCACTCCAGTTATACTTCCTCTTGCGCTTGGCAGCATAGCCACATTTGCCACAGGTCGACTTCTGAAGGTGGTACGTCCTGTCACGTCTTATTGTGATGCTTTCCAAACGATGATGTTCCCTTCATCATCTGGCTTCTGTTACTATTATTATTATTATTATTATTATTATTATTATTATTATTATTTGAGACGGAGTTTTGTTCTTGTTGCCCAGGCTGGAGTGCAATCGTGCGATCTTGGCTCACCGCAACCTCCGCCTCCCGGGTTCAAGCAATTCTCCTGCCTCAGCCTCCCAAGTAGCTGGGATTATAGGCATGCATCACCACACCCGGCTAATTTTGTATTTTTAGTAGATGGGGTTTCTCCATGTTGGTCAGGCTGGTCTTGAACTCCCGACCTCAGGTGATCTGCCCACCTTGGCTTCCCAAAGTGCTACAATTATAGGCATGAATCACCACGCCCGGCGTTTTTACTATTATTTTTAAAATTACTGCTCCTTGCAGAGCAGGGCTACCCTATAGGCAATGTGCCCACAGTAGCCAACCTTTAATATATTTAAGAGTAAATTGAGGCCGGGCATGGTGGCTCATGCCTGTAATCTCAACACTTTTGGAGGCCTGAGGCGGGCGGATCACTTGAGGTCAGGAATTCGAGACCAGCCTGGCCAATATGGTGAAACTCCATCTCTACTAAAAATACAAAAATTAGCCAGGTGTGGTGGCACGCGCCTGTAGTCCCAGCTATTCGAGAGGCTGAGGCAGGAGAATCCCTTGAACATGGGAGGTGGAGATTGCAGTGAGCCAAGATCATGCCACTGCCCTCCAGCCTGGGAGACAGAGCAAGACTCCGTCTCAAAAAAAAAAAAAAAAAAAAAAAAAGAATAAATTGATAGAATTTGCATTGGGTGCTTGTATTGGGAGGCATATTCCCCTCTTTTTGACTAAATACTGGAAAGGAGTTTCTAACTTCTTGGCCTGTAACTTAACTCACAGTTAAGATGCTTAAAGATGGGAGACAGAAAATAAAATTTAGGGGTGTGCAATTTCTTCGAGACGCTTTTGTGTTTGCTTTTTAGAAGCCTTTTGTGAATAGTCTACGAGGATGCATTATTAGTTTTTGTGGTTATAATGTCAAAATTAGTGTTGATTTGGAGCAGGCAGGGAAATCTCTCCATGCATGCTTTTCATCCTGGTTTAATTGCTTAGTTGGATGAAATGTCAAACTTGATAGATTATTGGAGCTGTTATTTTGGTAGTTAAACAATAATGAAACTGTTTGAATGTTTTTGGAGAACACTGCTTCCTGTGTCTGGACTTTGCACTGGAGAAAGTTTCAATTGTTCACAAGCAATACTGGTTAGAAAATGCAGCTTCTGTGGCTCCTAACACAGCTGTCTAAATTACTAGCTATATGGGGGCCTTTGGACAAGCACTGCTTAACACTTTTGGAAACAATTTGTTTCTGATTCCAAAAATGTCGATGGTCATTCCCTGAATACTTGAGAAAACTAGAAATGGGAAAAAGGTATTGCATGTGTCTAGGTTATGCCAGTCAAGTGTTTTTTCTTTAAGCATCTCTAGAACAAATTTACCTTTTTAGCTAAGGATAAGAGGTTTATGGAAATGTTGTAGCAGCCCCCTGGGCCTTTCTTTCCTCCTTGATGACTGTTCAGCAGGGTAGCATGTTGTCAGCTTGTGTGCCAGCTTACAGAGGGCTTGCGTTATTATAACCTTGATTAGGAAAGAGGGATGGGGAACAGGAGTGAGAGGACAGATGTTTTTGAAAGTCCCTCTGCCTGCTATGTGAAATCTTGAATTTTCACTTTGAACTTCACTGTTGTTTGGTGACAGATGTTATAAAACTGTCTTTACAAACAATCCCCTTTCCTATTGAAATTGTATGTTGGCCACAGGAGCTAGGGAAGCATTGGGCATGTTCAGCAGGATTTATTTCACTCATTCCACTGTGTCAGATGATACTTTTTCTGAATGAAATTGTATGCATTCTTCAGTGGGAGTTAGGGGAAGGCTTATTCTTGTCTAAAAGTATGGGAGAATTTGTGTAAGACTGATCAAAAGACTAGCACTTCTTTTGCTATGTGATACTTCTCTTTGTGCCATATTTTACCTGTAGGAAAATTACCAACAGTTATTATGTGCTCTCCAGGTGCCAGGGACTTTGCTGTATTAACAAGTTTAATCCTCCTAACAATCCTATGAGGTGTGTAGGTGTTATCTGTGTTCCACAAATGTGAAAATGCCGCACAGAGAAATTAAAGAGGGGGCCCAAAGCCTCACAGTGTTGGAACCCAAGTATTCCAGCTGTCAAGGTTGAGCTGTCAACTACTGGGTGACAGCTGCCTCACACTCCGTCAGGATGATTACCTTTTGAATAAGTCTTTACAAATATGTCGGCTGCAGAAGTAACCAGTCCAGAATGAATGAACTCTCACCGCAGTTTTAGCTCAGCAAGCAGTGCCTGCTATCAGAAACATCCAAAAACCACAGCAATTAGACAAATAAATTGTGAAAGATGTGGTTTCCAGGTAAGATATGTGACAGGCTTCTTACCGCAAATAGTTTTTCTTACAAAAGGAGAAAGACTGGTGGGAGAGATGGTGGAAAAAATGAAAACAATGTGTCTTTTATGATTGTCTGGGCCCATCCTCACAGGACTTCATATGTAGTGAAGGCAGAATATTTACCTCAAGCCCAGATGACCAACTTTTACTTTCTACACTGACTCAGGCTTCTTCCTAAAAATGGTGTTTCACCATTTATTCCACTAACATCACTTTTTAATTCTTAAAATAAAAAAGAATAGTTTTATTCATAAAACTACATGGGCCTACTTGTGTGGAATGTGATTTAAAAATGATGTTAGCAATACTTGTTACTTATTTTACTAGTTTTAGCTTTGTTAGTGCTGAAGGATGTTTTATAGTTTATTCTAAAATTGTAAACGTTTTTGATGTGTAAGCCAGTCACCCTTAAAAGCACATTTGGCTAAATAAATAAAGCATTAGGTTAGAGAAGAGTTCACTGGTGGTTATTTTTTGTTTTGTGTGTGTGTGTGTGTGTGTGCGTGTGTGTCTGTGTGTGGGGTCTTCCTGTTTGTCAATAGGCCTTCCCAATTAATTGAATTCTACATAAGATACATAGATGTTAGTGCCCCATAGGGCCTCATCTTGTAAGTGATGTTAGTGGAGTAAATGGTGATATACCATTTTCAGTAAGAAGCCTGAGTCAGTGTAGAAAGTAAAAGTTGGTCATCTGGGCTTGAGGCAAATATTCTGCCTTCACTACATATGAAGTCCTGTGAGGATGGGCCAGAGAATCATAGAAGAAACATTGTTTTCATTTTTTCCACCATCTCTCCCACCAGTCTTTCTTCTTTTATAAGAAAAACTATTTGCGGTAAGAAGCCTGTCACATCTTACCTGGAAACCACATCTTTCACAACTTATTTGTCTAATTGCTGTGGTTTTTGGATGTTTCTGATAGCAGGCACTGTCTGCTGAGCTAAAATTGCAGTGAGAGTTCATTCATTCTGGACTAGTTACTTCTGCAGCCTTCTGGCCCATTACTCATGGCTTTGGTGAGGCTCGATAAAAATATTGTGATGGATAGGGCACAGGTAGTGCCTGAATGTATTTCAGATAGTTGGGCCAACAACCAATCTATGCTTAAATAATCATCTCTCCTGCATAGTAGAGACTGCAAAATAGTATGAAACATGCTATACTTTATAAACATTTTGCCTTTTTTAGCTCCCCGTAGTGGCTGGACAGTTGACTGAATAATTTCATGTTTTTTTTTTTTGAGACGGAGTTTCACTCTTGTTGCCCAAGCTGGAGTGAAATGGCACAATCTCAGCTCACTGCAACCTCTGCCTCCTGGGTTCAAGTGATTCTCCTGCCTCAGCCTCTTGAGTAGCTGAGATTACAGATGCACGCTACCATGCCTGGCTAATTTTGTATTTTGAGTAGAGACGGAGTTTCTCCATGTTGGTCAGGCTGGTCTCGAACTCTCCACCTCAGGTGATCCACCTGCCTCGGCCTCCCAAAGTGCTGGGATTACAGGCGTGAGCCACCACGCCCGACCACTTTTTTTTTTTTATACTTTATTTTTAGGTAATTATAGATTCACAGGAAGTTGCAAAAACACTACACAGTTCCCATGTACCCGTCACCCGTTTTTCTCCCATTGGTTATGTCTCATTTAACCATAGTACAATATCAACACCAGGAAACTGACATGGTGCTCTGTGTGTGTGTGCATGTGTGTGTGTGTGTGTGTAGTTTTCTGCTGTTTTATCACATGTATGGATTTGTGTAACTGTTCTACCACCACAAAGATCCCCCTTGTGCTACTCCTTTATTATCATGCATATCCGTTTTCCCTACTGTCCTAATCTCTGGAAACCAGTAATCTGTTCGGTGTCTCTATAATTTTGTCATTTCAGAAATATTATGGAAATGGAATCATAACAGTATGTGACCCAATATGTGACCTTTTAAGACTGGGTTTTTTGTTTTTTACTTTTATATGCATAGAACAATTGGAACTTTTTTTTTTTTTTTTTGAGACAGTGTCTGGCTCTGTTGCCCAGGCTGGAGTGCAGTGGCGCAATCTCAGCTTACTGCAACCTCTGCCTCTCTAGCTCAAGCCATCCTCCCACTTCAGCCTCCTGAGTAACTGAGACTACAGGTGTGCACCACCACACCCAGCTAATTTTTGTATTTTTTTTATAGACAGGGTTTCACCATGTTGCCCAGGCTGGTCTTGAACTCCTGAGCTCAAGCGATTTGTCCGCCTCAGCCTCCCAAAATGCTGGTATTACAGGTGTGAGCCACTACACCCAGCCTCGAATGTATTTTTTGTAGAGATAGGTCTCACTGTGTTTCCCAGGCTGGTCTTGAACCCGGCATTTTTCACTTAGTGTCACACCATCCATCCAAGTTATTGTGTGGCAGCAATAGTTTGTTCCTTTTATCTCTGAGTAGTATTCCATGGTGTGTATATACCACAGGCTGTTTAACTATTCACCGGAAGGGCATTTTA
The DNA here is from genome assembly GCF_000001405.40 of Homo sapiens. Lineage (NCBI taxonomy): Eukaryota > Metazoa > Chordata > Mammalia > Primates > Hominidae > Homo > Homo sapiens. The sequence goes on along the minus strand of NC_000017.11, from coordinate 35,071,801 downwards.
GTTGTTACCAGTTTGGGGCTATTACAGATGAAGCCATAATGAACATTTGTGTACAGGTGATTGTATGGACACAAGTTTTAGTTTCTTTGGGTTAAGCATCCAGGAATGAAATTGCTGGTTCTTAAGGTAAGTAAGTGTATGTTCAGTTTTCCAAAGAAATTGCTAAACTTTTTTTTTTTTTGGACAGTGTCTCACTCACTCTATCACCCAGGCTGGAGTGCAATGGTGCGATCTCAGCTCACTGCAACCTCTGCCTCCTGGGTTCAAGCAAGTCTCCTGCCTCAGCCTCCCAAGTAGCTGGGACTACAGGTGTGCACCACCACTACCAGACAAATTTTGTATTTTTAGTAGAGACAGGGTTTCACCATGTTGGCCAGGCTGGTCTTGAACTCCTGACCTCAAGTGATCTGCCCACGATGTCCTCCCAAAGTGCTGGCATGACAGGGGTGAGCCACCGCACCGGGCCAAAATTGCTAAATTCTTTTCCAGAGTTGCTGTACCATTTTACAGTCTCACCAGCAGTGTATGAGATCCAGTTTCTCTGCATCCTCACCAGCATTTGATATTGTCATCATTTTTAAATTTTTGTTTTTTTTTTTTTTTTGAGTTGGAGTCTTGCTCTGTAGCCTAGGCTGGAGTGCAGTGGCATAATCTTGGCTCACTGCAGCCTCTGCCTCCCAGGTTCAAGCAATTCTCCTGCCTCACCCTCTCAAGTAGCTGGGACTACAGGCATGTGCCACCATGCCTGGCTAATTTTTTGTATTTTTAGTAGAGACTGGGTTTCGCCCTGTTGGCCAGGCTGGTCTCGAACTCCTGGCCTCAAGCAATTTACCTGCCGTGGCCTCCCAAAGTGCTGCAAATACAGGCATGGGCCACCGTGCCTGGCCACCATTTTAAATTTTAGCTATTCTAATAGGTGTTATATCTGGTTTTTAAGTTCATCAGATTACTTAGTAAAACTGATTCGACTGACAAAGATAGAAGATTTTTGAGTTGTATTTTTAGCTCTCTGAATGAATCTGCCTCCATACAGTGTCACAGTGGTCTGCTGACTGGCTTTTTAGCACCCCTGCCATGGTTTCCTTGACAGCAAGACCCTAGACAAACTCTTTTTACCCAGCAATAGATAGCACAGCACTCCCAGTACAGTACTGCCCATAGACAAATAATACAATTTCAAAACTGTGAATTTCTTGTTAATTTTTTATACTTTTGCCTCCATGACTGTAGCTTTAAATGTACTCAAAATTTGGCTTCCAAAGGCCCTAAAAACTTTTTCAAATTGTTTTGGTTTATGTTATCAAATGGTCTTAGGTACTTTATTTCTAATACGATTAACTTAAACTGCTCACACCTATAATCTCAGCACTTTGGGAGGTTGAGGCAGGCGGATTGCTTGAGCCTAGGTGTTTGAGATCAGTCTGGGAACCATATTGAGACCCCATCTCTACAAATAATAAAAGAATTAGCCAGGCATGGTGGCATGCACCAGTGATCTCAGCTACTCGTGAGGCTGAGGTGGGAGATTGCTTGAGCCAGGGTGGTCAAGGCTGCAGTGAGCTGTGATCACACCACCGCACTCCAGCCTCGGTGACAGAGTGAGAACTGTCTCAGAAAAACAAAACAAAACCCAGCTAAAATAGCATAAAGTAGAAGTTAGACCCCCATCCCTACTAGGAATAACTGCTATTAAATGGTTTTAGTATATGTGTGCGTGCTCGCTCGCTCTTTTGCACGTGCGCGTGCTCTCCCTCTCTCGGTGTGTATGTATATATATGTATGTGTGTATCTATCATATATAATTAAATATATATTCCCCCCTGCTGTTCACAGTGCTTTTTTTCAAATGGGTAATGTATTATGGAGCATTTTTTAATGTGAATTTTTTAAAGCATTTAGGACCTGGGATGGAGCTTTGGGTTCCTTTCTCCAACCCTTGTCTGTTCTGTTATAAAAGGGATGAGAGAGGTACCTTTGAAAGACCTAAAGAAAATACGTTTTCTTCCTTGTTACATGGGTTTCAGTTGAAATAAGGTTTTAGCTTTATTTGTGAGTAAATCAGTAGAATACTGGATGTTAGGATGCATCTCTCCACTTTATTATAAATAATGCAAGGCTGATTTTATGATGTGATCTCTTGCAGAACTTTGGGGGAAGTGAGAACTGTGAGCACAATAATCTTCAGAGAATGCACAGTCCTTTGGGTATTTGTCTACTCATCAGCTGCTTAGTCAGATGGAGTGTTTTCCTAAGTACTACTGAAGTACACAGTTCAGTCTTTATTTTGAAATCTCTCCTTCTGCCTTCTCTCCCTCTTCCATTACTTTGATTACCTTGATGGGACATTCAAGCTGTGCAGTCGTATCCTTTTATTTCTATAGCCTGCAGAAACCAGGTTGAAGATTAACTGTAGGTGAACAGGTAATCTTATCTACTTGGCTAGAAATCACCCTTCAAGATGAAACACGTGTTGACAAAGGCCCCCTAGACTTGGGGACATGAACAAAGGTAAGTTAATCTTGGGGCATTATTAGTGGAAACCAGGGTAGACGTTTAGGAAGTTTGACTTATTGGAGGCAGGGCATGTGTGTCAGGGAGACAGAGCATGTGAGTGTGTGTATTAGGAGAAGAGACGAATTCAGAGGTATACAGAAAAGAAGAATGATGAATTCAGGCAATCTTCAGAGTTGAATTACAGAATCTTTTTTCTGAGAGTATGGTTACTGCGGCAAGGTAGTAATAGGACATGAGCCTGCTAAGTCACTTCATTATGAAGCTATTAGAATTTAGGTGATGGAGTTTGATGACAGGGGTCTTTTCCCTGCCCTTCTACTGTATTAGCTGCTCAGGGAAAAAAAACAGAAAACTAAGAAATAGCCTTATATAGAAAATTATACCCATCAAATGGTTCCAAGGTTTCTGTTGCTGGGTTTCTGAAATGAGCTGCCCAAGATAGCAGTTTGGTCATGTTGCTGACTTCTTGCTGACTTCCTTTCTCCTCCTCCTCCTCCATCGGGTCCTCAGGCTGGGTCCTGACCCCTCTGGATTCTTTCTTTTCCTGCATGCTTGCTACTTTTTCAATTACTGACATACAGGAACCTAGTATTTCATTGTGCCTGAGGTAGGCAGTTGCTAGCCTCTTGATATTGGATACCTTTTCTGAGCTATGAAGTATTACACCATAGTGGATAATAAAGTACTCACAATTGCATTATAGAATAGATTCTGGTAACTGCACCAGTGGGGACAGACTGGGTTAGCATGCCCTCACACAACTGGGGGGTTGTTTTGCAGCAAAGTGCTGTGAAGCAGGTTGAGCCTCATGCAGTGCCAGTTCCTGTATCTAAATGTGAAAGTGGCTTGTTAAAGATTAAAGGGACTGCCTGGTCCTTCTGGCCCCAAGATGGAATGATCTCTGCCATGGCGACAGCCTCTATCTCCCAGGAGAGGCCATTTTATACAGCACATTTGTGCTTCCAAATGTTACTGTAAGCCTGCACTGGCTGATACTCTGGCGATAAGTTGACATTTGGGCACTCTCAAGACATATGAGCTATATAGCATCCCATGGTTTGAATTTCTGGGCAAAATTGGCTCATCAGGAAGTCAAAAGCCTCTACTTTCAACCTGTTCCTTTGGGTTTTCTCCTTTGTTTTATTTGACTATTCTGTTGAGTCAAATGAACTTTAATTTTTAGCCATAAAAATTCCATTAAGCCCCTTGTATCATATCCAGGTGTGAAAATGTCTCAGTATAACAAGACTGTGGGTGACAGGTGAAATCCTTAATGGTAGTTAGGATAATTGTCTCTGAAGGCTTGAAGAAAATAATGGTCCAACCAACAAAGTGAATACAGTTTGTATTTTTTGTGGTTCTTGTGGGTGAGCGGACTTATGTTTAGGACCTGCTCAGTGTGACTACTGTTCAGCTTGGAGGTCTTTGAAAAAACTTTTTTTCATTTTACTCTAAACAGTGCTTAGGGAACATAGCTGTGTCCTTTTTCTCAAAACATGATCCAAGGCCCATCTGTATCAGAATTGCTTGGAAGGCCGGGCGCAGTGGCTCACACCTATAATCCCAGCACTTTGGGAGGCTGAGACGGGCGGATCACTTGAGGCCAGGAGTTCAAGACCAGCCTGGCCAACATGGCGAAACTCCGTCTCTACTAAAAATACAAAAATTAGCCAGGCCTGGTGGTGCATAGTAATCCCACCTACTTGAGAGGCTGAGGCAGGAGAATCGCTTGAACCCGGAGGTGGAGGTTGCAGTGAGCCGAGAAATTGTGCCACTGCACTCCAACCTGGGCGACAGAGCGAGACTCTGTCTCAAAAAAAAAAAAAAAAAAGGCTTGGAAGAGAGAGATACTTATTAAAAATTCAGTTTTGGCCAGGCATGGTGACTCACGTCTGTAATTCTAGCACTTTGGGAGGCTGAGGCAGGTGGATCACCTGAGGTCAGGAGTTCGAGACCAGCCTGGCCAACATGGCAAAACTCTGTCTCTACTTAAAATACAAAAATTAGCCAGACATGGTGGCATACGCCTATAATCCTAGCTACTTGGGAGGCTGAGGAAGGAGAATTGCTTGAACCCAGGAGGTGGAGGTTGCAGTGAGCTGAGATTGCACCATTGCACTCCAGCCTGTGCGATGAGAGTGAGATTCCGTCTCAAAAAAAAAAAAAAAAAATTCAGTTTCTGGGGCCTCCCTCCATGTCTGCTAATTCAGAGTGTCTGAGGGACTGGGATGAGAAATGTTCATTTTCAATAAGCACCCCTGTTGATTCTTAAGTACCCCTAGAGTTAATTGTTGAGTATCATAAAGTTTACTTCATTTTTCATGTTTAATTTCTGTGATTTATTAGATGATAAATATTTGGTTGCCATCATATTGTTTTTCTTAAATACTATGTTCTATAGTTAAAAAAAAAAAAAGGCTGTGAGGTCACTGAACACCAAGATTAGAATTTGGCAATCATTAATTATCAACAAGGTGAGACAGGCACTGATTCCTGGAAATGTGCATTTATCCATTCACCGACTTCTCAGTTAGAAAAAGGATGTGGACACAAGTAAGATTAATTTTGTTAAAAACAAGAAATGTGCAGTATCATTTAGGATGCTGGGGGTAGGGAAGTAGATAAAAGGGAGATGTTGAGAGGAAAGAGTGTGAAGAGAGAGTAAAGCAGTTTGTAAGTGATACAAACTTTAAAATTTTAACTGAATTTTAAACTACCAAGTCATATTTGAATATATGCTTGTTGTAAAAAAATTCATGATTTTTGGGGGGTAATTTGGATAAAGCTAAACATAGCTATTTGATCTTTATTCCCATTACAGTGCTCTCCCTGCTGTGTGCATCCTCCCAGATCTTCTGTATGTATTTGGTAATTTTCTGTGGATTTGGAAGACTACAGAATCCTGAGAAATGGATATTTTAATTTCTCTTTTGAAACCTGCTTATTGTTTATAATGTCAAGATCTATTGCAGAAAAGAAAGTAAATCTGGGATGTCAATGACATCACATATGTCTGTTCAAATGAAACAATGGGCACATACACATATGCACACTCATTAAATATCTGTTGAGACCACCCTATTAAAAAAAGCATAAATAGTTTTGGGTGTTAAGTTACTTGAGTTTTAAAATAACGTATTTTCTGTTTTTGTTGTTTTTTGTTTTGAGATGGAGTCTCCTTCTGTCGCCTGGGCTGGATTGCAGTGGCGCAATCTCGGCTCTGCAACCTCTGTCTCCTGGGTTCAAGTGATTCTCCTGCCCCAGCCTCTAGAGTAGCTGGGGTTAGAGGTGTATGCCACCATGCCTGGCTAATTTTAAAATAATGTATTGAAAGAACTTAGTCAGAAAGCCACAGTTATTATTTCTCCCATAGCCTCATATTCTCATAATTTTCATGTAACCTCATAAATCCTCAAGTGCCTGAAACCACTAGTTCAAACGAGTACCTTTTTAAGCTCTAAAATGTAATCCTCAACCTTTCCACTTTAAAAGGAAGAACTAGGATGGAGTGTGGCTATAATTTGGGGCAGTTGGTTAAAACTGTATCAGAGTCCCAAAGAGGGGAATGATAAGCTGCAGCAGCTCTGTTCACTTGCTCAATGGTGTTTCTCTTAGTCAACTTAGGAGTTCCATGCCTTTGGCCTTCAGGCTGCTCTTTATATAGTTCGTATCTGTCTCCTGGGCATAGTACTGTCTGGATTTTCTCTTTCTTTTTTTTTTTTTTTTTTTGAGACGAAGTTTTGCTCTGTTGTTGCCCAGGCTGGAGTGCAATGGCACAATCTTGGCTGACTGCAACCTCTGCCTCCCGGGTTCAAGCGATTCTCCTGCCTCAGCCTCCCGAGTAGCTGGGATTACAGGCATGTGCCACCACACCTGGCTAATTTTGTATTTTTAGTAGAGATGGGGGTTTCTCCATGTTGGTTAGGCTAGTCTTGAACTCCCGACCTCAGGTGATCCGCCCACCTCGGCCTTCCAAAGTGCTGCAATTATAGGCGTGAACCGCTGTGCCCGGCCCTCTTATTTAAAGTTCGCAAATACAGAACAGGTCAGGAGCTTTTCTAATCATTTTTTTTTTTTCTGAAGGAGGTTCCATATTTGTCTGTACCTTGAGAGTTGTTTCATACTAGAATTTGTAACTTATCATCAACTACAGAAATTTTTTTTAAAGTGTGGTTGAAGAGATAATGGTTGTCAGCTGCTATAAAGATGTGTTTATCATTCAGAAAGGACTAATTAACATGTACTATAGGGAAACTTCTTTAAACAAAGCCATTTTCTGAAAGGAAAACACTGAAGGGGAGGAAATAAAACAGGGAACATTTTATAATACCTTATCAAAGCTCAGCGTGGCTATCCTACTGGAATAATGTAATTAAGGAGAATTAAGTGAGTTGGATAAATAACTTTTTAAAACTAGCCCCTTGAATAGAAAATTAAGTAGTATAGTTTTTAAACTCAAATTCTGTCTGCACGTACATTTTAATTAACCTAACATTATTGAATGACAAGCTGAGTTGGCAGCTACATCCAGAGTTCATGCCATGTGAGACCTACCTTAAAGGATGAACGAAGCTGGGTGCAGAGGCCTCAAATGCCCTGCTAAGAAATAGCTGATGGCCTTGGGGAACTGTCATACATTTTAAGCAGGAAACAGAAGGATCTAATAGGAACTTTAGTTTCTCTCTTGTCAAATTAAAGCACACAAAAAGCAAGGACTTGATCTTTTTTTTTTTTTTTTGTATAACACCAATGTCAATTCTAGCCTGTCAGGGCAAATTCAGTAATTAATAGCTGTTGATGAGCCAGTCATTCTAGATTGATTTTTTAAATAAGCAGGCTAATAAATGAGAATTGACATAAATTTAGGGATGTCTCTTTTCAGAGCAAGTGTTAAGGTGATTTTCATAGTCTTCTGTATTCCCTATGCATCCAGTAGGTGTGATGGTAAATGATTTGGCTTTAGCATAGAGAATGTGGCAGCTGATTAAAAAAAAAAAATTCCAGTGCATCTATCTTAATGAGAGAACTTGAGTTGTCTGAAGAAATAGAGAGGTCAGAGGAGGCCTAGTGGGAAAAAAGAACAATGAGCCTGGTTAGAACTGACAAAAATTCACCCTAATGATTTGACTGGCTAATGATGACTGGGCAAGTTCCCTGAGTCCACTGACCCAGATGTTCTAATTTGTAAATGCAAAGTGACTTATTTATCAGCCTCCTGGGGAAATCTTCAGAGCTGTGAACCTGCTATGTTCAGTAATCTTGCTGGCCCCAGCCCCAGCCTGTTCTCAGATGAAATTTTAGAAACTGGCCACTGGAACTTTTTGGGTAAGGGCTCTGGAGGTGGCCAAGTTACCAGTAGTGGGGGAATGAGGTTTACCTGCCCCCAGTAATCAGCACTTGATTTAAAACAATCAGTGAGCTGCCTCTTCTTTCCTAGGTTGCAGTTGACTGCGGTTGGTTCAGGCTGAGTTGTTTGGGAAGTACAAATTTTGCCCAGCGTGAGTCAGCACTGCCCTGGGTAAACTCCCTGCTGTGTTGCAATCTTGCTTACCAAAGATACATCCCCAGGCGGCACCATTCACTTCACATGAAAGCCGCTGCTCTTGGTTCCTGAGATGATCTCATCTGAACATGGCTCCAGCGACCTCAGCCACAGGAACTAGAGACAGCTTGCTTTCTGTCGTGGCAATGTTTTGAAACTGGCAAAATCAGGTAACCTCAAACTGTTTTCTTAAGTTTCATTAGCTAGATGAAGCTGCATTAGAAACTGGGAAAATCCTGTCTTCAGAAGTGAGTCAGGTTTTTTTTTTTTTTTTTTTTTTTTTTTTTTTTGAGACGGAGTTTCACTCTTGTTGCCCAAGCTGGAGTGCAATGGTGTGATCTCGGCTCACTGCAACCTTCACCTCCCGGGTTCAAGTGATTCTCCTGCCTCAGCCTCCCAAGTAGCTGGGATTATAGATGTGCGCCACCATGCCCGGCTAATTTTGTATTTTTAGTAGAGACAGGGTTTTGCTGTGTTGGTCAGTCTGGTTTCGAACTCCCAAGCTCAGGTGATCCACCCTCCTCAGCCTCCCAAAGTGCTGGAATTATAGGCATGAGCCACGGCCCCCGGCCAGAAGTTTTCTTTCATTTGAGTTCTGGATGTGGAGTTAGGTCCAATTAAATCACTGATTATATAAATCTTAGAAAAGTAAAACGTTAGGTTTACAGCTTTATCCGTCATTTGCTCTTGTATTTTGTTTTTTTGTGTGTATCTTGTGAGAAACACTTTAGTCAAACTAAGCCATTGTTAAAGGAAAAGAAGTGAAGGCATTTGGTTGCCTTCCTAATAACTAAATATTGAGTTGTGGAGAACACTGTCTTATCAGTGAGTTTGTTCCCATATTCCTTTCTGAATTAATAGGAAGAACCTCCCTCATCTCTAATTCTACTAGGCTACTACTCTATCTCCCTCCTGCTTTTCATCGCCAAACTTTTGAGTCCTTCACCTAATCAGACTATGATATCTCTAGGTAGTCGTCACCCTCCAAATTACGTTTCTGCTCCTTATAATTCCAACAAATTGCCCACGTTCTCTTTCACCTCAGACCTTAGCATATGTAAGCGTTCTTTTACACACCTTCCCCAAGCTTAATCTGGCCAACTGGTTTCAGCCTAGAAGTCACCTCTTCCATGAAGCCTCTTCTTACTTACCAGGGTTGAGTACTCAGGAGAACCTGGTATTTACTCCAATCATAGTATGTATTGAGAATCAGGGTCTGCTTTGCTAGAATTGTATCCATGGTACGTTGCACATAGTAGGTTCTCAGTAAGGGTAGAATGAGCAAGAGCCTGTACTGTACTTTCTCAACTCTGATCCTCTCATCAACTCTTTTTTTTTTCTTCTGAGAGGAATCTTGCTCTGTCACCCAGGCTGCAGTGCAGTGGTGTGATCTTAGCTCACTGCAACCTCTGCCTTCCTGGTTCAAGCGATTCTCCTGCCTTAGCCTCCTGAGTTGCTGGGACTACAGGTACGTGCCACCACGCCCAGCTAATTTTTGTATTTTTAGTAGAGACAGTGTTTCACCATGTTGGCGAGGATGGTCTCGATCTCTTGACCTCATGGTCCACCTGCCTTGGCCTCCCAAAGTGCTGGGTTTACAGGTGTGAGCCACCGCGCCCGGCCTTGTTCATTCTTTTTATGCTCACATCTTTAAATGTGCTAAACCCTGTTGATTTTGTTGGAGTACTGTTTGATGTGTGGCTTTTCTTCATTCCCACTGTCATTGCCTTAATTTACCAGAGGTCAAAACTGGACGTTTAAAGTCAGGCTGGGCACGGTGGCTCACGCCTGTAATCCCAGCACTTTGGGAGGCCGAGGTGGGCAGATCACCTGAGGTCAGGAGTTTGAGACCAGCCTGGCTAACATGGTGAAACCCCATCTCTACTAAAAACAAAAAATTAGCTGGGCGTGGTGGCACGTGCCTATAATCCCAGTTACTCAGGATGCTGAAGCAGGAGAATCACTTGAACCCAGGAGGTGGAGGTTGCAGTGAGCGAGGATCACACCACTGCACTCCAGCCTGAGCAACAGTGAGACTCCATATCAAAAAAAAAAAAGAGTTTGAGACCATCCTGGCCAACATGGTGAAACCCTGTCTGTATTTAAAAAAAAAAAAAAAGGCACGCCACGCATGGTGGCCAGTGCCTGTGGTACCAGCTACCCAGCAGGCTGAGAAAAGAGAATTGCTTGCACCCAGGAGGTGGAGGTTTCAATGAGCTGAGATTGTGCCACTGAACTCCAGCCTAGGCACAGAAGAAGACTCCATCCCAAAAATCAATCAGTCAGCCTAAGGGCTTAAAATTTTGTGTGTGAATACTTTTAGGCACCATCAGAGAGAAGGCCTGTACTCTTCAAAGATTACGGATACCACCATTTTCTGACATCTTACACACTGAAGACTTAGCATTTTACCTGCATTGCCTCTAGGAATTTGAGTTTGTAACTCCTAGTTCAGACCCTTATCAAATGGCCACTCCTCCATAAGTCTTTCCTTGCTCCTATCTTCTCCATATTGTTGCCCAAGTTATCTTTTTAAAGTCCACATCTAATCTTTTCATTTAAGGTGCCATTTGTTCCCTGTTTTCCACTTAGCTTGACTTCTAAAAGCTTTCACAGTTGGATTCTTTCCTACATGTTGCTGTTAACCATCTCATCTCCCTCTCCCCTGGCCATTTCTCTCCTCTCCAGCTTCACTGAACTTCTCATGTTAACATTCCATGGATATACCATGTCTTTTAGGACTCTGCCTTTTCCCAATGGACTCTCCCTTCTCTAACTGGCAAGATACTCATCCCTCAGGACACTTAGTTCATATATGCATCTTCTCTGACTTCTCTGTCTTTTCTGACAGACAGCACTGTCTGTCTCTTCCACTAGACTGTTGAGTTCTTTGACTGAACTTGGTGTCCCTGGACTAGAGCTTGGCACCATCAGAGAGAGTGGCTGACGTGGATCTCCGGGCTCAAACCGTTATTCTTTGCAATATTAGAAGCTTTTTTGTTAGATGGCATGGTTTTTCATTCCTATTTGATGAACATGAGCCCATGGCTGCTTATTTTGTATGTGTTACCTGCCACCATCAAGTAATCATTCAAAGTTAATTTGAAGATTTAAAGGGTTTGCTGAGATCTAGTCCCGCAATATCACGACATTTTTATGGTGTTTTACAAAATTATTTCCCTCATATGGTTTTATTTGCGTTGGGTAGGCTTTATTTATTATCCCTATTTTACCAGTGATTATAAAGCTAGTCTGATACCAAAGCATATATACATTTAGGTAAGACTCAGAGAGAAAACATGGTTCTTACACTGCATTAAGCAGCTGGTTTGTCTCTTAATATAGTAGTTAAATATACTCTATCAGGTTCCACAGAAATGGTGCCTTTGCTCGATAGGCAAGTGCTAACGGTCTTGCCTTTTACAAGGCCACTTTATCATCAAGGTAGGAGGAGGAGGTACTCTGAACCTGCCTGACCTATGGGAAGGCCCTGGTTGTGGTTAGAGACCTTGATTGAAATTAATGGTGTGCGTACTCCAACCTCTCAGGTTTTTCTTTTATACTTCAAATATCTGGAAGTTGTGAAAACCTGCTGCCCTGGTGGAGTATCAAACCAGGCTGGTGAGTGAAAGCGGTCATCCCAAAATGGAGTAAGCTGAGTGTTAAGGGCAGAAAACCTTTTACAGTTATAGTAAGTAATTAACTTTTTAGATCACTTCACAACTTTTGGAGTGCTAAAATGCCATATTTGGGACTATGAGAAATTCCATTATAAAAAGCTGAACCATTAGAGCTAGGAAATAATCTCTGTTAGATATTGGCATATGGTGTTCAATTTTGGGTCTCTCATACTTGAGAGGATAATTAAAATGATTAAAAGGTTGAAAAACAGGTCTTATCATTATAAGTTTTAAAAAGGGGGGAAAGATTTTAGCCTAGAGAAAGAAAAGCTAAGAGATAACTTCATTATCATCTTCAAATACAAGAATAGTTTTGCCAGGGGGATTTTTATTAATTATTCTTCATGAACTTCAAAGATTTAAGAGGAAATGGTCTTAAATTGAAGGAGGAGCAATTTTGATGAATACGAGAAAGAATTTTTTGATCATCAAAGTGGGGAAATGTTTGAATGACTGCCCAAGAGAGTGTTGAATTTCTGACTGTTTCAGTTGTCTATTGTGTGACAAATTACCCGAAGACTTTTGGTGGCATAACATGACAACCATTTTATTGCCTATGATTTTGTGGGTTAGTAATTCAGGAAAGGAGGACATATTTTTTTTTGTCCCATATGATGCTGATTGAGCTGGAGGATCCAAGAAGGCTGCACATGTCTGTACCTTTGGAGCTAGCTGTTGGCTGGGATATCTTGGTTCTCTGTGAGTTCTCTTTCTTGGTCTCTCATCACTTATAAACCTATATCGAGTGGCCGAGCGCAGTGGCTCATGCCTGTAATCTCAGCACTTTGGGAGGCCGAGGTGAGTGGATCACCTGAGGTCGGGAGTTCCAGACCAGCCTGACCAACATGGTGAAACCCCGTCTCTACTAAAAATACAAAAATTAGCTGGGTATGGTGGTGGGCACCTGTAATCCCACCTACTTGGGAGGCCGAGGCAGGAGAATTGCTTGAACATGGGAGGCGGAGGTTGCAGTGAGCCAAGATTGTGCCATTGCACTCCAACCTGGGTGACAGAGCGAGACCGTCTCAAAAAAAAAAAAAAAAAAAAATTCTAGCTCGAGCTTCTTTTACATGGTGGCTGGGCCATAATGGAAGCTGCAGGATCTCATAAGACCTAGGCCTGGCAGTCATACATCATCACTTTTGCCCCATTCTTTTTGTCAGAGTAAGTCACAATTATAGCCCAGATACAAGAGGAGGGGACATTGACTTCACCTCTAAAGGATAGAGGGTAAAAATCACATTGCAAAAGGGCATGCAATGTGATTGGGATTATTACTACCAACTTTATTTTTTGAAACAGAGTCTCGCTCTGTCACCCAGGCTGGAGTGCAGTGGCGCAATCTCGGCTCACTGCAACCTTTGCCTCCCGGGTTCAAGTGATTCTCTTGCCTCAGCCTCCTGAGTAGCTGGGATTACAGTTGCTTGCCACCACGCCTGGCTAATTTTTGTATTTTTAGTAGATACGGGGTTTCACCATGTTGGTCAGGCTGGTCTTGAACTCCTGACCTTATGATCTGCCCGCCTTGGCCTCCCAAAGTGCTGGGATTACAGGCGTGAGCCACCGCACCTGGCCTACCACCAATTTTAGATACAATTTACCACACTGACCTTAGAGATTTTTCATGAAAGAATAATCAATATATGTTTATTAAATGGGTAGTTTGGGCATATGATTTACAAATTTGGCTGCATATAGAGTCATCTGGGAGCTTTTTACAAGCATAAGCTCCTAGGTACCAGACCAGTGACTCAGTGTCTCCTGGGGGTGTTGTGTTGGCACATAAGAGACACTCTATGTCCTTTCTTTCAGGTAACTATCAGTAAAATGAGTATGGTGGGGGGGGATAGATAGATATAATATGTAAGGCAAGATGATATGTACATTGAGATAGATCTCATCTCTCCTGCTTCTAGGACTTGATTGAATCCTATCTAGCATGCTCTTCTTTCCAGTCTGCCTAGTGTAAATTATATTTCATTAAATCAGCCCATCATCAGAACAGTGTTTCTTGATGCCTCTCATTTTTTTCTCATGTTTTCTGGCATTTTTCCTTCATTACTTTTTTTTTAGTTCATAATTCAATATTTATATGATTGTTTGATGTATAATAGACAAAAATACATCTGCTTTGCTTTCGAGTATCTAACATAGTGTCTGCCTCATAAAAGGCACTCAGTAAGTACTTGTTGAATGAATAAGTGGTTGATTGAATGCATGATTGAATGAAGTGATATTTGAATTTAGCTTTAAAGGTGATTGGAATTTTGGACAGGTAGAGCAAATGAATGGGAAATTTATTGTTCTGAAGTGGAAACTGGATCATATTGCTCATGTAATTTCAGAAAACTGGAGAAACTGGTTTGGGAAAATGGAAGAGTTGGTTTTATATCTAGTATGCTAAGTTTGAGGTATGGAAATTTAGCAGGCATTTAGAAATGAAGCACTGATCTGAAGGGTGAGATTGATTCCAGATATTCACTTTTGGGAGTTACCTGACTGGAGAATGTGAAATCTGTTCCTTTCACAAATACCTGGTAAGCTCCTACTGTGTGCCAGACAGCTATGTTATAGGGAAGGTGAACTGCAGTCTGAGAAGGAGCCAGTCTTGTGAAAAGAGCTAGGGAGAATGTTTCAGCCAGAAAAGGAACCCAAGTTTGTAGGCCCTGGGGCAATAAATAATTTATAATTTTTGAGGAATTGAAGGAAGGTGACCGAAGGACAGAGCAAGGTGAGTGAAGTGGGAGAGCTGCATGAGGTAAAGTGGAAAAGGCAAGCAGAGCCCACATCACATGGGGACTTTGTGGGCTAGATAGTGAGTCTAGCCTTCACTCAAAAGTGTGGTGGGGCTGGGCATGGTGGCTCACACCTGTAATCCTAGCACTTTGGGAGGCTGAGGCAGGTGGATCACCTGAGGTCAGGAGTTTGAGACCAGCCTGGTCAACGTGGTGAAACCCCATCTCTACTAAAAATATAAAAAATTTTAGCCAGGCATGGTGGCTTATGCCTGTAATCCGTGCTACTCGGGAGGCTGAGGCAGGAGAATTGTTGGAACCCGGGAGGTGGATGTTGCAGTGAGCCGAGGTTGCACCACTGTACTCCAGCCTGGGTAACAAAAGTGAAAACTCTGTCTCAAAAAAAAAGAAAAAGAAAAAAAAAAAGGGTGGTGGGACACCATTGAAGGCTTAAAACAGAAAGTGACAAGCAAAGATTCTTTTTCTAAATAAAAGGTTACCCTGGCTACTCTGTAGAGAATAGAGAGTCACAAAGAAGGGACCAGTAAGGAAGTGTTTGTCTCCCTTCTTGAGAAGGATCATCGCAGATAGGGCAGGATATGGCAGTGGACATAGAACGGGATAGTTGCAGGATGCATTTAAAAAGTAGAACCAGGCTGGGCATGGTGGCTCACGCCTGTAATCCCAGCACTTTGGGAGGCTGAAGTGGGCAGATCACCTGAGGTCAGGAGTTTGAGACCAGCCTGACCAACATGGAGAAATCCCGTCTCTACTAAAAATACAAAATTAGCCGGGCGTGGTGGTGCATGCCTGTAATCCCAGCTACTCAGAAGGCTGAGGCAGGAGAATCATTTGAACCCAGGAGGCGGAGGTTGTGGTGAGCCGAGATCATGCCACTGCATTCCAGCCTGGGCAACAGAGCAAAACTTTGTCTCAAAAAAAAAAAAAAAAAAAAGTAGAAGTAAAATTCACTAGAGAAGGAAAGGAAGAAGGAAGAGTATGGAGTACAGAACCCTAGGGCCTATGTAGGGGGCAAAAGAAGGAACCAGGGAAGGAAAATAAGGGAGCAAGAGTGGTCATTGATGTCAAAGGTAAGTCAGGCTACCACGCTTGCAGTGGGAGCCAGTGTGGGAGAAGGAGTCTGTAAGGGGAATTCAAGTGTATCCAGAGTAAGTGTGCTGTCTGATGTGTGGCAAGTCAATACCCAAGACCTGGGGGCGGGGTTTATTTGTTGGGCTGCAGAATGAGGAGATGAGAGGGAACTGCAAATCCGTCCTCCTGAGGAGTTTGGAGCTAGGGTTTTTAAGGATTTTGGAGTGGGCTGGAATGTGGAGATTGTTGGGTGGTCAGAGAGAGAAAGGTGAAGTAATGGGACCCGGAGATGAAAAAACTGTATTATGCTGATTTTATTTCTCTCTGAGGGTCTTCAAACTGGTTGGCATCAGCTGTTTTACCAGAATTTGGGATCTGAAAAATATCTCAAGCAATTCTTAAAAAAAAAGCCTTATGCTTCTAATGTCAGAGATACTATCTTTAGAAACAATAGGGATGCAAATGGTCAGTATCTAGCGCTGTGTGACTTTCAGTTACAAGGAAATGTGTCAAAATCCAGCCTGATTAATGTTTTTTTTTTGTTTGTTTGTTTGTTTGTTTTTTTTTGAGATGGAGTTTTGCTCTTGTGGCCCAGGCTGGAGTGCAATGGCATGATCTCGGCTCACTGCAACCTCTGCCTCCTGGGTTCAAGTGATTCTCCTGCCTCAGCCTCCTGAGTAGCTAGACTACAGGTGTGTGCCACCACACCTGGCTAATTTTGTATTTTTAGTAGAGATGGGTTTTCACCGTTTTGGCCAGGCTGGTCTCAAACTCCTGACCTCAGGTGATCCGCCCACCTTGGCCTCCCAAAGTGCTGGGATTACAGGTGAGCCATCGCACCTGGCCTAATGCTTAATTAAAGTTATATTTCTGTCCATAGTTCTTGGTAACCCTCTGAAGACAGCTTCATAATGAAGAATTTGGGTAGGTTTTGGGTGCATGGGGCTTCAGGGAGTCATGAAGGTTGAGGACATAGGAAAGAATCACACATTTATCCATCAGAAGATCATTGGTGACCATTGGCCGGGCGCTGTGGCTCACGCCTGTAATCCCAGCACTTTGGGAGGCCGAGGCAAGTGGATCACGAGGTCAGGAGATCGAGACCATCTTGGCTAACACGGTGAAACCCCGTGTCTACTAAAAATACAAAAAAATTGGCCAGGCGTGCTGGTGGGCACCCGTAGTCCCAGCTACTCAGGAGGCTGAGGCAGGAGAATGGCGTGAACCCGGGAGGTGGAGCTTGCAGTGAGCCAAAATCGCGCCACTGCACTCCAGCCTGGGCAACAAAGCAAGACTCAATCTCAAAAAAAAAAAAAAAGCTGTTGGATCGGTGTTTACTAAGCACCTACTCTAAGCCTGTCACTGTGTTAGTGTTAAGGATTTGTGTGAATGACCTCTTTTAGGTACTTCATTTTACAGATGAGAAAAATGACGCTTAGGGAATTAATCACCTTAACAGGTCACACAGAAAGAAGACTATGAGTTCTGTCTGACCCAGGCCCCATGCTCCTAAACCTTGCATGACACTGCTCTTTGGAAAGCCCTATCAGGACATCAGCTAGAGAGGAATGAAAGGTTTTTAGAGCCCAGTGATGGCTTACCCCAGCTGTATGAATTTGTTAGCAACCCAGTTAAATAAAGTCTTCTGATTTTTCTATAGTAATCTGGCAGTTTAGGAATGGAGAGGTGGGGGAGGGAGGGGAAGATAAAAGATAGAGTAAGAGTTCAGTAAATTAGAAAGGGGATTATTTTGTTGTTCATAAGTGTAATGATTGGATTTTCATGCACATGTATGAGATGTGCCTCCATCAAGCCTTGTTACTACAAAGTCAGTGCATTACCCATCTGATGTGGGAAAAATAAATCAGAAAGAGGCCTCAGCTTGTGGGAATGGTGGAATGCAATGGCTTGTGTTGTTAAGCAAAATTGTGTTTTACAGTAAATATTTATTGTGGTTCTTTTGATGCAAGTTATATTGGGATATGGAGGAAAATGCAAAAATGGATAAGATGGTGTATTTGACCTCTACACGGTTAGAGAGGAAGGTAAAGTGCTTCACTATAGTGCTTGATTGAAGGGTATGACAGGGGTGGAAGGTGGAGAAGTATGGGAAAGTATTATACAAGTTAGCTTGTAGAGCGAGGGTGGCATTAGGTAGGGCTGGCCAGGGTGGTGCCAATCTAGCTTCTCAGGATGACCCCTCAGGATTTTGGTCACTGTGTCGTCAGTCTAGTCTTGGGTCACAAAATGTATTTTGTGGAGAACCTGGAAATAATTAGTCTTGAAGACAGGATTGTATTCAGACTTGAGTGATTGAGCTCAGAATGGAATGCCAATTTATTATTTTAGAATGAAGGATTCCTTTTCCGTTAACGGGATTCTGGAATTTGTTAGGATAATTGCTTTTCAATATCAAGAGATCTGGCAATCAAATTTAATAATATCAAGCTTGCTTGGTGAGCATGGATTTATAAGATAGAATGGTTTGTGGGGGAGAATATAGTTACAAAAAAGATTATTGTTTCCCATAATGCCTGGTATTGTATTAAGTACTTTGCATACAGTAGGGCATTTCATTGTCCCAGTGATCCTCCTGCAAAGTAGGTACAATTATCTTCAATTTACAAATGAGGAAACCAAGCTCTCTTCAAGCTGATAAGATGCTGAACTGAGATTTGAACCAAGTCCCTCTGCCCCTAAGAGCCCCTACCCCTAGCTGCTACTATATGCTGTACCCATCTAAGCTTTGTGAAATAACCTTGTTCCACTGCAGAGAAGATGTTGTGTCACCTATCTCTAGTATTTCTTGGCTTTGGGCAGTTCTGGAGTCAAAATGCCCCTCCCTGTTTTTTCTAGATTTTTCCAGATTTCTTTGTTAACCAGTCTTAGATGTGGTCACATTCTTTGTTTAAATACCCGTGTATTAATATAGTCATCCAAGCCTTTTTGTCCTCTTCTTGCTTTTGGTTTGGAAGATACTCTGTCTCTTTGGAGGAACTTTACATATCTGTGCACATTGATTTTGTGTTGATTTTATTATCTTAATTTTATGGGTTAAGTTTTTGAGTTTCTTCCAGCTCCTAGTCCATCAACTCCTTCCTGTCCCCTTCCTCTTCCACTAGACTTAAATTCAGATACTAATGCCAATTTCTGAATACTCAGTCTGGCTCCAGTCCACCTATCCAATTTAGACATGGCTCTCTGGATCACTAGCTATTGCCAGTTACTCACTGCTCCTGTATGATCTTGATTTCCTACTTGAGTACCCTTGTTTCTGTTGTGCTTTTGGCTTGGAATGTCATTCTTCCCATGAAGGCTCCCTAGTCTGATCCCTCACTGGGAGTAATCACTTCTTCCTGAGTCTCATAGCAGAGAATTCTCTTTTATGTCTCCTTTGTGGCACATTACACTTTCTGCCATCTATTATAGTTGTTTGTGTACCTACCTATCTCCTACTAGACCATGGCCTCACTGAGCAGATCTGTCTGGTTGACCTTTGTCTTTCTCCTAGTATCTAGTTCAGTTCCCTGCACATAGTGGGCATTCAATATCTATTGGATG
This sequence comes from Homo sapiens, assembly GCF_000001405.40. NCBI lineage: Eukaryota > Metazoa > Chordata > Mammalia > Primates > Hominidae > Homo > Homo sapiens. The sequence goes on along the minus strand of NC_000017.11, from coordinate 35,052,677 downwards.
AATGAATGAATAACTGAACAGAATTTCAGGTTTTTAAGTTTCTACTCATTGTTTATTATAGATTCCCTCCCTTTTTTGCTTTTCTTCTTCCTTTCACATTTCCTTTTCTTTCTTTTCTATTAACCTGTGTTTTCCCTTGCACTGACTCACTGAACTTCTCTTTACCACCCCCTTTTTTTTACCCAGATTTTGCCTCATTCTCTCCTCATTAGCAGTCACTATGTGGGTGTGCCACATGCTGCTGGTCAGATTTTCTCCATCCTTTTGTGGCTTGAGTTCCCCCATGAATCAGATGAGCAGCATAGGAATTGACTGGTGATTACATTAACATCTTAATAAAAGACCATGTATAAAGAACAGTACTTAAAATTTGTCAGTATATTGCTTTCAAGAGGGAAATTTTCCAATGCATGTTTCAAGTGAAAGGGAAAGGGAAAAAAAATCTTCCGGTACTGGGGAGGTAGATCAGGGCATTTTATTCACAGTGTGGGATGTGGGATGTCAAAGGCATCTTATTTGACCAAAGAAATAATGCAGGAAACCACAGAAACTTCTGCTAACCGTTAATATTGAATCCTCAAATTTTTCTACAGCTGGAGAAAACATTAGAGATGAATGTAGTTCAACCTTCCTGTTTTCCAGATGAGAAAACAGACCCAAAGAGGCTAAATGACTTGTCCATTAAGCTGGGGTATTTGTTGCCCAGTGTTTACTTCTAGAACTGAATGTGGCCTGGGAAACCACCAAATCTTTGAAAGTAGTGGAAAGTTACACTTGAAGTGGAGGCTTTAGGTGTCTAAAATTGAAGGCTTTTGCAATGCTGAAAAGTAGACTTTGTCCAGTTGGTAGCAGGTTGGATTTGAGGCAGTGTTCACGAAAGGGCTGTTTAACTGTCTCAGTCACTCCCTTCTGGGAATCTGTTCCTTCTGCATTTGAAAAGGGGCCAGCGTTTAATTATTAAAACATTTTCAATTTTTCTTGCTCTTTTTCCCAGCCCTCATATTCGAAGTTTTGTTTCAGGCTTTATTTCCTTATCTCAGCACTATTTGTGTTAAGTTTTTATTGCTTAAGTCAGATGTCAGTACGAAGCATGGGAAATCCAGAAAGTGTCTTAGACACTCATGATTGGTTTTTGGTGCTTGTTAGGTGAATCTTTTACCTGACTCATATAATAATGTACTTTATTGTCACTGAAATACTGTCTAGTGAACCAGTTGGCAGCAGATATGAAAGGTTACCTACTTGTTGAAGGTCTAGGGTACAGCGGTGGAAAGAGATCAGATAGCCCAAAACAGGAAGTCAAGTGCAAACAGGATGTGTTTGTCTGCTGTAACTCGTGTGCCTGTGTTTTGAAACTTGGTGCTGTTAAAAAGTCAAGACTTCTAGTATTTGAGCTTGGCTGAAGAAGTCTCCATTTTGGGTTTGAAAAGAAGCTAACATAACTAGTCCTTTACAGCCCTTGCCTTTACCCATATGCATGTCTTTCTTGTAGGGACCATTCTTTCTTCCTGGGCATGGTTGTTTATCCTAGTTTATACTGTACTGCATCCATATGGTTTATAAAATGAAGCCACTGAATTGACTGTTGATGTTACTTTTGGTAGATATGGGATTCAGTCTGTGTTTGGCTATTTTTTTAAATAACAATGGGAAATTTTAGCCTATAATTCACAATCCTTTTATTTTTTATTTATTTTTTATTGTTTTGAGACAATTTCACTCATGTTGCCCAGGCTGGAGTGCAATGGCACGATCTTGGCTCACCACAACCTCCGCCTCCCAGGTTCAAGCGATTCTCCTGCCTCAACCTCCAGAGTAGTTGGGATTATAGGCATGTGCCATCACACCTGGCAAATTCTGTATTTTTAGTAGAGACAGGGTTTCTACATGTTGGTCAGGCTGGTCTCAACCTCCTGACCTCAGGTGATCTGCCCGCCTCGGCCTTCCAAAGTGCTGGCATGTGCCATTGTGCCTGGCCTCCATCCTTTTATTTTAATTAATTTTTTTTTTTTTTTTGTAGAGCCTGGGGAGTGGCTCATGCCTGTAATCCCAACAGTTTGGGAAGCTGAGGCGGGAGGATCGCTTGAGCCCAGGAGTTTGAGACCAACCTAGGCAATATAGTGAGACCTCCGTTTCTACAAAAATAAAAATAGCTGAGTATGGTGGCATGTGCATGTAGTCCCAACTATTCAGGAGGTTGAAGTGGGTGGATCACCTGAGCCCAGGAGGTCAAGGCAGCAATGAGCCAAGAGTGCATCACTACAGTCCAGCCTTGACACCAGAGTGAGGTCTTGCTATGTTGCCCAGGCTGCGAGCTGGTCTCAAACTCCTGGCCTCAAGTGATTCTCCTCTCTTGGCCTCTCACAGTACTGGGATTACAGGTGTGAGTTACCACACCTGGCCACCACCTTCTATTTTTTAATTTTTATTTTTTGAGACTGGGTCTCCCTCTCACCCAGGCTGGAGTGCAGTGGTGCAATCACAGTTCACTGCAGCCTTGATCTCCCAGGCTCAAGTGATCCTCCCACCTCAGCCACCCAGTAGCTGGCATTACAGGTGTGAGCCACTACAACAGGCCCATTTTTTTTTTTTTTTTGAGATGGAGTCTTACTCTGTCACCTAGGCTGGAGTGCAATGGCGTGATCTCAGCTCTCTGCAACCTCTGCCTCCATGGCTCAAGCAATTCTCCTGCCTCAGCCTCCTGAGTAGCTGAGATTACAGGTGCCCACCACCATGCCTGGCTAATTTTTGTATTTTTAGTAGAGACAGGGTTTCGCCATGTTGGCCAGGCTGGTCTCAAACTCCTGACCTCAGGTGATCAGTCCACCTCGGCCTCCCAAAGTGCTGGGATTACAGGCGTGAGCTACCACACCTGGCCCATTCTTTTAAATAACAGTCTGCTTTTGTTGGTTTCCAGAATTTTTAGCCTATCTTTTGAGTGTTTTCTGAGTGTGGTGGTTTACAAATAACTACCGGGTGTTTGTGAACTTTTTTTAGTCTTTGAATTCAAACTCTCTTTGAGTACTGGAGGCTGCATCTAATGCTAGCTGCTGAATTGCTTCACCCCTTGGCAAGTCTCTGGAGAAGAGATTAAGTAAGTAATTTGCTTGGGGTCACTCAGCTGATAAACAATCTCAGCAGCCCCTATTTTCTGAACCCACCTCCCATTTCCCATTGCTTCCTACTGTGAAATCTGCTCTATTGCATTCATTAGAGGACTGGATTGGTTATAGGATAACCATCTGCTCGAGTCATCTCAGGATCTTTGTAGATTATCACAACCACTTGAACCAGGTCCATTCTGCTGGTCTCATACTATAATATGGGACAGGTAAAGGTTTTGATAATGTGTTTGTGTGTGTGTGTGTGTGTGCATTCTGTACCCTTACCATATTGCAGAGAAAATCATCTGTCCTTCCACTTTGTAATTCCAGGAGCAAAAGGGTAAAGTAGCAGCATATCTCAGTGTGGATGGTCTAGTGACTGTGTGTGAAAGCAGTGAGAACAACATGCCTTTCTGCTATCAGCACAGGTGTCTTTTTTCTTGACTCTTATCAAAGGGTGGGAATATGAGGCATTTTGCATTTTGTTGTGGGATATAGGCAAATAGTAAAACCTTGAAGATAGGCTGAACACAGGTGTTCTTGGCAAGGAGAGAATATGGTGAAAATACAAAGGTTTTTGTGACACCAAGAGAACTAGAAATCACCATTCATTTCTGCTGCTTGGCGTAGATACTGGGTAGATCACATCCTCCTGGCAGGAGCAGAAAACATTTCAGAAAGTCAGCATAATTTTCAGATTGAGATCAAACATCAAACCAAGCTAAAGGTCTGTGGGAGGAAGGGGGTGCTTAGTCTGAATTCATCCTGGATTTATCACCAAATCCTATCTGACTTCAGTGCAGTGCAAGCAATTACAGTGCATCAGGTGGAGGCCGGAGGCATACGTTCATTCTTTGAATTTGGCAGAGAAGGGTTGAGGAGCTAAGGGAGAAATTCTAAACTGGCTGGACTGCAGGGTTGTGGGGAGTAACAAACTCATTAGCAATGGGGTGGAATTGGGAAGAGATTTAACAGCCTGGGGCTGCAAGGAGGATAAACCACTCTGACCACCTCTGAGAAGTTTTTCAAGGGATTATATAATTAAGAACTGGTGGAAGAACTGTAGTCATTTAATTCTTAGAGGAGTGGTTCAAAAACTAAACTGAACCTGATTAGAGGTATTGGCATACCTAAATTTTTATTTTTTTAATTAATTAATTAATTAATTTTTTGAGATGGAGTCTCGCTCTGTCGCCCAGGCTGGAGTGCAGTGGCGTGATCTCGGCTCACTGCAAGCTCCGCCTCCTTGGTTCACACCGTTCTCCTGTCTCAACCTCCCAAGCAGCTGGGACTACAGGTGCACACCGCCACTCCCGGCTAATTTTTTGTATTTTTAGTAGAGACGGGGTTTCACCGTGTTAGCCAGGATGGTCTTGATCTCCTGACCTCACGATCCGCCCACCTCGGCCTCCCAAAGTTCTGGGATTACAGGCATGAGCCACCGTGCCCGGCCCCTAAATTTTTAAAAAGCAGATAGATAGAGGAATAGAACTGATAAACGTCTTTTTAAAGAACCTTAATGGGCTGAGTGCAGTGGTTCACGCCTATAATCCCAGCACTGTGGAAGGCCAAGGTGAATGGATTGCTTGAGGTCAGGAGTTCGAGACCAGCCTGGCCAACGTGGTGAAACCCCGTCTCTACTAAAAATACAAAAATTAGCCGGGCATGGTGGTGGGCACCTGTAATCCCAGCTACTTGGGAGGCTGAGGTATGAGAATCGCTTGAGCCTGGGAGGCAGAGGCTGCAGTGAGCCAAGATCACGCCACTGCATTCCAGCCTGGGTGACAGAGGGAGACTCTGTATTTAAAAAAAAAAAAAAAAAGCTGGGCATGGTGGCTTGCGCTTGTAGTCCCAGCTAATCAGAAGGCTGAGGTTGGAGGATCACTTGAGCCCAGGAGGCAGAAGTTGCAGTGAGTGAGACCATGCCACTGCACTCCAGTCTGGGCAACAGAGGGAGACCCTGTCTGAAAACTAAGTAAAATAAAAAAGTTAAGAACCTTAATGGGCCTTTCTGTGTTAAAACAACAACAACAACAACAAAAACAACCTTAACAAAGTACTTTCTTTAAATTATTTACAGCCAATTTCTGTTGAACATCCATTATTTGCTGGGCTCTGGGTTAAATGCTTTGACATGCGTTATTTTAATCCTTTCAATTATCTTTTCAATGTAGCAGGTTTTAATTAAAGGAGTTAAATAACACCAGAATTCATTCTATACCATGGTACATTTGGCTGCAGTAATTTTCGTGCAGTCCACTTTGGAAAGGTAAATTGCATAATTTTGAGCCTAGATAGAATTCCTGTCTGGAAATGCCTTCTTTTCCCGGTGCATTGGAGTGCCAGAAACCCCTTCACCTAGTCCCTGCCTTCATTTAAAAAAAAATCCTGGTTACCCATTAGTCAGTCATTGTGATAATATCTTGTGAAAGCAGCTTCTTCAGTAGAAGGTCCAGAAGAGCTTATCTGGTAAATCCTCTTTCCTGCACCAGAGTAGTAGGGGGATCAGAGTCTCTTTATTCTTGATGAGCTTTGTCATCAGTTTCGATGGAAGAAGGATCCTGCTGTAATTAAACTGCAGGTCCATTTATTCTGTTTTCAGCGTTGTTAGAAGACTTTACTCTGAATTGCTTTGTTTCCTGATTGACTCACCCTTTGGGGCAGAATGCCTGGGTTGAAATGAAAGCGTAGGTTTCTCTGCTGCGGTGTTCAATCTGTCATCTCTCCTAAACTCCACACTAAGAAGCAGCCATTTAATTGGTCAGACCCCAGGGGTGATATTTTGGCACAGCTCCATTGGTTAGAATTACTTTTCCCTGAACTTCATAGCAGATGCTGAGGTCCCTCTGCAGATATTTGTCATAGAATAGTTGAAACCAGGGAGTTTCTGAGAACATTTATAACTTGTGATTATTATGTATGTCTTTCAGTTGTTAACAGTTACCGCTTAAGAAAAAGAGCTCACTTATTGCTAGTGGGAAGTGAAATCTCTCTCCTTTCCCCCTTATTCATATTATTATTTTAACAGTTTATGCTCCAAGACCCTCTGCTCTCTGGTTCCTGTATCATTTTGTTATGTTTCTCCTTCCACCTTGCTTGGGCTGTGCAAGTCGGGAAGAACAGGCAAAGGTACACCCAGACCTGGGTGTGTCTGGTAGAGGTCGGTTTCTTTGATTTCTAGCATGTCTTTATTTTACATCTGCATTTGTTGTTTTCATGTTTATTTGTATTTGCAGTTCCCATTGCAGCACCATTCCAATCCAAAACAACAGTGAAGGCATTGAAGCCTTCTGTGTCTTTTTAGGAAGAGATGGAAGTGACCGTCTTGTTCCTCTTCCAGGCTCTCCTTTTCTGGTTTTGTCCTTCTGTAATAACAATTTAAACCATTTTTCTTTTCTTTTGTTTTTCAAGTAATCTTAGCAGACAAAGAAATTCTCTTCAGTCTTTCGTTCAAGGTATTGCTGTGGTTATGTGTGTTTAAAATCCTTAATTTACTGATCATCCCGGAATCATAATTGTGCAGTTTCTGTCCTTTTTTTTTTTTTTTTTGAGACAGAGTCTCACTCTGTCAGCCAGGGTGGAGTGCAGTGTGCAATCTTGGCTCACCGCAACCTCCGCCTCCCAGGTTCAAGCGATACTCCTGCCTCAGCCTCCCGAGTAGCTGGGACTATGGGCATATACACCACCACGCCCAGCTAATTTTTTTATTTGTAGTACAGATGGGGTTTTGCCATGTTGGCCAGGCTGGTCTCAAACTCCTGACCTCAGGTGATCCGCCGGCTTCAGCCTCCCAAAGTGCTGCGATTACAGGCGTGAGCCACTGTGCCTCGCCAATTGTGCAATTTTAAGCATGAATTTCTGTCCTTTTTTTTTAAAAAGCGCTCTATTGCTGTTATCATTAGTTAATAATTCAACAAATATGTGTTGATTACCTGGCATTAAGGCTGAGAATAAAGCTGTGAAATAGACCTACTCTTGTTTCCTGTTTCACTTTCCACACCCTAAATATGGAAGAAAAATACTTTAAAAAGAATTATATAGGCCGGGCATGGTGGCTCATGCCTGTAATCCTAGAACTTTGGGAGGCTGAGGCGGGCAAATCACTTGAGGTCAGGAGTTCAAGACCAGCCTGGCCAACATAGTAAAACCCCATCTCTACTAAAAATACAAAAAATTAGCCAGGCATGGTGGCACGTGCCTGTAATCCCAGCTACTCAGGAGGCTGAAGCATGAGAATTGCTTGAACCTGGGAGGTGGAGGTTGCAGTGATCTGAGATCATGCTACTGCACTCTAGCCTGGACGACAGAGTGAGACTCTGTCTCAAAAAAAGAAAAAAAAAAGAATTATACAAACTGTTAGCCAGTTGATTAGATACAGTACTGCTAGAATGCTCTTTCCCCCAGAATGTAATCATTATGAGATTCAAGGACCTTGCCTGTTGTTGTTCCTCTTACGTTCTCCAGAGGTACAGGAGATTCATGCTAAATAGTCTGATAAATCAATTATGGTTATAAGGAAGTGTATAAGATTCTATGAGGCCAGGCATGGTGGCTCACACCTGTAATTCCAATCCTTTGGGAAGTTGAGGTGGGAGGATCACTTGAGCCTGGGAGATCGAGGCTGCAGTGAGCTGTGATCGCACCACTGTACTCCAGCCTGGGTGACAGAGTGAGACCCTGTCTCAAAAAAAAAAAAATGTTATGAGAGCACAGACAGGATCAGGAAAGGTTTCCCTGAGGAAATAAATGATATGTAAGGGAGGTGAGGTGGCAACAGTGCTCCAGGCTGAGAGAATAGCTGAATAGCTTGAGGGAGGGAGATTCCTAAAGCCAAAATAACCTTGGTGTTTGAAGAACTGAAAGAATAGGATAGAGTAAGGAGTAAGGCCCTGAGCACTAAGGATTTGCTTTCATTATTATTTACTAGTTACCCAGTGACAACACTTACTTTATTTTTTTTGAGATGGAGTCTCGCTCTGTCTCCCAGGCTGGACTGCAGTGGTGCAGTGTCGAGTCACTGCAACCTCCACCTCCCAGATAAGCGATTCTCCTGCCTCAGCCTCCGTGCAGCTGGGATTACAGGCACCTGTCACCATGCCTGGCTAATTTTTGTATTTTTAGTAGAGACAAGGTTTCACTGGGATTACAGGCGTGAGCCTGCCGCGCCTGGCTGACAACACTTATTAAAAGGAGGGTAGACCAGGTGCGCTGGCTCATTGCCTGTAATCCCAGCACTTTGGGAGGCCCAGGTAGGATTGCTTGAGGCTAGGAGTTCAAAGACCAGTCTGGGTAACATAGACCCTGTCTCTACAAAAAAAATAAAAATAAAAAATTAGCTGGGCAAGGTGGTGGGTATTTGCAGTTCTAGCTACTCAGGATGCTGAGGTGGGACGATCGCTCAAGGCTACAGTTTGCTATGATGGTGCCAATGCACTCCAGGCTGGGTGACAGAGACTTGTCTCAATAAATGAATCAATGAAATAGAGCATTAGTTGCAGTTGAGACAATTAAGTCAGAAAAATCTCAACTGGAGCAAAAGTAAGAAGAGAAACTGAAATACACCTTAAATATCAGTTAAAGGCTTTATCTTTAGAAGGTTGGGGGTCTGTATCACTGGTACCCTGAACTTGTAGAAACTAGAAATGCAGATGACTTATGGGATGTATAAATTAAAGTTCTGTAGTCCCAGGAATGGTTTTTCTATGTATTATACTTTTTACAAGGTGCTTAAGGTACTTTTTATTGAATCCTACAAAAATCAGACCATTTTAATTCTGATTTTTGTAGGATTATTGTGTTAAATAAGACAACAGATGCAAACATAACAACTAACTTGGCACATTTTAGGTGTTTTGTAATGTTTTTACTTTGTAATCTTCTGAGAAAGGACTTCAGGAACCCCAAGTTCTGAATAACTCCCCCAATTTTCCCCGTGTCTGCCATCTGAAATAATAGCACAGAAGATTATGTCATGTCTAAAGTTTTGATCCTTTACATTAAAGTATAACTTGGGGACTGGAGGAGAGAAGAGGCTCTAGTCCTTGTGTCTTTGATGTTACTGACATCTCTGTGTGAAAGGAGGCTCTGGAAGCTGGTTTGGAGAGAGGCAAACATTTAATCCTCATGAGCCCATGCCTTATTATAATGACGGCTATTTACTGAATGTCTAACACTGCCCTCTGCTCTTGATGTAAGATTGAAAAGTCCAGTGAAGTTATGATCCCCCTTTATACTGAGCACCACCTCTATGTCCAGCCTGTGAGGTGTAGGGAATGTATTCCTGTTACTCTGAAGCTCCTAGTGGCAGCTTACTCAAGCTCATTCATTTATTCAGTGTTAGAGCCAGGATTTAAGGTCAGGTCTGACTGATTTTAAAGCCAAAGTAAAACATACTTGGGAACAGCTTTTTTTCCCCCCACCTTTCTCTCCAACTGTTCTGTCTTCTTAAACTTTAGACCTAAAATAAAATTCTTACCTAGGAAATATGCATTTATCTGTTACCCATATCCAAAGGACTGCCTTGGAGGATAGAAAATGTCTATTAGTATTAAAAGCTTTGGAAATGTTTTCCTCCCCTGAGTTCTGGCCTGTGAAATATTCCTTGTTTATGTCCAGCCCATGCACCACTTCAGCAGGGCTCTTTATCCTAATTCAGGCCTTGGATTCTAAAGTTCTACCATATACATGTCTTCTCTATGACTTAGGTATTCTGAATTCTTTTTTCTTTTCTTTTTTTTTTTTTTTTTTTTTGAGATGGAGTCTCATTCTGTCGCCAGGCTGGAGTGCAGTGATGTGATCTCAGCTCACTGCAACCTCTGCCTCCTGGGTTCAAGCAATTATCCTGCCTTAGCCTCCTGAGTAGCTGGGACTACAGGTGCATGCCACTACGCCCAGCTAATTTTTTGTATTTTTAGCAGAGATGGGGTTTCACCATGTTGGCTGGGCTGGTCTCGAACTCCTGGGCGCTCAGGTGATCCGCCTGCCTTGGCCTCCCAAAGTGCTGGGATTACAGGTGTGAGCCACTGCGCCCGGCCACCGAATTATTTATTCTAAAATAAATATCTCAGAAATAGTATCACAGAGAACATGCTTCATTGTCCCACCCCCAGCATATGAGACCAGTTAGTAGTATGGTTTACTCAGCAGGCTGCTTACTTACAAATGCAACAGTTGTCCTATTTTATGCTCATTGTGTTGTCACCAGCATTTTAAATCTTTACAAGTCAGGGTGGGTACCTCAGGCAGGTTTGCTGGAAAATTCCAGTAAACAGTTTCAAAGGAGTTCAAGTTGCTTGCCAGACTAACTTACTTTTAAAAGTAAGCAGCCTTCCAAGTTAAGAGATGATTTTAAATTTCAGGTGAGTTCTCAGGACATTGTGATTTTTTAATTATGCTGTTGGTATAAATCAGCTGTGTCAGGGCCTGTCCCACCAAGAGCGTTGGGTGGTAAGAAACCCAAGCTTTGGGTGACCAGAGAGAGGAGAGAGACCTTGGGCTTTCCAGCCAGTAATGCCTATGAAACATGTAGGTCATTGGCATTTTATTTTATTTATTTTTTTGAGATGGAGTCTCGCTCTGTGGCCCAGGCTGGAGTGCAGTGGTGTGATCTTGGCTCACTGCAACCTCTGCCTCCCGGGTTCAAGCGATACTTCTCCCTTAGCCTCCTGAGTAGCTGGGACTACAGGCATGTGCCACCACACCACTAATTTTTGTGTTTTTAGTAGAGACGGGGTTTCACCATGTTGTCTAGGCTGGTCTTGAACTCCTGACCTCAACTGATCCGCCTGCCTTGGCCTCCCAGAGTGCTGGGATTGTAGGAGTGAGCCACCATGCCCAGCCATCATTTTAGAATTATAATTTTTAGCTGGATGCGGTAAAAAAAATCCTTTCTCAGCCTTCAGGTCTCATCTCAAGTATCACCGACATGAGGAGTCCTCCCCCATTTACACACACCAGCTCGGTGTGAAGAACCGAAAGGTCACACTACCTTTCGGTTCTTCACACACCAGCCCACTATGGCTTGAAGTTAACGAGTGAGAAAAGTAGCACGGCATGAATTGGAGAAGTGGTCAGGGTCTTTAACCATGTAAGAAGTGATTATTTTTATTCTAAAATGCAATAGGAGTCCATTAAAGAACTTTTTTTTGAAGAGTTTTTAAACATTTTTATGTACAAAGAGTTAACATGATTTCTTTCATTGGGTGGATGCCTTGGATAATCCATCCAAGGAAGATCACTTCTAGGAACAAGCAACATTAAAGAGCTTTAAGTGTGTGTGTTGAGGGGAGGAGGGCAGTGGGTGATGCCTTGTGGAGAAATAGGTGGATAGAGGCAAGAATTAAAGCTAGGAAACCCGTTAGGAGGCTGTTCTTTTACCCAAGAAGCCATTCTAGACTCTGGAAATTCGGTAGAGCACAAAGTCCCTGCCCTCATGGGGTTTCTATTCTAGTTAGGGAAAGCAGTTAATAAATAAGCAAATAATATCAGCTAATACCAAATGTTATGGTGAAATTAGAAAATGACATTAAAAGGCTGGTCGTGGTAGCTCACACCTGTAATCCCAGAGCTTTGGGAGCCTGACGCAGGAGGATCCTTAGAGCCCAGGAGTTCGAGATTACAGTGAGCTATGATCAAGCCACTGCACTCCAGCTTGGAGAGAGACCCTATCTCTCTCTCCCTCACACACACACACACACACACACACACACCAAAAAAAAAAAAAAAAAAAAAAAGACATTAAAGCTGATGTTTGGATGACAAGAAGGAGCTAAGCATAGGAAGTTCTAGGGAGACCAATCCAGGCAGAAGGAACAAACAACAAATCTAAAGGGCCTAAGGAGGGAAATGTGATTAATATATGAAAGATGATGTTTTAACCCACCAGCAGGAGCAGGGGAGATGAAGGTAGGAATTTATGCATCTTTGATTTAAGAAAAGTATTTTTTATTTTTTTTTTACTTTTTTTTTTTTTGAGAGAGAGTCTCGCTCTGTCGCCCAGGTTGGAGTGCAGTGGCATGATCTCAGCTCACTGCAACCTCTGCCTTCCAGGTTCAAGTGATTCTCCTACCTCAGCCTCCCAAGTGGCTGGGACTATAGGTGCCTGCCACCATGCCTGGCTAATTTTTTATATTTTTAGTAGAGACGGGGTTTCACCATGTTGGCCAGGCTGGTCTTGAACTCCCGACCTCAAGTGATCTGCCCGCCTTGGCCTCCCAAAGTGCTGGGATTACAGGTGTGAGCCACCACACCCGGCCAAGAAAGGTATTTAAAGCAACCTGAGGTGTGGTTGGAGAGGGAGGCCTAAGACAGCCTGGACACTCACAACATTTAAGAACAGAGGGAGGGGTAAGAAGCAGCAAAAAGGCTTTGAGGTAGGAGGAAAGCCACGGGGGCAGAGTGCTAGAAGCTAAGAGATGTTTAGAGGGGGAGAGTCGCTTGTGTCCAGCATTGCTGAGAGATTAAGATGAGGATAGAGAAGTGTCAATTAGATCTGGCCACTTGGAATTCCTTGGTGACCTTGAAGAGATTAGGAATGGTGGTTGGCTCAAGCTAGATTGGAGAAGGTTTAAGAGTGAATTAGAGGTTAAGAAAGTGGAGTCGGCCAGATGCGGTGGCTCATGCCTGTAATCCCAGCACTTTGGGAGGCCGAGGTGGGCAGATCACCTGTGGTTGGGTGTTTGAGACCAGTCTGACCGACATGGAGAAGCCGTCTCTACTAAAAATACAAAATTAGCTGGGCATGGAGTTGTATGCCTGTAATCCCAGATACTCGGGAGGCTGAGGCAGGAGAATTGCTTGAACCCGGGAGGCAGAGGTTGCAGTGAACTGAGATCGTGCCATTGCACTCCAGCCTGGGCAACAAGAGTGAAATTCCGTTTCAAAAAAAAAAAGTGGAGTCAAATATTTGGAGAAATTTGATTTAGAGGAGATCACAGAAAAAGAGCTTTACTGGGGAGGGGGAGAATGTGGGGTCAAAATGGGGTTTTATTTTTTATTTTTTTGTTATTTTTTACAAATTACAAATATTTGACTAGGTGCTTTAAAAAATCTGTCATTGGCTGGGCGTTGTGGCTCATGCCTATAAGCCCAGCACTTTGGGAGGCCGAGGTGGGCGGATCATGACGTTAGGAGATCAAGACCATCCTGCCCAACATGGTGAAACGCCGTCTCTACTAAAAATACAAAAATTAGCTGGGTGTGATGGCACGTGCCTGTAATCCCAGCTACTCGGGAGGCTGAGGCGTGAGAATCGCTTGAACCCAGCAGGCGGAGGTTGCAGTGAGCCGAGGTTGCGCCACTGCACTCCAGCCTGGCGACAGAGCGAGACTGCGTCTCAAAAAAAAGAAAAGAAAAAAATCTGTCATATGGGCTGGGTGCAGGGGCCCATGTCTGTAATCCCAGCACTTTGGGAGGCTGAGGCGGGTGGATTGCTTGAGCCCAGGAGTTCGAGATCAGCCTGGGCAACTTGATGAAACCCCATCTAGACAAAAAAATACAAAAAATTAGGTGTGGTGGTGCGCGCCTGTAGTCCCAGCTACTCGGCATGCTGTGGCAGGAGGATCACGTAAGCCTGGGAGGTCCAGGTTACAGTGAGCCATGGTCGCAACACTGCACTCCAGCCTGAGCAACAGAGTGAGACACCCTATCTCAAAACAAAACACAACACTCATATAAACTTTTAATTCAAATGTAACTAGAGAAGTATATAAATTATAAGTGTACAGTTCGATGAATTTTTACAAAGTCAACATATCTACATAATCAGCATTCAGAGTAAGAAACAATGTTACCAGAAGCCCCTTGGGCTGCCTTCCATCTGTAATCCTACCTCACAGGATGACCACTATCCTGATTTTGAACACCATAGTTTGCCTGTTTTTGAATTTTATGTAAAACGAATCATTTCCCATGTATTCATTTATGCCTCCTGCTTTTGCTCAACATAAGATTCATCTGTACTATTGCATGTATCAGTTGTTTGTTTTTTCTCATTGTTCTGTGAACATATCATAATTCTACCGTTGATGGACACTTCAGTTGTTTCCAGCTTGAGGCTATTACAGTAGGGCTTCCATGGATATTCCTGTATACTGTTTGGGTGAATGTATTTCTGTTGGGTATATGCCTGGAAGCAGAATTGCAAAGCCATGGAAAGAGATGTGGGTGCGCGTGTATATGCACGCGCGCGCACACACACACAAAATTTCCAAATTGGAGTAATTTACACTTCCACCAGCAATATTAGAGTTCCAGTTGCTCTTTTTTCCTTTTTTTTTTTTTTTTTTTTGAGACAGTTTTGCTCTGTCATCCAGGCAGGAATGCAATGGTGCGATCTGGGTTCACTGCAACCTCTGCCTCCCAGGTTCAAGCGATTCTTCTGCCTCAGCCTCCTGAGTAGCTGGGATTATAGGCATGTGCCACCACGCCTGGCTAATTTTTTGTATTTTTAGTAGAGACGGGGTTTCACCATGTTGTCCAGGCTGGTCTCGAACTTCTGACCTCAGGTGATCCGTCCGACTTAGCCTCCCAAAGTGCTGGGATTACAGGTGTGAGCCACCATGCCCGTCTGCTCCAGTTGCTCTTTATCCTTATCAACATTTGCTAGTATCTCTTTTTCATTTTAGCTATTCCAGTGGTGGTAACACTTTGTGGTCATAATTTGTACTTCCATTATGACAAAGAAGAGTTTTTAACACCTGGGAGATTCTGGAGCATACCTGTATGATGATAGGAAAGTTCCTGTAGAGATGGAAAGCAAAAGCTCAGAGGGGATGGGCCACAGGGTAGACAGATTGATTTTTTAAATTAAATCAGGACTACATCTCAAGAGGGTACGCTTCAGGGTCTAAGTGACCAAGGTTCAAAGCTTGGCTTTGCTATCCTCTAGCTGTGACCTTTAACAAGTTACTTAACTTCTCTGAACCTTTTTTTCTCACCTGAAAATGGGAAGAACTAATCTACCTTGCCAGAATTGTGAGGATCACATGAGATAACACTAGGTAAAAGTACCTATCTCAGTGCCTGGCAAATAAGCATTCTTCCAGCAGAGAGTGGCTACTTTCTTCTTTACTTCTCAAAATATGTAATTACTTATGAATTATTTTAGAGAGGCTTAGCCTAAGCCCTGTTGATAGACTTTTCACAGAATTTCCTTTCAAAACCATTGCAATTGTCTTTAATTGCTTTTTAATGATAATACACAAGATGAAGCTAAGCCCATTCTGTACTAATGATTCATAATGTGGGATACTTTTCTTTATGCACTAACAACATAGATGCTTTTAACCATTCCAGAAATACGTTAGTGACAGTAGGCGTACCACCCTCAATAAACTGGACATGATTCTGTAAGGCTTGCTTTCCAGCCCTTTTCTGATTTGTCATGTCAGAAAGGCATTTCTTTAAGGTTTGGGGGCATTTTATTTAGGTATTTTAAAAGGATTTTTGTAAACTTTTATACAATGGTGCACCATAAGTGTGTTAATTCCAAGATGTAGCTGTCTATGCTTTTGTGTAAAGCCTGTTGTTGCAGAACTACCTTGGTGCACAGAGCAGTTAATTAAAATCAGAATAGATTGGATGAGAACCTTGGGAATTTTTTTACTGCCTTAGTTTTTTGGTGTCTTTGGAGTTACATTGCAAACCAGCATGGCCCTTCTACTCCTCTCTCCCCTTCATGGGAAGACCCATGACAACCACTGATCTGCTTTAAATCATTTGCCTTGGGCAGGTGAACAAGCGGAGAAGTGTTTTGAAACTACTTAGGAATCTAGGACTTAATAGGTAGAAATCACATTATCTACCCTCTTGCCTCTAACTATGACTGTACCAAGCCCACCTGGAATAGGTAATTTATCTTATTCTGTTATTAACACTGTTATTTTCCTGTTCAGCAGGGCTAACTCTCCCAAGAAATACTAGCATACTTATCAAGCTGACAAAATCCTACATGCTAGCTAGCCATTCTTGCCTCATATCACAAGGTTCTTCCACAGGGAATAGTAAATGTTTTTATTCACTACTGGCCCTACATCTCCCATTTTTCTCCCTTTTAGGGAAAGTGGAAGAGGAGACCCTAGCAGGCTTCAAGCAAGCTCTGTAGGACAGCAGTTAGACACTGTTTTTGAGGACTAAATTGCCAAGTCTGTCTTTTAAGAAGAGGGTGAGGGGAGTTTGGGAAGGAATGTTCAAGCCCTGAGTGAAGATCCAATAATTTTCTTTCAAGATCAGAAGGAGGTTTGTAGATAAGAGAGAAAAGTTTTTCATTTATCACCTTAGGGAGAATTCTTTCTACACCTCACAATTAGTTCCACTTTCAGTCCTTTAATAGCATTATCAAATGCCATGTATGTATATCTATTTAGGGATGAGGAATGAAAAAAATATTCCCAAGAGAAAAGTATTTTAGCTTATATAGCGTTGTTAGTTACAAACTCTTTCCTTCCGCCCTCTGAAATAACCCTGAACGTAGTTGTTATTTAGGGTTAGGGCTTTCCAGTTTGGCAGGAGAGTACTTCTAACTGACCACATTAGGACATGTTTCTTTTTTGGTATTTAAATATCTGTCAGAGTGGCCGGGCATGGTGCTCATGCCTGTAATTCCAGCACTTTGGGAGGCTGAGGCAGGTGTATCACCTGAGGTCAGGAGTTCAAGACCAGTCTGGCCAACATGGTGAAACCCCGTCTCTACTAAAAATACAAAATTAGCCAGGTGTAGTGATGCACACCTGTAGTCCCAGCTACGCAGGAGGCTGAGGCAGGAGAATCGCTTGAACCCTGGAGATGGAGGTTGCAGTGAGCTGAGATCTTGCCGTTGCACTCTAGCCTGGGTGACAAGAGTGAATCTCCATCTCAAAAAAGAAAAAATTTATATATATATACATATATATATGGAGTAAAATATATATATAGATATAAATATCTATAGATATAGATACAGATATAGGTATATAAAGAGTAAAAGCCTAGTCGGCTGACTTTGGCAAACCTGTTCTGTTAGACTGAGCAGGTCTAAGGTATGTTAACACTGGAGAATCTTGCCACTACCTGATCTTTCCTGTAATAACCCCCTTCCCCACATATGTATATTCCTAGCATAAGACTTCATTCTCCACCTAAACTTGGAGACTGTGGGGTGGCAGAATGGCAATTTTTTTTTTTTTTTTGAGATGGAGTCTCGCTCTGTTGCCCAGGCTGGAGTGCAGTGGTGCAATTTCAGCTCACTGCAACCTCCACCTCTTGGGTTCAAGTGATTCTCCTGCCTCAGCCTCCTGAGTAGCTGGGACTACAGGCATGTGCCACCATGCCCGGCTAATTTTTGTATTTTTAGTAGAGACGGGGTTTCACCATGTTAGCCAGGATTGGTCTCACTCTCCTGACCTTGTGATCCACCCACCTCAGCCTCACAAAGTGCTGGGATTACAGGCCTGAGCCACCGCGCCCAGCCAGCCTTCTTTTTAAAAGTAGCCAGATGACTTGAATAGGCTGATAGCTCTTCTTTCAGAGATGTTCAGAAGAGGCACTTAAGGTTAGAACCAAAGTTAAGAGAATAAAAATAGTGTGGAGGAAGATGGGTTCTCTTGACTCCAGCTAAAGAAGAGTTTTCTTCTGTCTTGTATCAAGATGTTCAAGTTGAGCTATATGCCTTTCAAGGCTCCAAATCCCCTCGGGACAAAGACCTAGTCGAAATCACTTTTGGTGTTTCCAGTACCCACAATATAGCTGGTGCTTCGTAAGTACATTGATTTTTGCTGGGCGTGGCAGCTCCCACTTGTAATCTTAGCACTTTGGGAGGCCAAGGCAGGTGGATCACCTGAGGTCAGGAGTTTGAGATGAGGCTGGCCAACATGGAGAAACCCCGTCTCTACTAAAAATACAAAAATAAGCTGGGTGTGGTAACTCCCTGTTGTCCCAGCTACTCGGGAGGCTGAGGCAGGAGAATCGCTTTAACATGGGAGGTGGCGGTTGCAGTGAGCCAAGATCGCGCCATTGTACTCCAGCCTGGGTGACAGAGTGAGACTCTGTCTCAAGGAAAAAAAAAAAAAAGTAACGTGGATTTAAACAATATACAACTTTCCAGTTTTTCCTACTGATTGTGCCTTACCAGGTGGGTCTGCCTATTTTGTGCAAAGTCCTTTTAGGAAAAATTTACAACCTGTAGATTCCTTGTGTGGAACAAAAGTTTATTTTTTTCATGTGGCTAAATCTATCTCCCCTTTCCTTTTTTATTTTTTTAATTTTTGAGACAGGAACTTGCTCTGTGGTGCCTAGACTAGAGTGTGCTGTGGCATGATCATAGCTCACTACATCCTCCTGGACTCAAGTGATCCTCTGTCCTCAGCCTCTCACATAGCTGGGACTACAGGTGCGTGCCACCATGCCCAGCTAATTATTATCATTATTATTATTATTATTTTATTTTTTATTTTTTTGAGACAGAGTCTCGCTCTGTCACCCAGACTGGAGTACAGTGGTGCGATCTCGGCTCACTGCAAGCTCCGCCTCCCGGGTTCACGCCATTCTCCTGCCTCAGCCTCCCGGGTAGCTGGGACTACAGGCGCCCGCCACCACGTCTGGCTAATTTTTTTGTATTTTCAGTAGAGACGGGGTTTCACTGTGTTAGCCAGGATGGTCTCGATCTCCTGACCTCGTGATCCGCCCACCTCGGCCTCCCAGAGTGCTGGGATTACAGGCTTGAGCCACTGTGCCTGGCCTATTATTATTATTTTTTATAGAGATGGAGTCTCAGTGTGTTGCTCAGGTTGATCATGAATTCCTGGCCTCAAGCGATTCTCCTGCCTTGGCCTCCCAACATGCTGGGATTATAGATGTAAGCCACTGTGCCCAGCCCCTTTCCTGTTTATTTTGTACTTTCACTTTTCTATTGCTAATACTATAAATTTATATTTGGTTATACCTGCCTTCACCTCTGCCCCACTGTCTGGTGAATGAGGTGACTTTTATCCTGCCCGGGAATAGACCTACCCCCTAATCTGATCACATGATCACTTCTTTTTCTTATGTATTTATTTATTTATTTATTTTTGAGACAGAGTTTCGCTCAAAATGCCCAGGCTGGAGTGCAATGGTGTGATCTTGGCTCACTGCAACTTCCACCTCCCAGGTTCAAGTGATTCTCTTGTCTCAGCTTCCCCAGTAGCTTGGATTACAGGCGCGTGCTACCATACCCGGGTAATTTTGTATTTTTAGTAGAGATGGGGTTTCACCATGCTGGCCAGGCTGGTCTCGAACTCCTGACCTCAGGTGATCTGCCCACCTCGGCCTCCCAAAGTGCTGGGATTACAGCCATGAGCCACCATGCCCAGCCATATCACTTCTTTTTCTACTCCAGCCTTTACTCCTATTCCAATCATTTATTGTCAGCTTCACTTCCTCTACAGTCTCTTAATCTTTTGGGGACTCCTCAGCAGTTTGTGAATATGTCTGCATTTATCCTGGTGACACTGGATCTTCTTTAGCAACTGCCTCCTCTCTTCCTTTCATTTTACAGTCAAGTTTCTTGAAATAATAATTTATCCTTGGAATTGTGTGAATTCATACTTCTCATTCACTTTCCAAGCTATGATTATCAGCTTCTTTCTTCCTAAACTGCTTAGGCAAAGAGCACACATGGACACTTTCCTAAACCTTAGTCCATTGGGCATTTTGCATTCTTCATTGTATTGTGTTCTCTGAGACATTTGACAGCGTTGATAATTTCTTCTTGAAACTAAAAACACTCTTCCAGTTCCCCCTGCTCTGAGCATTCTTTTTTCCTCTTTTCTGCTGTGGGCTTTCCCCTGCTTGCCCTATAGATGTGGTTTTCCCATGCCTTCTTCTCTTCTGACCCAGACCATCTAATCAGCCTCCGGCCCCACTCTGGCTTTACGTACTTCCAGTGGGCCATGTGTTCCCAAACCTTTATCTTCAGCCCAAACATGTACCTGTGTATACATCAGCATGTCCCATGAGTACAAAACTCAACTCATCATCTTAACCCGTCCCTATTCTCCACACACAGATACATGCCTCCTCCTGAGGGCTTCATTTCAGTAAGTAATTCCACCATCTATTCTGTTGTGTAATTCAGAGACCCTAGACTTTGTCCTAGACTCTCTTTTCTCTCCCCCTTCTCTCGTCTGCTAGTTCATTCTGCTCATTCTATCAGATCTGCACCTTTTTAAAATTTCCATATTTACCCATCTTGCCTCTCTACTGCAGCAACTTCCTGCTTCCAGCTGGCCCCTTGCTGATCTGTCCCACACACTGCTTATAAGTGTGCACTCTAATATGCAAATGAGACAACAAAATGCCCTAATCGTGTCCCATTACGTATAGGATCCAGTCCAGGTTCCTTACCAGGGAATAAAAGGTTTTTCTTGGCTCTTTGTTTACTACTTGTACCCTCATCTACTCCCTGCCTTGCTCCCTGACCCAACCAAGCATTTTGTAGTTTCTTTTTCTTTTTTTTTTTTTTTTTGAGACGGAGTCTCGCTCTGTCGCCCAGGCTGGAGTGCAGTGGCGCGATCTCGGCTCTCTGCAAGCTCCGCCTCCTGGGTTCACGCCATTCTCCTTCCTCAGCCTCCCGATCAGCTGGGACTACAGGCGTCCACCATCACGCCTGGCTAATTTTTTGTATTTTTAGTAGAGACGGGGTTTCACCCTGTTAGCCAGGATGGTCTTGGTCTCCTGACCTCGTGATCCTCCTGCCTCGGCCTGCCAAAGTGCTGGGATTACAGGCGTGAGCCACCGCGCCCAGCTGCATTTTGTAGTTTCTTTAATGCCATGGTGCATATTACTTGTTTTCTGTTGAAAATTCCTTCTCTTCTTGACTTTCTGGTAAAGTCCCAGTTACTCCCACATCATGATAGGATGTGCGGCACCTCATTTGAAAAGTCTTCTCTGGTCACCCCTCTTCCCCTGTAGAGCTGATCATTTCCCTCTGTGTAGCCTCCCAATAATACATGGTGCAAACCTCCGTTAAAGCACTGATCACCCTGAAATTTCAATATTTGGTTTACATTTCTAGTACCCTGACTAGACCATGAGCTCCTTGAGGGTAGGTACTTAACCTTCCTTACCTAGCACTGGAAACAGCAAGGCACTGGTTTCAGTAAAAGTTGCATGCATCATGAATGAGTAGAGAGTTTAACAGAAGTTAGTGAATTGGCCAGGTGTGGTGGCTCACGCCTGTAATCCCAGCACTTTGGGAGGCCGTGGCAGGCGGATCACCTGAGGTCAGGAGTTTGAGACCAGCCTGGCCAACATGGTGAAACCCCATCTCTACTAAAAATACAAAAATTAGCCAGGCATGGTAGCAGGCGCCTGTAATCCCAGCTACTCGGGAGGCTGAGGCAGGAAAATCACTTGAACCTGGGAGGCAGAGGTTGCAGTGAGCTGAGATCATGCCACTGCACTCCAGCCTGGGCGACAGAAGGAGACTCCATCCCAAAAAAAAGTTAGTGAATTGCCTACAACCTTGTCCTCTTTGCAGGGGACAAGCCCAGAAAGCCAGATGGTAATTGTTGTGAAATCTGTAGGTTTATTAGGTTTATTTTGTACCTTTGCCTTCCCAGAAAAATTGTAGTTAAAAGCATTGTTATAATGTGGATAACAACAACTAATGTTTATATAGTGCTTTATAGCATACAGACTGTCCAGAGGAGAAAAATGAAGTACAGAAAGTCTATTACTTGTTAGAGGGAGGTAACACAGCCCTTAAGTAAGTAGAGCAGGACTTAGGACTGAGGCCTTCTTATTCCAGATTCTATATTCTTTTTATTATTACATACTGTCTCAGATTTGTCTGTCAACGTGTGATTTAAAGAATTACAAAATTTGGCTGGGCATGGTGGCTCACAACTGTAATGCCAGCACTTTGGGAGGCCAAGGCAGGTGGATCACTTGAGGTCAGGAGTTTGAGACCAGCCTGGGCAATATGACAAAACCCAGTCTCTACTAAAAATACAAAAATTGGCTGGGCATGGTGGTTCACGCCTGTAATCCCAGCACTTTGGGAGGCTGAGGTGGGCAGATCATGAGGTCAGGAGATTTGCCCATCCTGGCTAACATGGTGAAACCCCATCTCTACTAAAAATACAAAAAACACACACAAAAAAATGCTCACCATCACTGGCCATCAGAGAAATGCAAATCAAAACCACAATGAGATACCATCTCACACCAGTTAGAATGGCAATCATTAAAAAGTCAGGAAACAACAGGTGCTGGAGAGGATGTGGAGAAATAGGAACACTTTTACACTGTTGGTGGGACTGTAAACTAGTTCAACCATTGTGGAAGTCAGTGTGGCAATTCCTCAGGGATCTAGAACTAGAAATACCATTTGACCCAGCCATCCCATTACTGGGTATATACCCAAAGGACTATAAATCATGCTGCTATAAAGACACATGCACACGTATGTTTATTGCGGCACTATTCACAATAGCAAAGACTTGGAACCAACCCAGATGTCCAACAATGATAGACTGGATTAAGAAAATGTGGCACATATACACCATGGAATACTATGCAGCCATAAAAAATGATGAGTTCATGTCCTTTGTAGGGACATGGATGAAATTGGAAATCATCATTCTCAGTAAACTATTGCAAGGACAAAAAACCAAACACCGCATGTTCTCGCTCATAGGTGGGAATTGAACAATGAGAACACATGGACACAGGAAGGGGAACATCATACTCTGGGGACTGTCGTGGCGTTGGGGGAGGGGGGAGGGATAGCATTAGGAGATATACCTAATGCTAAATAACGAGTTAATGGGTGCAGCACACCAGCATGGCACATATATACATATGTAACTAACCTGCACGCTGTGCACATGTACCCTAAAACTTAAAGTATAATAATAAAAAAAAATAAAAAATTAGCCAGGTGTGGTGGGCGCCTGTAGTCCCAGCTACTTGGGAGGCTGAGGCAGGAGAATGGTGTGAACCCGGGAGGCGGAGCTTGCAGTGAGCTGAGATCATGCCACTGCACTCCAGCCTGGGCGACAGGGCAAGACTCCGTCTCAAAAAAAAAAAAAAAAAGAAAGCAAAAATTAGCTGGGCATGATGACAGCTGCCTGTAATCCCAGCTACTCAGGAAGCTGAGGCAGGAGAATCACTTAAACCTGGGAGGCGGCGGTTTCAGTGAGCCGAGATCATGCTACTCCACTCCAGCCTGGGTGACAGAGTGAGACCCCTGTCTCAAAAAAAAAAAAAAAAAAAACTACAAAATATTTCAGAGGGCTATTCCTCCTCTGTTGTCCCCATTTCTCTTGGCAGCAAAGAACTCATTTACTTTATCATACACACACTCTGTGAAGAACTCTTTACTTCATTATTCCATGTGAACTGTTAATTGCAAGTAAAGGCAGATTACTTGCAATTCTTATTCTAGGAACTTAAGTTCCTGGGAACTAAGTTCCTCTCCTGGGAACTTAGAACCCTCAGACAGGTTATATTGAGTCAGAGAGAAATGTTTCTGATGTGCTGAAGATTGAACAAATGTGTGATTAGTTAAGACTTAGATATTGTATATGATTAATTCATTTGCTAGTTCTTGTTGAGCTACCTGTCTAATTGGGCACTGTTAGACTATCACAATCCCTGTTGTCGTGGGGGTTACAGGCAAGTTACAGGCCAGTTGGGGAGACAGGTGTTAATCAGAGACCCCTGCAAGGGAGCGAATTATATCACAGGTGCAGTGGAGGCAGTGTTGGAAAGCTAAAAAGGACCTAGAGAAGTGAAGAGGCCTGAGGTTATGAGCTATTTGACCTAGGAAGTTACTTCCCCTTGCTGGTTCTCATTCTTTTTTCCTCGATGAAATAACCCAGGTTGAATCAGTTGGCTTCTTAGTTCCTTCTAGCTTATGAAAGTGCCCTTGTTAAAACAATGAGTCAGGAGACAGCAGAGCATTCTATTGTGTGAACTGATTATCAAATAATAACACTAAATGTTTCATTTATTGTCTCTGTAAGCAAAGAGTTCAGGCTCAAAGTATCTACATGGGCTGCTTTAGTCTACTGAGAAAAACATACTCATATCTCACATCAATGCTTGGCATTTGAGTGGGCCCTCTTACAATTGTTAGGTTATTCTGACATTTGAGGGATTGGATCCAGATCCTCTTTGTTTTGTGATCGTAAAAATCATCAGCCCTTTGTCCCCAGTACCTGCATTTGATATGTACTATGGGAGTAATAAACCAACACTTTTTTTTTTTTTGAGACAAGGTCTCACTTTGTCACCCAGGCTGGAGTGTAGTTGTGCAGTGGCACGATCTCGGCTCACTGCCATCTCCGCCTCTCAGGCTTAAGTGATCCTCTCACCTCAGCCTCCTGAGTTGCTGGATTACAGGTGTGTGCCACCACACCTGGCTGATTTTTGTATTTTTTTGTAGAGATGGGATTTTGCCATGTTGGCCAGACTGGTCTTGAACTCCTGAGCTCAAGCAATCTTCCCACCTTGGCTTCCCAAAGTGCTGGGATTATAGGCGTGAGCCACCACACCTGGCCAACGCTTCTTTTTTTTTTTGAGATGGAGTTTTGCTCTTGTCACCCAGGCTGGAGTGCAATGGCACGATCTCCCGTCACTGCAATCTCTGCCTCATGAGTTCAAGCAATTCTCCAGCCTCAGCCTCCCAAGTAGCTGGGGTTACAGGCGCCTGCCACCCCGCCCAGCTAATTTTTATATTTTTAGTAGAGACAGGGTTTCACCATGTTGGCTAGGCTGCTGTCGAACTCCTGACCTCAGGTGATCCACCCGCCTTGGCCTCCCAAAGTGCTGGGATTACAGGAGTGAACCACTGCACCTGGCCCAACACTTTTTTTTTTTTTTTTTTTTGAGACGGAGTTTCACTCTTGTTGTCCAGGCTAGAGTGCAGTGGCACGATCTGGGGTCACCACAACCTCTACTTCCCGGGTTCAAGCCATTCTTCTGCCTCAGCCTTCCGAGTAGCTGGGATTTCAGGCATGCGCCACCACACCCTGCTAATTTTGTATTTTTAGTAGAGATGGAGTTTCTCCATGTTGGTCAGGCTGGTCTCGAACTCCCGACCTCCGGTGATCCACTCGCCTCAGTCTCCCAAAGTGCTGGGATTACAGGCGTGAGCCACTGCGCCTGGCTCCGAACACTTCTTAATAAACCTACAGAGGCTCTGATTCAGTAAGGAAGCAAATATTTGTTGAGCTTCTACATGGACAACAGTGCTAGGGAACAGTACTGTACATAATGAATAAATATCCCCTGCCCTGGAGGAATTTATGGCTTAGTAGTAGAAAATAAAGAGCAAGATATAACTGTGCAAGAAAGTATAATAGGTGCTGTGATAGAAGTTTATCTAGGATTGGGGGTACAAATGTAAGAGTAGTTTTACTGGCTGGCAGGAGGGGAAATCAATGAATGGACAACATAGTATAGGGAAAAGGATGTTAGGTTTGGAGTCAGAAGACCTGGGTTTGTAGAATCTCAACTCTGTATATTAGCTCTCTATATATTGGCTATATATTTGATTTCTTTGAGTCTGGGTTGCATCATTTATATAAAGCAATGAACAATAGTCTTCCCCAGCTCAGCGCCATGGCTCACGCCTTAATCCCAGCACTTTGGGAGGCCGAAGTGGGCCGATCACAAGGTCAGGAGTTCGAGACTAGCCTGGCCAATGTGGTGAAATCCCATCTCTACTAAAAATACAAAAAAGCCGGGCGTGATGGCGGGCACCTGTAATCCCAGCTACTTGGGAGGCTGAGGCTGGAGAATCGCTTGAACCCAGGAGGCGGAGGTTGTGATGAGCTGAGATCACGCCACTGCATTCCAGCCTGGGCAACAAGAGCAAAACTCCATCTCAAAAAGAAGAAAAACAAAATCTGTTTGAAAACACATCCTCCCCTCCACCTTGGTGGCATGCGTGCATTGAGTGTCACTGCTCACCTGTGCTCTCGGACATCAAAAGGACAGTAGAGGTGTGTCTTAACTCTGACCTTTTCCCCTTTCCTCCCTTGCACCAGATTTTATCATGTGGGCAACCTGCTGCAACTGGTTCTGCCTGGATGGACAGCCTGAGGAGGTCCCACCACCCCAGGGAGCCAGGATGCAGGCCTATTCCAACCCTGGGTACAGCTCCTTCCCTTCCCCAACAGGCTTGGAACCAAGCTGCAAGTCCTGTGGGGCTCACTTTGCAAACACGGCCAGGAAGGTGAGTGCTGACTTCTTGGCCTGCTCTGCCACTGCAGCCTATGGACCATGGGCAAGCGCCACTGACCCCTCTGAATGCCTGCAACCTTTCCTTTCCCTGTGTGATGCTGGTGACCCAGAGCTGTCCCTTTCACAAAAATGTTCAAGAAGAACTAACTGAGTAAAAGCAAAAGCAAAGCATGTCAGCATAGATTTGGAGTCAGTAGACCTAAATTCAGTTATCAGCGTTGCTACCTACTAGCTATATGATCTAACCTCTCTTGAGATTCAGTTTCCCTGTTATAAAATGGGGATGATTGTAGTCCTCATCTTTCAGGGTTGTGGGAATAAAGTGAGACAAGAAAGCCATGAAAGGTGCCTAGCACAATGCTTAGAATGTCGTAGGCACTTGATGTTATTTCCATCATTAGCCACCATCACAAAGGCCTGATTGCAGATTAACTTGTTCTTTTTATCAAAAGCAACGTTAAGGATGCCTCAGGTACATGAAGACCATAACAAAGACTGGAGCTTATTTACTGTAGCAGATTTCATTTGAAATGCTTGGGAGCCATGCTTCCCAAATGAATGAGCTGGAAAAAAAATTACTGGCTAGATAATGGTGTCTAGGTGTGCACCCTCCCTCTTCCAGAGGCAGTGAGTTATCTGTGATCAAGCATGACTAGGCAGAAGGTAAACCCTCACCTGGATAAAGAACTCCTGCATTCTGCATTTTTCTGCAGAATGAGAGGTTTGCAGCTCAGAATAAGTGATAGGATATGATGTTAAAATGGTGATCATGGGAAATTTGAGAGGAAATCATACTTTTAAACCATCTGCTATGTGCAAAGGACTGTTTAAGGAATTTAAATTTTTTTATTTCATTTAATCCTCACAATAGCTATGATATAGGTTTTAGAATCTCCCAAATCCCATTTTACATATGAGAAACTAGGGCTTAGGGTTTAAAATTTAAGAAGAACATTGAATGTGTTAAATTCCTGACAAATAGCATGAGAGATATTAAAATACTCATTCTTTTCCCTTGACTTCAGTAGTGCTCAAGATCACATAGTTATTAAATGACAGAGCCGGGATTCAAACCCAGGTCCTTGATTCCAAAGCCCCTCCCAGAAGACATTCAGCATGTCGAGTAGAAGATGACAGTTACAGGCCTGGGTGCCTAGAAAAGCATGGCAATGATTAAAATAAGGTGCTTTTTTTCTTACTTATTGGAAAATGAATTACTGAATATCTACTGTGTATCAGGAATTGCCTGGGCTAGGGAGGCAGAGATGAAGAAGGCCATTGCTGCTTAACGGGGAGCTTGCAGTTGGACAGGGAGGTGAGGACAGTGCACACCATACGATGTGACAAAAGAAAAGTGTGTGTAACAAGAGCTTCTGGAGGGGAAGAAAAATTCCAGTTTGGATGGTAAAAGATGGTTATTGGTACAATATTTTCTTGCTACAATATTTTCTTGCTACAAAAGTATGAGTTAATTTTGTGCAATTTACAGTGAATTTTGTGAATATTAAGGGTGTTTTCATCTATGAGAATTTTTCATTTGTAATTTCATGCTTAAGTGGATCAGCATTCTTATCTTAAGGGTTTGGCATTTAACACCCAGGGGCTTTCAAAATGTCTTTTTCTAGAAGTGCTTGAATTGAAATGATTCCATGGATCCTACTATCTTTTTCTTTTCCTTATTCTTCATTATGGTCAGTACTTTCTGAATGCTTATTGGGTGCAAAGCACAGATAACATTCAGGACTTTATAGACAGAATATAAGTAAGATGTGGCCCTTGCATTCCCTGAGTTTTCAGTCCTAAAGAGAAATGGCAGGCTGTACTTTTGCCACAAGCCAAATACCCCATCTCTATTGGTAATACCTCCCTGTGGTTTAGCAGCGACCCTGACGGTTTTGGAGGGAGTCTGGCACCCAGCCTCTTTAGTTGGACCAGTTGGAGGATGAGGTTATGCTTGGAGCCATGGAAGTGATATTCAGATCTCAGAGTGTTAAGAGAGGACTGGGTCTTAGGTGCTGGTAAGGGGAAAGAAAAAGGTAACCGTGTTACCTTTTCTGGAGCATCCACTTTGTGCTAAGGTTTTATATACATTCTCTCATGTAATACTTCCCATATTCCAGGGAATAGGGTGGGAGGGAGTAGGAGCAAGGGAAGGGCAGTTGGCAAACGGGAGCCAGCAGAACCCTGCACACGGCATCCTTGAAGGGTGGTGTCGGCCTGAGGCGCCACGGCCAGTTCTGTGATGCTGGATATCTCAGTACACCCTGGGCATTTCTGCAGGCATGTTGGTTGCCTCCACTAATTCATCTTTCATGCTACCTGGTTACTGAGTTGTTTTGAACCATTCGGCAGAATTTATACATAAGTGTGTCCTTTGCTCATTCTGCCTGCATTTGTTGACAGCCCTTTTTTCCTTTCTTCTTGTTTTCTTCTGCCACTGCAAACTGGGGTTTTAGCCTCAAGCCCTATCCTGTTCCTGTAGGGTGTGTTTCAGATGCCAGCTTATTTCAGAGTTCCCTGTGAGCCAGCGGGTGCATAGAAGCTAGGTTGTTGTCTGCATTCTGATCTTGCATCCAGCAAGCCACACACATTTGAAGAAAGAATAGAGAGTTGTTTGGATCTGGCTGATTGAGCAACGCAGGCTTTATAATTGTGTCAAGCTAGGTCTTGTCAGACTGCATCGACTTAAGTAATATTCCATGTCAGGCCCACAGGTTTATGGCATTGAAGCCTCTTTGTTTCAGTCTCAGTCATCCTAAACAGACTTCATTTCCCAATAGAAAAGCTTTAGATGTGAATGAACCCCAAATACCTGAAAACATCCATTTTCTGCCTGCATGGCTACTGGTCCCAGAACCGTTACAATGCTAGTGCAGCCATGCATCCTTTTAAGTCCATCTCTGAACAGTATTGTTTGGTTATAACTGTATGGAGAATTAGGGAGCTTGATATATGTCCCTTTGCAATGCCTTCTAAGTCTTAATAGCCAAAACTGGGTGGTAAATATTATTTCCTTTTCCCTTTACTATGTGAATGATACTTAGACAAAACTTATATAACTATCTTAACTATGCAGACATTTACTTCAGCCCAGAGTGTCTGTGATCTTGACTATGAGAATCTTGTCTCTTGAGCTTTCTTTTTTAGCTTGAATATCTTTCTATATTTCGAAAAGATGGACCAGAAATATTTAAGTTACTACTTAAGTCAACACAGGATGAAAAGTTTTTAACTTCTTTAAAGGATTAATGAGGGTGCCCTCCAGGCCAATCCCAGTGTGCTCAGGAATTACCTCTCTTGTTGGGGATGTGACATGCTCTTGGCCAGAACAGAGCTCAGCCGGATGTCACTGTGCTCACTCAGCCTGTGGGGTGAGAGGCCGAGGATTGCTTCCTGTGGGCTGAGTAAGCCTTCCTGTGTTGTCAGCGACTGCCAGACTAGCTGCTGCCAGGCAGTACCAGCTTGCCCATCAGGCGCTCTTGTTGCCTAACTGAGACACTCTGTGCTTTCAGGAACGAGAGTACCCTGATGTCCAGACAGCCTCCCGTTGCTGTCTAAATATTTGTCTTGGATATGCTTGTAAGCACCACTGGGTTCCCAGCACTCTGAGTGGGCCTTCCTGGAGTGGGGAGCCTGTGTCGATGGAGCAGTGGGTGGGGAATTTGGAGATGGAAGCCAGGCCCTTGACTCAGAACTGCTCTGTACTTGAATGGAACTGAGCTATGCAGTATGGCCTGGTGGAAAGAATGTGATCATGGGCATTAGCCTCCAACAGACCTTGAGTGTGAATACCCGCTCTCCTGTTTATTGCCTGACCTTGAATACAACAGTTGATCTCCCTAAGCCTCGGTTGCTTTGTCTGTGAATCAGGGAAGAACACTAATACCTACTTTGCAATGTCGCTTTGAGAATTAAATGACAAGCTAGCATATAGAAGCACCTCAATAAATTAATATTAATTGTAACAACCACCACCACCATAACCTTCATGCAGAAATAATTACAGTTTAGGATTTGAATCCTGGCTGTCACCGTTAGGTAATATTTCCTAGCTATAATAAAACAGCTTACACTTGTTGAGGACTCATTTTGTGTTAGATATGCTAAATGGGTTCTCTCTTAATCTTCACAACAACCCCATGAGGTAGATACTGTTATCACCCCCATTTTACAGATGTGGAAACTGAGCACCAGAGAGGCTAAATTACACACCCAAGGTGATACTGCAAGAAATAAGGGAGGGAGGCTTAATAAAAATGCAGAGCTTTTTGATTCTTATGCTGGTAGTCTTAATTAATACCTCAGGTGCTTCAGGAGTAAATAAAGTAAGCCTCAAATTAAATAATAAATGTGAAGTGTCCTGTACATGGATATACACAATACATAGTGGAGGTCTTCCACCCGAGTGGCTTTTAATCTAAAATCTGAAAGTGGCTTGCACCCTTAGATATATGAGAGAGCTTAGTAAAAGTAAGAGTGACTGGAGGAGATCCTGCTGGGCTTGGCAGCTCTGAAGCTCCCATCGCACTCTCTGTCTTGTTCTCTCAATCTGACATGGTTTCCTGTGTCTTTTGCTCTAAGCAGCAGACCTGCTTGGACTGTAAGAAAAATTTTTGCATGACCTGTTCGAGCCAAGTAGGGAATGGGCCCCGCCTCTGCCTTCTCTGCCAACGGTTTCGAGCTACAGCCTTTCAGCGAGAGGAGCTCATGAAGATGAAGGTGAAGGACTTGAGGGACTATCTCAGCCTCCATGACATCTCTACCGAAATGTGCCGGGAGAAAGAAGAGCTGGTGCTCTTGGTCCTTGGCCAGCAGCCTGTAATCTCCCAGGAGGACAGGACTCGTGCCTCCACCTTGTCCCCAGACTTTCCTGAGCAGCAGGCCTTCCTGACCCAGCCTCACTCCAGCATGGTTCCACCTACCTCACCCAACCTCCCCTCTTCATCTGCACAAGCCACCTCTGTTCCCCCAGCCCAGGTTCAGGAGAATCAGCAGGTAAGGGCCCATTTGTAGTCTCTGCCAGTCTGTGCCAGTTTGAGGGCTCATTTTCATTTTCCTCTCCTGCCTTTGTTGTGAGAATGGGGTATAAGGCTAAGTGTCTTGATTATGTGAAGCCTTTCTGACTACTGGTGCACCAAGTGTTTTCTGGGTATCAGACTCATGTTTTGGCTTTCTTCAGAGGTGATATGCACAGTACCAATTTTTTTGTTTGTTTTTTGTTTTTAATACACACATATCCTAGTTAGACATTTTTTAAAGTTCATCATTCCAGAAATATTTTGAGAAAAGTAACCATTAAGCCATCAAATTTAGTTCTGTTCCAATTTGTCTTTCAACTTAACTCCTTTGTTGCAGTCTTCATTGGCTGGATTGGAAACTTAGTTCCTTAGTAACCATCACAAGGAATATAGGAAAGCAAAGGGCTATATGGAGGCAAGGGAGGGTGGGGAAACAGACAAAGACACTGCTTCTCTTACCAGTCACTGGCTGGAAGCAGGAGTAGTTGGCACGCTGTACTTGCATGCTGCTTCTTCATTATCCTGGGGGGCTTGGAAGTGGTAAGCTAAGAGCAGCACATCAACTGAATCATGACCCAGGTCTGGGGAGTATAGAAATGAGTAATAAACTGTCTCTGTCCTCAAAAAGCCCCCAGAAGAGGGAAGGTAGACAGGTAGACCAACTAACTACTGGATTAGAGTGAGGCCAGTGGACATAATTGTTGTATAAGAAGTGATGATGTTGCATAAGTGCCTTAAGTGACTCTGTTATTTATAGCAGCGGCCCCTAACCTTTTTGGCACCAAGGACTCGTTTTGTGGAAGACAATTTTTCCACAGACTGGGGTGCGTTGGTTTTGGGATGAAACTATTCTACCCAGATCATCAGGCATTAGTTAGATTTTCATAAGGAGCATGCATCCTAGATCCCTCGCATGCGCAGTTCACAACAGAGTTCACATTCCTATGAGAATCTAATGCCACCGCTGATCTGACAGGAGGCAAAGCTCAGGCAGTAATGCTTACTTGCCAGCCACTCACCTCCTGCTGTGCATCCGGGTTCCCAACAAGCCATGGACCAGTACCAGTCTGTGGCCCAGGGGTTGGGGACCCTTGATCTATAGGGCTTGGGCAATATGGGGGAATTAGGAACTACAAGATCCAATTTCCACATCCACTTTTGTCACTGACTTCTTGATCCCCTTGGGCAAATGTTGAGCCTACAACAATGAAATGAGGTTAGTAATCACAGACCACTTTTGATCTTGCCAGGATGTTGAGAGACCTGAATGCGTGATACCATGTCTAAAAGAGCTCTGAGTTACTTAGAGCTGGTATAGTGCTAGTGCTGTTGGTTCCCACACATGATGTGGATGGCTGCTGCCACTTGTTTATGATCACCTCCTTTGCCAGGACTGGGCCCCCTGATTCAGCTCTTGACAACCACTGAGGCATAAAGGCCAATGTGATAGCATAATTTAACTGCAGTAAAATCATTTAACTCCCTTTTTGGCCTGAACATGTTTTTCTCCGCAGCTGGACTTTAATTCTTTCCTAAGCTCTGACTCTTGGTCTGCTAGACAGATTTAAACTCCTGCTATATATTCTTCCCTTTGCTTGTGTTTTTTTTTTTTCCACTCTATGTATAAGGAGCCAGGAGAAGAACTTGAGGAATTCTTTTTCTGTAAAGAACCTTGGCTGGGCGTGGTGGTTCATGCCTGGTAATCCCAGCACTTTGGGAGGCTGAGGCAGGCGGATCATTTGAGCCCAGGCATTTGAGACTAGCCTGGCAACATGGCAAAAACCTGTCTCTACAAAAAATACAAAAATTAGCTGGGCGTGGTGGTGGGTGCCTGTAGCTACTCAAGAGGCTGAGGTGGGAGGATCATTTAAGCCTGGGAGGTCGAGGCTGCAGTGAACCATGATCATGCCACCACACTCCAGCCTGGGCAACAGAGTGAGATCCTGTCTCAGAAAACAAAAACAAAAAACCAAGCAAACTTTTCAGGTAGATTTTTCAATGAAAGATGATAAGCTTCCTGTCATTAACCAGAAATTTCCAGATTGCACCTAAAGGTCACCCTACATACAAGATCTAAGTGGGTACTTTTCCTCTGAGATTTTCAAGAGACCTTAGTGTCTGCTTACATCCCCTGTTCTGGTGAGAGCTGCACTTTGCAAGCAGGAAAAACAGGCATGGAAGAATTAAGTAA
Organism: Homo sapiens; assembly: GCF_000001405.40. NCBI lineage: Eukaryota > Metazoa > Chordata > Mammalia > Primates > Hominidae > Homo > Homo sapiens. The sequence goes on along the minus strand of NC_000017.11, from coordinate 35,019,156 downwards.
CTTACGCAGTACTGTCTGACAAGTTCATAAGTGAGCTGCACCTAGAATGTAAATTTCCTTATAATACTTGCTCAACCAGAGTTCTCTCTTTCACCTTTAGTGCCCTAGCAATCAATAGTTGCTAGGCAAGGAAGTATATACAATAAGCACAACTGTGGACAGGTACTAGTTTTGGATTTTTATTTAGCCAGTGGGCAAACTGGAAAGACAAGAGCATGCTTTGCAGCATGAGGTCGTTTCTCTTTCTAGGAAACAGGACATCTGAAAGATAGCTACTTAGGAACAGGTTAGGCTCTGAAGGATTCCAGGGTAATTCCAAGGTAACACTACCTGAGAGACCAGTGAGGATCTACAGTAAGCTAAGAGAAAACGTTGTTGATGAAGACATTGATTTGGATCCATCCCCATACATGTGTACTATGCATTTGATCTTGCCTTGATTTGGCATTTTGTTACTTCTGCTTTTCATTTCCATTGCAGTTGGTTGCCTCTTCTTGATTAGCTCCATATTATGAATCCTAATGTGGGGTGAGTGGCTGGGGTCGGTGGGTGTCTTTGGTTTCCCAGATTGTCCCTTCACTGGCATCCCCAGAATCTGGTGGAAAAGGCCTGTGAGCTCAGACACCTCTTTGCTCTGAGCTCACAGCAGGCCCTTTGCCTGCAGGGAGCAGTGGGCGAAGAGGATCTACTTAAGGGGTTTGTGGCTTAAATGGTGATGGAATTAGGAGGCTAACAGTTCTGCCTACTCTTTGGCCAAACCTCCTAAAAGAGTACTCAGGAGGAACCTTTTGAGAAGTGAGAATTCTAAGCATAATGAAATTCCGTAAGCATAGGCAGTGTTTTATATAGTGTTAGGCTAATAGATTCTTAGATACATTAAAATACTCTTTGACTAGGTCTGGACATAGCACTTAATAATAGTGTGCTCAACATGGGGAGCACATTTCCAGAATGTGAGAGTAGTTACTAGGCAGAAAAGAAAGAGACTAGGGTGGTGATGATCTGGAAACTTTGTCCCATCAGTGTCAGATAAGGAAGCCAGGGAGATTTAGTGTGAAGGAGGGGAAAACATGGTATAAACAGTTTGGGAAAAACAAAAAACAAACAAACAAAAACCCCAGGAGACTATGGTCTGAGGAGCAGAACCAGGGATAGGGATGGCAATTTTGGATCAGTGTCAAGAAAAACCTTGATGCCAGATAGAGAGCAGTCCAGCAGTGGAATGGACACAATGACCTTCCCTTCACCTGTGGTGCTCAAGCTGAGATTAAATTGATGATGAGTTGTGGCTACTGCCATCCTGGTGTGTGCAGAATTAATGCAGTTTTGTTCTAGAGGGCAGCTTTGTCTATTGAAATGTATTTTTGTTGTTTCTCTGCTTGACAAAGTTGGTATGAGAGAGCAGGCTTTTGTAATGATGCTGTAAGAGGCTCCGGATTTCTGGGCATGATGGGAGTACATTCTGGACATTGTGTGAGTTGAAAAGAGGCCCATGCTATGCAGATCTCTGGGACATCTCTAGATGTGATGTTACTTTTCTCTTCCCACAGGCCAATGGCCATGTGTCTCAGGATCAAGAGGAACCCGTCTACCTGGAGAGCGTGGCCAGAGTACCTGCTGAGGATGAGACCCAGGTGGGGCCTCTGCTTGGGTCTGTGTCTTCACCTTTCCTCTTTCACTGGTGTTCTTCGGAACCTCTTAGCAGAGTCGAGTGGAGAGAGAATAAATGTGTGATGATAGTGCTTCCGAAATTATATTTTTGGGGTAGGGTTTAGTGTTAGTGTTCCAGGTTAACTAGTGAAGCGGTCAGTGTATTTATAAGGAGTTGTGAGGTCACAGTGGAGACGGAGAAGCCTCATGGCCCATTGTATTTCCAGTCTCTTGACTTTCTAAGAGCTGCCGGAGGGCAGGCTTGTGGTCCTGCTGTTAAAGTCTTGTTCTTTCCTTGCTTCTAGCACACTGTAGCCATTGTCAAGGGAAGGAGGTCAGACAATTAGCCAGGCAGGGCCAGTCCAGAGCACAGACCAGGGAGCTGTGGCCAAGGTTGTGTATAGAGGAGTACTTGCCAGGGAAATGTGCCTCTTGTGGGCAAGCAGAAGTCTCCAGGGGAGAAGGGCCAGCACCATGCTGGGTTTCATGTGCGGCCATATTTAACCTCTACAGGACCCCTGTGGGGTAGGACTGCTCTCTCCCCTTAATGGAGGGGCAAACGGGCTCAGAGTGGTAAGCAACTTGCTGGATATTATTTAGCATTAACAGCAGAGGAGTCAAGATTCAAAATTAGGGTCATATGACTCAAACCAGCACTCCTTCTACTATACTTCTATCTAGTACTATATCACACTGATTGGTTGGTCTGTGTCTGTTTGCTCCTGAGCACAGAATCGTGGGTCAGGAAGAGATTCTAGTATATTTTGCAATGCAGAGCACCATGCCAGGTACTCATCCTGTCTCTGTTCCTACCCTTCATGAGGTCAGTCACCAAAATTATGATGTGGTGACTGCTTTGGGGTCCTTGGAGAAAGAGCTTGGGGAGGTAAGAGCTGAGCACACTGATCTCATCTTTGTCATTGCAGTCTATTGACTCAGAGGACAGCTTTGTCCCAGGCCGAAGGGCCTCTCTGTCTGACCTGACTGACCTGGAGGACATTGAAGGCCTGACAGTGCGGCAGCTGAAAGAGATCTTGGCTCGCAACTTTGTCAACTACAAGGGCTGCTGTGAGAAGTGGGAGCTGATGGAGAGAGTGACCCGGCTATACAAGGATCAGAAAGGACTCCAGCACCTGGGTGAGGGGCTATCTGCATGGTAGCTTTACAGAGCTCAGGAGTGTTTGCTGTCACTCCAAAGCATGATGGTATTGACCTGACTCAATTTCCACACTTAAGCCATGGAAGGAGACACCTTACATATTTGCACCGTCTAATAATAGCTGTCATTTGTGGTTGAGTGTCAAAACTAGATTAGGCATTGCATGTATGTATTTATTCCTTAGAGCAACCTATGAAATAGACATTATTAGCATCACCCCTTTATCTGAAAGGTAAAATTTAACTGAAAATTTTATGGTCTAAGTCCATAGCCTTTCTCACCATATGCTATCCCCTCCCTACTCACCACCACCTTGTAAGTTTTCTTACCTTAGAATAAGAATGCTTGTTCTGAAGATTTGGGAGGTAGAAAGTGAATCTACATACATGGCAGGAGAAGATAGCTGTTCCATCTGCACTTGGGCTCTTCCTTTTGTTCATTTCCCAGAGCATTTTACACTGTATCATTCAGGAGATGCCCAGGAAAATATCTGGGTCTGTGGTTAAATGAGTTTAGGGAAAAATACCTCATATCTTCATTACTGATTTATGGTAGATTTTTATATTAAAGGCAGAGAAGTCCTGCAGAAGAGAAATGTGTTTTGGCTGTTTTGAACTTAGCATTTCCTGAAATTATTTCACCACAGAATCTTCTCCTTTCCTCCCATCCCCAGTTGATTTGGTTCCTACAGAGCAACATACTGATTCCTTGCTTGGTAAGAGTGGTTGAAGTCAGGTTTCAGGCTCTCTTCTACCAGTAGCTCAAATTCATCAGTGTTAGGGGTCATCTGACTGACTCTTCACCCGATTACAGACTGAGGCCTACTGACATGGAGTCTGTTTTCCCTTTGGGATTGTTTCAAGAGTCTTCTCTCCAGTCGTCAGGACCTGGGGAACAGAACAGATGACTCCACGTGGGAACTTTATCCAGATTCTCTGACTGACTGAAACAGCTAGATAGTTCATTCTTTCTTGACTTTAATGCTGACTTCAAAATAGAAAAGGATATTGCACATATACAGTATCCTTCTACTTGGCAGTTTGTGCAAACTGGTGGAATACCTTTTCCTAAGAGTAGACCAGGCTGGGTGTGTTGGCTTATGCCTGTAATCCCAGCACTCTGGGAGGCTGAGGCAGGTGGATCACTTGAGATCAGGAGTTCAAGACCAGCATAGGCAACATGGTGAAACACCATCTCCACCAAAAACAAAAAATTAGCCGGGAGTGGTGGCATGTGCCTGTAGTCCCCAGGTACTCAGGAGGCCGAGGCAGGAGAATCGCTTGAACCCATGAGAAAGAGGTTGCAGTGAGCCAAGATCATGCCACTGCACTCCAGCCTGGGCAAGAGAGTGAGGCTCCATCTCAAAAAAATAAAAAATAAAAGTAGACCAGATGCACGAGTAGGAGCTTTGTGTGAGTTCTGAGCATGTAGAGCGAGTAGAGGGCAGATGTCCATCTAGGCTCTTGGCAAGCCTGGTTCCCAGCAGGGAGTGGTAAGAGTTCAGAAATGATGTCAGGGCAGTAAGAGACTGTATTTGTACCATCATGCCTTACCTATTCAGACATCCTTCTCTTTCCTTTTCAGTCAGTGGTGCCGAAGACCAAAACGGTATGTAGTTGTTTCTGTTTGGGAATGGGCTTAGGCCCTTTTGTCCTTCCCCTCCTTCAACCCCAATCCCTTTAGTAATCTAAGAATTCTGAGCATTTGAGCCCCCAGAGAGAGGGTGTGTGGGAAACTCACTGAGACCCAGGGGGCCTCTCACCATCTTTAGAAATTCTCTCTGCTCGCTGTGCAGGAAGCAGAGTGGAGCATACGTAGGGGCGGACTGACTGATGTGCATGTCCCTGGGCTACCTGAGCTCATAAGCCAACATTTGTAAAACACTGAAACAGAGGAGGGGTGGCATGTATCACACTCAGCTCATTTTTTAAAATCTTGGTGTTTTCAGTTCTGGTCTGGGTAGGGAGGGTCTCTGTGTACACCTTCTGGGGAATCAGGGTGTTTAGCAGCTTCTGGTACTAACCAAAAAGAAAGGGTGGTGACCTGAGACAGCCCTGTTTGTACAGGGCTGGTAATGGTTAGAGCTACTCTGGAGCTAACACATGTGCTACTCTCTGGGCACAAGCTATATATCTCAGCTCAGCTGCCACTCACTTAAAGACCACCACTGGGCCCTCAGGTACTCCCAGAACACACTGCAGAACTCCTGACCATCTGTGGGGACATTCTAAAATATGCTATGTGTTTTCAAAAGCCTCAAGGGTATATGGTTGTGAACTCCCTTCCAAGAGAGAACGTTCTAAGAGTAGTGTTGGACTAGCCTGCAGCATTTTAAAACTTATTTCAGAAGATTTCCCAAATTTATTTAGTAAAATGGCCTTTTGCTCAGAATGGGCAATTTTATGTCTGATTACTTCTAATCAGACATAAAAAACAGTTGAGCTTTTCTCAATTCCCCAAAACCATTTGGAGTTCTAGACCCACCTCCACCCTCCAACCCCCCAGCATCACCGGTACCAAGATCAGGCTGATCTACTTGGTGCTTCCTTTCTTTTTCTGATTCCCTGGGAGAATGCTGACAACTGAGTTAATGTGTTTGTTGTTACTTCTGAGAGAATGAGTAACTGAAAATTATAAATTATTCCCATTCATCTTAGGTATTTGTATAGTCTCCAAACCTCTGTTAGGACCAACAGCACCTCAAAAGAGGCAAATGGGTTTCACTCCCTTTCACACCCAGCCTACCTCCTAGGGGGAAGTATTTCTTGACTTTTTAATAGTCCAGAAAAGAGAAAGTATAGATGCAATAAGGGAGAATTCCTCTATGGGTTGGCCAACCCCCAGATGGTAGAGGTGACTTCTGTGAGATCAGTTCCTTTTTATGGGTACCTACTTCAGGCTACAATTTAAGACATATTGGAGATGGCTGGGCTTTTGAACATTATTTTTTCTGTTTGGGTCAGCTCTACTAGGATACTGGTCATGCCCACTATATTCTGCTAGTGACACAAGCCAGTTAGCATTTATTGAGAACCCTGTGCACTCAGCAGTTGATACTGTCTGGATAGTTTCTACTCTTAGGGCAGTTAGGCAGAAGGCCATTCTAGAGCAGGAGCTGTGGGGCCAGCCTGCCTGGGTTTGAATCCTGGCTCCTCGACTTAGCAGCTTTGTGCCCTTGGGCAAGCCACTTAACTTTTTTGCCCCAGTTGGCCTCATCTATAAAATGAAAATAACAAGAGGTCCTACTTTATAGTTTTTGTGAGGCTTCAGTGAGTTAACACATGCAAAGCTTTCAGGACCCTGCCTGGCACACGGTAAGCATTCAGTAAATGTGGGATGTTGTCATTCCCTTGGGAAGATGTTCATTCATCAGACATTTAGAGTACCTACCATATAACTGGCATTGGGGGCTTCAAAGATGAATATCTAACCTTGGAGCATGGAATAAATGCTAAGCATATAATTGTAAAAATTGATTGAATATGTTGAATTAAAGAGCTCATAGTCTACTCTGGGAGTAAGTAGGCAAACTCAAAATTTTAATCCAATGTGATAAGCAGTCATGGGGGTATAAAAAAGTTTTGTGGGGGTAGAAAGAGGGAGCAGTAATCTCTGCCAAGTTTCTCCACCAGGAAGTTTCCTCAGGAAACCTGGGAGTAGTTTGTGAGATAGCAGAGGGGTCCCCCATGATCCCTGACTTTATTAAATGGAGGATATGTTTATAGATAAAGCCTTGTGATCCTTAATGAACCATTCATCACAGTTCCATTTCTATCTAAACTTTTCTGAACCAGTTTTATCTTTTTAGCCTGTTCTGCCTCAGGGGATAATGAGTCCCTACGTGCCACTCACACACTCACTATATTACAGCCCCAACAGTCTGAAAATTATTTCTTTTAAGCTTTGAGAACTTTGCCTTAGTTCTCATGTTCTGGGATGTGTCTGATCCACAAGTGCTGTGTACTTTTCAAATCTTTACCTGTTGGAGGGGATGAAGTGTGGATTAAACAAGTAACCAGAGTTGGTTATTGAGGAAATGTTTCCTCGGAGGAGCTCTATTTGAGGGAAGCATGTGCACTGAGACTTTGTTTACAATGTACCTGTTATCTCCCACCTCCCTCCCCCAGTCACCCCTATACACTTAAGACATTCTCCTCACTCCTCTGCCCCTTTTTTTCTGCCCTGTGTGTTTGTACAGGGGGAGCAGTACCATCAGGCTTGGAGGAGAACCTGTGTAAGATCTGCATGGACTCACCCATTGACTGTGTTCTTCTGGAGTGTGGCCACATGGTAACCTGTACCAAGTGTGGCAAGCGCATGAATGAATGTCCCATCTGCCGGCAGTATGTAATCCGAGCTGTGCATGTCTTCCGGTCCTGAGAGCTTGCATCGGTTTCTTCAGTGCCTTACAGGGAAATAGCCTGGGGTGTCTGGGCTCAGGGTTGGCCAGCTTGCAGAGGAGCAAGCTAGTAGAAATATTGCAGGGTTCCCAAAACCAGGTCAAGCAAGATGCCATGTCACCCCTGAGCATGCCTGTCTTCCCAGGGGTGTACCTCTTGGCTGGCAAAGCCCAAGGCCAGTGGGAACTTGTATAAATCACATGGGTATGTTCTTGGTTCAGTGATCTTGGAGTGATGATGGTAACTGATGAACAGAGAACTTTCCAGAACTTGGGTCCTGTCTTCCTCCCTGAACCTAGACAGTTTCACCCCTCCTCCTGTACCCAACCCATCCCCACCCCATATGGGAGATGCTTGCCCATGTGTTTCATCAATCAGAAGTCCTCCTCCCCAGCACATTCGGATTTAAATTTCTGGTCTCTCCGGCTTTCTGTGCTTTAACTATCTTTGCTAAAGTCTCTTGCTACATTGCCTAAATCCATTTGTTTCTTTGGACCAAAAATGTTAGTTTACCAGACCGATAGTGGTCCTTAGGACAGATTTTAGACCAGTAAACTTATCTTTGGTGAGAAATGAAATACAAATGCTATAGAAAAATTTCAAAGTTGTTAAAAGCCACTTCATTAAATGCTGGGATTGGAAGCTGTTGGTCTCCTGACCTGACTCTGGGAGCCAACAAAACATCAGGCTCCCAAACTGCTGGGAAATTTGTTTCTGTCTGCAAGGGATAGTGCGTGCATAATCCCTGCTGCTGCTTCTCTTGGGACCTGATTTGCACCATCCTTAGTTTATGCGGAAAGGGGAAGCAATGGGTGGAGGCAGTGGCCTTCTCCTTAATTTTGGCTTGGCTTCTGATCCTTTTCCCAACTAGAAGTCTTAAGCCACTTTTCGCTGAAAATGAAATCCCTCCCTTATCCATGGTAGTTTTAAATTTGGTTTCATTGAAGAAATAGATTTAGGCAAAGAGCCTGTGCTCTTCTCTGGCCAGACTGCTGTTGAAGTTCCTGGAGAGCAAATGTTAAGACAGAGCACTTAAGAGCTTTCAGGAGGTACTGAATGAGACTGGATTCTGTTGTAAGCCGACAGTTCAAGTCTTTATTTCCCAGGTTGGTGGGGAGTGAGGAGACCCTACTTTCATTCCCTTTCCTAGCCCACTGATTTTTGGGGGCAGGTCAGGGAGAAAGCATTTTTTTTTTTTTTTTGAGTCTCACTCTGTTGCCCAGGCTGGAGTGCAGTGGTACAGTCTTGGCTTACTGCAACCTCCACCTCCCAGGTTCAAGCTATTCTCCTGCCTTAGCCTCCAGAGTAGCTGGGATTATAGGCGCCCACCACCACACCAGGCTAATTTTTGTATTTTTAGTAGAGACGGGGTTTTACCATGTTCACCAGGCTGGTCTTGAACTCTTGACCTTATGATCCGCCCGCCTCAGCTTCCCAAAGTGCTGGGATTACAGGCGTGAGCCACCACACCCAGCAGGAGAAACCATTTTCTAGGCTCTTTAGGAAGGACCATGCAATGAGTAGGTGATGTATTTGAGCCCTCACAGTCTTTACACCCCTAGAGGAGCTGGAGGACTTAAGAGTTTGCTGCAGAAGCGTGGCCAAGCACAAAACACATGATCAGGAAAGCAGAGTGTTTTCCCATTACCAATGGATGAACTATGCAAACCCTAAACGCCTTGGCAGACACCTCCCACCCCTTACCCCTCCCATGCAGCTGAAAAATCTGAGACTAGAACCAATCATGACTCTGGATGGCAGAGGGAAACCTCTAAAGGGACTTATTACATTGGTACAGACATATTTATGCTTTCTTCCATCACCAACCACTAAACCCCTTTGGAGGAATGAAATAACTGCATAAACTAGTCAACTGAACACTGGGCCACTTACCTCAATGTTATACAAAGTCCTGGATGATTTGATTCTGAACCACAGCCTTTGCAGGAGTTGGGGGAATCAGATTTGCTCATGAAGACATCCCTTTCCACTTTTGTCATGGGCAGTAAATACTATAGTTTACAATGCCTACCAATTAGCAAAGGATCATTCATTCAGCTACTCAGTTCCTCTGTAAAACAGGTCTATGTATGTGCAATTCAGCTAAGATCTAGCAGTAACTTAAGGGCAGAAGCTGGCTCTCTACTTACAACCTGCTTTCTCTGCTGAAGCCTTACCTCCTCTTCAGTTTCCCTCCTAGACACAAATCGAAAATAATATACTGATAGCTGGTTAGTAACCTCAGTAAGAATTAAAACTGAGGTTGTTTACTCATTTTGCCTTTAAATCTTTTATCCCCTTTTGGTGAAGGTTTCCCTTTAGGAAAAAAGGTGTCAAACAACCCTGATTTTTTTTTTTTTTGCATCATTTTTATTACACCAAATTAAAGTTGGGAGTTCCAAGATCCCATTCCAGTTAATATTTAACCAAGGTCTAAAATTTGATTTTTTTTAAATCTTTGAATCCTCCCTTCTGCCCCTCATGGATCCTTGGTTTTAATGATATGGAAACATCTAATTCTTAGAATTATTCCGTAGCTTTTGCTGATTACTCTGAGATTTCAGTTAAGACTTGTTTCAAAAGACAGATAGCTGACTGGTTCATAATACATTGGAATAGTTGGATCCAAACTAATAAGAATAAGCTGTACAGGAACTAGTGCTCAATATACATTGTATAAATTTGTGGAAATCTCTTGGATGTGAATTGTTACTTCAAGTGGCTTTTATTAAGATTTTCTCAGACTTACTTGGAGGTTAAAGCAAACCCAAATGTGTATTATTTTGTTACAGAGCTCTGCTTTATAATTTTGTAATAAAGTTTCAATACAGACACCTGTCCTGTCTGGTGCGAGGATGTTAGAGGTTGATAGGACTGACAAAAGAGCCTGACAGTGGTTCATGCTATAATTTCCACACTTTAGGAGGCCAAGGTGGGAAGACTGCTTGAGCTCAGGAGTTTGAGACCAACCTGGGCAATGTAGTGAGACCTTGTCTCTACTTAAAAAAACAAACAAGGGCCGGGTGCGGTGGCTCACGCCTGTAATCCCAGCACTTTGGGAGGCTGAGGCGGGCAGATCACGAGGTCAGGAGATCGAGACCACCCTGGCTAACACGGTGAAACCCCGTCTCTACTAAAAATACAAAAAATTAGCCAGGCGTGGTGGCGGGTGCCTGTAGTCCCAGCTACTCGGGAGGCTGAGGCAGGAGAATGGTGTGAACCCGGGAGGCGGAGCTTGCAGTGAGCCAAGATTGCGCCACTGCAGTCCGGCCTGGGCGAAAGAGCGAGACTCTGTCTCAAAAAACAAAACAAAAAAAAACACAAACAAAAAACCCAAAAAAACCAAAAAATTAGCCGTGCATGGTGGTGCATGTGGGTAGTCCCAACTACTTGGAAGGCTGAGGTGGGAGGATCACTTGAGCCAGGAGATTGAAGCTGCAGTGAGCTCTGATCGCCACCGCACTCCAGCCAGGGTGACAGAGTGAGACCCTGTATTAAAAAAAAAAAAAAATTGACAACTGATAAACCACAAGCTAATCCTGGGATGTGCACATGGCCTGGGATTAGCCTGTGGTTGGGCCAAGTGACCTTGGTCAAGATGCTCAGTGTTGTTGTAACTAACTAACTTGCTCAAGACCACAAATGTAATATATGGAAGAGGCCATGGAACAACCTAGAAGAGAATGAGAGCTGGGTAGGTAAAGGATGAATCCCAAGACCAATTGGGTTGAAGCACCAAGTGAGTTCAGATATTTACACTGATCTAGAAGAGATGGGCCTTAAAGAACTGAAATCTGAGGACAGTTAGTATGCCCAGTTAGGTCTTCAGGTTACCCTGGGAGATACATGGTACCTTTTGGATACAGCTGTAGTACAGCTGGACTATGGCTCAGAAAAGGTTGGCCCAGGCTGGGCGCCATGGCTCACGCCTGTAATCCCAGCACTTTGGGAGGCTGAGGTGCGTGGATGACTCGAGGCCAGGAGTTTGAGACCAGTCTGGACAACATGGCGAAACGTGGTCTCTACTAAAAATACAAAAACTTAGCTGCGAGTGATGGTGTGTGCCTGTTTGTTAAGTCTTAGCCACTTGGGAGGCTGAGGCATGAGAATTGCTTGTGAACCCGGGAAGCAGAGGTTGCAGTGAGCTGAGATTGCACCACTGCACTCCAGCCTGAATGACAGAGCAAGAGTCTGTTTAAAAAAAAAAAAAAGGTTGGCCCAGCCTCGTGACAGACTGCTGTGTGTGCGCAGGCTTGTACAAACCTCCCTGACCAGGCGCCCAAGGAGCAGGGAAAAGACTACTGAGAATGCAGCCCCTGGGAGAACAAGATTATGTGTCCATCTGCTGTGACTGAGAAGAGAAAGGAATCTTGCCAAAAGGGCATAAAGGATCGAGGATGAGCCACAACACTTTGCTCACATTGCCCTAGGGAGCTGACCTGTTCAGCACCCAGTGATGACCTCTGCTTGATGCCAGCCAGCAGCATGTAGAGGTTCAGAAGAGGGAGGCCTCCAGCATTCTGCTGGAGAGATTTATGATGATGATGTTGAGGGCTGCATTGAAATACATGAAAGAAATACATGAAAGGATACAAAATAGTATATACAGTCAGATCTCAGCAGCAAAGACTGGAAGAAAATACATAAAAAACCACTGACATTGAAATGGCAATAACACACACTAAGGCAGAGAAGGGACAAGATGATCACCTGCAGCCAGCAGAGGCCCTTTCCTGTGAGTGTGCACTCTGGGTGTAAGCAACCAATAAGGGCAAGTGGGGCTGGGTCCAGGTTGGAGAGGACAGTGCCTTTGGCAGGATCCTGAGGAGACAGCCTTGTTCTGCTGCCCTGTCCGGTTGTTTGTTTGGCCTGAGGCTGAAGAGAGAAATGGAAATCTATGTAGGTCAGTACTCAAAGGAGGAGCAGCTTTTTGTCTCCATAGAGGATGGAATAAAAAGTATCTTATTCCTAATACTGAAGCAAGGCTGAATGGTGCCTATTCAAAAACACCAAATGTCCTGGGCTAGAGTCAGGAAAGTAAACCCCTCCCCCGTGCTGTCCCTACTCCCCCAACATACACATTTTAAACAGTAGGTGGAAGCCAAAGTCAATCAGATCAAAGTTGGGGGGGGGCGGTGGGGTGGCCAGGGGGCGCAGTGGTCCTTGATCTTATAGGTCCAGAGCCTGTTAATTTGTTCATAAGGTGAGAACTGACCCTCAAGAGCTGGAAGGATTGGGACATGGCAGCCAGTTTACAACCATATGGTGTCCTGATGAGCCTGCACTCAGAGTGGAGTGTTGGCTGGAACATGCACACCTGCAACTGAGGGTTCTAAAGTCATAGGTTAGGCCCTTCTCCCGGGTAGGGTCTGGACATGCACACCAGGAGTGACGTTCCCAACTCTAGATAACTATGTGCTAGGCTCTGGGCTAAGTGCTTTACATAATGTTGCTCAGGACAACAGGACAACCCTATGATTTAGGTGCACCCATTCTACTTGGAGGGATTGAGGCTTAGATGTTAACGTAACTTGCCTAAGGTTAGAGCCATTAAGTTTCAGGAGTCTGATCTGAACTCCGTCTACACCTGCACTGTCCAGTGTGGTAGTCACTAGTGACATGTGACCATTTGAAGTTGAATTAAAATAAGAACTTCAGTTCCTTAGTTGTGCCAGCTTCATTTCAATTGCTCAGCAGCTGTCTGTGGCTAGTTTGGTTGGATACTGCAGATTTATGGATATTTCCACTGCTGCAAAAAGTTCTATTGAATAGCACTTGTCTACACTAAATTGTCTCTCTTCCTTTTGTTCTTCAAATAAATCAGCCTCAGGTAGCACAGGAGCTGTTCTTTGTAAGCAGGTTGTATGGATCTGTTCTCAGGTGTGGATTTTTATTTTTTTCCCTGCAGATATGGAGTATATTTTCTTTAAGAAATTAAAAACTAAGAAGAAAATGCCACTCAACATTGTTGGTATTATCAATAGGTCAGCAGGAAAAAAAAAAATACTGTGATAAACTTGTCTCTCTGATACCAAGAAGAAATTCTAGTCCGAGCTTCAATATGCTTCCTGTTTTTTTCGCTAGGTATTTCTTTTACTGCTGCTCTTCATTCTTTCCCACATTTCATATTGGAGGATTGGTACAGCCTTTAGAACTTCATTGACAGGAGCAAATCCAGTATCCACTGATTTCTTCTTAAAGGCGCTCTAACCCATCAGATAGCCCGGCAGTTTCATTCACATGAATACTCCAGCCATGAAAAAACTCAGTAGGACACAGACGAATCCAATGAATAGAAGAAAAAAAATCGATTGAGTTTTGGGATATTTGGTGCATTCGACTGGTCCAGCATTATGAAACCTAAACCTCCCATTGTAAACAGGAAGCTGGATGCAAATCCTTCCATAATATACTGTCCATTTACTTTGTAGGCCAAGAAAGCTACTGGCCTCTGATGCCCACGTTCATCAGCCAATACTTGGGGGTTCAACAATATCATATAATTATTCCTCCAGTCATGAGGAAGTAAGACACCACCACCAGAGCATACACAGTCATGGCTGATGGCATGTGCAGCCAGGGTGGCTTCTTCAACTTCAGGTTGGAACACTCGAGCACTAAGAATGGGATATGGTACAAAGTCTCCATGTTGGTGGCAACAAGGGCTGTTCTTGGCCTCAAGCCCCATGTGGATTTTTATTCTTAAAGAACAGTCTTGTTTCCAGGTTTTGGGGATGCAGATCTTCCTGGAGCCCTCTATCCCTCCAGAGGAGTGGCCCAAATAACCTCCCCTTTCTTCATAAAGGCCCCATTTTCCTACCTGACCCTAGTCCCCTCCCTTCAAACTGGGGATCCTCACCATGTAATAGGAGAACACAGAGAAGAAAGTAAAAAAATTCATTTTGTTTTCTTTCACATGAGGTTTGTTCCTGGCAAAGCGTGTCAGGCTGAATACAAGTTCCGCTAAACAGAAGCATTTCCGAGGGCAGTCCTTTAAATACAACTTTAAAATGAGCCTGGAAGTACAAAGGAACAGGCAAGGATGGGAGAGAAGGCTTTGTGGACAGAGCTGCCATAGCCCAGCCTTTACTCCTTAATCTCTAGGGAAATTATTGGGGGTGTAGGTGGGGAAAGGACAAAGATAACTGCAAGATATTTTATTTATAAAAAGGGTAACTAAGCTGCTTTTCAAAGAAAACAAAAAGATGGCAAACCCAGCACCCAGCTCTGAAAGATCTATTTAAACCAGCAAGACAAACTGACTTCAGCTGTGGCACCCACAGCAACTAATTCCTGGTCCAGAAGAGACAGTGGAGAACTGGTGGGTTTGGGAGAAGCAAGCCCATTCCCCCTATACTGTGTCTATCTGCCTCCAGCCTGAGTCCAGTCCAGTAGTATGGTAAAGGAGAGTATGGCCTGAGGGAGAGGGAAGACAGCAAACCTAGCAGGGAGCTACCAGTCTCCGTTTCCGGATACATGCCCAAATCCACTCTGGGGAGACCTGCTGGGCCGCAGGGTTCTTGTCCCTGCTACCCAGCACGTGCGTGGCTGAAGTCATATCAAATTCCTGTACCAGGTCCCCGTCGAATGCCACAAAGTAGCGTCTGAGACGGCTGAAGTCTGGTGTGGAGGGTGGCAAGTAAAGCCGCACCCCAGTGAAGATGTCCAGCAATACCTGCAAATGCAGAGGGGTCAGGGTGGGGTCAGACCTACACTGGGTACAGATGGGTCTTCACCCAAATGAGCACGGGACAGAATGAGGGAGCCTAGAGTTAGGACACAAGCAGAGAAGTTTACTGGAATACCATGCATCAATACCCCCACCCCTCCAGTCACTCCAAATTATACAGGACTGACACGCCCCTCCATCCCTGCCTAGGGGAAAAGGAGAGTGGACAGGCCTCGACATCTGGGACCTGGAGATGGGAAGAGTACATGTGTATAAGAGCCACCCAGTCATGGTGGGCAGGCGGAGCTGGCTCTGACTCAGTGCCCCCAGACTCAGTGATGTCCCCTGAGACCAAGCAGTCTACTCTGTACAACCTGCTAGACTGAGGGGTCAGGAGTCCTGCTTACTACTCTCAATGGGTTCAAGGACTTCAGGCTGGGAAGAGAGAGGGGAAAGGTTTCTACAGGTCTGTTGGGGACCGAGTTCAGGCCTTGTGCTGTGAGACTTCTATGCTTACTCCTGGATGGCGGTGGGGAGCGTGGGGGCGCAATGACATGGGTGTCAATCATATGTTTACTTCTCTATCTGTCCTTTGAGGCATCAGCTCCCCCAGAGTTGAGCCAGTACTAAACCTAGTTCTTGGCATCAGAAAGTGCTCAAAAGAGGCCGGGTATGGTGGCTCAGGCCTGTAATCCCAGCACTTTGGGAGACCAAGGCAGGCGGATCACTTGAGGTCAGGACTTTGGGACCAGCCTGACCAACATGGTGAAATCCCGTCTCTACTAAAAATACAAAAATTAGCCGGGCATGGTGGCACATGCCTATACTCCCAGCTACTCGGGAGGCTGAAGCCGGAGAATCGCTTGAACCTGGGAGGCGGAGGTTGCAGTGAGCGGAGGTTGCAGTGCGCTGTGATTGCACCACTTCACTCCAGCCTAGGCAACAGAGCGAGACTTATCTCAAAAAAAAAAAGAATTGCTCAGGAGATGTTGCCAAACCCAAGACTGACAAGAAAATGTAACAGGGAAAAGGCTCCTCAGGTGGGAGGAGAGTCACCAAGCCAGTGCCCTCTCCCCGACTCGCTGCTTGCTGGACCTGCTTCCACCCTGACCACAAACTCAATGCTGCATTCCCACACCCAGACTGGTCTTTTCCCTTTAATGTAAATTTTGACTTGGGGCCAGCAGCTGAGTGAGTCCCTGCAGTCTCTCCTGGCTAGGCCGGGCTGTTCTATCTCCTGCCTGCTGGCACAGTTCTTCCTCTCTGCTCACTGGCTGGCCGCCTCTGCAAGGCAACAAGAGGACATAGGGTGAGCAGCAGCATTGCTGACCCTGCCCACGACAGAGGAGTGGCTGCAGGCAGGGAAGAGGTTTAGCCGATGTTCCCCAAACACCTTTGCTCATCCTCTTTCAAACTTCTTGTACAGAAGGTTGGGAACACAACCTGGGCTAAACTGGCCCACGTGGTGTGTTGCTGTTTTTACCCTCACCTTTGTTTGGCACAGCGTCTCATCAGCAGCTTTCCGCTTCTCCCCTACTTTCACTGGAGAAGACTTTGTGGCCAGCTTCTCCCCCACCTTCATAGCGGAAGGCTTTGCAGTCTGCATGTTGCCTGCAGGACAGAGAGGAAGCTGGGTGTGGTGGTGCACACCTATAGTCCCAGCTACTCGGGAGGATCAATTCAACTCAGGAGTTCGAGGCTGCAGTGAGCTATGGTCGTGCCACTGCACTCCAGCCTGGATGACAGAGTGAGACCCTGTCTCTAAAAAACATATGATACAAAAGAACTAAGAGGGTAGGGATTGCTGATAATGCTCCCTGAAGTCAGGGGCAGTAATGGGAAGGACCAGGGGCTTTCTCTGCTATGAGCATAGGTGAGAGGGGAGTGAAGAGTTATCAGCTAAGCCCTTTACTCAAAGGTAGCTTATTCCCTGGTCAGACTGGCTGTCCCCAGGGTACTGCTCCATTCAGGTTTGCTGAGCAGATACAGGGTGCCCAGCAGAAGGGTCTCTGGCCCATGGCTGGACACACACCAGGAATGTAGTCTGTGTCCACTGCAGTGGACACAGATAATCATGAGATCTCAGGGCTGGAATGTGAGACTGGGTCCCTGCCCTTGGATCTCTGCCCCTCACACCGCCCTCTTCACCATACCAGCCCCCTCCCTATCCTTACCATCTTTGCTGTTGGAGTTACTCAGCTTCCCTTCTGCTTTCTTGGTACTGGCTGAGGGCTTGCTGGGGGCCTTGCGGGACACAGCAGACCCTGAGGGACCCTTATTCTCTTCACTGCTACCCCCTGTAGTGGAGCTCCCCTCATCTCCAGCCACTACAGTGAAGTCTGCCTTCTCCTTGGACAACTGGTACAGTTCCTGAGGCGGGGAGGGACAATGTCAGAGGGTTTCATTGCCTTCCCAGTCTGGCCTCAGAGGTGGTGTGTGTGGTGTATTTTAGGCGCATATGGGAACAAAGATGTGAGAAAGATAAAGAGCAAGGAAAAGGAGTTGGCTCCCTTGGCACCATTCCAAAGTATGGCCCTATAGCCTGAGTAATCAGGGTACAAATCATTGTTCTCTGTACAGCAAAGCAGGCTTTGCTGGGGCAACAGGAGCAAACTCTTATTCCCCAGACTAAAGGCTGCTCAGTGGGGCCTTGCAAATGCAAGGTTCTCTACTCAGAGATGGAGGGAGAAGGAGGTCTAGTGCTGTGCCCCTGGCCCAGCAGCAGTTTGTCTCCCTCTCTAATTGCCCTCCTTGCTCTGCCTCAGGAGAATGGGGGAAAGGAGAAGACAGAGGACATGTGAATGGTCTAGATGCCCAAGGCTCCAAGGCCTGGACAGTGGGGTGGAGAATACATATACAGCCTAAGAGCTGCTACCTTGAGTTGGGGAAGGTTAGTGGCAGATTTCCAGTCCTTATCATCTCGGATTCGGGTGCAGCGAGGGAATCGGATGGAGATCCCGTCAGCTGTATGAGCCTCCGATTTGGAGAATTCAGCCCCTGTGATCTCCCACACGGCAGCTTTCTGTCAGGAGTAAGCCAGCAGGTCATCACTGGTTAAGAAGATAGTATCAGTGGCCGGGCGTGGTGGCTCAAGCCTGTAATCCCAGCACTTAGGAAGGCTGAGGTGGGCAGATTACTTGAGGTCAGGAGTTTGAGACCAGCCTGGCCAACATGACGCAACCCCGTCTCTACAAAAAATAACAAAAATTAGCCAGGCACGGTGGTGCACGCCTGTAGTCCCAGCTACTCAGAAGGCTGAGGTATGAGAATCGCTTGAACCCAGGAGGCAGAGGTTGCAGTGAGCTGAGATCATGCCACTGCTCTCCAGAACGAGACTGTCTCAAAAAAAGGGAGAAGCAAGTATTGGCCAGGCGCGGTGGCTTGCATCTGTAATCCCAGCACTTTGGGAGGCCAAGGCAGGTGGATCACCTGAGGTCAGGAGTTTGAGACCAGCCTGGCCAACATGGTAAAACCCTATCTCTACTAAAAATGCAAAAATTAGCTGGGGGTGGTGGCACCCCTGTAATCCCAGCTACTTGGGAGACTGAGGTGAGAGAACTGCTTGAACCCAGGAGGCGGAGGCTGCAGTGAGATGAGATCATGCCACTGCACTCCAGCCTGGACAACAGAGTGAGACCCTGTCTCAAAAAAAAAAAAAAAAAAAAAAAAAGTATCTCCCAACCAGCTAGAAGCAATACAGAACAATTAAAACCAAAAAGGCGGCTGGGTGCAGTGGCTCACGCCTGTAATCCCAGCACCCTGGGAGACTGAGGCGGGCAGGTCACCTGAGGTCAAGAGTTCAAGACCAGCCTGACCAACATGGAGAAACCACATCTCTACTAAAAATACAAAATTAGCTGGCCACGGTGGCACATGCCTGTAATCCCAGCTACCTGGGAGGCTGAAGCAGGAGAATCACTTGAACCCGGGAGGCGGAGGTTGTGGTGAGCTGAGATCCCGCTATTGCACTCCAGCCTGGGCAACAAGAGTGAAACTCCGTCTCAAAAACAAAACAAAACAAAAACCAAAAAAGCTTTGGCTAACAGCTGGGAAACTTGGGTCCTAGTTCTGCTGCTGCTGTTGCTGAATAACCTTAGGGAAGTCCTGTTTGTTCTCTAGATCTCTTTCTTGGTCGGTACAAGAAGGGATTGGGCCAGATTACTTCTAGAACACACCCTTTGTGCTGAGGGGATAGGTACTCTCTTCTTCTCTCTCTTTTTTTAAAGCAATTGTATTGCAGAAAGAATTCTATTCAAAATTCCTCAGAGTTGTCTGGTTGTCCCTGTGCCTATCACTCAGCTGGAAATCCAGACCCCTATCCCTGGGTGGACTTTCAGCGAGGTGAGATGGATTCTCTATGGCACTAGAGAACCTGCAAGCTAATTCTATGAGCTGGAGGCCCCCAAGCCACTGGGTTGATACCTTTGGGTCTGGGACGATGAAGTCAGGATAGTAGATCTTGTTGACCTTCAACCAGCTGGGTATTTTGCTGGGGTCCTAGAGGAGAAAAGATGCTACTTTGGGCTGTTCCCAACCTGGAACAAGGCTTAAATCCCTTCTCTTGGTAATGAGATTATAAGAAGCCACTTAAACAGCTGATGTTTGAGCCATGTGATCCTCCCAGCCCAGAGTGGGTATGACCTAGAGGCATGCAAGCCATTTTCCACAAGAAGGCATTCAGAGATTATAAGGCCTAATCCTGCTCCCCTGAGCAAGCTGCAACCCTTCTTTCTGGGGAGACAGAAATACCTGTAGTCCCCAAAGCACAGCCTCTGTCTCAGTGATGGCGGCCAGTCCAGAGGCCATGGCCAACCAGGTCCCTTCCTCACCTTGCTGATCTTCACCATGTCTAGTTCATTCTGCAGGCGGGCAAGCGTGGCATCATCATGGCCTCCTGCACACTTGGTGACTGTGCACCACTTCTGGCTGCCAGGGTCGTAGCAGCCCATGAGGAAGATTGACATCATGCCGCCTGGGAGGGGAGTGTGAGATGAGTGTGGGTTGGAGGAGCCATCTCTGCCAGTCCCAAGAGCCCAGGGCCAGGGAGAGGACCTTGGGTCCTGGCCGTCAGAGTGCCAGAGTTTACCTCTTGGAGCTACCTCTTACTAACTGTGTAATTTTAACCTTTATAAGCCCCAATTTCCTCTTCTGTAAATGAGGGATAATCACACCCAACCTGTTGGGCTCTGGGGCATTGAACTGTGTTGGACACATGATAGATTGCTTAAAAGTATTAGTTCCTCAGACTCCAGCTTCCTTTCCAGTCAGGAAAGAGATTTTGCCTGAGGAGAAAGCTGTCAGGCCCTGACGAAATAATTGGTGGTAAGCGTCCTTCTGCTAGGCTAGCATAGGGTACTCTATTCTGACTTCTCCCTAACCGAGTAAGCAGCTCTGCCTGAGGTGACTCAGGCCAGCTTGGGGCCCTAGATCCTAGGACTTCGGAAGTCATAACTGGCCATGCTGGCAGATCAAGCCAGTAACAAGGCCAGCCTGTACCTCAAGCGGTACCTTCTAAAACAGTACCACCCCAGGGGGCAGAGGCCACCCTGACCTTTGCTCCCTTGCCCATAGAAGGCTCCAAGGACCACCAGGTCAGCTGTGTCGGCCATGGCCCCCTCGTTCAAATAGTCTTTCTTCACTTTCAGCCAGTGCCGCTTCCCAGGCTCATATGTACCCTGAAGGGAAGCAAAAGAGAGACCACAGAATAGAAAGGCAACTCCATGAGGATGGGTTCACCCCTTCACTGCTACACACCAGATCTAGCCCAGTGCCCCTCCCTCAGGGTAAGAGCCCTCAGGCTCCAGGCACTATAGGAGACACACAAAGCAGTCCTCCAGATCCAGGACACATCTGCCCACACTTCCCCAGCAGCCACCCCAACCACTGCAGGCTGCCACCGCCATCTCCTGGTCAGGGCTGGAAAGGCTCAGGGGAGAGGGCTGCGAGTGAGTCGACAGGAGAAGCCAAGCGAGGCCACTTTACCTTCACATCCTTCAGCACCAGCCCCTCCAATCCCTCCTGGATCACCCGGGTTATCATGTCAGCCAAGTCCAAAGCTTTCTGAGGGACAAGAGAGATGCTGAAGTTGGTGTGAGAGTGGAGAAGGTGGTGAGTGAGTGGGGGTTGTTCCTTTTCACACACTAGTTAAGTGTCCACTGGAAACACCCTTACTTGAAATATAAGGGACAAAGGGTTAGAAAGCAGGTTGCTTCTCATCCCAAACAGAGGGCTGCTGTGGCTTTGAAACACAGGAGGCTTACCTAGGAAGGATTTCCATGCCCTACCCTTCTGGGTGAAGACTAGCAGGCAACATATGCAATAGTCAAAGGCCAACATTATCAGGAGGCTCCATAAGACATTAAGATTTATTCTTCCAGTCGCAGTTGACCCAAGGAGTTCTCTGCCCTGCTTTCAAACTTCTAGGACACTGCCTAGCATAGGGTCTTCACTTACTGTGACTCGCTTCATTTCTGAGAACATGATCCGGTTTGGAATTTCAACCATGTTGTCATGAAGAAACTTCCGCCGCTCACACAGAGGTCTGAGGAGAACAGGAGAGCTGAGGTTAGGCCGGGATCCTCCCTCCCTTATTAGGAATTCTGAGGAAGGAAGGGCCACAATGATAAAACTGCTACTTCAAGAAAGGGTTTGCCATGGATCAAAGACCTCATGTGTAACAGTTCTGCTGTCAAGGGCTACAAGGGCTCCATCGTGACCGAAGATGGAAAATTGTGAGCTGTGGCATAGAGCCAGTTCATAGTTGTAGTTCCTAGTTCTACTTCATCAAGCGAGCCAAGGGAGAACTGGCCTGTAGCCCAGATTGTATAAATTCTGGTCCCACTTGAAATACGACTCCAACTCTCATTTTTTATCCCCTGCACCCTGCTTTGCCCCGATCCCAAGGCCAACCCCGGGGTAGGCAGGCTGAGACAGGCCTTGGGACCCAAACCCCAAATCCTACCCCCACCAATTCCTTCCCTCTCTACTTCCTTCTCCTTCCCCAATCAAGGATGTGGCTGTTGCAGGAGGAACAGGGGTAGAGATACATTTCTAAGTGAGGAAAGGGCTGATACTGGTTTCTCAGGCACAAGCATATGGATGCAGCTAAGTCAAGACTGCTAATTCTCTCCAAGATGGTCCCACCCATGGCCTCCCCTATAATCCGGAGCTTCCTGTTGTCAGTCTCTTCTGAAATCAAAACCTCTGAGCTGAAAACCATCTGCCTTATGCCCCCAGGGGTGCCACTGGAGCCCCTAGGGGTGCCATTGGAGAAATAAACTGAAACCCCATATGCTCACAGTCTATTTCTCTGCAATAGTCCATTTTGCTTTAGTAGAGAAACTTCTTTGGGGGTTTGGGTTTCTTCTGTGACTTAAGCTCTCAGAGAAGAGATGGAGTCAACACATGGGCTCTTTCTTACACTGAATGGGGAACTGATCATGTAGCAATTGTGCTTCCTCTCAGCTCCCTCTTGCCATTGCCTTTGGCAAGCTCCTGAGCACAAACGTATGTGCCAGCTGGTTCCCTGTACCCTCCTTTCCAACCTGAAGCCCCCATCTTCCTCACCCAGGAAATGAAAACAGATTCCTGGCAGTTTCTGGGTTTAAAGATGCTAGCCAACTCACCTGTCCATCAAGCTGACATCATTAAAGTAGATACAATCAAAAACAAACAGGCAGACATTAGCATCCTGGAAGGCTGCTTTCTGTAAGGGAAAATGAGGTAGTAGGTACACATAGGACAAAAGTCAGTGTGAAAAAATAAGGAGTACCAGTCCACTTCTGGAGGCCCCCTGAGGCACCGGATGAAAAAGTACTATTTCTGCTCTGAAGCCCCTGGGCCATAAGGGCACTGAGCAGATAGTGCTAAATGGAAACCAACCCAGTTATAAACTGGTTCCCAATACCAGCCCCTTTTTAGGAGAAAAACAAAAGACAAAAATCCAAACCAGAAACAGGTCAGAAGCGAAGAATAAGGGCCACACTAAGGGATATTTCCTCCCTTTTCAGACCGCAGCGTGCACCCACATGTACATACTCACTCACACTCATTCATTCTTGCACATATGGCCCTGAGCTAGTACCTTGTGTACTCCCAGAGTCCCAAAGGGCAGTGGTTTGCCTGTCTTGTTGTCAATCAGAAGCACTTCAGAATCCAAGATCATGCTGTGGCCCCCAGGAAAAGCCTGGGGAATGTAGTCCTTAAAGTGGGCCACCTGAAAGCAGAAGGGGAGCTTTGGTGAGGGATGACATGGCAGCAGGGACCTCAAACCATGCCATGGAGGGCAAAGCCCGGGCCCAGACAGGATATAGAACAACATGTGGAAGGCCCAGCTAATGTGCAAAACATATAGCTAGGCCTTGCGAGCCACCTGGACAAGAGGGAGAGGCCATCTGTTTCAGTACTTCTGTCCGGGCCCAGGAAGAGGTCAACCCATGCTGGGTCACTTTCTATGGGCTGTAGAGAAGGTACAATTTTTGAGGAAAATGGAAGAAACAGATTAAACCTGTCGGGGGAGGAGGAGGAGGGTAGGTGGGCAGAGATTAGTGCCTACTGCAGAAGATGTGTGACTATCAGGCTGGGGACTGGATTAGGGGAGAACAGACTACTTGAAACCAGAAAGGTAGAAATGAACTCCCTCAGGTGCAGCAAGGAAACTTGAGCAGTGTCTTCTCTGAGTGGGAGCCCTGAACCCACAGCCATCACTACCCAGGATGCTTAGAGCAGGAACAGGAAAGGCCAGCACATCCATGCCATTCCCCTTCAATCCCTAACCTAGCCCTTTAAGAACCCAAATCACAGGAGAGGCAAAGGATGAGTGAATACTGGGTAAGGGAAAATTAAGGAAAGGACTAAATCTGGAAAAGTGTGCTCAGACTTCTTCCTGGGTCACAGATGGTGTCTATTTAACACCAACCTCACCAGAAACAGCTCCTGAGTGATTTGCAGTGCTTCACAGAACACGTGAACCTGCATTAAAGCTCCACAATGAGGCCACTGCTTAGCCTTCCTCTTGAACATATGAAACAAATGGCCTGACTGCTTTGTTCCCAATGCTCCAGCAGGAAGGCAAGGCTGAGGTAAGCACAGGCCACACAACATGTTCCCCTGAACCCCCTGAGGCTCTGAAAAACTGAGTCTGAGTTAGGAAAGAAAAGGATAGCAAAGATAGGAATTCCATCTGCTCACAAGCTACCGGAGCCAGATGTTCCAGCTGCTTTTCCCTGAAGACACTCCCAAAGGCTCACAGTATCCTTGGGAGTGGAGAAGGGCTAAGGAATAAGGTTCCAAATGCCACCCCTGATTAGAACAGGAATCTAGGCTCCTAGATGTCCCCATAAGACTGTGTTTACATCAGAATGTAAACTTCATGGTGGCCAGAACTTTTGTCCATTTTTTCCACTGCTATATCCCCACCAGCTGTAACAATGGGTAAGCATCTGATAAATAATTGTTGAACAAATTAATGAATGACAGCCCAATAGCCCCTGGTATATAAGCCTTAGTCTAGCTCACAGGAAGCATCTGGGACATGGAAACACAAAAGACACACAGCAACTCACCAACTGAGCTCACTGTCCCAATATCACTGTGGGCAAAAGAAGTATCACTGTTCCAGGGAGCTCTATCCTCACGAACCCAAGTCAGGGCTCTTTGGCTCTCCCTGCTGAGCAGCCCTTCATTATGGGAAGACTCCAAAAATGAATAAATGAATTAATTCATTCAACAAATAAAAAACAAACCCTTATTGTGTACCACAGCTGGAATGGCTATGGGACTCTGGCCCTGAGGTTGTTAGAGGCAGAAAGGGGAAAGACGGTCCTGGCAGAAAGGAAGGCACTCATACCTTGTGAGGAAGGACGGGCTTGAGACTGCGGCTGAAGTAGCTGAAGTGGTCTCCATTCTTATGCACCTGGACTCGCTCTCCATCGTACTTGATCTCAGAGAACATGCCATTGGGACATTTCTTCATTGCATACTCAACGGACTTGCAGGCCTCCGCCTTGGGGTGGGGAAAGCAAAGCCTGGAGACTTTCAATGAGGGGCTGCTAAGCAGCGACAGCCAGAGACCTTGCAACTGGGTTAGTGAGGGTAGTTACCTGGGTCTTGGGACTGACTGCCCACAATTAACGCTCAGGGAAGGCTGGTGAAGAGGTGATGGGAACGGAAAGGGCTGGGCAATGTTGTATTCTGCCTATGAAATAATCACCTGAGCTGACATAGGAGCTTGCCTTTTGAGGAATATGAATGCTATTCATTGTACAACAAG
This sequence comes from Homo sapiens, assembly GCF_000001405.40. Lineage (NCBI taxonomy): Eukaryota > Metazoa > Chordata > Mammalia > Primates > Hominidae > Homo > Homo sapiens. The sequence goes on along the minus strand of NC_000017.11, from coordinate 34,994,008 downwards.
TAAAAGCCCAGTGAAACAAGATTTAATTCTTTTCTCAATAATTCAGGCCTTGCAAGACCTCTGGCTTATTATAAAACACATCAGTTCTCCCAGTAAAAGAGGTATGTGAAGCTAAGGTTAAAGAGTGCAGGTGACAGTGAGGCTGGCAGGGTGAGTGATCGTGGGTCCCTACAACAAACAGGGTTTCCAGATATTGGAGCACCTACTTACATGCCTACCTGTGCTAGCCTAACTCAAACAACAATAGCTACCATTTTGGGAGCGCTTCACATACATAATCTCATTTCATCCCCGATGTGACATCCTATGTGACAAATATTGTTTTCATTTTTGGATGATAAAACTGAAGGTTAGAGAGAATAGGTGCTTGCTTAAGTTACACTAAAAAATGGCAAGAATGAGATTTGAATCTAGGCCCACCTATAAAACCTGTGTGGTTAACCACTAAGCTATATAACCCATGCCAGTCTTTAAATGACAAACTATAGAACAGACTCCAGGAGGCATTTTTATAAAAGTCAGAAAGGCCACTACTGCAGGTGGCCGCAGTCCCATCTCTGGGATGGAGATCTCACTGTTTTGATGCTGGCTATCCCACATTCCTAGCAGGGAGAGAACACTTGCCTATCTCAAACATAAAACCCTAAACCAAGGTTTTAGTATGACAAACAAGACAGTTTCAAAAAAAGCACTGTACATCACTCAAAAATCCAAAGAATCTCACAGTAGGCATGGCACCATATGTGGTGGGCCCTGTCACACAGGAAAACCAACACTGGAAAGGAAACCCCATTTCTTACGAAATGAGCAGAGGCCTAAGATGATGTCTGTCAGAGTCAGCCTTCATTCCTTATGTGTCCTCCCTCTTCCCAAGTCACCCTGTCACAGGAAGCCTGGCTCTGCTACCAACTCTCAGATCTACTTTGCAGTAGGTCACAGAATCTCAGGGGTTACTTAATACATCCGTCTTCAGGTAAGATAACAGATAAATCATTCTAGGGGGATGCCTCAGGCAGTCTCAGACGTCATCCACACAGGAGACTGAAGGACAAGAGAGGCAAGTCACTCATCTAAGATTCTACAGCATCTTGGTGGCGTAGCTGGGCCTACAACTCAGGTCTTTCCACTAGATCCTCTGTCTTCTCCTTTGCCTTCGCCTCCTACAGAGAAATACCCCCTTGCACCTCCCTCTTCCTTCCCTAAACTTCTCCAGTCAATTTGCAAGTGCTCTCAACACTCATACCCTATCTGATCTCAGCCCAAAGGATGTGGAGCTTGGAGAGGCTGGAAAGCAGAGGCAGGGGAGCACTCCTCACCAACATGGGCTGCACAGGTGTCATCAGCGAGGCCTGGACGCTCAGAGCTCGTCTCTGGCCCGGCTCCTTCTCCACCTCCTGCGCGTTGTGAAGGACCCGCTCCACCACATCCTGCAGGTTGCGCGAGGCTTTGAAGGCTTCATAGGCATTGGGGTCAAGGGCGTCTAACCTGCCAAGGGGTACAGGAACAAGGAAACAAAACCACTGCCTTTGTTTGACTCCATGGCTTTGGACAGCAATCTGTCCTCACAGAAGAAATCCTCATCTGTAGGGAAGGGGTTGTGTTCTATTGTCTAAAGACTTTCACAAGAGGAGAGAAAGCTCTTGGAAAATTCAGCTCTTTTGAGATACTGTGCCTATGTGGATGCCGCCTTAGCGAGGAGGGGGCTGGAGTAGGCAAGAGACTCATACTATACTCACTGAACGTATGCCACACTTCAACTGTAAGAACTCTGTGAGAAAGGTACTGTTATCTCCATTTTATATGGGAAAAAATGGAGGCAGAGACAGGTCAAGTGACAGATCAGGGTCTCACAGAAAGTAAGAAGGTGGAAGGGGGATTCAAATCCTGACTGGGACTCAAAAGTCCTGACACCAGTTGGGAACAAACAAAGCTAACAAATGACAGCTCAGGCTGTCAGCGGAGCTGCTACTTACACATGTTTTGCACCTGAGTTCATCTTCAGATCATGTTTGATCAACCTGATGATGCATTTAAGGTCATTGGCTGTACACCTAGGGGGATGAAGCACATTTAACTTGGTCTTGAAGAGCTCTGGAACCCCAAGGGAACCTTCCCTTCCCAAGAGAGTTCATCTCTCTATGGGCATGGTTTGACGGAGGCAGCTCCCCCACCTGGAGGCAATGTCCTGTAGGGCCTGTTGCTGCTCATCCTCCTTGGTGAGCTTGGACAGCCGCAGAAGGAACTCATCCACTTCCTGGATGGTAAGGAGGCTCTTGGCAGCTGGGGGGAAAGACTTGCTCTGCTCAAAGAAGACTCTGATTGTCTCTGACACGTCACCCTGTCTCCAAAAACCAAAATGCCACTGCTGCAACCCTAGGGTGGCCAAGTGTATCCCCCAAGACCCAGGACTGAAGATGAATCAAGAAATTTCAATCATAGCTCCTATCCCAACTCAACATATCTAGCCCACTTCTTAGAGACACTAGCCCATCCACAATTCCTAGAAGGGGATGGAAACTTGCCATGGTACCAGGGATAGAGTCACGGACAAACCAAAGCTTGGTAAAGCCAAGTTATAGGAGAAAACAAGCAAGAAAAAAAGAGTCCAGAATAAAAGCCCCAGGAGAGACAGAGGGGGCAAGTCTCAAATTCTGCCTTTTGAGAACCAGGCCTTTGTGGTTCAGCAGTTGTATGGTTTCCACCCTCAGAAACTTAAGAAATTAAGAGCTATAGCCTCACATTCAGCTCCCCCTATAACGGAAGCTTGCTCAAATGGGTTTCAGTTTCCTAAAACAGTATGTGTCCCAACCAGAAAAAAAAAAAGAGGCTGCAGGTGCCTGGCTTGGCAAAACCCCACCTGGAATGTAGCCTACCCTCCCTCCCGTTCCTCTGACCTGCTCTAGGTCCCGTGCCATATCATCTGGGTTGCAGTTAAAAATGCGACTGAAAAGCTTCACAATCTGCTTATCGTTCAAGTTGTAAACAGTCTTAATGACTCCTGGCAGCAGCAGCTTCACTGTTAGGTACACATCACCGTGGAAACCATCTGGAGACAGAAGGAACCCTTCTTGAGAAATAGAGCTTAAACAAATAAATATATAAACTCAAAGAAGGCTGGGCAAGGTGGCTCACACCTGTAATCTCAGCACTTTGGGAGGCCGAAGCAGGAGAATTGCTTAAGCTCACAAGTTTGAGACCACCCTGGCAACAAAGAAAGACCCCATCTCTACAAAAAATTAAAAAATTAGCTGGACATGGTGGCATATGCCTATGGTTCCAGCTACTTGCAGGAGAAGACAGGAGGGTTGCTTTAGCTCAGGAGGTCGAGGCTATAGTGAGCTGTGATCACACCACTGTACTCCAGCCTGGGCGACAGAGCAAGACACTGTCTCACACACACACACAAAAATAAATAAAAAAATAAACTCAGACCGCGCATGGTGGCTCACGCCTGTGATCCCAGCACTTTAGCAGGTTGAGGTAGGCAGATTAATTGAATCCAGGAGTTTGAGACCAACCTGGGCAAAACAGCAAAACCCCGTCTCTACAAAAAATACAAAAATTAGCCAGGCATAGCGGCACATGCCTATAGTCCCAGCTACTTGGGAGGCTGAGGCAGAAGGACTGCTTGAGCCCAGGAGGCGGAGGTTGCAGTGAGCTGAGATTGCACCCATGCGCTCCAGCCTGGGCAACACAGCCACATTTTTTGTCTCAATAAATAAACAAACAAACAAACTCAAAGAAGCAGAGACCAAAAGATATCTATATATCGCTGCCCATGCTCCTATAGTACCCTGTGCATATCGCTATAGTAGGAGACAGCATGGAGTTCAGAGGCTGGTGGATTGTGTCTGCCTCACCTTTAGCCTACAGATGAACTCTTGTTGGACAGAGTGGTTAGTTTCACTTCACGTGCCCAGTGACAAGGACATCAGAGATGCTCATCGACAATTTGTTAGATAAATGAAAGAAACAGAGTTGGAAGATTCTATTCCAAACTGTGTATATGGTTCACAAAAACCTAATTAAATATGTAGGACAGTAAATTTTCTAACTAGTCAAATAGGATGGGTTCTTCTGGCCTCCTAGGAGCAGAATAAGGGGAGAGGAAGACAGATGCCAAAGTGCTCTGAGAAAAACTGGCTACATAATTTGTGGAGTACAGTGCAAAATGCAAATGCGAGGCCCCTTGTTCAAAATTATTAAGAATTTCCAGATAGCACTACAGTACAGCATTAAACCAAGCATGGGATCCCGGGCAACTATACAGCTCACATGCCCAGGAAGGCAGCCATGGCCTTGAGCTCTCCGGAGGAAAGGCCTATTCAGGATGCTCATGCCACACCTCCTGCTGAGCCTTTCCGAAGGAAGTCCTGGATGATCTGGGTCTTCGTGTTGTAGCTAGGATTATCGGCCACCATGGCGCATAACTTTCGAAACTCCCGTAGCAGACAGTCCTTATGCCTGGGGTCACATTTGCTTGAAGACAGACTTCTCTTAGGGGTGGGGCTCGAGGGGGCTTCCCCAGAGTTGTTGGGCTTGGCTGTTGGAGAAACAACAGAGATGAATTCATTCTGCCTTTCTGAGAAGAAAGAAAGGGAAGGAAGGAAACTAACAGATATTCTGCTGGTATTTAGCTTTATTTAATCTCCCCGAATAGACTTTTGGGGTAGATGTCATTATATCCATCTTACAGATAAAGAAATGGAGGCCAAGTAATTTTCCCAAATCTTACAGCTAATAAATAATGTTAAAGGAACAATGGCCTCCTTAGACCCAAGCAAAAGACCAGACTGATGTGCATCTCTTTATGTGAGCACTTTACTGAAGAATAAAGACCAAAGTCATGCCAAGAATGATCAGGACTGGCTGGGCACAGTGGCTCACGCCTGTAACCCTAACACTATGCGAGGCCAACGCGGGAGGACTGCTTGAGCCCAGGAGTTCGAGACCAGCCTGGGCAACATAGTAAGATCCTGCCTCAAAAAAAAAAAGTGGTCAGAAGGATCTCAGAGCAATTGTAAAGCTGATCCCAGAAAAGCTGGCATGAGAAAGGGGTAAGAAATCAAGTACGTGTTAGACAATGTGAAATTACTGCTATCACAGGTTGTCAGAGCTGGAAGAAGCCTTAAAGATTATCTAGTTCAATGTTCTCTTACTGATAAGGGGACTGAGGTCTGAGAAGAGCAAATGACTTCCTGGCCCACTTCCTTGTTGAAAGAGCCAGGACAAAGACACTACTAAGAAAGTCAGATTCCATTAGTACACTCAACATCCCTACCCCTCGCTGCTTCAACTTTTCTTTTCTTATTGTCAAAATAAAACCCTGCTCCCCAAGGAGCAGTTATAAAAAAAAAATAATACATTTTTACAAAAGGTGGTCAAGGGGCAGGGATTTCCTCCAGACACTTAAAAATAATTATGTGCAACTCATCGGTGATTCCCTTTCACCTCCTTGTGACCATTTAAAAAGCAAATTTTATTCGGCAAACTTGTGGCAGAGCCATTACTAAGCTAACTGCTGTTGTACACTGTTTCTTGTCTGGGCTTTGTAAATTATAAATCCATCCTCATCTCTGATCCGGAATCTAAATATGATTTTAGGGGACAAAATCTCCAAAGTGTCAATGTTCAACCAGGTTGCAAGAACTAAAACACTCTCTTTCTCTCAACTCCTCCCAAATTCCATCCCCAACACCGGAGCCCTTCCAGAAACATGCTGTCCTTATCATCACCTGGACTCTTCTCTATCTTTGGCCTACCAGCAAACAACAAACCAACCAACCTCAGAATTTTTTTTTTTTTTTTTTTTTTTTTTGAGACAGAGTCTCGCTGTCGCCCAGGCTGGAGTGCAGTGGCGCGATCTTGGCTCACTGCAGGCTCTGCCCCCAGGGTTCATGCCATTCTCCTGCCTCAGCCTCCTGAGTAGCTGGGACTACAGGTGCCTGCCACCACGCCCGGCTAATTTTTTTATTTTTAGTAGAGACAGGGTTTCACTGTGTTAGCCAGGATGGTCTCGATCTCCTGACCTCGTGATCCGCCCGCCTCGGCCTCCCAAAGTGCTGGGATTACAAGTGTGAGCCACCGCGCCCGGCCCAGAATTTTTAAATAATAAAAATCCTATAGAGCCAGGCACCGTTTTTGCAATGTTATCTCTTACAGTCCTCATGAGAACACTATGGGGTAGATGAGGCATGGAGATATGATGAAGCTTAAACAAATAAATACACAAACTCACTGAAGCAGAGGGGAAAGTAATCTATATATTGCTGCCTGTGCTCCTATAGCACCCTGTGCATAGCACTATGGTAGGAGAGGCCACTGCTGCTTCATAGACAGAGGCTAAAGAGAGGTAAGGACGTGCTCAGGGATCTGAGCTGTCAAGGACCAGAACCCAAGTCTTCTGACCTCAGGTCTAGGCTTCTTTCAATCACATAAAATGTCTTTCAATCTCCAAATGACTTCTAAAATAAGGCCAAGTGGTTTGGCTTTATTTATTTTCTTCAGCTGAGTCAATCACAAGAATGTCTCCAAACAATAAAAGCAGCAACACAGTGTAGTATAAAAGAGCACAAGTACTGAAGTCAGACTTCAGTACAAATACTAACTCCATGATAACCCTGAACGTCAACTTTCTCAGTCATAAAAAGGGCCTAATAAAAAGTACTTCCTAAATAAAAGTACTGTCTAGGGTTAACTGAAGAAGAAATGAAACTACATATATAAAAGCCCCTAGTCCAATGCTGTCTGTTTACGTAAGGCCAATAAATGATCCTGATCTTCTCAACTCCTATCTATACCACATGCCCCAGCAAAGTCTTCCTGAATCCCTGTCTATGAAATAGTAATTCTATATTTTATATAAAAGAAACTATATATGTGTGTATACACGTGTGTGCATGTGTGTATTTTAGTGAAGAGAACAGGAAACTTAACACTTTATTGTTCATCTGTCCTACAAATAATAGCCACAGTCCTCCCCTTTAGGAGATGGGATTTGAACCCAGAGCTCACTGATTCCAAAGTCTGCAAGCTTCATCCCTAGGCTGTACTGCCTCCCAACAAATAGCAATATCCTTCAGATCTTTTTTTCCTTCCTTTGTGTTCCATGAAGTTCCAGTGTTTTGAATAAACAGTTTTAAGAATCAAGAAGGGAGATCCATGCATGACATCTCCCTTCTTTCATACTTTCATTTCTAGGCATATTCAGGGAAACAATTTCTCAAAATTCTTTCATTATCAAAACACAAGGAAGTAAAAGACAGGTTCTAATAATCTCTGTCTGGCCCAGGTAACTATTTCAAGGGGAAAAAGTCTTGACAAAACAAATCTTTCCGCTGCGATAGAGGTTAAAGTATACAAAGAAATGCTATACAAGTGGAATGCTGGCCGAGCGCAGTGGCTCACGCCTGCAATCCCAGCACTTTGGGAAGCTGGGGCAGGTGGATCACCTGAGGTCAGGAGTTTGAGACCAGCCTGGCCAACGTGGCGAAACCCCATCTCTACTAAAAATACAAAAATTAGTCAGGCATGGTGGCAGGTGCCTGTAATCCCAGCTACTTGGGAGGCTGAGGTGGGAGAATCGCTTGAACCCAGGAGGCGGAGGTTGCAGTGAGCTGAGAATGCACCACTGCACTCCAGCTTGGATGACAGAGCAAGATTTCATCTCAAAAAAACCCCCAAAACCAAAAAACAAACAAACAAACAAAAACCAAGCGGAAGGCTTAGAATTAGCCATTACCAGTCTCTGCTCAGACAGAAGCAAATTATTAATGAGATGAGATAGCACAGAATTTTCACTCTTTAGCCAGAATCCTAGGTAGAATACAAAATAAAAGCAGCACTATAACAGCTAAAGTAGCCCTAACCTATCTTACCTGAAAAGCCAGAAAATTTCCGGGGATTGGTACTGGTGACAAATGAGGCGCCTTTCACTGGAGAAGTCACCTGGCCAGTGGTTGTCAACTTAGCCTGGACAACAGCTTTCTTCTTTGGTGTACCTGCTGCCTTAGAAGACAGATCTGTAGGATCCCAAAAGAGTATAAAATATCCTTCAGTGAACGATCTCTGAAAAAAACATCCAAAGAATCTATCAACTGCTCCTAGGGCCTTGCTTGTTAAGTCACTACCCTAGCACTAGCCCAAGGCTGGCTGGTGGCTGGTATTTTTTGAGTGGGGGTAGTAGGTAATAGGGTATTGTGGGGACAGAAGGGAAGGATATGCTGGAGACAAAAGATCCAGTTACCATTTATCTCTATTAGTACCTTAAATTTTCATCAACATTCTCCACTTCTTATCCCATATGTAAGTCTCCAGAAATAACAATTTGGGGGAAATCAGAAATCATAGTTTGATGGATAAAACTTAGGGAACCCCCAACCCCACAGAATTAGCTTCAATTTAGAGATGAACAAAAAGTAAATGAGGATCACAGAGCATGTCAACCTAGCATAGGAAGGAAAATTTCCAGATGCTTAGTTATCTGAGTCATGAACTCTACCTGTATTTCTCTTCCTCCAAATGAGAGATGGGTCAAGAAGTAACAAAGGCCGAGGCCAATAGCTAAGGCAGTGCAAGGTGGGATGGGGAGCCTGAGAATAAAGTATATGGGAAGCACAGTTTTCTTTCCCGGAAGTCTTTTTTCCTTTCAAAGAACAAGGACAGATACCCATTTTTAGAGCCATTGTTAACTGTCTTCCTATGGTGACCAGAACTAAGTTGAAGATATGAACATTATTTTACAGACACTGAAGGTCAAAGAGGACTAACTGGATTTGGGGGTATTGGCATAAAATTTCTAAAATATGCATATGTAAATATGCATGTACATGCAAACATGTTATATATAGCCATATATAGGTATGAATTTTACATGCATATACACGCACATATTTTCTAGCTCTGTCTGCTGAAAGGGCTTAGAAACAGACATGCCATGGCTGGGCGCTCAGGCCTGTAATCCCAGCACTTTGGGAGGCCAAGGTGGGTGGATCACTTGAAGTCAGGGGTTCAACACCAGCTGGACCAACATGGTGAAACCCTGTCTCTACTAAAAACACAAAAATTAGCTGGGTGTGGTGTCAAGTGCCTGTAGTCCCAGCTACTTGGGAGGCTGAGACAGGACAATTGCTTGAACCTGGAAGGCAGAGGTTGCAGTGAGCTAAGACAGTGCCACTGCACTCCAGCCTGGGTCACAGAGTGAGACTCTGTCTCAAAAAAAAAAAAAAGAAGAAACAGATACCCCATGACAATGTGTTCACATAGTATCCGGGTTTTACTCTTTAATACCATTTCCCACTAACAGGATAGTGCCACTACACTCCAGCCTGGGTCAGAGTGAGACTCTCAAAAAAAAAAAAAAGAAGAAACAGATACCCCATGACAATGTGGACACATAGTATCCAGGTTTTACTCTTTAACAGGGGCATTTCCCACTAACAGGAATCCCCAGAGAAATTACCAATTTCAGGGCTGGGGAAGGATACATACGGGATAAGACTAAAAGCATCTTGCTATGCTCAAGAGTAAAGAAGTACATTAAAAAAAGTTAATGAAGGTATACAGGACACAGAGGACAGTGTAAAGGGGTTCCTAATTGGCCAAATATGGGACAATTAAGTATCAAATTAGTTAAGTACAGTAATGAATTATATGCTACAAGAAAAAAAGTAAAAGAGGATAGTAATCAGTACTCTATTCTTCCAAAATATCAATGTCATAAAAGAGAGACTATGGAAATATTTCAGATTAAAGGAGGCCAAAGAAACATGACAACTAAATGCAACACCTGATATGATCCTAGACTGGGATCCTATACTGCAGGAAAAGGCTACTGAAGGTATGACTCAATCCATTGACAAAATAGTATACAGATGGTAGATTTAAGTATTACATCAAGGACAAATTTTCTGAAGATGATAGCTATATTATAGTCGCATAAGGGTCATATATCCTATTCTTAAGGTATATACACTGAAGAATTTTAAAGGGCCATGATGTATGCAACTTATTCTCAAATGGTTTAAAGTGAGTGCACGCACACGTGTGTATGTATGTAGAGAGAGACAGCACATGAACAAATATGATAAAGCAAATAGAGTAAAATGTTAATAGGTAAATATGGGTAAAAGGAATATGAATGTTCTTTGTACTATTTTTAATCTTCCAACACTTCAGTGAGTTTAAAATTATTTCCAAATAAAACGTTAAAGGCTGGGCATGGTGGCATGCGCCTGTAATCCCAACTACTTGGGAGGCTGAGTCAGGATGACCTGAGTCCAGCAGTGCAAAGCTGCAGTGAGCTACGAATGCAACATTAAACACTGGCCTAGGCAACAGAGTGAGACCCCATCTCTAAAAGAGCAAAGTTAAAAAAAAGAGAAAGAAAGCAGTTGAACTCCTTATCCCTTTTTCTCTCAGCACCAGTAAGATGAGAAAGCAGTGTTCTCTACCTTACCTGCAATGTGCTGGGTTATCTGTTCCTTCTCATTATCTTCCAGCTCTTCCCAGCCTTCCAGCTCTGTGAGGTCCTCGATTTTTTTTGTGGTGGCCCGGGCCCGCTCTAGTTTCTCAAACATGCATTTAATGTGGTACCACTCTTTCATATCACCCCCAGACTCTGAGAAGGGATTGGGCACCACTTTGCCAATTCGGCATACGCCCTTCACAATCTTTTCCTTGCATTTTTTGCAGCCAGCTGTGCCACGCTTGGCATAGTCCACACAGAACCGTTGCTCAGCCATCTCACAGGGGCCACTGCAGAGTCCCACATGCAACCCTGGCAAGAAAACAAGGTAGGTGGCACGTGATCTTAGATGGCTTCCCTGGAATGATAGAACAGGCTTTCTTCTCAGGAAGAGGGGATGTCCATGAAGCAGATCTGTTTCTGACCACTGGCTGAATTGTCTTACATCACGCCAGTGATGTTTTCGGAATAGGCACAGTTCTTTTCGGCTGAGTGCACGGAGGGTTTGTGGAAAGAAGATCTTGAAAGCCAAAGACATATAGCTGTACGAAAGAGTAGGAGGCCAAAAAAAAAAAAAAAAGATATAAACAAGGAGATAGGCTTCCAATTTTCCAAAGGCCAGCGTCTTATATAGTCCATGATGACTAATCAAACACTTTCCAAAGTATTACATTCATAGTCTACTCTACAGCATGAAAGAGTTCTGATACAGGAAAAGCCAGCTCGCAGCAGGATGTTCAATTATCTAATGCACACATGTACATCTAGTACATCACAATGAAGAAAATCCAAATAACATAAAAGCTCTTTTTAGGCCATCAGCAACATATGATACTCATAATGGATGATGACCTTTAAGTATTACAAGATCCTGAACTTTCTTTTTTTTTTTTTTTGAGGCGGAGTTTCACTTTAATTGCCCAGGCTGGAGTACATTGGCGCGATCTTGGCTCACCGCAACCTCCTCCTCTCGGGTTCAAGCGATTCTCCTGCCTCAGCCTCCCTAGTAGCTGGGATTACAGGCATGCGCCACCACGCCCGGCTAACTTTTTTGTATTTTTAATGGAGACGGGGTTTCTTCTTGTTGGTCAGGCTAGTCTCCAACTCCCGACCTCAGGTGATTCGCCCGCCTCGGCCTCCCAAAGTGCTGGGATTACAGACATGAGCCACCGTGCCTGGCCCTGAAGTTTCGTTTTAATCACCAGTAAAAATTACATTATGTTCATGAAGTTTTTATTGTGAAGTTTAACACATATGCCATCCTCAGAAATCAAGCCACTATATAGATTTGGAATTGAGTTAGAATCCCTATATTGAGAGACAACTAAGCAGAGCCTGGAATCAGACTGCCTGAGTTCAAATCCTAACTCAGCCACTTACCAGCTGTATAACCTTGATGGGTTTCTTACCTCTGTTCCTGAGCTTCCTTATCTGTAAAATGTGGCTAATTATGGGGCCTAACTTAAAGAGCTGTTCTAAGAGTAAAACCCTTAAAACAGTTGGGCACACAGCAAGAGCTCTCATTAACGTCAGCTCCTATTATGATCGGTGACGTCGTTATCTTTCAAGAAGAGGCTTCCGATGTGCAATTAACCTGTTTATCATTCAGCAACTTGAATCAGAGAATGCTGAAGTCACTGGGCAGCAAGACTCACAGGAACTCATAAATCAATCCAAATGGAAAAAGATTATATCAGCATCTTCTTATATTCATGTTTTCTAAAGCATTTTATAGTCCTAGTTTTAAGTATACTGGAATTATGTTCAGTCTGCACACGCTGTGAAGCAAAATTGCTGTCACGTTATAATAAAAAGCAGGCTTTGCTTACTGTAGTGCAACATGATGTGAAGGAAAGCTGGTGGACCTGGAATAAGGGATGGGAGTGCAAGTCTGACTGTACAGTTTACTGACTGTTACCTCGGAGAAAACTCTTAATTTATCTGCATCTGTTTTCTTATTTCTAAAGCAGGGTAAATAATACCTACCTCACAGGGTAGTTGGGAAAATTACAAGGAATCCATGAATGCGCTGGTTGTGGGGGAGGGAGGCTGTTCTGAGCTCTCTAAAAATGTATACAAAATGTACATTCGATAAAAATGCACGGTTTTTTGGAGGAGGTCTATCACTTTCGTGATATTCACAAAGGGCTATATAACTCCCAAAGTTTAAGAACCACAGAGGTGAGGTAAGTGGAAGTACGGCAGACCCATAAAAGGAGGTCAGAACAAGTGAGTTTCAACACTTTTCCTAGAAGATCAATTTACAGAGCAACCTCTAGGGCCCCAATAATGAAAGGAGTGGACTTGAGGGAGGCTCGGGAGGCGCTGGGCCACGAGGAGGCACAATGCAGCTTTGAGGAAACCCGTCTGTCCCTCGTTCCGCACCCTCACAACTGCCGCAGCCCAGGGGCCCGAGAAGGAAATCGCTGAGGCCTGGCCGCCGCCGCTTTTCTCGAAGGGCTTCCCGCGCCGCTGTCGGAGAGTGGCGGGGACAGTGGGGTCGGCGGCGTAGGCCGCGACCCCCGGCGAGGCAGAAAGGAGCGCTCCTCCACCGGGTCCGGGACGCAGGCGGGAAGTGATCAAGGCTCCCTGAGTCCCACCCGAGCGCTCCCGGTTCAGCGCAGGAGGACGCACGCCGGGCCAGGGTACGAGAAGGCCCCGTGGGTTCCACAGGGAACACAGCCCGGGCGCCGGCCTCCCCGCCTCACGCGGCCCCGTGGGGGTCCCGGGGAGCCGCGAGCCTCCCCCTGGGCTCCCGGGAGGGCCGCCACGTCACGGAGGGTGTGCCCCGGGGCTCCGCAGGCGGGCGGGGGAGGAGCCGGGGGGCTGGCTCCCCGGCCGCGCCGAGCTCCTCGCCCCGGGCCCGCTGCCTTCCCCACGCCGGGCCCCGCCGCGCCGTGCCGCGCCGCGTAGCCCCTCACCTGCCTCTCCGGCTCCGGCGCTCACCGTAGGCCTCGGAACTTGCTCATTACAGGCCGCGGGCAGCCCACGACGGTTGGAGCGCCTGTCTCTTTAAATCCGGGTCCTAGAGCGGGAGGCAGCGCGCAGGCGCAAGAGCCAAGGCCGCGGCCACGCGACCGGTCCCCGCCCCCGTCTGCCACGTGGGTCGTAGTTGCATTCTGCCTGCCCTGTGATGTTTGGGAGTAGTTTTCAACCTGCAATCGCGGCCCGGGAAGCGGAGGTGGGGGGACGTGGCGGCTCCTCGGAACGCAGCCTGGCCTGAACTTCCGAGGCTCCCCTTGATTTTCTCATACTGTTAGAGAGGATCTGTTTTTAAAGATATTGGTGGAGAAACTATATTGTAATGAGGTCGGGGAAGGCAAAGATCGCGTCAATCTATTTTTTAAATATAATCCCTCTGTTTGTGTCCCGCAGACTCCCTAGTAAATAGTTTGTATTCAGTAGCTTTCATGGAATTGAGACGAGGCACTAAACAGCAGATAGATATAAAATGTAAAGGAGTGATGGAGGAGAAACTCCTTGATTGTATATCATTCAAAGTGTATTATCTCAAATCTGAAGCCAGCTCTTTGAGAGTTGGGATGGCGATTTTTACAAATGTAGCAGCCTGAGGGTAAGTGACCTCTTCAGAGTCTAGGAAGAGCAAACAACTGGGCCTTGTTAGGTAAGCAAAGAACAGGTTCCCGAGAGAATTCTGTGCTGTGTGATGAAGAGTGTCGTCTTTACTCTGTAGAGGACGGAGAGCCATGAAGAGTCTTAGGGAATACTGCTGAAGCTGGGTGGGGAGAGACTGAGGCAAGGGAACAAATCAGAAGGCTCTCATAGTGACCCATGTGGGAGATGATTCAGCTAGTTAGGGTGGAGAGTAAAGTGCGTTTTTGAAGATCATTTAGAATTTAAATGATCTTCTAGATAAAGTGCTCGTTTATGGATAAAATAATAATAATTTGAGTGAGCAGAAACATAATGGTACCATCAACTGAAATAGAAAATAGAGAGGAAGAGGAGGTGTTAGGGTTAGAAAGATGAGTTTTGTATTGGATACATTAAGTTTGTTTGACTAAGTTTAACTGCGATTCTACTGTTTGGAGGGGAGTAAAGCCTGCTTTTAATGCGCAGCAGAATGAACCAGGGCTTTGGTTCAACCAGGCAATTGGAAGGTCGCTGGAGACTCACGTCCTAGCTATGATAATTGAGTGATCTTGAGCACGTCTCTACAACTACATTTGCTACATTTTTTTAAGTTTCCTCAACCGTATCTGTCTTTTTCCAATGCTGTAATCACTAGCCACACGTGACTATTGAGCACTTGAATGTTGCATGGAATTGAGATGTGCTATAAGTGAAGAAAATACACACCAAAAAATTCATACTAAAAAAAGTAAAATATCTCATTAATAATATGTACCACATAATGACATTTAGGCCAACAATGGACCAAATATATGAGGGTGGTCCCATAAGATTATAATGGAGCTGAAAAATCCCTATCATATAGTGACAGCACATTACTCATGTGTTTGTGGAGATGCTGGTGGAAACGAACCTACTCCATTGCCAGTTGTATAAAAGCATAGCACACACTATTATGTACAGTATATAAAACTTTATAATGATAATAAAGGACGATGTTGCTGGTTTATATATTTAGTATACTATACCTTTTATTGTCATTAAATTAAATTAATTAATTTAGTTATTTTTGAGACAGAGTCTCGCTGTGTCGCCCAGGCTGGAGTGCAGTGCCACGATCTTGGCTCACTGCAACCTCTGCCTCCCAGGTTCAAGTGATTCTCCTGCCTCAGCCTCCCAAGTAGCTGGGATTACAGGCCCTTGCCACCACAATGGGCTAATAATTTTTTTTTTTTTTTTTTGCGACAGAGTTTTGTTCTTGTCGCCCAGGCTGGAGTGCAGTGGCAGGATTTTGGCTCACTGCAACCTCTGCCTCCTAGGTTCAAGCAATTCTCCTCCCTCAGCCTCCTGAGTAGCTGGAATTACAGGCACCCGCCACCACGCCTGGCTAATTTTTGTATTTTTAGTAGAGACGGGGTTTCACGATGTTGGCCAGGCTGGTCTCAAACTCTTGACCTCAAGTGATCCGCCTGCCTCGGCCTCCCAAAGTGCTGAGATGACAGGCATGAAACACTATGCCCAGCCTTATTGTTATTTTAGAGTATACTACTACTTATTGAAAAAAAAAAAGCTAACTGTAAAACAGCATCAGGTAGGTCCTTTAGGAGGTATTCCAGAAGAAGGCATTGTTATCAGAGGAGATGACAGCTCCACGTGTGACATTGCCCCTGAAGGCCTTCCAGTAGGACAAGATGTAGAGGTGGAGGATGGTGATATTGATGATCCTGACCCTCTGTAGGCTTACTAGGCTAATGTGTGTGTTTCTGTCTTGTTAACAAAAAAGTTTTAAAAGTAAAAGGAATTTTTTTTAATAGGAAAAAGCTTATAGAATAAGGATATAAAGCAAAAATATTGGCTGGGCACAGTGGCTCACATCTCTAATCCTAGCACTTTGGGAGGCTGAGGCAGAAGGAGTTCAAAACCAGCCTAGGCAACATATTTATAAGAAATAAAAATATTTATTTAAAAAAAGAAAAATATTTTTATACAACTGTGCTGTTTATGTGTGTGGTTTTATTAATTTATTTTTTTGAGATGGAGTTTCGCTCTTGTCACCCAGGCTGGAGTGCAATGGCACAATCTCAGTCCACTGCATCCTCTGCCTCCCAGGTTCAAGTGATCCTCCTGCCTCAGCCTCACAAGTAGCTGGGATGACAGGTGCCCACCACCACGCCTGGATAATTTTTTTATATTGTTAGTAGAGACGGGGTTTCTCCATGTTGGTCAGGCTGGTCTCAAACTCCCAACCTCAGGTGATCCACCCACCTTGGACCATTTTCTTTTATACCTTTGTGTGTGTGTGTGTGTGTGTGTGTGTGTGTGTGTGTGTGTGTGTGTGTGCTGTGCTTTGCCTATGTTTAGAGACACAAATACTTACCATTGTGTTATAGTTTCCTACAGTATTCAGTATAGTACATGCTGTATGGGTTTATAGCCTAGGAGCAATAGCCTATACCATATAGCTTAGGTATATAGTCAGCCATATCATTTAGGTTTTGTAAGTACACTATGATATTCCCATCACAAAATCACTTTACGATGCATTTCTCAGAAGGTATCCTGTTGTTAAACAACTCACGACTATCCTATCTTTATGTTAATTATTTATTGAAATGATTTTTTTGGATATGTTATGTCAAATAAAATATAGTAAAGTTCATCTCACCTGTTTATTTTTACTTTTTTGAAAATGTGGTGACTAGAAAATATAAAACTGCACGTTTGGCTTACACTACATTTCTGTTAGAGTACACTGCCTTAGATTTCAAACCTACATGTAGAGGGTGGCATCTGTGCTATATGCTCAGTGCCTAGAACAGTGCTGGGCACATAGTAGATACTCAACAAATATCTGTGAATAATGAATGAAACTCATGAGTGAATGGAATGAATGAATAAAACTCTGGAAGTGATAAGATCCCTTAGAAGGATGTTTATTATATCATAACAATATTTGATATAAACTTGCAAAGACTTAGGCTGTAAATGATTTTTGCTTGATGAGAGCTCCCTGAACCCCCTGATTCTCTCTGATTCAGGTCCCCTGCTGTGAAATAGAACTAGGTACACAAGAAATGGAACTAGGTACGAAAGCCGGCAGTTGCACTTCTTTAGAAAAGTGGGAACTGGCTGGGTGTGGTGGCTCACGCCTGTAATCCCAGCACTTTGGGAGGCCGAGATGGGCGGATCACAAGGTCAGGAGTTTGAGACCAGTCTGACCAACATGGTGAAAGCCCATCTCTACTAAAAATACAAAAATCAGCCAGGTGGTGGCGTGCACCTGTAATCCTAGCTACTCAGGAGGCTGAGGCAGAAGAATCGCTTGTACCTGGGAGGCAGAGGTTGCAATGAGCCGAGATCGCGCCACTGCACTCCAGCCTGGGAGACAGAGCGAGACTCTGTCTCAAAAAAAAAAAAGAAAAGTGGGAACTACTCTACCAAGGAGAATGAGGCAAAGTGTGGTAGGAAGAGCAGGGCTTTGGATTTGCACAGACAGGTTTGAATTATGTTCCACTACCAGCTGTCTGTAACTTTCATCTATTTTCTTAACTTTCCGGGTCTCAGTTTTCACCGTGAAATGGGGATAGTTTTACATTTAGGTCCCGGATCAATTTTGAGTTTATTTCTGTGAAGGGTGTAAGATCTATCTAGATTCAATTTTTGCCATATGGATCCCTTGTTGATCTAACACCATTTCTGAAAAGACTGTTTTCTCATTTGTATTGCTTTTGGTCATTTGTCAAAGATCATTGACTATATTTATGTGAATCTGTCTGTGGGCTGTGTATTCTGGTCCATTGGTCTATTTGTGTGTTCTTTGACCAGTACCACACTGTCTTGATTCCTGTAGCTTTATAGCAAGTCTCAACTTAGATAATGTCAGTCCTCCAACTTTGTTCTCTTCCTCCAATATTGTGTTGGCTATTCTGAATCTTTTGCTTTTTCACATAAACTTTAGAATCAGTTTCTAAAGCCAATATCCACAAACTAAGTTACTGGAATTTTGATTGGGATTGTATTGAATATACAGATTACATTGGAAAGAACTGACATCTTGACAATATTGAGTATTTGTATCCATGAAGATGGAATATTTATTGATTAGTTTGTCTTTGATTTCTTTTATTAGAGTTTTGTAGTTTTCCTCATACACCTCTTGTACATATTGTATTAGATTTATGCTTAAGTATTTCATTTTTGGGTTGGTGGTGAAATGAGGATAAAAATAACTCTTGGGATTGTAGGTGCCAATTAAATGAGATGACTGATGTCAGCTTGCAAACTGCTTGGCACTTAGAGGCATTTCAATAAATGTACATTCTCCTGCACCACCCAGCCTGGATACATTCATACCACTACAGAGTGTAATCACTCAGTCATTGATTGGTCAGTCAAGTATTTATTGAGTGCCTACTCTGCATCAGGCACAATTCCAGGAGTGTAATACAGTAGCGAAACAAAGCAGACAAAAATCCAGCCCTCATGGAGCAAACTAGTGTGGGAGATCAATAACAAACAGGGAAGTAAAATGTATAAGGTGTAAGAAGTCAGTGGGTGCCATGGAGAAGAAGAAAGCAGAGGAGGGTGGGACATGCGGGGTAGGGGCAGGGTGGCAGTTTTAAATAGAGGTCAGAAAGGCCTCACTGACAAGTAACAACTGAGAAAAGATTTGAAGAAATGAGTCAGCCTCATGCAGATTGAGGGTAGATGGAGCATTAGATAAAGGCTTGGAGGCCAAAAATGTGACTGTCATTTAGGACAATAGCAAGGAGATCCATGTGGCTAGAGCAGCTGGAGTTAAGGTTGAGAAGAGCAAGGAGACAGATCCTGTAGGGTCTTGTAAGACATTGCAAAGACATTGGCTTTTATTCCAGGTGAGAAGGGAAGCTAGTGGATTGTATTGAGCCGAGAAGTCATGTGATCTAACTTAAGCTTTAACAGGATCACTATCACTCTGGTTGTTGTGTAGAGAAGTTGGGAGATGAGTCAGGTAGCTATGTTAATAATCTAGGGGAGAGATGAAGGCAGCTTGGGTGGTAACAGTGATAGTAAGAAATAACTGAGGCTTATAGACCCCTAGGGGAACTGTGGATGGGCTCAGGGGTGTCCTTGAATTTCCTGAAATTTTATATAAACATTTGTGTGCATGGGCATTTTTGGTGAAGAGCTTTTATGGAGTCTCAAAGCAGTTTTATGATCCAAACAAGAACTAAGCTGGTGGTGAATAATCAGGATATCTCATGCTTGTTCCTAGCTATTCAAAGTCCTCAATTAAGTTCTTTCCACAGATGTTGACTGTAAATCCTCTACGGCATCTATCCTGTTTGTGAGCCTCTTAAGAGTTTTGACTGTCTCCTTTAAGTCTGTTCTAACCCTGACTTCCAGTTAAGACTCATCAGAATTGTTACAAAGAAAAAGAGCCATAAGGAAATGGGTAGATTCTGTTCATGTTCTATGCTACTAACTGTGGTAGTTTGGGAGCCACAGGCAAGAATTGGGAAAAGGCTTGACACTGTCCTAGAGATAGTGAGGGGCACTTGTGAGGCTAGTCTGTTCTCAGTGGGTTCCCTTTTTTAATAAGCTGTGGTCTATGAATCACATAAACCCCAGCAGCAAGAGCTGATTTTATGGGTTGGTTTGCTTAATAGTCACACAATTCAAATAAGTTGTAAAAAACGGTGCTGGTATTTGCCAGGATAAATATTTAAAAGGGAATAGCTGTAGAAAGATATAATAATTCAAATCAGCTCATCGTTCTTCATTCTCAATAAAGGCTGCGGAGGTTGGTTCTTAACCAGGGGGGTTTCTTGGCCTCTCCTTTGAATATGTTGTGCTACAGCTGTCAGGTTGAGAAAGGGCAGAGCTGAGAGAAGTCATACTTGCCTTTGGGAGTAGCTGATCCATGACAGAGAGGTTCTGGGACAGGGTTAAGAAGAGGGTTGAGGTCACAGATGTGGTGTGAGGAAAACTCAAAGTTGCCACCATCTTCCTTGAGCTCCTGGGTTGGGTTTTCTAGCGTGAAGTCCTGGTGGTTATGTTTTTCAGGAGACAAGTTAATAATTTTCAAAGGAAAATATATTTTATGAAGAGATGAGCCTATTTGGGAGGTAAACTCCCTTTACTGGGAGTTTAAAGTTCTCCTTTACTGGGCTCTGGCCTGGTTGATAAGGTAGTTTTGATGATAGTTGGTTTTTTAGCTTTGGTGCAGTGGCAGAGGTTGAAGACTGGGCTGAACACTTTACCTCTCTTGTTCCTCCTGCCATTCCTGTATATTGGGAGAGCCTCTACCCCTTTTCTTTCCTTCTCTAGATGTGCCACTTTAGCCCTCTTGAAGCATTCCTGACCACCCATGCTGCCACCTCCCCTGCCTACAGCTCCTGTCTTGATCTTGGTGATGGATCCTCTTGGGAGGGTCCTTAGTACCCAGACATAGCCTAATACTCCAAGAGGATAAAACTAAGGCTCAGGGAGTAAACTGACCAGGTAGATATCACAGCTAATTGGTGGCAAAGTGGGACTCAGACCCTAGACTTTTGATTAGCCCTCTTTACACTGCGTATAACCAGTAGTTTAATATTTTGGTCCTGCCCAATTTCTTTTCTTTTTTTTCTTTTTTTTTTTTGGAGTTGCGGTCTTGCTGGAGTGCAGTGGTGCCATCTCGACTCACTGCAACCACCACTTCCCAGGCTCAAGCGATCCTCCCACCTCAGTCTCCCAAGTACCTGGGACCCACAGGTGCATGCCACCAAAACTGACTTTTTTATATTTTTGGTAGAGATGCGGTTTCACCATATTGCCTTGGCTGGTTTGGAACTCCTGAGCTCAGGTGATCCATCTGCTTCAGCCTCTCAAAGTGCTGGGAGTGCACCACCACACCCGGCTAATTTTTATGTAGAGATGGCATCTCGCCATGTTGCCCAGGCTGGTCTTGAACTCCTGGCTTCAAGTGATTCTCCCACCTCAGCCTCCCAAAGTGCTGACATTACAGGCGTGAACCACTGCACCTGGCCCCTGCCCAGTTTCTTATATACTATTTATAACACAACCAGATTGTAATTTCCTTGAAGATCAGGGCCACTTTTTCACTCATTTATTCAATAAGTATTGTTTGAGTGTCTGCTTTGTGCAGGGCATTGAGTGAGTAAGATAAACTCAGACTCTGCCTTCAGGGAGAGGTTGATATATACCTTTGAATTTCTTGCAGACCCTTGTACCGTAGTGTACACTAAAGAAGTACTCAGTGAACATTGATTATTGTTAATAAGTATTATTGAGGGCTTCTTATAAGCCAGTGCTAAGCAATTTGTGTGTATGTATTTAATCTTCACAGTAAACTTGTGAGGCAGGATCTGTTATCAACAGATGAATAGGTTGACAGGTTATGTTATTGCTTCAAGCATTGGTTTTTGCCACTGCAGAACTACGTGAAGAACTTGTTTAACATACTGTTTCCGATGCCCCAACCTAGACCCACTGACCTAGAATCTCCTTGAGTAGGTCAGCATAGGGCATTGGATATAGTTGGGTTAGGGAACCATTGTCTTTGAAATGGGCCCATTTGGACAGACTAGGTGGGACAGCCCTTCATCCAGAACCTGCACACTGATGTCTGATGCTGCAAATGTTAGCCAGGTGTCCTCCTGCCCAAGTATCTATCTAAAACCTAAACTCTCTTTAACTTGGGTTTTAGCTGTGTTCTGTACTTTTCTATTTCTTAAAGAAATTTTTGGGTAATGGGTACAGGATGTTTGTTATATTATTTTCTGTACTTCCCTGTGTGCTTCTATTTCCTAAACTTTTTGAAAATTAAAATAAAAAGACATCAACCAAAAGAATATATCAGTTTCTGCTATGAGAGGTTTTCAAGTAGCTTCAAGGACTATTTGGAGGAGTAAAATTGAGTCTTTTTCTTGAGTGAATCTTGTGTTCTAAAATAGGAGGGCTTCTCTAGTTTTTCTTCCCTCTTATTTCGAGGAGTATAGAAGCTGTGGGCTGAAGAGCCAATCCATAACTGGAAAGAAAATCCAGATTAAAAGAAGGAATTACTCATTTTTGTCCATCGTCTCTATCTTTTCCCAGTTGAGGATGGTAAGTCTTTCCAAGAAACGAATGTGCTTTTTTCTCTTCCTTCCCACGCTGGATTTCTGCTTTCAGGCTGGAGTCTAAATTGCTTAGGCTCACATGCAAGGTTCTTTGTAAATCTAGTCCCAGTGGACTTCCTGTCCTATTTCCACCACATCCTTCCATGTACTTGAGGCGACAGTTTCCCCAGCACTGCATACTTTCCATGTCTCTGTGCCACTGTTACCTTAGTCCACAATACTCATTCCCTCCTTCACTGCTTGGCACAGTCTTTCTCATCCTTCAATGCTGAGTGCAAATTTTGCCTCCTCAGAAGCCTTTCTGAACCCTCCTCCCTGCAGTCAGTTGCTCCTCCAACACACTGCCCACTCAACACTTTGCACAAACATATTTTATCATATTATATTATAGTTAGTTGTAAACAGACCAGTAGATCTCAACTGGGGGCTACTCTTAGCTAACACGATGAGGTGGTGGGGTTGTGACAGTGCCACTGGCATTTAGTGGATAGAGGTCAGGGATGCTGCCAAACATCCTATGATGCACGGGACAGACCCCAGCCCAAATAATTATCCAGTCCCAAATGTCAATAGTGTAGAGGGAAGCCTGGTACGGTGGCTCATGCCTGTAATCCCAGCACTTTGGGAGGCTGAGACAGGAGGATCACTTGAGTACAGAAGTTCAAGACCAGCCGTGGTAACAGGGAGACACTGTCCCTACCAAAAAAAGGGGGAAAAATAGCTGAGTGTGGTGGCTCGTGCCTATAGTCCTAGCTACTCAGGAAGCTAAGGCAGGAGGATCACTTGAGCCTGGGAGTTCAAGGCTGAGATGAGCTATGATCACACCACTGCACTCCAGCCTGGGCGTCAGAGCGAGACCTTGTCTCGGAAAAACAACCCACCAACCAACCAACCAAACAAAAATAGTGATGGGGTTGAAAAGCCCTGATCTAGACTGAGATCCCTTTGTTCAGGGCCACATTTTATTCATCTTTGAATCCCTAGGAACTCTCATAGAGTAGGTTCTCAATAAATGTCACATATACAAATGAGAGGGAGTGAATGGAAGCAAGTGGGTCTAAGCCACCTTGGGAAATAACTCTACTTAATCCAGTGCCTCTTCTACTTCTAAATTATCCCCAAAAGAGCAAAAGCATTTTCCCTCAGATACCCTCTGCGGATGGTCACATGGAGGAAGGGCAGTCTCCTAGAATACGGAAACCATACAGTACAATAATAACAGGCAACACTTAGTGAGTGCTTACTGTATGGCTCAGGTGCTATACTAAAAGCATTGACATGCGTTTAACTCATTTAATCTTAGGAGACAGGAACTATTACTCTCCTTGGATTATATTAATAGTTGAGGAAACTAAGAGTGAAGTGACTTGCCCAAGGTCACCTTGTCAAAAAGCGGTGGATCACAGGGCACTTTGTAACTGTTGTTTCCCATTGGGATTTCTGAGAACTGAAATCATCATTCTTCCCCCCATCAGAGACCACTAAGGAGTACACACTTTATTGCTGGCGAAATAGGGTAAGGCAGAGTATTGTGGGAGTGTGTGGAGAAAATCTGAGGATAACACCCTGCAACAAAGAGGACTTCCCAGCCTAGCAAGGGATTGTGAAAAGCACTGGACTGCTTTAACCTTGACAGCAAACTTCCCTCATCTTAATTCTTGCTATTTTGGGGATCCTGTCATGTTTTGCACATTTTATTATTAAATATAGAAAATATATTGGACTAGGAAATCAAGTTACATCTAGTCTTAGTGATTAACTTACTGAGTGACCTTGGACAAGTCATTAGACATCTAAAATGAAGTGATAATAGTTGTTTCACTTTTGGTGGGGGGTGGTGAGATAAAAAAAAAACCAATCTCATGCTACCGATAAAAACATACCCGAGACTGGGCAATTTACGAAAGAAAGAGGTTTAACGGACTTACAGTTCCACATGGCTGGGGAGGCCTCGCAATCATGGTGGAAGACAAGGAGGAGCAAGTCATGTCTTATGTAAACAGCAGCAGGCAAAGAGACAGAACTTGTGTAGAGGAACTCCTCTCTTTAAAACCATCAGATCTCCTGAGACTTATTCAGTATCACGAGAATAGCACAGGAAAGACTTGCCCCCTTGATTCAGTTACCTCCCACTGGGTGCCTCCCACAACACGTGGGAATTCAAGATGAGATTTGGGTGGGGACACAGCCAAACCATATCAGTTGGTGAGTAAAAAATACTCTATGCAAGTATATATTAATATTAAATAATAATGATGCAGTGTAATAGTGGGAAGAACAAGGGCTTTGGGATTGTTGTCTTGAGTAAGTTGTTTCACTTCAGAGCCTCAGCTTCCTCATCTGTAAAATGAAGATTTCATATACTTTACAGGGTTGTGAGGATGTGACATGGTGTATACCAAACCCTAGCATAGTGCCACCCATATGGTAGGTATCCAGTCAATGGTAGCTATTATTAATAACCCGATCAGCTGGCTTGATTGATACTACCTTGTAACTACACTTGGCAAAACAACAAGCAAACAAACAATACACAACAATGAAAACAACAAACACTACCATCATCAACCACTTCGTGTGGTCCTCCTCATTCCCCTAAAGATGACTCTTGGCTTCCCAGTGTGCTTGAAGCTCAACAAATGCTGCTAGCAAAATGGAGGTGCAGCCAGATGGACCTGGTTTCCTCCTCTGAGAGACTGGGGGTACTTACAGTGAAGGATGGCTGAGTGCATAGATGCACTCTGAAAGGTTTTGACTGCCAAGAGACAAGGGGTGAGCCAAATGAAATGGTGAGGGCTGAGCATGGCTGGGGGTTAGTGAGTGCTTGTTGGCTTTGTGATCTTGCCCTGCCACTGGGTAACTTTCCTCCTTCTGGTATCAAGGCTGCCCAAGAGCTCCCACTGACATATGGAGGTCCCTCTTTGCCTATTTGGTGCCATGAGGAATTCTTGTCAGCTAACTGTGAAGGTGGCCCATTGCACCCTAGAGGCTGTTGTGTATACCTCCTTGCCCTGTTGTGTGCTCAGAATAGGTAAAGGCTTCATGTGCCAGAGAAGTAAGGAAGACACATAGTTGGAAAAAAGTACCTCAGCCCTCTGTTCAAGCTGCTAACTGGCTTTTATGCTGGTTCTGATTTCTGTAGTCAGCTTGATCTTTCTGCCACTTTCCCAAGCAACTTCCAGCTATGTGGGTGGTATTCATTCAACAGGTCTTTACCGAGCTCTATTATGTGTCTGACATTATTTTAGGTTGCAACTAAGACAGACAAAATCCCTGCTCTCATGGAGTTTACATTCTATTGGGGAGAGATGTTAACTTAGATACAAATAAACAAGCTAACTTAAGATAGTGATAAGTTTAGTGAATTCATAAAGTATTGTGAGTGACGGGTGGCTGTTTATGCCATCTGAGAAAGGGACTTTAGAGCTGAGAACTGAATGACTGAGAAGACTGCCATGCTATCTGAAGTCACATTCCAAGCAGAGAAAACCACAAGTGCACAAGCCCTGAGATGTCACATCTGATGGCTAGAAAGCTAGCCAGTGAACTGGGACATAGAGAATTAAGGGGAAATGTGTAGTAGATGAAGTCAGAGAGGTATGTCACAAGGTGGGGGCCCACAGATCACACTCAGCCCACAGTGTTTTTGATATTTCACTAAAAAACAATCCTGACTTGCAATTTCTCTTAAGTTAAAAAAAAAATTTGGGCCGGGTGTGGTGGCTCACGCCTGTAATCCCAGCACTTAGGGAGTCCGAGGCAAGTGGATCACAAGGTCAGGAGATGAGACCATCCTGGTTAACATGGTGAAACCCTGTCTCTACTAAAAATACAAAAAAATTAGCCAGGCGTGGTGGCAGGCGCCTGTAGTCCCAGCTACTCAGGAGGCTGAGGCAGAATGGCGTGAACCCGGGAGGCGGAGGTTGCAGTGAGCCGAGATTGTGCCACTGCACAACAGAACGAGACTCCGTCAAAAAAAAAAACCCACAAAAAACAAATTGGCCATGTCACTATGCCAGGCCATTATTCCTGAATAACAATTGCTTTCAACATAGAGCAGTTATGCTCTCCTGTCCCCTTCCACGCCACTTTAATGGAGCTTACTGTCATCAGTTTGTAAGTAGTAGACATTTGAATTAGCAATCCCTGAGTACCATGTGGGCTTAATAAGGGCTTGGATTTCTTGCCTACCACCCCGCCCCCCAGTGTGATGGAAGCATATAATGAATGGTTTTAAATGATAGAGTGACTTGATCTAAAATTTTAAGATCATTCTGACTACTCTGTCAGAATAGATTGTGATGAGGGTAGGGGGACAGGCAACAATGAATGAGATGTTGGTGGCTAGGGCCAGTGGAGAAAGAAGTGGACAGATTTTAGGCATATTTTAGAGGTGGAATGGACAGGACTTAACTAGTGCATTAGATTTGAGGGAAAGGAAAGAGAATGAATGATGGCCCCCAGGGTTTGTCTTGAGCGTCTGGGTGGCTAGTGGTGCCATTTACTGAGACAAGTCTCAGTAAAATTTACTCAGTAAAGTTTACTGAGACAAGTTCTCAGTAAACCTGAGAACAGGTTTGAGAAGAAAATCAAAGCTCTGTTTGAGAGTTATTATATTTTGGACACCTATTAAACCTTGAAGTGGAATGTTAGGTAGGTACTGAGCCAAGCCAGAAGCTTAGGTGGAAGGCCAAGGTTGGAGGTATAAATTGGGAATCTTCACTACATAGGTGATATTAAAACCCATAGGAAGGGATCAGATCACTGAGGAAGGAAATGTAGATATAAAATTGAATGCGAGGAGTTCTGAGATTTTTTTTTCCCTGTTCAAACTTTGTTTTTTCTTTTGAGAGACAGAGTCTTGCTTTGTCGCCCAGGCTGGGGTACACTGGTGCGATCTCAGCTCACTGCAACCTCTGACTCCTGGGTTCAAGCGATTCTCCCACCTCAGCTTCCCAAGTAGCTGGGACTACAGGCGTGCACTGCCATGCCCACCTAATTTTTGTATTCATTTATTTACTTATTTTTAGTAGAGATGGGGTTTCACTATATGTTGGCCAGGCTGGTCTCAAACTCCTGACCTCAGGTGATCCGCCTGCCTCGGTCTCCCAAAGTGCTGGGATTATAGGCGTGAGCCACCCAGCCCGGCCCTTGTTCAAATTTAAATCTTCTATACTCCTGGTATTATGCAGGCTAATAGACTATTAGTTTGAAAAAGCAGTCTAAGGTTATCTATCTAGTCATCATTCCTATGAATACTTACTCAAACCCCCGGCACAACATCTAGCCAAACAGCTAGCCAATTGGTGCTTGACAGGAAATACACTATTTCCATTAAGACCTTCCATTCTGTGTTCATCAGAATGAGTCCATGTCTTGCTGGACTCTCACCATACCCCTGTGAGGAATTACATATCTTCATTTTATAGTGGAGCAAACTGAGGCTCAGAGACGTGACTTGGCCAAGCTCATTAACCATTAAAAAGTAGAGTGGAAACTTGAATGCAAGTCTTCTGTTCCATGGTTCTTTGCATTACTACACACTAATCTAGTGATTGTTACTATTAAAGATCTTAGGCCTAAATTACATTTTCTCCTGCAATTTTAATTTCATAGCCTATTTTGTCCCCTGGTGTGTAAAAAGCAGTCATTACTTCCATCAATAAATGAAAATTGTAAGGCACTGGACACATATATATTTGAAGGCTAGTTGGATCAGCATTTTTTTTTCTTCTTTCAAGTTAGGGGTATTGATTTAAATCGATAAGTGAAGTTGGGTGAGAGGATACCTTTATAGCCTTTACACTTCTATATTGTGATGACGGCTGAATTAGGGGGCATTCTAAAAAGAGAAGTGACTGGAGGGAGTCCTTGGGACCAATTCTTACAATTTAGGAACAATGATGGTATTCAGTCAAATGCCGAAACCTATTTGACTTAGCTCAGAGAAAGTATAATAATGGAGCTTTCCAATGTATAAGTGGATCAGGAAAGATGCACTAGCTACTATAGCTGCTTACGCTGACCTCAAATTCAACAAGGATTCATTTGAGCACTGATTATGGTCAGGGCCCCATTTCTACTGCTCCGGAATACAGAGCATTGAGAATCAGATTTTGAGGGCTTTTTGGCCGTCCTAAAAGCCCAACGGGGGTTCACGTGAGTAGTAACACACACCTGGCACTTCTTAAGCACTTCTTTGACTGTGTTACAATTAAGGACTCAATTTACAAGGATAAATTGTTAACTTAGAAAGTTCAAATTCCTTAGAGCTTGGCATTCAAGCTCCTCCACATGTTCCTAATCTACCTTTTCAATCATAATTCCCACTGTTGCCAGGACTGAACCCTCTGCTCTAGTTAAATTGGATGCTCACTACCTCCTGAGCATGTTTATCTTTTCACCTGGATACCTTACTCTTTAGATCTACGCTGTTCTTTATAGTAGCCACTAGTCACATATGGCTATCGAGTACTTGAAGTGTGGCCAGTCTAAACTGAGATGTGCTGTTAGATACACCTAGATTTCAAAAATGTAGTAAAAATAATCAATCTTTAAATATTACATATTGGAACATTAATATTCTGGACATAGATGAAATAAAACACATTAAAACTACTTTCACTTCTTTTTACTTTGGCTACTAGAAAATGTAAAATTTATCTATGGCTTGCATTATATTTTATTTTTTTACTTTTTGAGACAGGGTCACACTGTCACCCATGAGGGAGTGCAGTGGCACAATCACAGCTCACTGCAACCGCCACCTTCCCTGGCACAGGTGATCCTCCCACCTCAGCATCCCAAGCAGCTGGGACTACAGGTGAATGCCACACCTGGATTATTTGTTTATATTTTTTGTAGAGATGGGGTTTTGCCATGTTGCCCAGGCTGGTCTTGAACTTCTGAGCTCAAGTGATCCACCTGCCTCGGATTCCCAAAGTGCTAGGATTACAGGCATGAGCCACCACACCCAGTCGCATTTTATCTTTAGTGGACAGTACTCCACTAGATTGTTGGCCAAGGCAGTACTGGGCCCACCATTCAAACCCATATTTGTACTTTCTTGCTAGAGTAATAGTGATGAATGAAGGGAAAATTCTGAGTAACACTGGGTTCACACATTTGAGGCAAGCAAGCCGTGTCTCATCAAATAGAAGCTGCTATCACTGATCAGCTAGCAGCTCAAGGAGGAAGACTGCCAAAGGCAGCAGGACAATTATTAATAATAATTTGTGGTACACAGCAACTGTTCAGTAAGTGTTAGATAACTCCTTTTAGGCAGTGACACTAAATACAAACAAAATCTTGAATCCCATACTTATCCCTCCTGTTTTTCTTCTTCCACTTCTAGTCACTAAAATTTAGCTATTCTGGCCGGGCGTGGTGGCTCACGCCTGTAATCCCAGCACTTTGGGAGGCCGAGGTGGGCAGATCACGAGGTCGGGAGATTGAGACCATCCTGGCTAACACGGTGAAACCCCGTCTCTACTAAAAAATACAAAAAATTAGCTTGGCGTGGTGGCGGGTGCCTGTAGTCCCGGCTACTCGCGAGGCTGAAGCAGGAGAACGGCGTGAACCTGGGAGGTGGAGCTTGCAGTGAGCCGAGTTTCCGCCACTGCACTCCAGACTGGGCGACAGACCGAGACTCCGTCTCAAAACAAACAAACAAAAAAAACAAACAACAAAAGAATTTAGCTATTCCTATGACATGCTTTCACTTCTATTCCTTTTCTCCCAATCCTCAGCTAATCAGTCTTGTCACCTTGCTTTTGAAAATATAGTTTTCAAATAGCTCCTAGCTTCCTTCTACCCTCCGTGTTCATTCCATTCTATATACTGTTAATAATGTCCCATGATACTTCTTTGCAGATGTAATTCTTTGCTCAAAACCTCCATTTTCATATGAACTTCATCAAAAATTTTCACTTAGCATTCAAGGCTTTTCAAACCTTGTCTCTTGGTACTCCTCTCCATAAAAAAAGACTTTAGGGAAACTAGATTGAGTTAATATATGTAAAGCACTTAGAACCATGCCTGGCCCATACTAAGAAATATATAGGTCTTAGCTATTATTATTATTGCTCACTTTTATTTGAATATGCTGTATGCATTTCAACTCCAGAACACTGCTAATTCCCTTTTCCTATTTGAGTACCTCAATCTCTAAAGGAAGGAGTGATTTAAACTATCAATGACCAGCAAGAGCCAATTGTTACTGCTGGAAAGACAACTTAAATATTCTTTCTACAATAGATAGGACCTGCAAACAAGGAACCCTAATTTACCACCAAATAACAAAATTTAAGGCTGGATGAAATAAATAAAAGATAATATTTTTTCCTTCATTCAAGAAACAGCAAATTTATGGAATGTGTTATTTAAAGAAAAAGAAAAAACCTGAAAAACATAAATGGGTTCTGGATTTAGGGCAGTTACTCTCTAACCCTGGCATATATTAGAATAACCTGGGTGCTTAAAAAACACAGTTGCCTGGGCCCAATCCCAGATTTATTGAAGGGGAAGGCCTCAGACACTTTAATTATTTTAATGCTTCATAGGTGACTCTCATGTGCAACCACATCTGACCATCATTGGTTTGGTCATGTTTGGCATATAGTTTTCTTATGTTTTTAAAATAAAGCACACTAAGAGAACTGATTAACCTACAATGACTTATGTGTTTATGAAGTGTTCTAAAAAACCATACAAAAACCAAAGAAACAAGAAAACAAACCTTTTCAACTTGATGTAGGGTTCAGAAGATACATACATTCCAAATACCACAGTAAGCATTCATCTGAAAGTTTGCCGGTTGGTCTTTCTATTAATTAAAAAAATTCAAAACAGAATACAGATTTAACTATGTACAATATTTACAACTTACAGATTTTACAACGAAATTATACAGTTAAGTCTGTCGTGGAAATGTTGGCATTTTGGTATATAACACTTCAGAAATTTCAAAAACAACTTTACCTCAAAAACATGTTACACAAATTTTCCAAAGTGCTGTAGCTCACTGGCTCATTTTATCTCAACAATCCAGTTTAGCAATCCAGGTACCCAAATCTTGAGGCATGAAGTAACCGCTATACTACTGAGAGACAGCACTTTTTATACAACAGCAGAGGCTGTTAGAAACCTTGGGTCTTTAAAACCCTATAACAATGCCCCTTTCACCCTCCAATCCTGAGACAACAAATCCTGTAGTTCCCCCTCATCATCGCTGTCAGCATTCTCTTCTTCCTTTTTCTGCAGTTCTTTTATGGTCAGGATTTCTTTAAGTTTATTTTTTATTTCATCCTGGCGATTCCGTAGCTTTTCCACCCGTCGGTAACACTCTATCTGCTCATCGATCTCCCCAATCTGGCGGTCCAACCGTCCCTCCTCATCCTCTTCGGCAACTATGGCTTCGGAAATAGTGTTGACCTGCCTCATGGCTTTTTGGAATTCGTCCCACTCTTTGTCCATCTGATCTTTTGGAGCATCAACCTTTCGTACTCTTGCATCTACCTCAGGGTCGTCAAAAAAACCTTCCGGTAACGCTTCCGCGGTGTTTTCTCTCCTTTCCACCACTTTTTCATGTATTTCTGCTTTCTCAATTGACCCTGAATGAGGAATTATGGGGGCCTTGGGAGGATTAGTACTAAAGAAATCGTTTGGCAGCACACTACTTGTTACCTCCCGTGAAGAGGAAACTGAGTGCTCCTTGCCCTGTGCGTCGGAGAGCGGCTTGCTGGCGTCCCCCCTTTTTCTTTCTCCATCTCCTTCCTCCTCCTCTTCCTCCTCCTCCTCATCTTCATAATCGGGGAGTAAACTGAGTCCTGAAGGCTTACTGGGAGTCGCTCTAATGAACTCCTTTCCTATTTTGTCAAAGTTGGTGGTCCACGCAGATGTGGAGGGCTGTACCTGAGGCACCAAGGTGGCCTTCGCTCTCTTGACATCTTGGTCGTCTGCGTCCGGCGCTTTCCTCTTGACGGAATGAGGCGCTGAACTGGCGGACGAACCCTGGCTGGCTTCCTTCGCGCCTTTCAGCTCGGCCACTTTCTCTCGGTGCTGCTTTCCCAGGACGTGAGTCTGCCACAGGAGCTCGCTCTTAACCGGAGTGTTACACAGGGCACAACTCAGCTGCCCCAAACGGTTGTACTTCGCGAATGGAGATTCTATCCGTTTCCGACTGGTGCTCAGACGCTGCTTCTCCTTCATTAACCGCCGCAATTCTTCCTGATTTATCACTCGCTTCCCTGCCGGAGTCCGGGCGGAGGCGGAGGACGCCATCTTGGCGACCAGACCCAAAACGATTCTGGTTTCCGTCGGGCGAGGCATGATAACGTCACTTCCTGTAAGGGCGATGATTGGCCGAGGCTCAAGAGAGCGTGGCGTCGCATTGCCGTTTTTGCTCAGAATCGCGACTAAGGCTTTTTTTTTTTCTCCCTCTGAACGGTTAGGCTATGGCTGCGATAAAGGCCGTCAACTCCAAGGCTGAGGTGGCGCGGGCCCGGGCAGCTTTGGCTGTCAATATATGCGCCGCCCGAGGGCTGCAGGATGTGCTGCGGACCAACTTGGGTCCTAAAGGCACCATGAAAATGTGAGACAGCGGTTGGAGCGGCCATTACGCGGCTAGGGGCCCGTTGGTGTCCTGTCGCCCTCTGAGGCAGGCGTCCGCGTAGCGCTGTGGATGTTCTTGCGAGCTTGATTTCCCTCATTCTCATCCCTGCTCTGGGGGTATTTCTCGCCTGGTGCAGGTGGAGGAGAAAAGCCTCCCCTAGTAGAGGGCCCCGGGAGTGAAGCTGTGGCGCTTCCCCGACCCCCGACTTGTCGTCAAGGTTCATATGCAGTTAGAAAGTCAGTTAATTTAGTGTCTCATTGGAAACAAAGCATTTAACTCCTCTGCTCCTTAAGACTGTATACCCTTGGTCCATAAATTCAACAAGTAGTTTTGTTTTTTGTATGGCAATGTATTGTAGTGGAGAGGACACAGGCTTTGGAGCCAGGAAGGCATGGGGTCAAATCCAAGTTCTACTTGAATACCCCGTGTCTATGGTTGTTCAGATCTATTCATCTTTTCAGTATATATTAAGCACCCTTTTCTATAGACAAGAGTGAGGAAAAGAGACCAGTGAGGGCAAAAGGGTATAAGAGGAGAGACACATCCTCATAGTAATGAACAAAATAATATTAATGGTAAAATAAGTCACTTAGGTACCAGTTGTTGGGACACAGAAATGATCAAGATAACGGTTTCTGTTCTTAAGGAGATGTGGTAGAGACGGATGTGGTAGAGTAGGATGTGCTAATTATATATAGATGCATATAATTATGCTGAAGAAAGGGACTGATGGCAGAAGGAAAAGCATCTTAAGTAACATGTTTGATCAGTCTTGAAAGAAGAATAAGACTTCACTAGTTGGAAGAGGGAGTAAAGGCCTGGGCAAAGTAATTTCAGGAATAAGAAAGACCAATGGTGCAAATCCAACAGAAACGAAACAAAACATGGTATATTAAGGGAACCAGAAGATTTGCTTGTGGAAAAGTAGATGAGGCAGGGAAGATATTGGGAAAGGTCAAGTATGTCATTGCTGTGTTTGGATTTTAACTTGAAAATGATGGAAAACATAAAAATCATTGGAGGACTTTTGATCAGGGAACTGACTGAATCACGTTGCCTTTTAGAAAGAAAAATGTGTGGAGGGTATATTTAAGTTTGGAGATATCCGGATGCCATCCAAAGTAGAGATGATAACAGTGGAGATGGAGAGAAGGTGGCAGATTCAAGAGATATTTAGGTAGTAGAATTGATAGAACTTGGTGATCTAATAAATGCAGGGATGAGGGAAACTAAGTTGAGTGACTGAATGAATGAAAACATTCACCAAAATTAAAACCTGCAGGAAATTTGCGAATTTGTGCTTTGTAGACTTCCAAGTATTCTTTGACCAAACCACAGTTCGTAACTCATCAAGTGCTTTTATCTTTAAACCTGTAAATAGTCCATTTGGAATGAAATCTCCATAATCTGTCCATCTGGGGAGAAATGATTCTGTGAGCTGCAAATGGTGGTAATTACCATGGCATATTCCCATGGTACAGTGGAAGTTTTCCGAGCCCAGTTCCCTCTATTAAGGATAATGGAGTGGCAAGCACTGGGAATGTCTTCCTACCACATGAAGTTAATATCATTCTTCTCTGAACAGGCTTGTTTCTGGTGCAGGTGACATCAAACTCACCAAAGATGGCAATGTGCTGCTCGATGAGATGGTGAGCTGATGCTGCTGACTTTAATAAACCTTAATAAGCCTTAATTAGAAGCATAGTAGAACTTGTGTATCTTTAAGCCAAGGCTGTGAGCTAAATACTGCAGTCTTGAGATATGCTGAAGACTGTTGAATTAGACCTCAATAAAAAAATTTTTTTGGCCGGGTGTGGTAGCTCACTCCTGTAATCCCAACACTTTGGGAGGCTGAGGTGGCCAAATTGCTTGAGCCCAGGAGTTCAAGACCAGGCTGGGCAACATGGTGAAAACCGTCTCTACAAAAAAAAAAAAAAAAAAAAATTTTGCTCAGTGTGGTGACATACGCCTATAGTCCCAGCTACTCTGGAGGCTGAGGTGAGAGGATCACTTGAGCCCAGGAGGCCAAGGCTGCAGTGAATGAGATTGTGCCATTGCACTCCAGCCTGAGTGGCAGAGTGAAACCCTGTCTCAAAAAAAAAAAAAAAAAAAGTTTTTTTTTTTGGCTGTTTCCAAGTCTTTGTATACTTATACATACTTTGTATACTTAGGCATACTTATAAATCAATAATATCTTTTAAGGGCACTGCCTTATGTTCTTTGTAATTATGGAAAAATAAAAATATCCTTTGCAAGTTTAATACATGTATTCATTTTGAGATTGAATGATTTAATCTTATTTTAGAAATGTCATTGCATTCTGAAGCAAAGACTTTTATGAAATGTTCAGGCCTCATTACCTGTCACTTTTAAAATTTTGGACTTGACATTTAGGTATTGATAATACAAAACTTGTAAACTTGTAGAATGAAGCTTATTTCATTTTTTAATTTTGCTACTGACCCCTAGGTTATCTTGCTTTTGGTGACCTACTTCCTTATCTCATCCTGTCTT
The DNA here is from genome assembly GCF_000001405.40 of Homo sapiens. Lineage (NCBI taxonomy): Eukaryota > Metazoa > Chordata > Mammalia > Primates > Hominidae > Homo > Homo sapiens. Next base: position 34,958,721 of record NC_000017.11, on the reverse strand, counting down.
TTTAAATCTGTTGCTTGCTTTTTCCAGCAAATTCAACATCCAACAGCTTCCTTGATAGCAAAAGTAGCAACAGCTCAGGATGACGTCACAGGAGATGGTACTACTTCAAATGTTCTAATTATTGGAGAGTTATTAAAACAAGCTGACCTGTACATTTCTGAGGTATTAGAATTTCACAGTTTATATGTTATTTTGAATGGCAAATTATTTTTTTAACTAGTAAAATGGTTGAGTTTTAGACAGTTAATTTTGTTTTAATTAATTAATTAATTAATTTTGAGATGGAGTCTCACTGTGTCGCCCAGGCTGGAGTGCAGTGGCAGAATCTTGGCTCACTGCAACCTCCGCCTCCCAGGTTCAATCAATTCTCCTGCTTCAGCTTCCCGAGTAGCTGGGATTACAGGCATGCGCCATCATGCCTGGCTAATGTTTGTATTTTTTTTAGAGACAGGGTTTCACCATCATGGCCAGCCTGGTCTTGAGCTCCTGACCTCAGGTGATCCACCTGCCTGGGCCTCCCAGAGTGCTGGGATTACAGGCATGAGCCACCGTGCCTGGTCTAGACAGTTAATTTTAATTAAGATATTCTTGGACAATTATAAATGGAAATAATAATGAACTTTGTTGGCCAAAATAATGCCTTTCGTTGGAATTATATACCTCTTTTAAAAATGAAATATTTAACGGACCTAAAAAAGTAAAAAATTACCCATGTATCCATGGGTAATTAAGAAAGAAAACACCATAGATAAAGTTGAAACCAAATTATGCACCTTTATAAAACCACTGGAGAAAAATTATTGAAGGTTTTACTTATTGTGAATTTACCTTCCTTTCTAGTTTCATTTTCTTTATAAATCATCTACTTCAGCCAGACTCCTCCGTTCACTGGCCTCTGAAAACATCATGTACATTTTTACCTTTCTCTAATTAAGTATCTCTTTTCTCCATATCTGAATGTTTTCTCTCTTTCAGGGACCATTTCAGCAAAGAGTAACCTAGTCAAAATGATTCTCTGTGTTTCGTTTAGTATTGGGAATTTTCTATTAATTCAGTACTTGCAACTTAGGATGCTTTTGGCTGTAAACAACTTGACTAAAACTCACTTGAACAATAAGGAAATGATTATCTCCCATAATAGAAAATTGAGAGATAAGGGAGACTGTCAGGTTGTGTGATAACAAAATTCAGTCATCAAGTACACAGGTTCTTTGTCTCTTACCTCTTCCACTCACAGTGCTGTTTCATCCTAAGAGTATTTCCATCTTGAAAGTAAGAGGCCAGGTGCGGTGGCTCACACCTGTAATCCCAGCACTTTGGGAGGCCGAGGCAGGTGGATCACCTGAGGTCGGGAGTTCGAGACCAGCCTGACCAACGTGGAGAAACCCTGTCTCTGCTAAAAATACAAAATTAGCCAGGCGTGTTGGTGCACGCCTGTGATCCCAGCTACTCAGGAGGCTGAGGCAGGAGAATTGCTTGAACCCAGGAGGTGGAGATTGCAGTGAGCCAAGATTGTGCCATCATACTCTAGCCTGGGCAACAAGAGTGAAACTCCATCTCAAAAAAAAAAAAAAAAAATGGAAAGAAAAAGGAAAGAAAAAGAAAGTAAGACTGGCTGGGCACAGTGGCTCATGCTTGTAATCCCAGCACTTTGGGAGGCTGAGGCAGGAGGATCACTTGAGCCCAGGAATTTGAGACCAGCCTGGGCAACATAGTGAGACCCTGTCTTTAGAAATAATAAAAAAAAATTAGGCTTGGTGGCATGCTGCATGTGGTCCTGGCTACTTGGGAGGCTGAGGCAGGAGGATTGCCTGAACCCAGGAGGTGGAGGCCGCAGTAAGCCATGATTGCACCAGTGTACTCCAGCCTGGGTGACAGAGTGAGACCCAGTCTCTAAAAGAAAGAGAGAGAGAGAAGAGAGGAGAGAGGAGAGAGAGGACAGAGGAGAGCGAAGAAAGACTGTCAGAGGAAATTAGGCAGAGGGCAAGATAAAGCCATTCAGGAGGCTTTTCTTTAGTATGATTGGGCCAACTTTAGTATTATGTCCATCCCAAGCCAGTAACAGTTTTTATGGGAATTGACTTAGACTAATCAGGATCCACTCCTTGAGCTGGGGATAAGATCAGCTTTCTCCAAAGCACAAGTGGGAGAGGGAAACCCAAACTGAATTAGGGTTGGGTTAGGAAGAAAGGAGTTTGGCAAGGGTGAGATGCTAACAGACATTATGAAACTCTGTGGTGGTGCAGTGATAGAGCCGGGCACAGTATATGATGGAATCACTGAGGCTGGAGGGACGTCCTAAACTAGCCTGAAGTAGTCAGGAAGAACTCTCTGGAGGAAGTAAGGCCTGGCCTAAATCTTCAGGATGAGGAGGAGTGAACCAGACAAAAGAGCAAGGGGTGAGGAGAATGGCTTTCCAGGCAGAAGGAACAACATAAGCAAAGTCACAGAGAAGACAAGCAACATGGTGTTGTATGAAGCTACAAGCATTTTGGTGTTGCTGGAATTTCAGGTGATGTGAACAGTAGTGGAGAAGAGGCTGGAGAGGGAAGTGGGAGCCAGATCAGAGGGCATGTAGTATGCTAACCAAGAAGCTTAGATTTCATCCAGTGGTATTACAGACCAAACATAGAAACATACTAATGACTGATATGGTCAGGTTGGCATTTTAAGTATTTGGGGGATGGTTTTAAGGGAGTCTAGACCAGAGGTTTTCATGATAGTCTGGATGAGAGATTGTGGGGTCCTAGCTTGAAGACATTTTTGAAAATGGTTAATAACATAGGCTCTAAAGTCAGGTCTCATGGGTTTAAACAACCTGGTTTCACTTCTTATTATCTTGGTGATCTAAGGCAAATTACATTATCCCTTTAAGCCTCGGTCTTCTCATCTGTGAAATAGGAAAAATAATAATAATAATACCCACTTCATGATGTGGCTAGAGAATTAAATAACTTGTGTAAAACTCTTAGTCATGTCCAGCACAAATACTCAATGTCAACTTTTAAAGATTATTAAGGATTGATGTAAAGAAAAGTAGTAAGGGAATGAATTAGACCAAGTGCTAGCTTTCACAAAGTTTGTGTATTATTTTATGGAACAAAAAATACTATTAAAATATTTTTTCATAATTTTAGACCTATAGAAAAGTTGCAAACATACTACAAAGAATTCCTGTATACTTTTTACCCAGATTCTTCAAGCATTTTCATTTCTCTCATTGCCTGCTTGCCCTGTTCTCTTCCTTAGTATCAGTGTACTTATTCTTTTCTAAACTGTATGTTGCAGACATGATCTAAATATTTCAGTGTATATTTCTTAAAACCAGGGAATTATATAATTGCAGTATAGTTATAAAAACCAGGAAATTAATAATAACATTAACACATTGATACATTACTGTTATCTAATCTGCATTCTATTCAAACTTCACCACTTATATTAATAGTGCTCTTTATAGAAAAAAAAGATCTAAGTTCATGCATTGCACTCAGTTGTCGTGTTCCTTTAGTATCCTTTAAGCTAGACTAGTTCCTGAGCTGCCTTTTATGCTTCATGATATTGCTACTTTTAAGCCATTTATTTTGTAGAAAGTCCCTCAGTGTGGATTTGCCTATTTCCTCAATTAAACTTAGGTTACAGATTGTTGGCCAAAATACCATAGAACTGTTGTGTTCTACTGAATGCATCATGTCAGCAGGCATGTGATGCCTGTCTGTCTCATTATTGTGATGTTAACTTTGATCACTTGGTGAAGTGGTAGACACCACAGTGTTCTATCTGCCACTTTTCCCCAATTCAGTGGTGGTTCTTTTCCTCTGCATTGAAAGGAATCTTTTTATGTGTGCCCATTCAGAAGGGCACCACATAACAACAATGTAGTCATAATTTTTGGAAATAAAAAGGACTTCTGTAATTTTTAATACTAGACTTGAAGCCTTACTGTTAAGGTTGAGATTATTTCAAGTATGAAGCACTAAAATGACTTTTATAAATTATGTACACTTATATTTCATGGCATTAATGTGAGTAACTTTTTTTGAACATAATAATCAGACAGGTTGGTTACTTTTACATTGGGTGACTTATTTTATAATTTATAATTTTATGTTGATGTAACAGGGCCTGCACCCTAGAATAATAGCTGAAGGATTTGAAGCTGCAAAGATAAAAGCACTTGAAGTTTTGGAGGAAGTTAAAGTGACAAAGGAGATGAAAAGAAAAATCCTCTTAGATGTAGCTAGAACATCATTACAAACTAAAGTTCATGCTGAACTGGCTGATGTCTTAACAGAGGTATGTTATTAAACTTTTGCATTCAGAACAAATATAGCCTAATGCATGGTGATATTTTTCTTTTTCTGTAAGATAATCAAGTATTTCATGTGGTTTTTTGGGCATAAAATATGGAAGACAGACAATTATTGTATAGGCCTAACTGTAGATTAGATTTGACTGGTCAGAACAGTATTTGTAATTTTCAGAAGTATCATACTAGGCCTTTTTTTAAACGTGACTTGAAAGGTGGGAGAGGTTTGGCTGCCTGCAGATCATCTCCTGTGGAAGCTCTTGAATAGTATACTGGTCTTTTTAAATCTAGCAGTCCATATTTTATTATGTGAGGTGACACACAAGATAGTTGTTTTAGCAGTGTACCTTGTAGATAAGGTTACCAATATAATGAAATGTGATATGATATATTAATATATTAATATTCACATATTGGAAATGTATGTTTGTTTAGTTTATTTCTTTTATTAATTTATTTGAGACAGAGTCTTACTCTGTCACTCAGGCTGGAGTGCAGTGTCATGATCTCAGCTCACTGCAACCCCCGTCTCCCAGGTTCAAACGATTCTCCTACATCAGCCTCCCGAGTAGCTGGGATTACAGGCGCGTGCCACCACGCCTGGCTAATTTCTGTATTTTTAGTAGAGATGGGGTCTCACTATGTTACCAAAGCTTGTCTTGAACTCCTGACCTCAAATGATACACCCACCTCGGGCTTCCAAAGTGCTGGGATTACAGGCATGAAGTCACCACATCTGGCCAGTGTTTTGTTTATTTCTAAAGGTAGAATATATGTTATATAGGCTGGGCATGGTGGCTCATGCTTGTAATCCCAGCACTTTAGGAGGCCGAGGTGGGGAGACGACCTGAGGTCAGGAGTTTGAGACCAGCCTGGCCAACATGGTGAAATCCTGTCTGTACTCAAAATACAAAAATTAGCTGGGCATGTTAGCAGGCACCTGTAATCCCAGCTACTTGGGAGGCTAAGGCAGGAGAATCACTCTGGGAGGGAGGGGGAGGTTGCAGTGAGCTGACATCATGCCATTGCACTCTAGCCTGGGTGACAGAGTGAAACTTTGTCTCAAAAAAATATATATATATATATATATATATTTTATATAAAGACAAGATTGGCTGGATATTTTGGGAAGGCTTTTATCAGGTGGCAATGATTTGATATCATTATTGTTTTTCAGCTTTGTAATTTCTGAAACTTGAATATATTTGTTTACCAGGAAGAATGATAAATTCTTAGGAAACAAATTCACAAGACATTGACATACAAAGCAGAATACTACCTTAATAATTTACTTTGAGAACTACAAATGCCAAATGTACTGGAATACTTGAGTTGTTTCTGATCGATTCTCCTTACCGTTAAAAAAAAACAACTTGGGAAATCAGATTAAGATCAGACAATTTCTTGATGAGCAGAGTCAGAAGAAAGGCTCTGCTGTGTTTTCTGCTGTTAGAGTACTTGAATGGCCCCAAATCTTCATGCTGCTAGGGCACCCATTCTGTTTTAGAGTTACAGAAACAGTGATATTCTCACTATCCAATGGCCTTTGTCCTATTTCTTATTTGCCTCTAAAATAAAATATTATGTCACCTCAGGCAAAGTTTTCTAAGATACAGTTTTTTCTGCTTTATGTATATTTTAGGGTAGTTATAACTTAGCCCTTAATTTCTGCAGTTATTTATTATTTTTATATCATTTTCTGAGCTAAGCAATAAGACGTGTTGTGCTATGCTTCTTAAATTGTATATCCCTGGTCATATGTGACAGAATAAATGAGACGTAGCTTTCTGGAGTGTCAATTTTACTTTACAATTTTGGGGGAAAACATTATTTTTACATTGAGATAAACATATTATGGGATGACATGGAAACTTTTCACGATAAAACATGAGACTTTAACGTTTCCTGTTATTACAGCCAGCAAATTGGAGCTATTACCTTAGATTACCTTTCCTTCTTTTCCATTAAGGTGTCCTTTGGTGGAAAAGTTTGGATAGTCTTGGTATGATAGAAAGAGTAGTCGCTGGGCAGTTAGGGAGCCCTGAATTCTAGTCCCGGCCCTGTTACTAGCTGTTAGATCTTATTTAAAAACTGTGACTTCTTAAGGTCTTATCTCAGTTGCCTTATCTGTAAAATAAAAGGTTTGGACCTAATGATCTCTGAAGTTTCTTTAGACTCTAAAGTGTCTGTTGGCATTGGCTATTGTTAGCATCCATAGTAAAGTGGCACATATTGGTCTTGCCCTAGGTTTTGAATCCTGAAGGCTTTTATCTCCTTAGTCTGGTGATAGATTGTTTGGGCCCTTGGTTTATTTTAGTAGTCCAAATAACTTAACTGTTCTCATTCATTTCTCTTTCAGGTTGTGGTGGATTCTGTTTTGGCTGTTAGAAGACCAGGTTACCCTATTGATCTCTTCATGGTAGAAATAATGGAGATGAAGCATAAATTAGGAACAGATACAAAGTAAATTACATAAGCTTTGACAACATATGGGTTCTAGAATTTTTTAAAGATATTCTTTTATTAAATTCATTACTTACTTTTATTCAACATAAATATATTCATTCACCATATATTAAGTCACTGCTCTAGGTAATGGGAATGAGAGTAAACAGAACAGAATTTCTTTCCCCAAGAAGTTTATGTTTCTAATTGAAATAGAAAAAAAATCATGTGTGTGATTTTATAGTGGACAGGGAAGACTACTCTGATAAGAACCTGGAGAGCTAAGAGGTCTCTGAAGAAACAAGGGAGCTAGCCATGTGCACATCTGGAATAAGAGGGTTCTAAGCAGAAGGAATGACCTCTGAAAGGGTCCTGAGGCAGAAGTGTGACTAGGTTGTTACAGTGTGCCTGGAGCACAGGGAGAGGAGGTGAGGCAAAAGGGACCAGATTATGGAGTACCATGTTGATTTTGGATTTACTCTTTTAAAACTTTGTATTATAGAAAACTGTGAACATATATAGAGAGAACAGAATAGGGAATTTCCACATAACTGTTAGCTATCTTTATCAATTTCTAACATATGAAGCATACCCTTCCCTCTTTCCCCCTCCCACCTAGGATTATTTTGAAGCAAATCCAGACATCATATACCACCTGTAAATATCATATAATCCATAAAACATAAACCCCCTGCTTTTACCTAATATATCCACAAAACATTATAACACCTTAAAAATGAATAACTCATTAATACTATCACATTTCCAGTTTATAGTCTAATTTGTCTAACAGTTGTCTCAGATTTTTTTCAGTTTTGTTTGGATTAAGATCTACGCACAGTCTGTATAGTGCACTTAGGTGATATCTCTTTTAGTCTCTGTTAATTTGTTAATTTGTAGGTTCTTTCTTCCTCTCATTGTTTTTCACCTTGATAATTATTTTGGAAAAGTCTGATTATTTGTCTTGAAGAGTTTTTGTGGGAAGATTTTTGATTACTCATGCAATTTTCTTCTTCTTCTTCTTCTTTTTTTTTTTTTTGAGATGGAGTCTCACTCTGTCCCCCAGGCTGGAGTGCAATGGCGTGATCTTGGCTCACTGCAACCTCCGCCTACTGGGTTCAAGTGATTCCCCTGCCTCAGCCTTCTGAGTAGCTGGGACTACAGGTGTGTGGCACCACGCCTGCCTAATTTTTTGTATTTTAGTAGAGACGGGGTTTCACCATGTTGGCCAGGCTGGTCTCGAACTCCTCACCTTGTGATCCACCCGCCTCGGCCTTCCAAAGTGCTGGGATTAAAGGCGTGAGCCACCACGCCCGGCCCCACTCATGCAATTTTCTTAATGGCTATAGGACTAATTAGGTTTTCTACTTATTTTTTGAATCATTTTGGTAAGTAATGTTTTCTTAGAAATTTGTCCATTTTGTTTAACTCTGAAATTTTTGGTATAAAGTGTTCATAAATATCCTTACTGGCATAAAATTTTTATAAGGATCCTGTTTGCAGGATCTGTAGTGGTATCACCATTTATTTCTGGTGTTATTTATGCCTTTCTTTCCTTGTTGTGATAATTTTTTCCCAGAGGTTTGTTTTCATTTCACAGTGTCTTTCTCTTTATTATTTAATTTACTTTTTTGGAATTTTGTGGGGACTTTTTTGCTGCTTCTGTTTTATTGTGATAGCTACTTAGGTTATTAATTTTCAGTCTCCTGCTTTTGAATACAGTACTTAAGACCTTAAATTTTTCTCAAAGTACTATTCAGCTGCATCCTTCAAGTTTTGATATGTAATCTTATGATTTTTATTCAGTTTAAAATATTTTCTAATTTCAACTAGAAGTGTGTTTCTTAACATGGGGAAATTTTAGTTATCTTATTACTGATACCTAGCTTAATTACATTGTGGTCAGAGAATATGCTCTATGAGATTTTTGCTCCTTTGAAATTTGTTGACACTTGCTTTATGGCTCAGTGTATAGTCAGCTTTTGTTATGTTAATGTTTCATGTACTTGAAAAGAATGTATGCTGCAGTTGGTAGGTACAATTTTATATACATGTCCATTAAGATCAAGGTATCCTGTTAATCCTGTTGTTCAGAACTTCTATATCCTTATTGATGTTTTGACTGCTTATTCTGTCAATTACTGAGTGAAATGTATAAATATCTTTCAATATTATTTTGTACCTGTTTATATTTTACTTTAGTTTTGAGAGTTTTGCTTTATATATCTTGAGACAATCTTTTTAGATGCATAGTTTTTAAACTGTTACATATTTTCTGGTGCATTGAACTTTTGTACTGATATGAAGTGACTTTTTTCTAGTAATGTCTTTAAAAGTATAATTTATCTGATATTGATAATTATATTTAAAAAATCTTTACATGTTAAAAGCTGTTGTACCAGCTAGCTAGCTTCCTTCCTTCCTGCCTTCCTTCCTTCCTTTCCCTCCCTCCCTCCCTCCTTCCTTCTTCCCTCCCTCCCTTTCCTTTCCTTTCTTTTTTTTTTTTTGAGATGGTGTTTCTCTCTTGTTGCCTAGGCTGTAGTGCAATGGTGTGATCTCGACTCACCGCAACCTCTGCCTCCCAGGTTCAAGCAATTCTTCTGCCTCGGCCTCCCTAGTAGCTGGGATTATAGGCATGCGCCATCGTGCCCAGCTAATTTTGTATTTTTTTTTTAGTAGAGATGGGGTTTCTCCATGTTGGTCCGGCTGGTCTTGAACTCCCGACCTCAGGCGATCCGCCCACCTCTGCCTCCCAAAGTGCTGGGATTGTAGGCATGAGCCACCGTGCTCGGCCTTTTCTTTTCTTTTCTATGATTTTCTCCTTTTCTTTTCTATGCTTTTCTCCTTTTCTTTTCTTTTCTCTTTTCTTTTCCCTCCCCTCCCCTCCCCTCCCCTCCCCCTTCCCTTCCTTTCCGTTCCTTTCTTTTTTTTCTGAGACAGGGTCTTGCTCTGTCACCCAGGCTAGAGGGCAGTGGCACAATTACAGCTCACTGCAGCCTTGACCACCTGGGCTCAAGTGATCCTCCCACCTTAGCCTCTTGAGTAGCTGGGACTACAGATATGCGCCACCATGTCTGGCTAATTTTTATATTTTTTTTGTCAAGACAGGGTTTTGCCATGTTGCCCAGGCTGGTCTCAAATTCCTGAGCTGGAGGGATCCACCTGCTTGGCCTCCCAAAGTGCTGTGATTACAGAACAGAATGAGCCACCATGCCAGGTCCATCCAGTTTTGTTTTGTTTTTTTTTTTTTTTTTAGATGGAGTTTCACTCTTGTTACCCAGGCTGGAGTGCAATGGCGTGATCTTGGCTCACTGCAATCTCTGCCTCCTGGGTTCAAGTGATTCCCCTGCCTTAGCCTCCCAAGTAGCTGGTATTGCGGGCATGTGCCAAAACATTCAGCTAATTTTGTATTTTTAGTAGAGATGGAGTTTCACCATGTTGGTCAGGCTGGTCTCAAACTCCTGACCTCAAGTGATCCACCCTCCTCGGCCTCCCAAAGTGCTGGGATTACAGGCATGAGCCACTGTGCCCGGCCCAGTTTTCTTTTAATTAGTATTTGCCTGTCATATCTTTGTGTATGTTTTTACTTTCAGTCTTTCTCTCTTTACATGATTTTTTGTGTCATATAGGTAGATTAAAATATTAAATCTGATACTCTTTATTAACAGGAGCATTTAATCCTTTATATTTAATACAGTTATGGATATATTTGATTTAAAATTTAACATCTTAACAGTGGACTTTGGGGACCCCGGGGGGAAGGGTGGGAGAAGGATGAGGGATAAAAGACTACACATTGGGTAGAGTGTACACTGCTTGGGTGATGGGTGCACCGAAATCTAAGAAATCACCACTAAAGAACTTAGTCATGTAACCAAACACCACCTGTTCCCCAAAAAGCTATTACAATAAAAAAAGCAAATTAAAAAGTTTGCCATCTTGTTTTATACTTTCTACTTAGCCTTACTTCTTTTTCTTTTTTTTTTTTTTTTGAGACGGAGTGTCACTCTGTCACCAGGCTGGAGTGCAGTGGCTTGATCTCGGCTCACTGCAACTTCCGCTTGCCAGGTTCAAGTGATTCCCTCAGCCTTCCGAGTAGCTGGGACTACAGGCGTGCACCACCACACCCATCTAATTTTTTGTATTTTAGTAGAGACGTGGTTTCACCATGTTGGCCAGGCTGGTTTTGAACTCCTGACATCAAGCAATCCACCTACCTTGGCCTCCCAAAGTGCTGGGATTACAGGTGTGAGCCACCGCGCCCAGCCATCTGTGTAGCTTTTTGCATCTCAGCCTTCCATTTGGGATTCCTTTTCTTCTGCCTAAAGTTCATCCTGTAGATTTTCCTTAGTGATAGTTTGTTGGAGGCATACTTTCAGTTTTTCTTTGCCTGAAAATGCCTTTATCTTTATTCTTTGATACTTTCATTGTGTGTTTACTAGGTTGGCAGTTAGTTTCTTTCAGCTGATTGAAGATATTGTTCTGTTGCTTTCTAGCTTTCATTATTGCTGTACAGAAATTAGCCATGAGTCCTTTATAGCCATGAGTCCTTTATTTACCTAGGTGATGTTAAGATATTTCTCTTTGTCTTTGGTGTTGTATACTTTTACTATGATGTAGCTAGGTATGGATTTCTTTTTGTTTATTCTGGTTGGCATTTTCTGGCTTTTTGAGTGCTATCGTTTATCTGATTCTGGAAAATTTCCATCCATTATCTGTTTAAACATTTCTTTTGTTCATCCCTTCTTCTCCTTCTCCAGTTAAATGTATGCTTGATGTTCTTAATTTAGTTTTTTATGTACTTTTTGTCTTGCTGTCTTTCGTGTTGCATTCTGGATAATTTCTAGTGATATATTTTGTTGTTTGCTAATTTTCTCTTAAACAATGTCTACTCTACTTTAAAACCAGTCCCTTGATTTAAAAATAAACTTTCTAATGAAGTGTAACACACACTGAAAAATGCAACTATCATAGCAATATGACTTGATTAATTTTCCAAATGTATCTGTGTAATCAGCACTCTCACAAGAAACAGAACTACTAGTACCTTAAAAGCCCCTCTTTTGCTTCCTTTCAGCCATATTTCTTCTAGAGTAGTCTGAATTTCTGCGGCATAGATTGTTATATGTTTTGTACTTGTATAAGGAATCATAAGGTAGGTACTCTTTGTTTCTGACCTTTTTCATTTAGCATTGTTTGTGAGACTCATTTGTATTTTTGTGTGATTAGTAGATTGGTCATTCTCTTTGCTATTTAGTATTTTCTTGTGTTAATATACCACAGTTTATTCATTCTGCTGTTCATTGGCATTTAGGTAGTTTGCATTTTTTGCCCATTATTAATAGTGCTGCTATAAACATTGTAATATTCTTTTATTAGACATATGGATTTATGTCTGTTGTTTTCTTGAATTTTTTATATCTGTGTGTATATGTGTGGATATCCTTATTTACTATTTATAGAAGTTCTATTTGGTTCTTTCTTAAATCTGCCACGTTACCTTTTATGGTGTTCTATTCCTTGCAAATCTTTCCAAACTTGCCCTTTTTTCTTTCTTTAAACATATGTTTAATATGTTCATGTTTGATAATTATAATATCTAAAGTTTTGACTTGTCCCTTTCTGGTGTTTATTATATTTTACTGGTTCTCACTCATCATGCTTTGTGTTCATATGTGCCATTCATTGTGCTTGAAAAACGTATTGGTAGAAATAATTTGAGACCTAGAATGAAGCTGCCTTTCTGCAGAGAGGATTTGCATTTGTTGCCTCCCTAGGGACTAATTTAAATTAAATTCACAGCTTAGGTTTTTGGGAATATCCATTTGATATGAATTCCGATTGTAAGTCCATGTGAGGGCTGATTATTTCTAGCTCTTCCTTCTGGATAATCCTGAGTATGTAGCCCTTTGTGGTTCCAACTTAATGTGAAGAGGGTCTCCTGTAAACACTCCACCTTGGATGAGCTCTGTGCTTTTCATTCTGTTTTCTTCTCATTGTGAAGACATTGAAACCGAAGTTCAGATTTGCCTGGATTGTCAAATGACTTTAAGATAAAAGAACCTACTGATCCTGCAGTTCTCTACTTACCTGTTGGAGTTTCTGTTTTATTTCAGTTTTGGCCTTGTGATTATATACTATCTTATAGCTCTTCAATGTTGCTAAGGTTTTTTTGCTTTTAAGCCAGCATGTTTAGTTGTTTTTGATAGTAGGACTGATCTCAGTTAGCCTACTATTGCTGAGGATAACAAGTTCTTGATTTATACTTCAGAAGGTTATCTGTGGTTTTTGTGTGGGGAATACACACAAAACGGCTGATTGGGAGATAAAAGAGGGCCAAAGGCAGAAACCAGAGACCAGTTAGGAATGTTGGTATACTACAAGTGAGAAATGAAAATGGTTTGGATTAGGATGTACTTAGAAGGAAAGGGCAATAGGATTTGTTGAGGGTTCAACATAGGACATGACAGAAATAGAGCGGTCAGAGATATCTCTTGGGCTTTTTCATGATCAGCAGGAAAAGTGGAGGTGCTGTTTCTTGAGATGGAGAAGACTAGGAGGAGCAGATTTGGGGAGATAAATCAAGAGTTCAGTTTGGGAATGTTATGTTTGAGATGCCTATTAGGCATCCATATGGAGATGTTGATTAGGAATTTGGAGAGATGTGTCTCGAATTCAGAATAGAGGTCTGCACTAGAAGTATGTATTTGAGAATCATTAGTGTATAAATGACTTAAAGCCATGAGTTAATGAGACCATCTGGGAAGTGAATATAGTAAAGGAAGTTTAAAGCATGATCCCTAGGAACTTGGATGTTTAGAGTTTGAAAAGATGAGGTGGATTCAGCAAAAGGGAGTGAGAAGGGGGCAGTCAAGGAGGCATTAAAGCCAAGGGAGAGTGGTGTCCCAGAAGCCAAAGGAAGAAAGTCTTTCAAGGAGACAATAATCAGCTGTGTCATATGCTGCTGAAAGTTTGAGTACATTGCCGTGAACTGAGAGTTGATTGTTATATTTGGAAAACATTTACTTTTTTTTTCTTTTTTGAGACGGAGTCTCGCTCTGTCGCCCAGGCTGGAGTCCAGTGGCGCGATCGCGGCTCACTGCAAGCTCTGCCTTCTGGGCTTACGCCATTCTCCTGCCTCAGCCTCCCAAGTAGCTGGGACTACAGGTGCCTGCCACCAGGCCCGACTAATTTTTTGTATTTTTAGTAGAGATGGGGTTTCACCGTGTTAGCCAGGATGGTCTCGATCTCCTGACCTCATGATCCGCCTGCCTCGGCCTCCCAAAGTGCTGGGATTACAGGCGTGAGCCGCCGCGCCTGGCTGGAAAACATTTACTTTTTTAGTGGCTTTAATGAGAGCTGATTGAATAAAGAGGTGGAAATAAAAGTCAGATTGAAGGTGGCTCAAGAGAGAATGGTAACTGAGAGAAGTGTAGTTATGAAGGAGAACAGAGAAATGGGGCAGTAGCTAGAAGGGAATATGGGAATGGGGCTGAGGGAGAAGGATTTTTTGTATTAATGATAGGAATTGTTACTGCAAGTTTGTATGCTGGTAAGGATGGTTCTTTAGGTGAGAATTGATATAGGGGACTAGGGGACAGTGCAAGAACAGAGAGGGAAATGGAATCCAGTACACAAGTAGAGAGGCTACCCATAGAGAGGAACATGGACAGCTCATTCATAGTAGTAGGAGGTTCAGGGTCAAGTGCAAGTGGATTGGTAGAGGTAGTAATGGGACAATGTTTCTATTTTCTCAAAGAAACAATGTCATTTGCTGACAGTAGGGAGGGAGGAAAGTGAAGGAGGCTTGAAGAGTGAGGAATGTTGAACATAGTGTTATTGTTTCTAGATATGTTTACATTCTGTTAAGAGGTGGAGTAATCTAGTTAAAGTAAAATTTTGAAAACTTCCTTATAATTATGTTGAACTAAAATAGTTTAAAAATATATAACAAAAATTAGTTATAAAGGATTCATAAGTAGAAATTCCATCCCCTGAATGTTTTGTAAATGAATTTTATAAAGTTATAAAAATATTGACTCTTGAAAGATTATTTGGAAAACAGGAAGAAACACCTCCTTTCCAAATCATCTATATTCCTACTACCCAGGCATAACCCCTACTCTTAGGTCCCTCCCATTTTTTTTCTTTTTAATGCCAAGTTGTTTTTTTTTTTAAATTTATTTATTTATTTATATTTTTTATTATACTTTAAGTTTTAGAGTACATGTGCACAACGTGCAGGTTTGTTACATATGTATACTTGTGCCATGTTGGTGTGCTGCACCCATTAACTCATCATTTAACATTAGGTATATCTCCTAATGCTATCCCTCCCCGCTTCCCCCACCCCACAACAGGCCCCGGTGTGTGATGTTCCCCTTCCTTGTCTGTTGTTAAAAAGAACAGTTATAGGCATGCTTCATATGCAATTTGTCATTCTATGCTTATCAGCTAGCCCTATAAATATTTTTCCATGTTATTACATACTTTTTATAACCATCAAATAGTTGGGTCATTATTTGCTGAATAATACCCTATTGTTGGACATTTAGGTTAACAATTTTTAGTTGTTCCATATAATCATTTTGAATAAATGTTCCTAAGAAACTCATTGTATACGTACCTTTCATTACTTGATAAGCTGTGTCATATTTTTGAATCACATAACTTAGAAAATAATTCTGGCTTGACTTTTTATTGTGACTTCATAGTCACACTGTGTTAAAGTAGATTCTCTTTCCTAATTTTACTAATTATATGTTAGGTTTAAAGTCAATGCAAGGAGGTGGGTGAGGTGGTGCACTCCTTTAGTCCCAGCTACTTGGGAGGCTGAGGCAGGAGGATTGCTTGAGCCCAGGAGTTCGTGGCCAGCCTGGACATCATAGCAAGACCCCCATCTCTGAAAACAAAAAACAAAAACACCAAAAACTGTTAAAATTGGTACAAGGAAACAATGTGTGTCCTGGAAGTATTGATGTAACTTTAATAGTACAATGATAATTTTATACCAAATTTTAGAGTATATATTCAAAGTAAGAAACATTAATATTTTTAATAGGTTGATCCAAGGATTAGTTTTGGATCATGGTGCCCGTCATCCAGATATGAAGAAGCGAGTAGAAGATGCATTTATCCTTATTTGCAACGTTTCACTGGAATATGAAAAAACGTGCGTGTTACTTTCTCTTTATAACTTTTGAATTTTTTTTTCTAAAGGTGTTTTAAAATCTCTTTTTCCTTCCAGATGTTTGGTGTAGACTACTTCTATCTTTTTTCCTTTTTCCTCCTGCCTTTACTAGCTGGTTTTTATTAATCTTTTAGAGAGGTGAACTCTGGTTTCTTTTATAAGACTGCAGAAGAGAAAGAGAAATTGGTAAAAGCTGAAAGAAAATTTATTGAAGATAGAGTACAAAAAATAATAGACCTGAAGGACAAAGTCTGTGCTCAGTCAAATAAAGGATTTGTCGTCATTAATCAAAAGGTGAGAAAGAAAGTTTAGATTTTAGTTATTTGTAAATGTTCTTAAGCATTTCTTGAAGTGTGGTCTGTGGACCCCTAAGAATCCCTAAGACTTTTTCAGAGAGTCTGTGAGGTCAAAAACTATTTTCATAATAATAATTACACCTTTTACATTGTGTTGACATTTGCAATGATGCTGCAAAAGCAATCTGTAAAACTGCTGGCACCTTAGTACAAGTCAAAGAAGTAGCACCAAACTATACTAGTAGTCATCGCATTCTTTATTGCTATACCACTGCAAACTTACAGTGAAAAAAAAAAAAGGCAGTATCATTTAAGAGTGTCTTGATGAAGTGGTAAAACTTATTAATTTATTAAATTTTGATTCTGAAATATGCATCCTTTTATTATTATGTGTGACAAAATATGAAGTATGCACAAAGCACTGTTTTTTTTTTTTCTTTTGAGACAGGGTCTTGTTCTGTCATCCAAGCTGGAGTGCTTGGGTGGCACCATCATAGCTCACTACAGCGTTGACCTCCTGGGCCCAAGTGATCTTTCCACCTCAGCTTCCCAAGTAGCCAGGACTACAGGTGTGCATCACCATGCCTGGCTAATTTTTAAGTTTTTTCGTAGAGGCTGGGTATTGCCATGTTGTGCAGGCTGGTCTCAAGTGATCCTCTTGGCTTGGCCTCCCAAAGTGTTGGGATTATGGGGCTGGGAACTTCAAAGCTCTTCTATTGCATACCAAAATATGATGGTTGTCTTGAAGGAGAGCACTTGTGTAATTGTTTAAATTGCAAGGTAAACTAGCCACTTTTTCATGGAATGCCACTTTTACCTGGAAGAATGACTGACAGACAAACTGTGGTTATCTAGATATGGGTATTTGGTAGATTTCTCTCAAAAATGAATGAGGAAATTCTGTGACTTAAAACAACTGACAGTATTTGTTGTCAATAACATTTGAACTTTTTTAAAAAATTAGAATTTCAGAAAACTTGTATCTGCCATGTGAACTTGACAGCTTTCCAATACTTAAAAGACTTTCCTGATAATAGTAGTGATATTAACAAATGTGAGTTTTTGTTCACTGAGATAGGCAAAGTTTCCACATGCATAACATGACACAGTTTCTACATGTATAACACAACATTTTATATATGAAATGTGTCAACATGTGGAAACTTTGCCTAACTCAGTGAACTGATGCTATCTACATGACTAAAAATGCATGATTTTTATAAAATCATACATGGATAAATAATCCATTCAGTGTGCAAGTTACAGCAATGTGTTTTAATGTGAGATAGTATGAAAAGTTCATTGCTATGGTTCCATAGTGAAACTAACCTTTGAGAAACTATTACTTACTGAGTTTTGGTATAGTATCAAAGAAGAATTTCCATAATTATCTGAAAAGCCTATTAAAATATTACTCCCTTTACAATATTTATCTGTGTGGGGCCAGATTTTCTTCATAAACTTGAACCAAAATAACATATCATTCCAAATTGAATACTGAATGAGATATGAGAATCCATTTGTTTTCTATGAAGATAAACATTGAAGAGATTTGCAAAAATGTAAAGTAATGCCACTGCTAGCTCACTATATATATTTTTGTTTTCAAAAGTGTAGTAAATTTTCATTTAAAATGTTATGTGTATTAACATAAAATGGGCTTATTATTTAAATGAATTAATAAATATTTTAAAAATTTCTCAGTTTTTATAATACAAATATTATAGATAGAGCTTACATAAACAAAAGCTTTTTGGGTGCTTAATCATTTTTAAGAGAGTAAAGTGGTGCTGAGACCAAAAGGTTTGAGAAATACTGGTTTAAAACATGTTTATAATTTTTATGTTAATTTGATTATAGGGAATTGATCCATTTTCCTTAGATTCTCTTGCAAAACATGGAATAGTAGCTCTTCGCAGAGCAAAAAGAAGAAATATGGAAAGGTAAGCTTGCAGATAATTATATATCCTAAGTTTTTAACAGAGTAAATGGAAACTATCCCATGTGTTTTCCTTTTAGCTTATGTGTAAATGTTGTTGAACAAAACAGTGGCATAAAAAAATCCAAATTTTGTTTTTAGTTTCAGTAAATAATTGAACTGTCAAAAAGCAAGGTTGTTAACCTACTGCAGAACTTTGTTGAAGTATAAGGAAAGTTTTTATCTTTTTAAAACAGATTTTAAAAACAAAACAATACAACATAATACAGCATGATCTCACTTTTATATATGGAATCTAAAAAAGTTGAACTCATAGAAGTAGATAGTAGAATGGCGGTTACCAGGGGCTGGGGCAGTGGGAGGGGAGGGGCACTGGGAATATGTGGGTCAAAGGATACAAAATTTCAGTTAGTTAGGAGGAATAAATTCAAGAGATCTATTGTCCAACATGGCAACTGTAGTTAATAACAATATATTGTTCTTTTTAAAAATCTTTTGCAAACCCACCCGAGAATGCACAATGTGTTGGATTCTTGAAAAATGCTGAGAGTAGATTTTAAGTGTTCTTATCACACAAATGGCTAAATCAAGCCTCACATAGGCAATATGTATGTTAATTAGCTCAATTTAGCCATTCCACAGTGTATACATATTTAAAAACATCATCATGTTGTACTCGATAAATATAGACAATTTTATTAGACAATTAAAAACCCAAAACAATACAATACAGTAACAATACAGTCTTCTGCATTAGATATCTTCTCTCTGAGAAATTAGTATTAATGTTCTCCATAATCAAGCTATGGTGACATATATGTAATTTCAGACTCTCTCTTGCTTGTGGTGGAATGGCCGTGAATTCTTTTGAAGATCTCACTGTAGATTGCTTGGGACATGCTGGTCTTGTGTATGAGTATACATTAGTGAGTATTTCTATGAACAGTGGTTATAAAGTGAATACTAAGCCCCCTTTTTTAAAGAAAAATACTACTTGACCTTTTATTTCATGTTTTGTGTTTTGAGATCTAATTCACAGAACAGATTTTACAGTTTATTTACCTAAATGTTTGTTAAGAGTTCAGATATAACTTAACTCCCTTAGTTATGCTTGATAAGAAAAATTCAAATGAAGATTGTATTCTAGTATAAATTGTTGATTTTATAATGACATCAAATATTAAAGTTATATATTTTTGTGCCACCCTTTAGGGTGAAGAAAAGTTCACTTTTATTGAGGAGTGTGTTAACCCTTGCTCTGTTACCTTGTTGGTTAAAGGACCAAATAAGCATACTCTCACACAAGTCAAGGATGCCATAAGAGATGGACTTCGTGCTATCAAAAATGCCATTGAAGATGGTAAGCTCTTTCTTGTGATTGATATGAACCTCATGTATATGTGTGTATATATGTATATATATATACACACACACCTATGTATGTATATATGTATATTTTTAGACAGAGTCTTCCTCTGTTGCCCAGGCTTTAGTGCAGTGGTGCGATCTCAGCCCACTGCAACCTCTGCCTCCCAGGTTCAAGTGATTCTTCTGCCTCAGCCTCCCAAGTAGCTGGGATTACAGGCACACACCACCACACTTGGCTAATTTTTTGTATTTTTAGTAGAGATGGGGTTTCGCCATGTTGGCCAGGCTGGTCTCGAACTCCTGGGCTCAAGCGATCTGCCCTTGTTGGCCTCCCAAAGAGCTGAAATTACACGTGTGAGCCACCATGCCTGGCCTTTAAGTCTTTTTAAATTTTATTTTTATTATTAATCTATTTAATCTATTTATTTCTTTTGAGACCAGGTTTTGAAACTGGCTAATTTTTGTATTTTTGGTAGAGATGAGGTTTCACCATGTTGCCAAGGTTGGTCCTGAACTCCTGGGCTCAAGGGATCCACTTGTCTTGGCCTCCCAAAGTGCTAGGATTACTGGCATGAGCCACTGCGCCTGGCTGCAAACCTCACATATATATATTTTTCTCAAGACAGGGTCTTGCTCTGTCACCCAGGCTAGAGTGCAGTGGCACAATCATGGCTCACTGCAGCCTCAAACCCCTGTGCTCAAGTGATCCTCCCACCTCAGCTGGACGATAGGTGCATGCCACCACACCTGGCTAATTTTTAATTTTTTTTTGTAGAGATGAGTTCTGTCTATGTTGCCCAGGCTGGTCTTGAACTCCTGGCCTCAAGCAGTTTTCCCCCTTCAGCCTCCCAGAGTGCTGGGATTTGTAGGCACGAGCCACCACATTCAGCCCATGTTGAGCATCTTTTAATGTGTTTATTTGCCCTTTGTATATCTGGTGAATTTTCTGTTTAAATCTTTTGCCCTTTTAAATAATTGGATTGTTGGCCATGCACAGTGGCTCTCACCTGTAATTCCAGCACTTTGGGAGGCCAAGATGGGAGGATTGCTTGAGCCCAGGAGTTGGAAACCAGCCTGGGCAACATAGCAAGACCATGCCTCTACACACACACACACAAATAGCCAGGCGTGGTGGCCTGTACCTGTAGTTCCAGCTACTTAGGAGGCTGAGGCAGGAATATCACTTGAGTCCCAAGAGTCTGAGGTTACAGTGAGCTATGATCACACCACTGCACTCCAGCCTGGGCGTCAGAGTGAGACCCTGTTTCCAGAAAAAAAAAAAAGAGAAGAAAAGAAAAGAAAAAAATTTGTGTTAGTATACTATTGTTGAGTTTGAGAGTTCTTTGTATATAATTTGGGTACAAGTGCTTTTTCAGATATATAATTGGCAAATTTTTCTCCTCTGTGGCTTATTTTATTATTAACAGTGCCTTTCAAAGAGAAGTTCTTAATTTTGATGAAGTCTAATTTATTATTTTTATTCTGTCATGGATTATGCTTTTGGTGTGGTATCTGAAAAATCTTTACCTAACCTAGGGTCATAAAGATTTTCCTCTAAAAGTGTTACAGTCTTATGTTTTACATTTAGGTCTGTGATTCATTTTAAGTTAAATTTTGTATATGGTGCAAGTATGGATACAAGTTCATTTTTTTCATATAAAGGTATCAGATTGTTTTAGTCTTATTTGCTGAAAAGACTTTACTTTCACCACCGAATTGCCTTTTCTCGTGTATAAAAAATCAGTTTTTCATATTTGTGTGGTTCTATTTCTGTGCTCTTTTTTCTGTCCTACTGATGCATTTGTCTATTTTAATGTTAATATCATACTGTCCTGACGACTGTAGCTTTATAATAAATCTTGAAATCAGTATTGTTAACTCTCATTTTTTTTTTAAGTTATTTTGGTCATTCTAAGTCTTTGGCATTTCCATATGACTTCCATATGAATTTTAGAATCAGCTTGTCAATTTCTACCAAAAAGACTGCTGCTGGGATTTTGATCAGAACTTTTTTTTTTAGAAAGGATCTTACTCTGTCACTCAGGCTGGAGTGCAGTGGTGTGATCATGGCTCACTGCAGACTTGACCTGCTGAGCTCAAGTGACTCTCCCACCTTAGCTTCCCAAGTAGCTGGAACCACAAGCATGCACTACCATGCCTGGTTAATTTTTTTTTATTTTCTGTAGAGACAACGTCTCATTATGTTGTTACCCAGGCTGGTCTCAAACTCCTGGGCTCAAGCGATCCTCCCGCCTTGGCCTCCCAAAGTGCGTGGATTACAGGTGTGAGCCATTACACCCTGCTTGATTGGAATTTTATTAAATCTGTAGACCAATTTGGAGATAGTTGATATTTTAATAATGAGCCTTCTAACTCATGAATATCATCTTATCTATTTGAGTCTTCTTGAATTTATCTCAGCAATATTTCATAGATCTTAGTATATGAGCCTCACATACTTTTTTCCATATTTATCTCTATATATTTTATGTATTTTGTTGCTATTGTATATGCTATTTTTAAAATTTCCATTTCTGATTGTTAGTTGCTAATATATAGAAATATATTTTATTTTTGTACATTGATCTTGAATTCTGCAACCTTGCTAAATCACAATTAGCTTTCTTATAGGCTTCATTGAATTATCTATATAAGTGATTACATTGTCTGCTATACAGTTATACTTTTTGCTCTCCAATATGGATATTTTAAAATTTTCTCCCTTATTTCATGGGCCAGAACCTCCAGTATAATGTTGACTAGAAATAATGAGAATGGACATCCTTTCCTCATCGCTGATCTTAGGGGGAAAGCATTCAATCTTTCTCCATTATGTATGATGTTAGCTATAGGTTTTTATCAGGTTGAGGAAGTTCTCCCTTCTGCACCTAGTTTGCTGACAGTTTTTAATCAAGAATAAATGCCAGGCTGGTCGTGGTGGCTCACACCTGTAATTCCAGCATTTTGGGAGGCTGACGTGCATGGGTCACCTGAGGTCAGGAGTTCAAGACCAGCTTGGCCAACATGGTGAAACTGTCTCTACTAAAAATAAAAAAATTAGCTGGGCATGGTGGCAGGCACCTGCAATCTCAGCTTCTCGTGAGGCTGAGGCAGGAGAATTGCTTGAACCTGGGAGGTGGAGGTTGTAGTGAGCCGAGATCGTGCCACTGGACTTTAGCCTGGGCGACAAGAGTAAAACTTCTTGTTGTTGTTGTTTTTTGTCAAAACACACACACACACACACACACACGAGAATAAATGCCAAATGCTTCTTGTGCATCTATTGAGATGATCATATGATTTTTTTTTTTTTCTTTTGAGATGAAGTCTCACTTCGTTGCCCAGGCTGGAGTGCCATGGCGCAATCCTGGCTCACTGCAACCTCTGCTTCCCAGGTTCAAGCGAATCTCCTACATCAGCCTCCTGAGTAGGTGGGATTACAGGCATGCACCACCATGCCAGGGTAATTTTGGTATGTTTCAGTAGAGATGGAGTTTCACCATGTTGGCCTGGCTGGTCTCGAACTCCTGACCTCAGGTGATCTGCTTGCCTTGGCCTCCCAAAGGTCTGGGATTACAAGCCTGAGCCACTGCACCCAGCCCTCGTTTAGTTTTCTCGTACAGTAAATTACATTGATTGATTCAAATGTCAAACCTTACATTCTTGGGATAAACCATACTTAGTTATAATGCATTTTACTTTTTAAAAAATTAATGGATTACATTTTTTTAAAATTATTTTTTAAATTGTGATAAATATACATAACATAAAATTTACAGTTTAACAATTTTTAAGTGTACAGTTCAGTGTTAGTAAGTGCATTCACAATGTTGTCTAACCATTATCACCACCCATCTCCAGAACTTTTTTTCCTTGCAAAACTGAAACTCTGAACCCATTAAACAATATCTCTCCATTCCCTACCCACCTCCCCAGCCCTGGGTAACCACCATTCTACTTTCTGTCTCTATGAGTTTACTCTATGTATCTCATATAATTGGAATCATACAGTTTTTGTCCTTTGTCTGGCTTATTTCACTTTGCATAGTGTCATCAAGGCTCATTCATGTTGTAGCATGTGCCAGAATTTCCTTCCTTTTTACCATTGAATAATATTCTATTGTATGTATATACCACATTTTATTTGTCTATTATTGGAAACGTGTTGCATTTACCTTTTGGCTATTGTGAATAATGGTACTATGTGTATTCTCCTTTTTATGTATTATTTGATTTAATTGGCTAAAATTTTGTTAAGAATTTTTACATATGTATTCATAAGGGGTATTGGTCTGTGTATATTTTTTCTTGTAATGCTTTTATCTTTTTTGGTGTTAGAACAATGCTGTACTCATAGAGTGAATTGGAAAGTTTTTCTTCTTGTTCAAATTTCTGAAAGTGTAAAGTTGTTGTGGAGAATTGGTATTATTTGTATTATTTCTTTCTTAAATGTTGGTAGACTGTCAATAAAGCCATCTGAGCCTGGAGTTTTCTTTGTGGGAAAGCTTTTAATGACACATTCAATTTTTTTAATAGACGTAGGGCTATAAAGGTTTTGTTTTTTTTGAGTGAGCTTTAGTGGTTTGTAGTCTTTCAAGAATTTGTCCACTTCATCTAAGTTAGGATCATCAACTACTATCTATGAGCTAAATCTGATTTGCTGCCTGTTTTGGTAAATAAAGTTTTGTTGGAATGTGGCCATACTCATTTGTCTATATATTGTCTGTGGCTATTTTTGTGTTACAGTGGCAGAGTTGAATAGTTGGAAAAGAAATGGTATGGCCTGAAAAATATTAACTGGCCTTTTGCAGAAAGTTTACTAACTTCTGATCAACAGTTTCAACTTTATTGTCATAAAGTCGATCATAATATTCATTTGTTATTCTTTTTAATATCTGTAGAATCTGTAGTGATATAAATTTTCTCATTTCTGACATTTGTCATTTGACTAATTTCCACTTTCATCCTAATTATTTCCTTTCTTTTGCTTATATTAGGTTTCATTTGTGCTTCCTTTTTTAGTTTTTTTTTTTTTTTTTTCTTTTTGAAACAGAGTCTCGATCTGTCACCTAGGCTGGAGTGCAGTGGCATGGTCACGGCTCACTGCAGCCTTGACTTCCCAGGCTCAGGCAGTCCTCCCACCTTAGCCTCCTAAGTAGCTGGGATTACAGGTGTGTGCCACCAAACCTGGCTAATTGTTGTGTTTTTTGTAGAGATGGGGTCTCACTGTGTTGCCCAGGCTGGTCTTGAATTTCCGGGCTCAAGTGATCTACCTGCCTTGGCCTCCCAAAGTGCTGGGATTATAGGAGCGAGCCACCAGACCCTGTCCTTTTCTAGTTTCTTAAGGTGGAAGCTGGGGTCATTAGTTTGAGAACTTTCTTCGTTCCTAATATAGGTGTTTCGTGATATAAATTTCTCTTTAAGTACTGCTTTAGGGATGCTAAAATTTTGATATGTTGTGTTTTCACAGAGAATGGGATCAGGGAAGTTTTCAAAGGTTCTAGTAATCTCTTTCTTAAGCTGGGTGGTAGGTACATGGATACATTTGTTTATTTGTGCATTTATTCTTTATATCATACATATAAATATTCTTTTGAGTATATTCTGTATTTAACAAGGAACTTTTAAAAAATGTGAATGGGAGGTAATGATGTAATCATCTGGTGGGTAAACAACTCTTTGAGCGGTTATGTTGTGAAGTGAAGCAGTGAAAGGGGGTAGTAATTTTAAAATGATGTGAGATAAAAGGGGAGATTGTTTTCGTATTGTTTTGTTTTAAAGCAAGTTTTCTGATTTAAATAAGAGTCATAAACTTTATGAAACCATACAAGTAGCAGATATAAAAGTGATATCCTGATGTGAAATTTGATGTGTTTAACCAAAACTCTTGCTTTAGAATAATACCACTTAAATTTTTTCTTAGATAGCAGTTTGAGTTCTGCTGCAGTACAAAAAACAAATACTTCATTGAGTTCCAAGAATTCCCTATCAAAAACTAGACAAATGATCTTGGTCTAAAGAATTTTCATGTCAGATATTGTAATCAGTTACCTGTCAATATAAATTATAAATACCTCTTAAAAGTAGTCATAAGGCCGGGTGTGGTGGCTCACACCTGTAATCCCAGCATTTTGGGAGACGGAGGTGGGTGGATCACTTGAAGTCAGGAGTTCAAGACCAGCCTGGCCAACGTGGTGAAACCCCATCTCTATTAAAAATACAAAAATTAGCTGGGTGTGGTGGTGCACGCCTGTAATTCCAGCTACTTAGAAGGCTGAGGTAGGAGGATCACTTGAACCTGGAAGGCAGAGGTTGGAGTGAGTCAAGATCATGCCACTACAGTACAGCCTGGGTGATGGAGTAAAACTCCATCTCAGAAAAAAAAAGTAGTTATAAAAGAGTAAGATGAAGGTAAAAATAAATTATTCTTGTTTACCAGAGGGTAAGGAGCAAAATAAGCTGTTTGCAGCCAGTTATCTGTACTATGCCTATTTATTTAATGACATATAACTTCAGGATGTTTCATAAGATAACTGAGTAATTACTAAGCTGTGCAATTTATTTGGTTTCTGTAGATAATAGAACATACTTAAATAGTGAATTGCTTTTCTGTCTCTCTCTCTCTTTTGGTCTTTATGGCATGTCTTGCCAATCATATTTTTTCTCTCCAATAGGTTGTATGGTTCCTGGAGCTGGTGCAATTGAAGTGGCAATGGCTGAAGCTCTTGTTACATATAAGAACAGTATAAAAGGAAGAGCTCGTCTTGGAGTCCAAGCTTTTGCTGATGCCTTACTCATTATTCCCAAGGTACAACTACCCTTTCGGCCAAATAACAACTGCTTAGACATAAAGGTGTTTAATTACAAATTGCCCATATTATCTGATAGTTAATGGAGTAGACAGGTATTTATGTGCATTTCCTTACACAGTTTTCTCTTAGATATTTTACAACTAAAGCAGGGAAACTTTTGCGATAACAGCCCAGGATCCTTGCACGATCTCATGAAATAGCCAACTTACCCCCTTGCTTCTTTCTCTGAGTTCCAAAAATTAAAGCAGCTCCAAAAATTTCCTTCAGAAATGACTCATGATTAACTAATCATAATGAAAAAGTTTAGAATTTAAAATTTAGTTAGATTTTGTGGTACATCTTTGTTTTGTTAGTGGTATCCAAATGTAATCAATTTAAATTGTGGAGAGGGAGGGCTTGAGGCTCTTTAGCACTCCTAGATACAACCTTACATTTGTCATCATCATTATAATTCCTAGAAAAAGAGAAAACAGAATTTTTCCATGTGGCAACCTAAGGACAGAAAGCGACCATTCCTTTGTCTTTGCCTTAATTGGTTTCAAACCACCTTAGAAATATAGTAAAACTACTTCAAAGATGCTATTACCATGAATTAAAACATTATTAACAATGTTAGCAAAATCTCTTTGCTAATTTTTATTAAAATTTTTCATAATTTGTGAAATCTTTGTGAATTAGATTTGCTATTTTTTCTTTCCCCAGAGCAGCAAAGTCAGTATGATCCTGCTGCTGACAGAAATTGGTAACCCCAGTACACATTACATTGGTGGTACCTTTTTCCTCATCAGCTGGTGATTTGGGGCCACTTGGAAGTGAGCCTGGTTTGGAGTGCAGGTATCTCCAACCCTGTTACCACAGGTCGTGACTCTCCTCATGAAGATGAGGGGCACAAAGGTGCTGCAAATATTCTGGTTTCCTTAGCAAGTGCCTATGAAGAACTGGAGGGCATGTGGCTAGCGGCACTAGAGGAAACAAGAATATCATTCTACTTCCTTCCATACTAAAAACAAAACAAAACAAAACAAACCTTTTGCAAGGAGGGAAATTAATGTAGTAGGGTAAAAATGGGGGAACTCTGATGTCCTCAGAATTTAGTGTGACGTGCATAGGGGAAATGTTTAAGTAAATATAAAAACTACTAGATAGATGAAATAATAATTTGATTTAGATTAAAAGTGGAATTCTTCAAAAGGAGATGATTGCCATGTTATGGATGTGTTTTTACAAGAGTAAAGAGTATTTTTATATTTGATATATGTGAAGGTATTATGCATATATATATAATATATATTATTATTTTTATTCCTAAAGGTTCTTGCTCAGAATGCTGGTTATGACCCACAGGAAACATTAGTAAAAGTTCAGGCTGAGCATGTCGAGTCAAAACAACTTGTGGGCGTAGATTTGAATACAGGTAAGAAAGTGAAGGAAAATTAGCTGCTTAATAAAGAGGTTATTCTTTAGTTACCCAGATCTTATGGTAAAGGAGTAGAGGTTTGGGTAACTTTAATATTTAAATTTTGGATGCCTTTAGTTTATTTTTGAGCTTCTTAAAAAATGTTCATTCATTTAAGAAATAGTTATTGAGTGCTTGTTTTCCTCTTGGGCTTCACACAGAACAAAACAGACAAAAATATCTGCCCCTGGGAGCTTATGTTGTAGTGGGAGAAGGTAGGCAGTAAATAATAACTTTAATAAATAAACTCCTTCAGCATTTTAGAAAAAGTAATGAATTATATGGAAAAAAGAGTGCTATAATAATGATCATGAATGCTAGTACAGGAGGGTGGAGAGAGAATGACAGCTTAAAGGGTTGGTCAGGGTAGGCATCATCTAGATGTCTGTTGAAAAAAAGTGGAAGGAAGTGAGGAAATTAGCCATGTAGGCAACTGGGGTTAAGTGTTCTAGGGAAAGAGAACAGCCAGTGGAAAAGCCAGTGTCTGATGTTTCTGAGGAAGGAGGTGAGAGAGGTGACAGAAGGTCAGATCATGCAGGGGCATTTGGACCAGTCTCAGGACTTTGGCTTTTACTTTAGAGGAGCAGGGAGCAATTTTGAGCAGAGGTGTGACATGGCCTAATTAATTAATTTATGAGACAGTCTCGTTCTATCACCCATGCTGTGGAGTGCAGTGGCACGATCTTGGCTCACTGCAACCTCTGCCTCCCAGGTTCAAGCAATTCTCCTGCCTCAGCCTCCGGAGTAGCTGGGAATATAGGTGTCTGCTGCCACGCCCGGCTAATTTTTGTATTTTTAGTAGAGACAGGGTTTCACCATGTTGGCCAGGCATGTGGCCTAATTATGTTTAAGAGAATCACTCTGGCCACTCTCCACTTTGTAGAGAAGTCAACTGAACAAGTAGAAGGTTGGAGTTGCAATCAACTGTGGTGGAGAATACTGGCTGGAGCAGGTTGTGGGTGAGAGGACATCAGCATTCAGTTTTGGCAGAGTCAAAGTTGAAGCATCTGTAATCTTTTAATTAAAAAAGTTGGATATATGGGTCTGGAGTTCAAGGAAGAGGTCTGGGTTGGAGATTAAAACCTGAGAGTCAGGCCAGGCGCAGTGGCTCACGCCTGTAATCCCAGCACTCTGGGAGGCCAAGGTAGGTGAATCACTAAAGGTCAAGGGTTCAAGACCAGCCTGGCCAACATGGTGAAACCCCATCTCTACTAAAAATGCAAAAATTAGCCGGGGATGGTGGCAGGCCCCTATAATCCCAGCTACTTGGGAGGCTGAGTCAGGAGAATTGCTTGAACCCAGGAGGTGGAGGTTGCAGGGAGCCGAGATGGCACCACTGCACTCCAGCCTGAGTGACAGAGCAAGATCTCTGTCTCAAAAACAAAAACAAAAAACACCAAAAAAAAAAAAAAAAAGAAAGAAAACAAAAAACAAAAACACCCAAAAAACCTTGAGAGTCATCAGATGTGTATGGTTTAAATCTAAAAGTCTGGATGAGATCACCTAGGGATTAAGGGTAGAGAGAAAAGAGGCTGGGACTGAACTTTTGGGTACTCCAACGTTAAGAGGTCAGGGAGGAAGAGGAAGAAGCAGCAAAGTAATCAGAAAAGGAGCCACTAATGCAAAAGAAAGAAAACCAGAAGAGTGTGGTATCCTGGAAGATAACATAGAGTAGGCGGCAGAATGTGATCAACTGTGTTAAATACTGGTAGATGAGGTCTGAGAATCAACCATTGGATTTAACAATATGGAGGTCATTGATGACCTTGACAAAAGTAGTTTTGGTAATGTATTAAATATTTTTAGAAGATATCAATTAATATTAATAGCAAATACTAAGATTTTGGTATGAAAATTGTTTTTACTTTTCAGGTGAGCCAATGGTAGCAGCAGATGCAGGAGTTTGGGATAATTATTGTGTAAAAAAACAACTTCTTCACTCTTGGTAAGTTCATATGAACATAAAGTGAAAGACCTGTAGAGTTATAATTGATAATATTAAGATGAAATTTTTTCTATTATTTTTGTCCCTGTACAGTGGAAAAATTGTCAAGTGTATGAAAGGTGTGGTATTC
The DNA here is from genome assembly GCF_000001405.40 of Homo sapiens. Taxonomy (NCBI): domain Eukaryota; kingdom Metazoa; phylum Chordata; class Mammalia; order Primates; family Hominidae; genus Homo; species Homo sapiens. Next base: position 34,928,831 of record NC_000017.11, on the reverse strand, counting down.
AGTTATTAGAACTAGCTTCTGTCATTTTATAGTCCATAGTCCCTTTTATATTTTAGATCTAGCAGTGTTAAGTTCTAAGAAAAATTAACCTTACTATTTGAGGGGGAAAGAAAAGGGGAAATTTACTGAAATAATAGCACATGCATGATGGAGAAAATCAAATGATATTGTAAAAATAAGCTCAATTTTGCTGAAATATAAATCAGGAATGCACTTTATCAGCAAAGGAGTTTAAATTATAATACAAAGGGTGACATTTGGGCCAGTGCGGTGGCTCACACCCGTAATCCCAGCACTTTGGGAGGCCGAGGCGGGTGAATCACCTAAGGTCAGGAGTTCGAGACCAGCCTGGCAAACATGGTGAAACCCTGTCTCTACTAAAAATACAAAAATTAGCCAGGCGTGTTGGTGGGTGCCTGTTATCCCAGCTACTCGGGAGGCTGAGGCGGGAGAATTGCTTGAACCTGGGAGGCAGAAGTTGCAGTAAGCTGAGGTCTTGCCATTGCACTTCAGCCTGGGCAACAAGAGTGAAACTCCATCTTGGGAAAAAAAAAAAAGGTGACATTTGTATTTGTATTTATAATAGCCTTGTCTCATAAAACATCATACTAACATCATTAAAGAACAAAGTACCCTACATAGGTAAAGATTGCTGGGGAAAAAAGCTAAGAGTGGGTTAGTAGGCTTTACTCACCCTCTCATCTTTTTCCTTAGCACAGTGATTGCCACCAACATTCTCCTGGTTGATGAAATTATGCGAGCTGGGATGTCTTCTCTCAAATGATGATTGAATTCAAAATCAACCCTTCTAGAAGATGAAATTTAGTACACTTTACATCTGACTACTATTGTGTAGCCTGAGCCATTCTGAATTTCTACACAATAAATGCAGTTTATGTCTTTTGGGTCTTAATAGTCTCAAAAATATTTCATCAAGGTATAAAGAACACAATAAATACTTTTACAGTAAAGGAATAATATTTAAATATTTCCCCAAGAGTCCTAACTCCCCACTCTTTGTTATATGCTATTGCAGTTTTTATAGCATAGGATCTTTATGATACTTAGACCTTTTGACAAGTTTTAATTAACAAAATAGAGGTTTTAGTACACCCAAGTAAATTTCCAATTTATCAGAGGGTATAAATATAGTAGGACAGAATGTTTCATTTTCTCTCAAAATTCTTTCAGTGACTTTTTGCTGCCACTCTTTCCTCTTATAAATATGGCGTGTAGCTTTGGGTTGCATTGTTTATAATATCTGACTCAATTTATTTTGTATATCATTTATTATATTTTATCTGGCTGTTTTTGTATGTATGATCAACAATTTATGCCACTGTGCTAGCTCTGGTAGCTCTCTGTCTAGATGGTGAGATAGAACAGGTCTCATCTGGAAAGAGAATTATTGACACCAATGGTGGGAAATAATTATTTTTGGCTTATAATACAACTGTTCAGTATAGATATTATAGCAATATCTTTCTTGTTTGAAACTCTAGAATTAATCTATTATGCTTTTTATTTTTATTAGAGTTCTTGTGGTTAACTTCTTTCCGTGGATGGTAGTTGATAAGAGACTAAAATATGGCAGGTGCATTAATGGAACTTTGGCCTGTTTGTGCATATAGGAGAAGGTTCCTTTAACCCTATAATTTTATAGCCTGTTTTTTCCACTTAATATGCTGTCAGCATCTTTCTAAGGCAGTATCCAGACTTCTTCTTCTTCTTTTTTTTTTTTTTTTTTTTTTTGAGATGGAGTCTCACTCTTCACCCAGGCTGGAGTGCAGTCATGATCTCGGCTCATTGCAACCTTTGCCTCCCAGGCTCAAGTGACTCTCCTGCCTTATCCTCCTTAGTAGCTGAGATTACAGGTGCACACCACCACGCCTGACTAATTTTTGTATTTTTAGTTGAGAAGGGGTTTCACTATGTTGACTAGGCAGATCTCAATCTCCTGACTTTCGGTGATCTGCCTGCCTTGGCCTCCCAAAGTACTCAGGTTACAGGCATGAGCCAGCACACCTGGCCTAGTATTCAGACTTCTGAACCATCACTTATTTATGGTTACATAGCATTGCATTGTATGGTTATACCACAATTTATTTTACTAATTCTGTTTTCAATTTTTTTTTTGCTGTTATAAAGAAAGATCTCCTTTTTAAACTTGTCTTTATTCTATAGGATAGGCCTTTTAAAATGGGCTTACCATGCATATGGCCAGATCTTTTCTGTGTAACATTGTTTAAATTTTGAAATATTTAAAATATACCAAAAAGACAGAAAGTAATATAATAAACACATTTGTACCCTCCACCTAGCTTTAACAAATAGTAACATTTTGCCATATTTGTTTCAGATTTTCTTTTCTTTTCTTTTTCTTTTTTTTTTTTTTTTGAGGCAGAGTCTCCCTCCTGTCACCCAGGCTGGAGTGCAGTGGCACCATGTTGGCTCACTGCAACCTCCACCTTCTGGATTCAAGCGATTCTCCTACCTCAGCTTCCCAAGTAGCTGGAATTACAGGAGCCTGCCACCGCCTGGCTAATTTTGTATTTTTGGCAGAGATGGCGTTTCGCCATGTTGGCCAGGCTGGTCTCAAACTCGTGACCTCAAGTGATCTGCCTGCCTCGGCCTCCCAAAGTTTTGGGATTACAGGCATAAGCCACTGTACCCAGCCAGATTTTCTTTAAAGAAATACCAAAATACAAAATGTTAAGATGCCACTTCCCCCACCCACTCCCCATCATGCTTTTTCCACCCTTCTTCCCTAGAGGTGATCTTTATTGCCTATTCACTTTTATTTTTCCCACTCTTTATTCTTTTTTTTTTTGAGACAGTTTTGCTGCTCAGGCTGGAGTACAGTGGTACGATCGCGGCTCATTGCAACCTCCACCTCCTAGGTTCAAGTGATTCTCCTGCTTCAGCCTCCCTAGTAGCTGGGATTACAGGCACCTGCCATCACGCTTGGCTGATCTTTTGTATTTTTAGTAGAGACAGAGTTTCACCATGTTTGCCATACTGGTCTTGAACTCCTGACCTCAGATGATCCACCCACCTCGGCCTCCCAAAGTGCTGGGATTACAGTTGTGAGCCACTGCGCCCAGCCACTCTTTATTCTTTTGCATACCTGTGACAACATAAAAATTTTGTTTGGGGTATTTATTTATTTAGTTTATTTAGAGACAGGGTGTCACTGTGTCACCCAGGCTGGAGTGCAGTGGCACAATCAGCTCACTGCAGCCTCAAACTTCTGGGCTCAAGCAATCCTCTCACCTCAGCCTCCTGAGTAGCTAGGACTATAGGCACATGACACCACACCTAGCTAACTGGTGAATTTTTCTTTTTTTTTCTTTTTTTCCATTCTTTCTTTCTTTTTTTTTTTTGTTTTTTGTTTTTTGTTTTTTTTTTGTGGAGATGGGGTCTTGTTATGTTGCCCAGGCCGTTCTTGAACTCCTGGCCTCAAGCAGTCCCCCTGCCTTGGCCTCTCAAAGTGGTGGGATTATTGAGTACCGAGCCTTTTCTTGGGTTTTTAAAATGTATAAATTGTATCGCTCTGTAGATATACTTTTGTGCTTTTATTTCTCACTTAATGGTTTTGAGACTTATCCATTCACTCATTTTAGCAGTTTTGGAGTATTCCAGTGTATTTCTTTTTTTAAAAAAAGTTACACAAACTTTTATTTAAAAAAACACAAAAATACAGCCTTTTTTCACTTCAGTTATATGGTATATTGCATTTTCCAGTTAGTTCAATGCTTTAACGCTCAAGGATGCCTCTGCTTTTGATTGTACATGGGCCTGAAGCATCCTAGGTTTTGGCAAGCAGACAGGAGATTCAACAAAAACCAAAATAGGAACATTAATGCAGGCCACATCTGTAAACATATGATACATTTACAAATTACAATATCAGCCAAAGTGACACAGTTTACAGGTGAAATGAAACTATCTGGAACTGCCTTACCCCAAGTTTCTGAATCTGGACTCATATAATAAGTTATATATATATAAAATGTGTTTTAAAAGTTTTGTTTACATCAAGTGGGATTTGCAATCTATGCTTATACTTTTAAAATCTAAGCAGGGCATATTCCAGTATATTTCTTGTATGTATGTATGTATGTATGTATGTATGTATGTATGTATGTATGTATGTATGTAGAGACAGGGCCTCACTGTGTTGCCCAGGCTGGTCTTGAACACCTGGCCTCAAGTGATCCTCCCACCTCAGCCTCCCCAAGTGTTGGGATTACAGGTGGGGGCCACCCCACCTGGCTTTCAGTATGTTTCTGTACTACAATGTCATGTTCCAGGAAGTTAAAGAAAAAAACTTCAACATCAAAATTTTCAGAATATGTGTCAATGGCTTAGAAGAAAATGCCAGAGATAGTAGTAGAGACTTTTTCATGAAATGTTGCATTACCACTTCTTGATGGTGAGAATGAGTGTCAGAGACTCTAAGTTGAAAAGTGATTTAGAAGAGTTGGACTCTTGATTATGAAGTCTTAAGAGTATCTTACCTTATTATTTTGCCTATGTTATTAATGCATAGGAACGATATATGATAAAAAATTGTATATGTAAGTTTAAAAAGCTCTTACAGTAAATATAAAAAATGTATGAATGATAAAGTATTATGTCATGGTTGAAGTGATAGCATTTTCTTTTAGTCTATGAAGTAATGGGTGCATCTTATAATGAGTGACATTTTAGATTCAATGAAATATGGTACTATTTATATACTGCTGGACTCAATGCTAATATTTATTTAGGTTTTTACATGTGTTCATAAGCACTGTTGGCCTATAATTTTACTTGTTCTACTTTCCTCTTCTAATTTTTACATCAGTGACATATTAGCCTCATAAAATGAGTTGAGGAATTATTACTCTTTGTTTTCTGTGGAAGTTTGATTGGTAAAATGGAGGGTTATCTATTTCTTGACAGTTTGGTCTGAGTCTAGTAGTTTTTTAGATGGGAAGGATAGATTTTTGACTACTGATTCAATTTTCTTTATTATTTTAGGTCTCATGTTTTCTATTTCCTTTCGAGGCTGTTTTGATAATTTATATTTTTATAGAAATGCTTTATAAAATGATACTTTTTCCCTTAAAGTCTTATTTTGTTTTATATTCATCTAGCAATGCCAGCTCTATTTTGGTGCAGGGGATAGGGAAAGGATATTATTTTTCTAGTATGTTTTCCCATCCTTTTATGAAATTTCTTTGTTTTCAGGTATTAAATGTGTCTCTAAAAACACATTATTGCTAGATTTTATTAATTTAATAACTCATTGCAACCTCGATCTCCTGGGCTCAAGGGATTCTTCTACTTTAGCTTCCCAAGTAGTTGAGACTACAGGTGAGCACCACCACATCCGGCTCATTTATTTTTTATTTTATTTTATTTTTAGTGGAGATGGGGTTTCGCTATGTTGCCCAGGCTGGTCTGGAACTCCTGAGCTGGACCGATCCTCCTGCCTTGGCCTCCCAAAGTGCTGAGATTGCAGGAGTAATTGGGCAGTATCTTTTAACTGGTGAGTTTAGTTATTTTTGATGATTAGTGATAGATTTATTTCTACTATATAATTTTGATACTTTTTGTTTACTCTTCTTTTTAAAAAATGCTTTCTCTTTTTACTACCTTCAATTAGATTGATTCAATTTTGTCTACTTCCCATTTTTTTCTCTTTGATGGTTTGGAAATGATATATTCTATTTTTATTACTGTAGGGTTAATTTAAAAATTTTAACTTGCATACTTAACATAGTAACTCTGCTCCTCCCTAACAATACAAAGTCCTTAAAACATTTTAAATACAGTAATTCCTCCTGTGTTTACATGTGTTCTCATTCAATATTTTAGTTCCTTCTTGTTTTTAAATCTCTTAAATTAGTTATAGTAATAATCACTATTATTATTATTATTATTTTGAGATGGAGTCTCACTCTGTCGCCCAGGCTGGAGGGCAGTGGTGCAATCTCAGCTCACCACAACCTCTGCCTCCCAGGTCCAAGCGATTCTCCTGTCTCAGCCTCCCAAGTAGCTGGGATTACAGGCGTGCACCACCACGCCTGGCTAATTTTTGTATTTTTAGTAGGGACAGGGTTTCACCATGTTGGTCAGGCTGAGAATCACTATTATTTTATAAAGTCAGTTTCTGTTTAGACTTTCCATATGTTTATTCATTTCTTTGTTCACCACTCTTTCTTGCAACTGTCTTCTTCCTTCTGGATTCACTTTCTTTCTTACTGCTATATATTCTTTCTCCTTCTAGTGTACATCTGGTAGTAATACTCTCTTAGTTTTGCTGCCCTCAAAAGGTCTTTATTGCTCCTTACTATTGAATGATAATTTACTAAGTTACCCATTGTTTTCTCTCAGCACTTTGAAAATATTATCTCATTGTTTTCTGCTATTGTACAGGCTTTGTTATTATGGCACATATTTCCAAATTCCCTTCCATAGGGTTTATACCAGTTTGCACTCTCATTGGCAAGTTATAAACATGGGACCATTTTTACCTTTTTTTTGAAACCCTCAGGTGGTATAATTTCACAATCCACACCTGAGCATGGTGTAGGCCTAGAGCTTCAGTTTCTCATAGGCATCCTGAGCAGAGCAAGTTTTCCCATTACTTCACTTGGCAGGTGGGTGGAGTGCATCCAGCCTCTGCATTGGCCTCCGTAAATGTGCCTTTTTAAGGCTCTTGTTTCATTTAGGGGCCTTAGCTTCAACTCCTTCCTGCAAGTGTGGTCCTGTTTCTGTGTGAGTGTTAAAAGCCTGACATCTAGACTAGATCTTACATCTAGTTTCTTATTTTCTCTGGCTTCTATAGTTCACCTTCAGAGTTCGTCACTCTGCTTTGACTTCCTTTGGAAGATAATTTCCCTTTCTCTTTTTTAAGCTCAGCCATATAGTTTTTGTTTCTGTTTTGTATGCTCCTTATTTATTTATTTTAATGGTAAAATATATATAACATGAAATTTACCATTTTAACCACTTTTAAGTGTAATAGCTCAGTGGGATTAAGTATGTGTGCATTGTTGTGCAACCATCTCTACCATCCGTCTCTAGTACTTCTTTTCCGTGCAGAGCTAAAACTCTGTACCCATTAAACAATAACTCCTCATTTCCCCCTCCCCCTGGCCCCTGTTAATCACATTCTGCTTTCCGTCTCTATGAATTTGACTACTCTATGTACCTCATATGAACGGGATCATACAGTCTTTTGGCGACTGGTTTATTTCACTTAGCGTAATGTTGTCTATGTTCATTAATATTGTAGTGTGTGTTAGAATTTCTTTCTAAGGCTGAATAATATTCCAATATATGTACCTACCACATTTTATTTATTTATTCATCCATTGATGGGCACTTGGGTTATTTCTACCTTTTGGCTATTATGAATAATGCTGCTATGAACATGGGTGTGCAAATATGTTTGTCCCTACTTTCAGTTCTTTTGAATATATACAAATAAGTGGATTTGCTGGATCACATGGTAATTCTATTTTTAATTTCTTGAGGAATTTCTTTACATTTTTATACTCACCAGCAGTACACAAGGGCACTAATTTATATCTTCACCAATATTTGTTATTTTTTGATAACAGCCATCCTATTGGGTATGAAATGGTATCTCATTGCAAGCCATACATTTCCTCTAGCATTTTTATGTTTGTAAATTAGGGGTGAGGTGGAGGGTGGTCCACATTAGCTAGACTGCTATGTGCTAGAACTGCCAGATCTATCTATTTTTAATGCATGTGTTAGTTCATTTTCACACTGCTGATAAAGACATACCTGAGACTGGGAAGAAAAAGGGGTTTAATTGGACTTACAGTTCTGCATGTTTGGGGATGCCCCAGAATTATGGTGGGAGGCAAAAGACACTTACATGGCGGTGGCAAGAGAAAAATGAGGAAGAAGGAAAAGCAGAAACTCTTCATAAACCCATCAGATCTTGTGAGACTTACTCGCTATCACAAGAATAGCGTGGGAAAGACCAGCCCCCATGATTCAATTACCTCTCACTGGGTCCCTCCCACAAAACATGGGAATTCTGGGAAATGCAATTCAAGTTGAGACTTGGGTGAGAGCACAGCCAAACCATATCATTCTGCCACGGCCCCTCCCAAATCTCATGTCCTCACATTTTAAAACCAATCATGCCTTCCCAACAGTCCCCCAAAATCTTAACTCATTTCAGCATTAACTCAAAAGTCCACAGTCCAGAGTCTCATCTGAGACAAGGCAAGTCCCTTCCGCCTATGAGCCTGTAAAATCAAAAACAAGCTAGTTACTTCCTAGATACAATGGGGATACAGGTATTGGGTAAATATAGCCATTCCAAATGGGAGAAATTTGCCAAAACAAAGGGGTTACAGGGCCCAAGCCAGTCCAAAATCCAGTGGGGCAGTCAAATTTTAAAGCTCCAAAATGATCTCCTTTGACTCCAGGTCTCACATCCAGGTTATGCTGATGCAAGAGGTGGGTTCCCATGGTCTTGGGCAGTTCCACCCCTGTGGCTTTGCAGGGTACAGCCTCCCTCCTGGCTGCTTTCTTGGGCTGGCATTGAGTGTCTGCGGCTCTTCCGGGTGCAGATGCAAGCTGTTGGTGGCTCTACCATTCTGGGGTCTAGAGGATGGTGGCCCTCTTCTCACAGCTCCACTAGGCAGTGCCCCAGTAGGGATTCTGTGTGGGGGCTCCAACCCCACATTTCCCTTCCACACCATCCTAGCAGAGGTTCTCCATGATGGCCCTGCCCCCTGCAGCAAACTTCTGCTTGGGCATCCAGGCGTTTCCATACATCTTCTGAAATCTAGGTGGAGGTTCCCAAACCTCAGTTCTTGACTTCTGTGTACCTGCAGGCTCATTACCACTTGGAAGCTCCCAAGGCTTGGGGCTTCCACCCTCTAAAGCCACAACCTGAGCTCTATGTTGGCCCCTTTCAGCCAAGTCTGGAGCAGCTGGGACACAAGGCACCAAGTCCCTAGACTGCACACAACATGGGGACCCTGGGCCTGGCCCATGAAACCACATTTTCCTCCTGGTCCTCTGGGCCTGTGATAGCAGGGGCTGCTGTGAAAGTCTCTGACATGGCCTGGGGACATTTTCCCCATGGTCTTGGGGATTAACATTAGACTCCTTGCTACTTAGGCAAATTTCTGCAGCCGGCTTGAATTTCTCCCCAGAAAATGGTTTTTTCTTTTCTATCACATAGCCAGGCTGCAAATTTTCTGAACTTTTATGCTCTGTTTCCTATTTAAAGCTGAATGCTGTTAACAGTACCCAGGTCACCTCTTGAATGCTTTGCTACTTAGAAATTTCTTCCACCAGATAGCCTAAATCATCTATCTCAAGTTCAAAGTTCCACAGATCTCTAGGGCAGGGACAAAATGCTGCCAGTCTCTTTGCTAAAACAGAAAAAGAGTCACCTTTGATCCAATTCCCAACAAGTTCCTCCTCTCCATCTGAGACCACCTGAGCCTGGACCTTATTGCTCATATTATTATCAGCATTTTGGTCAAAGCCATTCAACAAATCTCTAGGAAGTTCCAAACTTTCCCACATTTTCCTGTCTTCTTCTGAGCCCTCCAAACTGTTCCAACCTCTGCCTATTACACAGTTCCAAAGTTGCTTCCACATTTTTGGGTATCTTTTCAGCAATGCCCTACCCTACTGGTACCAATTTACTATATTAGTCCATTTTCACACTGCTAATAAAGACATACCCAAGACTGGGAATAAAAAGAGGCTTAATTGGACTTACAGTTCCACATAGTTGGAGAGGCCTCAGAATCATGGCGGGAGGTGAAAGGCACTTCTTACATGGCAATGGCAAGAGAAAAACGAGGAAGAAGGAGAGCAGAAACCTTGATAAACCCATCAGATCTTGTAGCCCATCAGATCAGTATTCTCACTATCATGAGAATAGTAGGGAAAAGACTGACCCCCATGATTCAGTTATCTCCCACTGGGTCCCTCCCACAAAACATGAGAATTCTGGGAAATACAATTCAAGTTGAGATTGGATGGGGGCACAGCCAAACCATATCAATGCAAATTACTTAACTAATTTTTCTGTCTGTTGGAGAATATCCAACTTTTAAGTACATAAAAAATTCATGACAGTTCCCTTAAAAATAAAAAATACTTTATCCTAAGATTGTTTCATAAATCTCCCAGCTACAGTTAAAATATCATGAGCCAAGAATCGATATCCCCCTGTCTGCCATTCTCCTGACTGCTTGTTTCTAACCTATCTTTTTTTACAGTCCTTTCTGTAACAATAACTATTTCTTTGCGATCACTTTATTGGTGCCATCACTATTGCTTTATGTTTTGATCCTGTCTCATAGTCATACATTACTACCCTCCCAGCCTCCCACAATACCACTGCCATCCCAGGGTTTTGGCTCTTGAACGTAATTCAGTTTAATATCTCTAGGTATTAAGGCCTTGTAACAATCCATTCACTCTTCCTTTACAGCTGCCTATATAATTGTCAAAGAGATCTAGGGGAACAAGGATATAATCATTAAGGACATCCCCAGTGACTCTGTAAATAGTCTTGCTTTCCTTATTCTATTCTAGATTGAAGTCTTTAATGAGGGAATCAAGTGCCCCAGAATTAGATTTAATCTTCAATCATACTTTTTCTGGCCTGATGTTTAGGCTAATAGGAAAGGGACAGAGATGGGAACCTGGAAGATCAGTGTTTTTGGTTGGCTTTTGTGAAAACAAAAACAAAAACATATGCTGCTAAACATTTTATAAAGATAGCCTTATAGTATTGAATTAATTGTGGATTCCTGACTACCCTGCTCTTTAGCTACTTCATAAATATTAGCCCTTCTTTAAAGAGAACACTTGGGGACCCGAGTTGGGCCTTTACTGAGGGATATTATGTTTGAGGACAGAGAGAGAAGGGAAGTGCCGGGGTGCAGGTATTTCCCTAGAGCCCACAGATGGTAAGAATGGTTTTCCCATGGGCCTGACTTGCCATCTTCTCCATGCTTGGCAGAGTTCTTGGCATTAAAGAACTGAGCTAATGATGGTCACAATGAACAATGACTACAGTCTCCTTCCTTCTGAGACTTTCTCAATATTTCTCAATTGCTTAGTCCAAGAATCACCGACATAGCCCTGTGTCTGTTTGCTGCCTGGGCCAGGATGAAGCCAAGTGCCTTGTTGGACAAATATCCTGTGGGCCTGTATCTGGCTTCTGCCCTTAACTTGGAGATAAATTTAGATGCAGAGGTTGAGAAACAGGTTTGGGCCATATGCTTGCCTGGCAGGAGCTTCACAAAAGCTCAAAATGCATAAGGAAAGGCTTTGAGAGCAGTGAGCTTAAAATGATTTTTCCTATTGCTTCTTTCTTCTGTAGTCCTAGAGCTGTATACAAGGGCCAGTTGGTCATGCAGTATTAGTGGGGGCACACCATTCATTGTGCTTGACTGTTCTATCAATTGTAGAACTTTCTAGAGATAGTTGGATGTTTCACACCCCTGGCATCCAGGCACTAAAGGCCAGTACCACCCTCCATTCTTTGTGACAGCCAGACGTACCTTGTGTTTCCAGATGTGCTCAGGAAGATGGTACCACTGAAGAAAACTTTAACTGTTCAGGAGTCTACCTACTAGTATATTGTTTGGGTTACTTGGTTCTTTGTCTTCACTAAACCTTAGTCTTAAAAGTACTCTTTTCTACCCTATGCCCCAATCTAGGTTGGAGAACGTGGTGGACTATCCTATGGGGAGGACAATGTTGGAAACCCCTCTGTCATGCAGTTGTCTTTGTGAAACAGGGTTGTGTTGGCAATTAAAAATGTTGAGGCTGGGCTTGGTGTCTCATGCCTGTAATCCCAGCACTTTGGGAAGCTGAGGCAGGAAGACTGCTTGAGCCCAGGAGTTCAAGACCAGCCTGGGCAACATGGCAAGACCTCATCTCTAGAAAAAATAAAAAATTAGCCAGGCATGGTAGCATGCACCTATAGTCCCAGCTACTCGGGAGGCTGAGGTGGGAGGAGCGCTTAAGCCCAGGAGTTCAAGGTCATAGTGAGCTTTGATTGTGCCACTGCACTCCAGCCTGGGTGACAGAGCAATACCCTGTCTCTAAAACAAAAACAAAAACAAAACAAAACAACTAAAAAGAAGAATGTTAGCTCTGGAACCATAGTGTGTGGAACCATATTCCACCTCTACCATCTATCAGCTGTTTGACATGGGGCTAGTCACCTAACCTCAGTTTTCTCATCTATAAATGGATTATAATATTTTACCTATCTTACAGGATTGTTGTGAGGATAAGTCAGTATGTGTTGATTGCTATACATAGTGCTTGAGCCATACTTTGTACTTAACGACTGCTTAGCTACCATTATTTTTATTATGATCAATAGTTATGCATCAGTATGCATTGGGCATGCAGTTTGTTACATAAATAGAGCAAAATCAACTAATGACAATAACTCTGCAAACTTTTGCCTCTAGCAGTGGAGAAGTGTCAACACTACTTTGGCTGTGGGACCAGGATCCTGCTGCCTGGAGGCAGATTGGTGAGTGTGCCACAGGGGTTTGCCAAATACGTGTGTGCTTTCCTGTTTCCCCCTTTGGCATTCTTTCAATCTCTGCCCCAGAACTGTGACTGATGAGATGTGCAGTTTGGGGGGCCTAATGTTGCCAAAAGGCCACAAGGCCTATAAAGCCATTTTTCCTACAGTTCAGGAAAAATATTTCTGCCTAAGCACTGCGTGACATGAAGTGAGATCCCTTTTCTGTTGCTTTATTATTATCACATTAAACTTTCTAGAGATGCAGGCTTAACCTTACACCCATATGGGGGTAAGCTAAGGGACTATAGTTTGAAGGTACCAAGAATGTCCCGACATTCAAACTTCCTACCTCCTGTGGCTAAAATTCCAACATTAGTATTTCTTTTGGTCTGGGTTTTTGTTTTAAAAGCAAGTATGTAGAAAAGAGTTATAGCAGGCCCAGGTTTTATCCTTTGAAAGGCCTGCTTTCAAGGTTGGTCCTTGGTTGATATCTGGGAATTTGGATTTGGGAGTGTTCTCACTACCCTATGTTCAGACTGTCAGTATTATTTATACTGAATACCTGCTTTCCTTTTGGAAGTCTGGAATTTTGGGTACATTTGGGTATGTAGGCATGTAGTTCCTATATAATCAGCTTCTAAAAAAGATCCTGGACTCTGGGTTTCTAATGTGCTTTCCTGGTTGGCAACATTTTACACATTGTCAATTTGTTGCTGGAAAAATTAAGAACATCTTGCCTGACTCCACGAGAGAGGACCTTGGAAATTTGCACTTAACTTTCCTCTGGACTCATCCCATGTGCCAGATGGGATAATTTGCTGATTTTGCTTTGTATCATTTCTCTGTAATAAACTATGGCCATAAGTATAACTACATGCTGAGTTCTGATCCACTGAACCCAGAAGTGGTCTTGTGGGCTTCTGACACAGCAAGTATTCCTGATATCAAAGAAAAGAACACTACAGAACAATATGTGAACAAAATTCTTTAATGAAATATGAGCAAACTAAATCCAGCATCATATAAAAAAGATTATATAATATGACCAAGTGGGATTTATCCCAGGGATGCAAGGTTGGTTTAATATCCAAAAATCAATTAATATAATATACCAAATTAGTAGAATAAAGGATAAAACTACACAATTATCTCAATATACACACAAAAATTCTTTACAAAATCTATGATAAAAACTCAAACTTAGAATAAAGGAAACTTCCTTAACCTGATAAAAGGCATCTACAAAAAACCTACAGAAAACATCATAGTTCAGGGTGAAAGCCTGAATGCATTCTACCTAAGATCAGGAACAAAGGAAGGCTGCCCACTCTTACTTCTTCAACATAGTACTAGAGGTTTTAGCTAGTGCCATTAGGCAAGAATGGGAAATTATTTTCAGACAACATGATCCAGTGTCTAGAAAATTCTAAGGAATTCATAAATATAAGTATTCCTGAGAAAAGAGCATGTTGTCAAGTTTGCATGAGAGTGAGTTTATAGCATTTTCTATGGGATCCCTGAAAGAGTCTGGCAACTTGGAATTTGGAGGCAGAGGAGATGTTAACTGGGAAATTAAAAATCTCCCTTCTGTCTGGTATATGGTTAACTTACCTACTAGAGTGCATAGGTAAGGTGTAAGACAGTCTGCTCTGATGTGCATCTCTGAGACAAGAGCAGGGGATGTAAAGGTTTTCAGCTGTTCTAAACTCTACTGTAGTGTTTGTGCCTTCTCATGAGTTAAAGAGAGTGAATTTTCCCAAGGGCTGTTACCAGAAGGATTGGAGGAGTATAGCTTTTGGAACCAGAAAGATTCAAGTTTGAATCACACTTCTTAACTGTTGGATTTTGGGCAACCTGTCAGCCTGTTTCCAAATGGGAATGATGGTAAAGCTACTGTATAAGTCAAGACATGCATTGGGCTGCCTGAAGTTGAGATCAGGAATGATATTAACTTAAGCAACACAGAAGTTCATTTTTCTCGGGGCCGGCATGGTGACTCATGCGTGTAATCCCAGCACTTTGGGAGGCCAAGGTGGGCAGATCCCTTGAGGTCAGGAGTTCGAGACCAGCCTGGCCAACTTGGTGAAACCCTGTCTCTGGGTAATAAAAAATTACCCAGGCATGGTGATGTGTGCCTGTAATCCCTGCTCCTCAGGAGGCTGAGGCACAAGAATTGCTTGAACCTGGGAGGCAGAGGTTGCAGTGAGCTGAGATCATGCCACTGCACTCCAGCCTGGGGTGACCAGAACAAGACTCTTCTCGAAAAAAAAAAAAGGTTATTTTTCTCTCATGTTCAGAGACAGGGAAATCAGGATTTATGTATAGTGGTTTCTCACTATTATTTGAGGCCCAGGCTTCTAATTGTTTTGTTCCACTCTTCCGGGCACATAATTTTCATCCTCAGAGTTGCCTTAATGATCTGCAATGTCTGTTGGACCTTCAGCCATTATAACAGAATAGAAAGGGCCCACCTCAGCAGTCTCACTTCCTTTTTTTTTTTTTTTTTTTGCAGGGGGACAGAATCTTGCTCTGTCACCCAGGCTGGAGTGCAGTGGCGTGATCTTGGCTCACTGAAACCTCCACCTCCTGGGTTCAAAGCAATTCGCCTCAGCCTCCTGAGTACCTGAGATTACAAGTGCACTCCACCACGCCCGGGTAATTTTTGTATTTTTAGAAGAGACAGGGTTTCACCTTGTTGGTCAGGCTGGTCTGGAACTCCTGACCTCAGGTGATCCTGCCCACCTAGGCCTCCCAAAGTGCTGGGATTACAGGCGTAAGCCACCACACCCGGCCTTCACTTCCTTTTAAGAAGCTTTTCTAGAAGTCTCACACAATGACTTCCTCTGACATTTCATTATCCAGAACTTAGCCCTATGGCTACACCTAATTGCAACAGAGGCTTTAAAATGTAGTCTTTAGTTAGGCTCATTGGCAAAAAAACCAGGGTTCTCATGCTGAGAAGGTAGGAAGAAGGACGCCAGACAGGTAAAGCAGCCTCAGCCTCATCTACCCTGCTGAGCTAATGGAAGGGGTCAGTGATGGAATGCAAGAAAAATGCCAAGCACACAGTAGGATCTCATGAATGCTCCCTTGCCCCTACCCACCTCACCCCTGCTCATGTGCTTCAGCCAAGAGTAAGATGACTGTTCCTTATGGGTCTGTGTGTAGGGTGCAAGTGAGAGGGGCACCACCAAGGGATCCTTCCAAGGGCAGTGTCTTTCCCATGTTCAAATACTTTTAGCTCACTGCCTGCCACTAAACAGGTACCTATAAGTGCCTTTTGAATGAATAAAAGAGCATGGGAAGGAGAGACAGACAAACCTTGTATTTGAATCTTGTCTTTGCCATCCCTAGTAAGGTTACTTAACTTCTTGAATCTCAATGTCCTCATCTATAAATTGATGATGATAATACCTACTCTACAGAGTCGTTGAAAGGATCAGATAGAAAGGCACTGTGTCAACTTCCCAAGCACCAAATGGATAGCATCACCATTGAATTTTATGGGGAGAAAATAGGCTGGGCGCAGTGGCTCACCCCTGTATCCCAGCACTTTGGGAGGCTGAGGCAGGTGGATCACCTGAGGTCAGGAGTTTGAGACCAACCTGGCCAACATGGTGAAACCCATCTCTACTAAAAATATAAAAATGAGCCAGATGAGGTGGCGTGCCCCTGTAATCCCAGCTACTTGAGAGGCTTAGGCAGGAGAATCGCTTGAACCTGGGAGGCAGAAGTTGCGGTGAGCTGAGGTGGCACCATTGGCACTCCATCCAGCATAGGCAACACAGTGAGATTCTGTCTCAAAAAAAAAAAAAAAAAAAAAAAAGAAAGAAAGAAAAAGAAAAAAAGGAAAGAAAATAGTATGAAAGGCAACATTTGTCCCCTGAGCCTTCTCACCTACCCCTTGCTCTATCTGCTTCTCTTCAAGCCATCTTTGTCCAGGCTCCTGTCCTGTGCATCCTAATAATTAGGAACACAGACTCTGAAGCCAGCCTACCTGGTTCAAATCCCAGCTCTGCCACTTAACT
This sequence comes from Homo sapiens, assembly GCF_000001405.40. Lineage (NCBI taxonomy): Eukaryota > Metazoa > Chordata > Mammalia > Primates > Hominidae > Homo > Homo sapiens. Next base: position 34,912,244 of record NC_000017.11, on the reverse strand, counting down.
GGTTGACTCTTTGGGTAAGTCACTTAACTTCTCTGTACCTCAGCTTCCTCATCTATAAAATGGAGATTATAACAGTATCCACCACACAGGGTTGGGAAGATGAAGGGACTTCAAATAAAGTTTTAAGAGCAGTGCCTGGTGCATAGTGTTAGCTGCTATTATTATTGTTACTTGGCATCTTCCCTTCTCTCTGTCTGCTTTGTCTAAATTTTACAATCTTTTCCCTTCTCCACAGAAATCCATATTCTCTTGTCTCCCATGAGTAATGAACCACTTCTTTCTCCCTCGCCACAGCCATCTAGTGAGCCCTTCCTCACCATCCCATTTCTGGGATGCCTCAGTGGATGACAAATATTTGTCACCTCCATGTCCTCACCAAACCTTAAGCAGCAGCAGAGCATGGGCCTGGGAGGCGGGTGTTTCTGTGGCAGGAATGGGAGGAAGGCTTCTGCCAGGAAGGCTCTCCCGTATCCCCATTCCCACCCATCACAATGGCCTAAGAGGCCCCACACCTGCCTCTCCAGCCTCATCATCTCTTACCCTCCCAACTCTCTCCAGCCACACTGGCCCTCCTGCTGTTCCTCCTGTCAAGCTTGTTTCTGTCTTGGGAACTTTCCCTGACTTTTTTTTTTTTCTTTCAGAGACGGAGTTTTGCTCTTGTCGCCCAGGCTGGAGCTTAGTGGTATGATCTCAGCACACTGCAACCTCTGCCTCTGGGATTCAAGCAATTCTCCTACCTCAGCCTCCTGAGTAGCTGGGATTACAGGTGCGTGCCACCATGCCCAGCTAATTTTTGTATTTGTAGTAGAGAGGGGGGGTTTCACCATGTTGGCCAGGCTGGTCTTGAACTCCTGACCTCAGGTGATCCTCCTACCTCGGCCTCCCAAAATGCTGGGATTACAGGCATGAGCCACCGTGCCCAGCCAACTTTTCTCTTAGCCAAGAACACTCTTTCCCCAGACTCTCACAGGGCTTACTCCCCCAACTCAACTTAGTTACCCTTTCTTTTTTAAAAAAACAGCTCCATCTCCTGCCATGTTCTGTATCTTCTGCTTTATTTTATTTGGAACAGTCATCACTATTAAATAAAATCCTGGATTTGTTCATTGTTCATCTCCCCCCAAATCAGATTGGAATATGCTCTCTGTTCCCAGTGGATTTCTCCCTGGCACGTCTGGGGAATTTTACTGATTGAGTAAATGGTTAAGGCTGACCTACGTACTCCATCTCTGGCCATGCTTTCTTTTTGAGGGATGAGCAAATACTCCAGGAGGTGTGGACAGACTCTAGGGTGGGATAGGGTCGGGGAGGCTGGTTGCAGTGGGCTTCCACAGCCAAGGTTGGGATGCTGTGTGGAGCCCCTGTCTTAGCGGACTCCTACATTCTCCTCTCTTGGCTCCAGATCCTCTGCTTCAATAATTAAAAATAGCTTCAGTCAGTGTTCAAAGCAACTCCATATACATTGTCTTCTCTTAATCTTCACAAATATAATAATTAACTCAGGGAGGCAGAGTTCCCCTTGTTTTCTAACAAGAGTTGACCGCAGGTAACACTGGCTTTGGAATGACTCTGGGAAGTAATGAGGACCCTGGCCTCGGAGACCAGGCCACCTCTTGGCAGGAGAGTTTTGGTAGCTATGCAAGTGCCTGGGTTGAATTACATGGACTTTGTAATCCTTTCAAGCCTGGAGGTTTAGGATTCCCCAATCCTGTCTTGCCCACGAGGATACTAAGGCTTGCTCAAGGTAGAGATCTGGGGATAGAGGGGTGTGAGATTCTTAAAGCAAGGTCTGCAAACACCCTTCAGGACCGTTTGATTTGTGCACAGCAGCATGTTTCCACCTCCCTCGTTTCTCGCATGCGGGTGCAGGGGAGAGAGAATCCAGGGTGCGCGGTCTTCTTCTCAAGGCCGCCAGGGAGGCCAGTGTGGAGGAGACAGGGCTGAAGGGCTGGGCTCCCTCCCTGGCCCAGAGCCTGCTTAGTGTCACCTCCCTCCCCTCCCCAGCCTCCACATTTTGCTGCAGGCTATTAAGGGCCCCCATCTGTACCACCTCTCATTAATTAAAAATGCTACAAACCGTCTGTTTAAGGAAGCCTCAGAGAGGGGCTGCCTGCCTAAGGCAGCATTCTCTCATACTTCTCAACTTTAATTGAAAACATATTTTTCGAATAAAACCCAGCCCCATAAACCCTTCTTGCTGCTGTTGGCAGTGATGGTGGAGAGGTGAGTATGATGAGCCCAGAGCCAGCAGAAGCTCTGGAGTTGGGGACCGTGGTGTTGGCAGAATTTAGGAGGAGGCATGTGGTTTTGCCAGCTTGCTGGAGTGAAGGCACTCCAGCCTCTGGCGGATAGCGGGAGGGAGGAGCTGAGACGTAGATGCTGGCTGCTAGAAAGATAAGGACAGAAACATAGAAGGGCCCAGCTTAGAGGAGCACACCTTGTGCATGGGGGGAGCCAGAGGGCCCCTAACTCTGAGAATCCTAACTCTGCCCCCACTGGGTGTGGGACCAGGGGCACTTCCCCAAGTGAGCTACTTCACCTCCCTGGGTTACTAGAGTCCAGATGGGCCCCTGGCTCTCAGCAATGGGATGGTTTAGTGTTGGGGATGTGCTCGAGGGTCCGGGCCCCCCACCAAGGGCCCTCTGTGGGGAGCAGGACAGACCCCGGGCCTTTCTCCTGGCTGTCACTCTGCTTTCCTCGGCTCTAGGACCATTCCCCATTGTTCTTGTCCTGCCTGTCTCCCTGGGAATATTTTAAAAGTTTGAGGTCACTGTCACTTATGAGATGGGGGCTGGGTGTGGTGGAAATTTCAGCCCAGGGCCTGGCCTGTGGGTACTCTGTCTCGTGGCTGGATTCCTTGGAGACAGACAGGGCAGCTCCCTGGCAATGGAAAAGATGGTAGCCCTTCTCCCCCAATCCATATACAAAAGGCCCTGGGGCTCACTAATTACGCTCTTTTTGACTACCCTGCAGTGAGGCAGAATAAGAATTATCATCCCCACTTCCCCATTTTCAGGGAAGGAAACTGATGGTTAGAAACAGAAGGTGGCTCCAGATCACACAGCGATTCAAGCCAGAGCTGGTTCCAGCATCCAGGCCTCTGGCACCAAGGCCAATTCTCCCATCACACTTCTCTTCCGGTTCTCCCCTCCTCTGGGTCTTTTTGGAGCAGAGGCGATGGTGGAGGCAGGGACAGTATACCCTGAACCCAGAATGCCAACCTAGCCCAGTCCATGGTGGGCACTGCTTGCCTTTGATTTTCCTGAGCATGTCTTTATTGCCAGCCAGAAGCAGCTAATTCATCTCTGTTCCTGGTGCCTCCTGCAGAGCCTCATATAGATCCTCAATCATATGTATGGAGTGAAGAGGTGAGTGAATAAATGGATGAAGGAAAGAAGGAAGGAAGGAAGCTTGTTCCTCTAAGGTGAGCCATTCTGCCAGCCTCTAATTCATAGAAATCAGAGAAATCATGAAAGGAGAGACCACTTAATGAGTCTACATTAGTCCAACCCAGTCATTTTAAGGAAGAGGCACGGTGAGAAGTGGCAGGCCCAAGGTCACAAGTTTCCTTCAGGAGAGCCAGGCCTGGAACCTGGGTCCCCTGACTCCTGTTCTTTCCTTTTGCCCTGGCCAGGGATCAAAGACAGGAGGATCTGAGCCAATTAGAATGGGCTTCATGTTAAGTCATGGCAGCCTCCCTCCATCTAATCTCCCCAAATCAATTTGCAAAACTTCCATTAATACTGTCAGGAAATCTGCAAGCTGTTTAAAGCCAGGGCATCGTGGTAACTGCCTGTGTAATGGCTACCTGGGGGGAGACAGACATTAACAGGATAATTAAAGATTAGTGTGTCCTTGGGCAGTTCAACAAAATTTACCTTTCCCAGTAGCTGATTTTGGAAAAACTTCATTGTAGAGGAGCCTCATACTAAGGGCTGGGCCAGGTGGTTCTCTGCCACCCCTCTTTTTTTTTTTTCTTGATCATTCTTGGGTGTTTCTCGCAGAGGGGGATTTGGCAGGGTCATAGGACAATAGTGGAGGGAAGGTCAGCAGATAAACAAGTGAACAAAGGTCTCTGGTTTTCCTAGGCAGAGGACTCTGCGGCCTTCCGCAGTGTTTGTGTCCCTGGGTACTTGAGATTAGGGAGTGGTGATGACTCTTAACTAGCATGCTGCCTTCAAGCATCTGTTTAACAAAGCACATCTTGCACCACCCTTAATCCATTTAACCCTGAGTGGACACAGCACATGTTTCAGAGAGCACAGGGTTGGGGGTAAGGTCATAGATCAACAGGATCCCAAGGCAGAAGAATTTTTCTTAGTACAGAACAAAATGAAAAGTCTCCCATGTCTACTTCTTTCTACACAGACACAGCAACCATCCGATTTCTCAATCTTTTCCCCACCTTTCCCCCTTTTCTATTCCACAAAACCGCCATTGTCATCATGGCCCGTTCTCAATGAGCTGTTGGGTACACCTCCCAGACGGGGTGGTGGCCGGGCAGAGGGGCTCCTCACTTCCCAGAAGGGGCGGCCGGGCAGCGGTGCCCCCCACCTCCCGGATGGGGCAGCGGCTGGGCGGGGGCTGACCCCCCACCTCCCTCCCGGACGGGGCGTCTGCCACCCCTCTTATTGACACTGTATTTGCTCCCAGGAGGCCAGGGGTCTTCTGGGAGGAGGGACATTGGAGCAGCAGTTCAGCAACTTGTTTTGCCTGGTCAGGTGAGATTGATCCAAAGTAGCACTGCAGAGCAGGGCTTCTCACACTCTGGTGGCAGCCACATCACCTGGGCCTCCTGTGAATGCAGATTCTCATTCAGAAAGGCTGGGGTAGGGCCAAGACTCTGCATCTCTGCATTTCTTTTTTTTTTTTTTTTTTTTTTGAGATGAAGTCTCGCTCTATCGCCCAGGCTGGAGTGCAGTAGTGCGATCTTGGCTCACTGCAACCTCTGCCTGCCAGGTTCAAGCAATTCTCCTGAGTAGCTGAGACTACAGGCGTGAGCCACCAGACCTGGCTAATTTTTGTATTTTTAGTAGAAACGGGGTTTCACCTTGTTGACCAAGCTAGTCTCGAACTCCTGACCTTGGGTGATCCACCCACCTTGGCCTCCCAAAGCACTGGGATTACAGGCATGAGCCACTGCGCCTGGCCTCTGCATTTCTTTTTTTGTTTGTTTTTTGTTTTGAGAAGGAGTCTTGCTCTGTCACTCATGCTGGAGTGCAATGGTGTGATCTCAGCAACCTCTGCCTCCCAGGTTCAATTGATTCTCTTGCCTCAGCCTCCTGACTAGCTGGGATTACAGGCATGCACTACCACACCCGGATAATGTTTGTGTTTTTAATAGAGATGGGGTTTCACCATGTTGGCCAAGCTGGTCTTGGACTCCTGACCTCAAGTGATCTGCCCATCTTGGCCTCCCAAAGTGCTGGCATTACAGATGTGAGCCATTGTGCCTGGCAGACCCTGCATTTCTAATAAACTCCCAGGTGACACCCATGTTTTGAGTTCTTGGACCACACAGTGAGTAGCAAAGCTGTGGAGATAAGTCCAGAGATGAGGACAGGAGCTGTGGCCCAAACACTAATGAACACAGGAAGAAGAGGCCAGCCACCAGGCTGTTTCAATAATGTTCTAAGCCAGCCCCATCGAGGGGTACTTATATGGTGTACCAGGGATTAAGACAGATAACTCTAAAATTCCTACTGTCTCAGTTCAGAACGTTGGCTCCAGTGTTCAGCCCCAGAAGATGGAGATAATAGCAGTACCGACTTTATAGCATTGATGTAAGGATTAAATGAGATCATTCATTTAAAGCATTGGCTCTGAGCATGTAGGAAGTGCTCTGTGTCGGGGTGAGGTATTTTCAGTCCTCAAAGACAGTTTTTAAGCACAGAAAAAAATTTTAGAAGTTGCTTTGGCTTTTGGAAGGAATGTCTAATTTATTAAAGTTATACATTGTATAAAAATCTAGTTTTTCCTTACCCAGTTCGATTTACCAAATTTGGGCTGGGTGCAATGGCTCATGGTTGTACTCCCAGCACTTTGGGAGGCTGAGGCAGGTGGATTGCTTGAGCCCAGGAGTTTGAGATCGGCCTTGGCAACATAGCGAAACCTCATCTGTACAAAAAATGCAAAAATTAGCCAGACATGGTAGTGTGCACGTGTGGTCCCAGCTACTTGGAAGGCTGATGTGGGAGGATCGCTTGAGCCCTGGAGGGCGAGGCTGCAGTGAGCCATGATCGTACTACTGTGCTCCAGCCTGGGTGACAAAGTGAGACCCTGTTGAAAAAAAAAAAAAAAAGATTAACTAAATTTTAGCAGTAATTTTAAAGGGGCGTTTGGATGGCGTCTGTTCCATTTACAAACTTAATAAAATACCTTCACATATTTAAAATATCATTTTATAAATTTAATATATTTCATTTTTAAACACTATACTAACCCAACTGACTACTTTTTTTCCAAGTAATTCTTACAAATCTAAGAGAAACTTAAGCATGTATAAAGTTAATATGATTTTTTAACTAAAAATCACAAATCTAACTCAATTGTAAAATTATATTTTAGATTGGAATTAAAGGCTGACCAATATTCAAGTAGGCCAAATTCTCAAACATTATACACACTTAAGGTACCAAATACTCTCAGACTCTTTCACATCTAAAAATATTCATCCTGTGGGTTTGAGAATCTAAAATATTTCTATATTTAAGGATGAAAGAGCCTTACCACTAAGGAGATAATTATACCTTCCCAAGTAGTTTTGGGGGTCACCTTCTCAGACAATTGAAGTTGCATAGTAATCAGAATTATTGACCACAATGTCGGCTGGATTCTTATCAGTGGCATTTATGGAAGCCACTAAGCTCCTTTTTTAGATGCTCTTTGTCAGGGACTCCATAAAAAAAAAAAGGTGGTGTTCATGCACAATCCACGCCCCAATATTCTCAGTTCTTTAGTCAACTCACAGAGATTGGCAGCCCCCTCCTAGACCACCACAGCACACGAATGGATTTTGCATTTGTTGGCTTCTTGGGATATTTGAATATCCTTCTGTTTCCAGGCTCCAAAAAACTTCAGCTCTCAGGGCATACTACAATTCTGTTTATATTCTTTCTCTTTCTTAGAGTCACACTTCCCTAGATGTAGAGATGGCATCCTTTGGAAATCTGGTTCTCTCTTGGGGTTTGGTTTAACTTTGTGGTCAGCATTCCTAGGGACATGCTCTGATAAATAAATGTTAGCACTAATAATTACCATTGTTGACACTGATCGTCTTAAAATGAAGGGGAGGGGACTCTCTGGAGGCCCCTGGGGACAAAGGAGGATGCTACACAGTGGCCCTCAGACTCCTGGGGTCCTGAGGATCTTTGGTTGCTTTTTTTCTGACATTTATGGTGCAGAGGAAAGAGCATTGGCTCAGGGGCAGGTCAGAGACTTGGGGCAAGTAGCTTTTCCTTTCTGACACTCAGTTTCCTTGTCTGTATGGTGGAGATTGTAGTATGTTAGTATATCCCTGGACAGGGTTGTCAAGAGCAACTGATGAGATGGATAACATAGCATGGCCTGTGACACTTTGTAAGTGCTGCAAAAAGTCATATTCTTGTTCCTTCAATCCATTTTCAACATAGCAGTGGATTACACACACACACATGCACATGCGCGTGCACACACACGCACACACACGCAGACAGATGGCTCCTCAACTTTGATGGGGCTGTGCTTTGATAAACCCATCATAAATGGAAGGTGTCCTAAGTGGAAAATGCATTTAATACACCTAACCTACCTAACATCATAGCTAAGCCTAGCCTGCCTTAAACATGTTCAGAGCACTTACTGTAGCCTATAGTTAAGCAAAATCATCTAACACAAAGCTTATTTTATAATAAAGTGTCAAATATGTCATGTAATTTATTGAATACTATACTGAAAGTGAAAAACAGAATGGTTCCCAGCAGTGCTGGAGAACATTGTACGGCATATCGCTAGCCTGGGAAAAGATCAAAATTCAAAATTCCAAGTGTGGTTTCTACTGAATGGGTATTGCTTTCACATGATCGTAAAGTAGAAAAATTGTAAATGAAGGACTGTCTGTATACGTATCTGTAATTCCATAATTATAGAACCAATCCAAGCCAACAGACCAGACATCCTTTTTTTCAGAAAACTACCCACATGCACTACCCACCATGGCTGCTGGCTAGGTGAGAACATCACGCTGGCAATGTGTGTATGTTGGATGGGGTCTCCGGGGGTGGCGGCTGGCTGGCTTCAGGGAGCCAGCACCATCTGTCCATCTTCTCTCCTTCACCCCACCTTGCGCCCACTCTACCCTCGCTGCCTCTCCTGCAGCACCCTTCTCCTGGGAAACAAACTGGCATCTCTAGAGGCATAGAAGGAACACAGATGTTAGAGCCAGACAAACCTGTGTTTGAATTCCAGCTCTGCCATTGCCTGGCTGGGGAGACCTAGGCAAGCCATTTTCACCTCCTGGGCTTCTGTTTCCTCATCTGCAGAATGGGTATGACAGAACAACCCCCGCTTTATGAGGGTGATGTGAGTGTAAATAAGATGAAGTGTGCAACAGCACTTAGCAAATGGTAAAGCTCTGTATACATGTTCACCATAAGGACCATTGCAGTGTTAGAATGACATTATTAAAATGAACCATTGCAGTGTTAGAATGCCATTATTAAAATGACATTTTTCCTCCCCAGGTTATCTGCCTGACAAATTTCTGAGGGTTAGCACAAATGCCTAATCTACTGCAAAACCTTTCATAGCCAGAGTGAAGCCTTCCCACATCCTTCTTCCCTTGGAACCCAGAACACTCCCTTGAGAGTTTGTGTGATGCTGTAATCCAGCTAGTGGTTCGTAGGTATGGCTCCCCTACTGCATGGGGAACCTTGGACTGTATCTTTCTCATTTCTGTCTCCCTGATGTAGAGCAGGCCTGCCTCAATGGATACTAGTTGAATGAACAAATAATTAACTCACTAAGGACATAGTAAAGAGAGCTGCGACCTATTCTTCCAAGAATTTTTTCTCAAGCTGCCTTCCCTTCCGAGTTCCTCCCTGGAGTCCACTGGCCCACCCACTGCCCCTGGCTGGCTGGCTCCCTCCCTCCTCATTTTATGCTGGGAACCAGATGTGTAGCTCCTGTTCCCTGTCTGAAGGATTAAATGCAGGGATGAGAAATGTGTTTTCTTATTGTTTTAGGAAACTGAGCAGGGTGGGGGAGAGGGAGGAAGAAATTGAATCAGAGGCAACAATTTATCTTGTGTTAAAGGGACTACAAGGATTCCAGGAAGCCAGGCACTGACTACCCACCCACCCACCCGTGCAGACCTCTCCTTTGTTTGGGAGATAATTAGTCAGGACAGCTGGCAGTCCACATGTGTCTGCCCTTGTGTGGGAGGAGATGGGGCTCAATGGCTTGAAGGGAATTCTGATTCTGCTTGGGAACCGCTTGTCATTGTAGGAGCATGCAGGAAGACCTACTTCACCTGGGGTCCAGCTTTGCCTAAATCCCTCCCTGCCATCACAGCCTTGGCTGAGGTTTCCTAGACATTGAGGTGCCTGGGGAGATGCAGTAGGAAGGACACAGGCAACTTTGGTTCTGCTGTTGCTGGGTGGGCCACATACAGCCTCTGTTTCTCTCTCTCAAAATATGGTAAGGACAGAAATGCATGCCTCACATGGGCTGGCTGGGTCCCATGACCTGGCCCATGACTTGCTAGGCTCAGAAACCAAATTTTGTCCTTACACTCAAGAGGTCGTGCCTTTGAGGCCAATTCACATTGACAGAGACCTACAAGAAGCAGATGCACACAAGCCAGAAGGCTACTCTGTGGTTTACACAGAGAAATGCCAGGTGGATGGAATGCCCACCTTGCCAGGTGGCACAACAAAGGTACGGGTCTAAATATGGGCTTTGACTCTTAACTGTTGTGCAAATTTCTGTAAGTTGGAGCCTCGATTTTCTCTTCTGTGAAATGGGAAGAAAAATGATACCTGCCTGATAGGGCTGTTGTTGGGTAAAATGCACTGTGGTATATCAAGTGCTTAATGCTGGATGGCAGTTAGAAAACACATGATAAAAGATTAGCTGTTACTGTGATTATTAGTAGCAATTAAGCAAGATCTTAATTAAGCAGGGCTTTCACTCATCACTTGAGGAGATTTGAAAGGAGGAATGGTCCAATCTCCTTAGCCAAAATGCTCTCTTCCAGGGTAAGAGAGCTAGGATAGGCGCCGTCAAGATTTGCTTCTGGGAAAGCCATTCTTTCTGTTTCCATTGCTGACCAAATATCTGTAGACATCAGGCACAATGCAATGACAAGTTTCTACTTACTCAGTTACAGTTGCAATCTCGTCTTGCTGCGGGAGGTTTCCTCCTTAAAGGAGGATGATGAGTGATTTGGCTGTTCCCAAACTCCTTGCTCACATGGTCAGGGTCAGTCTCTGGCTGGGTCCCAGAAAGTAAGATTAATCATAGTAATGATATGAACAGTAACACTTTTCAAACATTTACTACACACCAGGCCACTATTCTAAGAGTTTACATACATATGTGACAAAACAACCTCTGAAGTAGGTTCTGTTGTTATTTCCATTTTGTAGATGAGGAAACTGAGCTCCAGAGAAGGTAAGTAACTTGGCCCAGTGTCCCACATTTGGTTAATTATGCCCACTGGTGTGGGATTTGTTGTACGGCAATGATAGCCTGGTACATATTGCATGGGTGGAAAGATACCTGTTGGGTAATTTCCTAGAAGTGGAAGGGCTGAGGTCAAATTTTGCTAAATTGCCTTCCATATACATTTTATCAATTTTCATCCCTACCAACAAAACATGAGACTTCCTGTTTCTGTTATCAGAAAGGGGTCCCGATCCAGACCCCAAGAGAGGGTTCTTGGATCTCTCACAAGAAAGAATTCAGGGCAAGTCCACAGAGTAAAGTGAAAGCAAATTTATTAGGAAAGTAAAGGATTAGAAGAATGGCTACTCCATAAGAATAAAAGAATGCCCATTCTAAAGGAATAAAAGAATGGCTACTCCAAAATGGACTAATTGCCCATTTTTATGGTTATTTCTTGATGATATGCCAAACAAGGGGTGATTATTCATGCCTCCCCTTTTTAGACCATGTAGGCTGACTTCCTGACATGGCCATGACATTTGTAAGCTGTCATGGTACTAGTAGGAGTGTTGCAGAGGTCTACTAGAGGTCACTCTTGATGCCATCTTGGTTTTGGTGGGTTTTAGTGGGTTTCTTTCCTGCAGCCTGTTTTATCAGCAAGGTCTTTATGACCTGTATCTTGTACCAACCTCCTATCTCATCCTGTGTTTAGAATGCCTTAACCATCTGGGAATGCAGCCCAGTAGGTCTCAGGTCTCAGCCTCATTTTACCCATCTCCTATTCATGATGGAGTTGCTCTGGTTCACACGCCTCTAACATTTCCACAATGGAATATTACCAAACAGAATTATTCTAAGTGATGAAAAGCCACAGGTATCCTGCTGTAGCTTTTGCATGTGTGTTTTCCTTCTTAATGAGATTGAAGATCTTATATGTCCAAGAGCCATTTTCATTTCCCTTTCTGTGAATTGTCTGATTGTGTTCTTTATCCCTTTTTAAAACTGGGTCTTTGATGTTTTCTCATTAACTTTCCATTCACCTTAAAGAAATTAGCCCTTTTTCTGAAATACAAATTAAATGTATTTTCCTTGAACTCATCATTTGTCTTTTCACTTTATGTCTACTGTTTTTCAGGTAAGTTAAAACATTTTTATGTGGCTAAATTTACCCATCTTTTCTCTTATGGTTTCTGGGTTTTGTAGTTTGTGTCCTACTTAAAAAGGTGTTTTGTTCACTTTAAGATTTATCTCTCTTTTCTAGTACATTTATGGTTTCATTGTTTATGTTTAAATTTGAGATCCATCTGGAATTTATTTTGGTGTATGGAGTGAGGTAAAGATCTAACTTAACATTTTCCCCAGATGGCTACTTCCTCAAATACAAAGAAATGGAAGTCTGCAGAGGCTGTGACTTATTTGGGTTTACACAAATCATAGGATTTGCAATAATCCTGGATGATCCCTATCATTCAGAGGCTGCAGTAATCAGACATGTCCACAAAGTGATTTCCCAGGACCCAGCGAAGGGGACGGCAGTAGCTCCAGGAGTTTCCTGGGATGAGTGGGGGTGGGGGGTGTGGTTGGGAGGGGGCAGGCAAATGATGACTCCTCAAGGGATTAAAACTCCATAGAATATAATGACAACGAACATTTCTTGAGCACTTCCTGCAGCATCCTCAGTGTGTTACAGGTATTTGCACATTGAATCCTCACAACACCACCAGGAACTATTATTATTCCCATGGTTGAGATTGAGGTTTGGAGAGAAGTGCCTTGCCCAGGCTCTTGCTGTGGAGGGAGTGCTCCTAGGCTCTGCTGCCTTTCACAGAATGTGAGCAACAACAGCCCCCAGGAGACTGAGCCCAGAGCTTCTCAACAGGTGTGGTGGGGTGGGCTGAGCGCTGGAGACCCTGCCCCGACACTGGGGCACATCTGACTCTCCTGCGGCAAGGAGGATTCAGCACATGGCGAAGCACATTCAATGTTAACAATGATTGGAAAGGAATCTTCCCTTTGGAAGACAAATAAACAAAAACCCTGTATGTTTTTCATAATACAGATCATAGAAGGGGTATGAGATTTGGATGTTGTCCCTGTGTATTGGTCAGGGTTCTCCAGAGGAGTACAGCCAATCAGATGTGCGTGTGTGTGTGTGTTTGTATACATTTATTATAAGGAATTGGCCTACACAATTATGGAGGCAAGTCCCATGATCTTCAGAGTGAATTTGAAAACTGAGGATCTGGGAGAGCCAAAAGGTGGAATTCTAGTACAAGTCTGAAGGTCTGAGAACCAGGAGAGCCAATGGTGTAGTTCCTGTCTAAAGACCTGCAGGCTTGAGACCCAGGAAGAGCCAATATTTCCCTGAATTCCGAAGGCAGAAAATAGCCCATGTCCCGATTCAAAGGCAGTCAGACAGGAGGGATTCTCTCTCCTTACTTCAGTGAGGGTCAGCCTTTCTGTTCAATTCAGGCCTTCAACAGATTGCATGAGGCCCACTCACACAGGGGAGGGCAGTCGCTTTACCCATTCCACTGGTTTAAATGTTAATCTCATCCAAAAATGCCCTCACAAAAGCACCCAGAATAACATTTGATCAAGTATATGGGGACCCTGTGGCTCAGTCAAGTTGACAGATAAAATTAACATCATACCCTGTTTAAGGGGCATAGATTAAAAAAAAATTAGTGAACACTGGTCCAATCTCTTCAATTTGCACATGCACATGAGAAAACTGAGATCTGAAGAGGTGCCCAAGGTCATGGGGTGGGATTGGGGAGAATCTGAGCTTGGGGGTCAGGGAGGCTAGAGGTCAACCTCATATCCTAGTAACTGCATGACTTTGATCCAGTCCCACATCCCCCCTCAGGTAAAATGGGGGGAAGACCACCTAAATCTTAGGGTGGTGCAAGGAGTGAGGTGTTCTAAATGATGAGATGGGCATAGCTTGCAAAGTGAGGCGGGCTCTGTTCTTTTTATTGTTAATTACAGGCAGAGCTAGGCTTGGAAGCTGGTTCAAGGACTCCTTATGGGTGCTCTGCCTGATGTTGGCAGACAGATGTGGCTGTTTCTGTTTTCTCTCTCCCACCCTTGCTTTAATTCCTCCCCACTGTAGCACCCCAGACCCTAGGCGAAGATGGGGTGAGTGCCCCCTCTTCTGCAGCGGTAGAGGGAAGAGGAGGGGAGGAGGAGTGCCATGCTCAGGAGGAGATGGTCGGTGAGGGGTGGGGAGCCTGCCTGGGAGCAGCTCAGGAGCTGCAGCTCCTGTTTGGAAATACAAATTGCAGCAAATTTGTCGTCTCTGGAGAGAAACTGCATTTGGCAATTTCAGTGTTTTTTGTGCTTTGATGCTCCTGTCTGTTTAAGGGGAGGGGGGAGAGAGTGGAGGGAATCAAACTGGGCTTCATTGAGTGGAAAGAGGGGCTGAAAGTGAGCGGGAAAAACAACTGAGGGGCTGAAAAAGGCTCCTCTCCCAGTCCTGGTGGGGAGGGTCTGACTTCTGAGATCTGTCCTTTGGGACTATCCTTCAGCCCTGGTCATGGCTGGGTGGTGGCCTGGGCATACGGCCGTGTTCACAGAAACATCACCAGACTCAGACCCAGAGCCTGTCACTGTCCCTTTCTGGGGGCCTTGCCCATGGGTGGGGACTTGGGCCAGAGGATGGAGTAAAATAATGTGTCAGGCTGGAAAGGCTCAAGCCCAGTGGTTGACCTTCTCCCAGTTGGTAGATAAGAGCAGGGAGTAGACACTTCGGTAATAGCTCTTACTCTGTACCCGGCACTACTTTAGGGCTTTAGATCTATCAACTCATTTGACCCTTACAACAACTCTGTGAGGAGGGTACTATTATTTCCCCTGTTTTGTGCATGGAAACTCTGAGGCACAGAGAGGTTAAGTGACTGGCCTGTGATCACACAGGAAATTGGTGCAGGAACTCAAGGCTCTTACCCAGGTTTGCTCCTAAGTCTAACCTGTGAGGTCAGTCCTGTCTGATCCTCCAAGACCAGGTGTAGGGGAAAGTGTGGAGGGAAAGTGACCAGGGGATTCTGAATCAAGGAGAATTGTTGGGGTCTGTGTGGTTAATCTTGGGGGCTTGCTGGAGCAATTAGAGCAATCTGAGAGGTCCCAGGTTGATGTTGGGGGCACCCCAGGCCTCTGATCCTGCATAGGCAAAGGCTGGGAAGCCGGACTGTGATGAGGGACTTTGGACATCTTAGCAATCTTGGAGACTTATTTGAGGAAGGAGAAGAGACATCAGTGGGCGGAACACTAGCACCTTGGTTCCTTCATTCATTCATTCATCAATTTGCTATTTCGTAGCAGGTCCTGTGCTGGGTGCTAGGGATACAGAAATGAACAAACACAGTCCTGGCTCTGGAGTTGCTCACAGTCTTTGCAAGACACACTTGTAACAAGGTGTGATAAGGACTTTGATGTTTGGAGGTACTAGGGGCCCTGGGAGCCCAGAAGAAGGGCATATAGCTGAGGCTGGTTTTCTAAGTGATGAGATGATGGCTAGTGAAAGCTTCCTAGAAGAGGTGACCTCTGAGCTGAGGTATCATAAGAAGCAGCTCTTCCACCAGAGGTTCTCAAGTTTGTTTGGTAGAATCCACCTGGGGGCTTCCAAAAAACCTGATGCCTGGGGCCACCCAGACCTATCAAATTGGAATCTCTGCTGGTAATTCTGCTGTGCAGCCAGCACTGAGCGCTGCTGAATTAGAGGAAGAAAGGTGGAGCAGGCATTCCAGGTTGATGGGGAAGGGGATAAGAGCTAAGACAAGGGATGACATGAAGGTGGGAAAGAGGCAGGCATGTTTAGGGGGCTGCAAGCCAGACCACAGGGACTGTGAAGCAGTGGACAGATGAAGCAGGAAGAGCTATGAGGGCTGCAAATTGGGGGAGCTTGGGCAGACCCTGCAACCCAGGTCCCAGCTGTCTTGGGCAGGAAGCCTCCATGCTGGTAGGCCACCCCATGTCCTGCACCCATCCTGCTGTGCTAGCCACCTCGGTAAGGGGCAGGAATTTAAGGAATACTTCCGTTCCCATCGCTGCCTTTCTGTGGAGCTGTCAGCTGCGCTGCCAGCTGTGTGCAGAGCCCCACCACTTGGAAGAGCACTGGATCAGTCATAAAGAGCCCATGGCACTCAGAGGGAGCTCAGGGCTTCCAGAGCAGCATGGAGGCCTCATGGGGTAGACCGAGTGTGTCTCATGGCCTGTCAGAGACCCTGGGTCCTGGGGGCACCCTTGGAGGGGCCCAATGACTCACCAGGCAGCCCAGAGCCCAGGGCTACTGAGAAGCAGAGGCAAGATCCTGAAGTCTTGGGAGGAGGATGGAAAGGAGCTGAGCCGACTGCTGTGTGCGCTGGTCCATGAGGTGTTTTTCATGTGGCAATGGCCCTCTGGGTGCCAGGCTCTCTGCTAAGTCCTGTCTTTGAGCAGGCTCTGTCTTATGGACTTCTGGCACCAACCCTGAAATTACAGTGTGCTGGGGTCAGATCTGAAGTCCAATCCCAGGGCTGGCTGCTGCAATTTCTCTCTGACCATGGGCAAAGGACGTCTCTTCCATGGGTTTCAACTGCTGTGTTGGTAAAATGGGGCTCACAGTCCTGAAAACCTTACAGGGTTTTAAGATTGAAATGACATGTATGAAATGTTCAGCACACAGTTCAGGATCAGCCACTGATTCCTCTCCAATTCTTTTCTCTGCTTGACCCTGGCTTTCCCCAAGCCATTAGTCCCTGGGATTAAAGAACTCTGGGTTCTTACAGCTGTGCCTTCTGAAAAGTGATCTCAGACAACTCTGAACCCTGTCTGGATGGTTCAGAGTGGCCTTTATCCCTTTTTGCTTCTCAGGGCAGAGTTGTGGCCCCACTCCTTTGCCCTGGTCCTGCCCAGCCCAAGCCCGCTGGCCCTCCTCTCCACACAGAATGCCCAGTCATCTGAACACCTGAGTACCTTGTGATTGAGGCTCTCACCAGTGCTGTCCATGGTTCTGGCCCTGGGAGACGACCCCGGGGGATGTGTGAGGTGTGGATCTCTAGGCGAGAGCAGCTGGTACTCTTGGTGATTTATGAAGGATTCGGGAGAGATGCTTGTTGCTAGGTGACCAGCAGGGGCCAGTTGGAAGAGGTGAAGCAGGACTGCAGTGGGAAACCCAGTCCCTTTTCTTGTTCACTTCTGGGTGAATTCCTGTGCCCTTAAGGGTTCTGTTCTTCTTCTCTTCCCCCTTCCCTTCTCCCCTCATCCAGTGCCATAGAGACCAGAAGTATGCAGGGATGGAACAAAGTCCCAGATTGTTGTCTTGAGATTTTAATTTTCTTCCCTTTTAGTAATATTTTCAGTATGTGTTGTGTGTGTGAGTGGGTGTGTGTGTGCATGTGTGTGTGTTTGTGTGTGTGTGTGTGTGTGTATAAGAAGATAGCTCACAGAGGGGTGGCCATGATGACTGTTTCTCCATAGTGCATGCTTGTCACGTGCCGGGAACTTGCTACATCGTTTTACATAACTCATCTCCAATAGCTCTCTGAATCCTCCTAGCCACCCTGGGAGGTAAGCTATCATACCCTCTTTTACAGATAAAACAAACAGGCTCAGAGAATAAATCAGTTTGTCTGAGGCGCCTTAGCCTGGAAGTGGGAGATTGGGGATTTGAACTCAGGTCTACTTGTATGCTTCAGCACTAAGTACTGTTCTGTCAAGGGTTCCCTGGCTTGGTGAAACCATTCCTGGCCTCAGGACAAAGCTGCATGCAGGGACAGTACCCCAGCCTAGGACTCAGCAGGCTTGAAATCTGGTTTCAAGTTTGTCCCTAGTGACTCACTCTTTGACCCTAGCCAGCCCCTTGTCTTCTCTGTCCTAAATGTGAATGACCCTGTTGAACTGAGCCCCGTGGTTCTTCCTAAAAAGGAGTCCAGGCCCCCATGCATAGCCTGACTCCTGTAGATATGGGGGCTCCAAGTCAAGGGCAGGCCAACTCTTGGAGTCCCCCACAGAGCCAGGAAGAAGTCCATGCTTCCCGTCTGTTTAGTGGTTCCTGGACTCAAGCAGACAGATTTAGCGTGGTTGATGCAAGGGGTCCCAGAGCTGGAGTCTGCAGTGAGCCCAACACTCTGGTGAGGCGTCTGAGATGCAGAGAGCTGACTTGTTTACACTACACTGTGTGCACCAGTGACCCCCATCATCAATCTGTGGGGACATCTTCTCGCTGCTTCTTCTAATGAAGGATCAGGAGCTTTGACCTGGAATCCAGAGCTCTAAGTTATGAAGAGTTTGACTGTTGGATGGGGGAACCTGAATATTGGAGGGCCCAGCACGAAATCCCTCAGCTGGCTAACAATTCATTGGTGGTATCTGGTTACTGATCATTCTTACTCTGCACAGACCTACTGTGTGTCGGGAGCTTTATACACGATCCAAGAATCACTGCATGAGTTGGCTGAGATGAGTTTGGAACTCAGTCAAGTCCATCCCTAGAAGGACTTGCTTTTGAATATGTATGTACCTGGCTTTGTGTTAAAGCCTTCAGAAGTGATGTCCCCTTTCAATCTTTACAAACACCAAATGAGGCAAGAATTATTTCCCTTCCTTTATAGATGAGGAAACCCTGAGACCCTGAGATGGCTCAGGGAGGAAGTGGTAGAGCTGGGATTCAAACCCAGGGCAAAGCCGAGAAGAAACTGCCTCGCCAAGCCCCTGGGCTGGCTTGGCTTGCAAGGAGTGAGCGGACTCCAGTCCCCACTCAAACTAGCTTTTAAATGCTGGTTAGCAGTTTTCCTGGTTGGTGTGGGCACACACTCCTTGCTACAGACACTTTCTAATTAAGAAAAAGAGCAGTAGGCATAAGGTCTTTCTGGAAAAGGGGCTTTGGGCTGAAGGAAGCAGAGACATTTGTGTTAAGGAGATGCTCATGCTCTTCACGTTGCTGCCCTTGGCCTGAAGCTCCTCCCGCCCCACTGGCTCCTTTCCAGTTTCTCCCCTCCAGGCTGCCCTAAGGGCATGACACTGTGTCCACTCAGTCATATCCCTCTACTCTGGACTGACCAGGACTGGAGCATTGGGACCTGATCTTCAGTTGCGGCAGGAGGGATTCTGGTTGGATCCCAGGAAGTACTTCTAGGTAATGGGGGGTTGTGGGAAAGTGGAGGATGGAGGTGGGAGGGGATTTCTTAAGGCCCAGAGTCAGCAGGAGGGACAGTGAAGGGGGTGCAGGTGGTGGAGGCTGGCACATGCCCTCTGACCCTGCACTAGGGGAGGGCTCTGACTCAGGAGTTATCTCTGCTACCCCCTGACAAATCCAAATGCTGGACCATGAGCCCCTCCACCCTCCTTCCTGACCCCATGCTCTGAATCTGCTCCTGACAGCCTTTTAAATAATGGATTTCTCCCAGCCTCAGCATTTGGGGGTGGGGCTCAGGATCCCAGAGATTCCCAGCAAAGAGATTCTGATATTTCCAGCCTTGGTCCTCCTCCCTCTCATTCTGGCAAAAGGATTTCATGTTTTCCGAGCACAGCAGCCTCCTCCTCAGGCTGCCTGTTGGGGGCAGCCTTACCCCACGCACCCTCTGCAGAGCCCGGTGGTGGCCAGTTGCACTGAGGGTGAGGTGGGGGAGCCAGAAGGAAGGGGGAGAAGGGCTGGGCCCCTCCTCTCCTCTCCTGGCCCCATGGGGAGGGAGATGTCATGGCCTGAAGGTGGCCCGGGGTACAGCTGGGGTGCGGGGCATGTCGGTGGGCATCCAGGAGTGCTGAGACCCCACTCAGGCTGCTGCAGGGGAAGGGTCCTCACCCATGTCTGAAGCTCTCCAGTGCCAGGCTGTGGTCACACAAGCCTCCCCTCAGCAGGGCCCTGGGGGTGCTCTGGGCAGGAGTGTGGAGGTGGGAGTGGGGTGGGGAGGTGGGGAGCTAAGCAGATGGCTGCCTGGGCGGGAAGAGAGGGAGGCACTGTGTCAGGAAGTGCAGTGCAGGCAGGGTGTGACCTTGTGCAGACTCACCCTGGGGTCACCTCACCACCCACCCAAAGGATGTCTGGTCACCGTTGCCCAGAAATGCATGAGGGTGGTGAGGGCTTTGGGCTTAGGAAGACAAGGCTGGGGTGGAGTGGAAGTAATAGGAAAAGGGAATCAAGACTTGACTCAAATCGCTTCAGCAAGGAGGCCTTAGGCTTTCTGGCCCTCAGTCTCCTGGTGATGAGAAGGCCTGGCCCCTGAGGCTGCTGTGTTGAATGAAAAGGTGAGGAAAGTGCTTGGCACACAGTAGGTGTCCATCTAGGGGCAGCTGCCTCTGGCCACCTTGTCCGGAGAAGTGGACTTTCTCAAGCTACAGCTTTAGAAAGGCAGCAAGCCCCACAGTAAGCGCACAGCCTGGAGCCACAGTGCTTGGCTTTACAAGCCTGGCTCAGCACACACCCTCTATGTGTCCCCAGGCAATTGACCGAAGCTCCCTGTACCTTGTTTTCTCTGTGAAATGGGTAATAATAATTCCCTCTTCAGAGGGTTTTTCTGAGGGTGAAAGGAGTTAATACACACAAAGCATTTAGAACAGTGCTTGCTCCATGCGAGGGCTCTGTAAGAGTGTGTACCATTGTCACTATATCCTTTGTAATTTTTAAGAAAATTTATTTACTTACTTGTTTTTTATTTTTTTAGAGACAGGGTCTTGTTCTGTTCGTCACTCCAGCCGAAGTGCAGTGGTGCAATCATGGCTCATTACAGCCTCAACATCCTAGGCTTGAGGGATTCCCCCTGCCTCAGCCCCCTGAGTAGCTGTGACCATAGGTGCCTGCCACCACACCCGGCTAATTTTTTATTTTGTAGAGATGGGGTCTTGCTATGTTGTTCAGGCTGGTCTGGAACTCTTGGGCTTAAGTGATGATCCTGCCTCGCCCTTCCAAAGTACTGGGATTACAGGCATGAGCCACTGCACCTGACCTCATTATCAATAACTGCCACATTCTCCTACCTCTGCCCAATCCTGGGCTCCTTACAATGCTTTCGTCTAAGTGAGCTGCTTGAATTTCCCACAGCAGCCTCAGAGACATGTCCACCAGGAGTCCCACCGATTTTACAGATGAACGCACAGAGGCTCAGAAGATGAAGCAAACTGCTCATGATCATACCCTCCCCTTATTTAAAAAGTGACACTTAAGTTCTTTCTTTACTTATTTTTATTCTTTAGAGACAGGATCTTGCTCTGTCACCCAGGCTGGCATGTGTGATTATAGCTTACAGCAGCCTTGAACTCCCGGCCTAAAGTGATCCTCCCACCTTGGCCTCCCGAAGTGCTGGGATTACCGATGTGAGCCACTGCGCTCAGCCCCTTACTTTCTTCTCAGCATATGCATGGTCCTGAGTACCTCACTGCTTGCCCCAAGCCTGGTACCTCCAGTAATCCAGGCCCAGAGTACCCACTTTACTCTAGCGCTGGATGAGGGAAGATGGCTTCTCTTCCTCCAGGTTGCTGAGGGGCAGGGCTACCATGCATGGGGGTTTGGTGAAACAGGGGAGGCAGGTTCAAGGTTTCCAGAAGGGACCTGGGGGCCTGGGTGGCTGGAGCAAGGGGAGGGTGGGGGGTCCTGAGCCTGAGGGGCTGAGTGGGGGTTTCAGTCACTTCTGAGATGGGCTTTTCTCTGATTAGCATTTGCAGGTGGTGGGTGCCCCAGGTAAGGACTTCCATCTGACTAACGGTGAGGCTTATCTCCTTAGTGGAGAATTGACTTTTTAATTGACCAGGGTATTTTACCTTTGATGGTGTCCACTGGTAGTTTGAATCCTGGCAGGGGAGGGGGCAGGAGCGGCCCTCTCTAACTCAGCTCAGCCTCCGGTCTTTTTGGCCATGAACTCAAACCCAAACAAGAGGGGGTACTGCTCAATGGAGGGTAGTGTGGATCCCAGAGGCACAGGTAGACAGTACAGGGCGTGTTCTCTGCCTGCCTTCTAGAGTCGGAGCGGATCTGAGTTCCAGCCACATCACTTAATACCTGTGTCACCATGGTCAGCTTAATTAATCCCTCTGACCTTCCATTTCTCCATCTGAAAAGGGGGCTAATAGTATCCACGAGACACTTATTATGAAGAGTACACACAATTAGCACAGCACCCAGCACCCTTGTAAGTGCCAGTTAAATGTTGGCTTTACTCATCATCTCCGATTGTGGCATGCTCTGAGGACCCGTGCGGTGTCCAGCTCCAGGTAGTTTCTGCCCTTGGCCCCACTTCAGTGCTCGATCTGCAAAAAATTCCCAGCCACCCTGCCTGAGAGCTCCCACTCCAGAGAAAGGGCTTCTCCACTCAGCTTTTCTTGAGCACCTACTATGCACTGACCCTGTGCATGCCAAGCTGAGTAAGACTCTGCTCTGTTGTCCAGGAGCTCAGTCTCTGGGGCCATGAGTATATCCCAGGGAATGATAAAAGGGGGTACATCGTCGTGGGCACTGATGAGGGAATAATGGGCCCTGAGGGGTGATTGTAAATGGCTTCACAGAGGAGGTGACATATGCACTCAGTATTGAAGCATAAGATTTTTGGGAAGGGGAGGTGGAGTGATTTTTTTTGCAGACGAAACAGCATTTACAAAGGCCTGGAGGCAGAGTCTAGATAGCTTCCCCACTCTTACAGGAACACTCTAGCTAGGAAGGCTCTAGCTAGAGCAAAGGGACACATTCCAGTATGGGGGATGCAGAGCTGGGTGGGGCTGTTCAGGGAAGGCTTCCTGTAAGAGGCATTGGGAGGCCAGGTTTTACAAGACTGGCAACAGGATTGGGGAGCTTGGGAAGTGGTACTTCTGTTTGGCAGAAGGAGGTTTATTTAACAAAACAAAATGGATGGTGGGGATAGAGGAGGAAGGCAAGACCCACTGGTGCTCTCTTCCCCTCCTGTGCTGGGTCAGGGGGTGAGGGCTAACAGGTATCACCTATATCTCACCTCTGGTTGGGGTTGTGGCTCTGGAGATGAGGGTGGGCAGGATGTTAAGAGACACTCATCCCAGGTGAGAGAGGGGCACCTGCCAGCCTGAACCTGGGAGCCTGGCATTCAGGGGAGTGAAGAACCTGTTTGTGGAGCTTGGAGGACCTTTAATTAGTTTTACAAGAGGCCTCCATCTCCAAGTATTTCTCTTCACCAAGATTTCCTAGGGAAGAAAGGGGTGGAAGGGAGAAGGGTGCACCTGTCCAGAGAATTCCCCCAAATCTTCATCCCTGCAACATTTACCTGGGCCTTTCTCCCCCTCCCCTTGCCTCTTGTCTCACCTAGAACAGAGACTCCAGGATCAGAGCTGGGAGAGGGAGCAGAGGTAAGCCTGGGGTGCCTGCTTGCAGCTATGGATGTTGGATGTCTGTGTAGAAGAGATGCTGGGTGGCAGGAAGCATGAGGAGGGGCTTACTATTATAGCTTTGCCACTTACCAGCTGTGCAAACCTGGGCATGTCCTTTAAGCCTCTGAGCCTCAGTATTGGAATCTGCAAACTGGGGGAGTAATGCTCATCATCCACAGCTGTTTTAAGGACGGAATAAGATATCCATGAGGCATCTAGCATAGGTCTGGCAGTCTTGTCTTCAGCTTTGACTTGAGCTGACCTAGATAATGTCATGCAGAGAGAGAGGTATCAGGGGAGGAGAGGTCTGTTAGCAGGTGGATGGGTTACTAGGTAAGACCATCAGCCCTTGAGGCACATGCCTCAGTTTTTAGATGTGCAAAATGGGGTTAATAATAATACTTCACAATGTTGTGTGAAGATTAAATGAATTATAGATAACAGTATCTGGCTCAGGAATACTCAGAGTGCTTAATAATGCTAGCTATTATTATTGACATTTATTTATTTATTTATTTTTGAAATGGAGTCTCTGTCATTTAGGCTGGAGTGCAGTGGCGCGATCTTGGCACACTCCAACCTCCACCTCCTGAGTTCAAACGATCTTCCACCTCAGCCTCCCGAGTAGCTGGGATTACAAGCGTGCACCACTGCACCCAGCTAATTTTTGTATTTTTGGTAGAGACGGGGTTTCTCCATGTTGGCCAGGCTGGTCTCGAACTCCTGACCTCAAGTGATCCACCCTCCTCAGCCTCCCAATGTGCTGGGATTACAGGCTATTATTGAATTTTAAATTACTATTCAGTTGCTATTAAAGCAAGGTCTCAGGCCCAAGGATTTGGTCACAGGTATCAGAATGGGAGCCTCAAGTGGGACTTGGCCTCAACAAGGAGGCAGGAGGCCACAGAAACCGTTGGTTGGAACCCAGATCCAGGTCAAAGTTGGAACCTCTAGGTCATCCAGCCTGGGGAGTATAGGGCTGGCCCATGGGTTACCACCACCCCTCCAACCTTTCAATCCCCTCTCAACACATTTTCCTGCTCACCTTGAGTTCCAGCTGGAAGGACCAGATTAAGGTGGCCATGCCAGGGACACCTGCATCCCAGGCACATCTACACAGAGTTCCTGCAAGGCTCAGAAAAGACCAGGCCCAGCTCTGGGAGGAGAGGCAATGTCGTTGAAGTGGGCTTTCATCCTAGCCTTGAGCCCCAGTGGCTTTTTCCCACTAGGGCCTGTCAATCAGGACAGAGCTCCTGGTGCTGAGGGAGGCAGCAGGCTCTGGGTCGGCCAGGCCAGAGCGGAGATTCTGATGAAGCTGGCATGTATGGTAATGACCCCTCTTAGCCCAAGGACCTGTTTGCATTCATGGATTCGTGGAAGAAAAAGATTTTGTGGGGGACAAGCACTGAATTCTGTCTACAAATAGGGTGACACAAAATAGGGTGACACATATTTAGAGTTGTGTCTGCTGGACAAGAGGGAGGGGCAGTGGAGACCAGGGTGCTGGGGGACAGTGGGGTCCCTGAGAGAGAATTCATCATGGGGGCTGAAAAGGTCTAGCCTTGAGGTCTGGCTGCTGCAGACTGCCTGAGAAACAGAGGGGCAGTCATTCTGGGAATGGGTGTGTGAACCCCTCTAAACCAAGTGACTTTGGTGTGCCAAGCGTCTCCAGAGAGCAAAAGCTGTGTGTGTGGACAAAACATTATTTCATCAACTCTCTAAGCCTTTGGTGCCCAAGCAGCACCCTGGTGGGCACCCTCCTTGCAGCCCCTGGACAGGGCATGGGTGACTTTTTTTCCCTTGGAGGAGCAGGCTGAGCTCTTAGCCCAGTGCCGGCTACAAAGTCGGTGCTCAAAACTATTTGGTTAAAATAATACTATGACTTTTAACAAGCTCATTTAGTGAATGTTTTTTGTCATAGCCAATTTGCAGATGTCTTGGGAGAACAAAGCCACATGCAGAGCAAACTAGAGAGTGGAAACCCAGCCCAATCCGTGGTGAGAGGCCTCTTGGGGCTCCCAGGAGTGGGAGAGGGGTTTGCAAAGGATTGAGATCCCCTGAGTTGGCAGATAGGTGCTTGGAACTTGCAATATTTGGGTGTTGTTCATGTCATTCACACCCACAGGCTGGTGGAAAAAGGGCTGTATCAGTGTTTTCTGAATGAAGAAAAAGAGTGGTTTGTCAGCAGGAGCGATGGGATCTAGGTCGGGGAGACTGAAGCCATTTGGCAATACTGATAAAAGCTTTACACCTTTATGTCTCACATGCTGACAACTTCTCCTTTTTCTTTCCTGCTAATCTTATTGACACACTAACCCAAATGTGTTCACGTGGCTCTTGCTACCCGGGGTGCACGGGCCCCGACAGGAAGGAATCAGCAGGCTTTCCAGTGCCAGACTCTGCCAGTCGTCTCTCAGGGAGACTTGAAAGTTCAGATAGGCCAGAGAGGGTTAAGTTATTTCCTCTTTTACTTTCTCATCTTCTTGTACCCGATGCCCTCATGGTCTTCTCCCTCTCCTTCTCAGCAATATAAGATCAAAGACTGTAAATTATTCATTCACAATTGAGTGGAGCACATTTCAAAGTCAGGGCTGCTGGGCATCTCTTCTCAGAATTGCCAAGGGTGAAGACCCACATTTTTGGGTATATCAGCTCTGTTAAGTCACAGCCCTGAGATCCGGAGCCTGCCTTGCCTAAGCTCTGGGCTCCCACTAGTCTGATCTCCTCCCTGCCCTTTCCCTGTCCAGATTGTACCCCCCTCCATCCCCATCCTTACTCCAAATTAAGCCCAGGATCAGTGCTGCCTACCTGGCTACACAGCGGTGGCTGTGGGTGCCTAGGCTGCCATTGCCCAGGACTCCTGTGCTGTCTCTTCCAGCGGGGAGCAAACATGGGGAACCGACATGTTTGAGAAGAGTGCCTAAGACGTGCCAAGCACAGGACAAGTAACAATGCTTGACAACCACTCCAATAATTTGTTCTGGGCTCTCTATGTGTCAGGTATTCTTCTATGCACTTTAAATGTAATATCACTATGAATACCCACAAACACTTGTGGGATGGGTACTATTCCTATTCTGATTTTACAGATGAGGACTGAAGCTGAGGGAAGTCAAATGACTTGTCGAAGGCCACACAGCCTTCCAGTAGCTGGGCTGGTATTTGAACTGAAACAGTGTACAATATGCCACCCTGTTAAAACATATGTGATTTCCTTTATCCTTACATTGACGCCATGTATAATGTATAGAGGGGGAAACAAGGTGTTTTTAGTTTTTAGAGACAAGTTCTTCCTCTGTCTCCCAGGCTGGAGTGCAGTGGTGCCATCACAGCTCACTGTAGGCTTGAACTCCTGGGCAAAAGGGATACTCTCACTTCAGCCTCTCAAATAGCTGGGACTACAGGCATGTGCCACCATGCTTGGCTAATTTAAAAAAAAATGCAGAGATATGATCTCTCTATGCTGCCCAAGTTGGTTTTGAACTCCTGGGCTCAAGTGATCCTCCTACCTTGGCCTCCCAAAGCACTGGAATTACAGGTGTGAGCCACCACACCTGGCTGGAAACTAGGTTTTGAAGAGAAAAGTGCTTATACCAGGTCATGTGGCTAGTGAGTGGCAGAGCCAGGATTTGAATGTAAGACAACATCCATGATCTTACTAGCACAGCTCCCTGAGGCTGATGGACAGGCTTGTGTTTCAGACATCTGATGGGAGGAATGAAAGAGACATACTCCAGGGCCCAGGGAACCTCATCCTGCGTGTGGCTGGATTTGTCAGGGTCATCAGGGAACCCTGGCTGATGGATCCAGAGCCTCTGGAATTTCCTGAAAGTGAATTTCAGCATATGTGTCTGTGATATGGCTTAAATCTAACACCAGCACCATTTAAAGATTCCAAAGAACCAACAAAGAAAAAGCCACAAACCTACGTTTTATCTGAGCCGTTACTTACTATTGGGAGCTTATCTCCAAGAAGCAGAATAATCATAATGCACAGCACCCATGTGTGGCTGATTAGCTTTGTGGTAAGTTTTATTGGATTACAACACAAAAAGTCTGTTCATGACTTAGGGTGCAACTGTATGGCTGCTTGCTCACAAACAAAAAATAGAAGTAGAGGGAGTGTCAGGGCCCAGGAGCATCAGATAATGAGGTTGGTACTCCAAGAGCATGGTAATCAGCAAAGACCATTTGTGCAGCCCCTTCCAGTGTGCAAAGCCACTCTGCATGTGTCTTAATGGACCATCACAGCCACCTGATGTTTTCTTCCCATGGGGGCAATGATCAATAGTTTTGGCCATTCGTAGGGGGTGGGAAATAGGGGGAATGGGATAGAGAAAGTGTTGGTTTCCATAAAAACTGTGGATGTGAGGGTTGGACTGCGTGTGTTTCATTTTTAAGGCAAATGAAAACACTTAGTCTTATCTGGTGCCTGAACCTGAGTAGTACTAATCCGATTTACGTTTTTTTTTTTTTTTCTTCGAGTGCTTACTATGTAAGCACTGACACTATGGAGCAACCTTATCACGTAGGGAACATTACTGACCTCATTTTACAGATGAGGAAAGTGAGGCTTGAGAGGTGAAGGGAGCTTGCTGCAGGGAGTGGGATGCGCAGCCAGGTGGTCTGATTCTGGAGCCCGGACCTTTCTTGGGAGGCTGCTCGGCAGGACAGCATCTCTCTGTGCTGCACAGTGGAATGAAGGGGCCCTGGGGAGGAGCTGGGACCTGTGCTGGCCTCAGCGGTCCCATTCAGTTTGTTTGGGGCCTCCAGGGAAGTACATAGAACAGGATCTAGAGGTAGGAAGGCTGGCTTGTCCTGGTCCACAGGGCCTTGAGCAAGTCCCTCAATGTCTCTAAGCTGCACTTTCCTCCTCTCTAAAATGTCTGCCTGGTCCCATCACACAGGGTGGCTGTGTTCCTGGATAGGAGGTAGTGGTGAGCAGGGCAGAGGGACACTCCCTACCTGGAAGACACCTGGACAAGGTGTCGGCGGGCAAGGGCTGGAGACCTGTGGTCCCTCTGCCTGGAAATGCTCTCCCCTCCCTGTTTCCCATGACTGGATCTTTTAAAACTTTCAGCTGTCAGCTTAAATGTCACCTTCTCAGGGAATGATCTTCCCTCCCACTTCTGATGGACTGGCCTAAGCCCCCATCTCTGTCAGGAGCTGCTTTCCCCAGTTCCTCCACTTCATCCCAAACCTCCCAATGAGACCCAGTTCTACCCAGGTATGAATTATTCACATAGAGGCTGAGGGCTCATTATGGGGACAAATATTTCAGCAAAAGTCATCTGGCAAGAGCCGAGAGGGACAGAGATGGGGTGGCATTTATTGTCAGGAAATGGTTTCCCACGGCAATTAAATGCTCACACTCACGTGCACCTGTTGTGCACAGCATGTGTCTGTGTGTGCCGGGGAGATGCATTTTATCACTGTCCCCCTCCTACCCCAGGGTTGCATCTAGCCTGTGTCACACCAGAGTCCTGTGTCTACACAGAGCCCCACCCCTACCCAGCCACTTGGTCAGGGGAGGGGAAGGGTTGGCAGTGGAGGCAGGAGGTTTCCGGACTGCTCTCTGTCGATTGATGTTTTCTATTAAAAAACAAAAAAGAAAAAAGGAAAAGACTTAGTGCCTCAGTGAGGTTTCATGAGAAATGGTGGGAGCAGCGGGTAGAGAGGAGCTGATTATGTAGATGTGTTTAAGCTCTCAGCTGGGGATGGATGGCTTCCATAAACCTGCTGGGGGCCTCAGCCCCTGCCACAGCCTGGCTCCATTGCAGCTGGGGGCCTCAATCCCCACCGCAGGCTGGCTCCATTGCAGCTGGGGGCCATTTCTCAAGTTCCTAGAGGAGGAAGGGGGTGAGTAGGTGCTGGGGGTGGGGGTCCCCTGTCAGGTGGGGCCCCCAGGCAAGGGGCAGGTGAGAAGACTGTAGGGACAAGCCCTTTCTCTCTGGGAGTACACACTTAGCCCTGTCCCCACCGGGGCTGGCTTCTCGGCAACCCTTGGCTGGACAGATTCTAAGCTGGCCTCTGCTAGGTCATGCTGTGCAGCCTGAGGCGTGGCTTTTGTCTTTCTGCAATTGGCTTTTCAGTCTGGAAAATCAAGGGAAGCGCTAGAGATGGAGGGTGGTGATGGTTGCCCAACAATGTGAATGCACTTAATGCTGCTCAAATGTACACTTAGAAATGGTGGAAATGGTAAATTTTACAGTATGCATGTTATACCACAATAAAAAAGGAAACCTCTAAAACATCAGGTGAGTCTGAAGTTTCCTTCCAGACTTCATGCTTTGGGGATTCATGATCCTGGGCTCAAAGAAATGTGAGGGGACGCGTCGTTGTTCCAGGAGCAGACTGTGTGCCCTGCTAAGTCCGTTTCTTTTCTGATTTTACCCCCTTTGGTGACGCCACCATCACCAGCTCAGCATCTCTCAGGGGCTGAGGGGGACCTCTGCTCCTGAAGATTGAAACCATTGCTCGCTAAGCTATTGAAAATTTCATGGATAATTCAGGAACACAAATCAAACAGGAGGCCAGAAGCTCTGGATTTATGAAGAAAAATGAGTCAAACTTGGCGATTTATGAGCACCCCAGAATAGTGGCACGTGGGGATGAGGAAGGGATGGAGGACAGGTCTGAGGGCCGGGGGCACAGTGCGGGGAGGCAGAGGTGGGAGTGGGGCTGGAGAGAGTGTAGGGGGCCTGGGCCTCAGCCCCAGACTATGAGCCTTGGGGGAAGTTGTCTGTGCCCTGGACAGATGGGGCAAGCGTGGTCCAATGAGGAAGCAAGGACTGTCCTTAGGCATTAGAGGGAGGGGCTACTCACAAACCCTAATCTGACTGTAGACCAGGCCTGGGCTGGGTACTGAGGAGAAGAGGGTGAGGGCAGAGGGAAGGGGGCACTAGGCCAGCGTCAAGGGGCTTGGCTGGCCTTCCAGAGCAAACATAGCCTTCTTCAGGAGTGTGTGTATGTGTGTTTGTGTGTGTGTGTGTGTGAGAGAGAGAGAGAGAGAGACCCAGTTGTCCAAAAGGCTTCTTCTGAGACTTTTGCAGTCTCCCAGGGGGTCCTTTCAGTCTAAGGGTGGTGAGATCCCCTACAGCAATCCAGCCCCAGAAGCCTAGAGAGATGTCCCAAAGGCTGTCCCCAAGATCAAAGCCCCAGAGCTTTATGGGCCTAGAACAAGTGGGGTTCAAATCTGACTGGCTTTGCCCCCCATAACTAACCAGTAGAGGCTGGTCCCTGCCCCCTCCCAAGGTGGATCCTCCTGGGATTGTCCTACTTTCTGTCCAATTTCCTCTGCTTGGGATGGACTCCAAGAAGAGCATTCTCAGGTACATGGTTTGATAGAAATGGCTATGTCTGAGGATCAAGGATTGAGAGACCTAGAATGAGTTCCAAGTAGCCATTGCTTGTCAGGGTGACATGAAGCAAGTCATATCGCTATCGCATTTTAGAATCTCAATTTCTTCATCTCAAAAATGGGAAGAGCATTCCCTTCCATCAGCCCTTCCTCATAGCTAATAAAGCTGTAGTATTAGTGTAGTATGAAATAAAATTATAAATGGATATGTGCTTGGTATCCTCTAAGGTGCTGTATGAAGGTGATGGATTCTTCTACTAATTTTCCACGGGCATCTGCCACAACGACAGCTCCTTTCTGGGCTTTAGCTTCCCCATGTCTGAAAGGAAGAGATTAGACAAAGTCAACTCTCAGTTTCCCTCTACCCTGAGTAACATCTGATCCTATGACTATCGTGGTCCCTCAGTTCCTGATCAACATGCTTCCAGTTGCAGGTGAGGCTTCCAGGTTCTAGGGTTTGGAGGAGGGAGGACTTTGTTCAGACAACCATTTAACAAAAATGATTTCTAGGTAGGGGCCTTGCTACTTTCTCTTCTCTTAATCTCTTCTAGGGTCCTCCTGAAGATGTGTTTGAATGCATGCATTATTATGACCAAGTACAGATGGGAGGGGCTGTCCCTTAGGTTGTATTGAGATTTCTCTAGAACTCAGGACATTTGATTCAAAACATTTCCATTTTAAGAAATGAAGGAGATGGGCCGGGTGTGGTGGCTCATGCCTGTAATCCCACCACTTTGGGAGGCTGAGGTGGGTGCATCACCTGAGGTCAGGAGTTTGAGACCAGCCTGGCCAACATGGTGAAACCCCATCTCTACTAAAAATACAAAAATGAGCCAGGTGCGGTGGCCCACGCCTGTAATCCCAGCTACTTGGGAGACTGAGACAGGAGAATTGCTTGAATCTGGGAAGCAGAGATTGCAGTGAGCCGAGATTGCACCACTGCACTCCAGCCTGGGTGACAGAGTGAGACTCTGTCTCAAACAAACAAACAAACAAACAAACAAAAAAGAAATAAGTGAAGGAGATGGAATGTCAGAGGACTTAAAGACTGTTGTGGTAGAGAAGATAGGGATATACTGTTGATTTGAAAATCATTATTTTGAGCCAATAAATAGTCATTGATCTTATCTTATATGCCAAATGTCATTCCAGGTACCTTCATATTCATTATTTCATTTGATTCTATAATAACCATGAAAGGAAGGCAGTGTTATTTTCTTTTGGCAGATTTCTTTTAGCAGATGAGAAAACTGAGGCTCAGATAAGTAAAGGAACTAATTGTCAAGGTCACATAGCTGTGAGTGTTAGAGGTGGGACACAAACCCAGGCCTATCTGACCTCATAGTTAGAGCTTCCCCTGCAAAGCAATTTCTTATTCCAGGCCCACTTCTGTTCCATTGAAGCCACAATGTCAAGTCACCATGGTCTCAATTGATTGCCTTTTCTCTTGAGTATGGTCACATTTTCCTGTTTCTTCATATGTCTAGTAATTTTGGATAGTATCATGAACATTGTGAATGATATATTGGAGAGACTCTGGGTTCTATTGTATTCCTCTGAAGAGTGTTGATTTAAAAAAAATTGGCTGAACTCAGAATTCAAACTCTGTCTCACCTCTGGTGCACAGTAGCCAAAACCTCAGTTTATTTCTTTTAATCTTAGCTGGGTTGGAGCCTTCCCTATGTATGTATGCTGAAGGATCAGCCAGAGATTTGGGCAGTTTATACATAGAAATTGGGGTTTAATCTCTGTGACTCTCTCCCTTATAGGATTTCTCAAATCACTTTCCACTGGATTTGTTCACCCACATTTTCTCTGATTCTTCAAGCAACTAAGACTGTGGATTTCCTATAAACTTAGCTACAGTATGTGACACTGATTATGATCTGCCCTCAGGAGAAAAGCTTTAAAAACATTAAGTCCACCCATTGCTATTCTTCCAAGTGTCAATTCCCTTCCATTTTTGCCTGCTTTTTGTTTCACCAGTGCCTTTAAGTAGCTTTAAAATATCTTTTCCAGAGTTTATAGTTGTTATCTGAGGGAGGACAGATCTGATGGTAGCCATTTGATCATTATTGAAAGCCTTGTTTCATTTTTGAGCAGGTGATTCCTCCAATGGCTCTTACCAGGCAGGGTTTGTTTTAAAGCTACGTCAGGCTTAGCAGAGTCTCTAGGAATCTGGTCTTCAACTCCTAGCAGTAGATACTTATACCATGACAATGATGTGTTGTACCTGGCTCTTGGAAGCGTTTGCAACCATGTGTATGCCAACCTTCTGGGTGGTGTTACCTTCTGTGTTCCCTTTACTATCACCTTCCTTGGGAAGGAGAACTCTAGGCTACAAGGGGCATCCAGCCTCAGGTCCCTCTCCCAGGTGCCCTCTTGCATGGAGTTGGAGGGGTGGGCTTTGTCCCTTCCTAAAGCACACTCTTGGCAAAGTCTTGATTGGGAGAAGAAGAGGTGTCAGAAGGGAGAGAGAGGCAAACTTCCCAACTTGGCAATGTCATCCAAGTGTATGTCTCTTTAAACTCTGCCTTAGGGGGCTTGTCAGATGGCCACCACCTGTTCAGCTTCCCCCAGACACTTCTGGGGCTCCAGATGTGTGCCAAGAGCTGGGAAAAATTGGCTCTTCCACGAAATTCCTTTCCTCTTTCATTGGAGATATCAGAAAGGCTAGAGCATGATGGCAAAATCGCTGTGCTTTTAAAAATGTTCCTGCTTTGTAGAGGCGTTGTTTTCCTCCCCTGTTTCTTCTTTTAAAAATCTCCTGTGTGTCAGAGATGAAGCCAGAAGAGAAATGTCCCTTTGATGGCTGAGAATTATTGTTCTAAAAGCTTTATTTAAGCTGCTCTTAACAAAACTCAAACATCTGGCTTGTGGTGCCTGTGTGCCAGCTTTCAGCTTGAAGGGGAAGGCATAGAGATGGCAAGCTCTGAGGCTTGGGGGAGGAAGGCAGCGCCTGCTATGGCCAGCTCTGCTTCCGAGGCCACTGCCTGCACTGTGCCTCCTTGATGGGGTTCTGTGGCCGGGGGCAGAGGAAGAAAACCACTTTCTTGAGCTTGCCTTTATGATAGAGACATTTTGCTAGAGTAAATGTATCCAAGCCCATCCCTCAGGGCTTAAAATATGAGAGAGAATCAGAACTTGAGCCTAAGAGAAGCTGGGCTGTGCAGAAATGGAAGGAGGGTTGTATTTATCCAACACATATTCTATGCCAGATATTTTTATATCCATTGTCAGGCTCAATTACTGCAACAACTCCATGCAGCAGATATTAATATCCTTTCATTACAGATAAGAAAATTGAGGTTATAACTTGCTCAAGTTTACCTAGTTAGCAGGTAGCAGAGTCAGGACCCAACCTCAAGGCTGCTGCCCCCAGAGCCTGGGTTTCTTCCATTATGTCTGACCTCCTCTCACATGAGCCCTGAAACCTGGATTCTCAGGGCAACATGCTGTCTTCCTCTTCCAAAATGCACAGGGGATCTTTGGTTTGGAGAGGAAAGGGATGGGATCTGATGGCAAATGACTTCTCTGACAATGCAAAGGTAAACATGCACTGCTCCAGGCTGGAATTCTGACCTTGGCAACCAAGAGCTGGGTGATGTTGAGCAAGTTACTTAACTTCCCTGAACCTTAGATTTTTCAGGTGGGGATAAGACCACTCACTGGGGGGATCCCAGCAAGAAATGTGTGTAAAAGCCAATGGTTCTGTGCCCAGCCCAGAAGAGGTGCTTAGCAAGTGTTAGTCTTTCTCTTCCTCCTCTTCTACAGCTAAGAGAGGTTCAGGGCCCAGCCCCAGAACCAGGAGTCTAGATGCACAGACCTGGAGGAAATCGAGGGGGACTAGGCCAGGTACCTTGAGGGGCTCCAGCTGCCTCTGGTTTTTCGAGGTTGGTGTTCAACCCCATGAGGGGACTGAGTGAGCCTCAATGTGGGGCTGGTCCACGTGTGTCTCTCACCTGGTGGGCCCTGGATCCTGGAGGTCTCCCTTCTGGAGGTCCCTCAGAAACCACTGCATCCACCCTTCACATTTTACAGGCAGGAAGACGGAGGCCAGAATAGGAAAGAGACTTGGCCAAGGCTACATAGCAAATAGGAGGACGAGCTGGAGCTAGGCCTCAGCCTTTTAGCCTCTGAAGCCAGCGCTGGATAGCAGAGAGTGCATGTACTCTCTGTTCCCTGAAGGCACCAGGGCTGTGGTTTCCCCCAGAAACTGTGCCTCTCCTGAGGCCCAGCGGCCCTTACCTGAAGCCAGCAGGGGATGTGAAGAATGCCTGGAGTGACTCCCGCTCCTGCTGATGTGGCTCTGATCTGCCTGCAAGCATCTGTTCACCACTCTCTGATCATTACGTGGGTGGAATCTGCCCATTAGTACTTCACACCCAGGGTCTCAGCATTGCCAGGCAATTAGGATGCCCAAGATCTGAATCACTTGCTGCTGCTTCGGAATGTACTCAGGAAAGCTTTCTCCCTTTTTCTTGAGGCCCAGTGTTTCCAGCTGTGAACTGAAGGCAAGGGACCTGCCTTGGAGGATGACAGTGTTTGGAGAAACACTAAATGATGCTTTGGAGGCCTGAGACATTAAAACAGATAAATATAGGGCATCCCTATCATTTGATCTTTCTTCACATTTCCCTCAACAACTGCTCTTCCCTTTTCCTCCCTTTCTGTTTCCTCCTTTCCTTCCTGTCTCCCTTTCTCCTTTCTGATACTTGTTGAGCATCTGAGAGGCGTGATAGAGGCCTGGGAAGTGGCACTGGGCAGTGGAATCATAGGAGACAGGGCGAGTATGTTTGGAGAGTTTCTTGAGACTCCCAGGAACAGGCGGAGCCACAGGAGAGAATGGAGAGAAACTGCAGAAAAGATAAAGGTGGTCATCAGAGCAGCGCCAAACCTCAGGAGAAGCTGGAAGAAGGACATTTAAGAGGATATTAGGCCTTCAAGGAGCTGAGAATTAAGCTGAGCCTGCAGGGACCCAGCCAGGGACTGGGAATTCTACATCCTTTTCCAAAAAAACAGACACCTAGGTGGCTTTTGGTCCATGTTTACCGCAGGGGACTCATGTAGCAGTGCCTGCTGTAAGCCCTGCTGGCTGAGATCCTCTCTGGAGGTTGTAGGCTCTGAGCCTGGAGCAGAGGACCTGTCTTGTTGACCTTTGGCAGGGGCATTGCTGTGGTCTAGATCCCAAGATAGCCTATGCCAGTGGGGCTGCCCATGGGTTCCTCCAGCATCTGCTCTGCCCTTGGCACCCTGTTCCTGAGGAACTGCTTCTTCCAGAGGAATAGGATATCCTAAAGACAAGGCCTGTGTCATATTCACCTGGGGATCCCCAGACCCTAACCCACCATGACTGATCAAAGGCAAGGCAGAGGCATTGTGGAAGAACAGAAAGAGTAATGGTGTCCGAGTCAATCCCATTTGAATTAGAATCCCAGTTCCGCTGTGTTCAAGCTCTGTGACTGCCATAGGTCAGTTTCTCCTGCAAACAGATTCTGGAGAACTAAATTTGTGTGCAGAAGGTTTACAGGGGTGTGCACTCAGGAAAAATACCTGTAAGGGAGTGAGGGAAGCAGGATGGGGTGGAGGGAGAAGTTGAATCACTCTGCTGCTGTTGCAGCAGAGGCCTCAGCCAACCCCCTGGGGGAGTTCTGGGGCTAGAATAGCACTTGAACATTATCCCAGACTGAGGAAAAGGAGGCTGTACCTTTGTAACTCTTGTAGAACAGTCATTGGAGGTGGGCTTTCCAGGGAAGGGGCATATGCTTGGGTGAGGCAGCTTTTGACTGAAGGCAATGCCTGAAGAGGGACTCAGCTGTGAGCCCTCAGTTGTCAGCAGACCTGGCAGCTGGGAAAGTGAGAGCCTCAGCCCTTAGGGGGAGACCTTGGCAGCATACCACAGTATCCACCACAGTGACCTTGAGCAAGGCGCTTAGCTCAAGTGGGGACTCAGTTTCCACTTATGAAATGGAGAGAATTGATTTATTTGTTCAGAATCTCTTTCAGGTGCTAGAGAATATGGCAGCAAACAAAACAAAGCCCCTGCTTACACGGTAGCTGGAAAAGAGAAATGACTGGAGTCAGAGGGTGTTAAGTTCTATGGAGAAAAATAAGGCAGTAGGAGACAGGGACTGCTGAGTTAGGCAGCTTTTTATTTTCCACAAAGTGGACAGAGTAGACACCTGAAAGAAGTGAGCCAGGAGACCATCTAGGTCAAGGTTTATCCACCTTAGTACTAGTGACATTCTTGATTGGATAATTCTTTGTGATGTGGACTGTCCTGTGCATTTTAGGATGTTTAGCAGCATCCGTGGTCTCTACCCACTAGGTGCCAGTAGCACCCTCTCTCCAGTTGCGACAACCAAAAACATCAAATGTCCCTTGGGGGCAACACTGTCCCCTGGTTGAGAACCACTGGTCTGGGGGAAGAGAATCCCAGGTAGAGGGAACAGCCAGAGCAGAGCCCCACAGGTGAGCACATGCTTGGCGTGCCATGGTCCGGTGAGGATCCCAGCATGGCTGCAGTGCAGTGAGTAGGGGTCAGCAGGAGAAGAGAGGGCTGGCAAGATGGCAGGTCATGTAGGGCTCTGTGGGGCATTGTTAGGATTTTGGTTTTGACTCCAAGTGAAAAGGAAGCCTTGGAGGGTTTTGAGCAGATAAATGATATGCTTTGACTTATATTTAAAAAGAATTCTTTTGGCCGATCGAATGGTGATCGAAGATTAAAGATGAGGTTTCTGACACATTACAGGTGCTCAACAAATGGGCCTGTCATCCTCAAGAACAGGGGAAGCGTGCCTTTGGTTTGCATTGAAGGTCATTGGGCAACTTGGCTGTCATGCTATCCTAGGTATATAGAGTTTTGTCTTTGTGATTCAGGCCAATAAATCAGGACCTTAGAATGTGAGGGGTGGACAGAGCAAAAACACTGAGCCTAGAGAGGTGAAGCGATGTGAACAGCCATCCCCTGAGTAAGTGGCAGTGCCAGGGTTAATATCTGTGGAAATGCTCTTTGGGAAGAGCAGTCTTTGATGGTGACCTAATTTGTGTCTCCTTATGTGAGTGTTTTTTTTTTAATTAAAAAGAGAGATAAAATTCAAAGACAAGAAGAATGTGCTCAAGGCTGGATGGGCTTTTGCACAAATAAAAGATTTGCCTGGAAAATTAGTCATAAAATAATAACAATCAAAAGATTGCTTTGGCCCTGATCTTCCAAGGCAGGAAGCTGGATTGCTGAGTCAGCATCTGGCAGTGGCTTCTTTCTGAAGCTGGGGAGCTACCGTTTTGTCTCAGCAGAACAGGCAGAAGGAATGTCTGCTGTGAGACCCACTTGCTTCCACTTTTGTGGTCTTGAGTGATATTTCTCTAATGGATGAGTCCCATTCTGAGATGGGAAAACAGAGGCAAGGATGACCTTGAGATGGTCCTCTGCTCCAGGTCCCCTTTGACTACATTGACTGGACATTCAGCATGGTGTAGACAGAGCCTGGATCTATAGGCCAGAGATCTAGGCTCTATTAGATCACCACTGTCTGGTTTTGTCACATTGGTCAGGTCATGAAATGTTCTGGTGCCTACATTTCCTCATCTCTTGGCTAGAGACATTAGTTTCTCTGCTCTCCTAGGGTAATCTTATGATAAAAACACTTTATCTTCCACAGTTTCTCAGCTTACTGCTTTGCATTGAATGGGCACCTGATACACATTTATTGAGGAATGAATATTTATTGAGAAAAATGAGGTGATGTATGGGAAATATTAAACTGGAGCATGAAGGACTTTGTAAGAATACCTCAACATTATTTATTGTGTGAGCCTTTGGCCTCTGGTGAGTTGATGGGCCACAGATGGAGAGATTTCTTTTACCTGCTCACCTACCCTAGGCCACACTATACAGAACTTTCCAGGGAAAGTTTCTTTGTTGTGCTTTGTGGCCCTTTCTGAGCGGTGGTTAAAGTACTGCCTCTGGGACAGGGTAGCACCATTTGATTGCTGTGGCCTGATGGGGGCCATTCCTGACCCCCATGCACACAGGCAGTGGTGGACATTTCCCCAGGGCTTGGGGCTCCTAGTAAGGAGAAGTTCAGTCGTGATCACAGGAAACACAGTCCTTGCTCATGGGGACTTCTCCATGCCCTCAAAGGAAGCTTTGGGGTCTGCAGACCTGGGTTTGAATCTTGGCTCTGTCCATTATTATTATATGTTCTCAGGCAAGTTGCTAAATTGCTCTGCCTCACTTTTTTCATATATAAAATGGGGTTATTACAAATAACAAAAGAAAAAATAGATACATTGGACTTCATCAAAATTAAAACTTTTGTGCTTCATAAGATACTAGCAAGGAAGTGAAAAAATAACCCACTGAATGGGAGAAAATATTTTAAATCATATATCTGATAAAGAACTTGTATTTAGAATATATAAAGAACTCTTGCAACTCAATAATAAAGGGACAAATAACTCAATTTAAAAATGGGCAAATGGCTGGGCATAGTGGCTGACACCTGTAATCCCAGCATTTTAGGAGGCCGAGGCAGGCAGATAACCTGAGGTCAGGAGTTCAAGACCAGCTTGGCCAACATGGTGAAACCCTGTCTCTACTAAAAATACAAAAATTAGCCAGGCACAGTGGCACGTGCCTGTAATCTCAGCCACTTGGCAGGCTGAGGCAGAAGAATCTCTTGAACCTGGTAGGTGGAGGTTGAAGTGAGCCGATATTGTGCTATTGCACTCCAGCCTGGGCAACAGAGTGAGACCTTGTCTCAAAAGAAGAAAGAAAAGAGCAGAGAATCTTAATAGACACTTCTTCAAATAAGGCACACAGATGGCCAATAAGCAAATGAAAAGATGCTTAATATCATTCCCCTTACGGAAATGCAAATCAAAACCACAATGAGATACCACTTTATCACTTTATATCTGGTGGGATGACTATATAAAAAAGATAGATAATAACAAGTGTTGAGGAGAATGTGGAGCAATTGGAACCCTCATGCACTATAGGAGAATATAAAGTGGTGAGCCATTTTGTCTGGAAGTTCCTCAAAAGTTAAACGCAGAGTTTCCATATGACCCAGCAATTCTGCTCCTACGAATATACCCACAAAATAATGAAAACATACATCTACACAAAAATGTGTACACAAACATTCACAGCAGCATTTATTCACAATAGTCAAAAGATAGAAACAACCCAAATGTCCATCAGCTATGAAATGGGTAAGCAAAATGTGGT
Source organism: Homo sapiens (assembly GCF_000001405.40). Lineage (NCBI taxonomy): Eukaryota > Metazoa > Chordata > Mammalia > Primates > Hominidae > Homo > Homo sapiens. The sequence goes on along the minus strand of NC_000017.11, from coordinate 34,872,702 downwards.
ATATCCATACAATGGAATATTATTTGGCCATAAAAAGCATGAAGTACTAATATATACTATAACATGGTTGAACCCTGAAAACTTAATGCTGAGTGAAAGAAGCCAGTTGCAAAAGACCACATATTGTATAATTCCACTTACGTGAAATGTGCAGAATAGGAAAATCTACTGAGATAGAAAGTAGATTTGTGGTTGTCTAGAGCTGGGTGGATGAGAGGATTGGGGTGAAATGATAACTAAAGGGGAGAGGAGTTTCTTTCTTGGCGTGATGTAAATGTTCTAAAATTGTGGCGATAAGTCACACAACTCTGTGAATAGAATAAAAACCATCAAATTGTGCACTTCACTGGGCGAATTCTGCAGTATGTGAATTGTATCTTCACAAAGCTGTTGCCAAGGAAAAGTGGGGGTTATTAATAGGTTCTACCTCTCAGTTTTGTTGTGAGGGACAATGAGATAAAGCACAGCCTCTAGTATATAATGAGCTCTCAGTAAGTGCTCACTATTTTATTATTACCATTATCACTGGGCCATTGGAGATTGTATGCAATAAGGAACAGAGTAGCTAGCATACTTCCTGACGTGTAACTGTTGATTCCAACGTTAGTGCCCACTCCTTTCTTTGGACGGGCAAATCTTGGAGGTGCAGGAAGACTCCCACTGAATCCAGGACTCTGGTCAAGCTTACCCTGTGGCAGGAATATTTACAGCTCCACTTGGGAGCCTTAAGCAGCCAGGGCAAAGTTTGGTTTTGGCCCCATAACAGGGTTTATTAAAACTACAGACCTCTAAGTTTCTCCAGAGAAACTCAAAGGGGCATTTGTGGTTCAAGTCCTGTCTGCCAACCTGTCCGTTTCACTGCTCCCTGTCCCTCCATCCCACTCAGGTAGGAGCTCGGCAATTTCTCCTCTTTGTTCTGGGTTTGCTCAGTAAGGAGCTGAATTATTGTCTTTATTATTGGGCCCCCCTGAGCATTTTCAATTTGAATCCTTCCCTGTAGCCTAAGTCTTTCCCCTCAACTTCTCTTTGTAGTGCAGATTAGCTACTTGGAAGGATATTTTACATTATTTTGCTCCCAGGAGGCATTGAGAAGACACAGGGCTGAGCTGGGGGTTGAGGTGGGAGGCTTTGGTGCAAAGATGCTAGTTTTATTGGTTTTAACTCTATCCCACAATTCTGGTCCAGGACACAGCTCTTGGGCCTGTCCTTCTTATCATTCACCTTCCCTCTCCCCCAGCCATTTTCCCCCCATCTCATTTATCAGCTACAGTGGTAAGTGTGGGTATGGCAGGAGGGAGTCATGGATATGAGGGAATAACACTGCACCAATTCCTTTATTTCCCCATAGTAGTATCTAGTACAGAGAGGGAGTTTCAGGGTCCTGTTTTCACACAGGGCATATGTGTGTGTGTGTGTGTGTGTGTGTGGAGAGGGTAGAGAGAAAGAGACAGAGAGAATATGTGTGTGTGTGTGTATGTGTGTGTGTGTTGAAAAGAGACCCAGAGGAATATTCCAAGAATTCTAACATCAGAATAATAGGAACTCCAAAACAGAGAAAACAAAGGGGTAAAGATTATTAAAAAACAATACAAATAATTGCCTACGTGGAATAACCTGAATCTACACACTGAAAGGGTCTGTCAAGACTGGGCCAATTGGAGATCCATGTGAAAAAGAAATGAATCTTAGTTCTGATATCATACTATACACAAAAATTAATTCAGGATGGATCATAGACATAAATGCAAAAAGTAAAGCAATAAAGTTTCCAAAGGAAACCTGCCCCACCCCCCAGAAGAATTGCTTCATGTCTTTGAGATGGGCAAAGGCTTCTTAAACAGAATTAGAAAACCCATTAATTATAAAAGAAAATATCATTAAATAAGACCCTATTAATTTTTGTTTTGTTTTGTTTTGTTTTGAGACAGAGTTGCCCTGTCACCCAGGCTGGAGTGCAGTGGCATGATCTTGGCTCACTGCAACCTCTGCCTCCCAGGTTCAAGCGATTCTTTTGCCTCCTGAGTAGCTGAGATTACAGACGTGTGCCACTATGCCCTGCTAATTTGTGTATTTTTAGTAAGGACAGGGTTTCACCATGTTGGCCAGGCTGGTCTTGAACTCCTGATCTCAAGTGATCCACCCGCCTCAGCCTCCCAAAGTGCTGGGATTATAGGCATGAGCCACCGCACCCGGCCAACCCTGTTAAAATCAAGAACTCCTCTTCAGTAAGAGACCATATTAAGATAGTGAAAAGGCAAGCCAAAAATGGAAAAATATTTGATTTTATATACATATATATATATGAGGTAATTTCCCAAGTGGCTACTTTTTTAAAGTTATCAACTGGGAGGAGATATGAAGGGACTCACTGGGGTCCTGGAAATGCTTATATCTTGATATGTATTATGAATTTGATATATATAGGATATATATCAAATTCCTTTTTTAGGTATATGTGTATACACACACACACACACACACACACACACACACACACATATTATTCACATATATCCAAAAAAGGAATTGTATCTACAGTCTATAAGGAAACCACATAAATTCATTCATAAAGGAAGAAATTTTTACTTTTAAGATAAACAAAGGATTTGAATAGGCACTTTACAACGAAAGTCAATAAAAGAAATACAGAGTGGTCAATAAACATATTAAAAAGTGCTCAATATTATTAGTCATCATGGAAATGCTAATTAAAACCACAATTAAATACCATTACATCCCTACTAGAATTGCAAAAATAAAGGTCTGAAAATACTGGCAAGAATGTGGAGCAACTGAAACTCTCAAACATTGTTGGTGGTAGTTTAGGTTTGTACAATCACTTTGAAAAGCTGTTTGGCAGGATCTACAAAAGCTAAATATATGCTTACCCTGTGATCCAACCATTCTATCTATAGATATACACTCAAGTGAAATGAATACTTATTTCCACCAAAAGACATGTACAAGAATGTTGTAGAAGCACTGTTTATAATAGCTCAAAACTGGGGACAATTTCACTAAGTGAAATAATTCAGAAACAGAAAGTCAAATACTGCATGCTCTCACTTACAAGGGGGAACTAAACAATGGGTACACGTGGACATACAGGGTGGCATAACAGACATTGGATAAAATATAGAAGGTGAAAGGATGGGAGGGAGATGAGGGTTGAAAAATTACATATTGGGTACAATGTTCACTATTTGGGTGATGGGTACACAAAAAGCTCAAACTTCACCACAACATAACATATGTATGCAAGAGGCCTGCAATTTTACCCCCTAAACATAGTTTTTAAAAAACTTGGGACAATTCCAAATGTCCATCAACTTTGTTTAAAGAAATTGTACACACAACAAAATATTATGCAGTAATGAAAAAGAACTAAAAACCTCTACATGGAACAATATGGGTGAATGTCAGAGAAATGTTAGGCAAAAGAAGTCAAACAAAAAAAGAATACATACTGTAAAAGTCCATTTAGATGAAACTCAAAAAAGGAAAAACTAATCTATGGTCATAGAGGTCAGAACAATGGCTACTCTTGGAAAGTTATCAACTAGGAGGAGACATAAAGGGACTCATTGGGGTCCTGGAAATGTTTATATCTTGATATGTATTTGTGTAGTTTATAATATGTTACAAAATTTGTTACAATAGCTACAAAACTACCTGTAAGTTCCAGCTTAAAATAAGAAATAAAGGGCCCCTTAAGCATCCAACACAATAAATGAAAAGAGCCCACACCAATTCACACATCATTGTGAGTCAAAAGAGCCACAGGAGAAGAGAATATTCTAAAGATTTCCAAGAAGGAAGCCAGGTCACTTTCAGAGGAACAAGAATCAGACCTGCACCAGACTGTCATCAACAACATCAGACACTTTCACATTCTGAAAGAAATGATTTTCAACCTAAGCTTTCTACATCCCACCAACCCATTATTCAAATTGCAAGAACCCATAGACTGTCTCCCATAAATCCTTTTTAAGGAAGCAACTTGAGGATGTCTTTTAATAAGTAAGGGAGTAAACAAAATAGGGGAAGACTGGGAATGCAAAAAGCTATACATAGAAATCAGAAGAGCTGTGCACAAGCATAAAGAACAACCAGTCCAGATTGAAGCAAGAGAACTGAGTGCTCCAGCAGGCAGGGGTGGTGGTGGTCCCTAAATAAAAGGGGAACTCGGTAGAATGGGCTTTATAAAGACTTTTAAAAAATTGGAAATGTGACAAAGACAATTAGGACTAAAGAATAAAGAAAGACAACTCAAAACGTATAAACACACACATACACATTTGTATCTGAAATGAAACTGTGATTATAGTACACTACTTGGCTCTGTAGTGAACAGTCTTTACCTAGGCACAATAATAGAAATACTTTTCAGTGATTTTCAACTCTTGGAATCAATCTGAAAGAACTATTGTGGTTACAGAGTAGATGTAGATATTATCAGTTTTTACAGTGTAAAAGTAGAAGTGTAGATGACAGACAGCATTAGGAGGTAGAAGTGGGAGAGGTGAGGTGAAGGGAAGGATGGGGGTAGAAATATTCTTTTTGTACAATGTACAAATTCTCTTTAAAAAGTGCATCTGTAGAGGATGGAAGATCACAAAAGTAACCAATAGAAGAACTAAAAATAGAGATATGGCAGGAGGGATGGAGGTGGTGTGAGTGAGATAAATCCTTGTCTATTCTAGCAGTAAGTCAATAGATTGTGTCTAAAATTGATGAATCAAGAAATATCAGTAGAAGCATATTATTTAGAAAAATGGAGGTAAATATAAGAAAAGACATTTAAAAAAGTTAGATGTGGCTGTCTAGGGGGGACAGAACAGGGAGTAAGAAGTATTTTAACAGGAAACTGTTTTTAACCTTGTGCATATATGACTTTGAATAAAAACAGACTTTGTTTTTTTTTAAAGAAAAAGGGATGCAGGCCAGATCTAGGAGGAGATTATAAAACCATCATCTTTTCCTAAGGACAATCAAGGCATCAAAGAGCCCCTAGTCAGCCCCCCACCTGGAACAGGACTTCCAGTAATGCTTTGAAATCTGGTGGCTGTGAACTCATTCAGTCTTTACAGGAGCAGAGATTTGGATACTTTGAAATGTCACTAATTTTCTTGCCAAGGCTTCTTTGTGATAAACTTCAGCTCCCCCTTTATCCCCCTCAAAAATACAATTTTCAATAAATAGCAAACTCATAAATAACATGGGGCACCGTGGCTCCTAATGAAACAGTGACAAATGCTATATCTTCATGGGATCAGGAGAAATAACAAAGGGGGGCACATGGAGGGAGCTGGAGCCCTCAGAGCATGTGAGATTTTATTAAAAATCCTTTAAGTTTCATGTGGCCCATTACAGTCATTCTCTTGCAAAATAATTAAACATTGTTCAGAGACATGGCTGCTTTATTAGGAGAATGCTTTATTAGTGAAGGGTAGACTTCAAGTCTGCCCAAGAAAGGTGGAATGGGCTGGCCTGCAGTCTGGAGGCCCGGGTTCTCTCTCTAGCTCCCTTGAAAGGCAACTGTATGGCCTGGGAGAGTCCTTGGTACTCCCTGGGCCTCAGTCTCTTCCTCTGTAAAATGGGAGGGCCAAATTGGATTTTTGTTCCTAATCTGTTTGTATGTGGTGGACAGGTTTTCTCCCTCTGGAAAATGTGCAGCCACACACATGTAATTTTGTACATAATTTCAGGAGGCTCGCAGATCCTCGACATCCCATCTGCAGTCCTCTAAGGTCATACTAGCTTGGATACTCAAGGATTCTGTTCTTTTCCTTCTCCATGGATCATGGCCTACAGCATCTGGCTATGGTTTTAATCAGATCATTGTTTTAACAGGGTGAAGCAGAGCTTTCCAGGAAAGTTCTTGCTCTCCATAGGTACCATCTTTCACCAAGCACTGGCTGGTGGTGTGAGCATCTAGTGCTTGGTGCAAACCTGGCTTGCAAACATCTGACCTAGGAATGTCCTGCACGATCAGCCAGCTAGCGTGTGCTGGACTCAGCTCCGCAGCAGCTGATCCCTGTGGAAGGAGACCAGCTCCTTGAGACTTCAAATCCCTGTTCCTGAGGGGGGCAGTCCCAGGCCTTTTCCTGCAGTTGTGATGTATAGGGGAGCTCTGTGTGGCTCACTTTCAGGGTTCCTGGGCCAGCATCTTCAAGTTCCCCACTTATTCTATTCCCCAAATGCTACCTATGACACTGCCTCTGGAATCCCGCTAAGCAAATGATTCTCTGCTTCTTAAGCAAATCTTTCTCCCCCTAGACTGGGGAGGCCCATGAACCTCATCCTCCGTCCCTGCACAGTGTGTAGGTTCTTCTGTCTCCCTGTGTGTGTCTGGCTGCTCGAAAGCCCAGCACATCTATCCTAGCCTCCTAGGCTGCTGATACCACTTGGAAGCATAATAACCACCATTTCTTGAGCACCTTTTACATGCCTGATGCTGAACACAGTGTCTTCATCCCCATGGTTACAGAGGGAAAAACGGACACTCAGTGAGGTTAAGGAAGGTGGCCAGGGATACAAAGCTGGAAATGGCTGTGGGTGGCAAACTTATAAGATAGTCCCCCAATAACCCCAGAATTCCTGCCCCTTGGTATCTATGCCCTTGAGTAATTCCCTGTCTCTGAGTGTGGGCTGGACCTAGTGACTTGATTCTAACCAACAGTGTCGCAAAGGTGGTAGGATGTCCCTTTTCTGATTAGGTTACAGAAGATTGTGACATCAGTGTTGCTAGCAGGCTCTTTATTGCCCTCTTGGCTTGCATGCTTTGATGAAGCAAGCTGCCATGAGGGGGAGGCCCATGCGGTCAGGAACGGAGGCCCTCATTGCGACGGCCTGCAAGAAACGGAATCCTGCCAACAGCTATGTGAATGAGCTTGGAAGTAGATTCTTCCCTACACAAACCATTAAATAAGATTGCAGACCTTGGGCCAACCCCTTGATTGCAGCCTTGTGAGAAACCATGGCTTGCAGAGGACTCAGCTAAGTTGCACCCAAATTCTTGACCCTCAGACACTGTGAGATAATAGATGTATTGTTTTAAGCTGCTAAATTTTGGGAATAATGATTACACAGCAATGGACAATGAATACAATGGCCAAGCTGGGATTTGAAGCCAGGCCTGCCTGGCGTGGAAACTCTGGATGGGTTCCTTTGCACCAGGCTGCCTCTCTCCACCTTCCCAGTTCAGCCCCAGGGTGGAGGAGCCGCAGGGATCTGGTGGGCCCTGTAGCACCTCAGCCTCACATACACAGTGCAGGGTCTGGTGGACAATGACATAGCCATGACTGGAGGCTGGGGGATGGTTAGTGAAAGAGGAGAGCACTCGATCAGGAGCCTCTGGGCTTTGCTCCCAATGAGCCCTGGGACCTCTGATAGGCTTTGCATGCTTTGGGGCTCAGTGTCTCTGTGTAAAATGGGGTTGTTGGAGGAGGACATTGCTAAGGCCATTCCCACCTGGCTCCTCTGAGTGAGAGCTGGATTCTCTGTCTTCCTGAGGTCTTTCCAGGCAGCCCCACCTCCAGAGTGGAGTGATCGCAGAGGGAGGATGGAGGGTGGGAATAGAGGCTGTGGGAAGCTGGTCTGGTGGCCTTTGTGACTTGAGTCCCTAGTCGAGGGGAGTCCTGCCTTAGCCCCTGAAATTCCTATCTAACTACCATTTTTCTGGGGGGTCTATCAGCGAGTTTTGGGTCTGGGGAAGAAAAAGAAGCCCTCTGGACTGGAGGCCTTATTCCCAGAGCAAAGGTGAAGGTGGTGGGACAGTGTGTATCCTAGCTCCGGTGGTGAGACTGGACTTCAATAGGGGACACTTAGTATGTGCAGGGCGTGATAAATGCGTGCTCATCTTCCCTCTGAATTATTTCAGTTCTCTGGCCCCGGGATGATTTATGCAGCTGAAAGGCTAAAACAAAAGTTACTCAACTTATTTCTTCCTCTTCTTTCCTTGCCCTTTTCTGTATCTCAACAGGGGCAGAGATGGGAGGAATTTTTTGGTTCTTTCTTTTTTTTTGTTTTGTTTTTTTTAACCATCTCTAGTAAATTATACCTTTGGATACTCACACAGGCCCCTCTGCTGTCTCTGAGCTGCATGGAGACCCTGAGGTCCAGAGAGACCTCCTGTAATGCTCTAAGGAGACAGGCAGGTAGAGGGCTTCAGCGTGCAGGCTTGGAGGCAGACCTCTTGGTTTGAATCCTGGCTCCACCACTTACTAGCTGTGTGACTTTGCTAAGTTACTTAACCTCTCTCAGCCTCAGTTTTCTCATTCTATAAAATGAAGACTTTACCTTATTTCATAGGATTGTTGTAAGTACTGAATGTGACAAAGTATGTAAGGAGCTCAGCATGGTGCTGGGACATAGTTAGCAGTGAGTCAATGCTAGTGATGATGTTTATTCGCTGTCCTGAGATGCGACCAACTTTAAGTCTGTTGACCTTTAATCCTGTGTTTTTCCCCAGTAGGCTGTGTTACCAGCTGCGCCTCTCTGTGGAGTTCTGTTGCTCCTCTAAAGTTGGCACTTTGTTTAATTCTAATTTAACCTTGTTTTTCTGCTGCTTCTTGAACGTGTCCTTCAGTCCTTTCTTGGAGGCAGCAGGGGTGAGAGGAAGATGAGAAGGAAGAAGAGGAGGGGAAGGCAGAGGAGAGAGAAAAGAGAGCATGATAGTGGGCCCCAGAGGAAGAGGACCTAGCTTCTCACCTTGGAAATCTACCTAAAATTCACCAATAACTTTCACATTCATCATCCTTTTCCCCCCCGCATCTGTAGAATAGATGGGGTTATTAACATGTGTAAGGTTTTATTGTTCCCATTTGACAGAAGGGAAAAGCTGAGATTCAGGGGAATAAAGTGACTTGCCCATGGCAACGCTGCTGGAAAGAAGTAGAGTGGATCCACCTTGGTATTTGGGTCAATGTCTGGAACCTTCGCCATTGTTCCAGGGCTTCAGACTCACCCTTGAGACTCAGTGACCCTTGGTGAATCTCCTCTCTGGCCCTCTGTTCTCTTGTTTAGAAATGAGGTGCTGGGCCCAGATCATCTTGGAAGGCCCTTCCAGACTGGTTCTTGCTCCCAAGTGGAGCCCAGGTCTGCCTGGTCCTCAGATGGGAGGAGCAAATGTCACGGACTCTCTCTGACTTGGTTGCTGATGGGAATTTTCTGCCTCAAGTTCTTTGTGTTTTTGGAGTCTTGGGCCCTAGATGCCAAGCATCGTACTTAATTATTCAGAAACCCATGTATCCTCTGTAAGCTAGAAATACACTCCGACAGGCAAGAAATGCCACAAACTGTTTATTGCTCTTTGCTTCAAATCTGGAGTGGGAGGCAGGGGTTGGGCAGCACCTCTGGCTGCAGGAGGCAAATCCCTGTTCACATTTGGGCGTAGATGCTCCCATCTTATCTGGCTGTGTTAGGGAACCCAGGTTCCCACTCTCCCATCCACCTGCTGAGTGGCTTTTGGAGAGCTATTGTCCCTCTTGGAGCTTCAGCTTCACCTTCTGAGAAATGGGTTCACATACACCCTGCCCTCTAAGAATGGCGAGTTGTGGAGCTCACTCAGGACCTGAGAGAATTTCTCAATCATGGAGTTGAATAATGTTGCTGATGGGGTTCACCTGGTCCATTTCCTGACCTGGGTGCCGGGCAGGGAGGGAGAGTATAGAGAAGCAGTCCCTAACCTCTTTGGCACCAGAGACTGGTTTTGAGGAAGATAATTTTTCCATGGACTGGGGTGGGGGTGGGGATGGTTTTAGGATGATTCGAGCCCATTACATTTATTGTGCACTTTATTTCTATTATTATTACATTGTAATAGATAATGAAATAATTACACAACTCACCATAGTGTAGAATCAGTGGGAGTCCTGCACTTGTTTTCCTGCAACTAGATGGTCCCCTCTGGGGGTGATGGGAGACAGTGACAGATCATCAGGCATTAGATTCTCATAAGGAGACTGCAACCTAGATCCCTCACATGCACAGTTCACAACAGGGTCCACACTCCTATGAGAATCTAATGCCACCGCTCATCTGACAAGAGGCGGAGCTCAGGCAGTAATTCGAGCCATGTGGAGCGGCTGTTGATAAAAACTCTTTGCTCTCTTGCCAGCAGCTCACCTCCTGGTGTGCGACCTGGTTCCTAACAGGCAACAGACTGGTACTGGTCTGTGGCCTGGGGCTTGGGGACCCCTGGTGTAGGTAACTACAGGAGGGTGAGTGGAGATTTCCTTTGTCTCAAGAGTTTTGGGGGAAGGAGGATGTGCCTCTTCTTCTAGGGATTCATCCCAACCCTGCAAAGTCTCTTCTTTCGTGGGCTTAGGGGAGCATCAGCTCTGTACAGGGTCTTTGGATCAAGATGGTAGGAAGTAGCTGTGCTCATCAGGCCACTAAGGGGGAAGAGAGAAACAAGTGGGTCAGTCGCTGGGCTGAGGACTTTACTTAGCTGAGTTTATCTGCTTTTGTTCAGCAACCTTGTGTAGGTGCTGGTCCAAAGGATTTCTCGAGTCAGGATTATGACACCACTTATTAATCAATTCATTAATTCAATCACTTAGACATGCATTTGACCAGCATGTAGTGAGCCTGATTCTGAGTCACGCTCCGGGCTCAGCTCTGGGTAGTGTGTGTGTATGCATGCATATGCCTGCATGTGCACATGATAAGACAAGATTAAGACTCAGTCTCCAGGGATCTCACAGTTAACTAGGGGAGGCAACCACACACTGGGGGCTGGGGTGGCAGCATACAGTGGACAGAGCAAGCTACTGAGGAGGGCATGGTCCATTCTTCATTAGAAGTGGTAGAGAGGGGATATCGGGGAAGGCTTCTTGGAGGAGGGGACCTTCATGTCATATAGGATGCCTTGAGTGTTATTATACTATATGGATTTTCTTAGAATTATTACAGTGTAATTATTCCTAATGAAGAAGGTGTAAGTAGAGGGGACCATGACCAAGTGGCCACGTCTTCTAAGTTAACTGCAGAATTGGACTGTGGGGTCAAAACTCTTCCCTCCATCCCATGTGCAGTGCTCTTCATGTGGGACATGCTCCTCATCCCTAAGTGCTCATTGCAAACAGACCCCTTGAGTCTTCACACTGTGGGCAAGTGGCTTGGCTGGGACAAGCACCCTGGCCTCCCAACCCCCAGCACAGTGCTCTTGCCACTCCTGCCATTGTCCCTGTCCTCCACCAGTTCTTCTAGATAAGACTGCCCACCACTCAGGTCCTCTGCGTTGTGAGGGTTCTCCACTCCCTGGGAGCTCACAGGGGCAGGCTCAGACGCTGAAGGGATTGGGCCAGCACCTAACACTCAGCACCCTTGTCCCTGCAAGGTGGGGCCATAGAGCAGGGTGCTCCTTGGGAAGAAGCACTCCCCTCAGTACAAAGTGTACCTGGGGAGTTTTATTTCAAATGCAGCAAGAGTCACTGAGTACTTACTGTGCATGAGACACTCCTTGGGCCCAGGGTGAGGATTCAGAGAGAATCTAGGCCTGGTGGTCTCTGCCTTTGTGTGGTCAGGGATGCACCTGCAGGCTTCAGTAAGGTGTCTTTCCTGGTGGAGGGGGCACTTTCCCAGTCTATTCTTTGCTGTGTGGGCTAAAGTGGAATGTGTTTCCTATTTGGAGCTGGAGGATGTACCACATGGGGCAAGACCAAGACAGGTCTCATCTAGGAGACCACAGCATATTCCAGGCAGGTGACAACAGCAGTCTGGTGAGGTCCGAGCAGAGAGGCAGATGCTACCAGTGCCTTGCCCATGTCCCCTTGGCACTCCCTATCTCCATGCATGAGGACCATATGGTTGCCAACTGCCAGCTTGCAACCTGAGACTCTTTGCCCTAAGGCCTTTCTGGCTACTGGAACCTGCTCAGCCATCTCATGCCCTCTGCTCCTGACTGACAGGAGCTGGAGGTTGTGTACCCCAGCTTCCTTTCTTGTTGTGTGGATAACCCTGAAGTCTGCTCTCTCCTGTCCCTGAGTTCCTCAGTTGTCCTCCATAGAAACCTGGTCACTGACCTGGTTATTGACTTCCTTCTCTTCCCTGTCTCATAGCCCTCCTCTCCCTCTGGTGCTTCCTGGAGTCACCTCATAAATAAACTTCTTGTACTCAAATCCTGTCTCAGGATCTGTATCTGGGAGAGCCTGACCTAAGACACATAGTCATTAAGACAGTGGCATCAGTCTTAATCCAAATCTGGCTGTCTTGTAGTTGGTTTGAGTCTGACCCCATCATATCACCACAATATGATTGTAGGCAAGTCACTCAACCCACTGAGTGTCAGTGCCCCCTCTTGAGAGCTGGGGATGGCGATAATGCCTTGGGTGGTTTTGAGAATTAACTGAGCAAATGTTTCTGATTCATGGCAAATGCTGAATGAATAGGAGCTGTTGTGGTTATTGGATATGCAGAAAGTTTGAAAACAACCCAAATGTCCGATGATTAGCACAGTGTCCGTGGGGCTGGAAAGGTTGGGGGAATAGGAAGCTCCTTGAGACCAGTCAGAGGGAGCCAGATGGGAACGGGAGGAAGAGGAAATTTGCCTGGACTTTTTGGACACAGGCCCCACTGTCCTCAAGGAGTTTGGCTGCAGGAGCGGGGGACTTGATTTCTCAGAAATGGTGGCAAAGCTGGTGGAGAACTGAGGGGCAGCCTTGGCACATTACATTGGAAGTGCCCCTTGACCCAGGGTTCTGCTAGCTTCAGGCTCAGGTTTGCTCAGGCCCTGAGTGTGCCTGCCGTGAGCCTGAACCCCAACACTCAGTCACAGAGCCTCATCTGATGGTTGCTCACCCTACCCCCCTTTTGAGCCCAAGCTTCACTGAGAAGTATTTATTACACGTCAGTGTGATAAATGGAAAGTCATATTTTACTGTGAATTATCCCCAGCCCATGCGAGGCACAGATCTATAGCCTGGAGAGTTATTAAGTGCTTACCACGAAATGCTATAAAAAACTCATCATTTTCCCCAAGGGCCTCCCCCACCAGGGACTGGGGAGGGAAGGGGACTGGGGAGAGAAGAGGCGGCAGTCTCAGTTGTGGGAGGGGGACAGGGAAGGGTGGCGGAGCCCCCTTGGCTTGCTCTGCTCGGAGAAGGCACCTGGGGAGGGGTCCTGGAGTTCCTGGCCTTCTGTGTTTGCTTGTGATCTTGGGTAAGGTTCTAGGACTCAGTTTCTCCATCTGTAGAACAAGTGGGCATAGGGAGCAATGGTTTGGGAAGTTGTGAGCCACAAGCCACAACTGATAACATCAAGTTTAGTACCGTAATGAAATGAAGCGGACAACCAAGTGAATCTTACTCACATTTCCTGGAACTACTGACTTAACTGCACAATGAAGAGAGACTGTATCGTTTACTTTTTTTGTCTGATTAGGGATCCTGTGTATTAGTCAGGATCTTGGCAGGAAACAGATGGCACACTCACATTAGGATAATTCCATGGGGGTTTTCAGTACAGTGACAATTTATTAAGGTGTGGGCAGGGTATAGAGAAAGCACACAGATTAGTGTAGTCCCTTGGGGTTAGTAACAAGTATTACCTGGCTGTGACCCTCCTTAGGCAGCGATTGGTGAGAGCAGAGAGTGATGACCACAAGCCAGATGTCACAGGGACTGTGTGATGCAGTCTGGTCAGAGAGGAGCTGTGACCTTCTATGGAAGGAAGCCCTGCAGAGAAGCAGCCTGGGAAATGTTCACCTCTCTTCTCTTCGGTCCCCTTCCATGGCTCCCCACTGGTCAGACCGACAGAAGTCAGAAGGAGTCAGGGCCTGTGATGGGGTCCAGGCTGGTCAGCTTCCTTGGGCAGGAACAGGGTGAAGACAGAGTGGATCTGAGAGGGGAGTGGAGGAGACCCAGCCGGCCCTCCATCACAGCTGGTCTCCACTCGAGCATTCCAGGTACAGGGAGTGCACAGCGTCCCTGAGCAACAGGTCCCACTGTCCAGCAGCCCTCATTACTGGGAAACTCTCCCTTAGAGCAAGCCCAAGTATGCTTTTCTAGAAATCCTCTCCATTTAACAACAAATACAGTGGTTACCAGGCTGCATTTGGGGGAAATGGGAAATATCCAGTTTGACTACTAATTGTAGGTTTTGCACGACCAATGCAAGTTTTCATAGCTTTTTTCTTTTTATGTTTGTTGATTCCCCTCTATGAACGACGATGATACTGATGTTTGCCCTGATTCCGCATGCTGCTGGATGCTTGTGGAAGGTTTGTGTTCTCACATTGATGTGTTCGCTAAAAGATGAATATGATGGGTCCAGTATTTCAGTGTGTAAGGAACCCTGTGACCTTGTAAACTGCCCCAGATGACCTGGAGCTGAAATGCTTCTGCTTCTCTTTATACCAGGCATGTAACCTGCTTGGTACAGATATCTAGCAAGGCTGACCAGAAACCCCCACTTCTGCCCAAGCAGGTGGTCATACAGGGCAAAGGCACCTCTTCCAGAACCAGAGTCCTTGCTGGGCCAGTCCTGCAGGCAGATGCATTTGTCCTTCAAATGCTGGTCTATGAGGACTGGGGACAGGATGGGGAATGCCTGCCTTCACCAATTTCAATTTTTAGGCCAGGTGCCTTCTTCCCAGCCATTGCCCCTAAAACGCACTCTCATGGACTCAGAGGATCTCAGGAATGGGATGGACCTCAGAGGTGTGACTCTCTTTCTGACTCAATAACCCTTGAGAGCTGACCAGGATAGTGGCCCAGTTTCTGTGTGAATATCTCCGGGGACAGGAAGCTCACCACCTATAAAGGCAGTCCATGGATGTTTTAGGAGCTCTGATTATTATCCAGTCAAGAAGGCTCCTGGCCATTTTAAGGGTTTCAACTGCTAATGACAGAGGGGAAATAGACAGGAACAAAGAGAATAACAAACACCCAAGTGACACAGGCAGTGACCACCGGGGTCTGCTCAGCCTTTCCTATCTTGCCATCGGAGAAGGCTGGGAAGTGCTATTCACCTTCCCTGCCTGCCTCTTCCCACCAGGCCAAGAGCTCCACAGAGCTCCCGGCCCAGCCAGCCCTAAAGTTGCCAACCAATGGGGCCTGGATTAACTGCTGGGTCATTTGCTTCTCAGGGCCCTCCAAGCTGCCTCTCCTGTCACCCTGGGCCACCTGCCTGCCCTGGAGGGGTCGTTATGGGATATCCCTCCTCAGGAGCCTCCCCAAGCTCACTACTGTCTCAGATGCCTGCCTTCGTCTCACATGCGCCAGGCTTAGCCTGACAAGCCCGCATCTCTCCTTGGGATTTCCTGCTGCTGCATCCCTTGCCTCTGCCCTATATGGGGCAGCTGTGGGCTTCCAGACTAGACTTCTCTCCTCTGAGGAGTGGGAGGACCTCTGGGCTCTGTGGAGATTTGGGAAGGGAAAGAAGTTGGAAGAGGCAGGGCCTCACAATCTAGTCTTTGTAACGAGGCCTTTGTCCTATTAGGGAGGCATCTTCTTCCTTCCTACTTTACCTCCATCCTGGGTGAGTCCTCCCACCCTGCATCCTCTCCCACCTCCATCCTAAGTGAGTCCTTCCACCCTCCATCCACCTTCTCCTGGGTGAGTCCTTCCACCCTCGTTCCTCCCCACCCCCCTCCTAAGTGAGTCCTCCTATCCTCCATCCTTCCCTACCTCCATCTTAAGTGAGTCCTTTCACCTTCCATCCTCCCCTCCACCCATCCTAAGTGAGTCCTTCCACCTTCCATCCTCCCCCCACCTTCTCCTGGGTGAGCCCTTCCACTCTCCATCCTCCTCTACTCCCATCCTAAGAGAGTCCTCCCATCCTCCATCCTCCCCCCACCCCATCTTGGGTAAGTCCTCCCACCCTCCATCCTCCCCACCCCCATCCTAAGTGAGTCCTTCCACCCTCCATCCTCCGCACCCCCATCCTGAGTCCTTCCACCCTCCATCCTCCGCACCCCCTTCCTAGGTGAATCCTCCCACTCTCCATCCTCTCCAACCCCTCCTGGGTGAGTCCTCCCATCCTCCATCCTCCCCACCCTCCTCCTAGGTGAGTCCTCCCACCCTCCATCCTCTCCAACCCCTCCTGGCTGAGTCCTCTCACCCTCTACCCTCCCCTAACCCCCATCCTGGGTGAATCCTCCCACCCTCCGTCCTCCCCCACCCCCCTCCTAGGTGAGTCCTTCCTCCCACCTCCCATTTTCCCCACCCCCTGGATCCAGGTGGCTGGCTGTTCTTTTCCTGCCCATACTACCCTGCAAAAATTATTGATGTATTTACTTATTTTAAGAAAGCCTTAACCAATTACACAGATAATGCCTATTATTATAAAAGAATTAGAAAATATAGGTAAGTGTAAAGATGATAAAAATGCACAATCTACCACCTGGAGATAAGCACTGTTGGAATTTTGGGTGTATATATTTCCAGACTTGTATAAAGATATTTTTCCCCTTACAAGAATGGCATCATACTGTACATATTATTTTGCAACCTGCCTTTTCACTTGAAATATATGTAAGCATTTTTCCACGTCAATAAATATCCTCCCAACATTGTAGTTTATGGCCCCGCAGTGTTCTGTTGTGTGCATGGGTCAGGATTGTGGTTTTAATTCTCAGGGTGCTGGGGGTACAGGATAGAGATTACCTTCCCCATCCCCCATGTATGCAGGACGACCTCCTCTCCACCTCCTACCTGTTGGCAATTGCCCTGTTGCCCGCCCCGCCCCAGCCCCACTTCCAGGCTTAGGTTGTGTTTTTATTCTCTTCAGCTCCCCTTTCTCACTTTGCCATTCATCCTTTTCTGAACCCTCCATTGGTGCTGCTGTTCAGAGGCTGGCCTCAGTTCTGAGGCTCTCCTGGGGTTGGGGTTGTTGGCAGGGTGTGGGGGTCAAGTGCTATTGTAATTTTCAGTTGATAGAATTTCTAGTAGCACAGCAGTGGCTGAGCCAGAAACTGGAACTGGTTTTCCCAATTCCTAATCTGGAGCCCCAGACATTATCCAACATCCACTGTGCATCTCCTGATGGTCTCTGAGTCCTGAGAGAGTTGAGAAGCAGGGTCTCAGCCTTCACCTTGATCCTTTGGCTTGGGTGATTTGGCTTCCAGGGCTGTGCGTAGAGTGTTTGGTTTGGCCATGGCAGAGTGGGTTTGGGGTGTATGAGGATGACCAGATTCAGGGCTGATGGCTTTTTGAAGACAGTGGAGGATTTCATGAGGGTCTTCAAGTCCTTTCTTCACTGGAGCATTTCAGATGCTTTCCTGGGTTCAGAGAGGGAGGGCAGGGAAGGGGTAGGCGTGGATATTTGGGGAGGTAAGAACTCAGTGGTTTCCAAGCCCAGCAAAGCCCAGCTGATATTATAGTTTCATTCTGTGTCTGATCCCAGTTTGGAAAACATAGAAATGACTCCACCTCCTTAGCTCCTCCCCCGATTGGGGAAACAGAGGTTTCCAGTGGCAGATATAGACTAATATCCTGCCTGTTTGCCTACCTCCGAGGCTGGGAGGGACGTGTTCTGTTCTCCATCTCCATCCTGGGAGTCACCAGCTTTGCTCTCAACCTCCCCCAGAAACTGTGCTTTTTCACCTTTTCTACATGGCAAATCCAGGGCAGGAGTCACCTATATGCTAAGGGGACTTAGCATGCACTAAGAATATTAGCAAAAT
The DNA here is from genome assembly GCF_000001405.40 of Homo sapiens. Lineage (NCBI taxonomy): Eukaryota > Metazoa > Chordata > Mammalia > Primates > Hominidae > Homo > Homo sapiens. Next base: position 34,855,073 of record NC_000017.11, on the reverse strand, counting down.
TATGAGCTGTTTAGCTCTGATGAACTTAGGCATCATGGGCGCTTGGCATTGCACAGCTCAGTGCCGTTTTGTCTTGAATTACCTATGTGGGTGCTAGTAGGGCAGCACCACAGTCTTTTCAGTGCTGGGTGCTTCCTAAGGTCTCACTTTGGCTCTCAACAGATCTATTTAGGAATCACTTGAAAGCGATAGTCCTCTTTCCAAAAAACAGTAAGTATAGACAAGCATTTTGCATGCACTTTCAAGCTCCACAAGTGTCTCTCCTTGTTTGGAATACCCGTTTAGACGGTATAGTCACATTCTTTTTAATACAGGGTGAATTAACCTACCAAAAGGATAGTGTGGAAGGGCAGTCATTCTGTCCGTAGGAGTACCTGGATTGATGGGAGGCATGTCCCTTCCCTGGGGGAGTTCCTGGTCTGAGGGCGGGAAAGGCAGCCAACATTCTCTAGGAACTCATGGAATGAAAAGAAACAAACAATTATGGAATGACCTATACTCATTGGGGGCTGAGAAGAGTCCCAGAGCTTGAGGTGAAGGGCTGGGAAATAGATGAGTCTAATCTGGGAAGTATTCCTGGAGAAGGAGTCGAGGAAGTGATTCAAAGCAAGGAAGGATGCAGCGAAGCCAAAGGTGATGGGATGAGGGCCTGTCAGTGTGCACGTCCAGGTCCTGGTGCAAAAACTGAACTCAGCGTGGTTGCCAAAAACAGCACGATGCCCCTTCACACGTGCGCTGGCTTATAAGGTACACCTTTAGGAATATCTGCTTGTTTTCTCCCCTGACAAAGGAAAACATAAATCTGGAATGTTTCAAACATAAATCTAGAATGGCTTCGATGGATTTTTCCACCCCTTCCCTCATTTCAGGGCCTGAGGGTGTAGGCAATGCATTGTCTTCTATGTTTATCACAGCCAAGCAGAGCTGGGGGTGGCAGGCCTGCCAGCCTGGTCATGTGAAGGTGATATATGGAGGTTTGCGAGAGGGCCCCAGAGAGGAAACTTGGCATTCGTCCTTCAAACACAAAGTCATGCTCTTTATTTATTTATTTATTTATCTGCTGCATGGGGACAGCTTGCTTGCAATCCCACTGTGGGGACGTGAGACACAGGCCTGGGGAGGGAGGACCAGGGGGCCTGCTGTACTGGGCGTCCCCAAGAAGAAGCCAATATAGCCCCGCTGGTGGGTTAGGCCTTGGTGGCTGGGCAGATGGGTGGCCACGCTCTCCTGTTTCTTTCCAGGACTGTCCTGGAGCTTTGATTTCTGTGACTCTGGAATTCTGTGCTGCTGTAGACTCCATAATCAATGCTGGGGTCTGTGACTTAGGACTGAAAGACTCCAGAATTCTTTCCAAACTCAAGAAGTTTGTGGTTTTACAAAATGCACCAAGAGTTCTGTAGGATTCTCACACCCTGTAGAGGTGAGATGGGATCTATTTTTTGCTTACCCTGGAGTCTCTTCCAGGAAAGAGGAATGGGAGATCCCCTTGGGTGAAATTTTGCTGCTGGGAAAGAGAAAAACCAAATTGAGCTCAATTCTTCATTAACATCCTCTTGATAGATGGAATCCTAGAGTAAAACCCACCCCCAAACATTTCCTTCTCAATCCTGAAATTTACCCCATGAATCTTCTTTCACTGGACCCATTTTCACCACCAGGCGAAAATTCCCCCCTGGGTGCCAGAGAACACCCCGTATCTCATTCTCTACCTTGGTCACCAGCCCTTCGGACTTCTTATATATATCTGGTTCATTAAACTTGGTTTTAAGCTTCTCACTTGAAGAGTTATGGGGAGTACAGTGAGGGGGCCTTGGGATGACTGCTCATTTCATTGTTGATCCTGCCTCATTGTTAGAAAGTTCACATTCTTTTGCTCTAATGGATCTCTTTACTTAGTTGCACTATGAAGCAGTTGCCTCCTAAATCCTTTATATAAAACACCCATTATTTGAGTCCTTTTGGGAAAATAGCTATTTAGACAAGATAGGTCAGGTTATGCCATGGTGACAATAGCCTGAAAATGTTAATGGCATAAGGTTCTTTTCGTACCTCTACAAAGGTTGCCAGGGGTGTCTTCCAAGTGACAATTTGGCAACCTGGGCTGCTTCCAGCTCAGCTCAGTTCCACCATGTCACCACAAGGCCTTCTGGGTCGCAAGACCGGAAGAGACTGCGGGGAGATCACATGCTTCTCTGCTTCTCCATGCTTCAGCCCGGAAATGGTGCTTGTTGCTTCTGCCCACAGCCCATTGGTCAGAGCTGTCACGTGACCTCAGCTAACTGCAAGGTGGCTGGGAAGTGTGGGGTTCCAGATGGAATATTTGGTGAGCATGGCTGTTTCTGCTGAACTCCACCTGCCCTTTCTTACCCTCAGGCAGGTGGAGATGCCCTAGTGGCTGGGGAGTGGCTGTGCAGGCACTTGAAGGGGAACCTCCCATGGAATAATCAAAGTAGAGTAAGTGGGAGCTGGAAGGACCGTAGGAAGCATCTAGACCTACTTCCTCCTACCTCCATTTTATAGATGATTAAAGTGCAGCCCAGAGACACTCAGTGGCTAACTCATGGTCACACAGCAAGTTAGGGGCAGGGCTGGCCTCAGGGAGGGCCCCCAGAGCCTCCCAGTTCTGCACACCTGTCCCTGCACCCTTTCATTGGCTGGTCCCATCAGGCAGCTTGGGAAGGTGGAGGAGGGGTGCACTGGGAGAGTGCTGGGGCTGTGCAGCTCGGGGTCCCAAGGCCAGGAACTGGCCAGCCGCTGTTGTCTGACGCATTCATCCTGGGCATGATGGCCAATTAGTCATTGTGCCCCATTATGCCGCCTTAACAACTACGTTAGAGGCAGTCAGCACCCATGTTGTGTGGCAGCTGCGATGGACGGCGGCAGTTGTAATTAGCAGAGAAATCAGGGAGGAAGAAATGTGAAGCTTTTATAGTCAAGCAAACCTCAGAATTGAAATGACTGCTAATTGTGCTTTGTGAGCTTATTAGCACGACTCTGGTTAGTAAATAATGCCCCACATCTGTGGGCTTCTCTCTCCATTGTATTTGGGGCTGAGAATAAGAAAGAAAACAGCTTGTCCTTCTTTAGTGAGCACCTACTATGTGGCAGGCATTATTCTAACTGCTTTGTGTGTATTAACTCATTTGGTCTTCACAGTTATGAAGAAACAGAGGCACTGGAAGGCTGAGTGTCTTGCCCCAAGTACTGCAGCAGTAACTGAGCAAACAGGTCTGGCTTGGATGCTCTTAACCACTGGGCTGTAGGCACAAAGCTGGGTCTTTGTGTAAAGCAGGAGAGTGTGGGAAAAGTCAGAGGGTCCATGACCTTGGATGGGAAAAAGTTGCATCTTCCTTTTCACTAAACTTTAACTGAAATTGAGCATTTCCTTTCATTATGAAAGCAGGTAACAAACCATGGCAGAATTAGCCACACCTTGGATTTGTCACTAATAGGAATCATAGATGTTTTCATACTATATTACAGATGTTTTAATACTTTGAAAAATAATTTTTGCTCATCAATTACTTCCTACCACAAGATCTTGTCATATAATACATTGATAAAAAGGCACATATGTTACTACAGATTGCATTTAAAAAGTATTTTGATGATACTTTGATCCTATATATTTTATTTTATGCTTTTAAAGGCATAATTCTGAGAAGGATCCTGTGTGCTCACCAAAGACAGCCACAGTGCAAAGAAGATGATGAATACCTCCTAGAGGGTATCTCTGGGCCTCACTCATGTGCCCCAGAAACCATGTTATTTGGCAGTGAGTCAGTTAGATCTTGGTTCACACTCTTTCCACTCTATATGGAGCTACTGGCAATTCCTGGAATGTGCCAAGTTCTCTCTTTTCCACACCTTTGTGCAAGCTATTCCCCATGCTGGGTCAGCTGCCCTCCCCGCCCCTCCCCCTATTCCCCATGTTGGGTCAGCTGCCCTCCCCGCCCCTCCCCCTATTCCCCATGCTGGGTCAGCTGCCCTCCCCACCTCTCCCCCTATCACCTGGCTCCTTGGTGCTCTTTGGGAAGTGAAGTGCAGTGACTCCTTCTCCCTCTGGGAAATCCTCCCCAGACCCCCAAGCTGCGTTAAGTGGGCTTCCCTTTGTGCTTTCCCAGGGTAAGCTCCAGGGTGGTATCTATCATATTAGATTGGCTCTTAAAAAAGTGAATTGTGATGGAGCATTTTGGAGAGATAGGCTTCTGGAACACTGGGGTGGTGAGCAGGGGCTTTGTTTGGCGACACCGAGGCACCAACTCTGTTTTCTACTCTGGATGAAGATGTGGCTGGGTCAGCTTTAAGAGTCTGGAGCGTCTATGAACATTCTCTGAAATGAGAGCACAGAGACCGTCAGGGTCAAGTGTCTGGTTGATGCCCTCGCACGTGGAAGGGCAATGCCGTCGCTGGAGTAGGAGGAGGCCTGCCTTTGTGAAGAGGGTCTCCAGCAGCTGTGCGACTGACTAGGCCTCAGGGTCCAGGGACATGCAAAGCAATGCTGTACGTGCTCCAGCTCTGGATGGCGGTTTAGGTTCCCCACAGTGCATGAGCAGATGTCCCCTTCCTGCCGACCCACAGCTCAGCGAGATGCTGCAAGCCCCCGCTTGCTGCAGTGCTGCAGGTGCTGTTCTGAGCAGATTGCATGGAAGAACTCATTTAATCTTCAAAAGCCCCCTAGAGATCAGCACCATTATCTTGATCATAGATATGTGGAAACTGAGGCACAGAAAGGCTCCATGCCTTGCCCAAGATCACGGTGGATGGAGTCAGGAGTGAAATCCCAGCACTCTGATTCCAGAGCCAGAACTCCGAACACCAGACCCGTTGCATCATGTCTGAGACACATGCTCCAGAAGGTCTTGTGTAATTTAGAAACTTGCATAATTTAGAACAAATCCTGACAAAGGTTGGTAGGTGTTTCTGTTTATCAGTTAAAGTGGCATTGCTGTGCGGTAAGCATGCAGACAGTAAGTTTACAATTCACTGGCCTGCCAGCTTCAACATTCTTCATGCTTAAAAGCAAATGTTTGGGATACATATTATTTCAAATTTTGAATATAAAGTGAGACTTTATTAATATCTTTATATCATAGTGTCAGATTCACATAATGCAAAATCTCATAAAACATGGGGACGCTATTACTGCCGAGTGGCTTTGATTTTGATGAGTTTGGGAAGGCTAGACTGTGAGCTGCTCCAGGGAAGGCTCGTCTTTATTCATTGGCATCCCATGTGCCTAGCACAGTGCCTGGCACTCAGCTCCAGGAAGGGCCACTCAACAAACACAATCTAATTCAAAGCAATGCAGTTTGGTTGGCTATGAGTTTGTTGTTGTTGTTGTTGTTGTGGGGGTGCAGGGATGGGAGCTACCTTGAAGGTTATACATCTGAATAGTTTTGTTCATCCCGAATTTACCCCCTCCTTTTTCTTCCTTAAAAGAGGGACCAGAGGGAATTAGCTGATAATGAAAAACGGGGGCAGGGGCAAGGAAAAAGCCAAGGATGGGCAGCAGGGCAAGAGCCCACATTAAAGAAAGGGGATGTCTGTGTCCAGGGGGCGGGAATGACTTATGTATTGGTTGGGGTATTTGTCTTTCAGCAATGAAAACCAATTCTGGGTAACTTCACAAAAAGGGGATTCAATTTAAGGTTTATTTGTCCTCCCGAGATCAAAACGAGGCTGGGAGGGTAGTCTTGGGGACAGCGTGTAGTGAGGGGGCTACCACAAAGCAGGAAGCCCGGAGAGGAAGCAGGGCAGCCCAGCCAGGAGGCTCTACCACGGGTGAGCCTCCAACCCTGCCCACAGCACACAGAGTGGGGGGCTTCGTGACAGGGAGGCTGGGTGCTTAAAGGCAGGGGATGTGGCCGCTGGTGTCCTCACTTGCATCACTGAATGGTCAGGTTGGAGGGACAGGGAGGGTCCTGTGTTGCAGATGAGGCGTTGAGGCCTTGGCCTCTCTGCAGTAGTGACACAAGCAGGACCAGAGCTTGTCTCCTGGATGCTCTCTCCAGAGAGGGGCAGAAATGTCTTAACATTTTAAAGGGCCTTCAGAGCACCCTCAGTCTTCATCATGATAGGCCAAAAGCTCTCCCACCAATACACCTTGACAGGGCCTCCCTCCTTCTCACCCCAATTCTTCCTTAACCCATAGGATGTAGGGTCTGGGACAGTGTTGGGAAGTGGAGGGATGGAATTCTGATCAACTCCAGGGGGTGGATGGCACCATTATACTGTGATGGAGGGGTGGTGTATGGGGCTGAGGATACAGGCATGGTGGCCCCTAACCACACCCACCCTACCATGTTTCTAGGTGAGCAAGGAGTAAGATGGGATGATGGCCTTGAAGCGCAAAATAAGGAGAGGAGCTTTCCTAGAAGTGTATAAACCCTGGGTTGGTGTGGGAGGGGTAGTTGGAAGTCATTTTCATGTTCCTTTGTGTGCTTTTGTGCTACCTGCTTGTGAATATATGGGCCCTAGATAACTGACTGCCTGAGGATATGGCCATGGCCTGCACTTACCAGTTCACTGGGCTTCACTCTAGGTAGGGCATAGGGGCAGGGAAGAGAAACTAAGATTAACTGAGCACCCACTATGTGCCAGAACTTTGATGTGTGTGATATCATTGAATCCAATATTTACCCCAACCCCATGAGGCAGTTATGATGACTCAGTCTTACTGGTGAGGAAATCAAGGCTCAGGCAGGTTAAGGTACCTGTATAGGCCCCCTCGGCTGAAAAGGGGTATTTTCATTCTGAATAAAGACTACCTTTTCCAGCTTTCCTCACAACTAGGTGTGGCCATATGACCAGATTCCGGAGAATGGAATGAAACCAGAAATGGTCTCTGCAACTTCCAGGAAGTGTCATTAAAGGGAGGAGAGGACCTTCTCTTCTGCTTTTTCCTCCCTGCTGGCTGCAATGCAGATGTAATGATTAGCACTGCACCAGCCAGAGTGGGCCACGAGGTGAGGTTAGGGAAGAGGCTATGGAGCAACAAAATGGGTGGAGCTGAGTCCCTGACACCGAAGGCACCCTGACAACCCTGGGCTCTCATCTGGAATGTGACAGCTAAGCCCAATTCTGATTTATATATGCCAACTTACAATCACAAAATCTATAAATTTGGAAAGGAGAACTTTATTTCTTGTAAAGGATTGCAACCTGCAGGCTGGGAAGCATAGCCTCCCATAGGGACGGAAAGCAGGCACTTAGAGGGAGGGAAGATGTTACAGGAGTTTTCTGCTTGGTAGATTAGCTAGACATACATATTTAATAGGTTATAGGAGGAAGATACGAATATTCATGAGGGGAAGTCACACTCGTGTGGAAAGCAAACATATATGTTACATACATCCTCTATTTGTTTACTGTGGGGTGGAGACAACATTAAAATGTAGTAAAATTAAGCTATATATGTCAAAAGGCACAAGGAGGACACAGAGGCACCCTGGGCATAGCTTCTGTGAACTGCCAGACCCAGCTTGGGGTTGGTAGTCACTTATAGGGAAGGAATGCTGGTGAGAGGGAAAGGGAGTGGTGCCAGGCAGTTGGTTGAAGTCAGTGAAGGACTGAGTCTTCCGTTCTTTGTTTCCAGGGCTGGTTTCTGTTTAATTTTTAGAAAAGAAAAGTCTACTAGTGGTTAGCAAGGGACAGGGTATAAAGAAGCAGGATTGACCTGTCTTGTCATTACTGGAAAACTTAGGTTTTGAGGTTTTTCTGGAATCTTCTTGGCCAAGAGGGCTTCATTCAATTGGTTGGGAGCTTAAGATTTCATTTTCATCTCACGTGTGGCCCCTTCCTTGCTGGGGCTCAGCCTCTCTGGACCTCTGCTGGCTGGACCTGTGCAGTCGGGAGGGGTGACTGGGCAGCAGGGAGATTTCAGCTCCAAGGGGACAGAACATGGGAAGGGCTGGGGTCTCAGTTCCTTCACAAAGGGGAGTTCAGAATTAGCTGTTTGAGAAGAAAATGGTGTAGTGAAGGGGGAGGCGGTGTGGGACAGGGTCAGCTCCTGGCCTTGCTACCTTCCTGCTGGTCCAGCGCCCTTAAGCAAGTTGCTCTCTCTGAACCTTAGTTTCCTCATTTGTAAAATAGGGACAGTGATACCTACTCCACACCATTGTTGAGACAGTTGGAGACAGTATACATAAAGGGCCTGTGTGAGGCCGGTGCTCCATGAGTGGTAGCTCTTATTTTTATCGCTGGCTGAGAGTCAAAAGATCTAGAATTTTGGGTGTGCCATTGTGATCACGGGGTGAGACATTTAACTTTTCAGACCTTGGTTTGTTCCCAAGTAGAATAGGGGGGAGGATGGCAGGTTGGACTGCATGAACTCTGTGGTTCCTTCCAGTCCTGATATTCAGTCCAGTCCACCCTGCCCTCGTTTTACAGACAATAAAACTGAGGCTTATGGTGGCAGAGACAAATGACTGTGCTCCCCTTCCGTGGTATAGAGTTACTGTTGGGAAGCGGCTGCCCCAAAGGGACTGGACTTTTCCCAGTCTGGTTCTCACCAATAGAACGTGAGCTGATAGGATGTTGTATTATTACTCTGGCCAAGAGTTAGGGCATGGCTGTATCTTCTCCATCCTCTCTTCTGCTGTCTGCCTGCTGAACGTTGTGCCCTGGGCCATCTGGGAAGCTGCATGTTGAAGATGGCAGAGCCTCTTGCAGCCTGGGTCTGTAAATGGCACCCTCTCTTCCTCCCATCCCAGTGCAATTTTGGACTCTATGTGGTCAAGGCACATGCTTGCACTGAATGAAGGCCCTGGGATTTCAGGGTTTATCTGTGTAGCAGCTAGTGTGATCTTAGCAAACACACCCAAGAGGTAGCGTGGCTTGGCCAGCATCTGGGCCTCCTCTCTGATGCTTGGTGGCATTTTATGTGACAGTCTAGACCTCTCAATCAGTTTGCCAGTTCGTTGAGAGCCAGGATAGCTGCTCATACTCCTGTAGGCTCATGACAGCGGGCACTGGCCACTTCTCATCCACCCCACAGGGATGACCTGCTGGGACCAGGCACTGACTAGTCAAGCCTGGTTGATTTGAACTGGGCATCCACAAGGCACCGCCTGAGGCCTTCCAGGCTGAGAGCTGACCCTGCCCATTGGGTTCCACTCCCACATCCCTGGAGGCACTAGGGTTTGGGAACTGCAAAGCCATGGCCAAGGGAGCAATGGAGTTAAACTCTCAGAAGAGGGTGGGGGCAGAGGAAGGGCAGGAGCCAAGATGATGGGGTCCGGGAGAGGTGTCTTTGAAGTGGAGGCAATGATTCTTCGTGGAATTGAGGGTAGAGATCTGGAATGGGGCCAAAGCCCTGATCTGAGTCCAGCTCTGACCCCAACTTGTAGGTGACCCCACACAAGTCTAAGGTCACTGAGGAGTTGGTGACAGGAACAGAGACCCAAACCCAGCTCTCCATCTCCAGCCATGGATGAGCTATTTCTGGAAACTACCGTCGCTTCTCTGTCTTCCCTGGAACCTGGGCATCTCTGATTAGGATGCTAATGGAGGGAGGGGAGTGAGGAAGCCAGGGAGCTGCAGAGCCAGAGAAACACCCGGGGACTGGGGAGCCAGTGGCTAATTAAAGGCTCCATGTCAAAGAGGAATGCCAAGTAGGTAATTTCCATGCATTTGAATAATGGGGAAAATGGTTACCATTTCTCAAGTTTGCTTGTTGAAAAGAGAGAGGGGAAGAATGAAAGGAGAGGGGAGACTGTGGCTGCAGGGATCTCCACTTGCTGTTGAGGAAGCTGGGAAGGGGCAGAAGCAGACTTGCTCCAAGAACAGGGAGGGAGGGAGAACCGGAGGAGGCAATTTTCTGCCTTCTTCCCAGAAGGTCCTAGGAAGTTCCCTGAAACCTGGGCTAGGGGAGAGAGCAGCCATGCAGAGTGCAGTGATGCTAGGTCCCAGGAGAGTTAAGGAAAGCCCCCCTCATGGGTGCACCACACTTCACAGTTTACATAGCTCACGTACCTTCTTTGTCTCACTGCATTGCTATGACAGGCTGTGAGGTGAGCAGGGAAGGGATGGTGATCATGATGATGTTGATGATGATTCTGATTTTAGAGGTGAATCACTGAGCCCCAGAGAGCAGGAGTGAATTGCTCAAGGCCCCATTTGCTTATGTATTCATTCATTCATTTAACAAAGTTCTTTACTGGGAATGCCAGACTGAATATCAGGTCCAGTGCCATGTGAGAAAGGCCCAAGGATGATAAAGGCCCAAGGTTGATGAAGACCCAAGGATGAGTAAGACACGGTCCCTCCTGTCAGGAACTCGGATTCCACAGGGAGAGACGCAGGAGGTGAAGCCATACATCGCCAAGTGCTGTGGGTGCTGAGGTGGAGGGACCTAGCCTACCTGGGGCCATAGGGACTTCCTGGAGGGACTGCCTGCAAGCTGAGGTTTCAATCAGGAATTTGCCAAGTGACAGGGGAGGAGCACATGCCAGGCTGAGGGAATAACATATGTAGAGCTGGGGAGAGCCAGGAGGGCTTGTCTTGTTCAGGGAATATGAGAGGCCCATTGAAGAAGACAGGAGGGGTCATGGGCTGGGGCAGGGTTGAGGGCTGGGGCTGGAATCCTTGGTGGGAGAGGGATGAGACCACAGAGGCAGGCCCCAGACAGGCTATGGGTGAGCCTCGTGTGCTATACTAGGATGTATGGACTTGATCTTCAGGCCACAGGACCTAGAAGGTGGCTGAGGAGGAGCTAGTGGAATGGAGATCACCCCATGTCCAGGGCTGCTGCTGTCTCTCTGGAGCCGGCCATAAGAACCCAGCCTCCCACCCCACTTCTCCTGCCCCCAACCTCCCCATCCCAGTCCCTTGAGCTTCTTGAAGTCATGGACTCCCAAGAAGAGGAAGCCAAGCTGTGGGAAGGAGGGTCCCTACTGCTCTGGCCTATTCTCCCTTTTTATTTTCTGTGTTTCTGATGCTTTGTGGTCTGGGGCCTGGCTGACCTTGGAGAGACTGCCTCTCCCATTGCCAGCCAATTCCTAGAGGGTGCATTTCCTATGCAAACCAACTCATAGAGAGTCCCTACCCCAACCACCTTCTTTATCATGCTCTTATGCTGATATTCCTCTGCCCTAATCACCCCAACTAGAGATGGCCCCTACATCTCAGAACTCGCTGAAATAATGCAAACCAGCCAATCCTGAGCCTGCTTACCCTGCCTCACCCACCCTTCCTGTAAAGACCACAATAAAGGCATTTGCCCATGTTTTCATCTTGCTCCCTCTGCCTGCCGAACAGCCCTGGCTTCCCATGTGGCCCCTGCATGGCTTGGCATACCCCCTCCCCTTGGGAACGGTAACAAACCATCTTTTCAATGGTAGCCACTCCTAATCTGTTAGCCTCACCACACCTGAAAAATAATGAAATGCACATTTTAAAACACCACCTTGCATCAGTTGCCTATTGATGCATAACAGATTACCCCAGAACTAAGTGGCTTAAAAAACAACAAATACTTATTGTCTCTCATAGTTTCTTTGGGTTAGAAATTTGGGAACAGCCTAGCTTGGGGTTTCTTCTGAAGTTACAGTCAAGATGCTGGCCCAGGGCTGCAGTTGTCTGAGGGCTTGATTTAGGCTGGAGAATCTGCCCTAAGATATTCATTCCATTGCAAGATGGCTCACTCAATGCCTGGCAAGGTGGTGCTATGGTCAGAAGACCTCAGTCCTTCACCACTTGGACCTCTCTACAGCTGCTTGAGTGTCCTCACAACATGGCGGCTGGCTTTCCCGAGCCAGTAAGAGAGAACAAGGTGGAAGTGCAATGATCTGGCCTTGGATGTCACCCACTGTCATTTTGCGATAACCCCTTGGTTACACATTGTGGGAGAGAACCACACAAGGGCATGAATATCAGGAGATGAGGATCAGCCAGGCTGTCTTGGAGGCTGGACACCACACCCCTCCTTCCAAGGAAGAGCAGACAGAAGTCCTCCTCACCTCCCGTAGCAGGACGGTGAGATAAAGTTGTCTCCTTGGAGAAGGAGGGCAGGGCTTCCTAGGTCACTGGGACAGGGCAGGTCTCAAATGGCTGTGCCACTAACCGGCTGTGTGCCCATGCTCTTCAGGCCTCTGTTTGCCATCTCTGTGCTGTGGGAAGAACTTGTTCTGCTCTGTGGGGCTAGGAGAGGGATGGAGGATCCAGTTTCTAAGGGGGTGGTCCTGAGAATTGCAGAACATAGAGTCTTCCCCCTTTTCATTCTTAATCTTGTTTCTTCACATAGTCAGATAATCAGTTTCCCTGGAAGTCTTTGCAGCAATAAATTTGCATAACCACCCAAATAAGCACCATTCTTTCCTTTAAGTTAACCTTGGCCTATATTTCCAATTAACTGTGCAATTAAACCAGGGTGAGGCTTTGCTTTCTTACCCCCATGACCATGTCTTTCCTGGATGGCTTGGAGCAGAGGCAGAGGCCTATATCAGCTCTGCTCACCTCCCCAACATTACCCCACACACTGCGTGGCCAATGCCCGGGGGTCAGTCTGGGCCAGCTCTCTTCTCTCCTTTTCAGCTTCCCTTGGTGGTGAGGGACTCAGGATGTTGGAGCAAAGAAGGACCTTAGGACCATCTCATGTAATCCTTACATTTTACAGATAAGGCTCAGAGAGGGCCAGCAAGGGGTCAAGGTCACACAGCAAGTTGGTGGCAGTAATACTGGGGCGAGAACCAGGTCTTCTGACTCCCCTGCAGGGCTCTTTTGTTCTCCCTGTTGGGTATGCCCAGGAGATGCCCAACTGTGGTTGTTCTAGATGGGTCTTGGGCCACTGTGACTTAGACACTCCCGTCTCCCGGCAAAAGGCAGGGTGGGTGCCAGGGTGTCAGGAGGGAGAGTGGAGAGGAAGGGAAGCTGTCAGTGTGGAATGGCCAGACCCCACACTTACCTGGTGGAGTGTGTGTATACGGAAGAGAGGAAGGTTAGGGGAGGGGGCATACATAAGAGAAGAGAAAACGTGGACCCAACCCTCTAAGCCTATTGTGCTCAGGGGAGGAATGACAGAGCAGGAAGTGCTCAGAAAGCTAGTGCAGAATGACCCAGCCTCCGTGGGCCTGGAGGCCTGAGAGACCCTTGAAGTTTGGCTGCAATCGGAGTAGTGCATGTGAAGAGGAGGGTGAGCTCCCAGCCCCCAGCCTCACTCTGCAGGACACAGAAACAGGCCACCCCAGGAAGGGACGAGGAGGCATGGAGCTACTGATTGGACCCTCAGCTTCTTCTCCCACCTTGCTAGGGATGGCCCTTGTGCTCACAGCAGGGTGGGAGGACCCTCCTTCTCTCTGGCCTGGGCCGATGATCAGCTGTATAGCCCTTGGTCAGTGAGGCCCAGGGAGGCTCTGATATCCTGCAGGGTGGCCTCCTCCACTCCTCTTCTAGGCTCTTCCACTGCCTACACTGCCCCATGGGGTGGCAGGAGTGAGCCCACTCCTGGCCAGTTTCACTTAGTAATTTCTAAGTCTTCAATTTTGGCCATTCCTCTCCCCTCAATTGTCCTCCATTGTGAGCTGAGAAAGGCAAACACATTTTGATCTTGGCTTAAGTAAAGCTGAATCTCAGTTTAAGAAAAAGAAAAGAAATCAGCTAGAGCTAGGAAGATATCAGCCCAGGTCCCCAAGAGTAAGTGGCTTCTGAATTATTCAAAGACTAAATTTCTCTCCCCATTAGACTAGAAACGCTCCGAGGGCAGGGTCTGCGTCTGTAACATCAGATGGCAGGGAAGCAGGCAGGAAGCCACATATGTTGAGGGCCTGTTGTGTCAGGCACATAGTACCTTGGAGGAGGGGTGAATGTTCCTGGTGTGGTACCATTTCTGTTTCCACTTTATGGCCAGGGAGCCTGAAGACCAGAGTCACACAAGCCAGTATGTGGCAGAGAGGGCTTTGGAAGCTGGGCTTAGGTGATGTCAAAGCCTAGGTGTTTTTCCCTACACCATGCAGGCAGGCAGAGGTGGCAGGTGGGGTCCCACCCCCATCCCCAAGCCCTGCAGTTGTTAGCCTTGCCAAAACCCTCAAGGAGCTGGCGAGGAGCAGGGGCCCCAAGGGAAGCCAGACTTGCCACCTGCAGGGGACTGGGTAAAAGCAAAACACTGACGCTAATTGGGGAGCAAGAGCCCCAACACCCTTATTTCCTGTCTTGGCTGCTTAGCCTAACAAAAGAGCTTTGTGTAAGTTGGCCCAGTGACAGCATCTTGTCATGCTCTTCCTTCCTCCTTCAGCCCGGCTCCTTCTTAGATTTTTTAGTGCTCCTTCTACTCTCTATTGCCATTTGATATAGAGTCATGGACAGGAGACCTGGGGTGCTGCCCGGAGGGCCACCAACTTGCTATGTGATCTTGAGCAAGTTGCTTAACATCTCTGGGACTCAGTTTCTCCACCTGCAAAATGGGAGGAAGAGGACTGGATTGGATGGTTGCTAAAGTTCTGTGATGACTTTCTTCCCATCTTGAGGACTGGTATTTGGGAGGGCAGCAGGAAGCCAGGGGCCAGGCCCACTTCTCAAGCTGCAGAGATGAGAGACGTCCTCACGGAGAGGTGTCTTTATCTGATCACAGTCTCATTAGAGAGAAATGCCATTTGATTATAATTTGCACTTTCTTTGAATTGTCAAAATGTTGACATACTCACCCCAATTTCTACCTCCCTGTTCCACTTCCTCTCCTACTACCTGCTTTCTATGCCCCGCTGCCGACCAATGTCAGCCCTGGCTTTGTCTTGCCAAGTTGCCTTGTTCCAAAAGGATGACTGAGTTCTCCAGGAAGGTCATGCTGGGCCTCAACTGCAGCCCCTGCCTGGCTTTAGAGTGAGACTCAGGTTTGTAGGATCCATGATATGCCTGGAACTGTGCAGTGTGACCCTCATATTCACCATTTTTTTTTTTTTTGAGACAGAGTCTCACTCTGTCGCTGGGCTGGAGTGCAGTGGCGCGATCTCTGCTCACTGCAAGCTCCGCCCCCTGGGTTCACGCCGTTCTCCTGCCTCAGCCTCCCGAGTAGCTGGGACTACAGGTGCCCGCCACTATGCCCGGCTAATTTTTTTGTATATTTAGTAGAGATGGGGTTTCACCGTGTTAGCCAGGATGGTTTCAATCTCCTGACCTCGTGACCCACCCGCCTCGGCCTCCCAAAGTGCTGGGATTACAGGCATGAGCCACCACGACTGGCCCGTATTCACCATTTCTAAAGAAACTGAAGCTCAGAGAGGCTGAGAAACTTGTCCAAATCACACAGTGAAGTGATGGAGTCAGCTTTTAAATCCATCTATCCATCTCTGAAACCATGCTCCCCTCCCTGCTGCAGGCTGTTCACTTGTTTGGGGATGTGCTATGGGGCAAGAGCAGTGGCCTGGCCGGAGGTGATGACAATGATGACAGAGACAACATTATAGTTGGTACTCAAAGTGTGATCCATGGACCAGGAGTGTAGGCATCACCTGGGAGCTTACTGAAAATCAGGCTCCAACCCAGACTCCAATCAGGATCTGCATTTTATCAGGACCCCTGGGAGATTCGAGAGCATATTAAAGGTTGAGAACTGTAGAACTCTTTCTAGCACATTGGCTCCTAGATTCCAGCCACAGGAGGCAGAACCTCATGATATCAAAAGGGCCTTAGAGGTCTTCAGGATGGTGGTTTCATAAACTGTGCCCTTTGGAGCAGTGGGGTTCTCAGAGATGTCTTTATGGCTTCTCTGGTGTGGGGTTGGGCCGAATCCAGTAGGAAGAACTCCAGAACTCCAGAACTCCCACCACCTGCCACCACCTCAACCCTGGATTAAGTTTTATTAACTTCTCATGGGACACAAATTCATTGGGGGTGGGGTTGTTAGGGTTTATTGCCTAAAAAAAGATTTTTAAAAACATGCTCTATTCCATCCTTCTAATTAGAAGGTGAAGAAACTGATAAACAGAGCATCAGGGACTTGTCAAAAGTCATAGAGAATCTAGGACCAGAATCCAGGTAGATCAATTAGGATTGTTTTTGGCTGCAAAAGTAACAGTAAACTCACTAACAGAGGCTTAAGCAAGTAAAATTTGTTTCACGCAACAGGCAGCCAGGCATATACTGATGAGTATTGGTACCTTAGCAGCTCAAGGGTGCATCTGGGGCTCAGAGTCTTCCTGGGTTTCCTTTCTGCCACCCTTAACCTGGGGCTTTTATCCTCGTGGCATAAGATGGCTGCTACTGCTCCATGTCTTACATCCATGTTCCACACATGGAGAAGAAGAAAGGATGAATGGGCAGAGATCATTCTTCCAGTTAGTTTAGTTTTTTTTTTAATTGAAGGAAGGATGCCCTCCTTAGAGGCTTCTTCCTATTGCTTGTAGTTCTGAATGAATGATGTGGCCACTCCCATCTGGAAGATAGCCAGAAGGGGAGTGAATTACAGGTTTGGGTCAAACCCCCTGATGGTGAATGTCTAGGGATCCTGTCCTGGCGTCCTGAAATTCTTCAGGGTCCCAGAATTGCATCTTTTGGGCTGAGATGGGGTGTGTTTGAATCAGACAGGCACCCGCTCAAGCCTCGAGCTTGAATCTCTCATTACGGCAATGGTCTTTATGAGAACCGTGTCCTGGCGTCCTGAAATTCTTCAGGGTCCCAGAATTGCATCTTTTGGGCTGAGATGGGGTGTGTTTGAATCAGACAGGCACCCGCTCAAGCCTCGAGCTTGAATCTCTCATTACGGCAATGGTCTTTATGAGAACCGTGTGGTGTGGGCACAGGAGCTTTGCTAAACAAAGACCTACAGACTGGGGGGCTTAGAGACAGAGGAACTGGATTACAGCGAAAACCACAAGGGCTCATTCTAATTCTCTGAGTATCTCCACTGCTCACAGCCCCTAATGAAAACATGTGTAAGAAACCCGCAAGGTTAATTTTGCCGAGAAAAATTCCAATAAAGCTCCATTAGATTTTCGCATTAAATTAATGTAATGGATGCTTAAAAGCCATGCTAATTAGGCTTTGTTATTAACAGGAATGTCAGGTGGATGGGATCTGGCCCGGAGCTGACATTTTATTCGGGCAACCTATGGGAGATGGATTTGCCAGTGGTCGGGAGACACCACATCATCCGGCCCCAGCTCTGACTCCGCTCACGCCTTGGAATGTCTTTAGTCATTTAAATTCATTTGCCTGGAACTGGCATTGTTTCTCCAGTAAGATGGCAAATAACAAACTTCATTTAGTCTTGGCTTTTATTTTTATTTTTGGATGTTTCCAACTTTCCCATCTTTTGTTTCTCTGCTAGGGTCATGGCTCTAACAGGTCACTCCCTTGCTCAGAAACCTTCAATGGCTCCCTATTTTCTATCAGATAAGGAGTCCCTGATCTGGTATTCAAAACCCTCTGGGATTTGGCTCCAATGCACCATTTCGGGCTCCCTTACTTCTCTCCAGGTATACAGAGGGCTGATTCCTCTCTGAATGGGACCTTTCCAATACCCCTTAGCTGTGGTTATAACTCCCAAACTCCATCATCTCAGCCTTCCAACACTTTTATTACTCTTTCCATTGTGTAATTGAGGAAACAGATCCTCAAACTGTCAGACCCCTGCCCACTCAGACCCCATGCCTCCCATATGTAAAAGCCCTGGCATGTTTTGGGTGCTCAAGCAAGATCTGTCTCCTACTTTTCCTCATTTCCCTCAATCTCTCTGCTGGGCCTGGTAGAACATCTTCAGGGTGGCTACCTGTCCTGCACCAGGGCTTGGGAATTCCAAATACCAGAAGGCATTTGGGGTGAGGCTCCATTTGGGAAAGAGGACTTTTACAAAGCTAGGGATGAGTAAAAGGGAAGGCTTGGTCCCTCCCCGTCCCATCATCCTAGGACTTCCGGCCCAGGCTATGTGTTGGATACTGGAGTGAGTTTGCATGCCTGTAGGAAGATACTGACTCTCCACCTCAGGCTTGTCTCGGTTTTTACAGGGGACAGACTGAATCTAAGCAGTCTGGATTTGACTGCCAGCTGTTGGTTGCCCAGCATCTCGGGGTCCTTGGGGCCCATGGGAAGCTGCAGGTCAGAGATGGGCTGGGAGAACGATGAGCACTTTAGGAAGCTAAGCTTAAGTGCAGCCACCCTGTGGGAAGAAGGGGACCTAGAATTACTTTCCAACAATCCTATTCCTGCATCATAGTCCAACCCCAACCCTGGAGACTTAAGGATATAAACCCTTTCACCAGGGGAACTGGCCTCTCCAGATATGAACTAGGAAGAGAGGGAGCTCATTTACGAGACTGCAAGCTGTCCACGGCACTAAGGAGGCACCTGGGAGAGGTCATTTATTTTTTCTTTTTTTTTTTAATTTTATTTTTCCATAAGTTATTGGGGTACAGGTGGTATTTGGTTACATGAGTAAGTTCTTTAGTGGAGATTTGTGAGAACCTGGCACACCCATCACCTGAGCAGTGTACACTGCACCATATTTGTTGTCTTTTATCCTTTGTCCCCTCCCACTCTTCCCCCCAAGTCCCCGAAGTCCTTTGTGTCATTCTTATGCCTTTGCATGAGGTCATTTAAACCTCTTCTTTTTCTTTTCTTTGGGATCTGTCATGTTTACATTCAATCCATGGGGCTGGCCATTTCCCCTTAGGGGTGAGTCGGATTTTCCCTTTGGGGTCACCATCCGCAAGGTACCCAGATTTGGGGTAAATTCCCTGGGATCTCACAGGAGTAGTCTTTGTTGGGAGAGTGAACAAGTGACCCATGGCTAGGGTTGGCAGGAGAAGAGAGGGCTTGGATCTTAGGAGCCTCATTAATCATCTGAAGGCTTTTTTTTTTTTTGAGTCCTAACAACTCAGACAGAACAAGGAGGAAGGAAGAGAAGAGCTCCCTACCCCCCTGAGAAGCAGCTGGAGAAGCTTAATACTTTCAAAACCACCCAGAGGCATTCTGAGAAAACCCAGCAGCAATGGAGATGGGACAGCACAGGGAAAGTAAATGAGGATCCTCTGGGCCAAACCTCCAGACTAGAGGACTTGCTGGAGGCAGAAATGTTAATGTTCCCTGCCATCCGGGGAGCCAGTCAAGTCAAAGGGCCAGCAGGAACTGTGTGTGTGTGTGTGTGTGTGTACGTGAGCACGCACCTGTGTGTGGTGTGTGTAGTTAACGCAGGGCTCCCACTGAAGAATAACTTGCCCAACTGACCCAAGGTAGGAGGCACATGCCTCCTCTCTCTTGCACCATGGAGATCTCTTCAAGACTGAGCTTGTCAGCAACCTTGTCTGAAATGCAAACCTATGCTGGCTATCAACACATGGCCAGGCCACAGCACACTGTCATGGGGATGAGAGGAAAGAGACCCAGGCCTTCCCTTGCTGACCCCATGTACAGCCCACCTCCCATAACTCTTCTTCATTAAGGCAGGCCATGCGGCCATGTGGGATTTGCCCCTGAGCCTTGCATGACAGGTGGCACCCAGATGGGACCCACCTTGCCTGACACCCTTCTCCTTGAATCTTCTTTAAATGCCTGAGTGACCTCTCTGCCTCACAAATCCTGCCCAGGTGGCAGGAAGGAAGTCCTGGTAAAGGTGCATGAACCCAGGTACCCAGTGTCTAAAATGAAGTGAGTGTGAGAGTGTGAGTGTGCATGTGTGCATATGTGAGAGAAAGAGAGAGAGAGAGAGAGGAAAAGAGAGAGAAAGAGATTGAGAGAGAGAGTCTGGTGGGAATCTGGAAGCAAAGGATATGAACAGCTAGTTTGGGCAAGGATGGAGGGGAGAGGGACCTCATATCGTGGAACGTGCCCCATCTGGCTGGGTTCAGGCCATTGCCACTGCCACTTTGGTGCTGGCCTTTGGCACAGGTGGGCAGGGGATCTCAGAACCTCTCAGAAAGGGGAGCCTGGGCAGTCTAGCCCACCACCTGGGGCCTTGGTGCACAGCTTATGGCTGTGAGTTCACTGAACACTGGGGTGAAATAACAAGCACTAAGGAGGCAAAGCTGCAAAGGAAAATGCCCAGGAAACCTTTGCCTTTCTGGTCTGGGAGGTGAGTTACGGGAAAGAGGACCAAAGGCCAAATGGTCTTTGGGAGAAATTTGTGCCTATATTATGGGTAGATTAGAGGCCATGGTGCTGGGGAGATTAACCCTTCCCTTTGAATCTTCCCTTCCCTCTCCCCTGCCCCTACAGTCAGAAGAAGCACAGGGCATTGAAAAAAGGGGAATGGGGGCCAGGTGCGGTGGCTCATGCCTGTAATCCCAGCACTTTGTTAGGCCAAGGCGGGCAGATCACTGGAGACCAGGAGTTCAAGACCAGACTGGCCAACATGGTGAAAACCTGTCTCTACCAAAAATACAAAAATTAGCTGGGCGTGGTGACATGCACCTGTAGTCCCAGCTACTTGGGAGGCTGAGGCAGGAGAATCGCTTGAACCCAGGAGGTGGAGGTTGCAGTGAGCTGAGATTACGCCACTACACTCCAGCCTGGGTGACTGAGTGACACTCCATCTCAAAAAAAAAAAAAAAAAAAGGGAATGTGGGTTATTTCTGCTCCCTAGACCTCAGACTCTACATGTGAACAACTGGAACAACCCTAAAATTTCTGTCCATTGCCTTCCCAACAACCCACCCCCCAATTCTTTCTTGGTATCAGAACTCAGATACTAGCAGCCATATTTTTCAGGGGAGTCTGGGACTCTTTCTACCCCAGGAATGAATCCTGATTTATCTAAAACAAATGTAATAATTCTATTTTGCTTGCTGTGGGGAAGTGGTGCCTGCTAGGAAAAGCTTTCTGAGATCTAAAAAACTGACTTGCCAGAAGTAGTTGCCCCACCCTGCCACCTTTGGATGTTGCTGGGTGGGAATGTGATGTCTGGAGTTGTGGCAGCCGCATTAGGATTACGGGGCCGGTGGGGAGGTGGGCAGATAAGATGCCAAGGAAAGGAGAATAAAGAGGACCTAGCTGAATTAACCACATTCAGAATTGCCTTACTGCTGGACCTGTTATGTGAAATAATAAATGCCTTATTTTAAAAACCATTCATAATTGGGCTTTCTGTTGTTTGCTTGTGGAAACAGTCAACCTGATCAAATTTCAAAGTCAGGATAAAATAATTCAGATTCGTCTGTCTGCCGTGATTCTTTCCTTGGGGGTAATAAAGACATTTTTGAGCTTACTGGAAACTGAGCTTAGCTGGAACTGTTCCCTTTCCTTCTAGGCAAGAAGAGTCCGGTTTTGGGGCCAAAAGGACTAGGTTCAAGTGTCAGGGCCTCTTTGCATGCACTGTATGACTTTGTATCAATGATTTAAACCAGGGATTGACAAACTTCTTCCGCAAAGGGCCAGATAGGTTTGATGAGCCATACGGCCACTAATGCAACTACTTAATTCTGTCGTTTTAGTTTGAGAGCAAGATATAACACACAAATAACATAAATATTTATTTATAACACATAAATAAGTGGCATAGCTGTGTTCTAACAAAATTTTATTTACAAAAATAGAGGGCAGACTGGATTCAGGCTGTAGGTCATGGTTTGCCAACCCTGATTAAACTCTCAGCTTCCTCACCTGAAAAATGAGGCTAATAATTTGTTTTCCTCATGGGGCAAATTTGAGTATCAAATGAGCTGATTTAAAACTATCACCTGGCTGGGCGCAGTGGCTCACGCCTGTAATCCCAGCACTTTGGGAGGCTGAGGCGGGTGGATCACGAGGTCAGGAGATCAAGACCATCCTGGCTAACACAGTGAAACCCTGTCTCTACTAAAAATACAAAAAAATTAGCCGGGCATGGTGGCGGGCACCTGCAGTCCCAGCTACTCGGGAGGCTGAGGCAGGAGAATGGCATGAACCCGGGAGGCAGAGCTTGCAGTGAGCCGAGATCGAGCCACTGCACTCTAGCCTGGGTGACAGAGCAAGACTCTGTCTCAAAAAAACAAAAATAAAATAAAAATAAAAGAATAAAAAAATAAAACTATCACCCTATAAAATACAATGTATATGTGGGCTGCCCTTTCCCATGAGAACCAAAGGTCCTGGTGCTCAAGAATGAAATGTTAGATTTTGCCACTTGCTATCACTGTGTGACTTTGGGAAAGTCACTTAACTTTCCTGAGTGTCACTTTTCTCTTCTGTCAAGTGGGGATGCTAATACCTACTTCTGATAATGTTGCAAGGTTTAAGTGAATAATGCATGTAAAGTGCTGCACAGACCAAGTCCTCAACAAATAATAGTAAGAATAGTAAGAATAATAATAATAAGGAGGAAAGCCCTCTGCTCCTGACCTGGCAGATTCCATCTCATCTCACCCACCTGTCCCTTGACATTTTATAAATCAGTTTCCTCCCTCAGTTTCCATGGGCCTAGGAGCCCTTGGGGGCTCCAAACCTCCCCCTGCCATGTGGACTGTCTCCCCCCACCACCCACCCAGTGCCCTCCCCACCACCCCCGCTTCCCCTTTTAACAGAACGAGTAATTAACAATGTTAATTCTAATCTCATTTGCTAATGAAGGCAGTCTAATTGCACCATAATTGGCAACAGCAGCAGCAGAAAAAAACACAAAATAAACCCTGCGTGTGTAATTTGGTTTAACTTCATTATAATTACCTTGCAGGCTGGGACCGGGTGGTTGGGGGTGGGCTTGGGAGGTTGGAGAATTAAGAGAGCAGGGGAGTCAAGACCTCAGGTTAGGGGAAGGGTTAACAAATCCTTTCTCCTATCAGACTCTCCTGATTATCCCAAGACCTCAGAGATAAACCTCCACAGAGAAGTTTCTGGAAGCACTTGGCAGAGGTTCTCGTCTTGCTAACCTGTTGTGTGACCTTGGTCAGCTCTTTCTGTATAGTGAAAGGCTTGTACTCCATAATTTCTCATTTCCCACCTGCTCTCAGAGTCTAGGACTTTTTGCAATTTCATGGTTGAAATTCTTTTAACATTCTAAATTCCAGGCCTCTCTCTTTTCACCAGAAGTGAAGCTTTGCACCTAAACTTCTTGCACAGCCTTCTCCCAGCTCTACCAGGTAACCTTACTCTGATGTGGAGGATCCTGAAAAAATAAGTAAACATCTTCTCTAAACCTTAATTTAATGTCTCCCACGTCTTACCCAAGTAAGCACTACTTCAGTAACTTCCCCTGCCCAGTTTTGGAAAGAAGCGAGCACCTAAGGTATTTGTTCTGTGTATACGTATAATCATTTCCATAGCAACCAGCTGAGATTTACAATAAGCTACAAACTGCTTTTGGTTAGGGGGTGGTAGGTGAGGAAATTTTGCATCTTATGTCTCTTAGAAGACATGTCAGAGCTCTTCTTCTGAGCCTGGAGGCTGCAAACGCTGTATCAGATGTGCACATCCACTCCCCCTGTTTTTAACTGCATCATGTGGTCTTTCATTTTTTTTTTTTTCTTGAAAACATCCCTCATGGAGCCCTCCATCCTTCCACTCTCTCGTGCACTGACCTGCGTAGCTGCAATCCTGGGGTTTCTTCAGCACCCCCTGCGAAACCCCTTAGCTTCTCTCCTGTTTGGACACCATGTTTCCTGGATCCCACACCTTCATTTTTTTCTTGGCTTTTGCTTTTATTCTGGTGGAGCATGGGAGATAACATTTCTGAGACTGCTTATGAGAAGTTTAATGCCATTCAGCTTCCTGATCCTTGGTATTGAGCCAGATTTTTTTCTTTCCTTTCTGGTTTCTTTAATGTCTTTTCTTCATCCTCAGTGTTCTGAAATTTCCTAATTAAGTGGCTTTGTGTCAGGAGGCCCACTAATCTGGAAACTCACATCCTCCAGTACTAAGACATTTTCTCAAGTTACTTCGGTGATAATTGCCTTATCTCTGATTCCATTCTCTTTCTGGATCTTCTGTTAGATGTTGGATCACCTGGACAGATTTTCTGAATTTCTAATCAATTTTCTCCTGTTTTTTTTTCATTCTTTTTGTTGTAATTTGTAGGAGATCTCCTCAACATTATTCATTAACCTTCCATTGGAGTATTTTCTCTTTTTAATTCTATAAGTTCTTTTTCATTGTCTCCTGATTTTAAAAAAATAGGATCCATCCTTTTTTCCTGTCTTTTTTTCATAGATGCAGTATCTTCTCTTATTTCTCCAAGGGTAACTTTAAGGTTTTGAAATGTTCCGCGGCTTCCTGCATTGCTTTTGTTTCTTCTGAGCCCCCTTTGCCCCATTTGTTTTGTTTTGGTTGTTTTTGGTCTCCATCTTTCCTGCTGGATGCTCCAGCTGCCTGGAAGCTCATTGTGCATGTGCCTGGTGTGTGGTGGATAGGGGTGGAAGGTGATCAGGCTGGAGGATGTCATTAGGGGACAGCCCCTCTCCATCTGTCCCTAGGCTGTACTGTTTCATCAGAGAGGAATCCCCCCAGCTCCAGATTGGATGGTAGAAACTGGAGGATATTCAGCATCTTACCCTCAGCCAGATCTTATTTGTGTTCTGGATTTTAAAGTCCTACAGATTCACTTCTCTTCTCTCTTGTGCTGGGGGAGTGGGGTGGTTTCTAGAGGATCTAACTGCTTCTTATGTAGAATTTCAATCAATGCTTCTGTTTTTATTTTTAATTTTTTTAGAGATGGAGGTCTCACTATGTTGCCTAAGCTGGCCTCAAACTCCTGGGCTCAAACGATCCACCCCCATCAGCCTCCTGAGTAGCTGGGACTACAGGTGTGCACCATTGTGCCCAGCAATGCTTCTGTTTTCAGCCTGAATTTGTAGCCCCTCTTTCAGAAGCAGCTGAAGTCACCAGTACGTGAGACTTTCTGGGCTCCTGCCCTAGGAACTAGCTAGTTCGTGGGCTTCCCCCACTGCTAACTTAGGTTTCAGCCTTCTTGGGGCTCCCAAATCAGTTATTATTCATCCATCTGCTTCCCAGCCTTGAACATTTTGTTGTGGGTTGCCTCATTTTCTGTTCTCTCTGTCTTTTACTTCTTAATGAAATCCCTTTCAGTTACTTAGTGAGGGATTGGGAGGCAGAGAGTTAGAGAATGCCTTCCTCATGTGCGCACAGCACTTTTGAGTTTACACAGTCCATTCACATCCATTCTCTCATGCGTCTCCACAAGACCCCAGTAGTCCAGGCAGGGTAGGAGGTTTTATCTGCCGTGTTTAACTAGAAATTGGAACATAAATCCTTAAGCGGCATTTGAACACAAGTGAACAAGAGTTAGAAGTGAGAGGTGATTTCACTACTGTCTCCTCTGCTTCCCCATGCTCCCCACATGGAATTTAATGAGAAGTGAAATGCCATTGATGACGAGGGCCCAGTGGGAAGGGGAATTTGGAATCAGGGCTTCTAGAAACAGTCTGGGTCCAGGGCACCTGCAGTAAAATTGCTTTGATGTAGTAACTGATGATGTGAAAATTAAAAGCAGAAAATCAAAGGCAAAGCCTGATAGTGGATGGTAGGCATTGAGGGAGGCCTTTGGAACTCCTTCCCTCTCTTCTCAACTCCTATTTTTCTCTTCATGCCTATCATTTCTGCTCATGTGCATGCAGGTACGTGTGCATGCATACCTGCATGTGATATGTACATGCATCCATGTGGGTGCATATATATGTATGTGTGTATCCGGAGCACATGTATCTGCATATGCATGTGAATGTATTTGTGTGTGGGGAGGTAGGGAGCAAAAATTACAGCTTGTGAATTTCAACTTGGCATAGTAAGAAAAGCTAAGGATTTAAATTAGACCTAGATTCAAGGATGCCTGTTTTCTTAGGCCACTCGAGCTGCTGTAAGAAAATACATAGACTTACAAACAATTTAAGTTTATTTCTTATAGTCCTGGAGGCTGAGAAGTCCAAGATCAAGGCACGGGCAGATTTGATGTCTGCTGAGGGCCCATTTCTCAGTTCATAGATGGCGCTTTCTGTGTCCTCACATAGTGGAGGGGGCAGACAAGCTCTCTAGGGCCTATTTTATAAGGACACTAATCCCATTCATGAGGGCTATGGCCCTATGACCTGATCACCTCCTAAAAGGCCTTACCTTCTTTATTTTATTTTGTTTTGAGACGGAGTCTTGCTTTGTCGCCAAGGCTGGAGTGCAGTGGCGCAGTCTCGGCTCACTGCAATCTCCACCTCCTGGTTGCAGGCAATTCTCCTGCCTCAGCTTCCCGAGTAGCTGGGATTACAGATGTGTGCCACCATGCCCGGCTAACTTATTTTTTATTTTTAGCAGAGACAGGGTTTCACCATGCTGGCCAGGCTGGTCTTGAACTCCTGACCTTGTGATCTGCCCACCTCAGCCTCCTAAAGTGCTGGGATTACAGGCGTGAGCCATCACACCCTGCCTAAGACCTTACCATCTAATGCCATCACCTTGGGGGTTAGAATTCCAACATGAATTTTGGGGGGAACACGAACATTCAGACCACACTACCCATACACTTTTAGGCAATGCTCTTGCCTTATCTGAATCGCTGCTTTCTTACCTGTAAAATGAGGCTTATGATGTCAAAGCTGGCTACCACGTCGTGTGGGTGCTTTGAGAGTTCCTAGAGCCGTCTGTGGGAAAACGCTTTGTAAAGCGTCAAGGCTTATGCAAGTATCATTCATTCATTCATCTGAGAAACACTTACTGAGCAGGGTCTCCATCCTGAGGAGCACACTTTCTCTTGGAGACAGAGACAGGCATGTACCCTACGCTGCACAGAGAGCCTGGAGGAGCACAGGGGAGGGGAGGATGGGTGTGAGCTGGAGGAGGAGGAGGCCCTTTAGTGGTCCTGGTTGGGAGTGCTGGATGTGGAGTCGATATTGGACAGGGAAGTGGAGGCAAGCAGCCTGGGTTAAAACACCTTCAGGCAGAGGAACACAAGTGCAAAGACATGAATGTGAGAGAGAGTGTGACCTATCAGTGATGTGCCACGAGTGGGTCTCAGGGACAGTGGTCCAGCCCCGAGTGCCACGATGCTCTGGCCCACTGCCTCCCTCCCCTTCCACTGGGAAGGGGTTCACTCTAGAGCCCATTCTTTTATTCACTCTTGAATGTAACAAGTATTTATTAAGCTCCCACTCTGTGCTGACCCAGTGGCAGGCTCTGGGGATGCAGCAAGGAACCCACCCAGTGGCACCTGAAGCCATGAGGAGCCCCTATTAACAGCCCCAGCTCCCATCACCCCTCCACCTGCTCAGGCTGGCTATGAAGATTCATCCAGAACAATGTCACTGCAGAATTTTATGCTGTTTTTCCCCCTTCCAGGGGAACGTCTGCCAATGGCTTTTACGATGCTGAATAAAATGCTTTTTTTCCCCTTTAGATATTTTTATTTCACCTTTAAAGGATGTACAGTAAGGGTGAGAACATCTCGATGAAATCTCTGCAGTAAATAACTCTTGGATCCCTTTCCCATACAAGTGAAAGGACAAAAGGATGATATGCTGAGATGGCCTCTTCACCTGCACCAATGCCAGGGCCAGGGTGGGTCTCAGCTACCCACCCCCAGGTACGGAGGGTCTGGAGGAAGGGGGGCGAGGCCCTCTATGGCCCCTGGGGTCCATGTGTCCTAGCCACTCTCCCCGTCTCTGGGAAGGGGCTGAGGGTCCTTGGCCTGCTAGAGTGCATGCCACATGCTGTGCTGGGTACTTCACGTTGGTGTGAGTGTTAAGTGGACAGGACTGCGGATCTGGTCTGCCTGAATTTGGCTCCTGCCTCTTTCACTTGCTAGCTGAGAGAACTTGGCCAAGTGACTTGACTTTCTGTGGCTCAGTTGCCTCATCTGTAAAATGGAAATGAATGTGTTTACTGATTAGGGTTGTTGGGATGAATACATAAATTCATGCCGGTAAAGAACCTAGAAGAGTGTCTAGGATATAGAGAAATGTCAACAAATGTCAGCTGTTTTATTATCCTTCTTATTTCCTCTTTGCCTCAGCTGAGCTGGCCTTGGCTGCATGCCTGTCTTACCTCTCAGCTGATGGTGTTTACAAAGGTCCAGCCTTACACCAACCTATGAGAAGGGTGAGGCTTGGGAGAGTTGAGTGACCTGTGTGAGGTCACCGAGGGGAGAGTTTAGGGGGTTTTCAGGGTTCAGGGGACAGTGGGGCTGAAGGATAAGTCTCTTTCTCTATAAAGCAGCCCCCGGGAGACCTGCACAGCCCCTGAAAGTTCAACTCCAGAAGAATCATTTGGAGATTTTCCTCTTGGAGCTGGAAGGCAGACCCAGAAGAGGTCAGGGGGTGGGTGACTTCCCTAGCAGAGATCCAGGGTCTGCATACACCTGTCTCCACTGACTCCTGGTCCTAATCTCACTCTTCTCTGCAGTGAATCCATTGAGGGTGGATTCATCCACTTGGGGGCATCAGACTTAAGAGGTTGCCCTTTGATCCCCAGACCCAGGAAGGGGGGCACCCATGGTCAAAACCAGTGGAGATTCAAATGCTTGACTCTAAGCTGGGCTGTGCTCTGTGTTGTGGGTGGCAGGGGTTGGGTCGTGGCCAGGGGGCTTGGGGTCAGCTATGACACATGCCTACAGGCTCTGCTGGACTGAGAGGTACTGACTGCAACTGTTTTTCATGAAGCTGTCAGCTGGGCCCCCGGGGCACAAGGAGCTGGCTGGGCAGAAAATCATCAATTTACACAGATGATGAGTCAGAGGCTTGGGTGGGGCAAGGGCCTGGGGGTCAGCAGGGCAGCATTGGAGGAGCTCTGTCGGGAGATCATGACATAAACAGGCTCAACTCCGCTCTGGTGGCCCTGACCCCACTCACCCAACCCCACTGCAGAGGCTTCCCTTTGATGCTCAGGTCAGTTCAGCAAACCTGGCCTCAGCCTCAGCTCCATGCCAGGAACTGAGCTAGTGCTGGGAATAGAGAGAGACCGCAGTCTCTGCCCTCAAGAAGCTGGGTCTGATGGTGGAGATGAATACTTACACAGGCAACCCACCATGTGATATTCATCATGAGAGAAGCACAGGAGAGGGCTGGCTCTGGAACTTGATTGCCTATGTTTAAATCTTGGCTCAGCCTCCCCCTAGCTTTAGGACAGTGTGCACGTTATTGAACCTCTCCTTGCCTCAGTTTTCGCATCTGTGAAATGGGATGAACTGTAAGCTCTTTGTGACTATTATCGGTGGGTAACAAATACCTCACACTCAGAGATGTAAAGAAACGACCACTTTACTATGCCTGGACAGATCCTGTGGTCAGGAATTTAGGAAGGGCAGCAGGTGGTTTGTCCCTGCTCCACGATGTGGGGGGCCTCAGCTGGAGGACTCAAATATTTAAGGGGGATGTGAGTGGCTGGAATCATCTGGAGACTTCTCACTCACATGTGACTCCAAGGCTGGACTCAGCTGGGACTGCCAACGAGAGCACCCACGAGTGGCCTCTCTGTGTGGCTTGGGCTTTTCCCAGTGTGGTGCACTGGTTCTGGGAGGCACATCCTGGGAGGAAATGTCTGGAGGGTGAGCATTTCGAGAGACCATGGTGGAAGCCATGTGACTTTTTATAGCCCAGCCTTAGATGCTACATTGCATCCCTTCCACTGCACTCCTATTGGTCTAGGCTGTCACAAGCCTGCCCAGGTTTACGCGGAAGGGATGGTTTTAAAACTGTCACTCTGCCTCATAGATTTGGATAATTTAATTAAGGAGACATATGCAGGGTCCAGGACAATGCCTGGCGTATAGTATTATTATAGTTGTTAACAAATGTATTATAGTAAGTAATACTTAAATGTTAAGTTTTACTATAATTAGTAAAGTATAAATAAATGTTAAGTATTATACTTAGTGCTGTTGGAGGAAGGAAGTGGTAAGGAAAGGTTTCAGAGAAAAGGTGCTATCTGAGCAGGGTTTTGAAGGATGAATAGGAGTTTGCTATGAACCTTTTAAGGAACACAGTTTAGGTAGGGGAAACAGCTTGGGCAAAGTCACAGGAGGCTTGAAACAATGACATGCTTGGGGGAAACCATGAGTAGTCTGGTGTTCTTGCAGCACTGAGGGCAAGGAAGAGCATGGCTGAAGTGAAGTTGGAGGGTTGGTGAGGTAACAGGGTCTTGTGGGCCTGACCGAGAAGTCTGGGTTTTGTTCTGAGAGGATCAGGGAGCCATGGAGGGTTTCAAGCAGGAGAGTGACATGGCCAGGTTTGTCAGATCATTGTGGCAGCATTGTGGAGGAAGTGTTGGAGGGAGTAAAGTGAAGTCTAGGGGCTAGTGGGGAGGCCCTAACAGAACAAGGGACTGACCTAAGGGTGTGGCAGTGGGGACTGAGGGAGGGAGAGGATGCAGAGCCATCTAAGCCATGATGTTCATTGAGCAGGGGATCATGGGAGGTGGGAGTGGTCCAGGGAGGTTGAGGCCTGTGACAGGAGCGCTAGGTTGGATGACATCGTTCTCATTGCTGAGCAGAGGCAGGGGTGTGTGGCCACCTCTCACCCTCCTCTGGGCCAGGCCTTCAGCCTGCCACCTCGCTAGAGGATGCCTTTAACCACACCTTTGTCTCCTTCCAAACTGGGCCACGCAGCTTGGGGTCCGATGGGTCATGGAGGTGAAGGAGAAAGAGTAGAGGAGGACTCCCTCATGACAGCAAGGTCAATGTCTTTTGCCTCCAGTGCCCCAAGTTTGTGAAACCTTTCCCAGGAACAGAGGGGGCCTCTTTCCTCAAAGACTTTCCATGGGGTGAGGGCCAAGTGTTGGTGATCTTGGCTGGGGGTGACTTGGGCCACAGAATGGCAGAATTCTAGAACGCTGGAATGGGGGACCCCTGAAGGGAAGCCCTGAGTCTGGTACTAGACAAGACGGGGTTTGAGCCCTAACTCTGCCTCTTCCTGGCTGTGTGGTCAGGGTGCTGTACAGAATGGAGGCCACATTCCCACCTTCCACACAGCCTGTGGGGTAGGGGGTTAAATGGGACCACAGACAGGAATATGATTGAGAAGTGCTTGTTACACCTGAGATGCCATGCCAGAAGAGAAATCTGGAGCTCAGAGAGGAAAAGAATTGCTCAGGGCCACCCAGTAAATGAGTGGCGAAGCCAGAGCTCCAAGCTGAGCCACCTGATTCCCTTCCAAGGCTCCCGTCCCCTCCCCAAGCACCCAAGGGGGACAGGGCTATCCACTTGTATTTCATACTCCTCCCCAGTGTGGTCGTCTGGGAAAATTAGCTCCCTGCCTTCTGGAGCCATCTCTCACTTGTGTCTGAAGACCCAGTTACACAGGGATGGGAGAGCACAGAACAGAGATTTCTGCCAGTATCCCTACCTCCTGGCTGGAGGACAGAAGTGGCCTCTTTCTCAGAGAGAGTACTTTGTCTTCAACCACTAGATCTGGGTTCTAGTTCTGGCTCTGACACTTTCTAGTGGAGCGACCCTGGGCAATCACTTCTTCCTGGCCCTCAGAGTTTCCTCCTCTATGCAGATAAATGTTTTGTAAGTCTATGATTTGCGGAGTGACCATGCTGCATGTGACAGCATAAACGTGGGATTTGGGCCAGGAGAGCAACAATCAGCAGAGTATAGCACAGAGGTCAAGATGCAGGTGCTGGAGCCAGCATCCTGGAGCCGGCAGCTCTGTGACCCTGCACCCAACTCTGTGATCCTTCCCACCCCCGCACCTTAATTTCCTCACCAACAAATGGAGATCCAGCGAGATAATGCATCCCAAGTGCTATCAGAGTATGGAGCCATGACAAACATTCAAAGAATATCAGTCATTAGATGTGCTGAGAGCTATGGCATGCATGCATTTTATTTACCAAGACTCCTCAGCTGGTCAAATCATCCTGACAACCCTGAGAGGTGGTGGGGCAGAGACGTGACTATGTGCTCTCCAGACCCAGGTTCCTTTTTCTTCCAGACACACAGTGGACTACACTTGCCAGCCTCCCTGCAGCTCGGGCCATGTGACCTAGATCTGGCCAGTGAAAAATGGGCAGATGCAATGCACGCTGTGGCATGCAGGCTGGCCCCTCAGAGACCTCCTGTGTGAGGCTTGTGCACCCTTTCCTCCTTCCTCTGCTGACTAGCTGCAGAGGATCCCTCAAAGGATCTAGAGCAATGATTCTCAGCCGGGGGCGATTTTGCCTATGGGGCAACATTTGGCAACATCTAGAGACATTTTCGGTTGTCACAACTTGGGGGAGTGCTACTGGTGTCTAGTGGGTAGAGGCCAGGGATGCCACTAAGCATCCTACCATGCACAGGACAGCCCCCACAATAATTATCCAGCAGATGTCAACAGTACTGAGACTGAGAAACCTGGGTCTAGAGGTGGAGTTAGCCCTGCTGCCAACTCCATATTAGACTGTAAGAAGAAGAAATATGGTGTTATAATGTTAAACTACTGAGATTTTTAGGATTTTTTGTTGGAACAGTTGGCCTACCTTGACAAATGCAGGTTGCTATGATTATGTCCATTTAATTGACGGTAACTGAGATATAAAGTTACGGGACTTGTAAGTGACAAAAGGTGGGTTTGAACCACTTTTGTCTGGCTCTAAAGCCTGTGCTTGCCTTGGTATAGAGGTATAGTGCAGCCTCTTTTCAGCTCCTGATTCTGTCCCCTCTGTCTGCATCCCCTGGGGGATTTCACGTAGAGCAGCAGCAGAACCAATCACCAAGTTGCTGCCAGGGCTTCCCGGCGCAGGGTCCTCCTGCTATTGGGTGGAGTATACTCCCCAGAATAAGCTGGTTGTGTCCTTCACGGTCCCATCCCAGGCAGCTCATGTTGGTTATCTGTGACACCGGCTCCCTTAAAAAGGGTTGGCACATACTCCCTGTATGGGCCCACTGCCCCACTACAAGGAGCCCCCTTATCCACTCTGTCCTCCTCCCAAGCCAGCCCCCACCTGCTCCTGGTTTGAATTTCCAGGCAGGTGTCTGGAGGCGTCTTGGCTCCCAGTTAATTTCCTGATTTGGCTTCCTGAAAGGCAGGAGGGCTTGGAGGTGGCTGCCTGGAGCGATGAGGAGATAGTGATGTCTGCTCTGGCTTCCTGCCTGTCTGTGGGGACACCCTGCCCATCAGCCTACAGAGGGCCCCTCCCTGGCAGTCCATGCAGAGGGATTTGAGGGTGGGGACTGGCAAGCCGAGCTGCAGGTGGGCTGCAGAGCCTCATCCAGGAAAAACATGGATGTTCAAGCTTTTGAGTGTGTGTGTGCCTGCGAATATGTGTGGTGCCTACACACTGAGAGTAGATGCCCAAGATTGTAGGAGCCTCCAACATGTCATTTGGCTCAATCCTCTGTGTCCACACAAGTTAGCACCTTTCCAGAGGATTTTGATCTTTTGAAAAAGTACCAAGAGTAAAAGATCTCTTTTACTTAGGTAACTTTCAAGGGTGAACTCAAGCCTGTACCAGTTCTTTGACACGCAGGTAATCCTTCCTTGAAACTGCTCCAAGTTTCTCTTGCTGGTCTGAGTCCATTGCCTCTATTTTGTGGAACTAGGTGACACTTTTTTTTTTGCCTCCCTGATGTAAACCCTTCAAGCACCTGCAAACAGAAATTGAGTGCTTCCCTGAAAATACTTCCCAGATTCTCTTTTGCAGACCAAGCAATTCCACCTACCCAGCCTTTCTTCATGGAGGATGATGGCTGGGGACATGTACAGTAGGCAAAGTGTGCTTGCAAGGTGCCTCTTCTCTCCTTTTTGGAGGTTTCTCTCTCTCTTTAAAAGTCCTCATGGCTGCAGAAAAAGCACAGTTTTTGGGGGCCTAGCAGGCGTGGGCTTCAATCTCAGCCAGGTTATTTAACTGCTCTGAGCAGGGCTCAGTTCTGGCACTTTGCTCAGAGCAAGCCACAGAGCAGATGCTCAATCAATGTTTATTTCTCCCCACTGCCTTCCTTCAGGTGCCCGTGCACTCCCCACCCTTCCTACTTTGTCTCTGGCTGCTGCTGTCTGAGAAACGACCAGAGGCACTCATGACCCACACCAAACCTGGTTAGCTGGGTGGCACTGGCACATGCCATGTGCGTAGGAACAGGAAGCAGGCCCCAGACACAGGGAAGGGAGAGGGCTTTCCTTGTTGTCTCTGCTCATGGAGTCCACTCTCCACCCCTCTGGCTGCTGAGTCATTCTCTCAGCACCTTCTCTCTGTGTCTGTGTTATTCTATCAGCCCCAATGCCTCTGTCTGTTGAAGCACTGACCGGTTTTGCCAGGTGTGATATAGGGTCCCTTCATTCCCCTACAGCAGGATGTCCCAGGTTTCTTAGAATCCTAGAGTGCTGGAGCCATTTTCTAGATGGGGAAACAGAGGCCCAGAATGGGGTCCTGATCTACCCGAGGCCTCCAATCAAGTGGGGGTGAGATCCCAGGTATCTTGACTACAGGCCCAGTTTTATCTCTGTCAGAAGTGGAGCTTTGTTGTGAATCTGACTCCCTAGGAGGGTCAGACCTTTCAAATGCTGTGATGCAAAGCTCTCTGAACACAGCAGGGGCACAAGAGGGGTCTGTCTAAAGAGTTGCCTCTCTCTTTTTCAGGAGCAGGAGGAAGATGGTCTGGGCTGCGCTGAGCATAGGAGGCTTTGGGGGGATCGCAGCTCATTTTCCTGAAGACTGGTGTAGCATTAAGTTCTTATGTCCGCCAGCAGCCTTTCAAATTGGCTACTGCCACCCCTGTCTGTGTGTTACATAAATCCTCACAGCGATCTGCAGAGACAAGAAGCAATTAGGCGAGTGAGGTAGGGAGAGAGCGAGAGAGTGAGAGAGCGAGAGGGCGAGAGAGAGAGAGTGCACACAGAGATACACACATAGATTCAGATAGAGACAGAAAGAGAAAGTGAGAGACAGAGACAGAGAGGGAGAGAGATGGTAGGACTCAGACAGAAGAAACATAATCACACAGAGACAGACAGTGAGGCAGAGAGATGAAGTCAAAAGAGAAACTGAGAAGAGGGAGAAGACAAAGAAGACAAACAGCAAATCCGAGGCAGAAAGGGACACACAGAGATATACAGAGTGAGGCAGAGAGAGAGGAAAGCAGGAACAGAGACACTCAGAGACAGAGGAGGGAGAATTGTGGACACACACACAGACACAAAGGGAGGCTCAGTTAGACAGACATAACAATTGACTTAAAAAGAGATGCAGCCAGGCGCAGTGGATCACACCTGTAATCCCAGCACTTTGGGAGGCTGAGGTGGGCGGATCACCTGAGGTCAGGAGTTCGAGACCAGCCTGGCCAACATGGTGAAACCCCGTCTCTACTAAAATGCAAAAATTAGCTGGGTGTGGTGGTGGATGCCTGTAATCCTAGCTACTTGGGAGGCTGAGGCAGGAGAATCACTTGAGCCCAGAAGGCAGAGGTTGCAGTGAGCCGAGATTGCACCACTGCACTCCAGCCTGGGTAACAGAGCCAGACTCCATCTAAAAAAAAAAAAAAAAAAAGTAGACAGAGAGAAACGCAAAGACACAAAGCAAGAAAGCAAGCAAAGGGATCCAGAGAAGATGTGTTTTCCTTTAGCAAAATTTAGAGATTAAAGGGGACTAGAAAAATAATTGTGTAGAAGTTTATGTTTTCATACACACTTGAGCTTTGCCAAAACACTGTGGGGTAGAATGCACAGTGACTATTATCACCTACATTTTAAAGGCAGGAAAGTGGAAGGTCAGTGAGATACAGTAAAATCCAGAGCCCGCTGAGCCAGCCAAAGGCAGGATGGTGTTTGCACCCGGACTGGCCTCACTAGCAAGGTTGACGTTGCTCTGTGCATCTTAATGGCACTGAGCACCTTCATTGAGTGGCCCCAGGAGCCAGGGACATGCTAAGATGCTCTGGATTCTGTGTCTAGTATATCTTCTCATGCTGGGGTGGCGGTGGAGGTCACTCGGGAAGTACAGCAAATTTGTGATTTATGCCAGCCCGGTATAAATCTTGCCCCTGGTTGGAAACTTGCCTCCTCCACTCTGTGAGTCAGAATGCTCACTGCAGTTAGTTTTGAGCATTGAATGCTCAGAATTAACTGTGTGCTTCTTGTTCACCTAAAACCCTGACCACAAATGGATACCTACTCTTTTTTTTTTTTGCAAGAGTCTTGCTCTGCTGCCCAGGCTGGAGTGCAGTGGTGCAATCTTGGCTCACTGCAACTTCCACCTCCTGGGCTCAAGTGATTCTCCCACCTCAGCCCCCCAGTAGCTGGGACTACAGGTGCCTGCCACCACACCTGGCTAATTTTTGTATTTTTTGTAGAAATAGGGTTTTACCATGTTTCCCAGGCTGGTCTTGAAATCCTGGGCTCAAGTAATCTTCCTGTCTTGGCCTCCCAAAACGCTGGGATTACAGGTGTGAGCTACTGTGCCCGGCTGACACCTGCTCTTATATGAAATGAGATGCCCAGTGCTTCTGATAGCAACTAGGGACTTTAAGAAGAAGACACTTCCTCTCTCCGTCCCTCCCTTTCTCTCTCCCTCTTATTCATTTTTCAAATGTTCAATATGTGTCAGGCAACCGCACTAAGTATTGAGGAATATGACAGTGAACCAAATGGATAAAAATCTCTGCTCTCAAGGACTTTTCATTTTAGAGGGCAGAGACAAAAAACTAAATAAATAAGATATACAGCATTATTAATGAGGATGAGTGTTGTTGAGAAAGAAGTAAAGTACAGAAAGGGGTTGGGGTATCTGCAGTGCAATTTGAAGATGACAGCTGGGGAAGGCCTTACCTAGCAGATGACGTCTGAGTAAAGAACTGAAGGCGGGGAGGAAGCCATATGAGTATCTGTACATGTGCAAAGTCCCTGAGGCAGGAGCAGGCCTGCAGGAGTGAGGGACAGCAGAGAGGCTGGTGTGGCTAGGGGAGAAAGGATGCAGGGGAGAGTGGGAGGTGACAGGGACAGAGAGACAAGAAGCACAGCAGGCAAGGCCCTGTGGACCATTGCTCTGACTCTGGCTTTTACCCTGAGTGAGACCGCTGTGGGGGTTTGGAGCAGAGCAGTGCCATGACCTTACATCTTAACACCATGGCTCTGATGGCTGGGTGGAGCCTAGTGTGAAGGGGGCAAGAACCGGAGCAGGGAGATGCATTTTTCAACATTAGTGAGGTTCCATGAGGTGGCAAGATGAAAAAGCTCAGTACCTGCTCTGGCATAGAGTTGTATTTAGTAGGAGGTAAGGGGGTCATGGGGATGGGTGACCTTCACTGCCACACTGTACGCCCCAGAGGGAAGAAAGGGCTGAACTTGCAAGGCAAGCTTCTGAGCTAGACATAGGAGGGAGGGCAAGGAAAGCAATTTTGTTAAATACATATTAGGTGCTGAGCACTGTTCATACCAATACAATTTAATTTAAATCATCACACCAGCTTAGAAGGCATTTTCCCCTTTTTATAGACAAGGCCCCCGAGACTCACAGTAGTTAATTAAGGAGCTTGACTGAGCTTATGCAGAAAGTGGGAGCTTTGGTGTCCAAACAGACGCTGCCTGCTTGTGCAACCCCCATGTGCGCTTCTGGGCCTGATGTCTCCCCAGGTACCCTCTCCTTATTCCCGCATCTAGGAAATTCCAGGGCCTGTTGGTTCCTCCTAAGGATATAGCATCTTGGTTCCCTCCATTCCTCTTTGTTCCCTCCACCACCACCACCAGGGTCTGAGCTGGCATTGTCTCTCTCCAGGACTGTTCTCATGGCTTCCTTTTCTGTGTTTTTGTTTTTCTTTTGTTTTCTGAGACAGGGTCTTGCTCTCTTGTCCAGGCTGGAGGGCAATGGCGTGAACATGGCTCATGGCAGCCTCCACCCCGCTGGTCTCAAGGTGAGAGAATCTCACCTCAGCCTCCTGGGTTACTGAGACTACAGGCACGCACCACCATGCCCAGCAAATTGTTTTAATTTTTTTTTTTGTAGAGACAGGGTCTTGCCATGTTGTTCAGGCTGGTCTGAAACTCCTGGCTTCAAGCAATCCTCCCACCTTGGCTTTCCAAAGTGCTGGGATTATAGGCACGAGCCACCGAGCCAGCCCTCTCACGGCCTCCTAACAGGTCTGCTGTGTCTGCGTTCTTCAGGCTGCAGCTAGAGTGGGCTATTAAAGATGCAAATCTTCTCCAGTTTCTCCCTGTTTGAAACCCTTCAGTCACTTCCAGCCACTCTCAGGATAAAATTCAAAACCCTTACTACCACATTCAAGGACCTGCACCAGCAGGCAGAGGCCTGACCCTTTGGCCCCATCTGCAGAGTCCCCACCCTGGGGGCTCTCTTTAGTGCTTGAGAAAATGAGTCAAGCCATTTCCTGCCTCAAGGCTTTGAATAAGCTATTTCTTCCGCCTGGAACACTCCTCTGCAATCCTCTTTCTGGAGCAAGCCCACTCACCTTTCAGGTTTCAGATACCAAGTTGCTTTCTCAGGGGCCTCCCCTGATCACTGGAGAAGTCAGTGTCCCGAGCACATGCCTTTTCTAGCACTCAGGATTTTACTTCAACGTTCATCATGGGGCAAAGACAGGAAGCAGGGAAGGAATGAAAGATGCCAGTGGATGGGGAATAGAATGTGAGGCATCAGGCCATGCAAGGGTCAGCAATAAGCCACCACTACACCTACAGGGAATACTGGCTCCAAGGACAAGTGGACCCGTCCAGGGCCATGTGCGTAGTGAGCTGCAGGCAGCGCCTGCACCCTGTCCTTCTGACCTTAAGATAGTTACAATTCCTTGATGTCTCTTGTCCACTTCTCATCTTCCTCCCCTACATTCACCAGAGAGAGGGCCGGGGAGAAAACTAGGGACGTGAGACCCTGAGAAATGAGCCGTTTGTTCCCAAGAACTCAGTGAGGGTGGAACTTGGTCAGAAACACCAGCACCCATTTCCCACCTGGACCCACTCCCGCCAAGCCACCAACCGGTTCCCATAGGTGGGGCAGGGATCCCTCGTTGCCCTCGTCACTTGCACCCTTCCCAGCAGCTGGAGAGATAGACAGACCTACCCAGCCCGGCCCTCTACCCCTGCTGTTGCAGTGGGGTGGGGAGGGGGCTGGAGCCTGCTGTCCCCTCCCTCGTTTCACTCTTCGCTCACTGTTTCATCAGAGCCCCACTGCTCCCAGCTCTCTAGCGCTAGACACATTTTAAGCAGAGGGCTGGGGGGCCAAGGCTGGGGAGAAAATGGTGTTGGTGGTGAGTGATCATGACAGCGAGTGACTCCAGAAGCAGTCAGGGATGCCTCACTTTCCCTCTGGGGAATCTCACCTTCAAAACAGCCTTGGAAATGGAATGCATTGGCTTAAGAGAAATCAGACCTCAGGTCGAATGAAATCAGGAAGCAAGCTCAAAAGAAGCAAAATTCCCTTTTCTTCTGTTCTATTCTCCTGTGTTCAGTACCCACAGGGCTCTGAATTTTGCAGATGCCTGCCTACTCTCGCTTAATCCTAGAAAGTGAGAGGAGCCTTGGGGACCAGGACAGGGAGACAATGATTGCAGGTAATGAGGAAGGTCACTGGTGGTGAAACACAGTTTTTCCTGTCCTGGTCTCTGGGACTTTGATTTTATCCTGACTTTGTTGGGAGCAGATCTGGTCTGACATTAGGCTTGTTATTTGTCTGTCTTCATCGTCTAGCCTCCTGTGACAATTCCCATTGGTGCTGGCTTCTTGCACAAGGCATGAGGGTGGTGCACTGTAAAGGACACAGACTGGGAGCTGGGAGCCTGGACTGAAAAGCTATGTGATCTGAGGCCTCACCTCTCCTCTTCAGTCCCCATTTATGACTAGAGGTCATCAGGGCCCCTGGGTGGATGGCAGCAGGTCAGTGTGGCCAATGCATGTGGCCAGGCCCTCTGGGAGGTAACGGATTCAGCGGGGATGAGGCCTTGGCTGACACCGGACCCTGCAGGTCTAGGCTTCTTGCACTGGAAACTCCAGACTGGCCTTCTCTCACCTGGCTCCTTCCCCACACCTTGGCATCCTCATTGGGGTCCTGACCCCAATCTGCTTCTGATATACTGATGGGAATTTCCCTCCAACGTAGCAGTGACCTCCATGAATCTCAGCTCCTCCAGGGTGCAGGACACTTTATTTAGCAGACACAGGGCTGCGGATCCCTGTCTCTTTCTTCCTGACACCCTGGCCAGAGATAATTGTGGGACCAGATGGAAATGTAGGGTTTGCGGAAGGATGCTTCTCTTTTAGATCTGGGCCTGTCTCTGTGGTGGTGGTGGGGATGGGCTCCCCCAGGGGAATGTGGGCTTGCAGGGATGAAGTCTCTGTTTATCCATCCTGGGGTTGGTGTTAGGAACAAGCACCAGGGAGTAGAAGACAGGATGCAGCTCTGGCTTAGGTTCTAACTTACTCTGAACATCTCTTCCTCTCTGTGGGCCTCAGTCTCCTTATCTGTAAAATGAGACCATGGGACCATGGCAAATAATGGTTCATAGGCTCCTGCATCAGAACCATCTGGCTGCTTGTTTAAAATGTCGAGGACCAGTGCCCTTTACAGACCTTTGGAATCAGAGCTCCTGGAGAAGCGCCTGGGTATCTACTTTTTTTTTTGAGACGGAGTCTTGCTCTGTCGCCCAGACTGGAGTGCAGTGGTGTGATCTCGGCTCACTGCAACTTCCGCCTCCTGGGTTCATGCCATTCTCCTGCCTCAGCCTCCTGAGTAGCTGGGACTACAGGTGCCTGTCACCACACCTGGCTAATTTTTTTGTATTTTTAGTAGAGATGAGGTTTCACCATGTTAGCCAGGATAATCTCTATCTCTTGACCTTGTGATCCGCCCGCCTCGGCCTCCCAAAGTGCTGGGATTACAGGCGTGAGCTACCGCGCCTGGCTGGAATCTACATTTTCAAAAATCACACCGGATGTTCTGATGCATGTGAAGTTTGAGTTGACTATGGCCTGAGCAGATGATCCTTAAGCACCCACTGGCATGAGTGCCATCCCAGCTGGACTCTTCATGCTTGGCATGTGATTGGGTGTTAGGTGCTGTGTGCCAATGTCACATGTCATGTGAAGTCCTAGAAGACAATTGGGGGAGTTCTAACCCAGAGAAGAGACTATGAAGAAGGGAACAGTCATCATCTTCAGGGGATGCCATGGGGAGAGATTGGGCTTCTTCTGTGTGATCCTGGAGTTGGATCTAGGGCTCTGGGTGAATGTTGCAGGAAGGAAGTGCTTCTAACAATCAGAGCTCCACAGGGTGTCTTCCATGGTAGTGAATGCCCCATCAGTGTAGGAGTGTGGGCAGATGTTGTGTGCTCTCCTGGGGAAAATGTTGTAGAAGAGATTCTAGCTGCAGGTGGGGAGACACTGGGTTTGAAGATATTTATGAAGGTGGCTTCTAAGTCAGAGCTGCTAGGATTCTATAAAAATCAAGGAGTTTTACTTGCCCAGGGTTTAAAGCAATGTGTGTACACCCACGCACACTCCTACTCACACATGTACAAAGAGACATTCATGTGTACAAACCTTCAGACACGTGTGTACATGCACATGTTTACCTACATGCTACAGAGCATGTTTTCATATATAAGGGCACACACACACAAGCACAAATACAGGCATCAACAAACATGCACATACCTGCCAGTTCACACAGCACACATCTGCCTCAGCCTCTTTTCTCTGGCTGTTTATTTTCCCCCACTCCAGAGCCAGGGCCTCCCCGTGCAGCTTCCAGGCTGGTCTCTGGAGTCAGAGCCTTGCTTAATCTCCATTAGCTCTCTTATTTCCTGCACCAAATTAAAAGTGTGACCAAAAGTTAATTATTCTAATTCAATTTAGCCCTAATGTTCTGTACGTGGCGATGGGGAGGCCTGCGTGGAGGTGAAGCTGGCATAGGCAGGGGGAGGAAGCGTCAGAATTTAATATGTCTTAATGACTCTTACAGGAAAATGCCCTGAAGCCTTCTTCTCTGTGGATTTTCCCTGCCACTTCCCCAGGCCCAGCCCCCAGATTTTCTGGAAACCTCGGGGTGCTTTTGGGAGCTTAGCTTTGGGAAATATTTGAGGAGATAGCAGGCCTCTCTCTGGAGGCCAGGACAGAGGTGAAAAGGTTTGTGTGTGTGCGTTCGTGTGTGTTCGTGCATGTGCACAGGTGCCTATGTTGATAGAACACAGACCAGACTGTCATGTCAGAAGGCCTCCAGAGAGATGAGCCAAGGCCTCTCTTGCTGAGCCTTCATCCTTGGATAATGCTGAGAGAACTGAAGATCACTGCTTTTGCCGGACATGGGAACAGCCAGCCCTCCTCTCCTCCACCACAAATTATTTTTCAGATCAATCCCCTCCCTCTGCCTCTCTGCTACTTAGACTTCTCCGTGTATTCTTGCTCAGGAATGTAGGATCTGGGGACTCAAATCCAGCTTTCCCCAGTAGCCATGTCTTCCCTAAACACTAAGCCTGGCCCCCACATTTGAACATGGGGCTCTTAACGGGTGCTGAGGCCAGGGGCAGCTAGGGCAGATTCTGAAAAAAAGTTAGTCCTGTCTCTACAAAAGATACAAAAAAATAAGCTGGACATCATAATGTGTGCCTGTAGTCCCAGCTTCTTGGGAGGCTGAGGTGGCAGGATGGCTTGAGCCCGGGAAGCAGAAGTTGCAATGAGCCAAGATGGTGCCACCACACTCCAGCCTGGGAGACAGAGCCAGATCCTGTCTCAAGAAAAGAAAAAAAAAAAAAAAAAAAAGAAGGAAAGGAAAAGAAAAGAAAAGAAAAAGAGTTAGCATTCTTGTCCTGAGGGTTTTTGGTCTCCTGAGAGTGTCGAGCCCAGGCCTAGGGAGATCTTAGACTGATGGAGGAGGCAGCATCCTAGTTGGGGATGACAGATCATAAGATCACAGAATCTAAGGTCTTGAGAATGTTTTTGCGTTATGTCACTGATGTCAAGCTGCTAGCTGATGCTCATGTGGCTTCTGCAACATTCTCACCTGTTTGCACAGCCAGGAGTAGAAGCTTGCTGTCTCTTAAGGTCACCTGTTGTGCCTCTGTTAACATTACCTTCCTGTGTGTGGAGCTGTAATCTGCATCCCTGGGAATTTCCTGCCACTGGTCCTAGAGCTGCTGTCTCATGTCACTTGGGTCAACTCTGCTCTAAGATGATGGATAAAGTATTTAAGGACAGTGTACAATGTTCTCTGCTG
Source organism: Homo sapiens (assembly GCF_000001405.40). Classification (NCBI taxonomy): domain Eukaryota; kingdom Metazoa; phylum Chordata; class Mammalia; order Primates; family Hominidae; genus Homo; species Homo sapiens. The sequence goes on along the minus strand of NC_000017.11, from coordinate 34,812,110 downwards.
AACCTCCTCCTCTACAGGGCAACAGTTCCTCAGCTGTTTGTCATGTGGTGAGGTTGTGAGCTAACCTGTATTAGTTGGGATAAGCCAACTGCTGTAAGAAAGACCCTGTCTGCAAATCTCAGTGGTTTAATTACCAGTAGTTGATGTGTCACTCACGTATTTGTCCAGTGCAGGTATTCAGTGGGCAACCTTCTGTGCAGTAATCCCACATCCCTGTTTCCTTCCATCTTGGAGCTCTTTCCTCTCCATTTAGACAGTGCATGGGGAAGAGAGAACCTGAAGGCTGCCTGGGAGGTTTTTATGGGTTGTGTCTGGAAGGGACGCACGTCATACTTGCCCACATTCCTTTGGCCAGCGCTCAGTCACATGGCTGCCCTACCTGCAAGAGAGGCTGCAAATAGAGTCTGGTGGTGTGCCCAAGAGGAAATGGGACACGGTTTGGGGAATAGCCAGTCTACTGTTCCATCCTTAGGTCATCCTTCTCCAAAATGCTGCAGCTTGTTCATATCCCATTTAAGGGAGATGCTCAGACATTTGAAAAAATAGGGGGCTAGGTATGGCCTGATCAGGTACTAATAGGAGCTCACCATTTCCTGAGCATATAGTATGTTCTAAGGAGCGATGTGCTGGGGCCGGCTCACACCAGCTCCTGAAAGCCAATTTGGCACATCTCTTCCCTGCTCCCATTTCAGGGACATCATATTTGTATCTTGAAACAAGTCTTGAGGGGAGTGTTGAAATCAAGGAAATGGACACATGCTGCAAGCCAGGGCTCCTCCCCAGCCCCTCAAGCTTGTGTCAGCACCCAACCCCCTGGCTTTACCTGTTGTTTTGCAGGAGCCTCACAAGACTCTTATGAAGCAGGCTCTGCCATTTCTATTTTATGGTTTAAAAAACTAAGGTCACAGGATTTGCCCAGCCAGTGCAGAAAGGGGCCAGACCCTGCTTCCCTGTTCTGGATGCATCCATCTCTTAGTTATTTCCTTCGGATGGCTGTCAGGATGGGAAGAGCTGAGCCCCGACCTCAGCTGCTGGTCTTATGCAGGGTGCCATGTCTCCTCCTCTGCATTGTCACCTCCTTGTGGCCAGGACCAGGTCTCAGTCTTTGTTCAGGGAAGTATCCAGCACATCAGCACACAGTAGGAGTTAAGCAAATACCTGTTTAACCAAATCTAGTAGGCCTTGTTCTGGGGAAGCCTCCAGCCGGTGAGGGAGAATAGACCTTTTCCCGACAGAACTCCCAATCTGATGGGGGAGGAAGTGCCCTGTTGTGTGGGTGCTCCAGCCCGAAAAAGGGATAAAGGCCTCCACTCACAGAAGCCCCAATCTGAAGACATGAGGAGTCTTGGCCTGGGTCCTACGGGGGCTTGCAGTTATTTGCAGAGCCATCGTTCTTTTCCATCAGGAACTCCTAATCAAACGGAGAAGGATTTAGATCCAACCTCCCTCATCAGAGTGTATTGGTGGCTATGGATGAAGTTTGGCTGGGAATCAGGGGAGAGAGGAGGATTAATCTGTAGGGAGTGTGGGTGGTATCCTCTACCCCTATGGCCAAGAGCTACTCGAGTCTATATGCCCCAGCACGATGTCTTCCCTTCCAAGAGCTCAGGGACGTGAGTGCAGGTCAAGGGAAGTGAATGCTCCACAAAGAAAGGCCTGATGCCTCTCTTCTGTCCCCTGCAGTTTGAGCCTTCATTCTTACCTTCTCATGAGAACATGCCGTAGATACAGGGCTGGGCAGTGGTTAGGAACAGGGGCTGAGTGCTGGGCCAAAGAGAGGGGATGTGTCTCCAGATGCAGCCCACTGGCCTCCCTGTGTTCCTGCATAGGAAGTGCTGGGGTCTAATTATTAGGAGCACTGATCTGTAGCGTGCATTAGGAGGAAACAAAGGGAAGTTATATTTTGTTCTTAATCCAATTAGGGAAAAATACCAGGTATGGTAGGTTTGTCTGTTACTTACTGGCTCAGCCAGCCATTCACCTGGGCATTCTGGCTTACTGCCTCCAGAAAGGCACAAGGAGTAAGTTAGCAGCCTGAGTGGCTGAAGGGTGAACCAGGAGGAAGGATGAGTGTGCATGGTAAGGGCAGGGGGTCATCTCCAGGATGAATGGGAAGTTGCCTGGACTTCACCTTTAGGCGACCCCAACACTGACCTTCTCACTAGACAGTAGGCATCTAGATACTAACCAACAGGATAGAGTTTGGTATAGGAAACTTCAGGGTTTCTCTATACCCTTGAAGGTTGGGCTGGATTTATATTTTCTGATAATCCTTTCTCCTCTTCCACTTCCTCTTCTCTCTCTCTTTTCTTTTCTTTCTCTTCTTCATACTTTAGGATTTATGAGGATGGTGAAGAGTGGAGAGGGGTTCCCAGCAAAGGATTTAGCATGAGTAAAATCAAGGAGGGATAGAAGAACCATCCTGAGCTAGAGGAGGTTTGAGAAGGAGAATACTGAGAGGTGAGACTGGACCAAATGTAAATGACCTTGAATGTCAGCCTGAGAGGTCTTTGAAGTCAGGGGCTGTGACTGATTCATTGTTGCATCTCCCGTACCTACCACCATCTAGCACATAGTAAGTGTTCAGTGAATATTTGCTGAGAAAATGAATGACACTATCCTGCAGACAGCGTGGAGCCTGAACCTCACCCAACAGAGGGGGTTGAGGGGGAGGGTGGCATGATCCAGACACTTACTAAGTACAGGTACACCCCAGGGCACAGGTTCTACAATGGAAAAGGCACTGGTATGGGGTTATAGCCCTGGAGAAGCTCGCTGTCTGTTTTAGTGTGTTCTCACACTGTTATAAATAAATACCTGAGACTGGGTAATTTATAAAGAAAAGAGGTTTAATTGGCTCATGGTTCTGCAGGCCCTACAGGAAGCGTTGTGGCTTCTGCTTCTGGAAAGGCCTTAGGAAGCTTCCAATCATGGCAGAAGGCAAAGAGGAAGCAAGGCATCCAACATGGCTGGAGCAGGTTGTTAAAAAGTGCTATACATGGCTGGGCGCGGTGGCTCACGCCTGTAATCCCAGCACTTTGGGAGGCCGAGGCGGGCAGATCACAAGGTCAGGAGATCGAGACCATCCTGGCTAACATGGTGAAACCCCATCTCTATTAAAAATACAAAAAAAAAATTAGCCGGGCGTGGTGGCGCATGCCTGTAGTCCCAGCTACTTGGGAGGCTGAGGCAGGAGAATGGCATGAACCTGGGAGGCAGAGCTTGCAGTGAGCAGAGATTGTGCCACGGCATTCCAGTCTGGACAACAGAGTGAGACTCTGTCTCAAAAAAAAAAAAAAAAAAAGCTATACATTTTTTTTTAAATTTTTTGAAATGAAGTTTTGCTCTCGTTGCTCAAGCTGGAGTGTAATGACATGATCTCGGCTCACTGCAACCTCCACCTCCTGGGTTCAAGCTATTCTCCTGCCTCAGCCTCCCTAGTAGCTGGGATTACAGGTGCGCGCCACCACGCTCGGCTAATTTTTGTATTTTTAGCAGAGACAGGGTTTTACCATGTAGGCCAGGCTGATCTTGAACTCCTGACCTCAGATAATCCGCCCTCCTTGGCCTCCCAAAGTGCTGGGATTATAGGCATGAGCCACTGTGCCTGGCCAAAATTACTATACACTTCTAAACAACCAGATCTCATGAGAACGCACTACTGCGACAACAGGACCAAGAAGGATGGTGCTAAACAAGTCATAAGAAACTGCCCCCATGATCCAATCTCTTCCCACCAGCCCCCCCTCCAACATTGGGAACTGAACATGAGATTTGTGTGGGGACACAGATCCAAACCATACTGCTGTCCAATTAGAAGGATAATCCATTCATGCATGAAGGATCGTAAGGCAACGTGTGTGAGAAATAGCACAGACTTGCTGAGGAGCTTCAAAGTAAGAAACACATAGTTGTGGGGATAATTAGGGAAAGGTTCTTGGAGAAAACTGGGCTTTGATTTGAATTGGTGGAGGGGAGGTGGGAGGGCATTTCCAGTAGGAGGAACAGTAGGAGCAAAGGCAGGGGGCAATAGGTGTTTGTTGGGAGGGGGCAGTGAAGAGGCTGCTCCATTTTAATCAGCTCCTAGAACTGGAAAGACTGTTTTTGGTTTGTTTATTTGTTTTTTTCAGATCAGCAAACTGAGGCTCAGAAAGTGGAAATAGGAAGCACAGCAAATGCTAAGAGGATCAGAACCTTATGGATCCCAATCCAGTGCTCTTTCCTCTACACCACACCACTGGCTACCCTTTCAGACAGAGCACAGAGCAGACATTTAACCAACTTAGTCACAATATGTCAAGGGAGGAGAAAGAAGCCCACATTGTGTGCCCTTTCTAGGCATTTGCATTATTCTAAATGTCTTGCACCTTTAATATGTTTCCATTTGCAGACACTAGAAAAGTCCTGGGCACCCTGTGGGGTGATGAGGGAAGATGACGTGCATGTGTGTGTGTGTGTGTGTGTGTGTGATGGAGACATGGCTTGGGTGGGTGCAGAGTTCCAACTCAGTTTTCCCTATGGGAAGCCTGGGTGCCTATCTCCTTGGCTTTTACCTTGACCAGGGAGGGTAAGCAGTTTCTGTTCAGGGCAGACTCACTGGATCTCACTTTGGGATTTGGGGACTTGGACTGGAGTTCTTTATTTGAACTGTTACTCTTTTCTTCTTTTGTGGTCAAAATCCTCCCCATAATGATGGCTTTGGGGAGAGTTTTTGCTTTTCCTTCGACTAACTCTCTGTTGTCTCAGACTTTGCAGTGTGCACATCAAGTTTCTCGGGGCCAATCCTGGCTTTGTTTCTGGGACCTCTGCTGTTTAAAAAGAAAAAGAACAAAGTTGTTCTTGTCCTTCCAGAGAGCGAGTACAATTTGCCAGGACCTCGGAAAGATAGTGCTATGTAGGAATAGACTATGAAGACTGCTAAATTGCCCTGATAGTGTAAGAAAAATATCAGAGTCAGGCCCCAGAGGTTGACCCTGCCATCAACTCTCTGTGTGACCCTTTCTCTGAGCCTCAGTTTCTTCCCTGGGAATATGGGGAGTTGAGCATGTTTTCTTTAAAGTGTTTTAATTTTAGCCATCTAAAATCCCATATTTCTTTATTATGCGATTTCTCCCTTGGTCCGATGTATTTATTGAAAACTCCTTTTGTACAAAACGCTCTGCAACCCCCTCTTCCTTACCTCCTCATATGGAATGTTCTAAAGCATAGTCGCAAAGTAATGTATCTCATTACACATCTCATTACATAAGCAATGAGAGGGAATTTTAGCATTAGCATCATGGCTAAGGGCATGGGCTCTGGGGCGGACCTCTCTGATTAGAATCCTGGCTTCACCACATATTAGCTGTATGACCTTGAGCTAGTTACATAATCTGCCTGGATCTAAGTTTCCTCAACTGTGAACCTGGGGATACTAATAGTACTTATCTTACTGGGTGGAGAGTAAATGAGGTTATCTGGTAAATTGCTTAGCACCAGTATCGGCACATAAGAAAGCACTCAGTAAATGTTAGCAATGATTGCAATCAGAATTTCTGTTTTGTTATATATCTTATCACTCTCCTGACTGAAATTCCTCATCCCCATCCCCTCTGTTGCCCATGCCTATGGTACAAGCCACTTAGTGTGGCTCACAATGTTCCCTCTGACATGGACCCTGCCCACATCTTGAGTTTCCAATCCATTCTTTTGCCATAAAAACAAACAAACAAAAAAAGCCAAAAAACTGTGAAAACTCTCACTCCAACAGTACCCAACAGCTAACAATTCTCTTAAATTATGACACGGATTCCTCCTTAAATGTCCTTGTATAGGTGAGTACCTTTGCCCAGGAATGTCTGCCCTCATCTTAGCTTCAAAGCCTGGTCCAGATGCGCCGTCATCTGTGATGACTTCTGTAACCCTGCAGGTTGTTCCAAGGACAACCACTTTCCTTGGAAAAATGAAGCACCCAGAGCACACTATCATTGGATGGATCCCATGGTGCTGACAATATTTGTTTACTAATCAAACTTCTTTGCTGTGAGCTACCTGTGGTTGCTTATTGCTCATTTTCATTTTTATTCTTGGTGTCTAACACAGCTCCTGAGTTAACTCTGCTCCCATCAAGCCATCTCTGTCACACACAGAGCATAGGGTTGGTTCTCAGTGAAATTTGCTGAGTTCTACATGAAACAAGAAAAATAGATGTTGGGCATATCAAGAGCATAGAATAAATCAAGTGGTTTTGGGGTGGGGATGCAGGAATAATCCAAGAAGATTCACCAAAGAGGTAAATCTAGAAGTGTGTTTGGAAGCTAGTTCAGGGTCTCCTGCATGGGAGCAGGGGCCTTTGTGGGGCTCATACCAGGTATCTCAGTCCCTACTTGGAAACAAGGAACAAGTATATGTTCACCTAACCAAAAAACCCAATCTAGGTCCCACCACTATCCCTTTGCTCATGTCTGGAACCGGGGAAACCCTAGGGCTCCTTATCTCTAACCCCCTCATACTCTCTCACAAGCACCAAGCCATAGATTTAACCTCCAAAATATCCCTCCAATCCACCCACTTTGCTCAATTTTCACTGCCACCATCCCAGTCCAAGCTACAATTACCCTTTGCCTAGATTCTTTACCTGTAATAACTTTCTAACTGATGTGTTGGTATTCACTCTAGAGCCCTGTGTCAGTTAGAATTAGGTTAAACTATGAGTAACAGAGACCCAAAATTACATGAAAAGTCTGCAGGTGAGAAGTTCAGGGCTGGCATGGTGGATTTGCTCCATGGTGTTGTCAGGCACTGCAACCCCTTTTTATTTTAATGCCCTGACTTTTTTATCTTGTCACCTCATGGACCAAGATGGCTGCTCCAGCTCTAGCTATTATATCCCCAGTCCACACAGCAGGAAGGAGGACACTCCCATTAAGGATACTTCTTGGATAGCACCCACTACTTTCATTCACATCCCACTGGCCCAAACTGAACATTGTGGCCACTCCTAGATGTAAGAGAGACTTGGGCTGGAGTCCTGTGCCCATTGAAAGATGAGAGGCACTGATGAAGACAGGGAGTGTTGATACTGGGTGACAATTAGTGGTTTGTATAATAAAGCTCTACAAAAAGTTCATTGTCATTTCACTCTCCAGATTAAAACACTTCAATGGCTCTCAAATTCTTTCAGAGTGAAATTCAAACTCTTAATATGGCCTACTAGATTCTTTATGATCCTCTTTTGCCTCAAGTCCCTAACCCCCAGCCCCTATGCTGTAACCATCTTCTCTCTCACTTTTTTTTTTTTTTTTTGCATGTGCTATTGCTGCTGTCAGAAACATTATTTGCAGCACTTTTGTTTTTTTTTTTTTTTTTGCTTCATGGCATACCCTTTCAGCCCATCTGATTTCAGCACAGCTATTGCGGACACTTCCAGGCATTCCCGTCTGAAACACAGGCTACATTGTCTTTCTGTTTTTCTGATGGAGGGCTTTCTCCAAAGTGGTGGAAAGTTGCTGAGCAGGATAGTTTACATCCTCAGGGGAACTAATGGGGGATAGTAGTTAGTGAGCAAGTGTTTCTGTCCTCTGTTCCTGGAGAAACAATTTTAAGGTGTGTTCTACGTAGTTCTTCAGAGGATCTGCAGCAGGACTGAGCTCCAGTAGCCCACAGTGTAACCAGACCAACCATATACATTTTATTGGTCTTTCTCCTTCCTTGTCTTGCTGTCCTTACTCCCTTACTCCAGTTTCCTAGCATCATCTCCCAAGTCAACTACCTGCATCTCTGACCTTGTTTCAGGTTCTGCTTTTAGGGAGAGATCAACTATGACAGCTGATACTAGAAGTCACCCTAAAAAGCTCCTCTTCAGTATGGGATTCTGGAACTGGATCATTAACCAGTCAGATGGCAATAAGGACTCCTTTGCAGGCATCCAGTGTGGTGTGTGGAAACTTTTAATTTACTGAGCATCTAAATTCTTGAGATTTTCACTTGGTGGACTGGGTGTGGTACAGGACCAGCAATGCTAAAAACCAAGGCCAGGAGTGAATGATAAGGAAGGCAAAGCTGCAAAGAGGGTTTAACATGCAGCTTTAACAGGTCTTTTAGGCTCAAGTCAGATCCCTGTTAGAGAAGGAGTGGGACTGTGAGATATGAGCTGGGGATATTTGGGTGGATACATCTGAGAACATTGAACTTCCAGCTTCCCCTGAACCCTCCTGGCTGACAATAGCAGCCTCTTCCCCCTTGTTAGAGTAGATCAGCCTCTCCTTGCCTCTCTTATGCAGAAACCTCTCTTGTGGTAGATGCCTTGCAAGATGATACTTGTCCAGCTTCAAGATCTGCCCCTACCTATATCTAGATTAATAACTTGGGTCAGGCCACATGCAGTGGCTCATGCCTGTAATCCCAGCACTTTGGGAGGCCAAGGTGGGTAGATCATCTGAGGTCAGGAGTTCGAGACCAGCCTGGCCAATATGGTGAAACCCTGTCTCTACTAAAAATACAAAAAAAAATTAGCCGGGCATTGTGGTGGGCGCCTGTAATCCCAGCTACTCAGGAGGCTGAGGCAGGAGAATTGCTTGAACCCAGGAGGCGGAGGTTGCAGTGAGCCAAGATCGTGCCATTGCACTCCAGCCTGGGTGACAAGAGCAAAACTTCATCTCAAAAAAACAAAACAAAACAAAACAAAACAAAAAAGAACTCAGGTCAGGTCTTAGCATAGCTCAAGAGAGGGAGTATAATCCCTGTTAAGGGAGGAAATAGCTTATTCACTGAAAGAGTTGCAGGAGGACCTGGCTACTGCATGGCAGCTGAAACTGGGAAATATGTATAAGAATGGAATTCGAGAAGTTGGACTTGGGTGGGGTGGAATATAGACTGGAAATAAGACATTTATTGACATGGGGACACTCTTCCAAGACAGGATTTAATGTTTTGGCAGGGAATCCTGGAGCCTTCTTATGCTGCTTGGACAGCTCCTTGGAAATGTCAGAACTGTTAGAGAAGTGAGTGTATTAGAATGGATTTTATTACACAAAACCAGAAAACCTATCATGTAAATCTATGTACCCAGAGAAGGGCAATAGGACACTCTCACCATTAGAATGATAAGCAATGCACTAGTGAGGGAGGCTCCAGCCTCAATGAGTGGCTTGGTGGTGGCTGTCCTCTGTAGGCTGGAGCAGACAGGAGATGAAGCCATGGGGTTGAGTTCTCTGTGTCAATGGAGAAGAGAAGAACCTGGACTAGTAGAGGTCTGGTGTTGGCATTAACAATCAGAGGCAAAGTGGACATAATTACTGTAGTAGGAAGCAAGGCCAGAGTGGCCACCAGTGTGCCTTAACATACAAGGAGCTCTGGTCCTGAAAAACACACCATGGTGTTCCCAGGGTCTAGATAATAGGTGGCCAACGAGGGTATTCCATGACTTGCATAACCACAAGAAAATTAAAACAAAACAAACTGATTATCTAATGGCTGATATCAGCCACTGCAATAGAAAATCATGATTCCTCGTCCTCTGTCCAGATCTGAGCTAGTTCTCAGACCCAGAGCCCATCCACTGATGGAAAACCAGGTCCTCTTGAGGAAGAACCTGAAATGTTACCAAAGTGTATACAATAAATATTCCCTTTCTTATTCAACAAAGGGACCCTTGGCCATTTGCCAAAGACAGGGGATCACCCAGACCTTTTGAGCACTGTTGAATACAAGGTCTGACTATCACTGATGCTAGGGGACCTGGCCTGTGATGCCATCAAAGTTCCCCAGTGAAATTGGGAGTTTGTGAAGGCAATGTGGTAGAGTTCTACCCTACATTCACTTTCCAGTACCTCTAATAGTCCCTGGACTATTCTTCCCTAACCCTTGTATGCATTATTGAGATGGATATATTTAGATGTTGGCAGACCCTCACATTGGTGCTCTCACCTGTGGAGTAAGAGTTTTTATGGTAAGAAGAGCTAAATGGAATCTCTTGAAACTGCTCCCCTCTCCAGCCAAAATAGAAAGTCAAAAGCTATCCAGGTGAAATTGCAGAGATTAGAGCCACCCTGAAAGATGTAAAAGATGCAGGGTGGTTGTCTCCATCATATCTCTACTCAATTCGCTTTTTTGGCCTTTACCCTCATCCGATTTGATTTGTTGTTCCTGTTTGCAGTGCCTCTGCTAGTATGACTATCTGAGATCTCAAAACGTGACTGATTTATCTGCATCGGATCCCACAAAAACATAATCTCAGACCAAGAGATTTATTTCATGGTGCAGGAGGTCAACATAGTCATGAGACATGTAATTCACTGGTCCTATTATACACCAGACCACTTAGAAGCAGGTGGCCTGATAGAATACTGGAATAGCCTATTAAAGGCTTGGAGAAGACACCAGTTTGTGGAAAATACCTTGCAGGGTTGTGGTACTGACCTCCAGGATGTGGTATGCATTGAACCAATGGTTCATGCATGGTGCTGTGTCCCCCGAGAGCTAGAATATACATCTGGGAAACAAGGGTTGGAAGCAAGTTGGGTCCATCTATCATCACTTCCAATAACCTTCAAGAAGAAGATGTGCTTTCTGTCTCCCCAACTCTAGGCTCTGGTGGAGGCCAGGTTCCGGTTCTACAGGGAGACACAGTAGAGTTCTACTGTGACTGACCCTGAGTGATCCCTGGTCACTTTGAATCCTTCATGTCAGTGGACTAGCAAAAAGAAGGTCGGAGTAATTGACCACGATTTTCACAAAGAGCTGGGGTTGCTGCTACCTAACCAGGATGGGGAAGACTCTGTCTGGAACTCAGGGGGTTCACTGGCGCATCTCTTAATGTTTCCATACCTGATGATAATAGTGAATAGGTAATTGCAGCAAAAACAGCCTAATGGGACTGAGGCAACCAGGGGCTCACCCCCCTTACCTGTCTCATGGATGTTGGTCTGGGTACCTCACTGAGCAAGTGACCCAGGCTGGCAGAATCAGGTAGGCTGAGGGTAAAGGAAATATAGAGTAAGTGGTAAAGGGCATGGGGGATGGATATCTCTCAGGACCTGCTGTAGCTGTTGGAACTGTACCCTGACACATTAACCTTCCTGTCTGAAGAACGTTTTAGAAAATAGAGATTAAGGCCTGCCTTTTCTTGAAAATTCAGCAACAAGGTGAACTTATTTTGGGTCACAGGCAGATCTGAGCTCTACAAGGGGTGGACTGTAGCAGACACTTTGTGTGCCCCACACCACATTCCCTTCATTGATCTGATTTCAGTGCAACTGTGGTAGACAATTCTGGGCATGCTGCCAGCATCTTATCCCAAGCATGCAAAGTGGTATCTCTCTGCTTTTCAGACTCAGGGCTTTCTCAGAAGTCTGAGAAGGCTGCTCAGCCTGTACAAGCATAATGAAAGTGCAGGGAAATGAATACCACTGGGGCTAACCCTCAAACAATGGGGACAGGAGTCAGAGGATAATGTCCTATCCTCCTTCCTTAAGGGATAATTCTGTGGCATATTCAATGTGGTTATGCAGAGGGTCTGGAGTTTTCTACAGAAGTAACTCACTTAATCTATCTTTACTGATTTCTCTTTTTCCCTGTCTCACTCCCCATTTGACTCCCTCCCTCTGGTTTCTTGGGATTATCTCCCAAGTAAATTATCTGCCCCGAAGCCCTTGTTTCAGGCTCCTTTTTAAAGGGGAACCCAAACTAAGATACTTGTTTTCTTCTTTGAGCTTATATAATTCCTATTCAGATCTTCTTCTATGCCTCTTCCTCCCGAATTCTTCCCTGACCACTGGGCCTGGGAGAGAGACCCCTCTTTATTATGACTGTGCTCCCAGTGCCTAGTAGGGTGACAGGTGAATAAAATTCTCTCTGAAAATATTTGTTGAACAAATAGCTTTCCCAGTGGACTCTTCCCAGCAAGAGAGGAGTCACGGATGACAATTGTAAGTGTTGCCACCCTCCGACATGATGCCGCAATACCCGAATACGCCAATGCCAGCTCCCTGTGTGGGGACAGAAGTCCATTATCTGGTCTTATCAGACTCTAATACACCTCAGCGAGGGGCCTTGGTAACTAGGCTGGATAAGTGCTGCACAGACACCATCTCCCTCCCTCGTCTTCCTCTGCTCCCCCTCCCCGCCACATTAAGTGAGTAAGTAATGAGAATGGCTAGAAATTGAATTTTATGAAAAAGTAATCTGCGGCTTAGAGAACAAGCAGGAGGAAGGGGGAGAGATTTGATGAGATGGGGGAGATGATTTCAGGGCCATCAGGGAGAATGAAGGAACATGGGAGCCGACAGGAGAGTCAGGTAGGAGAGTCATTCAATTAGGGAAGCTGAGACGGTGGGGGGACTTGGTCCCCTTCTTCTGCTCTGTCCTTTTTTACCTCTATCCTTTTCATCTCATCTATGGGTATTTTGTCTTCATGCTCATGGGGTGGAGAGGAGGGAGACCAAGACAGAGATGGCAGCAGCAGGGAGCAGAAGACGTTCTGACCACGGAATACATTACTCTGCCTGCAGTTCAGAGAACACTGATGACTGGAATGAACAAGGAAGGAAGGCATGGGGCTGGAGGAGGTGCAGGGATAGATGAAGACACAGAGTGCTAGCATGGCCGCCACCTACCCCATCCCTCTCCACTAGTCCTGGGCCAGCCACAATGGGTGAGCCCTGCTGTTGGGCAAGTTGTGGTCAAAGTAGAGAGCAAGCGAGGCTAAATACTTGTTACAGGGAGGAGAGCATGTTTGTTGTGCATCCTATGATGTGTGAAGCCCTCCCTGAGTGTGTGTATGAATGATCTTGTTATATACTGACAGCAACTTTGCAAGCATTCCCATTTGCAGGATGAGTAAAGTGAAGCCCATAGAGATTAGAAGAATTCCCAGGGACTCTCAGCTGGTGAGATAATCAGTCCACTCATAGAAGGCTGAGAGCTGCCTAGGATGTACCATGGGAATTGTGCCAAAGCCTGTACTGACCAATGTCCATGCTTGTGATCAGAAGATGGTCAATTCAGGGATTGATTGTGGGCAAGGCAGACCTGTGCCCTGGTGTATTCTTTTCTCACAGTCAGCCAGTCTTCATCACAAACCTCATCTTCCTCCCCAACAGTCCTCCTACCATTGTGTTTTCTCACAAACACTGTGTTCCCCCTCCTTGGACTACAAGCCTTCTGCTCACCCTCCACCCACCCCACTGCCATTTGCAAACAGCTAAGTGGAACTCAGCTTGAGCTTGATGCTTGGTGATGATGAGTTTCCCAGCAGGGGAAGGGTTTGCTTTGCAGAAACAAAAGACCAAAGCAGTAACATTAAATCTTCCTTCTTGTCCACACTCAGAGCTGCTGAGGAGGCCCAGACAGACTCTCTGGGAAAGCAGCAATGGGGTAGAGCCAGAGCAAACAGAAACCCCAGGGGGTTAAATGCCATCAATAGCAATGCCCAAGCAGGGCTGATGGGATAATGGAAGGGGGTATGTGTGTGGCCATTAACAGGCAGATAAACTAACAGAACCACAGGGGGAAGAAGCCACAGTGAGACTGGGCTTGACTGGAAAACTGAGGAGCTGGATTCTATCCCTGGGTCCATCACCTAATCATAGAATGATTTGATGCTTCAGAATAAAGTCGAATAAAGACTTCCTTTATTGGGGTGGGGGGGTGGGATTAGATTATTTTTAACTCCAGCTAAACTGGAATTTAACTAGCCAATGAAACTCTAAGTTATTCCATGAAAGGGACTATATTTTAGCATAGTTCCTGCATTCAGAAGGGGCTCACTAATTTATTCATCCAACAACTGTGTAACCAGGTCTGATGTTAGGTCCCGGATATAAAATGGTAAATGGAACTGGTCTGAACCCTGCCCCTGGAGTTCCTATTCTAATGCAGAAGGAGACATTAGTAATCACACAAATATCTATATATCATGACAGCCACAATCTGTGCTATGAAGGAATGAGATAGCATCTATGGAGATTTAATTTGAACTGCAGTTTTGATGCAGCCCTCCCTGAGGAAGTGAGGCTGAGGCTGAGATATTCAGAACGAGCAGGAACCCTGTGAAAAGTGGGATAAAACTTCCAGGGGGTGGTATCAGAAGCGCCTGAGATGGGGAAGGGCTTGGCAAGAGTGAGGAATGGACACAAAGCCCACGTGGTGCACAAGGAAAGGCGAGGAGGCTGGGGAGGTAGGTGGGACAGAAGCGGCTGGGCCCGGATAGAGCAGTGAGGATCCTGGGCGATGGGTGGAGCTGTCCTAGGTGCTGATCAGGAGAGCCCACTAAGCCACCAGCCAGACCTTGGGAACTGTGCGAGGGAATCTCAGCCTGGCTGTGGCTTCGAATTAAGTGGGTAATGGGTCCCTCTCCCTCAACCCCACAAACACCACTCTCCCCTTGGCCTTTGTGCAACGTGATACTTCAGTGTCCCTGACAATTGTCATTATTCTGAATATTTTATAAACTCTCTTCATCATCTTCTGAGGGAGCAAGGGGCAGGAAAGATATTCCCTGCCCTAGGAAGTCAGAAAACTGAAGAACCTTGTGATTTTCTCATAAAGAAGGTAAGGCTCAAAACTCTCTAGTCAACCATCTTCTTCATCTTTTCACTCATTCATTTGAAGAATCCAGAATTGTAGGACACAGGGAGCCTCCTGACCAGGTTATGAGATAGGAACCTAAAGGCCCACAGGAAGGTAGCAGAAATGAGTGAAGTGGGTCAGGCGTAAGAAAACTGAGGGATACACAACAGGGAAAGGTGAGGTCTGGGGCACACTGGAGGGGCAACAGTTATGCAGCAACACATGACTGTTGCCATGGAGAGATGTGGGCCCAGTGCTGTCACGGCTTCTGATTTTTAAAGAGACACTGAACATTTGGATTTTTAGGTAAAATTTCCTGATGTATGTGTATCTTAAAACAATCGAATAATTAAAAAAAAACCCTCCTTATGGCTCACAGACTGTAATCCCAGCATTTTGGGAGGCCAAGGTAGGAAGATTGCTTGAACTCAGGGGTTCAAGACTAGCCTGGGGAACATGGTGAAACCCCATCTCTACAGAAAATACAAAAACTATCTGAGTGTTGTGGTGCATGGCTGTAGTCCCAGAAACTTGGGAGGCTGAGTTGGGAGGATCACTTGAGCTGGGGAGATTGAAGTGGCAGTGAGCCATGATCATACCACTGCACTCCAGTTTGAGCAAGACTCTGTCTCAAACAACAACAACAACACCCCAAACCCTCCTCTTGTGAGCCATACAAAGTGCATCTGTGGGGTCAATGGGCCCCTGATTTGCAACCTCTGTGGTCTATTGTCCTTATACTTTAGAGGGGTAACTGGGGTCTATAGAGAGGGTGAAACTTGCCCAAGGTGTCAGGGAACATACATTATTATGAAGTAAAATGTACATTCTCTAACTTATAGTTTCTATGATGTGTGAGGCCCAGTGGACACAAAAATGTTTTCAAAAGTTCCCAGCCCTGTGCAAGCACATGGTCTAATGGGCAAGCAGTCCCATCCTTTCCAGGACACAGTGCGATGGTTGTTAGAGATTGTACAAGGGACCTCTAAGGAAGCACAAGTGGCACCCCAGAAATTTCTGGCACTAAAATGCCAGTGGGGCGGAGCCATTCAAAGAATTTGATGGTTCCTTCTGGCCCCAGCAGGCAAAAGGCTTTCTGGTGCTCAGGGGCCCAGCCTCAGAGGGTAGTCCCTGTGCGGGTCCTGAGGCTGGAGACTACCACTTGCCGCTGAAGCCTGGGTTGCAGGAGGTTCAGGCAGGGGATCCGCACTGTGCCCAGTGGAGGGATGGCTGTACCAGCAATTTACAGCCTGCTCTCTGCTACCTAATTGCACCATCAGTGCTTGGTGTCGCAGGGCCAGTGTGAGGATAGATGGGCCGCTGTTATGGACCTAATGGCTGCAGTAAAGTGTGGTGTTTACAGTGTTAAATAGCCTGGCCCACCCCTGCGTGGGGGCCACCTTCCAGCTCCATGTTGGGGCCAGGAGCTCAGTGCATCTGGGGTAGGTTTTTGAGTGGCTTGAGAAGGGGCTCCCCATGAGCCCACTCTGTTCCTTACATCTCCTCCCCGGTCTAGGCAGTGGGGCTCCATGTTGGAAATACAGGCCTCCCTGATGTTGTATTGTTTTCTCCTCCTCTCTCTGGGTCTCTGAGCCAACTTTGAGAACAACCTCTCAAAGGGTAGGGGCTGTGCCTTTACTGAAGGACAAGGGGTCCCCTGAGACAAAAGCAATGTCTCCCCTACAAGACTGGGCAGTTCCCACTGGGCAGGGCTTTATATCTGTCATCCAGTTGGGTGTATTCCCAGAATAAAGTTATATCCCCCTCTTTGGACTTGGCTCTCTGAAGATGGGGCATACCCCTGCTCCAGCAGACTGTGTAATATGTGCTCTGTCTCCCTACCAGGGTCTCTGGACTGAGGACTCCATTCTTTGATTCTTTACCTTGTTAAGCCTCAGCTTCCTAACCTGTAAAATAATCTCTCAACATCCTTCTGCAGGTTTTCTTTCTCTTTTTGTTTTCGGTAAGGATTCAACCTTGTTCCTCAAAACATGGTCTGCAGATAGGCAGCCTCAATGTCATCTGAGAGCTTGTGAGAAATGCAGAATGTCAGGCCCCAACTAAGACCCACCAAATCAGGATCTGGTTTTAACAAAATCCCAGTGACTCTTATGCACTCTAAAGTTTGAGAGATGCCAATTCACAAAGCGCCCAAGAGAATGCTTAATGTAAGTGGGCCTCAGTATGTTTTGTTTCTCCTCCATCCTTATTTTTTTGTTTCCAGTGTCACTATAGAGGCAGTGCAGCTGCAATGAGTGGGTGGAGATGGAAAAACAATTCCAGGGAATGGTGTGAATTAGGTGCTCAATAAATGTTTGGGCAATGCATGAAGAGGTCATTGCATCTGAGCTCTTGAAGTCATCCACCCTGTTCACTAGACCTTGGCCTCTCTGTTTCTCTCCAGATTTTATTCCCCTTCTTCCAGCTTGAGGGAAGAAGGATTACAATCTAAGGATCAGCAAAGCTCCCATGCTACTATGCACAACAATGTGTGCTGAGGCCACATCACTTGGGGATCGAGCAGAGGAAGGGTAGTGGCCAGACACCATGCTGCCCTCAGAGAAGGGACTCCAAATCCCTGGACACAGTCTTAATCCACTGTGGGGAGAATCCTGGGCCAGGTACCCATCCCCATCCCTAGGGGGACTTGTTATGCAGCCCAAGGTAAGGGAGTCTCCCTCTCTGTGGAAAGGAAGACTAGTCCCTATAACATATGTAGGCTTAGAGGGGACCTAGAGATCCAGAGAGTTGGAGCAGATGTAAGCATGCCTCCTGACCTCACACTCAGTTCAAGACTCCCCTCCGCAAGGTCTCTAATGAGGGAGCAACAGTCCTCTCTCTTGCATTCCCAGTGCTGGGAATTTCCCCCTCACAGGCCAGCCTTTCCATGTGTGGACACCTCTCATGGTTAGCAGCGATCCTGATTACAGCCTCCCTATATTTCAAATAAATTAGACTCAACAAACAAAATCAATGCCTACTCTGTGCAGGGCAAGAGGCTAGGCTCTGGGAAGATAAGACATGATCCCTGCTTCAGGGAGTATTTGGGGAGGATAGGGACCTGTGCAGACTCCTGTAACATTAGGCAGAACATGATGATCAGTTTGATAGAGAGCTCAGCAGTCTGGGATCACAGAGGGAAGAGATCATAATTGTTGCGGGTGTGGAGGAAATCGGGGAAGCTGCATGGAGGAGGGAGTGTTTGAATTGGGCCTTGAAGACCGGGTAGAATTTCAGTGGATGTGTTGACTATTCTTCTTGGATGTCTCTCAAATCTACCCCTTCTCTTTATGCTCACAGACCCTGCCTTGTTTCCAGTGGCCTCTTAACACTTGCTTATCACTCTGTCTCTCTCATACCCCCACTCCCTGCCCCTATCCATCCTTTGCTCAGCTGCAAGCATTTGCTCACAGCTGTCAGTGGCCCTGCTGCATACTCCTTGGCACTCAGACCCTGAGGTTCCACATCTCAGCATTATTCCCCCAGTCTACACTCTCCTCCAAGCTCCCCATGCGTGTGTGTTCTTTATGACTATGAGCCATTGCACATGCTATTCCCTTTGCTTGAAACACCCTTCCTCCAGCCTTCTTATGCACCTGCTAATCTTCTATACGTATACTTCAGGACCCAACCTGTGCTGCAGGTGCCGTTTGCAGCCCTCCCTCTACCATAGCAGCCACTACACTATATTTTAGTTACTTTTTGGTGAGACTGTCTTCTCTTGTTGCATCAGGCAGAGGCTTATTAATCTCGTCTTATTCAGCGTTTTATTAGTAGTGCTAACATAGCTACTTAGTGCATGTTGAAGGAACAGATGTCCAAGATACTAAGCAGCATTCCAGGCAGAGAACACAGACTGGGCAAAGGCATGGAGGATGGATGGGATGCTGAGCTGCTCACTATGGCTGGAATGGAAGGTCAGGAATGAGGTAGGAACAGCTGGGAATCAGGGAACAAGCATGTAGGAACAGGCAGGAGCTATTAGGTCCTTCTGGGTCCTAATCCTACTTTTTGGGGGAGGGACTGTCAAGCCCTGGGTCCTAGGTTTGGATGGATGGAGAAGCTGGGCACCTGTCCAGGATTTCCCAGCCTCCTTGGCTTTGCCTTCCTCATTGAGATTCCTCCCCAGAGGCGAGGGGGAGGGGAGATGACTTAGGGACGGCAGCTCTCAGATGTGTCCTCATCCAGCACAGGGAGCCCGCCGGCCGCCCGTATATCAGGGCCAGTGTTGTCTTGTTGCTCGCTGGGAAGGGAAGTGGGGGAGATAATTGTGTCTCCTTGGGAAGAAATATGGGTGCAGGCAGAAGCATCTTTCTTTCAGCTTTGGGAGAAGAGATGTCTACTCAGCATCTTCCTCCGGAGTAGGGTGGGGTAGGGGAGAATGTTTAACCCTTTCCCCTTAAACACTGTCTGTAAAATCAATTCCCAGAGGTTAATAATGCATAATTATGCAAAAGGAATTTGGAATAATTCAAAGAGGTTGGCTGGGGAAAAGTTCTTGGGGCTAGGAAGGCACAGAGGAGGTGGGAGAACCATAGGAGTTCAAGGGGCCTGTAGGCAAGTTGGAACAAGTATCAGTTTAGAAAGTGGCTGTGGTGGCCGGATGCGGTGGCTCACGCCTGTAATCCCAGCACTTTGGGAGGCCAAGGCGGGTGGATCATGAGGTCAGGAGATAAAGACCATCCTGGCCAACATGGTGAAACCCCGCCTCTACTAAAAATACAAAAATTAGCTGGGTGTGGTGGTGCGTGCCTGTAATCCCAGCTACTCGGGAGGCTGAGGCAGAAGAATTGCTTGAACCAGGGAATTGGAGGTTACAGTGAGCCAAGATCGCACTACTGCACTCCAGCCTGGTGGCAGAGAGAGATTCCATTTAAAAAAAAAAAAAAAAGAAAAAGAAAGTGGCTGTGGTGTCCATTTTAGTCTTTTATGTCTATCCCAATGTCTATCTATCTATCTTTCTTTCTTTTTTTGTTCTTTTTCCTTTTTTTTTTTTTTTGAGACAGAGTTTCACTCTGTATCCCAGGCTGGAGTGCAGTGACACAGTCTCAGCTCACTGCAACCTCTGCCAACCCAGGCTCAAGCGATCCTCCCACCTCAGCCTCTTGAGTAGCTGGGACTACAGGTGGGCACCACCAGGCCTGGCTATTTTTTTTGTATTTTTGGTAGAGATGGGGTTTCACCATGTTGCCCAGGCTGGTCTTGAACTCCTGAGCTCGAGCAATCTGCCTGCCTTGTCCTCCCAGAGTGCTGGGATTCCAGGCATGAGCACTGTGCCTGGCCAATGTCTATCTTTCTAGATGCTCCTGTTTCACCCAGCCCAAGGCATCTCCATTCATCACCTTCCTGTTTCACTCATGGGGAAACTGAGCCCTGGTCCAAGGCCAGAGGCTGGCTCAGCAGGTACAGAAGGGGCTCTTGCTCCGGAGCAGAGAGCCATCCCTCTCCATCACTCAATTAACTTGATTTCAAAACGAGCTTAATCTCACCATCCTCCTTTCATGGCCCCAATCTGCAATTTCCACTAATTAATGATTGCAAATTGCTAAGTAACGAAACACTCGATGGTACTGCTATTATTAATGGCTGGGAGTGGACCTCGAGTAGGGGGAAGGGCCGTTAGCCTGGTGTGGAGGCCATCTGTGCTGGGGACAGGACCTGCAGCCCATGGGGAGGGCAGAGGAAGGGTAAGGGAACCTCAGGTCCTGTCTGCTCCTTACGAACTTGGCTGGTAGGATGACTTGCAGCTAACTGACATCCCCCTCGTGGTGGCTCTGGGATCTTGGGTGACAGGGTTGGGGACTGAGGGAGTTGGTGGTCAAAGCTATGCTAGAAATGGCAAATTGGGAGAAGGCATAGGGCCTAGAGAGCTGGAACTGTGAAGTGATCTCCAAGATAGCTGGTGGCAGGGGGCAGGGTTGGGGGAGAAGAGGGCTGGGCCACCAGAAGATGCTGAGAGCAGACTCTAGGTGCTCCAAGTTGGCTCAGCCATTGACAAAACATCCACAAGGCAGCTGGGTTCCCAGGAAGACTGCATTGCATGCTTAATGGAGACATGACATAGGGCCGGGGGAGATTCTGGGAATGGAATAGTTGATCGTGCCTGGGGGAAGCTTGGAAGTCTCATGGAGAAAGAACTACTTGAGTAGGACTTTCTGATGACAGGAAAGACCTAACTGCAAGTGGGCAAGGGAAGGACATTTCAGGAGGAGGGGCCAGCATGAGTGAAGCTAGGATATTTTGGGAACAGCTAGTGGTCTGATGTACCATGTGTGTGCACATGTGCCTGCATGCACATGTGGGATAACCGAGGAGGAAAGAGGCAGAGACGGTAAGGCTGGGGAAGTGGGCAATGTCAGCTTGGAGCTGCAGCCTCGGGGGTGTGAAGAGTATAATAGGCTCCAGAGTTGGAACCATATAGGTTTGAATCCCAGCTCTGCCACTTATGGACTATGCTCTGGGGCATGTTGCTTGACTTTTCTGAGCCTTGGTTTCCTCATCTGTAAAATGGGGATAACAGCAGTATCCACTTTATAATAAAGGTTTCTATGAGGTTCAAGTGAATTAATGCATATAAAGTGTTTAGAATAGTGCCTGGCATAGAGAAGGTGCTCTATGGATGTTAGTCATTATTATTATTATTAGAGGGAGGGGGTCTCACTCTGTTCACCAGGTTGGTGTGCAGTGGTGTGATCGTAGTTCACTGTAACCTTGAACTCCTGGGCTCAAGCTATCCTCAGGCCTCAGACTCCTGAATAGTTGGAATTAGCCAGGAATGTGCCACCATGCCTGGCTAATTAAAAAAAAAACGTTTTTGGAGAGACATCATCTCACTACATTGCCCAGGCTGGTCTCCAACTCATGTGCTCAAGTGATCCTCCTGCCTCAGCCTCATAAAGTACTGGGATTATAGGTGTGAGCCACTTGCTTGGTCAGCCATTATTATTACAATTATTCTATAAAAAACATAGCACCATTGCAATATTTTCCAAGAGAGCAAGACATGATCAAAGGAACTAGAGACGAAGTGCCCAGAAGGGCATTCAGAAATAGAAATGCGTGGGGTGCTTTGAGTTTTCACAGTGGCCGGGATTGGGGGGAACTCCTGGTATTAGGAGGGGACCAGGGATGCTAAATATCCTGCAATGTGCTGGACATCCCAGCTGATGAAGAACCATTTCCCCTAATATACTAGTGGTGACCAGTGAGAAACTCAGCTTGGATAGCTAGCTCTGGCTCAGGGAGTGATTAGTTTGAAGAGAATGAAGATCAACTTCAGCTCTTGGTCCATGTGACCATGTGCGGGACTGGCTGTTAGCAACACAAACTCATGTGTCACTTTTTCCTCCCCTCCCCTCCCCTCCCTCCCTCCCTCCCTTCCTCCCTTCCTTCCTTCCTTCGCGCCAGATACTGTTAGATTCTGGGAATAAAATGGTGGTTGGTGACTCTAGCATCTCGTGGAGCTTAGAGTCTAGAGAGAGAGACAACCAGATAAGCAGGCATTGTCATACTGGCCTATGATGGGGAGGTATGCAGTGCTGTGGGAATGTTTGGAAGGGCATGTAACCCAATTCTCGGTTCTGTGTTCAGACCTTTAGACTGTAAAAACAGAGACGTTCACTCAAGTTCCTCAACAAATGGACCTTACTGTAAGGCTCCAACAGCAGGATAAGTGGGAATCCCATGGGAAGTACAGGATTCAGGCATCGGTCATGGGATCCAGGAAAAAAAGTCAGGATCCAAGGTGACTATTGGCTTTGGTGTTTCCTTGTTCCCCCAGCAGCACTGAGCCTTGCTGTGTGTCTCTCTGCTGAGTGAGACATCATGAATATGGCTCAGCTGTGCCCTGCATGGTGGTGGCTCCTTTCTGGGTCTGTCTGTTTCTCCTGCTATCAGCAGCTTTCTCTTCTTCTCAATGTTCTTGTCGTTTCTATTTACCTTTAACTTCTAGTCACTCCTGGTCCCTTGTGGCCCCTGGCAGCCTCATGGCCTTGGCTTGCACTTCTTTACCTCCTTGGTGTATTTTCCAGTTAAAATTCTGCAAAGAAAGAATCTGACTAGCTTAGCCCAGCCCTGTTAGGACTTTCCCAGCTTGCCCACCTCCAAGGAGCCTGCACCTGGTTCAGTCAGCTGTGACCTGGTCATGTGGTGCAGGTCTCCTAGTGCAATGGCCAGCAAGCATGGTGGTCCCTTCATTGGCTTGTCTATGATGTTGGGCCTTGTGTTGCAGGTACACACACCCTTCTTTCTAAACAGTCAGCCCCAAAGCTGGCCCAGCCTAACAGGGTACAACAACCACATTCACAATGGTGGGTGCCTTCCTCTTTTTCCAAGAATGACGATGACCTAAGTTTAACTATAACCAGAGGTGAGTTCAGATGGCCACTTTAAGAGCTCCCCCTCCCTCCAGAAGCTTCTTTCCCCTATAACTTGTCTAATTTCTGCTGTTACCAATGGTGAAACTCTTGATGGTTATTCTGGCCATAGTTAGCCTTGATTCGACTGGCACAAAGGCCTAAAGAAGTGGGCCATATCACGATTTTCCCGGAATCCTGCCTACCCTTGGTAGGGTTATTTCTTTTCGTAGAATGTGGTACGGTGAGAAACGCAGTGGCAAGTTTGAATCCAGGCTCTGTCATTTACCAGTGTGACCTTGATTATCTTCTTGAGCCTCAGTTTTTCCATCTGTAAAGTGGGGATCACAGTATGGACATCACAAGGTATGACTGAGTGAGTGGCTCACAGCATTGCTCAATAAAGAACTGTTCCCTCCTCTGCTTAAGGACATTGGCTGTCATGAGTTTGATGTGGTGGTAGTGGTGGAATGACTAAAAGACCTTGGATGATAGGGTTGCACCAGGTTCACAGCCATGAATTTTGGTATGATTCCATTGGAAGGAAGGAATTGAGGGGGCTACAAGGAGATGGTCTGTCCCTCTCTCAGGATTTCTCCAATGCATTCCCCTTGTTCTTTACTCAGCTTAACCAGCGCCTGTCGCCTGTCTTCCAATTCTCCTGCAAATACAGCACCTCTGCTCGGCTTTGTAGGCTACATATCTCTGCTTATATGTAGCTATATGTATATGTAGGCTCCCTCTGCTCAGAAGGATTTTCATAATTCCTCCTGGGCCTGGAACCAACTATGCATCTAATTTCTCTCAATTGCACTTCGATGAAGCTTGATATTCACCATCTCCTCCCCAGTTTCTCTGTCTCACCTTCTCTTCATTTCTCCACTTTTCTCTTACTTTTGGTTCCATTTCTTTGGTTGCATCTCCATGGCCAAGATGCTTCAGTGGAACCTATTTTTACTCCTGCTAAAGTCTCAAGGAGATGGCTAGACATCTAGAATAACTTCCTAACACCACTTATGACCAAAGCATTTTGTTGACATCTTTCTGAAAAGATGGTTCGAGGGAGACAGATGCTGATCTCTCTGCAGGTCTCCAGGGAAGTTGTGGAGTATGGGAGGGAGATGGGTGGGATTTAGGACTCTGCTGGGTGGATTTGAATGCAATATTGTTCTCCGATTGCTAATTCTCCATCACTGTTGGATAACTTTAAAATCTTTAATGATTTTTGACACTAAATAACGTTCAGTGGAAAAAAAATTGTCCAATTGAACAATAAGCCATTTTCATCTCTCCTCATCTCTTCCAGCCTTTGTTAACACACTTACTTGTTTTGCTTCGTTATAACCAACGTGTGAAGACATTTTCTGCTTTTCCCACTTAACGGTATCTTACATGAATGTTTCTAGTGTACTCACTTAGTCTACAGAGCTGTCATTTTTAATAACTACAGCACATTAATATAACCACTGTTTGCTTACTGCTATTGTTGGGCATTTGGGTGGTGGCCAAATTTCCAATTTTGCAAACAGTGCTGCCACGCACATCTTTGTCAAATTACTTTTTTTTTTTCTTTTTCTTTGGATTATTCCCAAGGGTTTATTCCCAAAAGGAGAATTAACAGGTCAAAGGGTATAAACAGTTTTGTAGCTCATATTCCACATTGCCAGATTGCTTTTTGCAAGGAGAGACTCAAGTTGTAGCACTACCAGCAGCGTGCACACGGATGGAACTGAGCGGTGGGAATGAGTGTTTCTGTTTCTTGGGACTAGGATCAGCCACCAGTTTGCTGTGTGACCTTGGGCCAGTCACTTCCCCCCTCTCGACGTAGGTTTTCTTGTCTGTAAAGTAAGGGAGTTGGGCGAGATGCTCTTAAAAGGTCTCTGCTGATCTGATCTGGGATGGGATCCCTCGATAGTGAGCTTGTTTGATTGGGGGACACTGGGGTTTCAGACTCATTGAGTTTTGAGTCCCTTTCCTCATCAGTGGAGACAACGTCAGGATGGTTTGCTGTTTGTATTTTAGATGGGTTGCGCTGTATGTTTGGGGTTTGGGGTTGTGGGGAGGCAGCGTCTGGCGATCCCATGTGGGAGTTGCCTGGGGCCTCTCAGTTCAGCTGTACATATTGTTTACATGTGGCATCCATTTTGCTTGGTTGACATCCATGCTGGTTGTTAAGTGATTGGAATCTCATTCCTGGGCATGCAGGAAATATGTGGGAGTTGAACAGAACTGGGTTTGAGTCCAACCTTGCTATTTGTTGGCTTTGTTGGATGCGAGAAGATGATTTAATATATCCTGGAACCTCAGTTTTCTCATCTGTAAAATGGGAATAAAACACTCACTTTATAAGGTTATTCCAGAGGTGTAAATGAGATAATGCATGTAAAACATGATGGCAGTGCCTGGCCCTCCAGAATACTCAATATTAGTAACATTTTCCAAGAACTTTGTGTTCTCCCAGTCTGGTGTGATGCTTCTCAAATGGAATGTTCACAACACAAGTTATTGCTGTTTCCTCTCCTCTGAGGAGGATAAATGGGGCAGGGTTCTCCAAGGTGTCCAGGAAAGGCCTTATCTTCCTTGGGAGTAGCCCTACCCTGATGTCTTCTGGATTCTGTCTATCTGCTCACTCTTCTCTTGACCTCCCTTCCCTCTATACTCACTGGCCTGTTGGCAGAACCTCTTGGCTCTGGGGCAGTTGGAGTAGTCTGAGACTAGCAGGGCCCATCCCTAGCATGAAGGCAGCCTGTTGGATTCTCTCCCACCTCTGGCTCTGATTCCAGTCTTTGATCAGTGTTCCATTCATGCTTCCACCTTGTCCTGGAGCCTTTCCTGCAAATACGCGCTTTTAGAATTGGGATCCCTGGACACTTTCTCCAGCTCCTGCAGAGCCCTGATCCCTTCCTCAGAGCCAAGCCCCTGCCAGCGGTGCCTGTCCCTCCCTCCTGCCTTGGCTGCAGGCCTGCAGCCAGGCTCTCCTGGGTCCAGCTGCTTGGGCTTTCCCTTCATCCATCGCTCTCTGTGGATTTCCCCAGAGTGCCTGCCCTTCCAGGACCTCTCGCCCACCCTCCCTTGCCATGGGATCATCTGCCTGGGGAGAGAAACCAGTGGAAGAGCCTCCCAGAGGCAGCCTGCCCATGGGGAGATCAAGCCAGGGCTCCAGGCCCAGAAGCTTCTAGGCCAGCAGGTTTCAAAAGGGTGGTAGCCTTCCTCTGGACAGTCAACCATGGAAGGTGTTGCAGGAGGTGAATGTGGTGGGGTGGGGACTTCTGGGGCTGGGCCTCACAGGCCTCTTTGGGGAGTAGCCAACAATATGGGCAGTGCCCTCCCATGCTGTTCTAATGTCAAGGAGGAGGAAGATTTGCCACCAATGCCAGGATTGATGCTAAGTCCGTGGATGGAACCAAAGGAACACAGGAGGCATGGTGCTCAGGGCTTTCAATCCAAGAGACTCAAGTGCTCGCCCTCTTCCCCACGTGCTCGCTGTCAGACCTTCTTTTACTGTCTGCTTTTCTCATGGAGCAAACTTTTCACCAGTGCTTCCCTGTGCTAGGGATGGGAGGATTCATAGGAGGCATTGTCCTGTTGCTGCCTCCAGGGAGTTTTCATTCAACCAGGAATTGGAAAACTCCAGCCTGTGGGCAAGTCCAGCCCACCACCTATTTTGTCCATAAAGTTTTATTGGAACACAGCCCATTTGTTGCTATATGGCCGATGCAATATTCCCTCTACAGCGGCAGAGGTAAGTAGTTGGTATAGAAATTGTAAGGCCTGCCAAGTGTGAAATATTTTCTGTCTGGTTCTTTAGAGTCTAGATGGAGCAATTGGAGCCCAGCTCCTGCTCAGGGACTTGCTGTAGGTTGGCTGTGAAGAGAGTGGTCTCAGAGCCACATGTTCCCAGAACGGCCAGGCTGAGACAGCTGCCCAAGCACAGATGCCCAAACCCTTCTGTTGCCTGCCAGGCTTCCCAGTGAGGTATGCAGACCCCAGAATAGAAGGTTGTAGCCCAGGCCAGGATGGTGGTCCCCCAGGAGGATTTTCTGACTCTCTTTTGGGGCCGAGGGCCGGGGTCCTTCCCCACTTCTTTGAACACTTCCTCCTCCATAAGTGGCCAGAACTTTGGGGAAGAATCCGCCCTAGTCCAGCCCTGTCCTTTCCACTTTCCTTGTCAGATTGACAGTAGACGTGGGCAACGTGGAAGGGAGTCCAAGCTGCCAAACCACCAGATCTTTGTGTCCTTTTTGGTCTCACTTTATCCACCCATAACATGAGGACAAGAAGATTCCTGGGTCCTTGGCTCTCCCAGAAAAAAGTGGAGGCCTTCATTCTGCAGTCAGTTTGGCTGTTATTGCAGTTCATTTGTGGGGGAGGAGGGGAGACAGACCTCTTCAACAGAGAACCGTGGTTTTCCCTAATGAGCCCAAGGCAGTTGACTCCCATTCCTGAAAAATGTCTTCCCAAGTCCTAGAAGCAATGCAATTAACAGCCTCTTTGTTCACAGTGTTAATTAACTTGTTTTTTTCTGAACACACCTTCTTCCAGGTACAGCCCGTCATCTCTGGGGTGCTGGCAGGGGGAAGGCAATTAGATCCTCGTTACTGTGCAATTAATTATGGCTTGAAAACTACTTGGGGAGGCTGGGAGAAATTCCTCGACAGCACCAGCCCCAGAAAGAGGCCTGGCTTAGGTGCAGGTGGTGAGCTGATTGGGAGATTAGAGAAAAGGCAGTGGAGCCTGATTCAGGAAACTGCAGAAAGGCAGATCTGGACACCTCACTACCCTCCTCAAGGACTTCCAGTGGCTTCCTAGTCCCTACCAAGTCAAGACCAAACTCCTTACATGAACATTCAAGGTCATCCATCTATTATCTGGTCTACACCCATCTTCCCAGGGTTATCTCCCATCACAGCTACACGGAGTCTATGCTCCCAGAAAAGCTAGAGGTCATGCTACTTGAACACAATTTCCATGCCTTTGTTCACACTATTTCCTCAGCTGGGATGCTGTTCTCCTTCCATCTCTACCTACTGGAAAGGTCTTTGTCCTTTATCTTGTTGCAAATACCCTCTCCTCGCTGGAACCTTTCCTGAGGGCAAGTGCGGTCTTAGAAAGATGAAGGGGATTGGATCCAGATAAACTTGGACTCAAGTTACTTAACCTGCCAGATCCTCATTCCCCTGCATTCCCTACCTGGCAAAGAGTATGTCAAGGCCCGCCTCACAGATAACGTGTGCCAAGTACCTGGCTTGGGTGCTTGGACCTTTACACCCCCTCAATTCTTGAGCCATAGCCTCCAGCATCGTTCTCAGCAGTAATGACCTCATCGCACCTGGGTAATGGGCTCTTCTGCTTGCAAACCAGTTTCCATCCTTTATCCCCCGTGTCCTTGGTCTCTGCCTGCTGAGGGAGGTATGAGGACCCTGGACATGAGACTCAGAGAGGGTCTGAGGCTTTAGATCTGATCTCAGTGAGGGTCGTACCATCCCCAGAGGGCATTTTGGGCCATCATCATGATTTGGGGGTGTCCCTGGCTTTTAGTGGGCGGGACAAAAAATGTTACCTGTCCAGCCAGGTGTCACATATGTGAAACACCAGTGAATGTTTGTCCGAGGTGAGAACCTCAGGCTGTATAGATGCTAAGCTGAGGCTGTGCTATTTAGGTTTCACTATTTTTTGTTGTTGTTGTTTTTTGTTTTTTTTTTTGTTTTTTTTTGTTTTTGAGACGGAGTCTTGCTCTGTCGCCCAGGCTGGAGTGCAGTGGCACAATCTTGGCTCACTGCAACCTCCGCCTCCTGGGTTCATGCCATTCTCCTTCCTCAGCCTCCCGAGTAGCTGGGAATACAGGCGCCCGCCACCACGCCCAGCTAATTTTTTTGTATTTTTAGTAGATACAGGGTTTCACTATGTTAGCCAGGATGGTCTCAATCTCCTGACCTCATGATCCGCCTGCCTCGGCCTCCCAAAATGCTGGGATTACAGGCATGAGCCACCGCGCCTGGAGGTTTCACTATTTTTTGGCATGATTTAATATATATAAAATTTTCCAGGAATGCAACCACCAGTAAATTGAGGGAAGACTGGACTTGGTTTTGATAAGCATTTTACTAAGAATTGCTTACCAGTTGGAAAACCACTACATGGATGGCAATCCTGCTCATGGTGCCTCAGTCCCTAAAAGAACCACCTGATCGATCATCATCTGTGGGTGTTCAGGTGCCCCAACATTTAGGTGCAAGCTTCTCACTCTTTCCTGTGTCTTCTTGGGTGGTGGTGCTCAAGCATTCACATACAGAAATACATAGTGTTTTATCATAACTTTTCACCCCTGTTTATTTCTCCTTGATATTATAACTGGGCAAAATTATGTATGCAGGTACATAATGTATGGAGGTAGGTTATATACTGTATAAATTTCATTACAAAATGTTTGTTATAAAAGGGAGTGGTAATAACCCCAGGCTGGAAAAATTCCTGGCTGGGCCTCATCCTGGCTTGGTCAGGGGCAGAGACCAGGTGGTGGTTCTGGGGGCTGCCGGGGGCAGTGCTGCTGCTTCAGGTCCCCCCACCCCTACTGCTGTTAGTGTGTGTGTGCGTGTGTGTGCGAGAGTCAGGCTGATGGTCTCCTGAGTGGTAGGCATGTGTCTGTGCATGACATGAGTGTGCAGAGCCATGCGTGCTGCTGTGTCTGTGCTTATGAAGACATTCACCTCCAGTGGTGCATCCACATCTGGGCATGCCCTGGGGGCTGGGTTGTCAGCAGCTGCTAGGCACTCCCTCTTGTAGCCTTCAGTCTCTCGAGTGAGAAGGAAATATTGTTCAACTTTAGGGGAGCCTGCCTTCCAGCCTCTCTGGTCTCTGCCTGAGATGAGACAGCCATTCCAGCTAGGGGGGTACCTTCTGCCCTGCCCGGCTCCTGCCAGCCCCACCCGCCTCCCAGGATAAACCCATTAACCAGATAAGGGATCATCAGGGCTCCCAGTCTGAGCTGAAGCTAAATCAGCAGAAGCTGTCCCATCCCCACCACATCTGGACGTTAGGCCTCATTTTCCCCAACTGGACAACCCAGATGTTTCTCTTGCACTCACATTTATCTAATCTAAGATTTTCTCTTGAATCTCATATCTTTTCCCTACGTCCTTTACCCCTTTCCAGGGCTCCCAGGCCAGGCACCCTGCAGCATCTGGAATGGATTAGAGAGTTAATAAAAGGCTTCCTGAAGCATGCTGCTTCTTCCCCACCCCAGGCCAGCCTCTACCCTGCCAGTCCTCCTCCGGGGCTGTTTGTGTTTGCAGTGGAAAGTGGCTCCTAATAGGAAGCTAATGTCCCAGAACGCAGTGCCTGCCTTCAGGAGCGTGGGCCCCTCGTTACCCCGCAGCTAATTAGCTGGTGGCTGTGGCAGCAGCCGTGTGGCTCGAAGGTGATGGCTGTGGGGGATGTGGGAGGGGCTGGCAGCCTCACTGCTTACCAGCTTTCAATCTCCAAGCAGTGAGGCACCTGTTAGCTTGGGAGAGCAGGGGGCCGGATGTGCTGCACAGTGCTGGGAATGTATGCGTGTGTGCATGTCTGTATTTAGGGATGGCATGTGGGATGAGAGGGAATGACTCAGTCGCCTACGGCTGATGACTGATCTTGAACTCCTTCTCAGTCCTGACCTGGACTGGGTCTGGGCCTTGCTCTATGGCCTATCATTCTGGGGGTGGGAACCAGCTGCTGCAGGGGTCCCTGAGGGGCTCCTCCTCCTGTGTCCAGGGCTCTGGGCCTGGGTCTAGCTGAGGCAGGTCCTCCAGTTGGTAACACGAAAGCCTTGTCCTAATGAGCTTGTCTTCCCATCCAGGCCCTTCCTCTCTGAATAGCCCTGCTCTGTGGCTTGTGGGCTGTTGGAGCCTGGGCTGGCAGTTGGGGTGATAAAGGGATTTGAGGTGACTGAGTCAGTGACTGGCTTACTAGAAGCCAGTGCTGCAGGCTGCTTGAAGCTGACACCCAGACCCTTGTTCAAAAACCATCTACACATGTTTCAATCTGAAACAGCCTCTCCCTGCTCACCTCACCCAGGCAGTAAGCGAGAATTCCAGGGGACGGCCTCTCTTTTGGCCCCAAGCCCAGAGGCTTAGGAGATCCTTACATCTAATTGTTGGACCCAACATGTAAAATGACACATTCTTCTACTAAAAAAATTATTAGCTGTTTATCTGAAATTCTAATTTAGCCAGACATCTTGTGTTTTATTTCTCTGTGTCTGGAAAACCTGGAAGGCAACATGGTCCTTTGAAAATGGGCTTGCCAGGGTGATGGCTTGCCCTGGATGTGGACCGGTGCACCCCTGAACTTGCTTATGCATGAAACAGGGATTCCAATGACAAGGTGGGAGGGTGAGAAAGCCCATGGATTTTAAGGTTTGGGTTGGACAGCCTCCCACCCTCCTCTTCTGATCCTGGTGTCCTCTGAGGTCACACAAGGTCCTGCTTCCCAAGCCCGACCAGTCTCTTTTTCTGGAAGGAGCAGTTCCCCAGGCCTGGGCTCAGGCATCTGTGTGACTGACAAGCTGTGAGGTGACTCCAAGGCCCATCTGGGATGGGGAGGGGCAGTTCCAGTCTAGCCTCCTTGCTGCACAGATGAGGACACGGAGGTGAAGCCACAGTGTGAGTTCTCAAATCCAGCTCCCCTGCTTCCAAGTGCTGGACCTTGTTTCTGCCCGCATTCATCCTACAGCAGGGCAAGCCACAGAGAGAGGTGCTGTGCAGAACAGGGCATGAGAGGGCCTGGTTACTTCAATGGGGCTTCTTCATGCCCTCCTGGGTCCTCTGCTGGCTTAGGTACAGGCACTGAGCTGAGAACAGTTTGGGAGATCAGAGAAAAGGCAATGGAGCCTGATTCAGGAGATTGCAGAAAGGCAAATCTGGGCACCTCACTACCCTGCTCAAGAACTTTCGGCGGCTCCCTAGTCCCTACCAAGTCAAGACCAAACTCCTTACTTGAACATTCAAGACCATCTATTATCTGGTCTAGACCCATCTTCCCAGAGTTATCTCCCATCACAGATACAGAGAGTCTGTGCTGGTCTCTGGGATACACACAGGCCCAATGCTGCCTTGTGGGATTCTTGGGCACATGGAGGAGACAGATCTTAGCAAGGTGACAGCACTGTGGGCTGTGTGCTGGGATAAGAGGCCAGATGGAGTTGTGCATGGTGTGGAAAGATGAGGCATCTAGGTCCATGAGGCCAGTGCAGGACAGTAAGCTCACTGCTGCCTGCCCCACAGACTGGATTCACGGCTCACTCAAGCCCCCTCCTCAGTGCCTTGTGCAGTAGCTCCTGCCATCAGGTCTTGTTCACACACTTACCCCTCCCTACTGCCAGGCCCTACCTTTTCCTTTAATCCTGGACACAGAACATCATTACTTGACTATGCATCCCCAGCACCTAGTGCATTGCAGGTAGTAAGTGCTCAATAAGCAGCTGCTGAATGGATGGATGGATGGATGGATGGATGGATGGATGGATGGATGAATGGACACTGGAGTTAGAGTCAGAGGACTTCGATTCTTGCCTCAGCTTGACCACTACCTGGCTGTGTGCTTTAGGACAAATCACTTAACCTCTCTGGGCCTCAATTGTCTACTCCCTAATTCTGTTAACACAGATTAATTGAGTGAACATAGACAATTTGTGATCCCTTATTAATATGATCTCCTTGGCCCTAAGTCCCTAGGGCACTTCCTTCCTTCCACCTAACCACATGTAACAACAGGAGAACTGTGCCCACATCCTGTGTGTCTTCTAAAAATGGCAGGGTCCAGGAGTTCTGCCACCCATCCACGTGACCATTCATCCACTGAAGTGCTGATCTGTACCTCCAGCCCTGCCAGCCTTCCATGCTATCCTAAGGCGCATCCATCCAGGCCTCTCATTTCCCTGCTTCCACAAAACTCATTACACAGGAATCTAAACTTAGCCTCCTCTTCCCTCAACCTATTGCCATCCCTCTGAGTTCCTTCTCCTCAAAAAATGGCCCCACTGTCCAGCCAGTGGCCCCACTGTCCAGCCATTAGCCCCACCAGAAACCCAGGGGTCAGATCTTCTGCTCAGTCTCCAGCATGCATGGCTACTAAGTCTTGTTGACTTGATTTCCTCCCCTCCTCTGTCCCTGCTAAGGCCACCAATCCCACCAGTATTAGCCCCTCTAGCCTTGCTTCTCAGATGCACATCTGAGTCTATCACTTTCTCCTTTAAAATCCTTCTTCCCTATGTCTCCCTATGTTCCTCTAGGTCAAGTCCAGACCCTTTTAATGCAGGCTTATGTGTTCGTTCCACTCTGCAGCCTGGGCTTTCAAGACCCTGCCCCTCCTGACTCCTGACTCCAGCCCTTCCAAATGAGCTGCCTGCATTCTCAGGGATTTGCTGTCCACCTCCCCACTGCTGGACCTTAGCACGTGCTATTCCCTACCTCTTACCTGGCTTACTTCTATTCAAACCTCAGGCAGGCCTCTGATTTCTGGAAGCTTTCTCTGGCTTCCTGAAGACCCCTACCCTCAAGATTCTCCTTCTGTACAGTGATACAACACTACGTTCTTATCATAATCTCATCACATCTTAGGTCACCAGCATTTACTATAATGTGTTGCTATGCCACGTGTGTCTACCCCAACAAACTGTAGCTTCCTTGAAGGGACCGTGGCTGGATCCTGTTTGTGTCCTCAGTGTCTAGCACAGATCCAGACACAGGTAGGTGGGAAGTAGCAGGGAACAGTGGTTAGGAATTCAGCTTCATCTCAGCATCCTTCAGTCCAGCAGCCATGTGCCACATGCAGGCATTGAGCAGATATGCTGTGAGTGTGAAATATTCACTGGATTTTAAAAATCTGAGACAGGGTCTTGCTCTGTTGCCCAGACTGAAGTGCAGTGGCCCAATCACAGCTCACGGCAGCCTTGACCTCCTGGGCTCAAGCAATCCTCCCACACCAGCCTCCGAAGTAGCTGGGACCACAGGTGCCTGGCACCATGCTGGCCTAATTTTTGTATTTTTTGTAGAGACCAGGTTTCTCCATGTTGCCTAGGCTGATCTCGAACTCCTAGGCTCAAGTGATCCTCCTGACTCAGCCTCTCAAAGCGCTGGGATTACAGGCACGAGCCACCACCACACCTGACATACACTAGACTTTGAAAGCTTAGTGTGGAAACAAGAAAGTGAAAAATCTCATTAATACTTTTAAAAATGTTGATTATATGTTGAAATGAAAATATTTTGAATATATTGGTTAAACAAAATATCTTATTGAAATTATTCTTATTTATTTTTACTTTTTAGAATGGGGTTGCTAGAAAATTTAGAATTACACATGTGGCTCACTCACACTTTACTTCCATTGGAGGGCACTGCCCTTGAGCTAGACTCTAGATTCAAATCCCTGCTCCATGAAGCATTAACTGTAGAGCCTTGGGTAAGTTGCTTAGATGCCTCAGTTTTCCCATCTGTAAAATGAGGACAGTGTTAGAATCCTCTTACAGAGTTGTTATAAGTATTAAATGGGTTAACATGTGCTTTGCAGATAGTAAGCCGAATATAAATATTAACCATCATTCTGATTAGTTATTCAATATTTGTTGAATAAAGCATTGAATTCATAAATCTTAACCTCCTTATCCCCAGACCATCCTTGCATCTACCACTTATCTGTCTGTCATTCAACATTTATTCAGCAAATATTTATTAAGAATCTACAATGAGCCAGGCACTGTGATTGACACTGCAGGCAGAGAGGAGCATTTAATCAATCAATTAATTAATTCAGTGAATCTCTGTTGAGCGTATCTTTTGTGCCAGGGGCTGACTGGACTCTGGGATACACACAGGCCCAATGCTGCTCTCCGGGATTCTTGGGCACATGGAAGAGACAGATCTTAGTAAGGTCATGGCACTGTGGGCTGTGTGCTGGGATGGGAGGTGAAAATGCTGGACAGAAACCAGGTGGGAAAAGGAGGACAGTGTCAGGAAATGCCGCCTGATGGGGCTATGAAGCATAGGGAGGGTCTGGCCAGTCAGAGGAAGGCCACTCCCGGGAGAGGAAAGACATTTCCTCTATCATCCATCATACACTGAGCAGAGAGAGGCAGGGTCACGAAACTTGACCTGAAACGCACAGCCACATCAATATCAGTTGAGGCGGCTGTTTGTTTCTAAGTGGACAAGCCAGCTGATTGATTGAATTTTTCACTCATCATTAGGGTGTTGAACATAATCTGGAAAACAGCCCTCCAGCCAGGAGCCTCAGCATCCCTGGGCTTGGGCTTTGGGCCCCAGACAGTAGTGCCCCTCCAACTAACTCCCCTCCAACTCCCCTCCCAAACCCTAAAGCCAGGCTCCTCTGCCGTTCAGTGCACAGCTGGTAAGTTAAAAGCAGTTTAGCGATAATTCCACCTCCGCACTGAAGACTTCCAGGGACTGTTAATGAATTTAAATGCTGGGGATTCTCTCAGATGCCTCATTGCATATGTTCCTCACATTAAGATGCTAATGAGAGATCTGCTGGACAGGGGTGCTGGAGCCGGACCAGGGACGGTGGCTGGATAGGGTCACCAGCTGGTCAGGGCTTTTCTAATTCCTTATCGGCACGTGATCATTGAACTCTCCCAACAGGTTAACCAGCCTCAGTCTCTGTGGAGATTGGAGATTCAGTCAGCTGGGCCTGGGCCACGCTGGCTCGTAGCAGCCTTCTCCTCAAACCCGAAGGCTGTTGGGCACAGGCCTTATCAAGGAGGCAGGAGAATTGCTGCAGGACTTGAAGGCCTGGGACCCCTTCAAGAAGCCATGCCTTACTCAGGGACCCAGATGGACTGTGCCAAGGCTTGGGACCCAAGTCCGTGCTCTCGGGAGGTTCCAATTTTGAAGGGAAGCACCGATTCTCGTGGGGCGTGGGGCGGAAGAAGTGGCTGAAAGAGGGCAGGGCAGGTAGAAGATGGAGGTATTTACCAGGAATGGAGTGGCTCGGGCATTTGGAGGCTGGGGAATGATCAGGATGACACTTGGGGCTGCCCTTAGGAACAGCATGAGAAATAGTTGGCTTAGCATCCCCATGGGTGTGGGAAGATGGGTCTCCTTTTGACAGAAGCCAAAAGCAAAAGAGAGAGGCAAGAGACTAAGGGTGTAGAAGGGCACAGAGGTTGAGAATGGTTGCCCTGGCTTGGATCCTGCCCCTGCCATTTATGAGCTGTGTGACCTTGGGCAACCTAGCCTTTCTGTGCCTCAGTTTTCCCATCTGTAAACAGTGACAATAACAGTACCTGTGTCATTCCTGATGATGAATTCATATATGTTCAGCATTGGCACGCTGGAAGTGCTTACTCCGCATCTATAATTATTTCTATCAGTGGCCGTTGTGGCTGAGGTCCTCCCAGACCAATTTTCAGGTTCTGTTTTTAGGGAAGAGACTGACAGAGGAGATATGTGGAGAAGCAGGGTCCCTGCCAGGAGGTGCTGGGGAAGGGGTTCTGAGGCATGAAGCCTCCCCATCCCTGCCCGCTCCCACGCAGCAAGGCAAATCCCCCTGGCAGGACAGCAGCTGCCAGCTTCCGTGGAAGCCACTTCCCTCGGCTTCCTGCAAATCCACTGACAATTTTGTAAATTTGCTTAAGGATTAAATTAATAAGCTGCTCTTCCTTGGCTCCCACAGTGGTACAGACCTGCGCCCCTGTGCTCCAGGAAGCGCCTTCTGAGGCTGAGTTTGGAGGAAGTGAAGCCACCTCAGAACTGAACCCCTCCTCAGTGGAGCCCCCGGGGGTGACCCCAGCGCTTCCTTCTGCAGCCTGTGGCTTATGCATGAGTGTGACAGAAGGTCAGGGGACCTTCTCACTGGTGGGCATTTGCAAGTCCATCTTTGTGTGTTGTCTTCCTCTCTCAGACTGGAGTTCTTGAACTCAGAAATCATACTGGCAGATCTGCCGGGATAGGGTCTGTGTCTCCCCCATCAGACTGCACTCTCCCAGGGACTGTGTCTGCTTCTCGGAGGGGAGCCTCTCATACCTCTCAACATGTAGGTTTAGGGCCTGGAACCCCCTTTCCATGTCCATGTACCCCTGAATGGGGAGGAATGTCTGGGGACAGAGGAAGGGGGGCTGGCAGGACCCTGTTCTGGATATCTCCATATATGGCAACAATCCCAGTTCAATTCTGGAGGTGGGACAGAGCCTGGGGGTTGATTGCAGGGAAATTGTTCTATCCATGCTGCCTTTTCTGGGCTTCTTAGGGCTGGTTGGTCCCAGAGGGAACACAGGGTGTTGAGGTTGGGTGGAACGGGGGATAGAAGGGGTACCTAGGGTTGACAGAGGCCTCCCCACAGTCTTCAGATGTCCCCTGTGTGCTGCTGGCAGCCTTTGAAATGGGAAGGCTCTGTGTGGGGAGCAGCATCTTTCAGGATTCTATGATCCAGTTCCCTGACACCAGAAGAGCCTGGACTGTCCCAAGGTCCCCAGCCTCTCCCCTCCCTCCCCTCAGCACAGGCCTCTCCAGGTGGCTGGAGCTCTGTGGGCCTGGGCCGGGCTGGAAGCTGACCCAGCCCTGGGCTGAGGCCATGGCTGTGATCTCCCCCAGGACCGTTCCATCTTCGCTCTCTTCGTCTTCAGCTCCTTCTGCTTCTTGCCACCAGATGAACTTCCTGCTGAGTAATTGGAGCTGGAGAAATGGTGCATCCATCCAGCTGCTGCGCTTGGAGACTTTGATTAAGGGTCAGCAGGTTAACTTGTTGCCATTCAGCATGCAGGCGGGGTGGGGGCACCTCCTGATCCCTCCCCTCCACCAGCCAGTAGCTTTGCCAGGAGAGCAGCAAATGAGAAGCCTGGAGGCTCTGGGAGGGCAGGGAAGGGAGAAGGCAGGGTCCAGAGCTCTTCCATTAGTCACGAACTCTCTCCTGGCTCAACTTTGCCTATGCCCATCAGGGTACCCCGCCCAAGGCACTCAGCCCCTCCCAGAGATCCCTGGAAACTTAGGGTCCAAGAGACTGCAGAGGTACCAGATCTAACCTTTCTACAGAAGTACTGCTGGAGGGCATTGAGCCTGTGCTTACATGTGTCTAGGGATGGGGAGCTCACCACCTCTCCATATGGCTCATTCATTCCAGAGTGGGATGATTCTGCCTGTTAAAAAGCTGTTTCTTGTACCAAACCGAAATCTGTCTTCTGATCACATCCATTTCCTGGCATGGTCCTGGCCTTTGGAGATACACACCATAAGGCTCAACTCTCTTTTTCTTACTGGCTTTCAAGGACTTTAAGGCAGAGCCATTTGTCCCCTTCTAGAGAGTGTCCTCTCTTCTGTCTGCTGTGCAACACTTCACCTTATTTGCTGGCTTCCTCTAGACACTCCTGTGGACTTTGGAGTCAAGAGGCCTGGGTCCCTGCTCTGCCACGTAGTGGCTTTATGTTCTTGGGCTTAGCACTTTCAGAACTGGAAAATGGGTACAGGTTGAATGAGAAGGGGTGTAAAGTGCTTAGCATAGAGCCTGACATGGAGTAGGTCTTTAAGACTCAATGTTCCCTTCCTCTTCCCTTCCTCTCCCTTATCCGTGAAAGAATCCCATCCCTGATTATCAGCCTCACTCAGACACAGAACACAACTAGATGGGCCCATCTAACCTGTACCATGGCTCTGTCTAAACCAGGCCTCCCTCCATCTGTCCTTACCATCCACGGGCAAAGGGGACAGCCCTTACCATGGTCTAAAAATGAGCCCTGGTGATAAGAGAAGTTCTCCCCGACATTGAACTCCCTCCTGCTGCTGCAGTTGGGCGTCCACTGAGTTCTCCCAGGATTGCAGGTCCTGACCACCTTCTCCTTCCCCACCCTCAGCTCCTCATCCTGTCCTGAGGAGTCCCTGGCCACCACCCTGGGTTCAGCAGGAGCAGGGCACACCACTGTAGCACTATTTCAAGACTTCCTGTTCCGAGGAGAGATTTTAATTATCCCTGGAGACATGTCTGAATTACAAACCCCCACGGGCCCATGGCACACACTGTTTATGTTCTTCCGTAAGTAATTGTGCCTTGGTGAATTATGCAGTCTTGTGGAAAAACACAAGTTCAGCAGTGGAACTAGAGATGCTAAGATGGTCTTGCCTTCCTCCCAGCCTGTGTTTCCAGGAGCTGCACATCCTGGTCAGCACCAGCAACTTGGGCTGTGCCTCTGTTTCCAAAGTGCATTCACACATCCACATCTTCCCCTCTGTCATGCCGCCAGACATTAGTCTGCCCGTGTCATTGCTTGATTTGGCTGATGTCTTAATTTGGGGTTACCCCTACCCACAGCAGACCCCAAGTGGCAGATTTTTTAATGATCATAAATTCCTCCCACCCTGCATGCACATGCCTTTGCTGCAACTCCAATCCCGAGACAAGATCTGTTTCTCTACCTACCATGAACCCGGGCTGATCTTGTGTCTTGCCTTGACCTATGGAATGTAACAGAAAGGGATGTTGTTTGTGATCTGGAGCGTGGGCTCAAGAGGCTTGCTGCTTTCTCGTTTGCCATCTTGGGGCACTGTTGTGAGGCTGCCATGCAAGTCCAGCTACTGCAGGGTGAGAAGCCTCGAGGAGGAGGAGGACAGAGCCTTCCCCGGCCAACAGCCTGCACCACCTGCCGAACAGTGGGTGAGGCCAGCTTTGATCTTCCAGCTCAGGGGACCCTCCGGCTCTGCGGGACCCAGTGAAACCTCAGAGGAACCGCCCAGCCAACAGCCGAATCAGGGGAAATCAGAAATCCTTGCTGTTTCAAGCGATTCTGGGGTGGTTTGTTGTGTAACAATAGTGCCTGAAACACACTGACACAAGAATCTGAGTGCAAGGAGTATATCTGGGAGGTGATCCCAGGAAATGCTCTGAGGGAGTGGGGAAATGAGACAGGAAGGAAGGAGAGCCAGGTATGGGGTGTTCACGAGGGTTATCTCTGTGGGTCTGTGGGCAGCTGGGGCTCTCAGGCTCATGGCAGATTCTCTGGAATACTTCCCAGTGTGCCTTATTTTGGTCCCATGGAGGGGCGAGGAAGTTGGGGAATTTATCCCCCAACCCCAGCCCTCCTTGGCAGAGGGTTGTCTGTGGGCTGTTAGCTCCCTGGCGCTTTTGGCCTGATCAGTACATGGATTGGCACACTCCCGGGGCTGGAGGACACCCATCTGTCACCGTTGGCAGGTCTTTCTGCAGGCAACCTCCAGGGCTGGCTGAGGGGATATGCATGGGGTATGATCACATGTGTTACAGCCGATCAGAATTTCTTGAGTACCTGTCATGTACAAGTTCATCTGTCCTCTGGTAGCTCATAGGCAGGTGAAAGACACAAACTAGAAGAGAAATTCTCCATGAGGGCAGTGCC
This sequence comes from Homo sapiens, assembly GCF_000001405.40. Classification (NCBI taxonomy): domain Eukaryota; kingdom Metazoa; phylum Chordata; class Mammalia; order Primates; family Hominidae; genus Homo; species Homo sapiens. The sequence goes on along the minus strand of NC_000017.11, from coordinate 34,771,856 downwards.
ATCGTGGAGGGACAGTTTTGTAAATAAGCAGGGGGACATTTTCGATGTTCACAATCACTATAGGGGATGCTACTGGCATTTAGTGGGAGTGGCCAAGGATGTTAAACGCTCGTCGAAGCAGGGATGATCCTGCTCAGTGAAGCATCACTCCACATCCCACGCGACTTGCAAATATCTTGGTCGACATTCAAGTAGACAAAAAACCTGTTTATAATTATTTGAGCCTGGAACCTATGTTATACATATAAACATAAAGTATTTGTGTCATGAATTTAATATACACTGATTTTTCTGGGAGTACAACTACCATGTAAATTGAAGGAAGATTGTTCCGTTGGAAACATTACCAAGAGTTATTCATCATTTCTGGAAAATCACATTTCCAATGGCAAAGCTCTTTGTGGCAGTGGAGTCCCAGACACAACCTCCCGAGTGTTTGAGGCTCTGGCCCTCAGGGTGAGCTAATGTGTAGACACAAACCTCTGACGACTTCATTATGTCTTCTAGTGCCATCAAACCTGAGCATTTACATATTGAGATACATATTTTATTATAAATTATCTTTATTTTACTTTTTTATCTTACAGTTAGGGCATTATGTTGATTTATTTTCCAGTGATGTGTCTAGGTAGGTTATACTGTATATGAATTTCATTTCAGGATTGTAAAGGAACCATTACAAACTATTTGTTATAAAAGGGACAGAGTCTGATAGGGCTGAGAACTTATCAAGCATTTCAAGCCAATAGCACGGTTCACTACCACATAGGTGTGAACAAGGGGCTTTTGGAGCCTGGAAAAGGAGAGACTTATTTGCCTTAGTGATGGTGGGTAGCTGAGGAAGGCAAGGATCAGGGAGCGCTTCACAGGGGAGGTGACATTTGAGCAAGTCTCAGGATGAATCCATGGACCTCCTGCAATCCCCAAAATGGTTCTAAAGAGTGGACAGGACAGGAACTCAGTGAGATCTTGGTAACTGTCGGTTTCATTAATGAATATTTATGCTATTTTACAAATAAGCAAATTGCAAATAGAAGCTCAGGAAAGTTAAGTGACTCACCAAGCTCACGCAGCTATTAAGTCATAGGGCTTGGCACATATTCCCTCAGCAAACAGTTTTAGACCACTTACCCCATGTGAAACGTTATTGTAAGCACTGACAGTCAGCATATATGGAGTAAGGATCTACAAGGTGTCAATATTGTGGATATGAGGGTGAACAAGACAGACCTTCTCATGGAGGAGAAAAAAAAATAAAAAGTAAACCAAGATTTCTTACTATCAACACTGTTGACATTTTGGGCCAGATACCTTTGTTGTAGGGCTTCCCTTTGGAAGCTTAGCAATATCCTGGCCTCTACTCACTAGATGTAGTAGCACTCCCCCTGCCCAGTTGTGACAACCAAAAGTGTCTCCAGATATTGCCAAGTGTTCCCTGGGGAGCAAAAGCCACCCTTGGTTGAGAACCACTGATGTAAACAAACAAATAAGATAGTATCAGGTGCTGTTAAGTGTCATGAAGAAGATAAACCGGGGTTGGAAGGTGAACAGTGATTAGGAGTGTGCTGCCTGGCTTGGGTCAGGGAGGGATTCTCTGAGGAGGTGGCATTTGAGAAAATGCTTGAATGTTGAGAAGCGGTAGCCATACAGTGATTTAAGAGAAGGGAGTTTCATTCTCCATCACCATCACCATCAACAACATCATCATCATCATCACCATCACCATCATCATTACCATCATTATTATCAACATCATCCTCACCATCATCATTATCATCATCACCATCATTACCATCACCATCATCATCTTAACCATTGTTATCATCATCACTGTCATCACCATCATTATCATCATCACCATCACTATCATTTGCTTCTGATTATATAACACCTTCCATGCCAAGCACTGCTCTTTACATGTATTGACTCATTTAATCCTCTTAACTACGCTATGAAGCAGATGTATGATTTTCTCCATTTTACACATAAGAAGGATGAGACACAGAAGAAGCAATAAGAGCAGAGTTCTTGAGCTTGTTTTGGAGGCCAAATGAAGGTCACTGTGGCTGGAGCACAGTGAACGTGGGGGAGGGCCGGGCTTGGTGGCTCACGGCTATAATCCCGGCACTTTGGGAGGCCAAGGCCGGTGGATCACCTGAGGTCAGGAGTCTGAGACCAGCCTGGCTAACATGGGGAAAACCCGTCTCTACTAAAAATACAAAAATTAGCTGGGCATGGTGGCGGGAGCCTGTAATCCCAGCTACACAGGAGGCTGAGTAAAAATAATTGCTTGAACCCGGGAGGCAGAGGTTGCAGTGAGCCGAATCATGCCATCGCACTCCAGCCGGGGCAACAAGAGCAAGACTCCATCTTAAAAAAACAAAAAACAAAACAAAACAAAACAGGTGGTGGTGGGAGATGCATTGATGAGAGAGTCAGATCATGCCAAGTCTTGTTTGTCTTGTCTAGTAGATGCTGTGGTGGGTTGCCCTCCTCCTCGAGCAGCTGAAAGCACTCATCTGAGTTCTCTCTAGGAATTGCTGTCAGCTGAAGAGGGCTGCCTGGTCCAATTGAGGTCACACGCTATTCCTGGGTGAAGGCAGCCCATATCTATGATAGGTTGATGCAGGAGTGTAAGGCTTGACTTCCTATTCTGGGACAACTCTGAAAGGTCATCCCTGCTCTAGAGCTTCTGTGGGATTGGCTGAGGTCTCTGTTGCTTCTGCATTGTAGCTCAACATTTCCCCTACCAATTCTGCTTTCTTCCTTTCCCACAGGTGTAATCCTGAGAGCACATCCCAATTAACTTCCTACATACCATTTTCCAATCTTTCCAGGGAAACTGAGCTGTGACAGCACATTACGGTATTTGGTTTTATTCTGGTTGTGATGAGAAGCCGTTGGAGAGTGTAAGCAGGGGCATGGTGCTCTGGCTGCTGTATAAAGCAGCTGTATAAGCAGCTGGCAGTGGAAGGCCAGCAGGGAACAGGTGTGGTGGTGCAGGTGAGAGGGTAGTGTAGGACCACAGCATGGGGTTGCTGATAAATGCTCAGACTCGGGATATGTTTAGGAGGTGGAGCCAATAGGGCTCACTGTACAGTGTGTAAAAAGGAAGCAAGGATCACTCTGGATATGTGGGCCACTGGTGGATGGAGGTGCTACTTCCTGAGATGCGGAAGGCTTGTAGGGAGTGGGAGGAGTGGCTTTGTAGGTGAAATCAAAGGCTCTTTTTGGACTTAATGAGTTTCAGATGCCTCCGATATTGAATGGGCAGTTGGATAAATGAGTCTGCAGGCCAAAGGCATGGCCAGAGCTGGAGATATAAATGTAGAGGTGATCAGCACACAGATGATATAGAAAGCAATATGAATGAGTGAGGTCCCCTGGAGAGACAGGGTTCATTCAGAGGATAAGGGAGCTGGGACACTCCAAAATTTAGGCAAAGGAGAAGTCCTGGAAAGGAGTTGGAGAAGTGGCCCTGAAGGAGGAAGAAAACTAGATGAACATGTTACCAAGGAAGCAAGAGAAGCAATCGTTTCAAGAGGGTGGGAGTGGCAACCATGCTGGACATTCCCAAGAGACTAAACAAGGGAAGGAGAGAGCAGAGACAACTGACTTTTACTAAGTGTTGGTTCTTGGTGACCTTGCTAGAAGTTGTTTCAGTGGGCAGGTGGTGAGGAAGGGGGTCTGGCTTGGACTGTTGCTGCTCTGCCTACGTTCTCCTGTGTTCCTAACCCAGCCATGGTCTCGCTCCCCACCTCCCTCCCTCACCTCTCAATTAAGGGCTGAAAAGCCTGGGATCCTCTTCAACTATTGGAATCCTGGGGCTCAGTCTCTTTGGTTTTAAGATGGAAGAGAAATGGGAGGGATTGTTTGGGAGCAGGTCTCTGGGTGCCAGGGGTCCAGAGTCAGGCCTGCTGGGGTTACCTTCTGCCCAGGCCTCAACCTACCTCCTATGTCACTTAATCCCCAGGGCTGGACTCAGTTCGACTGACTCTCTTTCTCTCCCGCGTAGACAGGCCAGATGCAGATGGCTTGAGTTGCATACGATGGTGCTGGGGGTTGGGGGCTCCAGCCTTCCACTTCTCAGATGGCCAGTTCCTCTCTGACCTCAAGCTCTCCCCTTATTTCATGGTGGAGGGTGAAGGCGTAGGTCATCCAGGGGGCATGATGTGTGCCACGAGACACAGCTTCTCCCCTGGATTTGGAATTAGGGGCTGCTCTGTGCTCCAACCCTGCTTACTGCTCAGTGGAGGAGGGGCAGGTGAGACGAGGGGACACAGAGTCCTGGCCTGCGTTTGAGCCTTTCCTGCTGCCAGTCCCATCCACATCACCCTCACCTGATGGGACAGGAGTCAGATGAGGGTGACATAAATACATGTCACCAGTATGTATTGTTTAATACTTCACTCCAGCTCCAGAGGCAAGCTTTATTGTGCCTATTTCATAACTGAGCAAACTGAGGCTCAGAGGGGTGACCTGACTTTCTTAGGGCCACGTACGTAATAAGTGTAAGAGGTGTGTTTGGAAATAAGCTCTTATGACACCAGACTGCTGAATGGGGCCTTAATCTCCCCATCTGGACAGTGGAGGAGTCTGAACCGTTCATCTGAAATTTCCTTCCGGCTCTGTGGTTTCAGGTATCTCTGGGAGAGTGGGCATGTTCAGGAGCAGAGATTTGTCACGGGGGAAGGGAGTTGGGGAGCCGGAAGGGACAGGAGAAGCTTTCAGTCTGGGTGCCACAGTCTCAGGTTCAACTCTTGACATTATCTTCAAATGAGGTAATTTCTCCTGTCTCAGTGCTGCCCAGTTGGGTAAAAGAAACAGTTCATCCTATAATGTTAAACTTGGTCCTATTAACAGACCACACCATCTGTAGCATATTATGAATTAATTAAAAATAAACCTGTAATTATCTTGTTAACATAGCAATTATATTACATTGTAATTTTTTTGTTAAAGCATTAAATTGTTAATATTCAAGATGTAATATATAGCACAATTTTTTGTAAGCTGATTTTGGCAAAATCTTCATTGTTTTAACACACTGGCAGCCTTGCACATCAGAAGCGGCCTCTGAGGGACCCCGTGGTCACAGGATCTTTCTTTGAGCCTGGTCAGAATGTTGGGCTGGAGAAGGAAGCAGAGTCTGCATTTATTTCCCAGGGTTTTCTTCCATTATTTTTTTTCCTTGCAAAGAGCTGCCCTTTGCCTGAGCCTGAAAGTCCATGGGCAATCAAAGAACCTGCAAAATCAAAGCAGAAGGAAATTGGAAAAGAGGACAGAGCCCTGACTCTGCAGATTCTCCCGCAGGCCTTGGACCAGGGTCAGAGGCCGGCCTGGTGGGAACGTGTGGTCAGTCAGTGGAGGACATGGGCTTGCAGGGTGGAGGTGCCTGTGTGTATATGTGTGTGTGCACGTGCACACACACTTGTGAGGGGGGAACCCAGACAGGAGAGGGCTGAGATGGGAGGAAGGGGAGAACATGCATTCAGACAGTCAGTACTGGGAACAATCATGAGGGCTTCCTGGAGAAGGTGGCATTTCTATCTCAAGTTGATGCACAATTTGCATGAAGACATTAAAGCCCTTCCTTTATCCTGTACTCTGCAGCCACAGCACACCCATCTCCAGTCTTGTCCCCCTCTAGAGGATGCTCTACCCAAGGAAGAATTGAGTTAGCACTGCTCCCACCCTCTCCCAACATCTATCCCCAAAGAAAGAGATAACCTAGTGGAAAACAGCTTCATTTGAATGCTAGAACCCTAGGCTGGTGGAGCTGGAAGAGAACCAAACCACCCCCTCCCCATAGTCATTTTCATTTTCAGGTGAGGAAACTGAGGGTGAGTACATCCATGACTTTAACTGGTATCTCTCCTATGCTCATCCTCTTGGTACCTTGGGGAGTTGGTGGGGTGAGTACAAGCTGAGTGGGGTGGAAACAGAGCATTTTCCTTTTCTTGGATTCTGGGTCTCCAGAAGCAAAACGTGTGGAGGGCTGGCTGTTGTATCATACCCCCACCCCAAATCTGTTTCCTGTATTCCACTGTGCTGAGGGCTAGCTCTCAGGTAAAGTGAAATAGTGCAGTGACATGGAACATGACCTTAGAGAGAATCTTCACACCACTCTTCGCTGTCCCTACCTCTTTGCCTCACTTTACTTCCAAAGGAGAAAACCGGGACCAGAGAGGGGTAGTGACTTGTGCAAGGTAACACAGCAGGTTTCCTGAAATCCAGGCTTAGTCTGCTCTGAAGCAACTTCTGTTTGCCTCCACTCACCACTTTATCAGCACAGGCTACTGAGTTCTGACAGCACCTCCTGTCCGGCTGCCTCCCGAGTCTCTGCCTCTCTTGTCTCATACACCCAACTTGGCTTCCCATCCACCTGCATCAACTCCTCTCCTGTCTTTTGAATTAAAAATAAAAATGCCTCCCAAAGTGCCACCTAAGCCCCAGGGACAGCGGTAAGATCCACTCTACAGTACATGGCAGTTTATGGGGGTACCCCACAGCCATATTCCTGATGAGCTTTCCCTAAAGACACCGTGTGGCAAGCACTGTCACTATCGCCATTCAACAAACCAGAAAATTTAGGGGCAGTGATACGATGTCCTCCCAGAGTAATTTTGGGATTGGGGATTTTTAGGCCACTAGCTCTGGAGTGGAACTGCTTGGATTTGAGTCCAGGCTCTGCCCTATCCTGGCCATGTGACCCTGGGCCAGTCACTTACCTTCCTGGAGACCTACCATTAAAAGGGGACATACTGAGTGTTGTTACCAAGGAGTTAGATGAGTTGATTTGCTTCAAGTGCACAGGAGGGCCTGGCAAAGAGAAAGCCTCAATGATGTTAACTGTCATCGTGATGATTGTTTTGGGGACCTCTCTGCTTGCCCTGCTGCCTGGACGGCATTTTCCATTCATGGCGGGGGATTTATTGTTATGTTAATTTGCATTTGTTCTCCCCTCCAAGTCCTATGTTGAACAAATGTGGGAAGGGCATTGGGAGGTGACCAATCAGCAGTTTGTGCCTCATGTTGGATGAGATTCTCCACCCACTGTGTGAAGTTGGGAATGTTAGTTCATGAGTCTAGGTTTCTTTATCTGTGAAATGGGAAGAGACCTCATGGTGCTTTTGTGAAGACCGAGTGAGAGAATGTGTATACAATGTCAGTACCAATAATATTTATGGGCTGATTACTGACTGGCAGGTGAGTGATTTGTCTGAAATGGAAGGAGTGGTCCCAATAGGAAGGCTTCCTGGGGGCAGCCAACCTGAGCTCCCAGGCCCCACACAGGCTCTGACACCATGGAGGCATGCTCAGAGGCAGCTTCACCTACCCACTGTTCCCCTGGGCCTGGACCACACTGAGGAAGCGCTGGCTCCAAGGGGTCCCTGGCTTGATTGAGGTCACAGCCCTGGGAGTGGCCTCCATCCTTGCCCAAAACCAGCAGGGCTGGAGGGGAACCTGGTATAGTGGGGCTTAAATCACAGCAGTGCTGACTAGGTTTTAAGTAAGATTTCCTTCTAAGTAAGTAATTCTGTTTCTTAGAAGGAGGAGGGACCCCAGAGCCATGCAAGCAGCTCATCGTGTTTAAGCCTTCCGTCCCTCCTCCTCCATCCCTCCTTGCGCTAAGGCCCTGCAGCTGTGGAAACTGTGGCTCAGCCCAGGCTGTGTCAGCTTTGGGACTGGGTTTGGAGGAGATGGAAGAAAGGTTTCTGAAGCCAAGTCCTTCTCCAGGAGCACTCTGGAAGCTGCTGTGCCTCTCTCTCTTCCCTCCCTCTCTTCCCTGCTGCTTTTACTCATTCATTCATTTGTTCCTTCATTCACAGAGCCTTCTCTGACTCATCTCCTCACTCAGTCACTTGTCCATCCATCCTCCCATCATGCCCTCGGCATTCACTGACCACTTACCAGGTGTCAGCTGACTTCTAGCTCCTGGGGCAGCATCAATGAATCAGCGAGTGCACTTGCGGTTCACAATGTGCTGTCCTGTTCATGGTCCCCTGTGCCCTGCACATCAGCTCTTAGAGGCAGGCAGTCCAGGTTCAAGTCCATCCTGATTCCCAAGTATAAGCTCTTTCCACCACACCACACTGTTCTCTGATGGGTCTGCCTCTGTGGTGTCATTGGATTCATCTTTCTGTTCCCTCCCCCATGCCTTGTTCTGGCCTACTTCTGCCTTTACTGCCTTTCCTGATAGCCTCCTCCTAACTGCCCTTGCCCTTTCCTAATCTGTCTTATGTGTGGCTGCCAGACTATTGTTCCAGTCTGACTATGACATTGTCCTGCTCAAAAACCTTTAATGGCTCCCCATTGCTTGCCAAATAAAGCCCAAACTTTTAATCTTGGCATCCAAGGCACTCAACTTGTTGTCTTTAATTGATTTCTCTGGTCTTTTGTTTGTCTTTTCCCATTCATGCACACTACCCTTCAGAAAAATGGGATCATTTTCTCCTGCTAACAAAATCATTGGATTTCCTACCAAAACACCTGAGGTGTTTGCTTATGCATTTTCCTCTGCTTGTGATGTTCACCCTGCCATGGCCACACCGTGTCCACAGGTCCAAATCCTGCCCATATGAAAGGTCATGTTTAAGTGCCACTTGCTCCTGCCTCTCCCCCAGTTGGAGCCATCTCTCTGTTCTCTGGGTTCCCAAAGTACTTGAGCCTCACAGCATGGCTATTTATGGACATGCCTTGTTCCCTCTTCTAGACTGGGAGTTCCTTTGGGGTAGGGTCCCTGGCCTGGTCATTTCTGCATCCTTGAGCCCATGGACAAAGCTGTGCATGCAGCAGTTATTTGATTATTTCTGTGCTCTTAGTCTTCCACCGCCCAGAGATACTCCTCTCCCAGAAAGGCAGCTGTGGGGGCAGTGAAGGTGGGTGGCTGGTGGCCTCAATTCTGGGCAGATAGACCTAGGCTGACTCCATAACTCGCTGTGACATTGGGTAATTTACTTAACTGCTCCAACCTCAGTTGCCCCATCTGTATAAAGGCAGATATTGATATTGGTGCTTTCATCATCTTATTGAGAGGATGGTGTGGGAGAATGCGTATCCCCTAAACATAGCACCTGCCACTCTCAATAAACATTAGTACTTGTTATCAGTTCTAATCCCATCATTAGCAGCTCTGCAGCCTTGGCAAATAAATTCAGTTTCTTGAGACTTGACTTTCTCATCTGTAAAATGGCAATAACAATCTCTGCTGGCCCAGCTTGAGATGTCATTGAGAAGATGAAATGAGATGATAGATATTGTGTGAGTCAAAGGCTGTGAATGGCAGAGTCCCTGCTCAATTATGTTTAATGAAGAAATAGGAAATTCATAGGCTCATATCACTTGATCATAGGAGGGCTGAAGCCAGCGGAGCTAGGCACCTGCTTTTTGTCTCTCATCTCTGTCTCTTTGTGCATGACTTCATCTTTGCCATGAGAAAGGCTGGAGGCATGCTCACAGGCAGCTCCACCTACCCGCTGTCCTCATGTCTGAACAGGAAAGAAGCCTCCTCACCAGTCTCAGGAAGAAAAATCCTAGAGAAGGCTCTGATTAGACCAACATGGTCACATGGCCACCTGTGTAGCAGGAGAGAAAAGGAACACACTGTACGAGAGAGGAGAAGCAGTTCTCTAAGCAGAAGGGAGCTGTTTGTTACTAGATGAAGGAGACAGAGCACTGGGCAGACAAGTGGAACAGATGTCCCCTCCAGGTATGAAAGCACTTCTTTCATCCATCCCTATGCGTCTAGCACTGTGGTGGGCACTGAAAAAATAAAGATGAATACACCACTGTCATTGCCTGGATAGTGCATGGCTTTGTGCGTGGGCTATATGGATGTAGACATGGCACCCCATAGCTTAGAGAGAGAGTTCTAAACTATGGGAGAGTTTGAAATTTGCTTTACAGATATAAGGTGACATTACTGCTATTCATATCATTTCACAACATGCAATCGTTTATGGGAACCTCTGAGAGTCAGGGGAGATGAGAAAAAGGAAGTGGAGATCAGAACAGATCACAGAGCGAGATCACTGAATGGTCAGCAACAGGCTATTTTGCATACTTTCTCATGTCATCTTTGCAAGAACCTACATCTTTGCAAGTAGGAATTAACAGTCTGCATTTTCAAGGTGAGGAAGGGGACACCTGGAGAGGTGAAGTGGCTCCCCAGAGGTCACGTGGCTAGAAAGGGCAACTCTGGGATTTGAACCCAGGTCTGCCCCACCTGGGTCTCGTGCTTTTTGCCCAGTCCCATGGAGTGGCAGGGAATGACAGGCCCGCCCCTGACTTGGAAGCACGTCTTTTGTGTCTCTTTAGAAGAAACCAGAGCTTACTCAGGCAGAGGTTAGGGTCTGACAGCTGGGAGAATCAAGTGTGGAATGAATAAGTGGCCAACAGAGAAAATAGTTCAGGAGGCAGGATTGAAAGGAAGAGACCCTTGTAGGGGTGTGTGTGGGGATCCTACACCCCAGTCCCTGTCTCCCTCCCCTACCTCTCCCTTTCTCCTCTTCAACTCAACTCCAAGTGGCAGATTTATTAGTTTTAATTAACAGCCCAAATGCTTGGAAAACGTCCAAATTCCAGCTCTTGGCATCACTGGGTTTCCACGGGAAGGGGTGTGAGGGGGATGATGCCAGGAATAGTAATGAGCCGGGGTGAGACAGCAGGAGAAACCACCCTCCCTGCCTGGACCTGGCCTGGGCACCTGCCATCCATCCTCTGGCCCAACCTGACCTAACCTTGTGGGAGCTAGAGCTGGGCTGGCTTTGTGGGTGGGGGAGGCCCAATCCCATGTAAGGTCATGGGATTTGGGAGCATTTGGCTGTGGTTAGAGATCTGCTGCTGTGTGACCTTGGCCAAGGTGCTTGACTTCTCTGGGGTTATGGTGAAATTCATCTGCAAAGTGAAGGGGATGATTTCAAGCCCTGTGAGAGTCCTGGCAGCTCTAAATTGTGATTCAGCTTTTTTCCCAAATCTTCTAACTGCCCTACTTTTCTGACTCTTCCTCTTCCAGGGAAAGACCTTGAATTTCTCCCTTGGACTCTGCTCCTCTCCTAGAGCCTCCTTCCAGTTTGGAAAAAGTTCTCCACTCCCAGTTTGGGTGTAAGGCCTTCACTTACACCCAAGTGTAACTGTGTAAGGCAATCCTGTTTGAGGTCTGTCAATCTGAGCTTGACCTTGGCTCTATGAGCCCTTACTGGGTGGGGGTCTCAGGCAAGTCTGTGCCATGCATTTCCTCATTGCACATGGGGATGACAATGACTGTTTCCTGGGTATGTGTGTGTTGGGTGGGGGGGGCGGTAGGTGTTGGGGGGCGGTAGGTGTGGGGAGGTGGTGGAGATTCAGTGAGATAATTCTAGTGCAATGCCTGCCTGGTACGATGATCAACGTGGGACCTACCCATGACCACGTGAGGCTGTGAGCCACCCCTGAGCCCTTTTCCTTTTGGGGACCCACTGAGAGCCATGCACAGAGGGAGAGGCTGCTGTCATTTGTGGTAACCAGCAACAGTTGGTTGGAAATTCCAGTCACTGGCCAAGGTCAGATTGAAGGGAGCTCTTTAGATTCCGGTTCTACCCCTTTTCCCTCACTATAAGCCCTGTGTCTTCGGCTCTACTCTTTCTTCATGCTGTGCCGAGATCATGCAAAATTATTAAACTAAAATCATTCAGCAGGAAAGGCAACACGAGCAATCATAGTTTGCTGCTGAGAAGCCATGGCCTTCACTGAGGCTGGGCAGCAGGAGCTCAGTGTGGCTGGGAGGCTGGCTTGTTTCAGTGTTTTCCAGAGACAGAAAATGCAAGCCCCTGCGGTCTCCTTTCCTCCAGCACAGCCTCGAGCCCTACAAGCTAAGTGGTCAGGTAGTCTGGTCTCACTTTGGCAGCAGGTCTTGCTGGGGGTCTTCAACCAGGATGCCAGCACTCTCTGAGCCCCAGGTTCACCAGGCTGAAGTTGCTGGTATGAGCAAAGGAGTTTGGAGCTCACACCCATGGTTCCTGGTCTCTGAGAATCATGTTCCCCTCTGGTTTCTGGAGGGCAATGAGGAAGGGGGGGGCGGGAAATAGGGGTTGAGGGTGGGAGGGCACGCGTGGGAGAAGGAGGAGGACTGGGGGAGGAGATCCAGGAATGGAGATCCACAAGACCCCAGTTAAGCATCTCTGGGTGATGTGACTTACTTGTAGGGTACTTACTCCAAATGTATGTTTCTCTCTCCACCTGGAATGCAAGGAAAAACCTAGAGTCCCTTGGCCATAAATATGTTGACTTCTTGACCTCTCCCTCTTCCAACCAACCTTCCACCTACCCATCTGCCCATCCGACGTGAATAGGGCCTCTCAGGCAGGTTCTTAGCAAGGGATAAAGAAGTGAATAAGATGTTGAAAGTCTTCAAATCAAGTCCTGGCACCCCCTGCTGCACACCCGCCACCCAAAACCTTCTCTTTTCTTTTCTTTTTATGATACAGGGTGTTGGTCTGTCACCCAGGCTGGAATACAGTGGCACAAACATGGCCCACTGCAACCTTGATCTCCCAGGCAGAAGTGATCCTCTCATCTCAGCCTCCCAAGTAACTGGGACCACAGGTGTGCATTACCACACCTGGCTAATTTTTGTATTATTTGTAGAGACGAGGTCTCACCATATTGCACTCTGGGCTCAAGCAATCCTCCCACCTTGGCCTCTCAAAGTGCTAGGTGGCGTGAGCCACCATGCCTGGCCTAACCTGCTTTTCTCTGTCTTGGAGTTTGGTTCCACTATTTCCCTAGTCCTCCCAGCTGGAAACTGCTCTGTTCTCTGAACTCTCGCCTGCCTCACCCCACCCCAACTCTCATTCTTCCTTCCAATTCATTTCACCTTCATCATCACTGACTTCCTGTGCTAATTTATCCAGCCCCTTCATTCATCAGCACCATGGCGCTCACAGCCACGGAAGGAGGGAGTGAGGCCTCAGGACTCACTTGACTTCCTCTCTTGATTCTGTGCCAGGGCTGGGTGTGGAGTGAAAATGAAAAGCTCTGGAGTCAGAGGGGCTTGTTTCTAAGCCTGCCTCTGCCTTTTCCTAGAGGTGCCACTTTGGGCAAGATGCTTAAACTCAGCCTCAGTGTCCTCCTTTGGAAGACGAAGATATTAGTATTTCTTCCACATGAGGAGGCTGATGAAACCAGATCATGAATGCCAAGTGCCTCTGCGGTGCTTGGCACACAGTAGGGGCTCAGGGAATGCTGGTCCAACCTGCCCTCCCTCTCCCTTCCTCCTTCTTCTTTCTCCTCTTCCTCCCCACAGGCATATAGTTCCCAGCACCCAGGCTGCAGAGCCCTGTGCAGCTGGCTCAGCCCTCCCAGGAGAGGTGCAGGCGGGCAGGGGTCCCAAAGTCACATCAGAGGTCTTGATGGGAAGCAGGAAGGATGAACTCGGCTTGGCTTCTGGGGAATTACTCAAAACTAGACACTAGGCTCCCTGGTGGGGGTGGGGGATAAGCCCAAAGAACTGAGTAGCTCCCAGGCTCCCCACAGATCTCCAAGCAGAAAACCCCAAAACTCCATCTCCGTGGCAGGCAGAAAGAGGCTCCTCCTAGTCACAGCCTCTGGGTGTGGTGAGAGAACACCACCTCCTCCCAGGGATGAGGAGGAAGGAAGCGCATTCTATGAAGGGGTGTCCAGGCACCCTCTGATCCCCACCCATCACCCCAGCCGAATTGTCTTCTTGCCGGTTATTCTATGAAGGGGTATCCAGGCACCCTCTGATCCCCACCCATCACCCCAGCCGAATTGTCTTCTTGCTGGTTATTCTATGAACAGGTATCCAGGCACCCTCTGATCAGTACCCATCATCCCAGACAAATTGTCTTCTTGCTGGTTTAGGATTCTAGACTGGGCTGGAGAGGTCCAATTCTTCACTTTGCAGAAGAGGAAACTGAGGCCCCGAGAGGAGGTGGACCTGGAAGCCGTGACTCTCGCCTTCCTATTCAGTGCTCTCAATTCTCCTGAATTCCAGGAGCCTGGGCTTACCGTAGGAGCCTCCCATGAAGGCTGGGATGTGGTTCCCTGAGCAGGGAGGGAGGAACTGGCCTCGGGACAGGCTGCATGGGTGGCTCTGGCACACTGGCAAAGTCCTGTTTCCTGGGACCTGGGAGGTGGTTTCCTGGGTGTTCACTTTGTATAACTTATTAAGCTCTACATTTATGGGTTATTCAATTTTTGGTATTTGTGTTATATTTCACAATAAAAAGGGTTTAAAAATCCTAATAAATCTCACTGAAATCAATTACACATACAAGAAAAAAGAGAGAGAAAGTTAAAGAGGCCCCAGGTGTGAAGGCGGCCCCATCCACGTTTTAGTCTTGGCAACAGTTCGAATTCTAGTTACTCCCTCTGTAAAATGGGTACAGCATTCCTCACCTTTCTGCTATTCAGGGAAGTGAGCATGGTGGTGGGGGCAGACATTTTTCAAGCACCCAGCACACCCTGCTATAGGAGGGTGACAGGCATCATGGCTCCTGAGTCAGGGTTGGGTGAGAACACCCTGATGACGTGGCCATAAATGCCATCCCTGACCTCCCTTTCAAGGCCATGTACAGTCTGCCAGCCTGCTGCACCACTGACCTTTCAGGGCACAGTTATTGGGGTTCTGGTGGCCAGGGTCGCCTCCAGGTTCTGCTTTGCCTTTCTGTAACATGGGAGGATTGAGGGGCGTGCCCCCAGAAACACCTGGATTCTGTTAATTAAGGTAAAGCATGCTGCCCAAAGTTCCAGAGGGGTCATTTGACTGTCTCAAAGTCACACAATGTTGAGTGCACGTCTGAATTGAGGATCCTGTTCCCAGGACCTCTCAGGGAGCCCCCGCCTTCCTCCACGCCTTGCCCTTGGCCTGGACCCCATGGGACATGAATGCCGGAGCAGCCTGCATTCCTCTCTGCTGTCCCTGGTGATGCAGGGCTGGCCCTGAGCATTTGTGACTTTAAAGTTTCCTGAGATTTAAGGCCAGGCCGGCTGGTGGCCTCCACCTCCCCAGGCTGTGGGTGGGAGGAGGGGGTATGATTCATCTCTCCTCTCCTGGTGCTTAATAAGAACACAGCTATAAATGTAACTGGGCCGTTTATGAGCCCTGCCGGCTGGCTGCCTCTGCATGTCAGCCTGGCAGTTGGCTCCTGGCCCCTCAGGGTTGGCCTGGCCCTGCCTGCTGTGCCTCTCCCTGGGGCAGGCAAAGGGGATTATCTCCTCAGGTCTCCACTCCCACCCTGAAAGCCAGGAGGCCTCATGGAGTAGGAGTAGGACAGAGTGGGCAGCTGTGGTTGGGTCCATCCTCTATTATTAATTAATAGTAATTAATGCAGTCAGTGTTTGCTAAGCGCCTCCTATGGCCTGTCAGGCTCAGCACTGGGGGGTGGGACACACTGATGGGTAATTTCCAGCCTAGGCCGTAGGAGCTTGCAGGGTCTGGTGGAGACTCACGGGAGAGCAGATAATTGCTATTCCATGTGCTATGCAGTCTGATGGCTGTCGGTGTGGGGCTCTGAGAGCAAAGTGCAGGGCCCTCCACTGCTATGGGCCAGGTGGCCCGGAAAGAGTTCCCAAAGAAAAAGGCTGCAAGGATAGGGATGTGGGTGTGGGGGTGTCTGGCTTAGATGGGCAGGGGTATCCAGGCAGAACGAGCTGGCTTAGAGGAGAGAGCGGGTCGGGGGTCAGTGAGCCTGGAGGCGTGGCTGGTGCTTGGGAAGGGGTGACCGAGAGGACATGGGGGCAGGGCCATACCAGACATTAGCACAATAAGGAACCTCGAAGGGGTTTTAGAGAAGGGCCAGGGGTGAGGAGTGGAGATGCTGAAATGAGTGTCTTAGAAAGATCACCTGTCGGGCATATGGTCACCTTTGCATCCCTATCATCAGATAATAAGGCTGGGTGCGGTGGCTTATGCCTGTTATCCCAGCACTTTGGGAGGCTGAGGCAGGTAGATCATAAGGTCAGGCATTCAAGACCAGCCTGGCCAACATGACAAAACCGTGTCTCCACTAAAGATACAAAAATTAGCCAGGCATGGTGGCGGGTGCCTGTAATCCCAGCTACTTGGGAGGCTGAGGCAGGAGAATCACTTGAACCTGGGAGGCGGAGGTTGCAGTGAGCGGAAATTGTGCCACTGCACTCCAGCTTGGGCAACAGAGCAAGACTCTGTTAAAAAAAAAAAAAAAAAAAGATAATGTCACCCAGAATCTTCCAAGGCAAATACTTATGCTTAAAATAAACCCTACATCCTCATGTAGCCCAAAAGGCGTGGGCAGCGGCCCTGCTGACGCTCTGACTTAGTTTTCCACTCACTCATTCTTCTCAGCCATGTGTCCTGTGGTTGCTCTGCCTAGCTGGGCTGGGACCCACCTCTGAGCCTTGTCCTGCTGGTCCTGCATCCCTTCATTCGGGTCTCTGGGTACGTGTCATCTTCTCAAGAGGGCCTCCCTCACCATCCCTGTCAAACCCCCAACTCTGCTTTATTTTTCTCTGAGCACTTCTCTGCATGAGATTTTGCTACAGACCGTGCATTTATTAAATTGTAGTGTGATTCTCTACCTCAAATGTAAGCTCCACAGATGCAGAAATGCTGTCTGTTCTTTGGTCCCAGAACCCAGAACAATGCCTGGTCCCTGATCTGCCTTCAAATATTTGTGGCTTGAGTGAATGGATGGTGGGTAGAGTGAAGGTGGTCAGGCCAGGGTCAGGGCCAGGGCCAGGAAGCCTCCTTGGTGACTCCTGAGGTTGTCAGAATCTTTTTGAGGGGATGCCAGGGGCCAGAAAGCTGCTCCTCCCTGATGGGCTATGACGGTGCTGATTTCTGCAATAATATCTCACACACATGCACACACACACACACACTTTACAAACTACTTTCTTGTTTTTACCTCTTTGATCATTACAACAAACCTCAATTTGATGGATGTCAAATAAGGATAATACTCTTCCTAGGGCTGTCTTGAGGATTAAATGAGTAATATGGGGAAAGTGCTTAGATTAGTGCCAGGAAGATGGTAAGCACTCAAATAGCAGCTTTTTGTTATTTTTAAGGCTCAGAAAAGTGGTGACTTATCCAAGGTCACACAGCTAAGAGGTGTGTGAATGGGAGGGGCTTAAACTTCGGTGACCTTCCCATTTCAACTTGTTGCTGCTTCCCGCAGAGGCCCCCCTCCCCGTCTCTCTCTTCTACTCCTGCTAGCAATCAGATGTAGCTAAAGGCTTGACCAATCCACAGAGAACCATCCCAACAAAGGGTGGTAGGCATGCTGAGTTCTAAGCCCCATGTAATCACAAAGGGCTCCTCCAGTCCACAGAGACTGTTCTAGCTGTGAGTTCTTGAAGTCGACCTAAAGGTGGGCTCCTGTAATGTCCAGCAACTGGATGACTCCACCAAGAGGAAAGGGGTAGGACTGGAGAGAAAACAAATTGGACCACCCATTTGCTGCTGTGAAGACCATGACTGACTGATGCTGGGAACATGCCCACTCAGCAAGCACATTTGCATGCCAACGTGCTCCTTTGTCCCTCCCCACTGGGCCCTCTCCACCTCTGCCAGCTCCTCTACTCACCATGTCCCCTTTCCCCCTTCACTGTCACCATGCCCTTTTGCTTTTGACCTTTCTCTAATGATCTCAGGGTTTCCTCATCTGGGGGAATAACCCCCCATTACATTGCTGGTCTGAGTGCCTCTCCACTTCACAGAGTGGCAGCCTGGAGTCTAGACAGAACCACTTACTGAGGGCCACTTGGTAAACTGGCCAGTCGTAAAACATGAGTCTGGTGGGGAAGCAGGGGACCCACACCTGGCTCTGCTGTTTTCTGGCCATGCAACCTTGAACGGGTTTCCGAATCTCTCACCATTTTCTTCATCTGCAAAATAGGACAAATAATGCCCACCACATTGGCTTGTTTCGTTTTTGGAAGATAGAATGAAGCAATTGGCATAAGTCACCCACATAGTGCCTGGCATTAATAGCTGCTCCATATGTGTTAGTTCCCTTCCTCCCTACCTTTTCCACAAAAATAGAGGAGGTAGTTGAGGTGGAGGTGGAGTGGAAACCTAAATACAACAGAAAACCCAGCAAATACCCAGACTCCAGGAGCTGACCAATCAATGCAACCACAGAACCAGACACATAATATCATTGCTTAACCAATTTTGCAAGGGGGAAGAAAAATCAAAGGATAGCTACAAATGAAAAGCTAACAGAGCAAAACCAATACTCATTTATCTAGAACTAGTTTGCTGTCAGGAGGGGCCAGTCCCTCTGCCTGAGGACCTGTCGATTCCAACTGCTCAGAGAGATGACAGGCAAGAGATGCATTCTCTTCCTCAGCCTTGGATGATGAAGGAGAAGCAGAGAAGGAGGGGTTCAGCCAAAGAAGCAAGAGGAGAACTGCAGCTAGCCAAGATGACAGAGAAGTCAGGCAGCTCCTGTTGAACACTGTGTTAGCTTCCCTCATCTGGTTAGAAGTACCCCACTCAGTTTGCAAAGACTTTTCTAGCTCTGCTCAAAGGCCCAAGGAGGTCCAGAGAAGCAGAGCCATTCACTGGCTAAGGCATGGACCCCAGAGCAGGGCTGGCATAAACTGTTGGGCATGTTGTACACTGCACAAAGCCTTCTAGCCAAGAGGGGAAACAGGAGCTGAAATCTAACCTATACTTCACTGCAAAGCATGCATCCTGGTATACGGCCCTGTTTTCCCAAAGAAAGGGATATATTTTTCTAGCTTGCACAAAGGTTTCACAAGAGTTAATGGTGCTCTTGTCCCTGGAAGAGGCTGAGAAGCTGTCTCTAAGAAATAAGTGTGCTTAGACTCAGGGTAGCGAAGAGGGAAGGAGGCAGGAGCTTCTTCAAATCAGCCCAGGGGCCTAGATGTTTTAAGAACTTGTCAAATGACATTCTTACTTATCTGTTATTAGGACTGTGAGCTCCTCCGGGGCAAGGCAGTATGCTCATCTTTTGAAATTGTTCATACTTATCCCAGCCCTGGGCACATGGCACTTGGTGACTGTTGAAGGAAGGATTAAATGAAACTGACATGAAGGAGAGGGAAGGAGTAGGGTGAGAGGAGGAGAGTGAAGGAACAGGAAGTGTTGGGAAAGAAGGAAGAAGAGAGAAAAGATGAGGAAAAGGCATTGAGGAATAAGGGAGGAGATGCAAAAGATAAATGAAAAGATCTAGCAGGAGGGCAGAGGCTGGACCAGAGAGAGGGAGAGTGAGGCTGAGATAATTCAGAGGGAGGAAGAGGGTGGTGGTAGATAGCTGAGGACCCTGGAGGCCTGGCAGGCTTGGGGTGGGAGGGCTTTGGAGCTTAGATTCTGCTGTGGTCTGAATGTTTGTACCCCCCAAATTTATGTATTGACCTAAACCCCAAGGTGATGGTATTTGAAGGTGTGGCCTTTTGTGGAGGTGATTAATTCATATGGGCTCTGCTCTTGTGAATGGGACTAATGGGACTAGGAGCTGCTATGGTTTAAATGTGTCCTCCAAAGTTCATGTGTTAGAAACTTAATTCCCAGTGCAACAGTGTTGATAGGCAGGACCATTAAGAGGTGATTAGGCAATGAGGGCTCCATCCTCATGAATGGATTAATGCTGTTATCATGGGAGATTGGCCTCCTTTCTCTCTCTGTCTCTCGTACTCAGTTACCTTTCTGCCTTCTACCTTGTGATGATGAAGCACAAAGGACCTTGCCAGATGCTGGCACCATGCTCTTGAACTTCCCAGCCTCCAGAACTGTGAGAAATGAATGTTTCTTTATAAATTCTGTGGCATTCTGTTGTAGCCACACTAAAGGAGACTAAGACAGTGTCCTTATAAGAGAGGCCCCAGAGAGCTGCCTTCTCCCCTCCACTTTGAGAGGATGCAGTGAGAAGACACTGTCTGTGAACCGGGAAACAGGCTGTCCCCAGACACTGAATCTGCTGGCGCCTTGATCTTGGTGCCAGCCACTGGAACTGTGAGAAATAAATTTATGTTTTTTATAAGCTACCTTGTTTATGGTATTTTGTTATAGCAGTGCAGATGGACTAAGATAGGGTCCCTGCCTCTGATCCTGAGGTCACTACCTGAGCTCCTGGTGGCCTACATCCATGAGCAAGCCTAAAATTTGCTCCACAACCCCGACCTGAAGGGCAAGGCCATGAGTGCTCAGTGATGCTTACTTTCATTTGTTATTGATGAGGGAACAGTTGATAAGAGGTACCCTATAGCCTGGGGCATCATTTTCAGGCCTATACCTTTGCTGTTTCCTACTTCAAAGCAGCTGAAAACTTGGTAGATGAAGCCCTATAGGCTTGACCTGGAGTACCCTCTTGTCTTTGGGTAACAAGGCTTTTTATAACTAGCTCTGGACTCTTCTGTGAGCCCAGCCCATGGGGCTGCATACTGAGCTAGATTAGAACTGAGGGCTCTTTTAGGGAGTAGTTATGCTCCTGACTTTGGCCCCAGATTGCCTGGGGGAGATCCTGGCTTTCACTTACTGTTATTCACTTACTGTGTGACCTTGAAGTTGGTTAACCATTCTGAGCCTAAGTCTCCTTATAAGGGCAATATTACCTCCCTCAGAGATGTTGTGAGGGAAAAACAACATTATATATGTAAAGTGCTCACAACAGGGCATGGCACATGGTATATGGCAGTAGGGATTTATAACTGATCCTCTGCCAGGGCCTTTCTCTATTACCTGCTTTCCATCCTCATTATGTCCCTTGATTCATCCCAGCTTAACATCCAAATGCTGTCTAACTTACTGGATTATCAAATGTTAGAATGCATACTTTCCTCTGAAAAGGACTGTTTTGTCCCACCTGACAAGACATAGGAAGGGTTTGTGCCCTCATTTGGGCCAAAGGGCTAAACAGTTAAGGGGCAGGTTCTAGTTCCAGATAAGATCGAGCAAGCACATTTTACCCTCCCTCTCCCACAGAATGTAGTGAAAAAAATCTGGATAGAATGCCTGATGCTGCTACTTGAGGACTCTGAAAATTAAATAATAGCAGGCAGATTAAAGAAGATCAGAATTTGAAGTACTTCTGGACTTGTGGTGAGTTTCCTGTTTTATTTTTTTCTCTGGTATGCCCTAGGCTTGACTTAAGATAGCCTGAAATCCAGAAATGGGCACAGGGTGCAGACCAGGAGAAGCCTGAGGAATGGGAAAGGGGACTCCTGATACTCATAGAAAGTGGGGGAAAATCCCTCCATTGTCTTTTCTCCTGTTTTCTCCCTTTGCTTATACCTAGCCCAGGTAATCCTGTGACAGTAGGATGGAAGCAGCAATAGCAGTAGTAGTAGGGACCTGCAATCATGTAAATCTCTGTGGGAGGAAAACTTTCCCTTATGATGAGAGGACCTGTGGTTCCAACTGGCCCCAGATGCAGACATAGTCATGGTAAATAAGTGGCAGATTAGGGTAACTAAAATCTCAGCTCTCTGGTTAAAGGACTGAAAAGGAGAGTCACAGAAAACTAGGAAGTACTAGGGTAATTTGGAAAGGGAGGAGCTAGGGAAAGATACCTTATAAAGTTATTTATGAACACTAATAGGTCCAGTCCTAAGCAGTGTATTGAAGACTTTGAGAAATGAACTAAAGAAAAGAACAGACTAACTCACAGGTCCCAGACTTGCCAGTGGGTGGTGCACACACAGGACGAATCTAAATAGCACTGCAGAGGCTTTGAAAACTGAATGGCTGTTAGAACCACAACCCACAGGAGGCTGGTTGAAACTTACCTGAACCCAGCTGGGTTGGTTGTATTAAAACATAAACATCAACATTCCCTATAGAATTTAAATAAGACTCTGAGTCATAATATAGTATTCAAAATGTCCAGGATAACAACCAAAATGACTTGGACTATGAAGAACCAGGAAAATGTCAACACTCACGAGAAAAGACAATCAACAGTTGCTAACACCAAGAAAACACAGATGGTGGAGTTATTAGGCAAAGATTTTAAGACAATTGTTATAAAAATGCCTCAAGAATCAGGGCAAAGAGTCTTGAAATAAATGAAAAGATAGAAAGTCTCAACAAATAAATAGAAAATATAAAGAAGAACCAAATGAAAATTTTAGAACTGAAAAATGTGACAAATAAAATAAAAACACCTCTCTAGATGGTCTCAATAGCAGACGTGAAATGACAGATGAGTCAGTGAAGTTGAAGATGGGTCAACAGAAATGAATCAATCTGAACAACAGAGAAAAAATTGTTTTAATATAAATAAACAGAGCCTCAAGACCTATGGGACAATACTAAAAGGCCAAATACTTGTGCCAATAGGATCCCAGAAAAAGAGGAGAAAGAGTGCAGTGCAGAAAAGGTATTTGAAGAAACAATAGCTGAAAACTCCCTAAATCTGGCAGATAAATAAACATACAGATCCAAGACTCACTGAGCCATGAGAAGATTAACCCCCAAAATATTCATTTAGAAATATAAATATCAAACTGATGAAAACTAAAGGCAAAGACAAGTATTGAAGCAGCTGGAGAAAAATGGGACGTTACTTATTGGGGAACAGTGATTTGAGTTACAGACAATTTCTTATTGAATACCACAAAGGTCAGAAGGAAGTAGCACAACATTTTTTGAGTGCTGAAAGAAAAGAACTGTCAACTCAGAATTCTATATTCTGTGAAAATATCCTTCAGGAATGAAGATTAAAGAAAGACATTCTCAGATGAAGAAAACTCAAGAGAATTTATTATCATCAGATCTGCTCTAAAAGAATGGCTAAAGAAAGTTCTTCAGGCAAAAGAGAAATTATACCAGAGGGTAACTTAAAGTAGCATGAATAAAGAAAGAGCAACAGAAATGGCCAATATCTGGGCAAGTATGATAGATTATTCTCCTCTTGGGTTCTTTAAATATGCTAAAGAGTTGCCTGATTAGGTTATCAATACATATATAGATATAATATATGAGACAAGAATAACATAAATGAGTGAGGATTAAAGGAACTTCTATAGTGGCAAGATTCCATATTACACTTGGAAGTGGTAACATAATAATTCTAAGTAGACTGTAAAAAGTTATGTATATCATAATCCCTGGAGCAACCACTTAAAACCAACTATACAGAGAGATATAGTAAAGAATACAATAGATAAAATAAATACAAACATGTTCATCTAACCTAAAACAAGCCAGGAAAGGAGGAAACAGAGAAACAAACAAAAGTGAATAGAGAAAATAAATAAGGAACTGATAAAATGGGAGATCTAAATCCAAACATATCAATAATTACATTAAATGTAAATGGTCTAATACGAATTTCAATGTAGACGTCATCAGAATGGATTAAAGAAAGAAGCTGCCTGTGAGACATTCACATTAAATATAGTGATATAGGTAGGTTAAAAGTCAAAATATAGAAGGATATATACCATGCAAACACTAACCAAAAGAAAACTGAGTGGCTATGTTAATATCAGACAAAGTAGACTTCAGAGCAAGGAAAGTCACCAGGGATAAAATGTGTTGTTACATAATGACGGAACAGTAAATTCACAAAGAATACATAAAAATCTAAATGTAGATGCACTTAACAACAGAGCTCTAAAATACTTGAATCAAAAACCGACAGACCTGAAAGGAGAAATAAACAAATCCATAATTATAATTGGAAACGTCAACACTCTTTTCTCAGTTGCTGATAGACCTAGCAGACAGAAAATAAATAGAATTGAACAGCACCATCAACTCAACTGGATCTAACAGACATTTGCAGAACATTCAACCCAATAAAAGTAGAATACACATTCTTTCCAAGTGCACATGGAACATTCACTAAGATAGGTGATATAATGGGTCATAAAACAAATCTTAATAAATTTAAATTAAAATCATATGAAGTATGTTCTCTGACCTTAATGAAATTAAACCAAATATTAATAATTGAAAGATAACAGAAAAATCTCCCAGGTACTTTTTTTTTTTTGAGACAGGGTCTTGCTCTGTTGCCTAGGCTGGAGTGCAGCGTTATGATCATGGCTCACTGCAGCTTTGACCACCTGGGGTCAAGCGATGCTCCCACCTTAGCCCCCTCTTGATTAGCTGGGACCAGAGGTGCGCACCACTATGCCCAGCTGATTTTTGTATTATTTGTAGAAACGAAGTCTCACTATGTTGCCCAGGCTGGTCTTGAACTCCTGGGCTCGAGCGATCCTCCTGCCTTGGCCTCCTGAAGTGCTGGGTGCATGAGGCACCATGCCTGGCAGCTCCCAGGTGCATTGAATTCAACAACATACTTTTAACTCACCCATGAGAAAAAGAGGAAGCCTCAAGGGAAATTAGAAAATATTTTGGAACTAAATGAAAATGAAAGCAACATATAAAAATTTGTGAAATTCAGCTAAAGGAGTAGTTAGAGGAAAATTATAGCATTAAATACTTGCATTAGAACAGAAGAAAGGTTTCAATAGTGTTAGATTCCTTCTTAAGAAACTAGAAAAGGAAGAGTAAAATAAGTCCAAAGCGAGAAGAAAAATGGAGCACAGAAATCAATGATATTGGAAACAGAAAATAAAGAAAATCAATGAAATCAAAAGCTGATTTTTTGCAATGTCAAGAAAATTGGTCAAACTCTAGCAAGACTGATAAAGAAAAGAGAAGCAGGGGAGAGAGAAGACAAATTACCAATATCGGCAATGAAAGAGGGGATATCATTACAAACATTAAAATGATAATAAGGGAATAATACAAACAACTCCAGGAACATAAATTTGACAACAGATAAAATGGACCAATTCCTCAAAAACCACTGTTATGCACTGAATGTTTGTGTCTTCCCCAAATTTGCATGTTGAAATCCTAACCCCCACTGTAATGGTATTAGATGGGGCCTTTAGGAGGTAATTAGGTCATCAGAGTGAAGCCCTCATGATTGGGATTAGTGATCTTATTAAGAAGAAACACAGGAGAGGTGAGTTCTCTCTGCCATGTGAGGATACAAGGAGAAGATGGCCATTTGAAAACCAAGGGTGTCCTCACCAGACTCCAGGTCTGCGGGCACCCTGATCTTGGACTTTCCAGCCTTCAAAACTGTGAGAAATACATGTTTGTTGTTTAAGCTACACGGTCTTTGGTATTATTATACCAGGCCAAACTAAGACAACCACAAACAACCAAAACTCATTCATGATAAAGTAGATAACCTAAATGGTCCTATGATTGTTAAATAATTTGAATTTGTAGATACAATTCTTTTTTAAAAGCCTCTTAGTTTCTCTGGCAAATTCTTCCAAATATTTAAAGAAGAATAACGCAATTCTACACAATCTCTTCCAGAAAATAGAAGAGGAGAAAAGTCTTCCAAGATCATTTTATGAGGCCAGCAAAACTAGACAAAGAAAACACATGACAAAGAAAACTATAGATCAATTTCCCTTATGAACATAGACACAATATTTCCTAACAAAGTATCAGCAAATTGATACCAGAAACATATAAAAAGAGCAACTCACCATGACTAAGTGGGGTTTATCACAAGAATGCCAAGCTGGTTGAATATTTGAAAATTAATCAATGTAAGCCACTATATTAACAATCTACAGTAGAAAAACCACACAATCATATCAACGAATGCAGAAAACACATCTAACAAAATGCAACATTGATTGGTAATAATAACTCTCAGAAAACTGGAAATGGAAGGGAACTACCTTGACCTGATAAAGGATATCTATAAAAAACCTACAACTAACATCATACTTAATGTGAAACACAGAGTTTTTTTTCCTCCTAAGATTGGGAGAAGTCAAGGATTTTCACTCACCACTGGCAGTTCCAGCTAGTACAATCAGGAAATAAATAAATAAAGGCATACAGACTGAACGTAAGAAATCCAACTGTTTCCATTCACAGACCAAATGTTTGCCTACACAGAAAATTTCAAAAAATCTACAAATAGAAAAACTACAACCAAGATGTAGTTTACCAAGGTTGCAGGATACAAAATCAACACAAAAACATCCATCATATTTCTATATACTAGTAATGAATAATTGGACACCAACATTTAGAAACAGTATCATTTGCAATAGCTCCAGAAATATGAAATACTTAGATATAAATTTAACAAAACATGTAGCAGTTCTATATCCTGCAACTACAAAATGCTGGTGAAAGAAATAAAAGAAGACTTAAATAAATGGAGAGGCATATAATGTGCATTCATTAGCAGATTTAACACAATAAAAATGCCTATTTTCTCTGTAGATCTATAGATTTAAGGCAATTTCAATAAAAATCCAGCAGGATTTTTTTGTAGATATAGACAAGCTAATTCTAAACTTTATGAAAAAGCAAAGGAACTAGAATAGACAAACCAATTTTGCAAAAGAAGAATAAGGCTGGAGAACTCACCATACCCAACTTTAAGACTTACTATAAAGCTACCATAATTATCAGGGATCTAGAACTAGAAATACCATTTGACCCAGCCATCCCATTACTGGGTATATACCCAAAGGATTATAAATCATGCTGCTATAAAGACACATGCACATGTATGTTTATTGCGGCACTATTCACAATAGCAAAGACTTGGAACCAACCCAAATGTCCTAACAATGATAGACGAGATTAAGAAAATGTGGCACATATACACCATGGAATACTATGCAGCCATAAAAAATGATGAGTTCATGTCCTTTGTAGGGACATGGATGAAATTGGAAATCATCATTTCTCAGCAAACTATCGCAAGGACAAAAAACCAAACACCTCATGTTCTCACTCATAGGTGGGAATTGAACAATGAGAACACATGGACACGGGAAGGGAACATCACACACCGGGGACTGTTGTGGGGTCGGGGGAGGGGAGAGGGATAGCATTAGGAGATATACCTAATGCTAAATGACGAGTTAATGGGTGCAGCACACCAACATGGCACATGTATACATATGTAAGAAACCTGCACGTTGTGCACATGTACCCTAAAACTTAAAGTATAATAATAAAATTTAAAAAAAACTACAATAATTAAGGCAGTGTCATATTGGCAAAAATAAAGACACATATACAGAGAGAAAAATGATAGCTCAATGGAACGTAATAGAAAGATCAGAAACAGCCAACTATAAAAAAGATCATTTAACTTTTAACAAAGTTGCAAAGGCAATTCAATGGAGAAAGGACAGTTTTTCTTTTCAATAAATGATATTGAAGTGGATGGGCATTCATATACACAAAAGCGAACCTTACCCTAAGCGTTATACCTTATGTAGAAATTCACTTGAAATGGATCATTGACTTAAATTTAAAACATAAAACTTTTAGAAGAAATAATAGAAGAAAACCTTAGTGATTTGGAGCTAGATGAATTCTTACATATGACATCAAAAACATTACCCATAAAACAAAAATTTGATAAACTGGACTTCATCACAATGAAAAACTCTTGCTAAATGAAACACATTTCTTTTTTTTTTTTTTTTTTTGCTTTTGAGACAATGTCTCGCTCTGTCACCCAGGCTAGAAGGCTGGAGTGCAGTGGTGCATTCACAGCTCACTGCAAACTCTGCCTCCCAGATTCAAGCGATTCTCGTGCTTCAGCCACCCAAGCACCTGGGATTACAGGTGTGTGCCACCACACCCAGATAATTTTTGTATTTCTAGTAGAGACCAGGTTTTGTCATGTTGGTCAGGCTGGTCTTGAACTCCTGGCCTCAAGTGATCTGCCTACCTCGGCCTCCCAAGGGAGGGATTACAGGCGTGAGCTGCTACACCCGGCTGTGAAAGACACTTCTAAGAGAATAGGAAGACAAGTTGTAGACTGGCAGAAAATATTTGCAAATCAGACATCTGACAAAAGGACTTGTATCCAGAATATATAAAGAACTCTTAAATCTCAGTAATGAGAAAATAACTCAATTAAAAATGGGCAAAAGACTTGAACAAGCACTTCACCAAAGAGAATATATGGATGCCATGAAAAGATGTTCAACATTATTAGGTACTAGGGAAATACAAATTAAGACCACAATACAGCTGGGCATGGTGACACCCACCTGTAGTCCCAGCTACCTTGGAGACTGAGGCAGGAAGATTGCTTGAGCCCAGGCATTCAAGGCTGCAGTGAGCTATGATCATACTACTGCACTCCAGCCTGGGTGACAGAGTGAGACCCTATCTCAAAATAAATAAATAATAATAAAACTACAAATATTAATAAATACCATTACACACCTATTGGAATGGCTGAAACAAAAAAGTTGACAATAATAGCTGCTGGTGAAGATGTGTAGAAACTGAAACTCATACTTTGCTGGTGGGAATGCAACTGGTACAGCTACTCTAGAAAACAGTTTGGCAGTTTCTTATTAAACATGCACATCGTACAACACAGCAATCATATTCGTAGGTATTTATTGCAGAGAAATAAAATCTCATGTTCACACAAAAAACCTGTAGGTGAATATTCATAGCAGCTCTATTCATAATCACCAAAACCTGGAAACAACACCTTTGCCTTTCAGTGGGTGAGTGAATGTGGTATATCCATGTAATGAAATACTCAGCAACAAAAAGGAATGATTTATACACACAACATTTTAGACGAGTCTCAAAGGCATTGTGCTGAGTGGAAGAAGGCCGATATCCCAAGGTCACATACTGCATGATTCCACTTATATAGCATCCTGGAAAAGGCAAAACAATAGTAATGCAGAACAGATTAGTGATTGCTGTGGGTTAGGAGGGGTGGAGGGTTTCACGACAAAGTGGCAGCTTGAGAGAGTTTTCTGGGATGATAGAACTATTCCGTAGCAGTGGAGAATATGAATCTATACATGTTAAAGCTTATAGAACCATATACCAAAAAAAGAGTCAATTTTATACTATGTTAACAAATAAGAAAAAGGAAAGAAAAAAAGAGTTAAAAGAGCAGCAGTGCCCAGCAGGCCAGCATGGTGGAGAACCCAGGGATGGAAGGAATAGAGTTGTAGAGGGAGGTGACATCACAGGTCCAGCCTGGCTCCTCACCTGGAGGAGGTCTCCTCCAGAGCCATGTCCTGCAGGTGCTAGGTTTTACTGCCAGGAGGCATTTGATCATCAATTCCCATTATCACCATCTCAGTTGACTCAGCTTGAGTGCCCCGGGAAGCCTAGCTTTATCTGACTTTATGCATTTAAAGTCTCCTTAAACCCCTCACAGACCTCTTCTCTAGCTGCTCCAGCAAATTGCCCACGTGGGAAACCAGGCAGCAGCATTTTTTTTTTTTTTTTGAGATGGAGTCTCGCTCTGTTGCCCAGGCTGGAGGGCAGTGGCACGATATTGGCTCACTGCAACCTCCGCCTCCCAGGTTCAGCGATTCTCCTGCCTCAGCCTCCTGAGTAGCTGGGATTACAGGCACCCACCACCACACCCGGCTAATTTTTGTATTTTTAGTAGAGACGGGGTTTCACCATGTTGGTCTCAAACTCCTGACCTCACGATCCGCCCGCCTCAGCCTCCCAAAGTGCTGGGATTACAGGTGTGAGCCACCATGCAGCAGCATTTTGATGCTTTCTTCCCCACCCTGCCTGCCTCGGTCAGTTGGCTACAAGTTCCTCAGCATATCTTGAATCTCCCTTGCCGCCTTCCCAAACCCAAGCCACAGCCTGGACCTCCCGCTCCCTACTCTGGACCTCTGTAACAGCCTTTTGCTGATTACCCAGCACAGTCCTGCTGGGCTCCGTCCCTTCTCCACAGGCGGCTGGGATGCTTTTGCTAAAGTGCAGACCTCGCTTCCCTGCTTGAAGCTGTAATTGCTCCTCGGGGCAGGGTAAGGGAGCACAGCTTCCCTACCCTGGCCCTGTAGGACCTGGCTCCCTCTAAACTCTGTTGCATTTTTGGGCTCTCTAGCCAATGCCTCCTTCTCCGAGAAATTTGAGCCCCATCCATTCTTCCCCTTGAAAGTTCTCTCCCCTATCCCTTTGCCCAAATCACCTTCCATCCCCTTCACTTGGCTAATTCCTATTCTTTTCAGCCTCATCTTGGACATCTCCCCCCGGGAAGTTTTCCTTGACCTCATCCCACCAAGGATAGCTTAGGTATCCCCTTCTGGGCCTCCCATGGCCTCTGTGCCTGTGTCCTTTACAGCACTTTTTGAGGGTATTGAGATGGTTCATTAACTTTTGAAAATGTTTTTGAAGTGAGGTCTGGGAATAATAATAATAAGTCCTTCATTATTTCCCAAGCAGGTGCCTGTGGTGGGCACTCAGTAACTGTTGCTAAATGAATAACGTCAGGCTGCTTTCTACCACCTTAATACCGAGGAAGCTTTCACAGTATCAGGTGGGTCTTAGCGTATACACACACATAGAGACGCCCTTGCAGAATTCGCCGGTGCCTAATAACTCAGACTCTGCTTTGGTAGAGGGGAGAAGACATCCAGCCCCTTCTCCACTAAAGCTGTGCCCTGCCATTTAATGTAGCTTTGTGTAGGAGGAGGATCCCAGCCTGAGTCAGGGGCTTGACTGTCAGTCCTGGCTTTGTTCCCACTGTGACCTGGGAGAAGACACTGCCTCTCTCTCGACCCAAGTTTCCCATCTGTCCAATGGGACAAATGAAACCTGTCCAGTCTGTCTCAGATGCTTTGAGGTGACAGATCTGAGGGCTGGGGGACAAGTGTCAGCCTTGGACCAGTGGGAGGACCTAGAAGGCAGGTTCTGAGAGGAGAGCTCACAGTGGTTCACAGAGTCACTCACACCCACTCCTGAAACACTCAGCCAAAGCTGGGAGAGATGAAGGAATGTTTGTAGGGTGGCCCCCCTTTTCTCTCACCCCCTTCTTAATTGCAGGGTGGGCAGCTGCCATCTCCCCCCTCCCTCACCACATTTTGTTCAAACCCCTAATTTGTCAGTCAAGGAAGCGGCAAAGCATTAGTAATGGGTGGAATATGCCAGGCAAAAAAGTGGCATTCATTCAGCCCGAGGCCTGCGTGGGGAGGGGTGGTGAGCTGTTTCCCTGCCTTGGGATTGGGGTTGGGGGTGGTGCTTTTCCCCTCCCACCCTTTCATTTCTGTACCCAGAGAGCATGCTTCTGCATGGAGGCAGGCGGCTGGTATGCAGTGGGCTCTTTGCTTTCCTCTGATAGTTGTCATTAATAAAACATTACATTAAATCAGAGCTCAGAGGGGATAATTGGAGCCATTTATCACGTCTGCAGCCAAAGGGAGGGTTGGCTCATTGGCACAGAGGCTGGTGACCAGGCATTGAGGAGTGACCCAAGAACCCATGGGGGCTGGGAAAGCTGTGGGAGGATTGGTTTCCTGAGAAGAGGCAGGGTGGTTTAGATTAGAGGCCTTTGACCTTTCTGCCCCTTCACTCCCTCAGCATTTTAAGGGGTTTTAAGGGAACCTCCCTTTGGCCTGAACAGAGGCCATGAAGCCAGGCTTTGCTGCCACATAGGAGAGGTTGGAGCCCTGGCCCCACCACATACTAGCCGGGTGGTTTCTAACCTTTCTGAGGCTCAGTTTCCTTATCTGTCAAATGGGAATGATACTAATACCTACATTCAGGGCTTTTGTAAAGATGGCCCAAGTGAATGCATTTGAAATGCTTAGCACATTATCTTGCACACAGCAGGGGCTCAGGAAACATTAGCTGTTATTATTATTAGTTTGGCTGGCTGAGAGTAGGACGGGGCATAGGATCTGTGCCACCCACTTTCAGGGTAAAAAGTCACAATTACAAAGTGGAAAAAGCATGAGCTTCATTCTCAGGTAGACCACCTGGACTTGCAACCCCGGCCACTCAGCTCTTCCTCACCATAAGACTTCCGACAAGTTACACAAGCCCTCTGATCCTATTTCCTGTTTGTGAAATGGGGATGTTCACGGCCACCTCACAGAGCCACTGGAAGATTCAAGTGTGAGAATGGATGACAGCTCCTAGCACATTGCTCATCACATAGGGGAATCAATACGAATTAGGGCTCTTCTTTTAGAAGAGAATTGCCTCTGTGGTTAAACAAAACACAGAGTCTGTCAAGGTATGAGCAGGGCAAGATTGGGGAAGGAGATCAACTGGACTCAAGTGGTGAAGCTGACTCTGGTTCAGCTAGACCTAGGGCTCAAATGAGACCACCTGTTGTAGATTGCATTCCTGGCCCCAAGCCTTAAGTCTTCTTTGTACGAATGCCTTTGGTAATGGCACATTTCAGTTCCTTCCACTAGGGAGTAGAGTGGATTTCAGTTCCCTTTGACGCTGGGCTGGGCCATGTGACTTGCTTTGGCCCATGGGACGGAGCAGAAATGGCAGATCTGAGTCCTGGCCTTGAGAGACTTTAGGTGTTTCTGCTTGCTGTCTTGTCCCTCTGCCATTTTTATGAGAACTAGCTAGCCTGCTGGCCCAAGGTAGGTAATACCATGTGGAGCAGAGCCACCATAACCAGCCCAGCCTGAAGCAGACTGCCTGGCTGAGCCTGACCTAGTTCAACTGAACTGCAGCCGACCTGCGCATCCATGAGAATAAAAGCTTATTGTGGTATGCAGCTGATGTATCGTGGTCAGTTATTACCCACAAAAGCTAACTGACACTCCAAGACCACTTCTTCCCATCTCTCAGCCTTGCTTCTCAAATAATCATTGCCCTTACGGTGGTAAGTTGGCCATCAACATGTCCACCTAACCTTTAACAGCTAAGGCGCCCTGCACAAATCCCAACAGATCCTACACAAGTCCAGGATCTGACTCTAATTGGCTTAGATTAGGTCAAATGCCCATCCCCAAATCAATTACTATGGTCAGGGATGTAGACCACCTTGATTGGCTGAGTCTAGGTCGTATGCTTACCCATGCAGCTGGGCTATGGGGTCAACCTAGAGCACCCCATCAATCCACATGGACAGAGAGCTGGGGAGGGCCATTCTCCAAACGACATGAGGGTGCCTTATCAGAAGAAGGAGGAATGGATGCTAGGCTGGCAAGAGCCACAGATGTTCACTGCAGGAAGGTAGGGAATGCATAATTCTATACTTAGGAAGGAGAATATGTAGGCATTGATGATTGATTCGGTAAGAGAAACATGATCCCAAATGTCCGTCTGGTGGAGTAGCAGTGAGGCCTTTTCAGCAGAGAGAAGAGACCTAGGCATGAACAGAGCAGAGGGAAGGTTTCAGGACACAGAAATCCCCATGGCTTACTCAGAGGGAAAATTAATAAGCCAGTCTGACTAAATAGGAGGATTTCTTCATTTATGTTTAGTTTTAGGCTCCAGAAAGGTCCCAACAGAAACGGAGCATTTCACACTCAACAGGCCTCCATGTGGCTACATGTTTTTAGGATTAATGAGGAGTAATCCAGGAGACTTATCCTCTGTAGCAGGGAGGGAGTAGAGCATGCTTTGACAGAGAACTTCTTACCTGGAGAAAGGGCATGCAGGTCCACCTCCCATGCATCAGAGTAGTTGAAGGATAGGCCAGGATGTCAAAGATCATTCCTGAGGCCTAGCGAGAAATCCTCATGGCCCTGGGAGTCAGTGAGAGTGGTCAGGGGCTGAAATGAATTCCAATGCCAGCCTGAGATTTTGCCTCTGAAATGTGAGCTGTATACATGTCTACCATGTTGTTTCAACTATAAATGACTGAATTTAATCTTTTGGAATCTAAGAGAAGGAAGCTGCTATGGGTTGAATATTTGTCCCTTCCAAAACTCATATTTAAATTTAATCCCCAATGTGGCAGTACTGAGAGATGGGCCTTTAAGAGTGATTGGGTCAGCAAAGACATGAAATCAACCCAAATGCCCATCAATGATAGACTGAATAAAGAAAATGAGGTACATATACACCATGGAATACTATGCAGCCATAAAAAGGAACAAGATCATGTCCTTTGTGGGGACATGGATGGAGCTGGAAGCCATTAGTCTCAGCAAACTAACCAGGAACAGAAAACCAAATACTGCATGTTCTCACTTATAAGTGGGAGCTGAACAACGAGAACACATGAACACAGGGAGGGGAACCGCACACACTGGGGCCTGCCTGGGGGGCAAGGGGAGGGAGAGCATCAGGATAAATAGCTAATGCATACGGGCTTAATACCTAGGTGATGGGTTGACAGGTGCAGCAAACCACCGTGGCACATGTTTACCTGTGAAACAAACCTGCACATTCTGCACATGTGTCCTGGAACTTAAAATAAAATAAAAGTGTTTAGTATATACATACATATAAATGTATGCATTTGTAATTGTTCCTGTTACATTGCTTCCAATTTACCCTGAAAAGAAAGGAAATAATGTCTTTCCTTTATTCCAAATAATAAACTCGTGCATGTGTATGTTAAAAAAAAAAAAGAAGTGATTGGGTCATGAGGGTTATGCCCTTATGAATGGCTTAATCCATTCATGGATTAATGGATTAATGAGTTAATGGACTAATGGGTTATCATGGGAGTAGGATTGGTGGCTTTATAAGAAGAAGAAAAGGGACTTGAGGTAGCATGTTCAGCCTCCTAGCCATGTGACGCCCTGTGCTGCCTCAGGATTCTGCACAGTCCCTACCAGCAAGAAGGCTCCCACTACGTATACTCCCTCAACCTTGGACATCCCCCTTTGGGAACTGTAAGAAACAAAATTTTTTTTAAATAAATTTTCCCAGTTTTAGGTATTCTGTTATAAGCAACAGAAAATGGACTAAAACAGAAGCCTTTTAAAGTGCTAAGAGACCTTCATGTCTGGCCAAGAATTCTGACTGGAGACTTACTTCCACAACTGCCTAGCAGGAAGTCTTCATCCAGAATTCTCTGAAGTTAAAAAAAAATCTAACACTAGAAAGGATTTTCAAGTCTATCTAGAACAACAAGATGAATAAGGAAGAGATGAATCCACTGTTTAGAGCAACTGATGTAAAGAAATACAAGCGAATCAGGTTTCTCATCTCTAATTTTGCTTCTGACTTCAGTTTCTTCCTAGGGAATGGTCTCAGGTAGAACAATAAGGTCTAACAGGGACCTGGAGCTGGGGTTCAGAAGCCCGAGGGGAGCATCTCGAGCTGCTGACTGAAGGCCTCCAGACCCAGGGACGCTCAGCCCAGGGAAAGCCCTTGCCGTTGCCATGAGCAGCTGTTGTTGGCAGCCTCTGAGCAGCATGAGGAAGACGCAATATGGCTGAGTTGTGCCCCCTGAAATTCATATGTTGAAGCCCCGACCACCAGTGTGACTGTATTTGGAGACAGGGCCTTAGGAGGTAATTAAGGTTACCTGATGTCATAAGGGCGGCACCCTAATCTGATAGGATTAGTATCCTTATAAGAAGAGACACCAGAGAACGCCCTCTCCCTCTTCTCCCTCTCCCTCATCTCCCTCCCCCTTCCCACCTCCCTCTCTCCCTCCTCCCCTTCTCCCTCTCCTCCTCTCCCTCTCCTCCCTGACTCTCTTCTTCCTCTCCTGCTTTTCCTCCTCTCCCTCCTCTCCCTCTCCCTCCTTTCCCTCTCCCTCCTTTCCCTCTCCTTCTCCCTCCTGTCCCTCTCCCTGTTCCTCCTTTCCCTCTCCCTCATCTCCTTCTCCCTCCTCGCCCTCCTCCTCCTCTCCCTCCTCACCTTCTCCATGAGTGTGCACAGCCTTGTAAGCACACAGTGAGAAGGCGGCCTCTGCAAGCCAGGAAGAGAGTCCTCACCACAACCCTACCATGTCGGCATGCTGATTTTGGACTTCCAGCCTCCATAACTGTAAAAGGTAAATTTCTGTTGTTTAAGACACCTGGTCTGTGGTATTTTATTATGACAGCCTAAGCAGACTAATACAGAGTGGGAGGGTGGCAGTAATTGAGTTACCTGGACCAGGTGTTTCCCAAGTAGCATCTCATGTGATCCTAAGCACCCATCTGAAGGAAGGCTTGCCATTCTTACTTTATAGAGAAGAAACTGAGTCCTGTTTCCTGTAGCAGGATGGGTACTGAGTCCTGTACCCACTGATATAACATATCCAAGGTCTGGTCTACTCTTCCTCACATACTCCAGACCCAAGCCATTGATGGCTTGTGATTCTGACTGAGGGCAACCTCTGTGATCCTGGAGAGTTTATGAGGTACCACAGGACCATCCTCATCCACTTAATACTCCAAATAATTCTGCAAGGTAGGTAGTAGTACCTATTTCACAGCATAAGAAACTGAAGCTCAGAGGAGTTCTACATCTTACCTACAGTTGTATGGTATATGGCAGATGCACCTGACAGCAGTAACTTAAGCATACCCCGAGAATGACCTGTATGGCAGATGCATCTGACTGTGTTCCGAGCTAAGGAACCCAGGAATGGCCAACTTAGAGTTTCATTTCTTATCTATGAGGAACATCTGAACCTCCAGCCTGTCCTTTGAAATGTGGTTTGTATGGGGGATCAAGGTGCTTTGTTTTGGGTTAAATATAGGTTGCCTGATAGAGATTGCCAGGAGGAGAATGCTAAATGAAAATGCTGTATAAACTGCCTGCTCCTTGTAAGTGGCTATAGTTCTCCTGCCCAGCCTGCCACCACTGGGCTGCTCTGTATGTAAGTTTCCTGCTAATAAAACCGTGTATTGGCCGGGCACGGTGGCTCACCCCTATAATCCCAGCACTTTGGGAGGCCGAGGTGGGCAGATCACGAGGTCAGGAGATAGAGACCATCCTGGCTAACACGGTGAAACACCATCTGTACTAAAAATACAAAAAATTAGCCGGGCATGGTGGCAGGCGCCTGTAGTCCCAGCTACTCAGGAGGCTGAGGCAGGAGAATGGCATGAACCTGGGAGGCGGAACTTGCAGTGAGCTGAGATTGCGCCACTGCACTCCAGCCTGGGCGACAGAGCAAGACTCCATCTCAAAAAACAACAACAACAGCAACAAAAAACAAGAAACAAAAACAACAACAACAACAAAAACACAACTGTGCCTTGTTTGCTGGCTCTGGGTCTTTTCTTTGGCCTCTTGAACCTGGTGCCATCTCTATTGAAGTTAAGAGGGGTCCAGCATGAAATATAGTTAATTAGTAAGAATTTAAACCCAGGACTCTATGACTGCAGAACCTGCATTTTGGACGACAGACCCAGAGCCCCTGCCTGCCCCTATACAGTGCGCCCCCAGCAGATGGGAGCCAGTTCCCTTCAGACCTATTTTACTGTGTCAATGTCTTAAGGAAAATGGCAACTGAAACATAGTAGTTGCTTAATAAATGTCTCGTGAATGGAACCAATGTCTTGCCCTTTCTAGTAGACAGCAACCCCTTTAGGTAGGGACCAAACAGTCCTCACAGTAACACACACAGTGTCACATCTGTGGCCACGTTGGTGGCCATAGCATCATGGGAGAAGACCTCAAGGTGAACAGGGGTTGCCCAGTAAGTGGCCCCTCACCCTTTCTCCCCTGGATTTCATCTTGCTTTTGAGTGTTCTCCAACTTTGGCTAGTCCCTGCCCTCTTTGTAATATAATTACTGCTCTGAAGAGAACAAATCCAGCCTCTGCCATGATCTCCCTGGCCCACTGGGCCGAAGCTCCTCTGGCCTTCTTTCCTCTTCCAGGCCTTTGCCATTGCTGTGCCCTCTCCCTGGGTGTTCTGCCCCTACTCAGACCTTCACAGAACCAACTCCTTCTCCTTCTTGACATCTCGGCTCACATATTGTCTCCTCCCCGTGGCCTTCCCTGATCAGGCCATCTAAATCCCCACCCTCTCCCATTGCTCTCGTCCCTTTATTGTGTTCATCACACTGTTGATACAGACATCATCTTGTTCATTTACTTGTTTGCCTGTCCTCCATTGTTGCATCCCCAGCACCCACAACAGGGCTTGGCTCTTAGGTGTAGGCACTCACTATTTTTATTTTTTGAGATGGATTCTCACTCTGATGCCCAGGCTGGAGTGCAGTGGCACTATCTCGGCTCACTGCAACCTCCGCCACCCGGCTCAAGTGATTCTCCTGCCTCAGTCTCTCAAGTAGCTGGGACTACAGGTGCAAGCCACCATACCTGGCTAATTTTTGTATTTTTAGTAAAGATGGTGTCTCACCATGTTGGCCAGGCTGGTCTCAAAATCCTGACCTCAAATGATCCACCTGCCTTGGCCTCCCAAAGTGCTGGGATTACAGGCGTGAGCCACCGTACCTGGCCACTAAATATTAGTTGAAAGAACAAATGAACAAAGGAACTTTTAAGGAGGGGGCAGCAGGAAGTGCGGAGGGGTGGGACAATTTCTTCTCTTAGGGAACTTTATTCCTTGAGGGTGTCTTGTGCAGTTGAGGCTGTTTCCCTTTAGAGGGGATCAGCATGGAACAAATGAGCTGGTGTGGACACAGCCGCGAGGAATGTGGTTGGAACAGGGAAGCCCAGCCCTCAAGTACCAAGGAGACCCCAGCAGGCGCTGTTGGCTTTGCAGGAAACCAGACTACGAGGCTCCCCTGGTCACAGCCTCCCAGGGCCCCTCCTTGGCTGCTGGGCTGAGCAGGGCTGGACTGAGCTGGCTGATTTCCACTTTATTTTGTGTGATGACTTCCCCCCTCCCTGGAATGATTAGGCCTTAATAAATAACATTTCTCTCTGATATTGTGCCATCATTAATTCTGCTTAGCTCTCCTCGGAGAAAATTTTGTGGAAACATTCTCAGTGCTGCTATTTAAAGCTAAATTAATTTGGCTGATTATTTCTGTCCAAGTAGATTTGTGCCCAGGAGACCAGGGCCAGCACCAAGGAGAAGCAGAGTGAGTGCTCATCCCCGTCCCTGAGGCCTTGGCTACAGTTTCTGCCTGCACCTTACTCTGCACATCTCAAGTTTGAGTCCTCTCTGGTAGGTTGGGGGAGAAAAGGGGACCTGAACTCTGATTTTGGCAGCTCAGATTCTTCCAGCGTCACCTAAAGTGAGGGTGGCACGAAGGGGATCCATCTGCTGTTCTTTCGCATTGCTGGCCCCACAGAGGCTTGTACAAGTTCGAGCTTCTTAGAAAAGACACCATCATGCCTATAATCCCAGCACTTTGGGAGGCCAAGGTGGGCAGATCACCTGAGGTTAGGAGTTCAAGATCAACCTGGCCAACATGGCGGGACTCCGTCTCTACTAAAAGTACAAAAATTAGCCAGGTGTGGTGGCAGGCACCTGTAATCCCAGCTACTCAGGAGGCTGAGGCAGGAGAATTGCTTGAACCCCAGAGGTGGAGGTTGCATTGAGCTGAGATCACACCACAGCACTCCAGCCTGGACAACAAGAGCAAGACCCCGTCTAAAAAAAAAAAAGACACCAATGTGATACTGGGCGCTATTCTTGTTCATGTACCAGGACGAAGCTGTATAAAACAAGTGTAACCCCTTAGGTTTCTATGTACCAGTTCTGTAGATCTACATAAAAATTAGGGGTCTGAATGCTTAGGGGGTTCTGTGTAGGTAAGTCAGTTTCTTTAGAGCAATGAAGTTGTCAGGCTGCAGTCAGGCCAACAGCAGGATCCCAAGCCCCAGTGAAGGGGTTTAAGTAAACAATGCTGGCTTAATGATGCTGAGTTCTCTTTAATGGGCCAGGGCTACCATAGCACACCAGGTTTCTCCATACAAAGCTGGATTCTGTGAATTCAGATTTCTGTAAAATTACCAAGGCTTTGGCACAATGAAGCACAGTTCTGAAGAAAAAGGCAGGATTCTGTGTAGCCGGGTAAATTTCTGTGTAACAAATCCGGGTTATGTAGAATAAAGATGATCTCTGGATATCAATATTGGAGTCTGTTGAAAAATCCTGAAGCAGAGTGGAGTTCTGGAGAACCAGTGGAGTTCTGCCTGGAGAGCAGGCAGGTGTGTCCACAAAGAGTGTTCTGGGTCAAGTGCAGGGTTTTGTATAACAATGGCATGGTTCTGTGTTTGGGGATAAAAAAGCAGATTTCCAGAAGGCAAAGAGGGGCTCTGTGTACTGAATGAGATCTGGATACAGTAGGGGCCTACATAACAAAGCAGATTTTTCTAAGAGCTTGAAGAGATTACAATTCTCAATGACAAAGCAATCATGCACATGGGTTCTGTATAATACGGCAGGGTCCTGTGTGACAAAACGAGGCACAGCACACCTTGTGTGATCTGGCCCAGGTCAGGTGCCTCTCCTAGCTGCAAGGGAGGCTGGAAAGTGATCAACTGGTACTCTTCATCTGGACGATGGGAAGCTAGCCCTGACACAAGAGTGGGGATTCCTTTAACATGGGAAGGGGATTCAGATGTTGGACAGCCAAAAAGAATGACACCTCCAGCCCCCAAGTCTCTCTGCACCTGGGACATCTCTATCTGGAGGCCATGCACACACCCAACTCTATGTGTCCCATACTGAGCTTGTCACCTTTCCCCACCAGATTGGCTTATCTCTCCAGTGATGACATGGGACTAGGTATAGCACCATCCTTTTCATTTCCCAAATGAGATACTTTGGAGTCCTTACAGACTTGTGTTTTCATTGCCCTCATCCAATCAGTAACTAACCCAGTCTCTTCTTCCTTGATGTCCCATCAGTCCATTCTTACCCTCCTCACCCTCAGGCATACCCCTTCAGAATTACTGGAGCAGCTCACAGGTGCATGTCACTTCATTATGTGCAAAGGTCTTACATCTCATGTTCTTTTTCACTCCTCACTATTGAGCTGCAGTGGCAGGCTGTGGAGACTCAGGCCAAATAGTGTTATCATGTCTAGATCCCAGATTGCTGTAACTGGGATACAGGGTCAGCTGTGACACAGACCTAAAGTAACAGTCACTTAAACAAGATCAGAAGTTATTTCTTTCCTAGGTTGACAGGCTGGCCGTAAGCAGTCCAACTGAGTAGGGTTGTCCCTGGGTCCATTCCTTAGGGTGCTGCCCTCCTTGGCATGGCCAAGAGGAGTCACCACGGTGTCCACTGGGTCTGTCTTCTAGCTGAGGGGAGAGAGCAAACGGAGCTGTGGGGCTGCAGGGCCAGCCAGGCCACCTTCTCCAAGAGCACAACCCAGAGGTACCCATGTCACTTCTCACATCACTGGCCAAGTTTAGTGGCAAAGGAGGCTAGGAAATGTAGTTGATTCTGGAGAGCCAGGTGCCCAGTTAAAACCTAGAGGTTCATTACTTAGGAAAGCAGGGACAGCTGACAGTCTCCGCCGCTCAGATTTAAACAATTAAAATAACGTAGAACCTAAAAACAAGCATTTATGGAGCTCCTAAAAGGCAGGCAGTCTCATTTGATCATCACACCAACATGGCAAGGCAGGAATTATCATTCCTCTTTATGAAGAAGGAAACTGGGGTGAGGAGGCGTATTAAATGACTTGTGGAAGATCACAAAATTTAAACGTGACAAGATGGGGCCCAAAGCCACCAAGCTGATGCCAGAGCCCAGGTTTTCCATCACTTCACCCAGAATGGAATTTCCAAGGAAGAGGGACATTGTCAGTTTTCTTCACAGCTCTATTCCCAGCACCGAGAACACTAGGGGATGAATCATTGATATTTCTGGAATGAATGAATTTTTGTTCCCTTCTTCCTGTTGGCTCCTCAACCTGAGAGAAGGGACTTCTACACTTTCTTGCCATGTGGGAATGTGCTAGTGTCTTCTCTCCCCTTCTTTATTCCTTTCTAGTTGG
This sequence comes from Homo sapiens, assembly GCF_000001405.40. Lineage (NCBI taxonomy): Eukaryota > Metazoa > Chordata > Mammalia > Primates > Hominidae > Homo > Homo sapiens. Next base: position 34,730,308 of record NC_000017.11, on the reverse strand, counting down.
GCCACCTACCACTGCAATGTCACTCTTCCGTGTGTGCATGTGTGTGTGTGTGCATGTGTGTGTGCGGGCGTGTGTGTGTGTGTGCGGGCGTGTGCGTGCGTGTGTGTGTGGGTGTGTGTGTGCGCGCACGGGCGTGTGTGTGTGTGTGTGTGTGTATGGAGGGACAACACATTCCACAGTGAGGTCTGGTTTTCAAGGGTGAAAACTCAGCTAAAAGAATTCTTGCTGTGGTGTCCTGAACCTCCAATCATCTCTCCTTCTCATTCTTTATTTATTTTGGAGAGGGAAGTCTCACTTTGTTGCCCAGTCTGGAGTGCAGTGGAGCAATCATAGCTCACTGCCACCCCAAACTCCTGGGCTCAAGGGATCCTTCCTGCCTCAGTCTCCCAAGTAGCTGGGACTTCAGGCATCTGCCACTGCACCTGGCTAATTAACTTTTTTTTTTTTTTTTTTTGTAGAGATAGGGTCTCACTATGTTGGTCAGGCTGGTCTTGCACTGCTGGGCTCAAGCAATCCTCCTGCCTCCACCTCCCAAAGCACTGTGATTATAGGCATGAGCCACTGTGCCCGGCCCCCTCAGTCTTTATACAGCTTGGGAGTTAAGAGGCTGAGGAACCTGGAGGGGCGCTGAGCATCTAAAATAAAAGTTTCCTTCTGCATATGACATGAATAGCTGACATCTGTCAGTCCCTTACTATGTGCCGGCTCTGTTCTAAACTCTTTAATGTACTTCATTTACTTCTCACAACAATGCTATGAGTTGGGTACCCTTCATAGTCCTCTTTTACAGATCAAGAAATGGAGGCACAGAGAGGTTAAGTAATACGTCCAAGCTCACACTGCCAGTAAGGAAGCCAGGATAAAGCTCAAGGCTGCACCTATAAATGCTACTCTACAGCTGTATAACAACACACTTATTAGATAGTCAAACGCTCTACATTTTACAGGCCTCGGTGCAGCTGTGTTTATTTTGATTCACAATAAGGCTCATTTTTCAGATAGGAAGACTGAGGCTTAGAGAGGCTAAGTCTCTGCCCCAATGGTCCAGTTTACTGCTGGCCTGTTCACAGCTCCCTGTAGTCTCCCGTCAGCGGAGGCCTGTGGAAGTGCTCTATCCCTGAGCTCTCTCTGGCTCTGAAGGCAGTCTAGGGCACGTCTGTTGCTCACTTTCCTCCAGGGGCGCCTCCCTTGCTTTCCTTGGGGATCCACAGCCCTTGCAGGCCGCCCTCCCTCCCAGCTGTTGCCGCTGTGCGTGCATGTCAGGGGAGTGCTGGTGCATGGTGGGTACTGAGTGGGGGAAGAGGGCTGTTTATTTACAAGATGACAATTTTGATGTATTTGCTAGGGGGAAAAACACCCCAGCACCACACAATTAAATTAAAAGAGCAGCAGTTGTGGGCGAAGCTCATCTACAGCTGACTTAGAACCAAATGGATCTGAGAAAAACAGCATAAATTGCCGTGGCTTCAGCTGCTCAGCTGGCAAGTCCCCCCGCTGCAGCCCTTAGATGCTGCTGTGGGGCTGACCTCAGCTTGCCCAGGTGTGCACCCTGCCCAGGACCTGTGTAGGATGGAGTGATGAGGGGCTGGGGCATAGCTCTGGTGTTTATTGGCTTTTGTGCCATGACGGGCCTTCCTGGGGCGTCACAGAACAGAAAGCCTTCCTGATCTCCATGGATGGCTTCATTCCTCTCTGCTGTCCAGGCCAGAAGTGTGGCCATGATGTGAACTTCTCCTGCCTCCCTCCTCGCCTCAGCCACTTAGTCATCAGGTTCTGGGGGGCCTAGCATTTTTGTACCTGTCTGGCTCTTTCCCTCCTCTCTCCCCTCCTCTCTGGTCATTGGAACGCTCATTCTGTGTTTCATCTGAAAAGTGGTGACAGCCTCTTCCCTGCCTCCAGTTTTACCCAGTTAGATACACTCAACATTCAGGCTGGGCGCAGTGGCTCACACCTGTAATCCCAGCACTTTGGGAGGCTGAGGCGAGTGGGTCACTTGAGGCTAGGAGTTTGAGATCAGCCTGGCCAACATGGCAAAACCCTGTCTCAACTAAAAATACAAAAATTAGCCAAGCGTGTTGGCACGCATCTGTAATCCCAGCTACTTGGTAGGCTGAGACACAAGAATTGCTTGAAGCTGGGAGGCGGAGGTTGCAGTGAGCTGAGATCGTGTCACTGAACTCCAGCCTGGGTGAAAGAGTGAGACTCTGTCTCAAAAAACAAACAAACAAACAAACAAACAAAGAAAAATAAAAAAGATCTACTCTGCATTTAGCAATTATACTCCTAAATTTCTTAGCATGTCATTCAAAGCTCTTGAATCCATCAGACTTCTGCTATGGTGCTGTACAACAAACACTCCCTAAATCTCAATGGCTAACGACTACAAATACTAATGTTTCTTATGCATGGGCCTTCAGGTGGGCTGGGGCAGCTCTGTTTCAAGTGGTAGGCTGGGTTCAGGGCTGTGCCACGTGGCTTTCATTCTGGGACCAGCATCTCGCCAAAGCATGCCCTTCCCAAGGCAGAATGGCAGATCACAAGAGGCCTAGCTAAACTATGCAAGCACTTTTAAAGTCTCTGCTCACGTTGAGTCCGCCAATCCTTCACTGGCCAAAGCAAGCCACGTGGCTGAGCTCAGTGGGGCAGGAAATTATACTTCACCTCCTCCAATAGCAAGAGACAAGTCACATGGCAAAAGGAGCTGATGTGTAATACTATTACAAGGAGAAATAGAATAATTGGGAGTAATAACACAATTTTCCATGACCCTTTATAACCATGATTCTCAAAGGTGTTGTCTGTGGACTGCTAAGTAGCACCAACATCACCTTGGCCTACCCCAGGCCAACTGAATCAGAAGCTCTGACCGTGGGGTCTGGCAGTGTTTGTTCTAACAAGTCGTTCCGGTGATGCAGGCTAGAGTTTGAGAACCACTGCTGGGCAACCTGGCTGCCCCTTTCCTGACCCCCGAGTCTCACTCGTTCTGGCTGCAGTGGAAATATGTCCCTTCCCGAGCCGTTCTTTCTCCCTGACAGAATGCTCATTCCTCCCCAGCCTGGCAACTTCCTGCTCAGTTTTCAAGGCTTGGATCAAATGTCCCCTCCTCTGGGGTAGAAACCTGTGTACCCCACCCCTAGCTCAAAGAGAATGAATCACTCCCTCCTTTGTGCTCTCATGGGACTCCAACAGGTACAGGGGAAACAGCAGGACCCAGAGGGTATGTCAACTTTGGGCTCGGAACAGGGACTCCTCCACAGTCAAGACTGTGTCTTATTGGCTATTCCATCCCCAGCACATCACCTATGCCTGCCACATGGTAAGCGCTCAATAGCTGTTGCCTGATTTTGTTGCTGACTTTCAGGTGCTGTTGCCAGGGTGAGGGTACATTACTATTTCTGCCCCAAGAACCAGGCTTCCCAGGATGTGCAGTTGGGAATATTGATGGAGGGGGAATAATGGGTGAGGTGATCAGGGCAGCTCAGGCTGGGCCCTGCTTAGACTGTAAGTGTGAATGGGGAAAAGGTTCTGAATCCTTGGGTATGGCCAGGAAACAGATGAGGAGAGCATCTGGTGCCCAGATGCCTGGCAGCTGTCCTTGTTTGTGGCAAATCTGGTAAAGGCTCATCCAGGGACACTGCAGGGCTGGGGGAGCTCTGCTTGTTTATTAGATATTGGGAAAGCTAACTGACCATCAGACAGGGGGGTTTTGGGCAGAGCTACCTCCCCCATCAGACTAGGATCTCATCTGAGGCAGGGCTCAGATTTCCATTTCAAGGGAAATCTCTATCAAGGTGGAGGCTCCTGGGCAGCATGAATTGTTTCTGTCCCCTCAAACAAGGGGAGCCCTCCTTACCCAGTTGAGCTGTCTTCCTTTGTGTGGGAATTGAGTTCTTCCCCCAAGACTTGGGCATCCCTGGGATGGGGAAGGGGCTGACAGATAAATCCTTAGACAGATGCCTCATTGTTCTCCAAAAAAAAAAAAAAAAAAAAAAAAGACAACAGCATCCTCCCTTCACCTTTAATAGTTGACATCCTTATATAGACATTTTGTCCATCTCTCTGCCTTCAACCTGAACACCTTTCCCTTTCCAAAACACCCGTAGAATGAGCAGTCAACCTAAGGATGAAGAGGGATGAGGAAGCTGTGGGATTTGGTGCTGGGTGGAGGGGAAGATGCAGTAGGCCAAGAAAAGCCTCTACCTTCCAATCTTTTCCTTTTGGGCTGACAGGTACGTTTCAAGGGAAATTGAATCTGCACATTTCAGCTTCATTTGCACTTAACACATCTGGCTGGCAGTGGGCAGGAGGCTTTTGATGTCTGCGTTTCGGTGCCCAAGCCTTTTTAAGCCTCTTTTCTTTGAAGCCAGGGAGACTTGTGTTTCTGCCAAGGAGTAAACAGACTTGTACACCCTCCAGCAATTTAGTCTTTGGAGACCTGGCTCCCAAAGGCCCTGGGGGCTGGAGGCCCCACTTCTTCATTTGTTCAGCCTACAAACACTTATTCAAGACTTACTGTGCAAAAGCTTCCCCAAAACTGCCTTTCATAGGAAGGGTATAGAGAGAAACTCTGGCAGATTTCACAATCAAACTCACCAAGCTCATTTGTCTAAGAAGCAAGGGAAGGGAGTCTATGTCCCACCAATATTTTCTAGAGTGACTTTAGCTCCCCGATAATTTCATCAGCCTCTCTACCTTCCCACCCACCTCTAAAGTCATCCCTTGCTGTTCTTATTTGTAATGTGGGCAAATTGATGATTTCTCAATGTCATATGAAGTGTGAATAAAGCACTTGAGAAAGTGTGGCTGTTTTTATTGATCTGAGGTAATCTATACAATGACAGCATTGTGTGCAAAGGCGGGCTGTGCTGCCCAGCCTCTTGTTGGAACAGACTGGTGCCTCAACGCCCCTCCTTAGAGAACTCTTGCAAAACACACAGGAAGACACCTTGGCCCCTTCTTTCCAGTTCACTGACTTTGTCCTGCCTCACAACCCCAATCTGATCCCATAACCTTCCCTACTCCTCTTGAGCCTCCAGAGGGAGAAGTCCCGCTTTTGGTCCTGACTGCAGGAAAGCAGGCTGTGGGGGAGCTGAGAGCCAGCAGGTGCATCACTCCTTTGACTGGAGTGATTCATGGCTGGGAGGGAGGGGCAGTTGCAGGCCTCCTTCTCTGCTCACCCAGCCTGGCCTAAGGACCCTGGGTTCCAGGAGGCTCTTCTGAGGACTGGATGGCTTTCAGAGCTTTGGCAGGTTGGGGCATCTCTATGCCCTCTCCCCACTTTTCATGTGCCCAGCTCAAACACCTCCATTAGGGGTAGGTGAGGGGTTTGGCTCTAAGAGGCTTCACCCCAGCCTGGTGCTCTGAGATCTATGGAGGAGGCCTAGTGAATAAGGAGTTTTAGGGGGTCTGAGAATAGAGGAGAAGCAGCATTGCTGTGGGAAACGGGGCCCTTACGTGTGGTTGGAGACCCAGCCATTCTGATGGGGAAGGCACAGCTCTTTATGGAGGAGGAGGGGGACATTCTTTACCACAGCACAGCGTCACAGGAATGAACAGCTGTAGACCTTGGTCCTAAGAGCAGAGAGCAGAGTAGATGAAATTATTCCCCCTCTTCATGTTTCGTGGTGTGACTGAAGTGACCAAGGGGCTGCGTGGCTCTACTGGGGTTTGATCACCAAAACGAGAGTGATTTGCAGACTTTCTCCTCTTTGAACTGTAAACTGACAGAGCTTTCTTCCTCTGGCCCAGGGGTGGGCAATGACTACCCAGAGCTGGGACTGGACCTTGGGTCCCTTGACTCTTAGCCTAGTGTGTGTGACCTTTCTATTCTAGGTGGAACTTAAGAAAGAACTCCCTGCCTCTGACAGTTGACACAGACATGGTGGAGTCTGAGTGGTCTGAGAGTTCTCTGGGGAGCTCCCCAGCCAAGGGCAGCCTGGGAGTCCCAGGGGTGATTCAGAGAGGCTGAGCCCTTGATGGTCTACGAGTGTACTCCCTGGGCCTGAGCAAAAGTTCCCTGCGACTTGGCATGGCACTTGTGGGAAGCAGGCCTCTAGGAAGAACCCAGGTCACTGTAGGAGGGAGCACCTGGCATCAGCCTTCGGCTTAAGAATAGACATAGAGTCATTATCCAGTAAATCACCATCATCATCCTGGAAAACGCACGGTTCCCCTCGAGTGCCTTCAATCACTATCCCTGAATGGGAGCGGAAACTTGAAGCAGGCATCACACCCACGCAGATGGGAAGCTGACAGCTCCATCTCCCAGCCTGCTCCAGCTCAGCCTGTTTCCCAGCTCTGAGGCACCTGGTGTGCTGGGGTGGGAGTGGGGGTGTTGCGCTCAGTCCTCACCAACTCTGGCCGACAGGCAGAAGAGGAGGGAGCTCCACTGGTTCACTGATACAGGAAACCGGGATCCTCGCTGTGCTGCTTAGTGTCATCATTGATACGATGACAGTGTGACCACACTGATCTCTCATTTAATAGAGGATTGCCTGAGATGGTGTTGGAATACCTGGCACACACTAAGCTCTTTATCACAGTGATCAAACTACAATGTCCCTAGAACTACATCCTTTCTAGATGCTGTGCCGTCTAACTCCTGCTCAGACCTTGAGACACAAGTGCCCACTGGACCAAGGAAGCATTAATTCAGTTATTCCTTCACCCATAGAGCCACCAGTTGACACTAGCTCAAGTGCCCAAGCCTGTTCAATGGACTTGGGCTTGTGTGGGCTGGGAGCTCCCACAAGAAAGGTTGCAGGGAGTGAGTGCCTGCCAGTGTGTCTTTGCCTCCCATGGGCTCCTGGACTTGGCTAGGTCCCTGCTCTTCTCTGCACCTCAGTTTCCCCATCTGTCAAACACAGAGAGGATTGGTTGAGAGCATCTTTCATGGTCTTCTGGGTGCAGACTTCCAGGCTTTTTGAGTTTCCCAGGGCTCTGTGGTCCCTGGAGTGACAGGGAGAATGATCCCCAGGACTCAGAATCTGTCAGACCCCTGAGCAAGGAGGGGTTCAGAAAGTGGCAGGGGTTTGACTGCTGCTGGGGGGCCACTTCCATGGGCCCATTTTGCTGATAATTTGCCAGGAGACTATGTCCCCCTCCCCAGAGAGAGCAGAGAGACACATTGGCTGCTGGCACAGCCAACAAAGGGACATTTGGCCCTCAGGCAGTGTGATGCTGCAGAAAAAAATGCAGACTTGGGGCCAGACGCCCTGGGTTCCAAGCCTGATTCTGCTACTTCCAGGCTTAGTTTGCATTCTATAAAATGGGGACAAAAGCGCTCTCCTCGCAGGACTATTTGAGGATTAAATGCAGCCCTGGCTGTGAAGGGACACACGAGGGGCTTGGCACCTACTTATTTCTCAGAAGGCATGAAGTTCCTCTCCTCCCACTGGCTGGCCTCACTGAGGGACCTGCATCCTAATCTCAGGGTGGCAGGAGGATGAGGCGGCTACTTGGGAGTCACACTGTCCCCTTCTCCCTGGACCTTTGCCTTCCCAGCCTGTCTTCCTAATGTAGTGCCCCAGCCTCTTGTAGACATGCAGACACTGTGCCCTTTAGAAGCAAGTCCTAAAGGTCAGATTTGGAGAAAAAGTCACTTGAAGAACTCCATTTCCTTGTAAACATTTATGCTCAAACACCAAATGAGGCACTGACTCAGGGCCCCGTTCCCGGAACCAGGCTGAAATGAAAGCTTGAACTGCAGAGCTGAGAAAGGATTCCATACCCAGGAGCTGCTCCACTGCGGCCTGGTTGCCAGAGCTAGGTGTTCTCTCCCCTGAAGCTCCCCTGCATCAGAGGGTGGCAAGGTGAGGAGGAATAAGTACAGGCTTCAGGGCCAGGCTGCCATGAGTATGAATCTCAACCCTGCCGCTCATGAGCTATGTGACTTTGGGAAGTAAAGTTAACCTCTCTGAACTTCAGACCCTCTTCTGCCAGATGGGGACAACCACAATTCTCTGAGCATGTTGAAGTGTAGATTAAATGAGGCAAAATATGAGAATTCTCCTAGTAGAAAGCTTGGTTCATAATATGTGCTTAATTAATATTTCTTTCTTCCAATATGACATATTTATTGAACTTAGAGGGAATGCAGTTCATTGTGTTTGATGCTGAGGACACAGCCATGAATAAGCCCCAGTTCCTACCCTTCAGGACCTCATGGTCTAGTGGGAGGAGCCCTCCCTCATTTTACTCCCTCCCCTCCTGCTGTATTCTCAGTTGCAGGTGGGACAGGGGAAGACTCACAGAGGCTCAGGAGGGCTCCAGCTGGCTGGTGCTTAAAGTAGGTTGCTCACAGGCCAAGGGGTTATAAGTGGGTGCTTCCTGTGTTCCTAATGCCCAGTGTTTGTCTTCTCTTAGCCTCCAAGTTGAGTGATGACCCTTTCTAGGGCTTTGTTCCAAACCCCTTCTATTTTGAGTCCAGCTGAAAACGTAAAAATCCTGGGGCCCGTGGGGAACCAGAAAGGGCTGAGTCTTGCTCTGAGCCCTGAGTTTCATCCCCGTCCCTCCTGCCATTCAGAACCCTCACTTTATTTCCTCAAACCAAGCTGAGCTCAAGGTCAGGTTGAAAGAAAAAAGATTACAACAAAAAAGAAAAGGAAAGAACAGGAGCAGGTCTAGCTCTTCAGGCTGCCTCAGGTTCAGGCTGGAGCCAAGATTCCGTGGTGACATGGGCCTCAGACACAGCCTGCTTTGTTCTTTAGAAGGATAGAGGAGGAGGCTGGCAGGTGACCTGGTCCAGGAGCTGCAAACCTCCACTTGCTTATGACTCACTGTGCCAGTCACTCCTCACTGATCCTCTGTTTCCTTGTCTGTAGAACTAGGGGTGGAGGGTGTCACCGGGCTCCCGCCTGCAGAAACTTTGCCATCCCCGTTTCCTGCTCACAGCAGCTCCAGCGTGCCAAGGAGCTTAAAGCGCTCTTGGCCTCCAAAGAAAGGGCCTGGGGAAAATGAGGTGACTCCCTCCTAGGGGAGTTGCAGCATCTCTAAGGGCCAGATAGTGAGATCTCCAAGTCCTCTTCCACCTCTGAGCCTCTGACACCAAATCCAAGGTGTAACTATGCAGCCCTGTGCCTGGATTTTCTATGGAACAAATAGATTGGATGCGGCACATCTCACTGAGCGTTCCCGCTGCACCTACATTCTCTTGGGAGACACAGCACTGATTCCAGTGATCCTGTAGTTGCTCAGACTGTCTGGGAGGTCTCCTTTGGGTCTGGCCATTAGAGTCACTGGGAGACTCATGAGGAAATGACAAAGGTATTGCTTCAGCCTCTGCACTTGGCTGTTTCTTCAAATCATGCCCAGCACCCATGGGATGAGTTGGGGGTGAGTCAGCAGGGCCATGAGCACAAGGTTTCCCTGTGGCCTCTGCCTGGCCCAGTGCCCTCCTGCTGCTCTCCTTGCCTCTGCCTTTGCCCCCTCCAGGTGTCCTCCTGTCCCTCCCCTGCTTAAGACTCCCTAGAGCTCTCTGCATCCTCAGACTGATGGCATTCATTTCATGGCCATTCACAGTCTGCCTGGTGCCTGCCTCTCCAGGTTAGCACTCTCCACTTTCCATTTCCCAATCTCCACTGTAGCTGACCATGCTCCTTGCCATTCCCCCAGACAATCTCACTGGTCATGCTGACCTTGGTGCCTTTGCATATGCTGTTCCCTGCCAGGAGTGCCTTTCTCTCCCAGGCCAGGTTCTTACTCAAACTTGAGCTCAGATGTTGCTGCCTCAGGACAACCTTCCCTGCCCCCTTGCCCCTCGCTCTGTTCTTTGGCCATCCCAGCACAGATCACACAGTGTCACTATCATCCCTCCATGGGCTGAAGGCCATAGAACCCTGCTAGACTGCAAGTCCCACATGGGAAGACTTATTTGTTTTATTCCATCTTTGTATCCTCAGGGCCTAGAACAAAGCTTGGCAGACTGTCAGTGCTTACCAAATAATTTCTGATGGATCAGTTGAGGGTGCAGGCTGTCTGGGACCTGCTAGGATGAGGGAGAATAACTAACGATCACACATGCTTATTGAGTGTTTGCTATGTGCCAGGGATTTTAGTCGCAACAGCTGAAATATCTGAGAGTTTACACCCTGCAAGTCGAATTATATTTATTCTATAAAACCACCAGGAGAGGTAGGTACTTCTATTATTCCTGTTCACACAGTTGAGGGAATTAAGGCACAGGGGAAGTCCAGCACTCGTGACAGAACTGATTTGTAGACAGAGGCTTTCTGCTCCACAGCCCAGACTCCTACCCTGGCTCTGGGCCTACCCTTCTCCAGCCAGTTCACCAACTGCTAGGCCCAGAAAGGGTCCTAAGGAATCATTCACCTGCTGTTGCCTCTTCACAGAGTGCGGAAACTGAGGCCAGGGCTGGGGAGAGACTTGTTAGGCCTCTCTGCCTCCACCGATGATGGGTTGTATCTTTGCCTGGTTTCCCCTCTGTTTGCCTCCTCCTCAAAAACAGGGGAGAGGGCTTCTTTCTGGTGAGACCCTGCTCATCCTCAGCCCTGTTTCCCGGCAACCTGTTTCCTGGGCAGCACCCCCGGTATAGCTGTGTTGCCGTGGCGACTGCAGCGGGTACAGGTGCATCTCCAAGATGGTAAGAGACGCAGCTACAGTTCCTAATTGGCCCTTAGTCACCCTCCAAGAGAGACTCAGGGTACCCAAACTCACCAGGCTCATGCCGGGGGAGAGCAGGGTTAGACCTCTGCGAGCGGGGAGGGGACAGGGGTCAGAGACTGGAGTGGATATGAGGGAGGGAACAGGGCCCAGAGCCTGGTTCACGTGAGGGCAAAAAAAATCCCCTCAAAATTTCTGGCTTCAAAGTGTCCATGGCACCTAAAATTGGACATCTAACCTCTGGCAGCATCTTCCTTGGAGCAGTAAAAGGGGAGGATATTTCATATTCTTCAGGGGAGGAGTCATCTTTTTATTTTCCTTTTAAATTAGAAAACTATACAAAAAATACCAACTGCAAAGTAAAAGTCACCCCCAATCCCACTAAACTAAATTACACAAAAATAAATTAAAATTTCCCTCCTCACCACTAAGTCCCATTTTCAGAGGTTAAAAACTGTTAATAGTTGGCGAAATCTACTTGCTGGTTTTTCTATGATTTCTCTTTATATATACATATATATGTATTTGCACATACATCCATGTAAAAATATATTGTATTGAATTGGAATTATATTCTACAAACTGGTTTGCATCTTATTTTCCTTCCTTTCTTTAATGTTATTTTTAATTGACAAATCATAATTATATACAATTATGGGGTAAAATGGGATGCTTTGATATATGTATACAATGTGGAATGATTAAATTATGCTAATTAATGATAAATTGGCATAATTTATTAGATTATGCTAACATATCCATCACTTCACTTATCATTTTTCTTGGTGAGACATTTAAAATCTACTGTCTTGGTTATTTTGAAATGCATCTTGCTTTTTTATTTTTAACTTTACAATATGTCTTGGAGATTTTCCACATCGGTAAGTACTAATATACCTTCTATTGCTGAGGAAGGTATTAAGAGCAGAGGAAGAGAGGCCTCAGTGTGGCCAATCCTGGGGGCTCCCCAGAGGAGGGGCAACTGACTACCTGAGTGAAACAGGGAGATGGTTACAAACAAGGAAGAAAAATAGCACTTGCCATATAACTGCAGCGTGCCAGGTATAGTATTACACTCCCATTATCTCATTTACTTCTCAAAACAATCCACAAAGGAGGTCTGACCCCTCCCGTGTTTACAGATGTGGAAGGTGAGGCTCAAGCTCACCAAGCCAGGAAGTGGAGAGAGACCAGGACTTGTTCCCAGCCTGGCGTTCTCCATTCCTGTGGGTCTTCCCCCACCCCGCACAGGTGAGCTGTCTAGCCCCTGGCCTGTGGGGATCTGGGGGGAGACCCCTACTGTCTTTCTAGCCCCCTCCATTCTCCACTGCAATTGGAGCTAGGTGGAGCTCCATATTCCACAGAGCACTTTGGAATTCATAAAATGGAAATTTATTGAACAAGCCTTTGGAAAAGGGAGGTAATGAAAACCGCTATATAAATTATGAGGCCATTGGTATTACACAGTTGGAGCTAATGCTGTTAGTCCCCAGAAGGGTACAGAGAGCCTCCCTCGACTCCACCCTTCTTGGCCGAGACATCTGCTCCTAGGAGCCTGATGGAGAACTTCAGGGACGGGGAGGTTTGTGGGTCCACTAGGACAGACAGACCTACACCTGAGTTTAGATGGGAAACCGTGGGCGGTTTCCTCTCACTGCAGCGGAGATCATAGCAACACCTGCACACTCAGTGGGGCTTTGTCAATGGACAAGTCCCCTACATGTGTTGGGCTGTGCAACTGTTAGTGTTATGATCACTGAAATATTTCCTCAATTTGAAGACCCCCATTATTTTTCTTTCCAACATTTAAATTCTGGGATCATGATGCATCTTACATGTAATGTAATACAGCTCCCATTTTGCCCCTGATAAGCTGTTAACTTGACTTTAACTTAAAATCAATGGCATCTTAGAACTGAAGAAACATTATGTTAGTATTGTTGCTGTTTATTGTCATTTGTGTTTTGCAGGCCTGGACATCACTACTATTCCTTACCATAAAAAGAAAAAAAATCCCCCCTGGGGCGGGAGGGGACAGGAGGCCCATAGGACGCATGCGGTGTGACCCTGAGCATGCTGCTCATTGTCCTGAGTGGCCTCCGGTCTGGTTTTTCTGAAACTGATGATTTTCAGGGACTCAGGAACTTCAGTGGTAAAAATAGAAACGTCCCAGGTGACTCTGAGAGCAGGTTGACCACCCGACTGTTGTCTCTGGGCCCTGATTTGTTTCCTCCATCCAGTGGGGATAACAGCTGCAAAGAAGGTGTAATGGATTTGTCAAAAACAAGTGGCTTCCCTGCAGTCAAGGGCCCCTCTGAGGAGGATCCTTCTGGCACAGCCATGAGCTCTTATCCTGAGCAAGCCAAGTGCTTGTGCCTCTGAGCACAAACCCCAAAGTTTTGGGGGTGGATCGACATCTTACCTGGTGACTCATTCCCAACACTGTCGCAGGAACTGGCTAGAGTCACTTCTTGCACTTGTTGTATTCTCTTTCTTTTCTTTTCTTTTCCTTTCTCTCTCTCTTTCTTTCTTGCTTCTTTCTTTCTTTCTTTCTCTTTATTTCTTTCTCCCTTCCCTTCCCTCCCCTCCCTTCCCCTCCCCTCCCCTCCCTTCCCCTCCCTTCCCCTCCCCTCCCCTCCCTTCCCCTCCCCTCCCCTCCCCTCCCCTTTCCTTCCTTCCTTCCTTCCTTCCTTCCTTCCTTCCTTCCTTCCTTCCTTCCTTTCCTTTCTTTCTTTTTTGATGGAGTCTTGCTCTGTTGCCCAGGCTGGAGTGCAGTGGCACGATCTTGGCTCACTGCAACCTCCGCCTCCTGGGTTCAAGCAATTCTCATGCCTCAGCCTCCCAAGTAGCAGGGATTACAAGTGTGTGCCACCATGCCCTGCTAATTTTTGTATTTTTTAGTAGAGATGGGGTTTTGCTATGTTGGCCAGGCTGGTCTCAAACTCCTGACCTGAAGTGATCCACCCGCCTCAGCCTCCCAAAGTGCTGGGATGACAGGCCACTGCCCCTGGCCCCTGTTGTGTTTTCATTCTCGGTTCTTGGCTCCCCTACAGAAGGCAGAAAGGGCACATCTCAGAGACCCAAGTAACAGATGGAAGAAGGGAGACTTAGAGAATGCAAAGACCTTTCCACAAGGCACATCCAGGCCAGGCCCAGAAGGGAAGCGGTGTGGGGTCATCAGATCACTTCTTTCCCACAGGATGCCCTGCCTGAGCTTTCCATGTTTGGTTACTTGGAGGGAAGTGGGGGCCAGGGGTGAGGGTAGGGGTAGTGCCAGAAAAGCTCTGGGGCCTGGCTGCTCTCTGCTGATGGACCTCCGGGCAAAAAGTGAATTGGGGCTTAGGTCCTACTTTGGGCTTTTCCTATGTGACCTTGGACTTATTACATATCCTCTCTGGGCCTTGGTTTTTCTATCTGTATAATGAAAGATTTGGATTAATAAAGTGGTTTCCAAACCTATCAGCAAATCTGAACCACTAAGGGAGGTTGTTAAAATACAGCTCTCTGGGCCCACGGGAGGCCTGGAATCTCTGGGAGAGGGTTCAGGAATCTGTGTTTAACCAACTTCCCAGGTGATTCAGATGCATTTAATCTCTGAGTTGATGTCTGGGCAGGCTGGGCTGGGTGGTCTGAAGGGAAGTGGGTGGGAGAAGCCAGACTTGGTGGTGGTGGGATGTGGGGGAGGCTTTGCAGGGGAGCAGGGGAAGCACAGTCCTTGCCTTTAAGAAAGGCTGGGGTGTTGTGGCTTAATGAGGTGACCTTGGACAAGTTACTTAACCTCTCAGTTTTTGTTTCCTCATCTATAAAAAGTGGGGGTAATAATTCCTTGAAAGGGCTGTTGAGAGGATTAAATTCCATGATCAATACAATAGATTCTGGTGTCTCAAATGTCAGGCGGGCCCAGTCTTGGCCCAGCCCCGCCCTGAAGTCCTGACGGAGTCTGGCCAACATTTCTGTACCCCAGAATCTGGGAGATCAGACAGTGAGTGATGGGGCCAGGGCAGGCTGGGGAGGACCTTGGCAGAGGGGAGAAGGAGAGGAACATTAGAGAGGGAAGGGATGGAGGTGGAGGAGGGCAGAGGGTTCTCTAGGAGCTGAAATATGGCTCCTTCTTTCCGGAATGTGCCTCTTAATCAACTTAATGGGCCTCTGGCGGAGCAGGGTCCTAGGAAGGTAGGAGAAATGGAGGTGGAAGCTGAGGCTGCTGTTGCTGGGGTGTGGGTAGGAGGTGGGCTGGGCTGGACTCAGCTGGCTGAGGGTGCTAGTGGAAGTCTGGGGGCTGTGTTGGTGGTTGGGACCTTCACCCTTTTCCCTCCTAAACATCTACCCGGCCAAAGACGTGGCCTCTCCTGGATTTGGCCAGGGAAAGAAGAATTCCTATGGGGAACTGGAACATCTGGCCCCTGACTTCTGATTTCTCCCAAATCTTTCTTAGGGAGGCAGTGGGAGCTTAGGCAGTGCTGGGGCTGAGCAGGAGGGAAAGGGGAGAAGCCCAGCCTCTGGGGCAGGTCAGGGATCATGTCCACAGTGGTGGCGCTCTGTGGTGGCTCTCTTTCAGATGCCATCAACTGATGGGGCTCTGGAAATCTGGCAGGCGGCAGCTTTGCTTCTCTGCCTGGAGTATCAGTGCCAGCTCCATGAGTGGGGAAGCCTTCTGCCTCAGGGGTGCAAAAGTTGAAAAGTGGCTGACCCAGTTCCCCCTACCCATTCTTCTTTCTCTGCCCTGGACTGACTCAGGAGCTCATGGGAAGGTAGCCTGGTGGAGTGGGTCTCCTGGGTCCGGATTCACTCTTCTAGCAGTTGACATCTTACAAGTTGCCTCATTCTAAGCCTCAATCTCCCCGTCTGTAAAATGGGGATCCTGACACCTTCACAGCAGTGAGGGAGAAATGTGATACAATGGGTGACAGGCCCAGTGCAAGGCAGATGTACATGGAAGTAGAATTGGACCCTGACCCTCAGTCCTCCAGAGATGGTGAGGGAGTCTCAGAGCAGTCAAGGCAGATGGGCAGGTGCCGGGGTGGGGGCAGGATGAAAAAGGGGTGGAAGCAAGGAGACTGAGCTTTTCTCAGGATCCCAAAGAAAGCTGGCTGAGGGGAGCTGAGGGGTGCAGTTGCTTCTGTGGCTGGGCAGTGTCTCTGCTCTCAGGGGCTACACAGGGATGGCTCCAAGGGCCTTACCCATGTATAGGAGCTCAGGAATGCCATGGAGAGGGTGATTTGCATATGTTTTACATATGTTTTGCATATGACAATCAGCCTCAAAGTCTGTTTTCAGGCAGCCTTGAAACAAGCAGAAATCTCACTCTGCCTGATCTGTTTGTCATGGCTTGAAGGGTGCCTGGGCCAGCCCTGTTGGAGTACAAAGGCCAAAGGGGTGGGGGAATTTTCCCCAAAGCCACACAGTGGATGAAGACTGGGATGAAAATAAAAATTGCGTCTCTGGTTCCTGGTCCTATAGGCATTTTCTATCACATAATAATAATAATAAACCATGATGATGACAACAACGGTGATAGTGATGATAAAAATAGTAATACTAGTCAGTACTTACCAGGCATTTACAATATGCTGAACACAGCTGTAACACAACTCATTCAATCCTCACACTAACCCTATGGGGTAGGTGTTACTATTATTCTCATTTGACTCAGGAGGCCACCCAAGAACAGAGAGGTTAGGTGACTTGCCCAAGGGCACAGAGCTGGACATGGCGCAGCCAGGATTCAGACCTGGGCAGTGTGGCCCTGAGGCCATGCTCTTTTCCACCACACCTTGCACTGCAAGTTCATAAAGGAGCAAATCAAGGGTCACTGCCTGCCACAGAGTCTGGCCCTAGCCCTCCACTCTCCAAGGCCCCTCTCCTCTACATCCTTCAGCACTGACCTCTGAGTGGGGGTGGGAGGGACAGGGTCCCTCTGTCTGGGGCTTCTGTCCAGAGATGATTAAAAGTTGATTGCCTTGAGAGCATTCTTTGTCTCCAGGGTGTCAAGCCCAGAACAGCCAAGGAGACAATTGCTGCAGGAGTTGCATCTGTTAATCTCGTATTTGTTAATTTATTTTATTTTCCATCCTCAGAATTAGGATGAGCCTCTTGAACTCAATATGCAAATATATGCAAAGTGAGATGAACAGGCATCTTTAAAACCTTGGCCCGTCTTTTCCCTCCGTGCATTAGAGAAATTGCAGCTCTCCCCAGCCAGTGGGTGGAGGGTGGGGCTGTGGGCAGATGTAGAGGAGGGGTCCTTTGTCACCTGCCATCCACCAGCTCTTCCGTCCCTCCCAGGGATCCTCTTGAGTGGATGGTGTTACTATCATCTCCATTTTACTTAGCAGGCCAGTGAAGCTCAGATGAGTGGAGTGACATGCTCAAGAGCACATGGGAAGGTGAAAGTGGAGCTCAGACACGGGTCCTTTTGACTCCAAATCCCACTTTCCTCACCCTGCCCTGCATACATGCCTTCTTCCTGCCCACAGCCTCACCACTGATTTCCCTTTCTGGCTCTTGTGTGATGGGGGAACTGCAGTGTAGGTGGCCTGGCAGGGGCTGAACTGAGCCTGTGGATGGATGCGCTTTTGAGTTATCTATCCCCACAGTGGTCTCCACCCATGCTCACCTTCTCAGCAGCCCCTTCCTGTGGGTTGGCCCCAGCCCTGTGGCCAGGTGATGGAGAGGAACCCTGAGTACACCTCTCTTGCTCCTCCTGTCCTCCCTACAGGGCCCAGTGGACCGAGTTATTGCTTGCCGGGTGTTTAGAGCTTTCTTGGATTAGAGGCCTTGGCCTAATTGCTAGAAAAGCCTCCCTTGGCTCCCCAGGAAGCAAAACCTGACAGATTTCCCAGCATCAGTCATGCTGCTGGAGAGGGAAATGGAGATAAAGAGAGAGAGGGGTTAGGAGCAGGACTTAGGTCTCTAGAAAAAAGGATTCCTCTTCCTTCTTCACCTCTCTCCCTCTCCTCCTGCCTGTCTTCTCCAACTCTTAGTCTACTGGAAACACCTGATTCAAAGCTAATATCCTGAAGAATGAGGAAAGAGCAGCAGAAAGGCCTTAGGAAGTGGAGTGGAGCAGGTTGGGTCAGGGTGAGATCTGAGAGCTGGGTGGGGATGGGGTGGGGATGAAAATGTGGGTGAGGATGGAGTAGGATGCCCTGGGAAGAGTGAGAAGAGACAGAGCATCAGAGAGTCTGAAGAGGAGCCTATGGGACAAAAGAGGAATATTATTGTTATTATTGAGACAGAGTCTCACTCTGTCACCCAGGCTGGAGTGCAGTGGAACAATCTCTGCTCACTGCAACCTCCACTGCCTGGGTTCAAGCCATCTTCCTACCTCAGCCTCCCGAGTAGCTGGAACTACAGGAACAGGCCACCATGCCTGGCAAATTTTTGTATTTTTGTAGGGGCAGGGTTTCTCCATGTTGCCCAGGCTGGTCTGGAACTCCTAGGCTCAAGCGATTCCCCTGCTTCAGCCTCCCAGAGTGCTGGGAGTACAGACATGGGCCACTGACCCTGGCCAGGAATACTATTTTTGAAAAAGGTTGTGAGGGGGAATGCTAAGGACATGTTTCTGTAATCTCTAGACCCATCCCAATAGGTTTTTGCAGGATCTGAACTCTGAGATTGGAATATCTTGAAGTCCACGCCCCTGTCTCCTTGTCAGGATGGCCCTCTCCTCTGTACTCAGAGACCAGAGGAGTCGGGAGGACAGAAGACAGGGAGGGGAGTCACACAGAAAGACCACAGCTGCAACCCTCGAATTTCTCACCTGTTTCCTGAAAGCAGAGTGTGTTCAAGGCTGCAGCCTGTTGCTTGGGGAAATATGCTGAGGCGGAAAGCTGGGCTGCAGCCCGGTGTTGGGGGAGAGGTACCACCATCTGTTCCATAGAGAAACAGATACCACTGGCACAGCCAAGTCAAACAGCCTAGATGGAAACAGGTTCCCCTAGAACCTGAGCAGCATTAGCCAGCTTGCCGGCAGGCTTGTCAATGAGCAGTCAGGGGCTCCTAAGCAGGGGAACCACAAACAGCCCTCCTCAGGGCAAGTGGGTACCACCAGGCTACCCCATGACACTTTTCTTTCAGTCTCCTTCCCTTCACCAAATTATTCTCCATCATTAGGTTTTATTGGGAAAGAGTGGGAGGGAATTTGACAAATAAATAAACATTTTAAAGACAAACAAATAAGGGAGCAGGCCACTCTTTTCCTCTTTGATTTTTTAAAGGAAAAATTAATTTTCCTTTGCCTAAGTACCTGTCACCTTAAATTAATCTCTCTAAGAGCAAAAATGACAGAGAAGTTGGGTCATTAGGCAAATTTTAATTAGAGGCTCAGATGTCCTTTACTAATAAGATGTTACATATATTTCATTCTGTTCTTGCCTCCCTACTGCCAGGACATCTTTGCAATGCAACCGGAAGCCCTTGGGGAACCAAGCAGATGGGGGCTTAGAGAGATGGGGTTGGAATGAGGAAGGGAATGGTGGATGTTTTTTTCTTCTCATGCAGGTGCTGGGGCAGGGCAAGGGGAGAGAAAGAGTTGGGAGAGATGTTTCTGTTTTCTCCAGGAAGGAGGTCCACCCTAAGGCCGGAGCCAGCTTCCTCTCTCTGGTCTTGGCATCATTGCTGCATCAGGGGTGAGCGCCCAGATCACCCAAGACCAATGTGTGAGTATGTGAGTGTGTATATGAATGTAAGTGTGTGAGCACTCGTGCACAGATATAGCAGTATAGCGGAGATAATGGCAGTTAAGAAGTTCTGATGCCAGACTGCTCAAAATTCACATTTGGGCTCTAATTATGTGTCCTTGGACTAGTGACTTAACTTCTCTGTGCCTCGGTTTCCTCACCCGAAAAAATAGGGATAATACATACTTAACCTCCTACAGGTGTTAGAAGGGTTCAACCTGATAAATGCAGCCCTATATAATGGGCTGGTGACAGTGAGCCCTCTGCTAGATGCGTGTGTGCTCACTTGCCAGTGAGAGTGTGTGTGGGTATGCGTGTGTGCACTGTGGGCATGCTTCGGTGGAAAGAACACTAGCTTTGGAGTCAGAAAACATGGATTTGAGCCACACCTCTGCCACTTCCAGCCTGGGTGACATTGATAGGCCACCTTACACCTCTGGGCCTTTTTAGATCTGCCATCCGCCAGTGGGCTGGGGGATGAGACCCAGGCTTCTGAAGGTCCTCTCTGGGTGGGACTAAGACTCAGATGGGACATGCAGCCCCTCCTGCAAGCACTGGACACAGGTGAGGAGGCCCGCCTGTGCACACCCACCTACTTACCTGGGAAAAAAAACATGCATGTCAGGCTTGCAGCTTATGATGTGCCTCCAAGCAGGCAGGTGCATGCACCTGTGTGTGTGAATGCGGTCAGGGAGAGGATCTGAAAGAGGCTTCCTCCCTGTCCCACAGGGCCCTCCTCTATGCTCCTCTCAATCAAATCCTTCTCTGGCCTGCAAGTGGACATTATTTACCCCAGGCCCCTGCAGGCCACTCTTGTAGACCACAGAGCTCAGTGTCCCCTCCAAGGGCCTGGCGGTCAGAGAAAGTGACAGATATAAGATTTAACATGTTGTCCTCTGTTTCTTCTCCCATCGAATGATGCTCAGGGTAAAGATCAGGACATGATCCAGCAGGAGCTTCTCTTACCCTGTCATGGGAACCCAGGCTTGGGGAACCCCTGGGCCTCTCCTAAAAACATGATTTCCCTGGTTTCTGGCTTTTAATTTCCTTTAGAGGCTGGAGAACACATTTACTGTGAGTCTCATCTTGGATATTTTTGCCTCCCTGACAATGTTTGGAGAAGCAGGTGGAGAGGAGAAAGATGGAAAGGGTCTGTGAATGAGTACAAGAGGGAGAATCATGCATGAAAAGTGCCTACTCTGTTCTAGGCACTGTGCACAGTGCTTTAAATGCCCTGACCCATTTCATCCTTTAACGACGCATAGATACTATCATTAACACTTTTACAGGCAGGAACATTGAGGTTAGGTAATTTACCTAAGGCCACATAGCTAGCAAGCTGACACTTAAGTCAGCTGTGTCTGAGGTTTAATTCTGTCTTCTGCAGGTAATTGTGTGGGCTGCTGACAGGGCCCTGGAGAGTGTCAGAAAGCTCACAGCTTCTGCAGGAGAGAGGAGCTTCCCCTCTCTGGGCCTCCATCTCCTCCAGTGCAGTGAATCAAATGAGCACCAGCAACATCTCCGGAGATGGGGTTTGGAGGGCTCCCTAGAGAACAGAAATAGTGCAGGGGTTTTGAGGGACTGTTGTGCCAGCCAGGGCCAAGTCAAAGCTGTCACTCACACTGACTCATTAGCCCTAAGTTCGTCTTTGGGGCATGAGGTACAAGCTGAGGGCAGAGCCATAGCCAGGACCATTACTCACCACGGCAACACCTCTGCTGCCTGTTGCCACACACTGGTGCTGGACTCAGCTTCCGTGGAAAGGAATGGAAATTGCACTCATTTTCCAGGAACAAAGAGGCCAGCTTGCCGACCTTGCCTGTCTCCTCCTACTCTCGCTCTGTTCCCTGCCTCTGCTTGGTTGCATGAGAACTTTGCTAACTTTCAGAGACCTGGAGGGGACCCAAGAACTCTTGTTATTAACCCCTCCTTCCTCACCCACTCTGGAGGGGAGTTGGGCATATAGATGGGGCAGGAAAAGAGAGTGCTGAGGAGCACAGGCTGTGGGGGAAAACAAAAGAGCTGGGGAAGGTCAAGAAGGAGCTGCAGATAGACTGCTGCTGAGAGGAATCAGAGTGGGGGAAAAAATTCACTCCTTTGACCATCTGTTACATATGATGCACTTCCACACATGTTATCTCATTAAATCCTCACAATAGCCTATCCTCACCCCCATTTTAAACACTGAGGAAACAGGTCCAGAGAGGTTAAGTGACTTTGCCAAGAACACAGAGCATTTCAGGTGGCAGGGTCAATATTTGGACACCAGTCGTGTCTGATTTCAGAGCCCTTTCTACTTTACGACGGTGCCACTTTCCTGACCAGGGTGGGGAGTTCTGAGTTTCAGAGACGAACATCAATGCTAAATTGCTTTGTGAATCCCTCTGAGCCTATATTTACCCATCTGTAAAATAAGAAGATGAAACGAGATGATTTCTAAAGTCCCTTTTAGTACTGGCTTTCCATGCTTAAGACGTGAGTGTTCAACCCCATTAAAAAGTGGGCAAAGGACATGAACAGACTTCTCAAAAGAAGACATTCATGCGGCCAACAAACATATGAAAAAAAGCTCAATATCACTGATCATCAGAGAAATGCAAATCAAAACCACTATGAGATACCATCTCATACCAGTCAGAATGGCTATTATTAAAAAGTCAAGAAACAACAGATACTGGTGAGGTTGCCAAGCAAAAGGAATGCTTTTACACTGTTAGTGGGAGTGTCAATTAGTTCAACCATTGTGGAAGACAGTGTGGTGATTTCTCAAAGATCTATAAGCAGAAATCTAACTAGACCCAGCAATCCCATTACTGGATATATACCCAAAGGAATATAAATCATTCTATTATAAAGATACATGCACACACATATTCATTGTAGCACTATTCACAATAGCAAAGACATGGAATCAACCCAAGTGTCCATCAATGATAGACTGGATAAAGAAAATGTGGTACACACACACCATGGAATACTATGCAGTTATAAAAAGGAATGAGATTATTATGTCCTTTGCAGGGACATGGATGGAGCTGGAAGCCATTATCCTCAGCAAACTAACACTGGAACAGAAAACCAAACACCGCATGTTCTCATAAGTGGGAGCTGAACAATGAGAACACATGGACACATGGGGGAATACAACACACAGTGGGGCCTGTCAGAGGGTCAAGGGGAGGAAGATCATCAGGAAGAATAGCTAATGGATGCTGGGCTTAATACCTAGGTGATGGGATGATCTGTGCAGCAAACCATGGCACACATTTACCTATGTAACAAACCCGCACATCTTGCACATGTACTTCAGAACTTTAAAGTTGAAGAAAAAAAAGAGTTGAGAGTTTGGAGACCTTCCCAAACCCAAAGTTGAGAAGCCTGAATGGCTTGGAAAGACATCAAGGCATTCAGCCTGATCTTTGTTATCAGTGAACTAGGGAGGAGACTTTCTGCCTTTCAAGGCTGTGCCATTGCCACCTTCAGGCACCTTGCATACTTTGGCTATTGGTTCTGGCTCTGCAGAGAAGTGACTGCCTTCATGAGGGGAGTAAAGGGACAGTCCAGCCTCAGGATTCCAGCAAGCAAGGAAATCTGAATAATTGTGTTTCTGGGGCACAATAACTTCTGTTTCCTTGCCCCCTCCCTTCAAGCCACAGACTCCAATTAGCAGCTTAGCACCAAAGTTCCCAGACATTTTCCTTCTTTTGGAGACACTGAATAATGGAGAGGTTTCTGAAGCTGAGATGAGGAGGGTGGGAGGTAGGATGTGAACTTGTAAAAATGTAGTGAGAGAGATTTCAGATTCCTAGATGCTGCACTTTCTTCACGCTTTAAGGAAGGTGTCTGGTTCCTGAAAAGACTCCTGGCCTCAGTATAATTTTTTTATAATTGCCCCATTTTTCTGAGCTATCATCCCAAGTATTGTGGAGTGAGAGGAAGAGACAGGGCTCTGCCTGCTGGAAGAGACCCCATTCTCATCTTATGGGAAGTGTGAACCTGATGAGGGAAGTGTGGCTCCCAGTAAGAAGGAGCACCAACCTGGCAAGATATTGTGGCTATCTCCCTTATGGAATTCTTGGGCTGGTGGGGCAGATATTATTCTGGTTTCTGTTGGTGGGGTGCTGGTCCAGATGAGTTAGGGGAGCTGAATATAAAGTTCGATGCAGAAAGATGACTAAAAAAGAGTATTCAACTGGATCCTACAGGGAAGAGGGTGGTCCCTAAACTCAGGTGGCCTTTGTCTTGGAGAGAGGTGAGTCAAGCCCCTCACGCTCCAGGAGCACAGTAATAAAGGAGATCATAGTTGGGAAAAGTGTGGTGTGTATGTGTGTGTGTGTGTGTGTGTCTGTATGTGTCTGTGTGTGTGTGTGTTTCTGTGTGTGTGTGTGATTCCATGCCTAAGAAAGGAGCTCTTATTCTAAATTTGTTCAACAGAGAATGTAACAAGGAAATCTTGAGACAGATTCTCTTGTTCTGTTCTTTGTCTTTTGGGACAGAAACACTCAAATTGGGAACAAATATGTAAATATTATGTCTCACTCTAAAGAGTTGAAGTTGCTTTTGCACTTTCTTGAGTTATGAGAAAATGAGTGAACCCACCTGGTCACTGCATGACTCCAGAATAATTCTTTCCCCTTCTCTGGGCCCCAGTTTTCTATCTTCAAAATAAATGATTGGATTTAGAAAACCTCTCAGGTCTTTTCCAGTTTCTGACATTCTAGTTTTTGTTTTTCTGCCATTCTGCTCAACCACTTTCCCCTTCTCCCGGCTGTCAGGAGCTGTCCACGGTTCTGAAGAGCTTGGGCCCAGAGAGAATCAACCATATTAGATCTGGCCGAATTACAGTTGCACTTTTTTCCCCCCATTTGTCAGTTGTCATGGTTTTTAAAATTTTAACTTTATTTATTTTTAAATTGACAAGTAAAAGTTGCATATATTTATGGTAAACCACATGATGTTTTGAAATTTCGTGCATGCATGTGGTAAGTCTATAATCAGAGCTGTGGGTGACATAGCCAAAATCTAAGATGGAAATTCTGCCTCCAAGCAGCTTGTGCAAGTCGGAATATACATATAGTAGGATCATGACTAAAGGAGATTAGAGGACATTTAGTCCAGTCCTATCACTTTATTGTGATATTTACTCCCTGGTTGCACTGATCAGGACTGCCATTGATGCCTGTTTTCCCAAAATTTCCTGTGTCTATGGCAGAGGGGTCATGAAGAGGAATTGTGGGGAACTGGAGAAGACAGGGAGCAAGTTATTTAGTCATATGCTCCTCCTTCTTCTTTATGGGATGAGTGTGAGTGTGATTCCATGGGGCTGGCAATGGTCCTCTTATCACCAGCTGATCTCCATGACCTCAAGGTTTCCCTCAGATATCTTTTTTTAAAAAAATACAGAGTCTTACTCTGTCACTCAGACTGGAGTCCAGTGGTGCAATCATAGTTCACTGCAGTCTTGACTTCCCTGGGCTTAGGTGATACTCCTACCTCAGACTCCTTATCTGGGGCCACAGGCACATGCCACCACACCTGGCTATTTTTTGTATTTTTCATAGAGACAGAGGTTCACTATGTTACCTAGGCTGGCCTTGAACTTCTGGGCTTGAGTGATACACCTGCCTCAGCCTCCCAGAGTTCTGGGTTTACAAGCATGTGCCACCACACCTGGCCAGATATCTTAACAAGAGAATTGACCTGAAAAGTCTTACCTTTCCCCTCTATTCCTGGATTTAGAGCAGGCAAGGGGGTTGAGCTTCGGTAACCTGAAGTTCAAGTGGGTTTTGCCTTCTTGGATTTCCGAGGTGGTGTTCAAAGTCTCATTGAATATTTGAGAAAAATAAGATACAGAAGGGAGGGTAGAGGAGAATCTATCATCTATTGAGTCTTCACCATGCTTTGGGTGTTTTACGTTTATTATTTCATTTAGTCCTCCTAAGATCCCTGTGAAGAAAGATGTCTTAATTTCTTTGTGCTGCCATAATAAAATACCATGGATTGGGTGATCCATATGGAACATAAATATATTTCTTACAGTTCTGGAGGCTGGGAAGTCCAAGAACAAGGCATTGGCAGGTTCAGTGTTTAATGAGTATCTGCTCTCTGCTTCCAAGAACGTATCTTGAATGCTGCATCATCTGGAGGGGAGGAATACTGTGTGCCCACATAACAGAAGGTTGGAGGGAAAAAGAGAGTGAGATAATTTCCTTTGTCAACCCCTTTTCTAAGGGCATTAATCCATTCATGAGGGCAGAGCTATCATAACCTAAGCATCTCCCAACACGCTTCACCTCCCAACACTATTGCATTGGGGATTGAGATTCCAACACATGAATTTTGGAAGAGGACAAAAACATTCAAACCATAGCAAAGGATTATTGTTGTTATCAGCTTGATAGATACAGAAGCAGAGGTACAGAGAGATTAAATGCTTGGCCCAGACTCACCAGGTAACAAGAGACCTATACTTCTCCCACTCCAAAATGCATACAGGTCCAGGAGTAGAAAGAAAATGGGCCTAAAATAATCTCATATTGAGTTCTTCCAAATTTCCTGTTTTTCCTCATCTGCAGCCCCTGTCTTTGTTATAGCAGGTAAAATACCAGATTTCTTCTTAGGGTATGTCCATTACTTTTTCTTCTCTGGAGAGTGGAGCTGGGATGGAGATTCTCCCTTTTTATTCTTGCCACCTACTTCTTAAATATGTCTCTTGGAAGAGTTTTTGTCATGCTAAGTGACTTTACAAAATTAGAATGGTTCAAACAACATGTTGTGCTCCACAAGGGTTGTTTGGTGGCTCCCTAGAATAGTAAATTTGCAGGTGGGGAGGCGTCCTGCTGGGATCAACTTTACTCACCTAGTAGCTCCTGCTGGTGCTATCCTCTTTCCACTTGTCACCTCTACACTGTGTGCTGAGATTATGTGAATAGCAATGGTGTTTTAGGGAGAGGATCACCTAAAATGCCCAAGGGAACTTTCTTGTAAATGTTGGAAATATGATAGAACTGTAAACATTACTTGAAACCAATTGCATCAATTGCGAAACACATGTCATGATTCTGCTTATTCTGCAGCAGTGTAAAAATGCTAAACTGTCATCAGAAAAGGAAATATAATCAAAAGAAGGTTGGACAGGATTCTCCAGAATCCTAGGGTTCGGAGAAACAATCAGGACCTAGTTTGCAAGCATGAGTCAGCACCATGGACAGCGATGGAGCTTGTGGCACACCCCCTTCCCTTGGTTCCTGCTTAATGATGCTGTGCCCTATGGCTAGGTTCAGGTCCTCCAACTGGCAGACCTCCTAATCCTGGCCTGTTTTCCTGACTCCTTCCTTCCCTTTGCCCCAGCTACGACATCTCCTGGGGCAGTGAACAGCTGGCACTGCCCTGGCACATTTACAGGACAAATTTGCCACTTTCAAAGCTCAGACCTCTGACATGGAGGGCATCTGGGCTGTTCAGGCCTCCTCCCCACGGGGTAGGTGACCTTCTTCTTTGATGGAGGAGCAGGTGGGTTGATTTGGCTCTAGCGAAGATTTTTTTCTGTGACAGGTTGCCTAGAGCCATTGGGCAGAAGCCCTCTCCCTTCCCCCACACCCAGGAGACTCTGGCTACAGGGTAGAAGGAGAAAAATTAAAACTAAGGCTTATTATGGAATTAGGGCCATAAAACCACAGGCTACAGCACGCAACAGCTACTGCCATAAACCTAGAGTCCATTCAATCATGGAATAGGTACTGTTACACATTAAGTGGGAACATTTATGTACAGGTAACAGAGAATAACTCCTGATCTTGTGTTTATGGTAGTAACTGGCTCTTTATGCAGCATTTGTGGCTGCTTAATTATAGTGGATTAACAAAGAGGTCTGGGACAGAGAAGGTCAGTGTACATAAAACTGTGGCCAAGGTTGAATTCCATGACCAAGGACGTAAGTCAGTTTGTCCATGCTTCTGCCTCCAAGAATGATGGTGCCGGTATCTACATCAGATTGGTGGTGCTTACGTAGGGATTTAGGAAACATGATGTTTTGAAGTATTCCTTGGGTTCTCCTTTCCTATCCCCCCAGAAAATCTTGATTCAGTAAGTCATGGTCACTGTTAGCATTCAGAACTCAGCTCTGAGTCTGGTCTTAAAGTTTAGGCTCCTTCCTTCCAATCTGCTGATGGCTTCTAGGGCCTCCCCTGATCCATTCAGCACATAAGACAGTGACTGATTTATGGGGTAAAACTCCTGCTGCTCCCTACTTCCGGAAAAGGCAATAAGCTGCATTCTAATGACACATTCAACTCTGTAAATTCAACAAATATTTGCCCCACACAGTTTTGCTAAGCAGCTATGGTATGTGAGGCTCTGGACACAAGGGGTGTAAAGTGAATTTGACACAGTCCCTTCCCTCAAAGAGTTTCTAATCTGGTGTGGGACCTGTAAAGGTAACAAATTGCAATATAATGTGCTAGATGTAGTAACAAAACCATGGTTATTATCATTATATGAGGGTTAATGAATGCATTACCTGTGGCTAAAATACTTTAGAGGCTGAGATGTGCTCACCTCCCCCAAAGAGGCTTAGCAGAGGTGATTAGTGTATATTGAAACCTGCTTTGTGAAGAGCAAATGTCTGTGATGCCATGTCAGAGGGTCGGATAGGCTCCTACTTGCTTCACAACTGGAACAACTTCTGTCCCCTTTTCTATCTCTACCCCTAGCTTCCTGACCCCAAGGTTAATTCCTTTGTGTAATTATACACATCATCCCTGGCCCAGTTTCCAAACTCCTTCTGAGAAGTGAGCACCCCCAGGTCTAGAGCTCTTCTTCCCCACAGTAATCTGATAACATATAATGAAAGGTTACTGCAGTCTTGTTTTATTTGTGACTCAGGGCTATGTGTGGCTTCCCTCTACTCCTCTATGTTCCATTGCTCCATTTAATTGAGAGTTAACCACGTATGCAAGGAAAAAAAGCATCCTGGGAAGGATAAGAGGATCATCAGCTAGAAAACTCTAGGCAGTTTTTCTGAAGGGAGTGTCTGACAGAAGGCTTTGAAAGATGTAAATATATGCAATTAACCTGGTTTCACCTGTAGGAGCATTGTAGGGGCTGGGGGATGGTGTAAAGTATGCAACTAATTTGTCCTGTTCCATCCCCCTCATGTCTGTTCTTGGGTGGTACCTGGCTAGGATTGTGCACAAAAGACCCTGAAGATCTTTCACTGTCAGAAGGAACTGCAACCCAACACACTCTGGAGGCTGACTATTGTTCATGCTTTCCAGAGGCAGAAAATGCTGTACCTTTCCCAGTCACCCCTGATCCCCAATGCACACACCTGTAAAACGTGTTTCAGAGAGCTGTACTGCCAAAAATAATATTAATATGTTCACAGAACCTTACAGTTCATGAGTTTTTGACTTGGATCTAACCAAAGCCCTGTAGTATGGACAGGTTGAGAAATGATTGTTAGATTGATTTTATAGACAAGGCACCTGAGCCTTAGACATGCTCTTGTCCCGGGTCTGCCTTAGGTGGCAGAGCTGGGACAAGAACTTAGGACTCCTGACTCCAAGGCAAGGTAGTTTGGCTTTACCATACATGAAGCTCCATGTCAGCTGAACCTCAACTCCTACTGTGGCATCTGACTCTCATTTCTTTTCTTGGTCTTTGAGAGAATCCATAAGGGGAGAATCTCCACATGCTTTGAAGCTCCCTGGGTTTAGTCCATTTTCCTGAATAAGATCAACATCTAGCATTTATTAGACATCATTTGCAGGCATTTTCTAAATGCTGCACATGTATACTTGTAGCCGTGTATATATGTAGCCATGTATACATTACATGTATGCATATAACTCATACAACTCTATGAAGTAGGTTGAAGATGGTAACCAACTTACCCAAAGTCCCATGGTTGGCAAACGGTGAACCAGGTAGCCTGGCTCTGATGAAGAGCCCCTCCTTGAACAAACTTAAGTCAGGCTCCCCTGAGTCCTCTTCCCAACCAGGCCTTGACTTTTGGACTTTGGTTTTGTCTTTGCATTGCCTGATTTTAGCAAGAATCCTGCTAAGTCGGTTTAGCAAGATCCTCCACCATCTATATCTGAGCAAATTCCTCATCCTCTACCATTCCCCAGTTGATATCTGGTCATTCTGGCCTGCCTCAAGCAAAAATCTGGTTAGGTTGGTTTAGCCAGAAATCCCTCTTTCCCCTTCAAATGTCTACTTAGTGATTTTTCACCCATCAATCACCCCTCTCCATCCCACTCTTTGGCTATAAGTTCCCACATTTTCATGTTGTATTGGAAGTTGAGCCCTATCTCACTCCTCTACTGCAAAACTCCATGGCAGTCGTCCCTATACCAATTACAATAGCCTCGAATCAAGCCTGCCTTGATTCATGACAAGAGTTATGACTAATTTCTTCTTTCACAGCTCTAAGGTCTATACCCTTAACCATAATGCCACACTACTTCTCCTGTGGAAGGAACACTGGAGGCTTAGGTTCAAGTCTTTATTCTGCATTTATTTGCAATGTGACTTTGGATGAGTCACATAATGCCTCTGGGACTCAGTTTCCTTCATTGACAAGTACCAATAACAATAACTCACCTTTACAGGGTGCTTTGCAGTTTACAAAGTGCTTTGTCAGACATTGTTTTTTTTATTTGTTTTTTTCTTTGTTTTGAGGCAGAGTCTCACTCTGTCACTCAGGCTGGGGTGTCCCGGCACAATCTCAGCTCACTGCAACCTCCGCTTCCTAGGTTCAAGTAATTCTCCTGCCTCAGCCTCCCGAGTAACTGGGATTACAAGTGCCCACCACCATGCCCAGCTAATTTTTGTATTTTCAGTAGAGACAGGGTTTCACCATGTTGGCCAGGCTGGTCTCAAACTCCTGACCTCAAGTAATTCGCCTGCTTCAGCCTCCCAAAGTGCTGGGATTACAGGCATGAGCCATGGTGCCCGGCCTTTTGATCCTTATTACTCAGTGAAGAAAATGACAATTTTGATTGCATATATGAGGAAACTCTGGGTTTCAGGGTCCGACAAAGGTCAAATAGCTAGTATGTGCTGGAGTAAGATCTAGAATCCAGGCCTTTGGGGTTTCCTTGCCATGGAATATATAGGCCTTGGACTAAATTCTCTCCAAGAGTCCTGCTATTCTCGATTCTCTCTGTGCTGGGAAATTAAGAAAGGGGGTAATAGTGAACTCTTAGTTTGGGGCCATCCCAAGCTGGTGGGTACAGGTGTATATGGCACTCAGTTGGGCACATGATATTGTCCTTTGCAATCCCTCACCTGTCCCAAGGCTTAATGGTGGCCTCTCACAGACCATCTCCCTGGTAGAAGCTGGCTTTAGAAAATGGACATGAAACTGCGTTTTGACCTTCTCTTCTCCACTCTAAGTAGCCCCATCTCCCTTGCCCTTTCATCCTTTTCAGGTATCAATCCTGCGGATGGCCAGAAGCATCTCAGAGCTGAGGATCTGCCCCTGGAGAGGCAGAGGGAGAAAGGGCAAAAATAGAAAATAAAGATTAGCCAAAGAATTACCCTGTGTGTTCCTCTCACCTCCCTCATCTCCCCGTGTAAATTACCCTATTATTCGTTTCCCTTAGGACTCCTGATCGTCCTTATTTCTTCTTTTGAGCTAAAGTCATTCATGCAGTAAATTAGTTCTTTGGTTCAAAATAGCTCTGATTGTAGCAGTTGCTGCCACCACCAGCAGCAACACCACAGCCCCCAGACAGTTTCCAAAAAAAAAAAAAAAAAAAAAAAAGGAGAAAAGAAAGAAAGGGGGAAAAAAGCCCTCAAAAACTCAACTCTCCCTTCCTCCCACTCTATCCACATGCACAGAAATACATGGGGTGCCCATTTCCTGGGAAATGATTTCTTCGAAAGGCAAGTACATGCTGAAAGGGAGTAAAGACAAAGTCGTAACCTAGAAACAACTCTTGTTGGGACAGGAAGAATTATAGTCACCGAGGCCATAGGTCTGCAGTTTGAAAACTTCTACTCTGTTCTCTTCTCTCAGAAACTAGGTCTTGGTTCACCTTGGGTTCCTGGAGAAGCAGCATAACATAGAGGTTAAGAATCCAGGCCTTGATGTCGGATGCTGCAGGACTGAGTTCTGGGTTCTGCCACTTTCTCGCTGTGTGACCTTGGACAAGTATCTTAACAGTCCTGAATCTATAATCTCTGACACATACCTGACTCCAGACTCACTCATATCCCCAGCTGCCTACTCTTGTATACCAGATGCTGCCTACCCAGCATCTCCTCTTAGACATCTTAAATTGAACTTAACACATCCCTAAAGAAACTCTTGATATTCCCTCTTCTAACCACGCTTCTCCCACAGTCTTTCCCATCTCCGTAAGTGTCAACTCCATCCATCCTTTGCTCGGACTAAAATTCTTGATGTCATCCTCAACACCTTTCCTTCTCACACACACTAGTTTTATTCTGTTAAAAATTCCTATTGTGTTTATTTACAAAACATGTTCAGAATCTGGCTACTTCTTACCACTTCCACTGCTGCATCCTGGGTGCATCCACCATCACCTCTCACCTGGTGATTTCGTTAGCCTCCTAACTGATTTCTGCTTCTCCCCTTGTCCCCAAAGTCATTCTATAAATACATACGATGGTTCACATTTTACCTCTTCAAAACTTACCAATAACTTTTATCTTACTTAAGAATAAAATCCAAGGACGTACACAATCTACACCCCTTCCCCCAATGTGGCTATTGTTGTTATTCATTTTGCAGGTGCTGCCTATGAGTAGTTGTTTGCTTTCTTATAGTTTTGGTCTTCTCTTGACATTGCAGAACAAATTATCCATTTGTGTGTGTGTGTGTGTGTGTGTGTGTGTGTGTGTGTTGGGGAAAGGGGTTTGGGATGGGTTGGGAGAGAAGTGGCACTAAGAACGGGTGAGCTCATTTCGTAGTGAGATCTCCAGCAAGTCTTTAACAGCTCTGGTGGTGACAGATGTGTACCCAAAGCTGCCTCTCAAGGACTAATTTCACCTCTTTACTGTCTCTTCTCTACTCCTAATGGTATTCTCTCCTTTATCACCTACAGTTATGGGTCCCAAATTTTTTAGCTGGAAGCATAATTGAAGGAGCTTTTTTTTTGAACATGCTTGTTGCTGGTTCCCAACTGCAGAGATTCTGATTCATCAGGGATGTAGTGGTGTTTTTAACAAGTGACCCAGGTGAATGTGATGTGGGTGGTCAGTAGACCACACTTTTGTTAGGAGTACATAGCATGTCTATCACCTCATAAAAGTACATATACTTTTATTATTTTTAAAGTACTTTAAAAGGTTAAATTTTTGTTAATTTTCAAAAAGGAAGGTTTGGAAGTAAAATACACATGTATCAATAAAAAGCACAATGCAAAAGTGGTCAGTATAGACGGCCAATATACACAATTAGATTTATTATTAAACATGTTCAGATGATGTCTTAAGTCAGGAATTTTGACTGACTTAAGTCAGTCAATTTTGAGTGGAGCAAGAGGCCCATCTAGAAGCTGAAATTTTTAAAGGTGAACTTCACCACAGTCCAATGAAGAGATGTGAATATAATGTCCATTATGGGCTTCCTCATAGAGAAACAGGCTCAGAGTTAGTCACTCAAACTGATGTTTTTCTCAACTTCTGAAGTTTCAGCTATGTACACAGCAATATTGTTGACCTTCTTCACTTCAGACAGCCGACAGAAGAGAATTGCTATTTTTTTCAGTCCTTTTGGTCT
Source organism: Homo sapiens (assembly GCF_000001405.40). Lineage (NCBI taxonomy): Eukaryota > Metazoa > Chordata > Mammalia > Primates > Hominidae > Homo > Homo sapiens. Next base: position 34,697,254 of record NC_000017.11, on the reverse strand, counting down.
GTCTTTTGTTTTAGTCCCAACATTGGACATTAGAATAGTAATTGCTCCCAAGAGACAATGTTTTAATTTACCAATTTACTTACTAATGTTTATCTTTGCCAATTTCTTTCCTCCCCTTTCTACTATGCATTTGAGGTTTTCCTTCTGGAATCATTTTCTTTTTTCCTGAAGTAGATCTTTGAGAAGTCCGTTTGGTGAAGTTCTGTTGGTGGTAAATTATCTCAGATTTTGGTCATCTACAGATGTATTTATTGCATGTTTGCTTTTGAAAGACAGTTTTGCAGGATACACATTTCTATATTGATGATTATTTTTCTTGAAATTTTAAAGACACTCCACTGTCATCTGGTTTCTGTTGTTTATGAGAAGTCCACTGTCAGCCTAACTCTAGCTCTGTTATATATGATCTGTCTTTTCTCTCCGGCTCTTGAATCTGATTTCTTTTCTCTCTGGACACCATTTTGGTATCCTGTAATTTCACAATGATGTGTGTAAACATAAATTAAAAAAAATTCTACTTGATATATATTGTGCTTCCTATACTTTGGATACATTTCTTTTATCACTTGTGGAAAAATTTCAGTTATTTTTATTCATATATTTTCTTTCTTTGATTCTTTCTATTCTCTCCATCTGGGCCTCTTCTTTGATACTCTATTATTTCCATCTGGGTCTCTGATAAACGCATGCTAGATCTCTTTTGATTCTATCTTCCATATCTCTTAATCTCTCTTTCATTATTTTACAACATCTTATCTTTCTGAATAATTTCCTCAGTCTGATTGCCCAGTCTACTAAATTATCTCTTCAGTGTGTCTAATTTATTATATCCCCTTCATTTCTAAAAGTACTATTTAGTTCTTTTTTAGAGACAGGGTCTTGCACTGTTGCCCAGGCTGGACTTGAACTGCTGGCCTCAAGAGATCTTCCCACCTTCATCCCCCAGAGTGTTGGGATTACAGATGTAAGCCACCATACCTTGCTCCTATTTGGTTCTTTTTATAAATATTTCCAATAATTTTTATGGTCCATTACTGTTTGCTCATTATTCTGATTTTCAAATTTCTTCAAATGTTTTATACATATTTGGTTTTTATGTCTGAATATTCATCAAATGTTTGTTTAGTGCCTATTATATACCAGTTACTGTTATAGAGATTGATAATCAGCAGTAAACTAAATAGAAAAATGCGTGCTGTTATGAAGCTTGTCTTCTAATAAATAACTCCAATACCTGAAGCCCTTGAGAGCCTGAATTTGTTGTTGGTTGCCTGTGCTGATTCTCACTCATAGTGGTTTATTTCCCTATACAGTTGTAATCTTTGTGAATTCATGTTTGGGTACACATGATGTGTGGGAATGTGAGGAACCTAAATTATAGATGCTTTTTTCCAAAGAAGACTTATTTGCTTCTTCAGGAGCCAGGGGAATGTTGTTGTTCTGGAACCAATTTAACCATTTTGAGAACCCAGGTTAAAGTGGGAGCCCTGGCTCAGTTTCTCTACCTTACCACCGCTCTTGGGTTTAATATTGCTATCAGTGGAAGCACTGATATCAGCAACTGTCCATAGGGAATACTTATCACTACATTTTTTTGTGTGGCAACATATAGTAACTGTGGCAAAAATTTAAAATTTGTGATTTTAACCATTTTATGTGTATGATTTAGTGGCATCAATTACATTCACAGTGTTGTGCAAGTATCACTATCTATAACCAATGTCCCAACAGAAACTCTCTACCATTAGGCAATGACTTCTCATTTTCTCCTTCACTCAGCCCTTGGCAACCTCTGATCTACTTTTTGTCTCTACAAATTTACCTATTATAGATATTTCAAATAAATGGAACCATTTAGTATTTATTCTTTGTGTCTGGCTTATTTCACTTAAAGTAATTTTTCCAAGGTTGCTCCTTGTTGTAATATATACCAGAACTTCATTTCCTTTTATAGATGAGTCATATTAACATTGCCTGTTTATACCACATTTTGCTTATCTATTTATCTGTTGATAGACTCAGGTTGTTTCCATCTTTTGGATATATACCTAGTAGTGAAGTTGTTGGATTGTATGGTTATTCTATGTTTAGCTTTTCTGAGGAATCAGTATAGTGTTTGCTGCAAAGTTTGCACCACTTTACATTCCTTCCAGCAATGCATGAGGGTTCTGATTTCTCCACATTTTCAATCACACTTGCTATTTTCCACTACTATTTTTTGTTATTGCTATTGTGGTATGTGTACAGTGGTATATTACTGTGGTTTCAATTTGCATTTGCCTGATGACTAGTGATATTGAGCATATTTTCATGTCCTTATTGGTTATTTTTATATGCTCTCTAAAGTCTCTTCAAATATTTTGTCCATTTTTTAATTGGATCATTTGTCTTTTTATTATTGAGTGTAGGAATTCTTTATGTATTCTGGATAGCAAGCCTTTATCAAATGATATGCAAATATTTTCTTACATTTAGTAGATTGTCTTCACTTTCTTGATAATGTCTTTTAATGCACAATTATTTTTAACTTTGATGAAGTCCAATGTATCTACTTTTTTCTTCTCTTGCTTATAGTTTTGGTACTATACCCATGAATCCATTGCCAAGTCCAAGATTTTTCCCTATGTTTTCTTCCAAGAATTTTATATTTTTATTACATTTAAGTTCTTGATCTACTTAGAGTTAATTTTTGTATATTCTATGAGATAGGGGTCCAGCTTTTCTTTTGCATGTGGAAATCCAGTTGTTCTAGCACCACTTGTTAAAGAGACTCTTTTTTCTGTATTGAAAAGACTTGGCACCCTTGTAAAAAAATCAATTGGCCATAGAAATATGAGTTTATTTTCTGGACTTTCAGTTCTATTCCATGGGCCTATATGACAGTCCTTATACCAGTACTACATTCTTTTGATTACCATAGCTTTGCAGTAAGTGTTGAGATTGGAAAGTGCTAGCCTTCCTACTTTGTTTTCCATCAATATTATTTTGTCTATTCAAGGTCCCTTGCAGTTCCATGTGAATTTGAGGATTGGCTTTTTCATTTCTCCAAAAGATAGTAATAAAGAAAAGATGTCTGTTGGATGTTTTTGATAGCGATTGTATTGAATCTGAAGATCATTTCAAGTAGTGTAGGCCATTTGACAATATTGTCTTCCTAACCATGAGCATGGGTTGCTTTTCCATTTATTTATTTATGTCTTCTTTAATTTCTTTTAACAATGTTTTCTGGAGTTCACTGTGGAGGTCTTTCACCTCCTTGGTTAAATTTATGCCTAGAAGTGTTATTGTTTTAGATGCTATTGTGAATGGTATTGCCTTCTTAATTTCCCTGTCTTCATTGCAGATGTATAGAAACACCACTGATTTTTGCATATTGATCTTATACCTTCAACATTTTTAATTCTTTTATTAGCTCTTATAATGCTCTTGTGGATTCTTTGGGGTTTTTATATATAGGATTATATCTTCTATGAATAGAGATTGCTTTACTTCATGCTTTCCAATTGGATGACTTTATTTTTCTTGTCTCATTGCTCTAGTAGTACAATGATGAATAGCAGTGGTGAAAGTAGGTGTTCGTGTCTCGCTCCAACACCTGCATGTTGAATTGCCTTCTTGCCCACTATTCCTCATCCTAGTTTTAATACATTTTGAGAGATGGGTGGGATTACTATATATTTCTCTTACTTAGGTTGAGCCAAGAGATGTACTTAAGTTTCTTTTAGCAGAAGTTGGATGTTTTTAGGTAAAAAGAGCCTTTAAGTTGTCTAGTCTACAAGTCTACAATCATTGGAAGGAATATAAAATGACCCTTTGAAAAAATCTGACAGAAAAGATGAGTGATTAATCCTCATGGCCTGGCTTGATGGCCCCCTCTCCACCTTACCCAGAATAATAAAAACAAGCTGTGTTATCATGATAGGACTTGAGTCTCAAAGAGAATCTGGAAGTTAGTCAAACTTATAAGGGTCTGGTGAGAAGGGGAGCCCATGGGAAACTGGCTTGAAGGATGGAAGATAAATATATCTCATATCCCATATAATAACCAAGTTTGTTCCATTTCTCAGCCAGGTGTCGACTCTAGGTGTTTAATCATCCAACATCTTAGAAATGTGTCATCAGTTGCTAAGGAACTTACTCTTGTGAACATGAGTCATACTTTAAGCTGTACATCTGTGTATGCATATGAGAGAGAGAAAGAGAGAGAGAGAGATGGGAGAGAGAGAAAGATATGGGAGAGATGCACTACTTATCCTATGGTGTGTTCTAAAGAGGGAAAGTAGAGAACACACTTTTGGCTCTTCTTTTCTCATCTCCTGCTTACACTTCTCCATACGATTCACTTTATTTTGCTTGAACCATCCCTCACACAGAAACCTGGAAAACTGGGATGGTAGGCATTCTCTCCCTGGGTCCTCAGCACTGTCTCCCATTCCCTGATCTCTTGGTGCCACCCATCCTCAGTTCCAGTGGACCCAGGTGTGTGAAGGCAGCTGTGCTCTCCCCTGCCCAGTGAGCTGTTGAATGCTGTGACCTCCTGCAAGTGCCTGGGGGTTATGTTGCCCAGCTACAGTTGCTGGGAGAACCTCAAGTTAGAATTTCTTCACGTTAGGATGTGTAAAATCTCAGTCACCACAGTGAATTAATGCTGCTTTTTCCTGGCTAAATGTGAAACCCATAAGTGTCAGCTCCTGGGATGATTGAAGATAGAGTGCTCCTGTTTGGGTACTGTCAATCCCTTTTCCCTCACTCTCTCTAAGTGCATTCAGCCTGCAGAGCCCATGTGGGAGTCATGGGGGACACACAGATAAACTATTGCCAGCCCTCTGAGAAGCCCCTACCAGATGGCAGATACATCCAGAGAAGCCTTCTGATGATGGAATTAGTCCTGTCCCGAGGAAGCTCCCAAGTTGACGGAAAGACATAGTCTTTATCCTAAGGGTGCTCCTAGTGTAATGGGGGAGACCTCGGTCCTGCTTAAAGTAAACTCCTATGTGATGTGGGGGACTAAGTCCCTGCCCTGGAGGAACCTCTCGTCTGATGGAGGAGGCACTCTCCATCAGGAGATGCAGATGTGATAGAACCATTCTTTCCTAGATGTCCAACTGGATAGGGGTGATCAAGCTGGCTGGGGGTGATTGTTGGCTGGAGAACTTCTGGGATACATACTGACTGACTTCCTTACACATAAGGGCTATAGAACCCTAACTGAGCCATCATTCCTGCTGGGAAATCCTGACCACTCATTTCTGCCCTCATATCAAGGCTATTCTGAGTTTTTTTTTTTCCCATTCTTGACCAGCCCTGCACCCCTTCTCCTGACTTGCCTCTTCCCAAAGCCTTTTTAAATGAGATTTTAAAACATGCAGAACAATTGAAAGAATTTTAAATACTCATATACCCAGTATCTGGATTCTACAATTGTCAACATTTTGCCTTATGTCTTTCATCAAATACCTATGTATATATCTATTCTTCAGTCTTATTTTTGGTATTTTTTAAAGTAAGATGTAGATGTTTGCTATACTTTGCCCTTAAGTAGAGTTCAATATTTGCTTGTAGTTCTGTATGTGTGAGGTGGGAAGGTTAAATTGACATCAGTAACACACAAATTATAAGTGTAGCCTTTGAGATTTAACAAATGCTTACACATGTGTAACCCAAATCTCTCTCAAGATATTGGACATTACTATCACACAGAAAATCTGTTCATGCCCCTTTTAATCACTGTTCTCACTTTGCAGAGGCAATCACAGTTCTCATTTTTAAAAAAACCCCTTTCTAGGATCTTATATAAGTGAAATTGTCTAGTATGTACTTATCATGCTTTTATTTATTTATTTATTTATTTATTGAGACAGGGTCTTACTCTGTTGCCCAGACAGGAGTGCAGTGGTGCAATCTCGGCTCTCTGCAGCCTCAGCCTCCTGGGCTCAAGTGATCCTCCTACTTCAGCCTCCTGAGTAGCTAGGACTACAGGTGTATGCCACCATGTCTGACTAATTTTTTTTTTTTCTGTAGAGACGGGGTCTCACTATGTAGTCTTGAGCTCTTGGGCTCAAGCAATCCTCCTGCCTTGGCCTCCTGAAGCACTGGGAGACATGAGCCACTGCACCCAGCGTCATCGTGTTTTTGAGATTCACCCATGTTTTTGCATGTTTCTTCCTTTTGATTCATGGAGTAGTGATCACAATTTGTTTATCCACTCTCCTATTCATGGACAGGTTGTTTTTGTTTTTTTCCAGTTAGCAGCTCCTGTGGTTAAAGTTGCTATGAATATTTTTGTACAAGTCTTTCGGTTGGCATATCTTTTAATGTGTTTTGGGCAAATACCTAGAAGTGGAATCGCTGGGTCATAGAGTAGGTATATATTTAGTATACATACATTATTGTGAAATGTCCACTTAAATATTTTGTCCTTTTCCTTACTGAGTTGTGTTTTTATTATCGTGTTTTAGAAATTCTTTTGTACATTCTTGATATGTCTATTAATATATATTTTTCACAAATATTTCCTCCTAGTTTGTGACTAGTCCTTCATTTTTCTAAACTATGTTTTATTCTAGAAGTTTTGTACTTTTAGCTTGTATGTTGAGAAACATGACTCATTTTTAAATTAAATTTTATGCATTATGTGAGATACTGGTCAAAATTCATATTTTTCCGTATGGATGACCAGTTGTTCCAGCCACATTTGTTGAAAAGATTGTTTTACCTATAGGATTACATTGGTTTCTTATTGAAAATCAAATGAACATATAAATGTGGGTTTATTTCTGGGCTCCCTATTATCTCCCATGAAATTATATCTCCCTTTATACTACCAACCTGTCTTGGTGACAGTATACTAGCTTTACAACAAGACTTGAAGTCTTGTTAAGTCCTCCAACTTTGTTTTTCTTTGTCAAGTTTGCCTTGAATATCCTAGGTTCTTTGCATTTTCATTTCCATTTTAGAATGGGCCTATGAATTTCTACAAATAAAGCCTGATGGAAATTGGGATTGAGATTATCTTGAATCCATAGAATTAACAGGGGAGTTATTGATTGGGGAGAATTAACATCTTAACAACATTGAGTTTTCTAGTACAGAAGCATTCATTTAAGTCTTCCTTAATTAATCTCGGTAATTCTTTTAGTTTTCAGTATGTAAGTATTGCCAATCTTTTGCTAAATTTATTCCTAAGTATTTTTTTTTTGCCTGATTGTGCAGAGAATTTTTGAAAATTTCATTTTCAAGTAGTTTGCTGCTGGTATATGGAAACATAATTGATTTATGTGTAATGCCCATTTATCCTGGGACTTTGCTAAATTCACTTATTAGTTCTAATTGCTCTTTTGTATATCACTTAGGATTTTCTACATAAACAATCAGTCATCTGTGCATGTGCCTTTTGTTCCTTTTTCGTGCCTTATTGCTCTGGCTAGAACTTCCAATAAAATGTTATTGGACATAATGAAAGTGGACATCATTGCTTTATTTCTGATCTCAGGGGGAATGCATCTGATTGTTTATCATTAAATATGATGTTAGCTGTAGGTGTTTCATAGATGTATTTTATCAGATTGAAGAAATTCCTAATTTTCTGAGTTCCTTTTCTTCTCAATTTGCTCAGTTTATTTTTTAAAACGATGAACAAGTATTAAATTTAATAAAAACAATTCTATGATTTTTTCTGTTCTATTCTATTAATGTAATAAATTATATTAATTAGTTTTTGGGTGTTCAGACAATCTTCTATTCCTGGGATAAACCTAGGTGATTATAATTAATTATTCTTTTTATATATTGCTGGATTTGATTTGTTAATAATTTTTTATCTACATTAGTGAGAAATATTGGTCTGGCATTTTTTTCCTTCTTTTTTTTTTTGTAATGTGTCCATCAGATTTTAGGATCAGGGTTAATCTGGCACCATAACATTCTCTTCTATTTTCTTAGTTTGTTTAGGATGGGCATTATTTCTTTCTTGAATGTTTGATGAAATTCATAGTGAAACCATCTATTATTGGAATTTTGTTTGTGGAAAGGTTTTTGATTTAAAAATTTACTTTATTTAATAGATACAGGGCTATTTGAAATTTCTATTTTATCTTGTGTCAGTTTTAGTTACTTTTGTTTTTCAAAGAATGTGTCCAATTTGTCTAAGTTGTTATTATTGTTCTCTTATTATCCTTCTAATATCTCTAGGGATGGTAGTAATAATCCCTCTCTCATTCCTGATATCAGTAAGTTGTGCTCCTTCTTTCCTTCATCAACCTAGCTTGGCTGGCTCTCCCTGCCCCTGCCCATCCTTTTTTTTGTTTTAACTAATGCCCTTGCTTCTGGCTTTTATGCAAAGGTCAAGGTGGATCTCCCATGCTTATTAGCTCCCCACTCCCTACTTTAAACTGTCTTTATTTTTTTTTTCTTCCTTCCCTCTATCTTTTTTTTTTTTTTTTTTTTTTTTGAGACGGAGTCTCGCTCTGTCGCCCAGGCCGGACTGCGGACTGCAGTGGCGCAATCTCGGCTCACTGCAAGCTCCGCTTCCCGGGTTCACGCCATTCTCCTGCCTCAGCCTCCCGAGTAGCTGGGACTACAGGCGCCCGCCACCGCGCCCGGCTAATTTTTTGTATTTTTAGTAGAGACGGGGTTTCACCTTGTTAGCCAGGATGGTCTCGATCTCCTGACCTCATGATCCACCCGCTTCGGCCTCCCAAAGTGCTGGGATTACAGGCGTGAGCCACCGCGCCTGGCCCTTCCCTCTATCTTAAAGAAAGCATAGTCCTTGATTTTTCCCATCTGAACTCTCCCCATATATATCTGACTTTAAGCCCATGTCCTGAACTCTCATCTCCTTCTCCTTTAGGGGTCTAACACCTCCAATACAATATTCTTGATCCTTCCCTCTTTCCAAATTACAACCTGTACTGCTGTTCATGCAATGGTTCCTTTAGCTATCTCCAGCCTCAGCTCTGGCTCTGACAGCCCTGAGTATCACTGTGACTTGGAAGTCTCCAGCATGTCATGCTTTTTCTCTCATTGGTATTTTTCTCATGCTTTCCTATCCATATGAAGGATATCTCCCCCCTACAATCTCCCTGGAGAACATCTGCTCAGTTCATGAGTAACTTCCTCCACGAAGCTTGGTGAAATCAATTACCTCCTTATTCTGCAGTCTACTTGGACAGATACTGTGGATAAAGGCATCTGTTATCCTTCATTGCATGCATTTGTTGATATCTTTGCTTCCACAAAGTCCCTGAGAGCAGGAACTATATCTGTTCATATTTATATCTTTAGTACCTGCTGCATTGTAGGTGCTCAGGATATGTTTGTTTATTGACTGCATAACATTTGCATTTTATGAAGATCATGGTTTCCATGGGGAATCACTCAGGCTTTTCCCCATCAGTTCCCTCTTCTATTCTCTCGCTCACCCTCTCTTCCTTAAAAGTGTGGAGCCACTGGTGATTCCTTGCTCTTCCATTAGTTACCAACTTCTGCTCTGCTAGGTCCTTTGGGTTGCACTGCCTTATCTTTTTCTCCCTTTCGATCTCTGCTGTCTCTACTACATCTTAAAGCAGCATTGCCTTGCTCATGAACCACTGTCTCTAAACCAATCTCTTGGCCTTCCCTTTTGTCCCACTCCAATCCGTCTTTCCTACCACTCAATGATTAATTTCCCTGAAGCTTATCAGGAAAAAGCTTCCCTTGGCTCTTTGCTGCTCACAGGACAAACAATAGCTGCCATTGGCTGGGTATCTTCTACATGCCAGATTCTGCACTAAAATGAGCCTTGTAGGGTAACTAATATTAATTTTTGTAGGGGTCATGTATTAACCTCCTTGTAAGTATAAGGAAACTGAGGCTTATAATATTGAATTATTTGCTGAAGGTCATGCAACTACCAGGTAGAAATGGAATCCAGATTGCTGCCTTTCACATGAAATGCTCTACCTTGCTTCCTAACTCCTTTTTCATCCCTGAAGACTTGTACTGTCACATCTCCAGGCATGGATGCCCTGGATGGAAATCCTGGGGCCCACCCAACCTTCTGTGTCTGTTACTGTCTTCCAGAAAGGCCATGTGCACTACTACCTGGGTTCTTTTCCTTATTGTCCCCCTACCTGGAATACTACCCACCTACCTTCTTTATGTCTGGACACTTGCCAAATTTTTGCCACCTTCCTGAAGCCTCGTGCAACTCTCACTCTTTCCGAGATGCCTGTCTGGTCGTGCCATCAGGGATACAATGGCTCTTCTTTGGTGCTCTGTAGAACTTACTGGTGTTTCATTTCTCCCCAAAGTTGCTAGTTGCTTAAACTCAGTGTTAACCCTACAAGGACAGTGCCTCTGCATTCTCTTGGCCAGCACAGGACCACAAACACAGCAGATCGTCACAAATGCTTATTATTGTACCTCATATCTGACTCATTCGTTCACTCAATCTTTCTTTAAATAAGCACTAACAAGTACCAGGCATTAGAGAGGTGACTTAGAGATGAGGATGAGGATGATGACAATGATGATGATAGTTATCTTAGTACTGGTAGCTATAACAAAATACCACGGACTGAGTACCTTATACACAACAGAATTTATTTGTCACAACTGTGAAAGCTAGAAGTTGGAGATCAGGGTACCAGCATGGTCAGGTTCTTGTGAGAGCCTTCTTCTGGGCTGAAGACTTCTGACTTCTTGTACTGTCACATGGCAGAAGAGGGCAGGAGAACTCTCAGGGGTCCCTTTTATCAGGACAGTAATCCCACCCAGGAGGGTTCTACCTTTGTAACTTAATTACCTCCCCAAATCCCTGCCTCCTAATACTATCACAATGGGGGCTTAGGATTTTTAACATGAATTTGGGAGGAACACAAGCATTTAGTTCATTGCAATAGCACACTGCTACTGGCTAGATTCTATTTTAAACACTTCAGATGTGTTACGGAATTCAATCCTCACAATAATGAGGTAAGCACAATTATTAGCCTTATTTTGCAGATGAGGAAACCAAGGCACAGAGAGATTAACACATTTACCAAGGTCACACAGTAAATGGCAGAGTACAAGCCAGGCATCTTGACTGAGTCCAATCCAAATTCTGCTGTGGGTTTACTATTGCAGAATAATTATAACTACCACTTACTTGGCATTTAATACATAAAAGTTTCTGTGCTAAGCACTTTAAATACATTATCCCATTTAGATCCTTTCAAATATTTTTTTTATAAAGCCAGTATTGATTTACACTTCACAGATGAGGGAACTGAGGCTCAGAGAAAGTTAACCTTCTCAAGGTCACACAGCAAGTAAGATGCGCAGCTGGGGCCGGAGCCCCGGCTGCCTGCATCCGAAACACATATTCAAACCCATTGCATTCCACCGCCTCTACCATTGCAAGATCTCAGACTTGGAAGAGCCACCTTAGGAAGTCAACAAGCTCAATCTCCTATTTGTAGGGAAAGCTGTGCTGAGAATTCTCCCAGCCCAGCTCAAATGTTTCGGGGAGTAAGAAGTCAACTTTTACATGGGACAGCCCATCTGTGATTGGACAGCACTGATTGCTGGGGAACTTATTATTATTATTATTTTTCTGAATGAGCCCAATAAGTCAGCCTCTCCCCATCTCCAGGCCCCTCTCTAGAGCTGCCTATATCCCTCTCCTGAAGAAGTGCCGCTTTGCCTGTGGGAGAATTGGGTCAAATCCCCTGGACCTGCCCAAGGTTTTGCAGTGGGAATGGGGAGCTGAGGAAGTTGCACCATTCTCGGGAAGAGAGGCACAAATATTCTGGGTCTTTCATCTTAAGTGGTTTCTGATCTGTCTGACTGAATGAGTGCCTGGAGCCACCCCTGTTGAACATACATTCATGTAGATTCTGGGCTGGGCTATTGCAGGAGTAAATCCCCTTTCTTGCCTTCATCCCCACCCAATCCCCAGCCCCCCAGGACAATCCCCAGCCCTCCCTGGTCTCTGTGGCAACAGGGCCATCTGTTTCATGTGGCATCCCAGGCCAGGGGAAGTTCATTCTGTCCTAACTCTAAGTAACAGGCAGTGCAGAAAGAAGTCCAAGAAGGAGGGGGAGGAGGGAGAGGAGGATGTGCCTTCATGGTTCCTTCTGGTCCCACTGTCATTTTGAGCAAGGCAGGTCATCAGAGATGCAACAGCCCTGAGAGGTCTGCTGACACAACACCCTCATTTTTTGTATAAAAAACTGGGTTCTAAGAGCAAAAATAGTAGTCATATAGCATACTAGCCTCAGAGGAAGGTTTAGTGGGCAACTGATAAACATTTGTTGAATGAATAATAGAATCATAAAGAGTTAGAGGCAGCCAACACATTATGATAAAATTCCCATCTCAGGTGGGAGTGTCCAGAAGTTATACTCTACAAAACATGGTCATCCAAAGTATGCTTGGATGCTTTTGGTGACAGAGAGATCATTATGTTAACTGCTTCTATTGTTGGATACTTTGAATACAGAAAACTCTTCTACATGCTTCTACAGTCGTGTGTCACCTAATGACAGGGATATGTTCTGAGAAATGCATCGTTAGGCAACTTCATCCTTGTGTGAACATCATAGAGTGTACTGACACAAACCTAGCTGGTATAGCCTAATACACATCTAGGCTTCCTGGTATAACCTATGCTCCTAGACTACAAACCTGTACAGCATGTTACTGAATACTATAAGTAACTGTAACACAATGGTAAATATTTGTGTATCTAAACATGGAAAAAGCACAGCAAAAATACTGTGCTGTAATCTTATGGGACCCCTGTAGTGCATGTGATCCGTTGTTGACCAAATGTCACCTGTGGCACTGACTGCACATCTTTCATAGCCTGCCTCCCTGTGATTTTACCCATCAATCCTGGTTCTGCCCTGTGGAACCACAGAGATTCAAGCCCTTCACATGAATTGTCTTGTTGACATCACTCTGGGAAAAGCCTGAGAAGAGATGGTTCTCCATCTTACAGAGGTCTGGAGAAGTGAAGCTATCAGCCAAGGCTCAGAGCTAGGTTAAGAGCCCAAGTGCCTAGGTGTTTTGGTCCATAGTTGGGGTGGGGATGGGGGAGGGATATTATCTTAGCTCCTCTGGGTGCCCCCATCTCTTCCCATCAATCATGCTGATATGGTTTGGCTGTCCCTACCTAAATCTTGTCTTGAATTGTAGCTCCCATAATTCCCACATATTATAGGAGGGACCCAGTGGGAGATAATTGAATCGTGGGGGCAGTTTCCCCCCATACTCTTCTCATGGTAGTGAATAAGTCTCCTGAGATCTGATGATTTTATAAGGGGTTTCCCCTTTTGCTTGGCTCTCTCATTCTCTCTTGCCTGCTGCCATGTAAGACATGCCTTTCACCTTCTGCCATGATTGTAGGCCTCCCCAGCCACGTGGAACTGTGGGTCCATTAAACCTCTTTTTCTTTATAAATTACCTAGTCTTGGGTATGTCTTTATCAGCAGTGTGAAAATAGACTAATACACATGCTCTAAGGAGCTCATTTGGCCCATTTCTTGGCTCTGTGCCATCTGAGCTGCCCCTTTCACCTGCCTGTTCCTCCCCAGCCCTTCACCATGGTTCTATGACTCTGTAAGGCAAGAAAGCAGCTCCCCTGCCCAACTTCAGGCCCAGGCCTTGTGGCTGGGTGGAGATGGATCCTGGGCATGTCTCCCCAACCCAGCCCTTGCCTCTCAGCTCCTGCATCACTGCTAGAACATCCTCCACGTGCCTGGGGCATATGCAGGCTGGGGAAATGAGGAAGGTCAAGGTCTCTCTGATGTCCCCACTGGGAGAAATTCCATTCTGCAGCTTTGGGGAGGCTACTAAGCTTTCCACAAACATTTCTGCTCTTCCTCCCCAGTGCCGCTTAGTGGGCCTTGTACTTCCTACAAGAGGCCCCAAGCAGGGGAGGGATTGTGGAGGGTGGGCCATGAGCATAGTATCTAAAGTGTGGTCATGTTGAAGTACAGGGCCAGAGGAATAAGGGGTTGTCAGGGCAGGAGGCAGAGTTAGGGCTGAGAAGGGAGCAGTAGAAAACCATGTTTGGGAGACAATTCTACTTTCTTCCTCTTTACCATCTTAAACTCTGCCCCTCACTCCTTTCTTCCAATTAGGCTGAGAAGCCCAGGATGGTTTTGCTCTACTCAACACACCATCTTTCCTAGTCCTCCAAATGAGCTGATTGCCTGTCATTGGGTGGATGGTCATTGTGCCCTCTGCCTTAACTGGGAACTAGTTTTCTGGTGCAGGCTGTAGCAATGTAGCCAATCAGTGCAGGCATGCAAATGAGAGAATCCTGAGTAGCCTTTTCCCTGGCCACTCACCAGCAGAGTTTTAACCTCAGCTCTCTGATTGGTCTGTCAGAAGACAGCTTGAGAGTTCAGGCTCAATTATCTTTAATGGGCCAGTGGACAAGGGAGGGAACAAAAGAGTAGATGTTAGAAGAAAACAATATACTTTTAGTTCACTTGGGAATGCATCACATCAAAATTTTGCATTATGTTTGACTTCAAATACTTTTAACAATTAGTTGACTCCTGCTGAGTCAGATGGTCTGGGGAGTGGGAAAGGGTGTGGGAAGGGCAGACCAGGACAAACATGGATGGATGTGGTAGCTATCCCCCACAACTGACACTTCCCACATCATAACTTGTCTCCTTTTTGATTGGTGTCAGAGCCCTCTCTGTTGCCCCCTCCCTCAGATGTGTTCACTGGACCTCTCCAACATTTAGCATCAAGGCCCCTGGGTGTGCCCAGAGCAGGGTTCTGTGTGCACAGACCAGTCATGAAGATGGATTTTTCCCTGCAATAAATATCGACTGATTCATAAATCTGGTTGCCAGATTCGATCAAAGTCGCTGCCTGCATAATCTGGGAGCAGGAAGACGCCAGTTAATTCTGTATCAGGCCGGCTGTTTCTCAGTGGAAGATGTATAAATGACGATGTCTCTTAGCTCCCTGCAACTTGGGGGCTGTGTGATGGGGTTGGGGGAGAACAAATCCTCCCAGCTCAGGTGGCAAGTCTCTGAATGGTGGTGAAGACTAGGATGAGCCAAGGGACAGAAGGTTCCACAGGGCACGACTGCTGTCCTTTCCCCCTCATCAGCCCCTGGTCTCCTCCACTTCAACCCCTCCACTCAGACTGAAAGTAGATAATGTTGAACATCTGGATGAAAAGCAGAATCAGCCAGCCCCTTACCCAGATGTTTCTAAATACCTAGAGTTTTGTACAGAGAAAAAACACATCCTGACAATGATGAGTTTTCATCTTTTATCCAGATATTGAATGTCAGGTAAATACTGTCTTGGGGGTCCTTAATTACTCTTTCCTAGAACCCCCTTTTTCACTTGGGGTCCCACAAGCCCCTAATGGGGGAAGGCAGGAATTCTTGCTGTCAAATTCCCTTTGGATGCCTTGGGGAGGTTTCTCCTCATACTGTGGCCAGCTCTGTGGCTAGAGCAATAGGGTTTTGTTTAAGGTGGGAGAGAGAAGGGACCTGCCCCTCACTCTTCCTCATTTCTCCTCCTCAATCCCTCTGGCCCTTGTACTCGTTCCCCCACTCACCTTTTCTCTTACTCATTCATCCAGTTAGTCATCCTTTCATTTTCCTAGCAAATACTTGTTGAAGGCTAGGCATGTTGGCTCACACTTATAAGCCCAGTACTTTGGGGGAGATGAGGTGGGAGGATTGCTTGAGGCCAGAAATTCAAGACCAGTCTGGGCAACAAAGCAAGACCCCATCTCTACAAAAAAAATTAAAAATTTAGCTGAGTGTGGTGGTGCACACTTGTAGTGCCAACTATTCAGGAGGCTGAGATGGGAGGATCACTTGAGGCCCGAAAGTTAAGGCTGCAGTGAGCTATGATTGCAGCCCTGCACTCCAGCCTGGATGACAGAGTGAGACCCTGTCTCTAAACAAACAAACAACAAAAAGCCTTCAAATACTTGCTGAACATCCACCTCATGAAAGCCCTACTTCTCTGAGGCATCTTTCCCATGCAGGGCTCAGGATCAACATTCCAAACTGCCCCCTTCTATAAGAGTGACTCTAAGAAACCTCGGCAGGGGCTGGGGTTCCTTATGCCTCTTAACTGAGAGGCACAGGAGCTCACTGTGTCTAGCCTGGAGGGTTGGGGAGGGCCTGCAGTAGATGCAGCTGCTGAGGACATGGGCTCTAATTCCAGCTTGGCTATCAGCTCTATGGCCTTGGGCAGGTCCCTGAGCCACTGTATCCTCGCCAGTACAATAGGGGTACTGGTAGTAACAGTATCTGCCTCACAGGATTGCTGTAAGATAAAATAAGTTAATACATATAAGAGTTTGTGGGCTTTTTCCCCTTCATCCGACCAATTCTCTGATTCTCTAACACTGACTGGATGTCTTGCAATTCAATTTAAATCTGATATACTAAGTATCTGGAGTTACTGTCAGACACCACAGGTTAAGGACTCAGTCCCATAAGACCACCCACACCTCTGATGCCAGTCACAAGTATCAGCTTCTCAGGTTACCCTCACTTCTGTCTGACTTGGCTGCAAGATCAGCCACCCAATGGGTTCATTTTGCCCACTGGCCAGATAGAGCTGATTTATCAAGATAGAGGAATTGCAATAGAGAGAGTGTAATGTACCTATGGCTGGCAAAACGGGAGACTGGAGCTTTATTATTACTCAAGTCAGCATCCCTGAAAATTCAGAGGCTAGAGTTTTTCAAGGATAGTTTGATGGGCAAGGGAATGGGTGCTGCTGATTCGTTGTGGATGCAATCAAAGGGATGTGGAAAATGGTTCTTGTGTGCTGAGTTGGCTTCTGGGTAGGGGCCACAAGACCAGTTGAGTGAAGAGTTGTGGGTCTGGGTGGAGCTATCAAACATCAGAAATGCAGAAGCCTGAAAAGACATCTCAAAAGACCAATTTTAGGTTCTACAATAGTGATGTTATCTGCAGGAGTAAATGGGGAAGTTACAAATCTTGTGACCTCCATAATAATGGCTGGTAGTTGTTTATGTCTACATCTTAGCAGAATTCAGGCTCTTCTCATCCTTCTAACCTGGTTGGTCTTTCATTGTTTTACAAAGGTGGTTTAGTTTTGGGGAAGGGCTATCATCATTTAAACTATAAACTAAATTTCTCCCAAAGATAGCTTGGCCCAAGCCCAGGAATGACTAAGGGCAGTTTGGAGCTCAAAGGCAAGATGGGGGTTGGTTAGGTCAGATCTCTTTCACTGTCATAATTTTCTCACTGTTATAATTTTTGCAAAGACAAAATTTTGCAAAGGGCAAATTTCAGGAGTTCCCACAATCCCTCTACCAAGGGTTCAATAATTTGCCACAGTAATTCACAGAACTAAAAAAAAATGTTATACTTACTATTACAGTTTATTACAAAGGATACAAATGAACAGCCAGATGAAGAGGTTCATAGGGTAAGGTGCTGAAGGGTCCCAAGCGCAGGAGCCTCTGTCCCCATAGAGTTGGGATGCACCATCCTCCTGCCATGCAGACATGTTTGCCAATTTGGAAGCTCTTTGAACTGCATCATTTAGAAATTTCTATGGAGGTTTCATTACATAGGCATGATTGTGACCTTTGTTGATTAACTCAATTATCAGCCCTTCTCCCCTCCCAGCAGGCTGGAGAAAGGGGTTGAAATTTCCGAATCCCTCTGGTCACATGGCTGGTTCCTCTGGCTACCAGCTCCTGTCCTGAAGCTATTTAGGGGCCCAAATATCACCTCATTACTATAAATTCAGGTATGGTTGAAAGGGGCTCTTTATGGATAATCAAAGATGTTCGTATCACTCAGGAAATTCCAAAGGCTTTAGGGGCTCTGCACCAGGCACCAGGGACAAAGACCAAATATACAGATGGGGTTTGATGTCACAATTTTTGACTTTATGATAGTGCAAAAGCAATACTCATTCAGTACATTCCTTGGTCTACCATGCAGTTTTGTCCAGTAAGCTCATCGTAAGTCAAGGAGCATCTGTACTGTATTTTTCGTTATACCACAAAGCTAAAACAGTGCCTGGAGAGTGCATGTGCTCCAGTGTTGGTGGTTATTTCTACCCTGGACTGGAGTCCTTGACATCCCATTCTACCAAGGATATATTTTTATTTTTTATTTTTAAATTTTATTTGTAGAGATTGGGGTCTCGCTATGTTACTCAAGCTGGTCTCAAATTCCTGACCTCAAGCAATCCTCCTGTCTCAGCCTCCCAAATTGCTGGGATTACAGGTGTGAGCCATCATGCCTGGCTTCATTCTACCAGGGATATAAAGCACCTACTGTGTGCAGGTCACTTGCTGGTGCATGGAGGGTACAAATATCAGTCAGAGATAACCCCTGACATACCCTCCAGGATGTTCACAACAAACACAGAGAAAGAGCACTGGGGCTGGGCTGGGTCAAATGTTCCAATTGTTTGGAGAATTATGGGAAATTTCATGGAGAGAGAGGGAAATGGTCTTTGACTGGGTCAATGGAGGATGAATAGAGTGAATACTGGGGCTGGGAGGGTGTTCTAGGAGAGGCACTAGCATGAGCAAAGGTATGGGGGTGGAAAAGAACCTGGTCTGAGGAAGAGGAGATGAGAAAGGGAGCTGAGAGTGGGAAAGCAAGGAAGGGTGCTGTCACATTGTGGAGGGCCTCAAATGCCGGATGAGGGACTGAGCCTAATTCTGTAGGCAATAGGGAGCCATGGAGGGACTTGCAGGAGGGGTAAAATCATCAGAGCTGAGCTCCAATGTGGTTTCTCTGGCAGTGACATGATGATGGGATTGAAGAGGGGTGAGACAGACGGAGAAGGCCAAGGCCACTCTTGAGTCTGAGTGAAGCTATGCAGAATGGACAATGACCACACACAAAGCAAAGGGTAGACTGGAACCACACATAAAGCAAAGGGTAGACAGGAAAAAGAAGGGGCTGACCCCTGGGGCAAGGCAATGAGGCTGGATACACTATATCTCTTCTGGTAGCACCTCAGTTTCCCTCTAGGTAAGGGGAGTAGCTACCTCAATTCAGGAAGGGGCTCATGCAATTTGGAATAAAATCCCCATAAATCCACAGAATATTAAAGTTGGATACCCTCTAAGAGATGATACAGTATAAGCATGTATTTCATGGTGACAAAAATGAGGTCTAAAGAAGGCAAGGGGTGTTTTCATTGACACATGTCTTGTAAAGGGTATAGCCTGGACAAGCCCACCAATGGCCCTTGAGGGAGGTCCCAAACACACCCCTTCCCTTGGCCCAGCTAATTAAGTGCTATTAAAACCAAGTCAATTTCTCTATTTTGAATAGTGCTGCAATAAACATATGTGTGCATGTGATTTATAGTGGAATGATTTATAATCCTTTGGATATATGCTCAGTAATGAGATTGCTGGGTCAAATGGTATTTCTGGTTCTAGATCCTTGAGGAATTGCCACACTGTCTTCCACAATGGTTGAACTAATTTACATTCCCACCAACAACAGTGTAAAAGCATTCCTATTTCTCCACATCCTCTCTAGCATCTGTTGTTTCCTGACTTTTTAATAAGACCTGGAACCAACCCAAATGCCCATCAATGATAGACTGGTTAAAGAAAATGTGGCGCGTATACACCATGGAATACTATGCAGCCATAAAAAAGGATGAGTTCATGTCCTTTGCAGGGACATGGATGAAGCTGGAAACCATCATTCTCAGCAAACTAACACAGGAACAGAAAACCAAACACCGCATGTTCTCACTCATAAGTGGGAGTTGAACAATGATAACACATGGACACAGGGAGGGGAACATCACACACTGGGGCCTGTAGAGGGGGTGAGGGGCTAGGGGAGGGGTAGCATTAGGAGAAATGCCTAATGTAGATGACGGGTTCGTGGGTGCAGCAAACCACCATGGCATGTGTATACCTATGTGGCAGACCTGTGTGTTCTGCACATGTATCCCAGAACTTAAAGTATAAACAAACAAACGAACAAAGAAACCAAAAAGCCAAGTCAATTTCTCAAAACTGTACCAAGCACCTATTGTATATATACCAGACGCCTAGTTAGGTACAGGAGGTCCAAGTGAATGCCACAGTGTCTCCACCCTCAAAGAGCTGCAGCAGATGAGAAATAGAGACAAGCACACCCATAACTACACACAATGTGACAGTGCAACAAGAATTTCAACAGCATGAGGTACCATGCTCAAACAACCCTGCAAGATATTCTAGGGAGCTCTAGCTCTCCCTTTCACCCACTCTCATCTCATTTTCTGTCTGTCTGTGGCTATCTGTTGGCTCTGAGTATCTTTTACTAATTTTTTCTTTCAACACTCACACACTCACACTCATATACAACCTCCAGTGTTAGCATAGACCCTCCTGATTGAATAGAAGCATATGCTGCAATGGAGAGAAATGTGCAGCTATAATTGCCATAATAGTTGGAACTACTCAGTGGAAATTTCCTCTCTGGCCTGGCTTTGAATCCTGGTTTCCACTGCCCTCTCTCACACACTCTATCACAGCTGGGTGGTTTACAGGTACCTGGGTGTAACATCTCCTTGCCGTTTTCAAACACCTACTTGACTGTGGTCAAGGTGGTGCTAGCTAAACTGAAGACCAACCTCATTCAATGATGTGCTTCTGCATTAGGCACTGTTGGAAACTCTGAGGAGTGAGCAGGGAAAAAAATAGACAAAATCTTTACTCTCATGGAGCTTATGTGGAGAGAAAAGCAAATATATACAAAATAGATTCGATGGCCAGAGGTATGGAGGAGGAAATGCGAGACCATGGGACTTAGGCAATGGTAGGGCTGATTTGCAATTCTAGATAGTGTTGCTGGGGCAGTCTCTCTGGTCTCTCTGAGAAGGTGATATCTGAGTAAAGGCCCAAAGAAAGTAAGCCAAGCATATGATATGGGAGGATGTGAAGGCAGAGGGAACTGCAATTGCAAAGGCTAGGAGGCAGGATGGTGCCTGTGGCCTTTGAGGAACAGCAAAGCAGCTGATGTGGCTGGAGAGGAGTCTGCACTGAGGACAGAAGTAGGAGGTGAGGTCAGCGAGATCAGAAAGCCCAGGTCACCAAGGGCCCTGACAGTCATGGCAAGAATGTTGTTTTTACTCTGGGTGAGCACCAATCCCACAGGAAATCCTCTAAGACTCAAGCTCAAAGGAGAGATAAGCTTCATTTTCCTACTTGCAAGAGCTGCTGCCTCCTCCTCTTCCTCTCTGGTCTCCCTCTCCTTCCTTCCTTCATTCTTAGCTATGTCAGGAATTGGTGCAGGTGGCCTCCATGGCCCTGCACATTCAGCTTTCGTCCAGCACTATTCCGATGCCACCCATGGGCCAGGGCACATCCTCTGTCCTGGGGTCTTACTGCTGTCTTGGCCTTGGAATGGCTGGCTTGTCCACTTGGGTAGAGTCAGCCTCAGAGGGAAGTGAAGACAGGTCTGATCCCAGTTGAGCATCTGAGCTGCTAGTGTTGCCAATGGGCCTAGCCAGGCTGGCAATGAGATCAGCTGTCTGCTGACTTGCTGGCCTCTGGCACTCCTGACAGCATCCTCACACCCCCAGCCATGTAGATAACATTCCCTCAGTCTTTCTCATGTTTCCCCACCTGGTTGCTTTCTAAACTGCAGAATTTTTAAAAAAATCTAATCTAAGGGCAGTAATGGGAAGAGCTCGGGCTCTTGTGCCTGATGGCTTCTGATCCTCGATCTACCCTATACCTGCTGTGTGATCTTGAACAAGTTGCTGAATTCTTCTGAGCCTCAGTTTCCTCACTCATACAGTGGGCCTAGTGGCACTGATGCCTACCTCATGGGATTGTTGGGAAGACTGGATGTGATGATGCATGCAAAGGTCCTGGCATGTCACCAGCCCTCAGTGAACCTGGGCTTCTATGATGGGAGCAGCCACAATGCTGGGTAGATCCTGGGATCCCTGCCTCCCTGGGCATCAGGGGACCAGAGGCCCCAGAGCCTCTATTTCTCATGTCCAAGCCCCTGCTCTGGGGCCAGGGATCTCTGGAGGCAGCTGTGGTTCCAGCACTGCACTCTGGGCCCAGCCCCAAGCTTTGCAGTAACACAGGGACTGTCCTCATAGTTATGCCAGTCTGTGTTGGAATCAGTTTGGCTTTGGTCCTCTCTAAGGTGACATTTGTTGATCCAATCCGTTCCTCTTTTTCTCTTTCAGTGCATAGTTTCTGCAAGTATTAAAATATGACCATGTGCAGCAGAGTGAGGAGGGTGCAAACAAGGGAGTCAGGAAATCTGGGATCTCACCCTGCTCACCCTGGGGACCTGGGGAAGGCCACTTCTCCTCCCTGTGTCTCAGCAATCATTTCTGTAAAAGCTCCAGTTTGGCCCAGAGGATCGGGGGGGTCCCTCTGGCTGGGAAAAAAATCTATTCTGAGGATCAAAAAAAAAAAAAAACAAAAAAAACAAAACCTAAATCAAACCCAGGTTCTGGTGCCAAAGTCAAAAGCTTCTCATCTGTGAAAAGAGGTTTTAAATTACCCTGTGTTTAAACAGGAAGAGAGAGGGAAAATATTAATGGAGCTGAGACTGGAAAGTCCAAGTGAGATCCTGCTCTTCCAGCAAAGCGAGCGAGGGAGGGCGTGATTAGTATCTTCAGCATTGGAGCATTTTGATGTAATCTTTGATTTAAAAGGTTTTGCAGGTGCGTGTGTGGGGGTGGAGGAATAACTCTCCCTGCCCAACCTGGAGGTTCAGAGTAGGCATCAGGAAGGGGAGGGGGAGGAGATGGGCCCCCGAGTGGGACACCAGGGAGGATGGTGGGGCAGCTGGGGGAATCTAGCCAAAAAACCCGGTCTGAGAGTGGGGGTTGTCCTAGAGACTAGGTTGGGGAGTAGTCAGAAGAGGGAGGAGAAATTTTCCAAATCTAGAGAAGGAGTCAGCCTTGCTTTGGAAAGCCTGGCATCACCAGTGGGGTCTTCAGAATTTGCACTTGCCTTTTTCTCATCAATGTGTTTGAGCATCCATGCTGGGTACTGGGGTAGGGGTGGGGATACAGACTAGGGGAAGTATGTTGTGCCAGTGCAAACTGGGGCTGGGCAGGACCAAACTGGGGAGTGCCGAGGAAGAGCCTGAGGAGGCCTGGAGAGCATCATTGGATGGGGCAAGAGGTGGGGAAGGGGCATCTAAAGGCATTTGGGAGGTGGGAATTGTTACCCAGTTGGAGGACTGGAGAAATCAAATGTGGGCAGAGTGTTCCAGGTAGAAGGGCAGCAAAAGTCAAAGCTCAGGGGCTGGCAAGTAGGGGTCGGCTTGTAGAACAGGAAAAGGTAAAATGTCAACCATGGCTTCTAGGCCCACTGTCCATTCTTAGAGACCCAGGGCACTTAGAAAGGGCAGTCATGTACAAGGAACTCCATTCCTTGAAGGCACAGCTGATTGGACCAGGGTGAACCCCTAACCTATGCTGAGCCAATCACAGCCCTGCTTCTCATAATTGAGAATCTGAATCCTGATGGCAGGGAGCAGGTGAGGTGACAGGAGACACAGTGTGGGAGTGGGAATTGGTGCCAGACAAAGCAGAGCCACCTGCCACCCCAGTGCTGGGGCTGTGAGCAGGGAAAGCCGGTGTGCAGCAAAGAGCAGGAGAAGGAAGTAGGGCTGGGGAAAGCCTGTGGGACCTGATACGAGTTGTCCTGTTGGGTCCTTATGTTAGCATGTGTGGGTTTCTGTTCCTGGCCACCAAAAATCCCTGGGCTAAGACCCCTGGCTTGCTACAGGATGGAGCATGTGTGCTGGAGAGGTGTCAGGTGTTTAGAAATGAACTTGAGGAGTTTGGAGCCAGATTGGGCCAGGCTTTGAATGCCAGGCTTTGAGATCACACGTACATTTGTAGGCAGTGATGGGTGGGGAGGAGTGAGTCGTTGACGTTTTTGAGCAGATCTGGAAGCCCAAATGTAGTGGAAAGGAAAGGGTCTAACCCTGAAGTTTAGGCTCCAAGTGTCCCCAGCCAGAGAGCCCAAGGGCTGGGTGACAGTTCAGAGTCTTCTCAGTGCTCCATGCAAGTGTGGGCCTAGGTCTCCATGGATGAAGGAGGCAGTTTCTGCCAGAGTCCCTATGACAACCCCTCCTCCAGGATTGTCAGTCTTAAGTAACCTTCCACTACCCTACACCCCCACCACACACGCCCAATATCACCAGCCATCCACAAGTTCATCCCTACCCAGCTCATGGAAACAAGATCCTCCTTGAGCTCCCAGCATGGTGGCATCTAAAGAGCCCAGGATTTTAATTCTGATAGATCTGGGTTCAAATTCTGTCTCACATTTATAGCTGCATGACTTTCAGCAAATCCCTCAACCTCTCCAAGGCCTAGGGCCCTCATCTAAAAACCATGAACAATGATACTTCCTCCTTGATTTGTCATGAGGATTAAACAGTGTGATGAATACGAGAGACCTATTGCATGTCTGGCACATTGTGCAGACTCAGGGAGTTCACTTCTTCCCACAAGAAGGTGGGTCTGGTCAAGTCTGCATTGCTCTCACGTCCGAGAGGGTAGGATCCAAGTGTATCATGGGCACTCTTCTATTTCCAGTAATGATGGCATGTCTGGTGCTTTGTGGGTATTTAATGCATGCTCACTGAATAAATAAATGAATGTATAAGTGACCCCAAGTGACCCGGGTCCTGGACTCCAGAGGCTATAGCCTCTTACCTAACTTCCCCTTCCCCCACCATGAACATGCAATCTTCAGAGCTGCCCCCTCTGCTCATGTCCTGGGAACCCAGTTCCTTGTCAAGGTTTTCAGGGCCTTCCCTGACCTGGCAGACTGACCCAGCCTTCTCAGGGTCCCCTGGAACCAGACAAAGCTTCCAGAAACTCATCTCCCTGCCCAGTGGCCTCTTCCATTGGGGTCTAAATATCTCTTCCCCTGGCCCCACCCCAGGCATCTGGCTGAAGCCTTCTGCCTTCCCAGTGCTGGGCCCCTCTATGCCTGTGAGTGGCCCCAAGTCTGCCTCCCACTCTTGTACCTTGATGTCAGTCTTGCTGTCCCCAATCCCTCATCCTGTCTTCTTTCACCCTGCAACACTCTCTTAGGGGATTACCACCAATTAGAGTATAGCAGGTATCCTTCCAGACCTTTTTTTTCTACATAAAGTTTAAAATCCTCCCATAACATCCCCTTATACTTAACATAACATCCAAACTCCATTCCATAGCTGACAAAGCCTTGTGTGATCTGGCCATGCTTTCCTCTCTGACGTCTTCCTTCCCACTCACTTCCCAGGCTTCTGTCTGACGGTCTTCAAACACTGCAAGCTCAGGGCCTTTGCACAGGTCATCCTCTTTGCCTGGCACAGTCTTGCCCTGATTCTGACTAGCTCCTCATCACTCAGGTTTCCACAAGATGCCACTTTTTTGGAGAGGTCTTCCCTAGCCACACCATTTAATATTGCGCCCTATATTTTTCATAGCACGTAGTATTATTTAAAATTGTCACTTGCTGATTTTCTCATGTGTGATCATCTCTCCCTCTGGAATGCAAGGCCCATGAGGACAGGACCTTCTCTTTTCTATGACTGCATTATCCCTAGTAACTAGATGAGAAACAGGCACAGAAAGCTCTCAGTAAATATTTGTTGAAAGAATGAATCTTTCCATATATGTGAATAGACAGTGTTCGTTTACCGAAAAATGGGTCACACTGTAGGGTTTTGTGGCTTTTTTCCCTGGTTGTGTGGGCGGGTAATTTTCTGCCTTCCATGTTCACTGATCACTGTCGGCTTACTTGTCCATCACTGCCATGCTCTGAGAGTCCCCAGAGGGTAGAGCTCATGCACAGAAAAGGGAATGGTCTGTCTTTTGCATCTGATGGATCTGGCTTCCTGTCCTGCCCCATGCTGGCTCTGAGGCTGCAGGCAAGTTCCCTGCAGTTCTTGTTGCCTCAACTGGGATATTAATGGCTCCCACTTACAGGCTGCTGGGAGTGAGTGATGGTGTATGTTCAAGCCTCTTCCCAGTCAGCTCCAGGCACCAGTGCCACAGATGAGAGGTTTAACTGGGTCTTTAGCAGCCAGATCGTGGCTGTAAACACTACGAGTATTCCTCCTCCTTGACCCCTACAGCCCTGACCTGGGGCTTAGAGCTGTGGCAGCCTGTGGGCCCCAGCCTCCATCCCCTGTAGGGTGACAGGTGGGAAGGAGATCCAAGGGCCCAGGTGGGAAACTAGACAGCCCTGAGCGGCCAGCCTGGCCCACTCCCCAGCACCCTCCCCATTTCTGGGAAAGAAGAGAACAAAAATAAACCTCACTGCCATCAAGCAATTAAGTGGAAATCAAATAATCCCAAGGACAGAAAAGGCAATTAATAAAGGAGCAATGAAAACTAACAGAACTGCGGGGCCTGCGAGGAAATGCTAAGCAAACACAAACAGGGGCAGCGGCGGGGGGCTGTCTGGAGAGGGCTGGGCTCTGGGCTATAGCTTCTGAGTGTGAGGAAGAGACCCCTGCAGGCTGGGAGAAGTTGGAAGGGGGAATCCGCTAGTCTGACGGGAGAGACACAGCTTAGCCCGTGGGGAATCCTAGACAGACTGAGGACACAAAACTCCTGCCCTGGAGGATTAGGGATGGAAGTGTTTTAAACCACTGTTATGTGTCAGGTCTTGTACCAGGTGTTTTTATACAACATCAATTCCCAAGAAGTTTATTTTCAGCTTGACCATTCCATCCAGCACCAAACCCAAAGTCCTCCATCCCTACGGCTCACAAGGCCCTACTTAATGAGGCTCCCATCACCTTCAAAATCTTCATCCATAACCTGCTTCCTCCCACCACTCTGATCACCCTTCTGCTTCTCAAACACTCCAGGCACACTCTTGCCTCAGGCCTTTGCTCTGACTGGCCCGCTTGCCTGGAACATCCTTCCCTTAGAAATTCACAGGCCTTGATTCACTTCCTCCCTTTTTCTCTAATGCCACCACTTCAGAGAGGCCTTTCATGACCCCTTTTCCTAAAACAGCAACATGCCCTGTCCTTTGGTCCTTATACCCTTTCCCTGATTATTTTTCTCCATGACAGTTATCCCCCACACTGGATATTTTATATGTTGATTTGTTTTTTTTCCCCATCTTCCTCTTGCTAGGATGTGATGTCCGTGAGAGACATTTGGACTCTGATCCCCAGAGCTATAAAATAATAAATGTATATCATTTAAGCTGCCATGTTTGTGAATGTGTTACAGCAGCGATGGAAGACTGATACCAATAATGTTTGGAAGCTGCTTGACTTCTGAGTGGAAGCCCTGGCCCAGGACTTCTTCAGAACAGAGGGTGGACTTTGGGAGAGGACCATGCACAGGTCCTCAGTATCCTGGACTCGAGACTCGGGGTTTAGAGGGATAGATGACCATGGACTGGGCTCAGCAGGGAAGACCTGGTCAAGGGGAGAGAGAGAAGGGGAGGCACAGTGGGAGGAAGTCTCAGGTCTGTGACCTTGGCAATGGACAATGTTTCCCCTGCTAAGGCCAGGGCAGCTAGTGGTGGGGTGTTGGGGTGGAGAGTTTTCGCCAGAGTACCATGAAGCTACGCCCCTGACCCACAGTCCCTTGGCCATTGCAGGGCGCTCTGCCCTAATCCTGCCCCCTCCATGCCTGCCTTTGGCTCACAATAAGCATGCACATACCCCCACAAGTACAAAGGTTCGGCCTCTTGGCTCAAGCTGCAGTGGATCTTTGATTTTGATCCCGGCCTTACTGAGGTCTGGAAGATGAGGGGCTGTCCAGGGAAAAGGTCTGGGTTGGAAAGAGAAGCCAGCTAGGAAGGGAGGGAGAAGAAACAAGGGCAAATCCTGTGTTCCTGAGAAAGTCACTCTCCAATCTAGGACTTAATGCCTCATTCATAGAAATCAAACCTTCCCTGTTTGCCCCTCAGGGGTTACAAGGATCAAAGTAGAGACTGGACGTAAAAGCACTGGGTAGCAGGCAAGAGGCAAAATCTTATATTGAGTGCCCAGGAAGGGCTCAGGTCTTGGAGGCGGGCAGACAGTCAGACAGACTTCAGCTCCAAGTCTGCCCTGTTCAGACTCGCTGGGGGTTCTTGAGCACTTTGCCTAAGCCCTCTTGGCTTCCATTGCCTCGTCCATAAAGTGGGGACAGTAACTCAGGTCCACATCTCTTACCCACAATTTGGAAAACAACAATCCCCCAAAACCAAACTTTTTCAAAACTCATTTGCTGACAAAACTTGACTTTAAAGGACATGAGGCTGTAAACATATAGGGCTTATTTGTTTTGCTTTGTGTGCAGTCACATATTTCACTGCAGATACATTCATGCATTTGATTACAGGGCACACCCCTGGAGGCATTATGAAATAAACAGAATATCCACCGAATTACCTTCCAAAAATCTGGTTGCAAGAGTTTCTGAAGATGGATGTGGACCTATAGCACCTGCTCGATGGGGCTGAAATGAAGCAGTCCTCCTGTGACTCCCTAGATACAGTGGGCACTCAGTCAATGGCCAGATGCCCCTGTAAGGAGGCAGTAGTGTTCCCATTTTACACATCAGAAAATAAAGGCTTGGGAAGGTTAGGTAACTTTCTCAGGATCACCCAGCAGGTAAGTGGCAGAACTGCATTCAAACACAAAATTCACAGTCTTAGTCACTATACAGGTCACTAAATAAAATGTCCATTGTCAGGCGATTTGTTTTTCCCAGAGTCAATCCAGGATGAATTCTATTCATGACTTGTTCATCTCCCACTTCCAGCTTGGCCCTGGCCTCTGCTGGACACAGGACTCAGGGAAAGGCTGGTGGAGTCTTGGGCTCCTTCCTCCTCTCTCGACTTGATGCAGGCAGAGTTTGGGAAGCCACAACTACCATATCTCTGGGCGATCTTTGGCCTTGCACAGAGAGCTGGGTTTTGTTTTATTTTTAGAGAAGGGGTCTGAGCTCACTGCAGACTCAACCTCCTGAGCTCAAACCATCCTCTTACCTCAGCCTCCTGAGTACTTGGGACTACAGGTGTGAGCCATTCTGCCTGGCTTAGAGAGCTGTTATAGATCAGCACTGGGAAATGGATCTGTCCAGCCATTACCCTTCCCTCCTCCCCTGGACCATTCCCACCAAGGCCTCTGGGGATCGGAGGGGAAGGATCTTGCTTAATTGCACCTGGAGCTGGTGTGCAGGCCCCCTCTTTGCTATGTGGAGCCCTCATGGGCCAGTTTAACCTAAGCTCTTAAAGTCAAGGAATTGTGGGGCTTGGGTGGGGGGTCAAGGAATGCTGGCTGGGGGAGCCTCAGCACCACTGGATCACTTTGGGCCATGTGGGAGCATGGCCCATGAAGCTGGGGCCCCCAGTGATGTTCTCTGTGCAGCTGGGCGATTGTGTGCAGCATGAATTGAGGGCTTGGTGGCAGCCCACAAAGGGATCAGCCTTGAAGACTCAGGGCAAACAAGAGTTCCCTGTCCCCAACAACACTAGTGTTCCCAGCAATGCTCTGGAGCCCAGCCACCAAAGCCTGCTTAGGAACCAGAGGGATGGTGAATAAGCCCGATGATAGAATCAGGATCCAAGAGGATCTTGGTGATTGGAGCAAAGTCCAGGATCCAAGAGGATCTTGGTGATTGTAGCAAAGTCCAGCATCCAAGATGAAGCTTAACAGAAAGAAAGGGCAAGTCCTGCTTTGGGGGTCTCAAGAGTCAAGGCTGGGGTCAGCAGGAGTGACAAAGACCTGGGGGCTTCAGCAAACACACAGCTAACATCAGGCAGCAGTTATGTTTTTGGAGGGGGAGGTATAGATGCCCAAATAACTAATATTCTCCTGGCCTCTGTTAATACAGCAGCCAAACTAAAAGGCAAGACTGTTCTTTTCCAGGCAAGTCCAATTCCCAGTATGAGACATGGGAAGGACTTTGACAAAATGGAGTGTGTCAAGGGGATGGCCAGGAGGGGCCCTGAAACCATCATATTTGGAAGAAGGGCCTGGGGCCAGCACTGAACATTGGGGTTTAGAGTCAAGGATTTGGAACTCCTTATCTGGGAGGCTGCCCAGTTTATTTTAATTGCTTATTTTTTAAATTTTTGAGACAGGGTCTCGATCTGTCTCCCAGGCTAGAGTGCAGCGACACAATCAAGGCTCACTGCAGCCTCCACCTCCTGGGCTCAAGTGATCCTCCCACCTCAGCCTCCTGAGTAGCTGGGACTTCAGGCACAGGCACACACCACCACGCCCGGCTATTTTTTTTTTTTTTTTTTGAGATGGAGTCTAGCTCTGTTGCCCAAGCTGGAGTGCAATGGCACGATCTTGGCTCACTGCAACCTCCGTCTCCTGGGTTCAAGCAATTCTCCTGTCTCAGCCTCCCAAGTAGCTGGGATTACAGGCATGTGTCACCATTCCTGGCTAATTTTTGTATTTTTAGTAGAGACAGGGTTTCACCATGTTGGACATGCTGGTATTGAACTCCTGACCTCAGGCAATCCGCCTGCCTCAGCCTCCCAAAGTGCTGGGATTACAGGCGTGAGCCTAATTTTTGTATTTTTTTGTAGAGATGGGGTTTTGCCATGTTGCCCAGGCTGGTCTTGAACTCGTGGGCTCAAGCAGTCCTCCCTGACAGGCGTGAGCCACCCTGTCTGGCCCCAGTCTGTTTTAAGACAGCTGTAACTGGTGACATGTCAGGTCTAAAGGCTGAATGACATGGAAAAGCATGAGGAACTCGGGGTAGAGATGAAGAAGAACTTCCTAAATGCTTAGGAATACCAGCCAAGATCTTACCTTCCCTCAGGGTTCGGTTAAGAAAAACATCCCTGCTGTGGGATCAGGACAGGGGAATGGCTGAGATGCCCACAGGGTGTCCCGCCCAGGCCCACCGAGCAGGGAAGAGAGGAATATGGTGCAAGTAGGGTGAAGAGCCAGGGGTCTCAGCAGCCTCATCAGCGGGGTCCGTGGCCCCAGGTGGGAAGGAGGCAGCAGGGCGAGCCTGCGCACATATTCTCCCTTCTAATTATCCCCCCAGCCGAATTGATCTTCCAGCCTCCTCTCCTGCTGGTAGGGAGAGGCCTTGTTTGCTGCCTGCATGTTTACCAAGCAAATGGTTTTTAAAAGCTTTCACAGACACAGAGAACCCATTTAGAAGCCTGGGTTGGTAAAATTATTTATAGAGATTAATGGTTATCACTCTCGTGCCTCTAGGAAATCAGGAGCCATATGCCGCAGCGTGTGATCAGGGTGGGGTGGGGGTGCTGGGCCCCTCTGCTTCGGCTCCCTCCAGGCCCCACCTCCTCCTGCGGTCCCCGCTCTGCTTCCTCTCTCCTTTCTTCCTCACTGCCCCCTTGCTGTGTACCTTCTCTCCTGCACCTGGTCTCTGTGTTTCGTTTGGAATTTCGCGTTCTCTCCGACTCCCTGCCATACCCCTTCCCATCTTCCTCCGTTTTTCTATGTCTGTTCTTTTCCCTGTTTTCTCACTGCCTGTCTTCCTCAAGGTTTATATTTGGATTTGTAGATTTGTTTCTCTGCGTGGTTCTCTGCCTTTGGGACGCCCTCTGGCTCTCTCTCTATCTTTTCCTGTGGTTCGGTCTTGGTAAATCCCCCTATGTCTCTCTGTCATTTAATTTCCCCCCATTTCTCAATCTCCATCTCTCTCCCATGTGTCCTGTGCCCTTCCTCCAGACAACCGCCTCGGGCAACAGCAGGCGGCCTTCCTCACGGGCCTGCCACACATTCATCCTGCGCCAGGGTGGGGCCGTGCACGTGGGGGTGGGTTTCTGAGTGTCCTGGGCCTGGCTGCCTCCACCTGGTGGGGACTCTCATGGCTCCATGTGTGCGGGGACTTGAGGTGGGATCCTCTGCTCCCCTCAGAGAGACAAGGTGATATGGTTTAGAGAATTGTCCCCTCCAGACCTCAGGTTGAAATGTGATCCCCAATGTTGGAGGTGGAGCCTGGGGGGAGGTGCTTGGGTCATGCTGTGAACCCCTCATGAATGGCTTGGTGGCCTCCCCAGGGTACTGGGTACTGAGGGAGTTGCTTTCCGCTGGTTCACATGAGAGCTGGTTGTTCAAAGGAGCCTGGCACCTCCTCCTCTCTGTCTTGCTTCCTGTTTCACCATGAGACACTCCTACTCCCCCTTCACCTTCCTTCATGGTGAAAGCTTCCTGAGATCCTGGCCAGAAGAAGATGTTGCTGCCATGCTTGTACATCTGCAGAGCCATGAGCCACATAAACCTCTTTTCTTTATAAATCGCCCAGCGCCAGCTGTTCCTTTATAACAGTGCAAAATGGACAAACACACAAGGCCCAGGGTGGAAGGGCCCTCCATCCAGGGCCACCAAGTGCTGGAGAAGGGGAGCAGGGGAGTCGAGACCGGGAACCAGTGTACCGTGTAGGTCTCTTGTCCACCTCAGGCTGAGACCCCCAGGACAGGGGGTAGGTGCCAAGGGGACGAGCAGGGCTCCCAAGAGTCAAGGATTCCACGGGAAGCTCTTGAGAACTGGGTGGAATTTGAAGTTTCTCTGAGATCAGGTCCACCAAGGCCCTCTCAAAACAGGCCCCCACCCACCAGCAAGCCCACCAAGTGTCCCCGGGCCCTCCAGTCTCTGATGCAGGCCTTCCAGGGGAGGAATTCCCTACCTGTGAAGTGCTGAGTCCGTTTTTAGACAGCTGTGCTTGAGGAGGCATCTTCTCTACACTGCGCAGACACCCAGCTAGAGACTGCAGAAATTCTGGAAATAGAGTCCCTTATTCTGGGGTGCCTGGCCTGATGTGGAAGATGTAGCCTCCATGTGTGTGGGTGGAAGGAGTGCTTGGTGTCCTGGAGTGCGGAGACAGACAGACTGTGCTCCAGTCCAGATGCAGGTGGCCCTGGTTACTAACCGTGTGCCCTGGGCTACTCACTTCACCCCTTGGCCTCTTCCTCTGGAAAATGGGACTGGTGATCATGCACCTTCATTTCAGGGTTGATGGCAATGTGATATGGTGATCATGAACCCAAACTTGGGGTGAAGGAGGCTAAAGAACTCCCGTGTTCTAATTCACACTGCCCTACTTTCTAGCTGTGTAGCCTTATGCAAGTTACTTAACCCCTCTCAGCCACTGTTTCTTTGTCTATAAAATGGTGATAGAGATAGTCCCTTACACCACAGAGTTGTGAGAATAATTCAGTGGGGTCCTGTACACACAGTGCTTGGCTTCAACAAGTTACTTAACCTGTCTGTGCTTCAGTTTCCTCATCAGTAAAATGAGGATAATAACAGTGCTCCCTTCTAATGGTTGTGAGGACTAAAGGAAATAGCACAGTAAAGCATTTGGACCAGTGCCTGGTACAGAGGAAGTGCCACATGAAGGTCACCTATTGTCGTTGGCACGATGCTTGGGCCAGAATAGGTTGTGATCCATCTAAGCCCCACCTTCTTGGACTCTGACCCTCTCCTCCTTTGGAACCCTTCGCCCTGATCCCTGCCAGGTCCACCAGGCCTGAAAGAAGAGAGTGTCTTGGTTATCAACAGAAATGCCTTCCTGTTCCTCCTCTCTTCCAAAACTACATGGGGGAAAAGTGGGGGTACAGCCTGGGCTGCAGCAGGGGGAGGTGGGGCTGTGGTCTCCTGGGAAGATCTCCCTCCACTCTCCTGTTCATCCATCCATCCATCTGCAGGTCTGCAGTGGAGCCTCTAATAGCTCTTTAATGAACTTCCATGAAGTCTTTCACATTACCTGCCTCCCAGGACACCTGCTTGCTGCTCCCTGCTGGCTGCTGCAGCTCAGAGAGTGCAGGATAGGGACGGAGATGGGGAGCCCCAGGTGGAGAGGCCTCTCACCCTCCATATGCCCCTGGTGGGAGTGCCTGGAGCTCCAAGCTGAAGTCCCAGGAGGACTGTGCTACCTACGTGACCCCTCAACTACTCCAAGGGGGATACAGCAAACTGGGCACAGGACTCCTGGGATTTGGGGTACCCAGGCTTTTGTGGCCAGCCTCCTCCTCCTGCCCCATCTGCCATTCGGTTGTCCCATCCTTTTATCTTCCCCAGGAATTGGTGAGAGGAATTCAAACTGGTGGTAGTGGTGGGGGTGGAGGTGGAGGTGGGGTGTCCCCAGGTTCTTGTTTTCTGGCTTTGTACTTGACCTTACATTTAGAGACATTTTGGAATCTCCTTGTCATCTGGACCTCAATTTGCTACTTTACGAGATGAAATTAACAGCCCTGACCTCACTTAGCCTTTTATGGGGGCTGGGGGCGGGATTTACTAATTAATAATCTCTGTAATAGCAGACAGCGTTTATTCAGAGTTTACTGTGTGCTGGGCTTATGCTCTGATGTCTTACATGGTCCCACTGAGTGTTCACAACCTTATGAGGTAGGGGCTATTGTGCCGTGGTCCCCATCCTCCATATGGGAAATTGGAGTGGTCACACAGCGAGTAACTGGTGGAAGAGCCAGGATTCCAACTTTGCTCCAGCCCAGTGCTCTTTTTACTGAATTATTATGGGAGACTCTAAAGATCCAGGACCTTCGCTGGAAAAAGGTGATGATTTCCTCCCTGGGGAAGTAGGCGTCATGTGAGAAGGCTTTCCCTTGGGGGCAGGAGGGTGGTCAGTGAGGTGGGTCAGCTCCCGGGAGTCCTATGGGAGCCCTCCTTCCCATGGGAGGACTTACGGCCAGGTTTGCTGGGAGGGATGGGGTTGGCACAGAGGGCCTCTCTGGTTCCATAAGGCCCCACTTGAAGCCAGGGCCAGTTGGGCTGTGAGTCATGAGTCAAGACCAAGGGAAGGTGAGAGAGACCTGAGCTGGAAGCCCTTTTGCTTGGACTCTATTCTCAGCGCACCTGGCACCTAGTAGGTGCTCGGTTAGTGCTGCTTGAATGAATGGCTGACTGAGGACCCCCAGCAGAAGATCCTGAGTCCCCATTGTCTGGCCTCTAGAGCCCTCCTCTGTGAGACTCAAGGGCTAGGTATGACTAGGAAGAGAAAGGCCCTTTTCTGCTCAGAGTGTGGGGCTGAGGCCTCCCTTCAGGAGGGAACACGGAAGTCTTTCCACTCCCGTTTGAAAAAAAAAAAAAAAGAAATCTTAGTGAAGCAAATGCTTCATTAAGGGAGGGATGATAACAAGGGAACAACTACCTAGAAGCAGCAGTGCTGGGCCAGCCAGACGTTGGGGTGCACACCCCTGCCACTGAGGGCACCATGTCCGTAATCCCAACCATCTCAGTTTTCAGATGAAAGCTGGCCACTGCCATCTTGGGAGCATTAAATAATAATTGATTTTGAAAAAGTACAATCATGACTCTCATATGGAAATAAAATGAACATGTGTTAAAGATTGCATTTAACTCACTAATTAGTGAGGGACTCCATGAGATATTACAACCTGTTCAAAGCAGAATTCCAGGTACCTCCCATATATGGTCAGATACGGTATGCTGACACGAAATTACAGAGAGATAGATGCAAAGCCTAGTGATCTAGTCAGCATCCACAGGACAACAATCAATTGCATTCCTCTGCAGACAATTTGCATTTTTATGGACCAGAATTATTTGCATTATGATAAAGTTGGGACATGAATGTCAGCAAGGCAAGGGGCAAGGAAAGGGAGGGAGCCATCAGAAGGGACCTCACATTTTTGTTTTTGCACTGGGCAGCCCCTACCCAGGCTTGGCTTGCCCACTCCCAGTGCTAGGGCACAGTGCACTCGTGCAGGGCACTGGTACCTGTGCATGATCAGGAAGCAGGCTGAAGTGAGTGGCTAATCTGAGACCTGTATCTTACCTGTGGGTGAGCAGTTTGTGGCCTGAGCCCTGTACACAGACTAGGAAAATCATTCCCACAACCTCACTCCACCCTCTGCCTTATGGGTAAAGCCCATCAGAGGTAGTAGGGAAGCAAATGGAAGGCCAGGTCTAGGAGGCTGGGGATAGAGAAAGGGGAGCAGCCTTGGTGGTGGCAGAAGGTTGGGAACCTCCTGCAGGTGGTTCTAGTGGCAGGAAGGGGAGAGGGGAGGGAGGAAAGGTTTGCAGAGAGTGAAGGAGAACAGGGAGAAGAGGCAAAGAAAGGAGGAAAGAGGGGAGAAACAGAAAGGTAGCTTGATCTGAGAGTGGAAGTCCCAACCTGGCAACTTGGCCTTGATGGGTGGAGCTCTCCTGGGCCTCAGCCTCTCACTTGTAAAGAAAAGGTGAGATATGGATGAAATTGGAAATCATCATTCTCAGTAAACTATCGCAAGAACAAAAAACCAAACACCGCATATTCTCACTCATAGGTGGGAATTGAACAACGAGATCACATGGACACAGGAAGAGGAATATCACACTCTAGGGACTGTGGTGGGTTGGGGGGAGGGGGGAGGGATAGCATCGGGAGATATACCTAATGCTAGATGACGAGTTAGTGGGTGCAGCGCACCAGCATGGCACATGTATACCTATGTAACTAACCTGCACAGTGTGCACATGTACCCTAAAACTTAAAGTATAATAAAAAAAAAAAGAAAGAAAATTTGCATGTTCCCCATTCCTTCTGGCTTCTCTTTGGGTCTGCCCATACGTAAGAGCCTGGTGTTCCCCAGACCCACCAGGCACTCCCGTGCCTCTGTGCCTTTGCCTACACTATCCCTTGGTTGGAATGCCTTTTCTTCCTTGTCTGCCTGTCAAAGCCTTATTCACCTACCAAGGTCCATCCTTGTCTGAAAGTCACCTCAGCATTCTTAGGTCTTCCCAGGCATACTTGGTGGCTCCTCATTGCCCAGATGTGGTCATGGTATAAGGTGGTAGGCGAAGAGTAAGCGACTTAATGCCCGACACACTGGGTCTGAACTCTGGCTCTGCCCCTATTAGACATTGCCACCTTGAGCAAGAAATAGTCTCTCTGAGCCTCAGTGTCTGTATCTCATGGGCCAGACTTATTTGCTTTATTATAAAGTTGGGACGTGAATGATAGCAGGGCAAGGATCCAGGGAATGGGGAAGGATATCAGAGAGACCCCACGTTTTTGTTTTTGCACTGGACAGCCTCTACCCAGCCTTGGTTTCCCCACCATCAGTGTTAGGGCAGAGCCCTACTGTGCAGTGCACTGTGTATCTGTAGTGCACAGATGTGCGGAGATGGTTCAAGGAGATGATCCTTGTAAATCCCTCAGCTCTGTCCTTGGAACCTGGTAATCACTAAATAAATGTTGACTATTGGTATATATCTGTAAGGAAGCACATCTTTCTGGGCTCGCTGGGGGTAAATTCTGGCCACATGCCCCATGAAGTTGGGCTGTGTCTCATTTATGTGGTATCCCCATGCCTAGTTCAGTGCCTGGGCCTTAGCAGGCTGTTGAGGAATCCCTATTAGATGAAATGATTTTGGAAAAATAATGACAGGTGTGGAGGAGCAGGGAAGGAATGATAGGAGGAGAGACTCAGCTGGGCAAGGTGTGGAGGTCTGAGCTGCCAGGAGGAGCTGCCCAGGGCCAGTAATAATTGGCATGGGGGGGGGCAGGAGGAGCCCAGCTGAGCCTGGCTGCTGGTAGGGGAGCTGGGCTCTGGTTGGGGACTCATCTTTCCGTATAGGGGCCCTCTGGACTTCTTCCAGGACTTGGGAACCCTCCCTGGACAGATGGAGATGGGAGGTGGAAATCAAGCCACCTTGATTTCTCTAAGGAGAAAAAAGAAAACTTGATGTCTGCTAAGAAGTGCTCTCCTTTTTCTCTGAGATGGGGTCAGGGAGCACTATATTAGCTTTGTCCTAGTGCTGCCTCATATAAACTAAGGCACAGAGAAGGGCAACACATTGACTTAGGTCACATAGTAAGTTGGCCCGTGTGTAAAACGTATCCCCTTGAGTCACCTTATTTTACAGTCACAGAGTTGTGGGAGATAGGATCACAGAGCTTACTCTTTCCTTTTTATAAGTGAGAAGAGGGGAAGCACCAGCCAGGTCAAAGGAAGCTCCAGAGAGGAAGCAGTGAGTTCAAGATGAGGACTCCGTCCTGCCTTCTCTGTCTGGGGGTGGGGACTTTGCTCCAGGGCCACTCGTGATTTGAGAGCCTGGAGCTTGGTGATGAAATGGATGAAGGGTATTACTCTCAGAGCTCAGGCAGGGGCACCTCTGCCCACCGGTAGCTGGCTTGGCAACATCTCAGGCTGCTCTGGAAACAGAGGGGCTGGGGGCTGCCAGGACTGTTGGCAGCGTGGTGGCCACACTCTGGGAATGGGGAGAAAATGGGCCTTGGAAAGCGGCTCTGGGCCCCGGTCCAGCATCCTGGGCCTGTTCCTGGCAGTCCCCACCTGGATCCCAGCTGCTCTGAACCTGTTCTGTCACCACACAGGGTCCATCCTAGCAGCTGGCCCTGAGCCACCTCTTCCTACCCTCAGTCACGTTACAGGTGGGGACCAATTCATCCAGTTGCTCTTCCAGCCAGGGAACCTGGGGGCCCTGAGCCTTCAGCTTGTCTCTGTCCCTCTCCGTCCCTGTCCTAGCTGTCTATCTGCTTTGAGGAACCCTGAGCCCTGGATGCAGAGGCTACAGGGCCAGGTGAGGGTGGACAACTCTTTTTTCAGCAGGTCCTGGGCCTTGCAGATGAATAGGGGAGGAATGTGTGTGTGTGTGAAGACTAACCCACTCAGTGTTTGTATGTGCTTGTAGACGTAGTTAATCTTCACAAAAACGGTATGGAGTAACTAGCATTATTCCTATTGTGCAGACCAGGAAGCAGACTCAGGGGTGAGAATTCACCTGGGCAAACCCATAGAGCTTTGAGATGGTAGAGCCAGGCCTCAAATGCAGGCCTTTCCAGGCACGGTGTCTCATGCCTGTGATTCCAGCACTTCAGGAGGCCAAGGGTGGGAGGATCGCTTGAGCCCAGGAGTTCAAGGCCAGCCTGGGCAATATAGTGAGACACCATCTCTACAAAAAAATTTAAACATAAAAATTTAGCTGGGAGTGGTGGTGTGCACCTATGGTTCCAGTTACTTGGGAGGCTGAGGCGGAAGAATCACATGAGCCTGGGAGGTCACGGCTGCAGTGAGCCGTGATTGCGCCACTGCACTCTAGCCTGGGCAACAGAGTGAGAACGTGCCTTGAAAAAAAAAAAAAAAAAGCAGGCCTTAAAGCACATCACCTCTTTGTTCATTCCCATACCCCCATACCAGAGACCTCTCAGTGGGAGGGACAGATGCAGAGGCAAAGGTGCCCAACTAACATGATGCACAGGATAAGAGGGGTGACAGGATGGTGCTATGGGAACTCAGGGGAAGGGGCTACAAATTCAGATGACAGGGTAGGTTTCTCAAGGTGGGGCATTTGGAGCCAGGCCTTGCTGAATGAATGTGGACTTCTGTAGGTGCAAGAGTGAGAAGGGCATCTCCAGCACTGAGGGCAGCAATAATAAAGGCCTGAATATCAGTCAAGGAAATTTGTGCTGGATCCTGTAAGTTTTCTCCCTTGTGGATGTGACTGTTTGATTAATATCTGTCTCTTCTTTCTAATTTGTAAGCTCCATGAAGCCAGAGGGGATGTCTTTTTATTTACTTTTTCCTCATTGTAATTCTAAAACTTAGCACACTGTGGGCAGATACTAGATGCTCAATAAAGGTTTGTTAATGGAATGGGTAGTGCCTGCTTCAGCTTGGCACTCCAGAGCCCCTTCCTCTGCCCCGCTCTCCCAGGCCAGGCTCCTGGGCTGGAAGGTGGAGGCTATTCTGCAGCACTGGCCTCTGTTCTCTCTCCCTCCTTGGCCAGCCCATGCCTACCTACCATCTGTGGGGCCCAGGGCAAAGGGCAGAAGGGAGGCTCACATACCACATGTCTAAATACCTACAAGTCATTAATTCAGCAAGCAGATTGGTAAACAAAATATGTTTTATCCACCTCCCTTGGCAAGTATACCTTCACAATGACAAAATCGAAAAATATGTATAAAGCTTTGGTGGCAAATATTGAAGACAACTGAATTAAATTTCTCCTGTATGTGTGCTGGTGTTCTGTTGCGGGTTGCTGATGTTTAGATGAGTAATAATAGAAAGGCACATAAAAGAAGCCAGACCTAAGAGACTAGATAATGCTTGATCCTGTTTATATGAAGTTCAAGAACAGGCAAAAAGAATATAGGGGGATAGAGATCAGAAAAGCAGTTGCCTCTGAGGTGAGTTTAACTGACAAGGAGTATGAGGTGTTTCCTGGGACAATGCAGTTATCTTTTATTTAGACTGGAATGTTGGCATGGTGTATATACACTGAGCCAAACTCATTCAACTGTATACTTAAAATAAGGGCATTTCACTGTATGTAAATTATACCTCAAGTACAACAAAAGCCTTAATGACGTCAGAATCATGAGAAATTTAGAATAAATTGGTGTTAAAAATCACAGAAAAATTGGCTAGGCACGGTGGCTTATGCCAGTAATCTCAGCACTTTGGGAGGCTGAGGCAGGTAGATCGCTTGAGCCTAGGAGTTTGAGAGTAGCCTGGAAAACATGGCAAAAACCCGTCTCTACAAAAAAATACAAAAATTATCTGAGCATGGTGGTATGCGCCTGTAGTCCCAGCTACTAGGGAGGCTGAGGTGGAAGGATTGCTTGAGTCTGGGAGGTCAAGGCTGCAGTGAGCTGTTTTCGTGATACTGCACTCCAGCCTGGGTGACAGAGTGAGACCCTGTCTCAAAAAAGAATAATAAAAATTACACAAAAATAGATGTACTTAATGCTTAAATTATTACTCCATAAAATTTATTTTTCTTGCCATTATGTTTAATTGGTTAAAATTTAACATCAATTTTGTTAAAATGAGGATCTCCATATAACTTGGAACATAACAATTCTGAGTGACAGGAGGCACCCCATGTTCTTTAAGGGGGTGTTTGTGTGGTGTGTGTGAGTTCCAGCAGACAGCTGCCTGTTTTTAGAAAGTCGTATTGGAGCATATCCAGACCCAATTTTCCAGATATTGCCTAAGGCTGCTTTTGAGGTACAAGGGCAGAGTAGTTTTAACAGAGCCTGGATGGCCTGCAAGCCTGAAATGTGGCTAGTTGTGACTCACATAAAAAAATAAAAAGAAACAGGTGAAATTAATTTTAATAATATATTGTATTCAGTCCAATATGCCCAAAATGTTATTATTTCAACAGGGAATCAATATTTAAAAACTATTAATGAGATATTTTATGTTCCTTTTTTCATGCTAGGTCTCCGGGATTTGGTGTGTATTTTACTCTTACAGCTCATCTCAGTATGCCAGGCAACATGTCCAGTGCTGAATAGCCATTTGTAAACAGCAGATACTGTATTGGACAACCCAGGTAAAGGATTAGAAAATAAAATGCAATCTTATTCAGTGTCCAAAATTTGAAGGTATTTTTCTTAAACATTTAAGTTCAAGTATAGTACAAAATTGAAACATTATACTTATCTCACATATACTTTCAAAAAAGTATTCAAAATCACCTATAAAATTGAAAGGTGTAATTCACATCATGATTAATGAATATAAAAAAATTAAACAAAAACCATTTGAGTACAGCTAAAATTGTATTTAATTTTTTGGAAAACATACTTAACTATTATTAAATATTTTATAAAGATAAAACTGTTCACAACTGTAACATGAAATGTGCCATTTTTAAATGTAATCAATCAGCATCGTACTTTTTACGTGTAGACCTACGTATGTACCATATGATTCATACGAATTGCTAATGTAGAAAAATGTTTCTCAGCTGCCATGTCAACCATAGTAAATGCTACAAATAATAATTTGACAACTCATGAGTTCTTCCAGAACCATGCATTGGAACAGGAAGACAGCTAGAGAATGGACACTTGGCATTACTTGGAAACGATACCTTTTCAACAATCTATTGCATTCATGCTGTCAAAGAGCAAGGATTTGAAAAGCTAATTAATTATCTCCTTTCTTATCTAAGAGCTTCTGCTGCGCATACCCTCTCAACATTCTGAAGTGGAGCCTGATGTCACCAGCAGCAGATCCCAGAAATCTTCACAGCATTCTGACTCTGTTGTCTTTTCTTTTGAGAACCTAGAGCAAAAGATGTGGAAAAACATTTCCCGGGGCCTGAACAGTGTTAATCATGAAAGTAGATGTTTAGGATTATAGGCTGCATCATGACAGTGCTGAACATAATAATTCTGAGTGACAGGAGGCACCCCATGTTCTTTAAGGGTGTGTTTGTGTGGTGTGTGTGAGTTCCAGCAGACAGCTGCCTGTTTTTAGAAAGTCGTATTGGAGCATATCCAGACCCATTTGTCCAGATATTGCCTAAGGCTGCTTTTGAGGTACAAGGGCAGAGTAATTTTAACAGGGCCTGGATGGCCTGCAAGCCTAAAATATTTATTTCTGGTCCTTTGAGAAAGTTTGTTAACTCCGGGCAGGGGCCCCTTTTGCCTAGATCTGAAGAGTTCTCCTCCTTGAACCCCCTTGAACTGAGACCGAATGTACAATGGGGAGTCTGTCTAGACTTCTGCTGTAGTTGCAAGCTCTCTAAAGGAGGAGACCCAGGGAGCTGGGAAGATCTCCCAAAGCAGCTCCTCCAAATGCATTCTGAGGGCTACAGCTGTTTTCTGTAGTGAGTTTGCTGTCCCCATGGCATTTGCGATAATATTCTCT
Source organism: Homo sapiens (assembly GCF_000001405.40). Taxonomy (NCBI): domain Eukaryota; kingdom Metazoa; phylum Chordata; class Mammalia; order Primates; family Hominidae; genus Homo; species Homo sapiens. The sequence goes on along the minus strand of NC_000017.11, from coordinate 34,654,704 downwards.
AACCAAAGTAAGCCAGTGGTCGGGGCAGAGTGAGAGAATGGTTCTCTTTGCTTCCCCTTTTTGCCAGGCCTTCCCCATCCTTTATAAGAACAGCCAGAGAGAATTTCCTACTCTCCTCTCAAGGTGCAGAGCTTGCACTAAGCTCTCTCTTCTGGCCCCAATGTTCTGGAGAGTGGTAGTGATGATAGTGGTGGAATGTAGGAGAGCTGGACTCCTCATCTGCCTGGGGGGCCTGATTCAGCTCTAGAGGGTGTGGCCAATGTGGCTGGAGTTGTGGGTAAGTGGATAAAGAGCACAGCATGTGGGTGGGGGCTGCTCACCTTGTTGTGCTGATGGTCAGAGCGGCATTTTGTTGGTTTCTGCACCTGTCACCTCCACTAGATGCATTGTTCTTGGCCAGCCCTTTGGGCCTACACGATGCTGGGCACATAGTGGATCCCCAATCAGCAGAGGCAGTCAGCCATCCATGGCACATACTGTATGCCAGGCACAGGTAGAGAGTTAGAAAATGAATCCAGAGGGTGTGTGCTCTCGAGTGGTTCACAGCCCAGTGGGAGAGGCAGAGATGCCAGAGCTCAGGCCCTCACCCTGAAGACAGGGTGCTCAAGGAAGTGCTTATTCTAGGACTTCCAAGCAGAGTGCCACAATTCAGCTTGGATGCTTCAGCAAAGAGGTGACAGACTGAGCTCCTTGTTGAATGAAATCTCGAACAAATGAGTCTGATGCTGGGGCCGTGAACTTTAAAGATGTGGGAAGGGATTGCTTCTGAAGTTTTAAATTGAATTCATTTAAAATGTTCCTTGGCTGAAAGTGGGATGGGAGGAGAGGGCCGGAGGGAGGGGCTGAGTATTGAAGAGATGCTGAGGGCAGGAGGACCCAGGCAGAATGCCAAGTTGGAGGGTGGTCTCCAGGGTCCTTCCCAGGCTCTCACCCAGCCACGCCTGCTGAGAGCTGGGGGTGAGAGAGATGAGCTGTCCTCGCTGGAGGACAAATCTCTGGAGGAGGGGATGGGGTTGGGCCGGCGCTGGAGCAAGAGATTGGCGCAGTGAGTGATGGCCCTGCCGGCTCCACTAACCCCACGTGAGGGATGAGAGGTGAAACGCCCCCTCCCCTAGCCTATTCCGGAGCTGGCTGCCACGGGACAGGGAGGGACTGCTTTTTCTTGGCCTGTTTGGGGGATGCAGAAACTAGAAAAGGCATCTAAAAGTGGCCTCCATGGAGCTTTAAGGGGAATCCATGGTCAGGAAGCAGTCATTGCATCAACCACTCCCCTGGATGGTGTGTAAGGGGTCCATGTCCCCTCCCCAAGTTAAGATCCGGGTTCTTCTCTCTTGCTTAACAGACGGGGAGGGAAAGGGGTTTGTCCAATGTCACATGGGATGGGGGGTGAGTCCTGGGGGCTGGGCTGGGTTGTGATCATCTTCGTCTCCCCATGGTCTCTGCAGCCTCTGACTAAAGAGGGGCATTGAAGGAGAAGGATTGATTCAGCCCTCCTGATTGTCCTCTACATGCCCTTTCTTCTGGTGAACCATGGGGCAGGAGGTCTGGGGGATAAAAGGTGGAGACAAGACCAGGGCTTTGAACAGAGTCTGGTGTGTGTCGCTGGATGGATGAGCCGTCCTTCCCATTTCCTCAGAGAGTCCTGGAAGTGGGGAGGGCTCTGGTGTTCCATGGAGCAGACTGAAAGCACCCACAAGGTCCACCCACCTGGGGTGGCATAAATGTCATCTCTGCACTCCCCTAAAGGACACCTATAAGGGGCAGGGGAAAGGGAGAAAGGCAGCCTCCTTGAGGGGTGACAGGATCAGAGACAGATTAGAAAGATGGCTCTGCAGCTAAAGGCTGTACATGGGGAGAGCCGGGCAGGGAGGCTGGGTAAGAGGGTGTCGTCATTATCCTGGGGAGAACAAGGGGTGGGGAAACAGAGTAAAAGATCCAGCAGGGGCCTTATGCTGGTGCTGGGAACATTAAAAATGTGGAAAGGGACTGCTTCTGAGGCTTTTAATTGAATCCATCCAGTCCTAATCCTTGTGTTGCCTTCTTGTCACTTAGGGAAAGACTCATCTCTGCACTGGCCTCAGTTTCCCCATCTGTAAGATGGGAAATCATCACAGCAGCAACCAACTTAGTCAGTGAGGCCTGAGAACAAGAGGGCAAGCAGGCATGAAAGTGCTTTGACATTGCAGAGAATAGATGGAGGGACTGTTGGCAAGGACTTGAGAAAGGTTTTATAGAAAGGCGTGATGGTGGGGAAGGGAGGAGGTGATGGGGAGTGTCAGGAGATGGGGGAGTCAACTCCCCTGGAGGCGTCCTAGTTGCTTTCCTGGAAGCACAACGCATTTATTTGACAAGAGTATTTGATACAGTCTTCTAGGAGGCGGCCTCTGATTTGGGGCGAAAGGGTGAACTTTGGCTTTCTTTGTGTTCCAGCCCAGTCCTTGATTGAGCTGGAATGCAGATAACTCGCTATCAGTGAAGCTGACAGGGAGGCAGTTCAGAAATGTCTCTGGGGGGTGGAGGTGGGATAAAAGCTATTCAACTACCTAAAGCCCAATCCAAAGGTAAGAGAACCACTAGGAACACTGAGATCAGGCTGGGAGGATCTGGGACGGCTCCTGGAGGAAGTGACTTGTGGGCTGGTCATGGGAAGGATTCCAAGACTGATGCGGAGAGAGAAACAGCCTGAGCAGAGGGGCTGGCTTCGGGAACCTCAGGGGATCCCAGCCATTTTTCTCCGGAACCACCTGAGAGGTGAGAATGAATTGGATATGGAATGATGGCTCACCTGACTTTCTAACTTTTGGTTCTTGGAGGTGCATGTGGCAGCGCCAAAGGCTCCCAGCTAGTGGGTCCTCCCCAAGAAGCCCTGCCATCGTGGGCCCAGGGACGTGGATACAGTGCTTTGTCCCAGCCTCCCAGCCCTGTAGGAAGACTGCGAGCTGGGCTGGGCTCCAGGCTGCTCTCTGCAAGGCTTGCCTGTTTACCACTTCGCTGCGGAGCAGATGGATGACACGAAGGCCACATTTTTCTCCCATAGCAGTGGGGAAATGAATCTCACCAAGTGCTGCTGACACCATCCTCCCAGGTTCCACATCCATCGTGGACCGGGGCTGCTGACAGAGCACAGGCCCATCCCTCAGCCCTGCGCTGGGGCCCAGGGGAGAGAGTGGTGACAGGGCGAACATTTAGCATCTCTCCCTTCCTCGGTGCAGCCCTTTCCCTCCCCCAAGATCCGCCCACGCCACTGCGCAGTCCCAGCCCCGTTCTGCTCCTCCAGGCCTGGGGGCATTGAGGGCACTTGGAAACAGATGCTCCCAGGCAGGGAGATGATGAGGCTGTGATCTGGGGAGAGGCGAAGAGAAGGCATTGGCTACAGACCTGACATCCTCACAGTCTTAAAGCATGATGAAGGGTGGTCATTTCCCTGAAGCACCCAAAGGCCAAGTCTGCCCAAGAGTGAGACTACTGGGAAGATGGAAGATGGAACAGTGGTTAGGAGAGCTGGATTTGAATCCCAGCCCCTTTATTAATAAAACTCTAGGACTTTGGAAAAGTCACTCTACTGCTCTGGGTCTTGTTTCTTCCAATATTGGAATGGATTCCTCCCGGTACTAGGGATTGGTGATTCCAGACTAACAAGCACATGCTAGGAATTTAAAGACAAAGTACTCATGTTCACTGTTTATTGAGCACTTATTATGTGCCTTAGACTGTATGGAAAAGATCACTGATCTCCACAACCATCTTTAGAAAAAGTCAACTTCACCCCCATTTTACAGATTAGGTAACAGATACTGACTCAAAGTCACATGCAAGAAATAAGGTGAAGAACCAAGATTCAAATCCAACCCTGTTGAACTTCAAAGTCCTTTCTTCTTGCTAGATGACATGTCTGTCCCAGGGCACAGCGAATCTTGGAAGCCTGCATGTCAGGAAATCTTGTTGAGGAATTGAAATGAGGGATTTGGGAATCCTGAAAAAGCCGTTTGGGAAAGTATTTCCATTCCTGGCTTCAGTTAACACCTAGCATAGCTTCATCTCATTTAGTCCCTGTCCTTCCACCTTTCTCCTGCATCATATCTGTTGTTCTAAAACCTATTGGTCTAATCTTCTTGAGCCACTCCCTTTGGAAAAGTCTCTCCTGGTACACTCTGGGTCAGGATAAAGTCCAGACCCTTAGGACTGCCTTGCCTACCTGCCCTGTCTCTCCTCTCCTGCCATTCCCAGCTTGCTCACTGAGCTCAGTGGGACAATCCTTGTGATTTTCTAAAATTTCCCAGGCCCCTCTTGCCCCTGGGTCTTTTCTGGGGGTCTAGATTTCTCCTCTTGCCAGCATGAGTTCTCCTTATGTTGTCCAGAAGAAAGTTTTGAACCCTTACTAAAGCCTTCCCCATCTATTTGCCCATCAGACTTCATTCCTTCCCTGCCCCGCCCCCAACCCCTGGAAAGCTGTCTGGGTGAGAAGGTCGTCCAGGTCTTTTTACAGGAGGCTGAGTCTGAGCAATCAAAGGCAGGGGTTCTCCCAGTCTGGGTGTAGAGCTCGGCTCCTGCCACGCCTGCCCAGAGACTGTGGGTTGTGGGCAGGTTAGGATAAGCAGGAATCCTCTACAGGGTTGATTGGACCTCACAGGAGCTGCCTCCCAGCCTCCATGGCTTCCCAGCGAAGGATAAATTAAGCTGTTGCACATTCATTTCCTTCCAGCAGAAGGACGGGGAGTACAGAGTATCCCAAACAGAATCGTCATGCTCCAATTCATATCCACATTGTCTGGGAATGCATTATGGGCTAGTTGGGGTTAGAGATTTTATTTCACTTTATTTTGGTGGTAACTTCCACTGCCTGCTGAGGCAAGCGAGTGGCCTTGTTTACGTTAAAAGGATCCCCCTTCAGGTGTGACCTAGGGCGGGATTCCAGTTGGGACCCTGGAGCGGGGATTAGGGGTTAGGAGGGCCTGGGCTGTGACTTAAGTACAGTTCTATACCTTACCTCAAGTTTTCAATATGTTCAGTGTCAAGGCCACTTAGAGAAATGAATCAAATTCAGAAAAGTCAGTGTGCAAGTGTGCACACCCACATTCCCTTTGTGAATCATTTCAGGGGGCTGTGGACTCCCTGATGTCCTTCACAAACCTCCAGTTAGAGCCCTTCTCCAGGGTTTGAATTCAGACTCCATAACCAATGCCCTCCCCTCGGCCATGCCCTCCCTTCCCAGTGTTTCTGACCAGGGAAGAGTCCCTGCCTGTGAGTCTCCCACCCCACCGTTCTCCCACTACCCCCAGCTAATGGCTGACTGTCATCAGATTGTTGGTGATGGGGTGGTGGGCCCGCCTCAGCCTGGGAGTCCTCTCAGCTACCTCACAGGCCCAGGGCAACCCAGGATGAAACTGGCATGCTGGGCTGGAGGCCTTGGGCCCCAGGAACTTACTATGTTGGGCTCCCTTTCCACCTGAGAGGGAGATGCTCACTGATGGTGCATGCCAGCCTGTGATGCTCAGTGGGCCATCCAGCTCCCTGTGAGTGAAGCCTCTGCCCCTTCTCACATCCCCGCCAACTCAGAATTAAACACACGTATGAAGCTCCTTCTGTGTGCCATGCCCTGAGCCAGATGCAGGGATACAGTGTTGACTAAAACAAGGCTTCCGTCCTCATGGAGCCCTTCATCCTAGTGGGGGAGACACACAGCATTTAACAAAATCGGGTGTCAGGTGGGGGTGGGTGCAGGCAGGACAAGGGCACAAGCTGGAGGGATGGAGAGTGACTCAGGGCTGCTATTTTGGGTAGAGGGGTCAGAGAAGGGCCCTCTGAGGAGGGGATAGCCAAGCAAGAATCGGATCACTGGCTTTTCCCACTGGTCCTCCAGTCCTGGATCAAATCTTCAGGATGTGAGTTTCCACAACACTGACTTCAGAGGCCAATGGGTCTGGGAGGAGACAAACAGAAGACAGCTTTTGGGTCCTGCCCTGGGATCTGGCAGCCTCAGCCAAAGTCTGTGCATCTCCTTGAACATACAGGTGGACACCCCCAAGACCAGGGACTGCAGCCCTCCCAGGAGGCTCATCATCCTGAGGTAGGAGGTGGGACTTGACTCTGGAGGTGGGGCTCGGACACTGGACTGAATTGAGGCTAGCTAAAACAGGGATGGGGAGGGGAGGAGGTGGTGAACTGGCATGGTGGAAAGGGAGGCACCTTTCCATAAGACATGCCCACCAGTGTGCCTTGCCAGTTTACCATTGCCATGGCAACACCCAGAAGTTACTGCCTCTTTTCGTGGCAACGACCCAATGCCCTGGAAGTTACCATCCTTTTTCTAGAAATTTCTGCATTATCCTGCCCTTAATTTGCATATAATTAATAGTGGGTATAAATATGACTGCCACCCTGCCTTGGAGCTGCTACTCTGGGCACACTGCCTATGGGGTCGCCCTGCTTGGCAAAGAGCAGTACCTCTGCCGCTTCAGTAAAAGTCACTGTCTAACACTACTGACCCACCCTTGAATTCTTTCCTGGGCAAAGCCAAGAACCCTCCAGGGCTAAGCCCCAGTTTTGGGCTCACCTGCGCTGCATCAATACCAAGGAGTAAGCATTTGCAGATGAGGCCCATGGATGAGGCATGCTCCTCCCAGGTGGTGTCTTGCCATGGAAAGAGACTCCCTGCCATCAGAGACAGTGGCAATTCCTGGTGATACCCAGCTCTGAAAAGGGTATAGGCTCCTCTCTCTTCTCTTGCCCTGGTTGCCCCGACTGCAGAAGCTCTTTCCTCTGGAAGGGGCCCAGGCTGGTGTGTCTGGTAGTCCCTGTCCCAGTGCACAGCCCCTTCAGGGGGACTAAGATGCAGGTCTTGGAAGAGGAGAGGAATGGAAGGATGGAGTGGGGAGAGGTGGCAGCCAGCCAGCTTGTGAACACAGCCCAGAGAAAGGCTGGCTGTGATAAGCTCCCTGCTGCAGGGCCCAGGCCTTATCTCCACCCTGCAGATAGACATCTCTGCTGGGCTAGAAGCTGAGGCCCACCATGGTCCTTGGAGTTCTGTGCCTGACTGAGGAGTGGGAGTGGGGCTGTGCAGGGCCTGTAAGCTCCCTGGCCTGCCTTAGCCGAAGGCCTGGTTCTATAGCTGAGTGTCCAGGGCCTGCCCCGCCTAAGCATTCCTATCCCCAGTTAGTGTCGCCTGGACAAAGAAGATTAATTTGTTGTGCCTCCTCCCCTCTACACGAAAGATTCAGTTCAGACCCCTTATTTTAGAGTAATTCCAGGAAAAAACCCGTCTTGAAGGATGCTTTAAATGTAGCTACCCTTGACACCACTTTAGAGTAAGCTCTTTTTTGAATTGTCAAACTGATGGCTTGAACTCCTCCTGCCCCAAATTAGCAAAACATCAATATCTTTCTTTGGGGTACTTCTAACATCTTCTCAAAAGTACCCCTGAGAGCTGACTTAGTTCAAGAAGGAAGTCCTGACTCTAAACACCAAACCAAAAAATGAAAAATGTTTTAAAAATTAGAGTATCAGATGGAGGATCAGATCAGATCTCCCTGTCACATCCCTTTAGAAAATTCATCTTTCTTTGGAAAATGATAAAATAATAGCTTGCATTTACTGAGGTGAGATGTGGGCCAGACATTTTCTGTTATTCACAGGCAATAACTCATTTATTCCTTACAAGAACCCTATGAGGTAGGTGCTATTTTATCCCCATTTCATAGACAGAGAACTGAAGCTCAGGGAGAAATCAATTCTGCTGCCTTCCACGGCCAGGCCAGATGGAACCTGAATCGCATGAGGTGCCCTTTTGTCCCAGCCAGCCTCCGACAGGCCTCTCTCCATCCACAGGAAGGGTTTTAATCATCTCTCCAGGATCTCTGTCCCTTTCCTCCCAGAAGTCCAGGGGCACCCCTGAATGAGGGCCTCTGTTCCCAGGTTGCAACTCACCTGGCATCAGCTCCAAATAAATCATTTCATGAGAGTTAATAACATAGTCCCTTTAACTGCAAAGTGTTTTCACATAGAGAGCCCGCTAGTCTGCTTTAATGAACAGATAAGAATCTTTGTCATTAACTCAGTTGTTGGCTTGCATGCAAATGGCTATTCTTCTGAGTGCCATGAGACTATTTATGTATTATTTTAAGTATGGAGTAGATATGCTCCTGGTCACCCCTCCGTCTGAGAAGCTCTTATTCCAGTAAGGACCTCTGAAGGCCATTTACACAGATGGGCAGCAGTTCCCCTCTGCAGAGACCCCATGGGTACACTAGAGTCTGGAGGGCTGCTCTCTTTACTCCAGCCCCTCTCCATTGGGCCCACGCCTGAGTTTGGCAGCCACCCCTGTGACCTCCGCCTTCCCATTAGCTGCCTCTGGTTATTACTGTACTAGAGCTGTGTGGCTCCAATAGCCAGGGTACACATGCATACATGCAAGTGCGCATGTGTGGTGGGTGTGCGTACGTGTGCCTGCATGTTTGCACCCTGTGAGTGTGGCGAGTGTGTGAGCAGAGTGCTTAGAGAGTGTGCCTTTACAATGTGTGCCCTGTGAGCATGCAGGGAGTGTGTGTGCATTCGTGTGCCCTGTGTGCCCAGTGCCCACAGAGCCCATCTCCTGTCTCCTGACAATGGCTGCACTTTTGTCACCAGGTGTGATTGATGTTTTGCCGTGTCTTCCTGGAGTGGGGTTTTCTGGGGTGGAGGGTCGCCCTGTGGCCCTGGCATCACTAAAGATCTCGAGGATCTGCAGCTGCTGGAGCATTATTTCCTCCTTCTCCTCTCCTCTCTCCCCAATCGCTGGGATATGTGATCCCTGCCCAGTGGGCTAACAAGATTCTAGCTCTCCCACCCCTATGGGGCCTGCCCTTTCCTTGGCAGAATGCCATCCCACAAGGGATAATTCTGGAACTGAGCCTAGAGAGGGAGGGACTTTGGAAGGAGCACTTTGTGGCCAAGTGTGTCTATGTGTAGAGAGGGTGGGCTCAGGAGGGCCCTCCCCTGATATCTTCCAGGCTCCCGTCAATGTTGATGAATTGCACCCCACCAGGGGAGGGGTGGGCTGGGCTCTCTGCTTCTTGGAGTGGCAGAGTGCATTGAGATGGAGGTGGCGGGTAGTGAGGAGGGCAGAGGCAGGAAAGAGGGACCCTTCCCTTGCCACTTTCCACCATCTTCAACCTTCTAAGCTCCCTTCTGCCCTCTCTCCCCTTCCCCTCTTCTGTGTCTGGATGTGGAAGGGTCTGTCAGGTGGGGTCAACCCTCAGGGCAGAGATTGGGCCATACAGCTCTGCTACAGATGAAGGCATGAAGGCTGGCTCCCAGGACATGCCCACTTTTCCTTTGTTCCCTGTCAACTCTCCTCGCTGGCAGCTTCCCTCACCTCCCACCTTGCAGAAGCTGTGGAAGCAGCCCAGTGCCCCTGTCCCATGGGAACCACAGGAGGGCTGTTGGAAATGTTTGTAATGGAGGAGAAAGAAAGCCATTCTAGAATTGCAGAAGGTCAAGAGGGAAAGGGCCCTTCCAGCCCCACAGTGGGGCCCAAAGAGGGCTGCAGGGGCTGCCTGAGGTCACACAAGAAGGCGGTGGCAGAGACAAGGCTCTAATTCTGCTGGCCTCATCCTCAGGGGACTCTGCAGCTGTCTGCCTCATGCTCCAGAGCTGGGATTAACATAGGGGGCTGAGGCCCCCTCTGTGCTCCAGCCCTGCTCAGTGGCCAGGGAGGGCTGTTAGACACTGGTGATGGTGATGCTTGAACCCGCTTTGCAGACAAGTTATGGTTGGGCCCTGAATGGGGAGGACACTCAGAGAACATTTAGTCCAGACCCATCTCACAGGAGGGCAGAGACCCAGGAAAGTTCACACTGTGACTGGAGGTGCCCAGGGCTGCTCCAGACTCTGAGATCTGAGGGAGGGTCACCTCTTCCGCCTCCTCGCACCCACTCCTCCTCTCAGCCAGGCCCCCAAGACTCCATCCCTCCAGTCAGGCTAAATGCATCCCTGCTCCTAATCCTCAGCTTGTTTTTGACATCCCAGCCATCTGGTGGGCCCATTCTAGTACCTCTCCTCACACCATTTCCACCCTTCTCCAGGCTACCTCTCTGATGAACTGCCTGGCTTCTGCATTTGCTCCATTTCCTCTTCTCAAATTACATGCATAGGTTACTTTGCACTTATTTGTATATTTCCCTGAATGCCTGACATCATTTCTTCATGGTATGACTAGTCTCCCCCATCAGACTGGGTATTCTTCATGGGCCAGTGTCTTGTTTTCTCCCTTATCCTGGGAGCTGCTGTAGGACAGATCCTTTTTCTCTTCTTTCGCCTGAGCACTCCTTGTGGGCAGAGGATAGACGACTTGAAATTTCCAGCTCTGTCTTAACCCTGAGACTCAGTGCCTCTCTAGCACACACAGCAAAGGGGTAGTTACCATTCCCATCCTCCCTTTCTCCTTCACAATGCCCAGCCTCCTCCGACACAGCAAACCCCAAACCCACAGGAGCACCTGCCAATGGCAGCACCATATAGAGGATGGCGGAGCTGGCAAAGCTTGGAGAATAGCTGGGGACCCCTGAAGCTTGTTACTGCCCACCTCTGCCACCTCCCACCACACAACAACTGTCCAAGAGGATGGATGAAGGGAGGGTGTGAACTGGCAGATCGGGGTGTGCCCAGGCTTCATACCATGAGACCCAAGAACCATCAAGACGGAAGGGACAGCACTGGAGGGACCATCTGGCTCCTGGCCTCTTGTTGAGGGTCTTGGCTTGCTCCAGATGTGGGTGGTACCAGACTCGTGGCCACATGACCAGTCAATGCCAGAGTGAGAACCCCACTAAGCCCCTGTAATCCAGCCTAGCACTCTTGCCACTGCATCAGAATGATTCTCTGAACTGCCAGACTCCACTGAGGAGGACAGTGTGGAGCAGCAGGGAGACTTTAGAACTTGGAGCTATTATAACCTGGGATTGAATCCCTGCCTCTACTATTTATTTGCTGGGTGGCATGAGACAAGTCATGTAACTTCTCTTCTCTGAGCCTCAATTTCATCATCTGTAAAATGGGCATAATAATAATACCTACCTTACTTGGTTATTGTGAGGGGTCAATAAAATGATGGCTATACAGTGGTTAGTAGGTAATGAGCTCTCAGTGAATGCCAGCGGTTATTTAATACTCCTACTTCCTCTGTGCTCACTACTCTGTCAGATCTGTGGCAAGGGTATAATAAACATTCACTGAGCCGATGTGGCAAGGATGAGGGCCATAGGGGATGGCTTCCACTTCCCAGTTTCTCTTGCTTAGCCCGAGAGGCTGAAGGAGCAGACAGTATCCCAAGGGAAAGGGCAGGTGCTGGCTTATGCCCATCTCCTTACATGAGGCATCTCTGCTTGTGCCACCAGCTCTCCAAACAAGCTCAGCTCGGTACCTTGCTCAGGAAGGTCTGGTGGTTCTCTGCTTTCAGGAGTTGATGGTTGTCTGCTGTGATAGTCAGCTAGGGATGGAGTTCCCAGTGGAGGAGGGAGTCTGGTTCCTCCAGCAATGGCAGAGGCCAAGCATCTGTGGCATATTCATAGTCTTCCATCTGCCCCAACACTATCCACAATCTGTGACTTAAATGGGGGTCCCACAGCCTAGACCCCACTATTGAGAACATCAAATCCTTAGAGACCCTTCCCTCTTCTTCTCCCACTTAAAAATCTCTCCAACCTCATTCCCTTCACTTTCCAACATCATCAGTTGCCTCCGGATGTAGCAGAAAGCAGGTAGGTTTGGAGCTGCCCGCCAGGTCACTTCTAAGCTGAAGGCACGTTACTTGCCCTCTTTGTGTGCTTGCCTCCTTATCTATAAAATAGCCATAATTCCTATCTTCCACGACTCTTGTTAGAAATACGAGTGTTGCCAGGGTGGCTCACACCTATAATCCCAGCACTTTGGGAGGGTGAAGCAGGAGGATTGCTTGAAGCTAGGATCTCAAGACCAGCCTGGTTAACATGGTAAGATGCCATCTCTACAAAATATAAAAAACAAAAATGTAGCTGGGAGTGGTGGTGCACACCTGTAGTCCCAGCTACTCGGGAGGCTAAGGCAGGAGGATCGCCTGAGCCCAGGATGTCCAGGCTGCAGCACGCTGTGATTGTGCCACTATACTCCAACCTGGGTGACAGAGCGAGACTCTGTCTCAAAAATAAATAAATAAATAAAAGGAAAAATAAAAAAAGAGAAAAAAAGAAATACAAGTGTTGGAATAGCAGGACCTCTTCAGGGAGGCCAGTGGACACTGCCTAGAAGTGGTGATTCCCATGTTTTTACATATGGGGACACCAGGGCTCAGAAATAGTGACATATTGGCTAAAGGTCACCTGGCAAATGCACTGTCAGACTCCAGGAGTCCCTGCCAACCTATCTTAGAACATTTTGACCCTTCAAATGAGAGTTTCCTTCTCTAGCCTACTTATTGTGTTTTCCATTTTCTCAACTGGGCTCCAACCCCACTTCCCACCCCCCACTCCCTGAAGCCTTCTGTTAAGGGGAGCACACTGAACTGAAGTTAGTGTTTGTTAAAGACAAGCATGGAGAAGCGTCCAGGGCTGGTGTGGAGAGGACAGTGGGAAGCGTGGGGCTGGGGCTGGGGCAGGGTGGGCTCCGGGCGGTTCCTCTGAATCTCCTGGTCTGCCTTCACCAGCCCTGGCTGTCTGAGAAATCTCATTTTGCTAGCGAACTGATTCATGGGCCTGGCTCCCTGGTGCTCCCTGAGCAGCTCTCTTGTCAATAACTATTCTTTACAAGGTCCCTCGATTCGTTTTCGGGGTTGAAGACAAATTTTTAAAGAGGAGTGCAAGGACCGGGGCCATTCCAGAGGGGCTGTTAACTAAATGTCCTGCTGCATTCCCACCAAGCCGGCTCCCGCTTGAACTCCACGAGGGTCAGGAGTTGGCGTTTCTTGCAATTGCTTCTGAGTTCTCGCATTTGGACAGGGGGTGAGGGATGAGGAGAGAGGGACACAAATTACAGGACAGGGCAGCAGGCATGGCTCTGGCTCTGTTCCGAGTTTGTTGTGTGCCTTTGGGCCAATTGCTCCTCCTCTCTAGGTCCTCGTCTCCCTGTTTGTGAAACCCTGGGTGCCTGCAAAAAGCATTCCACTTTTCTCCTTGGGGTGGCCTGGTCTCCGAAGCTTATCTGGGAAAGAGATCTCTGCAGCCAAGCAGCTCATGTCTCCTCCTCATCGTCCCTGTGTGGGATGTATAGTTGCCGAATTCTGCAGCCGAATACCAGTTTGCTCCCAGCTCTCTGTACCTACTGCTCTGGCTCAGGGCCTCATGCTTTCTGCTGCAGCATCCTCTTAACCGATCCTCTTTCCCCTCCATCATTCCTTCCTTCACAAGAGCTAAACCTCATGTCTGAGCCTGATTCCCATCCTTGCTGGACCGATCACCCTCTCTGGTCTCTGCGCCTTTGCATGTGTGTTTTCTGTGCTTCCCCTCTCACCAGGGACTCATGTTCCAGGCATAGGGAAAGCAAGTGCAAAGTCAGGCAGCAAAACACAGGGTGTGGAGTCTGTAACTTCTGTCCTCCTTACCGGACTGTCCCTGGCCTTGTCCTCAGCAAACTCAGCTTCAGTTGTCTTCTCCTCTCCTCCTTTGTGCCCTGTCAACCCAGGGTAAAGGTCTGTCATCATCCCAGATGACAGTGGGCAGATGACTTGTCCATCTTCCTTACGGGGCTGGGGGCTCCTTGAGGACGGATCCACAGTTTTGCTTCCCAGACTCCCCATCAGGGTCCAGGGTGTAGCAGGAGCTTAATGCACTGAAGAAACAAATGCTCCATGTTCCAAGTTTCACAGCAGCAACCCACCCCACCTGGCACACTTCCCCAACGTAAGGTATTCTTCCTCAACTCACATCCCTGCCCTCCTCATCTCTCTCTTATAAGAACTCCAAGGGGATGAGGTGATGAACCTCAAGTAAGGTGGTAGAGTGTGCAAAATCCCCCAATATGGGATAATGTGAAAGCCATTTAGAGTTTGCATTTGGACTTAATTTGGTAGGCAATCATTTGTTGAGCACTTGCTGATTCCAGGCACCAGGTTAAGCACAAGCGGGTTAAAAAATGACTGAGACCCCCATACCCTTCCAGGAGTATGTAGTCAGGGCAGTGTTTGAATGGCAGATATCTGTTGTTCTGGGAGCTCAAGGAGACCCCCCCCCCGCCCCCGCGCCAAGCTCCCCTGTGGTTCTGCTTTGGGCTCAGCTTTCTGGTAGCTCCTTACTTGCTGCTGAGTTGCACCTGTTCTTTGTTGCTAAACGTATCTTGGGCACAGCTGGTCAGTCTCTAGTCTTCCTTTCAGACCTATGCCTTGCCTGAAAATTAAGACCTGGTTGTGCCAAAGTCCATTCATTGATATCCTCTACGCGCAGCTGTCTGTACTAGGCATGCTGTCTGCGGGAGCTGTGCAGAGTGCTTTCCATACATGATCCTATTTAATCCTCACAACCACCCTAGGCTGCACCATCAGCTGAGCAGATGATTGTGGGAGGCCAGGCTTCCTTCCAGAGTGGGGAACAGCATGTCTGGGCAGGTGCCAGTGTAGCCCCAGTTCTGCTGCTGGCTGCTTCTGGGACACATGCTGGTTAGTGTTCCTTTCCTTTCCAAAAGTGGCTGCCAGAGCCACCTGTCTATGGGCACTGGAGGCTGGCCAGGTAGCCTTGGCTGAGCTCCTGCCCCTCTCAGGCCTGAGCTCCTGTGCCCCCTAGGCTGCTGCCTGTGCTGGGGTGTGGGCTCCCAGGGCCTCATGACAGGCTGTGTGCACACTCACAGGTCAAGTGTGGCATAAGATGCAGCTAGTCCGCGGCCCACTGGTGGGGAGGGGCACCCCAACATGCCTGTGCTCTCTCCTGCCTGGTTTCTAACATGTAGATCCCCAGGCTTTCTCCATCAGCCGCAAGGGGGAGAGAAGGGAGGATTCCCTGAGAGGTGGTTACAGGGAGGGCCACCTCTGAGAGGTGGGCAGTGAAGGAAGCTGAAGTAACTCAGGTAGGCACACCAACCCTCTCACCTCTCTCCTTAGTTTTCTGTGCCCCCCAGAAGACCTTTCTCTGCAGTCCCGAGGCCTGCCCTTCCCTCCCCTGAGCCAATCAGAACAGAGCCTTAGAGGAAGCACCTCTTTATAAGGGCACATTTGTGGGTCAGCGGATTCTTCATCCCTTGACCTGGGCATCCCAAAGTACCAGAGGGTCTTAAAGGACCTGCATGTTGGGGGAGGAAGAGCGGGACCACAGCCTGGTCTAGCCGAGTTTTGGTCTCATGTCATGTAGTGTGCCCACAGTGTGTGAGTGTGTGTGTGTGCATGTGTGCACTTGCTTGTGTATGTGTGTATGTTTGCCCATGCACATAAGGAAGAGACAGAGCCAGCCACCATGTACTCTCTGTTCATGGGAGCTGCTGCCCCCACCTCCAGTCTGACCGCTTCCATTTATTTAAGAAAAATCCGACACAGTGGTGGGTAGAACCCGAGAGAAAAATGGCTGTGGGATGGGGTAGGGGCGACACTGGCTCCCTTCTGCATTTGCCCACCCTGAAGTCCCTCACAGCATTCCCTGGTGCCCTCTACTCCCCTCCCGGGTTCCGTCTTGTGGGGCATAGGTGGCTGCCTGCCCTGTGCTGCAGAGGGAAGTCGCAGTCAGCAGGGTGACGGGTGGCTAAGGCGTAGTAGTGTTGACCTTGCTGTGGGGGACGGGGAAGGCAAGGAGGTCCCCAGGCCTCTGGCTCTGGGGTGTGATTTGGCTAGAGATGGATCCAGGACTCTTTCCCCTTTAGGTCCCTGCCCAAAGCCCTTGGGGCAGAGGTGGGAGTCCTGAGAACTCAGGAAGGTGCCTGGCTTGGCACCAGACCTCTCTGTAGAGTCAGCTCCCAGGTCCTGGGAGGCACCCGAATGCCAGCAGATGCTACAACTGTCCCCCTAACCCCCAGATATTTCGTCCACAGCAAGATCCTTGGCAGGGCAGGCAGCTGCCACCTCCCCACCCTGCAGGACAGAAATCCCTGAATATTAGTTTGAGGAAAGTCTTTGTGCAGCCTGTGACACAAGACCCCCACAGAACCCCCTGCACAGGGGGACGACACGGGGGACGGGAGGCGGGCCCGGGACACAGCGTGGGCCCACCTGACCCCAAGCTGGACCTCCTTGCCTCACTCTTGGGGCAGGGGGTTGCTTAAGATGGGAGGAGGTTTGGAAAGGGCAGAACAGAGGCTGGGGTTGCTTTCCTCCTTACGAGCCACTGGAGGAAGAGCCCTCCACCTGCAGGGGGCAGAAGAGGGTAATGGCGTGAGGCGAGGGAAGGCCCAGACACTGAGGCGGCCCGCTCCGCACGGAGCCAAGCTGCAGGGGCAGGGAGTACAAAATCAATTCAGCCGCCCAGAGTCAGTGTGAACCGGGGTCCCGGCTGTGTCCTACCCCGAGCTGACCCCGTTGGGGGGGGGGGTCCCTGCTACTCCGGCTGGCGCCTCTATGCAATCTCTTTGATTCTGCGCATGTAATTGTGCAGGTCCGGGGGTGCAGTGGGCCGCGTGGGGCCCGCCACATCCGGGCAGCCCCAACCCAGGTCCTCTTCCTCCTCCTCGTCCTCTTCGCCCGCGGGCACCGAGTCATAGGCCAGCTCCTCTGACGGCAGCGTGGTGAAGGTGGTGAACTTGACCCGCTTGCGCTTGGAGGTGGGCGAGCTGGCGGGGTCCTCGGCTTGGTCTCGGGCTGAGCCGCCCGAGGAGCCGTCGCCCCTGCCGTGCACCTGGCTCTGGACGCTGGTCTGCGAGCTGCCGCTGCTGTGGTGGTCGCCGTGGCAGAAGGCGGGCACGGTTTCCAGCGGGTTGCCTGCTGGCGGCGACAGCTCTCCTTGCACCCGCAGCGGCTGCCCGTTGCCCAGGAACACCCAGTGGTGAGAGTGGTCCATGCTGGTCTGGCCCTCGGGCGGGATGCGCTTGTGCCGGTAGCGCAGCACAAAAACGATGCAGTTGATGAGGAAGACGAGGATGGCGAGGCAGAAGACGCCCAGCAGCGCGTACATGCCGATCTCCAGGTCTGTCAGACCCCGTGGCACCTGCAGGAAGCCGGTGGGCAGCGGCAGGAAGTCTTCTGTGGGTGGCACGACGGGGCTGGCGGTGCCCGGGCCTGGAGCCTCCGGTGCGGGTAGCGCAGAGCCCGGCGGGCCAGCTCCCCGGGCCTCGTCCTCGCCCCCGCCGGGCCCTGGTTGGCTGGGGCCCGGGTAGTCATAAGTGGGGTCCTCCTCGTCCCTCCCAAAGTGCACCCGCAGGCCCACAGGGGTCGTGGCGAGCACACTCTTGCGTTTGGTTTTCTGGCAGCTCTCAGCGATGGTTAGCTCTGCGCGAAGCAGCTCCCCTGACCCCTCGGCCTCAGCCACTACCAGAGGGAAGGCCCGGTCCTGGGTCACAGTGGCCACATGCTCATCCAGGCTGCTCACTAGCAGTCCATAGTCTCGTGGGCTGTAGAGGGAGAGTGGGGCTGTGGTGCCATCACTGTAGGAGAGCCAGAGGCTCAGTAGGGCTTCCTGGAGGAGAAGGAGAAGGAGGGGATAGGAGTCAAAGAGCTGGTTCAGCTGGCTTCCTGCTAGATCCTGGGCTCTGTAGGGGCAGGGACCACGGGTCTCTGGCTCCCTGCTGTATTCTCAGCACTGGAACTGTGCCTGTGACCTGTGGCGGGCATTCAGGAACTACTGTTCAAGTGAGAGTCCTCCTCACAGGGTGTGGGGAGGGTAAATCCCAGACCATGGCATCCAGGCCTCATACTGCTCTGAGGATGCCCTTGTCCACTTCACCCTTCTCCCCTGGATAACCTAAAGGTAAGTTTTGCCTTGGGTCTAATTCAAGTCCCTTCTGCTGCTGGAATAGCTCCATATCTCCATGCCTAACCTTGGGCTTACCCCCATCAGACAACAGGCTGTTGAGAATACACACCCCCTCCCCACTTCTGCCTGTTGGCTAAAACCTTCTGAGGATTGCCCTCCCTCCAGATGAGGAAGCAGGGTTCAGAGAGAAGTGATTGCCTTGGGGTGATGGAGTGAGTTAGGGACAGAGGACCCGTGTCCTAACTCCGGGCTCAGCACTTGATGCTCACCTCCTCACTCCCCAGGACTCTCACCTGTCACCTCCTCACTCCCCAGGACTCTCATCTGTCACCTTTCCACTTTCATCCTGTGGCTATGCCTGTGGTGTATACTTGGGGCTCCAGAGTTGAGTGAGGGTACTTCCTGGGGGTGATGTGGAGGTGACAGCCCTCTGTGAATCCAGGAGGGAGACCCTCAGAGGGAACATCTCAGGTGGCAAGAGCAGCAAGCAAGACCTTGCTCTGACCTCCCATGTAGATGTTGTGGCCATAGGGTGGGCAGTTGTGCAGGGCATGGAGGGCAGAGATCCTCCATTTCCTAAAGCCCTAATATGGGGACTCTTGGTGCTAGGGCAAAGCAGAGCCCCCAAGTTCTCCTTCCATACCACCAACTCCCTGGCTGGTGGGCCAAGGAGCCAGTTACCTGCTTGAGGAAGCTCAAGGTCTGTTGGGCAGCTGTGGTGGCTAGGATGGTGTGGCTGCTCCCAGGGCTGGGCCGCAGGGAGAGGGCCAGGCTGGCCACCACCTGGGCCTGAAGCTGTGTGATGCTGACCTTCTCCTCAGTCACCGTCAGCAGCGTCTCCCCGAGCACAGCCTCCGTCAGCGGAGACACCACCTGAGGCAGAGCGGGACCGGGGTGGGAGAGAACCAGGAAAGCACACCCCCCTGCCCAAGACCCCCAGCTAGGGAGAAATCCCAGCACTGCTGGAAGAGGGGCCTGAAGGGTGAGGCAGGCTGGGAGGCAGGACTTCGCAGCTCTGCCTCAGGTCTGCAACCAGGAACCAGTGTCCAGAGGTCATGAGAGGGTCGGGGGCTCACAGGAGCCAGGCGGGAACACAAATGAGAGAGGTGGGCCAATTCTAAGGAAAACAACAACCCCCGCATGGTGACTAGTAGCAATTGATGTGCAACCTCAATGTCAGGGAGACAAAAGGGAGTGGCGACAACTTAGAAAATGAGGGAACTCATTCTCGTGTATAGGAGGCACCAATACTGGCTTTAGCTGATTGTTACCAGATTCATTTTTTGTGAAACCAGAAATCTCTATATATTTTTTAAATGAGAAATCTCCCAATTTAAAACACATTGGATCAATTGTTTTACAAAGAAGATATGTCTGCAGGCAGATTCTAGCCCACAGATCACAACAGTTTCTTAGGTAGATGATTTCTATCCAGACACCCAATTGTCAGGGTAGAAACAAGTCAGGAAAGGTCAAAGTTGAGTTCCTAGATCACCAAATGCACCTTCCTGGACTCTAGGCTGGCTGACTCTCACCTGCTCCCCCTCTGCTCTCAGGGAGGGGTCTGCTTGAGTCACCCACACTGAGGATTGATAAAGGTTGATACAACTTGGAGTGAGAACTTTTACCAAGATGAAGCTAAAAGAGCCTGACCTTGGAATTTCAGACAAGGGGCAGGCAGGGAAGAGTGTTCTGGGGGCCAGTTGGGGTTAGGAAAATCTGAGTTCTGCACCCACAGGTAAATAAGGCTCCCGACACTGCCCCTTTGTGCTGGGACAGAGCCCATACCTACCTTAAAGGGGGTGGTGCCTGGCTCCAGTCCTGCCAGCGTGCTGCTGTCCACCATGTGTGCCACTCGGGGATCGCCCACCCGCATGAAGTCACTGACTAGGTCGGTGACCTCCACCAGCCAGTCCGGGCCTAACATGGTGACCACCTGGTCAGTGCCCTCGGATGATGTCGTGTGGAACTGGGTGAAGACCTGCAGGGTGGCATGCTGGTACTGCAGGGTGCAGCCACGGCTTGCACTCTGCCGCCGCTCCTCCTCCTCCTCATCCTCATCCTCGCTTTCCCGGACTGACCTGGGGTGGGGACATGCCATGCTGAAGGCTTCTCACCTGGACTCTGACCTGCACAGTACACACCCCGCACCCTTGCCCTGTTGGGTCCTCCCAGCTTCCCAGAAGCTCTGCAAAAGCAAGCTTCCTCTATGGCTCATGCCTTCCATCTCTAAGTTGGGAACCAGGAGTCCCAGCCTTTTCTCTCCTAGAAAAGTACATTCTTGACCCTACCTCCTGTCCCTCTCTGCCTCTTCTTGGCTTAAGCCAAGCCTAGGAATAGCTGGCGTCAAATCCTAACAGCAACTGCTGCCTCTTCTTCAGTACTAAGTTTGTGCCTGGCACTGTTCTAAGCTCTAACCTGGAGCAAATGTGATCCTTCTTACAGAATGCCAGAAATCTTAGCTGAATTGTGTCCTGCAGTTGTGTGGAAACTAAGCAGGACCTGTAGGTGATGAACTCGGACATTTAACTGAGGAGATTTCCAAGCAAGGTGTGGAAATCGTGGCCTGGTTTCCTCTTGCTGCTTTTAGTCAAATGTGAGAGGAGAGAGACACATAAATAAACTGTTAAGCAAAAGGGAACCTGGACTTGATGATTTGGGAAATTCTCAGCCTGTGCACGTTGCAAAAAATGCTAAAATTGAGAGGTTTACTGCCAGGAAGGTGTGCTTTGGTGAGAAAGCCAAGTGTTTTTCTCTGTAGCTAGTGCTTTGTTAGTGTACTGGAGGATCAAGCAACCAGAATATTCATTCACACAGAGCATTCTTTTACCTGGGTTCATTAATTTATTCCTCACAAAAATCCTATGAGGCAGGTGTTATTGTGCCCATTTTACAGATACGGAGATGGAGGCACAGAGTGGTTATGTAAGTAGCCCAAGTTTACACAGCTAGTAAATAGCAGAGGCAGGACTTAAACCAGGCTGTCTGGCTTCAGAGTCCGCTACATCCTTGCTACTCAAAGCAGTATCGCTATCACCCAGGAGCTGGTGAGAAATGCAGAATCACAGGCTTTACCCCAGACCTGCCCAGTCAGAATCTGCATTTTACTGAGATCCCCAGGTGATTCGTGTACACATTAAAGTTTGAGAGGCACTGGTCTACACACCTTACTCTTCCAAATCTCTCTGAGTTGAACTCAGCCCAATTCTCACTTGGCCACCTGTTTCTCTCACCACCTGCTTCCCTCTCCAGCCCCGCCCACCTCCTGCTCTTAGCTGCCTGTCACTTTCCTCTCTTCTCTTCCCTGCTGTGCTTTTCTCTCCAGCAGCTCTGAGTGGGTGATTGGAATGCGGTGAGTACACATGTATGTGCCCCACGTATGGGCACCCAGGTGCCTGAGCCTACAAGCCCGCAAGGGAGCCTGGGTATGAGTCACAGTGTGTCTGCACTCATGCACTCACTAGTGTGCCCTTGGTGTGCCCAGGCTGGGACACATGTGTACAGGTGTGTCTGCTTCATTTTGTCTGCCTGACTGCAGGCAGTCTCTTAACCTGTCTCCCCAGCCAACTCCTTTCAGTTCATCCTTTAAGACTTAGCTCAAGAGTTGTCTCTTCCAGGAAGCCTGCCTTGACTTCTCCTGGAGGGAGAGGGGGTTCTCTCCTTGTGCCACTTGATTCCCTGCACACGGGGCTTCCCACCCACCACCATGTTCTGTGGCATGCACATGCCTTCCTCCCCTGCTGGACTGAGAGACTGGCAGGGTCAGGCACTGGCCACATTCACCCCATCTCTCAAACACTTGCCAGTGCCTAGCACACAGTAGCTGGTCAATGAAAGCTTGTTGACTGCACAACCAACCTACAGACTATGTATACCAAGGGCCTTATACCCATATGCAGATCAGACTGTGGGCCGAGGCTGTATCCACCCATGAGTTTCCCAAGTATCCGCCATGGGAGAGGGGCTGTACCTCCGGTCGGGGAGGATAGGTACCCTCCAGCCCTTCACTTGGCTGAGGCGGGCATCTGAGAGCTCAATGTGCAAGGGCAGCTTGGGGACCCAGACTGTCATTTCCAGGGGAGCATTGAGGACGTCGTAGCGGAAGGTGACCCTGGCGTTCATGGACCCTCGAGACTCTTTTCCACTCACAAACACGTAGTCACAGCTGCTGGATACCTGGGGGAAGGGAGGAACAGTTGGCACATCTTCCCTACAGGTCTTCCTGTGAGGCAGTGCGGAGGACTTCAGTCTGACAACCAGGGCTGGAGGGAAAGTCCTAGGAGGCTGAAGGGGAGGAGGCCAGTGGAAGGAAGCACTGATTCCTCTGGGAGTCCTGGCTTCTATCACTGCTTCTGCTCTTTCTTGAGATCACCTCTTGGTGCCCACTGGGGGAGGATTTTGTTCCTTAGTAAGGAGCCAACATGCAAATGCTTTTACAGGGGCTGTTCCTGACCTGCCAGAGCCACGCTTTGGAGGACGCTCCAGGGTGAGGGCCTCTCAGGGCTGGCTCCCCTCCCCCAGCAAGACTGACGGGGCTCTGGAGCCAGGGGTCTGGCAGGTAGAGTCCTCTATGATGCAGAAAAAGGACATGGGCACTTGACTGGGCAGGGAGGAAGTTGAGGTGCAGGGGATGGGGATGGGGGGCAGACCCATGTCCTCCACGGCCTCTCTGGCATGGCTGCCCCAGGAGAATGGGCAGGTAGTTAATTTCCGGTGAGGGGGGCTGCTTAACCAGGTGTGGAGATGAGGGAATGGGAGAGGAAAACTCAGGACCTTAGAACCCCAAGCACAGACGGGTGAATGGCTGCCACCAATGGATGTGGCTGTTGTAAATGCCTGCCCACCTGGATACTGACTTGCATTCCTAGAGGTTCCCTGGATGGAAACCACATGCCTGCTGAGTACATCTTCATTGATACCTGTGCCCACTCACAGAGGTGTCACTGCCAGTACTTTAGGGCAAATGCAGATGGCTCTGTGTGTTAAATATGCCCACGCACACACCTGGCACCCCAGAACGGATCCTGTGTGTACATGCATCTAGGTGCTCATGCTGGTGCACGTCCATGGGTGCATGGTCTTGAGTTTGGGGGAAGGTCTATCATTCAGCTGGTGGGCTGATGATGCCCTGAAGGCTCTGGAAGGACCCAGGGGCTCTGGGACTATGGTTTATCCATGGAGATGAGCCCCTGGGGCATCCCAAACGCTGCCAGCTCCCATCATCATCTCAGAGGGGTGGGTGGAGGGATGGGACAGCAGCCCTGCCAGAAATGCTCATTTCCCACCTCGGAAGGCAAAGAATTCCAACGCAGACCTGTAAATTCCACTTAGAATGTGGCAAACTCCGTAAAGACCTGAGTATATTTCATCAAGATTTGTAACCAATTTCATTTAGAATCTTCTCTGATTACCCCTTGGTTCTGGTCTGCTCTGGAGCTGGGATGGGGGAGTCTGGGTGGCAGAGAAGGTGCTGGGTGAGGGCCCTTGGGAGCAGGCCTGTTTCTTCCCATCCCAGTCTTCCAGCAGTGGACAGCTCACAGGCTTCTGGTGAGGCTTCTCTGAAGGGGGTGATGCAGTGGAGCGGGGGTTCCAGACCATCTACTCTGGCTCCCTTGGAAGGCATCCTTCCTGGATCATGGATAGATGAGGTGAGCCCCATGCTTCCCAGACTTGGAGGGACCCAAAGGCAAAGCATAGAGAGAGAGACAGCAGGAGGGAGCCCAAGTGACAAGGAGGAGAAGGACATCTGCATTCCAACTGTCCTGCTTTCCTTCAAGCTGAATTATTTACAGGAGCAAGAACAAATTCAGTTGTCTAACCATCTGATTTTGATGCCTACTGGAGGGTGGCATAGTGAGTGGCTGGCCCACCCCACAGTTACCAGGGCTGGACATCTGCTCACACCACTGCCCACTCTACTGCCTCCTCTTCCCAACTCACTTCTGACCACTGTTCAAAGCCAGGGGAAGGAGGGAATCTGGAGCCCTCTTGGGGAGGTGGCAAACTGGGTCATTGAGTCAGATGAGTGTCATGTGGGCTGGGCTGTGGGGGACCTGGGGCCAAAGCAGGTCCCTGGGAAGGAGCTCAGGGGTGGGGTGGGAGCTCACGGCTGACAGGAGCCTTTAGGAGTTGGAGAAGCTGGAGCGTGTGTGCCGGGAGTGGGGCCCTCAGTACACAACCTTCATGCCTGGCCTAACTCATATGTTTCTTGAGGCTTCTTCCTGAGCTACATTGCCTTCATCTGATCACTTGCACTCTGGGTTCACGGCAGGTCTTTGAGGGGTTGTCTCCCTCACCCACCCCCTGCTGCCTTGCCAAGTGTCTGCACACACCAAGGTTCAATAATGTCTTGCTAGATTGATTTCAAGTTGTTGACACTGCTTTCTCCCCCTCTGGCCTGACTGTCTGTTTCATATTCCTACAGGAAGCCCTCCAGGACTGGCCAAAGCAATATCCAGGGGCAGGAAGAGGGAGTATCATGGGAGTCAGTACACTTGAGAATCAACCCTTTCAGAATGGTGTGGTGAAGCTTGGGATGAAGTAAGGCCAGTGCTGTAGGAGGAAAAGGTGGGGGCAGCTGCTGCAACAGAAGGGGTCCCAGCACAGGGAGGCCTGGGTTCAGTGTTAGAGGATGAGTAAGAGTCAGCCACCTGGACTCTGGTTTGAGGTTCTACTCTCCTGAAGGCCTAGGGCTTCTTCCCCAGGGGCCCCACCTCCAGGATGCCCACCTTGATGATGTCTTCATTGTCAGACTCGCATTCCACTAGGGCGGAGATGTCCAGGACGAGGCCATTCACCTCGATGGCAATGACCTTGACAGGGATGGCCACTGTCCGGCCAGTCAGAATGGCCGTGTTGATGATCTCTGTGTCCTGCAGGGAGGAGAAGGGGGGGGCTCTACTTGTGGTCCCCTTCTGTCCTGGGACACACTAGCCAAGGCCCCAGCTCCTGGACGCTCCCCCCCCACTCCTCAGATGCACATCCTTCCAGTGGGGACACTTGCACCCGTGTGCAGGGATAGGCAACCACCCCTCCTGGCACTCCTTGACAGATGGTCTGCTCACTCGGGCTTTTGCAGGAACCTCAGGGTCCACCTCACTGTGCTGCCGGGAAACAACCCTTCCCCAGGCCCCTGCCATCTCCTCTTAAACAGCTTCCAGGCTCCTCAGGACTCACACAGTAACATCCAACACATGCCTGGCTATTCAAGCTGCCCTGGGCTGGCCCCAGACAATCATTCCAGCCCTACCACTCCATGACACTCTTTCTAAATCTATAGTTCTTTTGAACAAACTACTCATATTCTCACTACTGTACCTTTGCCCAAGTAATGCCCTGCCTGGGACACACCCTGCATCTCTGGGAGGCTCCCTCCCAGGTGACCTCCAAGACTCAACTGCATTGCTACCTCCTTCTGCAAACTTCCCATCAGTGGTCCCTCCATGGTGACATCTCCCACCTCTGCCCCCCTGAGCATCTGCTGTCCTCATGGCCCGACAAATATAAAACACATGCATGCACCTTCTCACACAGGCATACCTGGGCATGGCAGGAAGTCTCACATATACACACATGTCAATTTGTACATATACTCAGTGGTTCACATTCTTGTCACACAAATGTGCACACATGCATAGACCCAGGCATCTTCTGGGCTGGTCACCTGCCTGCTCACCATGGCCAGGGGCAGGATGGCTTGCACATCCCGCTGAATGACCGTCAGCTCAGTGACTGCCCGCTCCAGGTCAGGCAGGGCGCCGTGGCCACGGTAGTCAATGTGCCACATGATCCTCCGCTTGACTGACTGGCTGGTGAAGTTCTCCATTTCAAAGTCCAGCTGCAAGATCTCCAAGGGGCCCTGGCCCTCCCTGCCAGGGTAGGGGAGGGAAGGAGAGCAGAGGATGAAGGGCTGGGAGCAGCCCAGGAGCTCAGAAACTCTCAGTGGGGACCCCACCCCTCCCCGGCAGCTGCCTGATGGGGCCCTCTGGGCCTTCTCCAGCCCATCTGAGGTGCTCCAGCCCCAGGATCCCACTGAGGGGCCTGGACCTCAGAGACCCCAATGACCGAGCCCCAGCCCTCCCCAAGCCTAGCCTCCTCCTTCAAAGATTCCCCACTCCTCTCAGATGGCTGCTTTGCGAAGAGGTGGGTAGATGCACCACCTCGGGCTCACCTGGGGGGCAGGGGTGTGCTCTGAGCCCAGGCCACATCCACGGTGGCTGTTGAGTGCTTTGCCCCAGTCAGCAGCTCCGAGGTCACATGCCACTGGCCACTCCGTGACTTGGTACCTAAAAGGGTCACACCCTTCTTGGCCTTCACCCTGGGACAAAGTGGGAGGAAGAAGAGGGAGAGGGTCAGGCTACAGCCCAAAGCTGCCTGCCTGGCCACCATCACTAGACTGTACTGGGGGGAGGGGGAACAGATAAGCTAAGTTACCCCGAGTCCTGGATGTTTCAGATGAATGTTTCAGATGAACTTGGGGAATCTGGTATCACACAGCTGAAAACTCTGACCCTCGGTGAAAGCTGCAATCCCTTCTACCGTATCCCTGCCAAGTCTTTGCCTAATCTCTACTGGCATACCTTAGTGACAGGGGACTCACTACTTCTGCACACATCCCATTCCATTTTCAGAAAGACCAAGAAAACTAGAAAGATCTTCCCTGGATGTAGCTGAGCTAAAACAGCCACAGGCTCTGCTGGGCAACAGAGAACAATTCCCCTCTGTCCTAACTGTAGTAGTTCTTCAAAAAGCTGGCGAGGTGAGTAGGTGTTCTCTGAATCTTCTTTCCTTCAGTGCCTCCAATTGTTTTTTGCCATAGTTCTGAATCACCTCACAGCCAGTCACACTCCTCTGGACACTAAATGTGAAGTATCCCATACTAAATACGACACTTCAGCTGCACTCCAATGAACATTGGCTAAAGCAAGGTGATTGCCACCTCTCTAATTCTGCAAGCTCTACTCCTATTAATGCAGCCCAAGATCTCTGATGACTGATTTCACTTATGTTCACATTCAGGTATCAATCACTGAATGAGGCATGACCCTTTCCGACAGCATTTAAACTTGAAGGTAGGACACTGAGGAGACAGGGAAATACTTAAAGAAGCTGCAGGCTTATAGTGATGTTTCAGGTCCAAGGCATAGTGCCTGGGGCTGAGGAAGCATTTTGGTGGGTGTCCTCAGAGTCACACAACATAACTCAAACCACAGATTCCTAGTGTGAAATATTATCATTTTTGGGGTGGATGTGATACAATTTAAGGCATTTTTGAGTTTGCAAACTGTGTCCTTTTCAAGGTGTAGAAGGATAGAAAGAGCTGGGAATTCTGAAAATTTTTCTCCCAACTCTAGGACTGGGGCAAATGTCCCAAAACACACACACACACACACACACACACACACACACACACGATTCTTTTGGCTCCCAGCCAAGAGGCTGCTCTCTGGACCCAATTTCTCTTCCTTGGCCTCAGTCTCCTTGTCTGTAAAATGTCTAAGGGCCCTTCTAGTCCCAGTTCTATTATTCTGGAAATCTATGCTTGTGAAACTGATATTTCCTCTTTACCATGATGCCATTTCTATGAGATCCAGAAATAGGGGCAGGAATGTTTGTTGCCATTAGACAGATAAGAGCCTTGAGGCTCCAATAAGCGAGGTATCTTCCTGAGGTTGCTCAAGTGCTAAGTGACAGATCCGGGATTAGGATGCTGGACAGGGATACAGCTGGGAGGTCCCCCCACCCCCCAACCCACCCACAAGGAGTCAGGTATGCATTTGATCTTGGAAGGGAAACCAGATCCCCACCCATCTTCCCTACTACCTGAGTGTGAAGTGCTCCACGCTGGGGCTGGAGGGCGAGGAGGAGTTGGGGGCCAGATAGAGGAGGATGCTGAGCACTTCCCCGGGCTTGAGGGGCCGGTCTGGCAGGCGGATCATCAGGTTGCTGTCCAGCCTGTGCTCCTGCAGGGTCCTCCTGGGGGGCGGGCGGAACAGGCTGATGCTCCCGATGCGCAGCAGGGGGTGCTGGGTAGGGCTTTCCGCTCGGGCCCCCACCCCGGGCCCGGCCCCCCGGCGGGAGCCCCCGCAGCCCCCCGACGCATCAGGGGCGTGGAGCGTGTAGTAGAGCTCGGCCTGCTGGCTCTCCCCCGTCGCCTCGGGCTCCAGCCCGTCCGGGGACTTGCGGCGGGCCGTGGGTGGCGCAGCGGGGGCTGGGGGCCCGAACCAGGCCAGGGGCAGCTCTGCCCGCACCAGACAAGTGGCCAGGCCCCCGCTGAGGCGGCAGGAGCTCTTGACTTCCCGGGCATCCCGGAAGGCATGCAGGCGGACACAGGGCAGCCGCTCGGTGACGCCGAAGTCGTCCCAGTCCCGGCCGGCTACGTAGAACAGCACCTGGACCACGGGCTGCGAGGCGGGCACGTGCGAGCGGACGATGAAGGCCCGCACCTTCCAGTTCACCGTCAGGCGCTCGGGGATGTCCAGGGTGCTGGACGGCTGCAGGAGCTCCCGCGCCACCACCTGGCTGGTGCTGAAGGGCCCCAGAGAGACGTTGAGGACCGGCAGCTCCTTGGTCTGGAACACCACGAAGGGCTCGGAGCGCTGCAGAGAGCTGTTGGCGACCGCGGGTGACGGGGGCCGCGCCTCCCGCAGGAAGAAGGCCAGCCGCGTGTGCGACAGGCGGTAGCTGACTGGCAGCACCGGGCTGGCCTGCGGCCCCGGCGGGCTGGGGCTGGCCGGGTGGGAGCGGCCAGAGGCTGGGGACAGACAGAGGAAAGAGGCCCAGGGTGGTCAGGAGAGGCCACGCTGGGACCCCAGGGTGCCCCCAGGCTCGTCTCTCCCACCCCACAGAGGGCTGCCAACTCCTCTAGCTGGGCAGGTTCAGCCTGGCTGTCCATCCTCCGGTGGGCCCCAACCCTGGCTCAGGCCTGGCTCCCAGAGCTCCAAGCCTGGCACCCCCTTTGCTGGTATGTGAATTACCCTCTCACCCACCGCTTCATTTATTTACCTGCGACATAGGGGTAAAGATAATACCGTCGCAAAACCTTGTGAACCTTCAGGAGGTTCTATCCCCAGCGCCCTCACTTGTAAAACAAGTATAAAAATTGTTTCTGCCTCAAAGTGCCATTGTGAGGACTTTCAAAGTCGTGCGCATAGAGGGCTGAGTGGACTCTGGTGCTGAAAAGAGTCCCTGTGATCCCTGTGTATCCTGCACTGCGCTCCGTGTGGGACAGGCCTTAGCGTATTTCATCCTCAGATCAATGCTCTGAGGTACCTCTTATTATGATCTCCATCCACGCGACCAGTTTTCTATCAGTAACTTCCTTTTTGAGTGCCAATCCTAACATCTTACAGATAAATGAACTAAGGTGCAGGACACTTAAATAATTTAACCAAGTTATATGGGCAAAGGGGCCAGCAGTGGGACTTGAACCTGGGGTCCCCTGACTCTCGAACCCAAGCTCCTTAGTATTGTACCTGCTCTCTCAGCTGGTGTAGGGTCCCCAGGGATCCAGCTCTCTCCCTTCTCCCTTTGGCCACAGACTATATAACCAGGAAATTTTATCCTCAGTCTCCCACACCTAAACATGGGCCTCCTCCCTCCTCTTAACTGCCTCTCCCTACCCACCAAGGAAGCTGCCAACTTCTGGCAATTCCACCTCAGGCTGCCCCTTGTCCTCCCTCCCTGCCCCCATTCTGGCCTTACTGCTGTCGCTATGACGACATACCACTGGCCAATAGGGTCTCCCCTCCTCTCTGGCATTCTCCTCCCCCACACAGTAGCCAGAGTATTTTTTTCTCCTGGACACAAATCAGACATTGTTGCCCCTCTCACTCCCAGCCCAAAACTCGTTGGACACTGTCAAGGAACAGGAAGGACCCAAACGGAGGTTTGAGGTTTGAAATCTTATTTTGGATCTCCCCAAGAACCTCCCGAGTCACATTCCTCAACTGTAAAAACAGGACAATGATAACAGTAATGCTGGTCTCGCAGGAGGCTGTGTTGTCATTTGTTTTGTTTCTCAGAATCAAATAAGAAAGCACTCTATAAATTGTGCAACACAATGCAAATGTGTGTATATCAAAGAAGCGCTCCTATCTGCTTACAAAATAAAATCCAAACTCACTTTGTACCTGAGTGTGACATTCAGGGCCCCCTACACAAGGCGTCAGGATCCTTTTTCTCCTAGGACTCCTCCCAATCCCCTGCTGGTGGCGTAACTGGACAACTCACTCACCTTCACACTCACGGCTGCTGCCTTATCTCCCCTCCTTTGTTCATGCTGCACCCTCTGCATTAGATTATCTCCTTTCCTATCTGTGCATATCCAAATCTGAATCTTCCTCCAGGGTCCAGCTTCAATGCCACCTCCTTCATGAAGCCCTCCAAGATGTGCCCTCAACTCCTGGGGGTTTCCTCAGAGCTTTGTCCTTCTCTGAAGGGACCTCCCATCCTGCCTGTGTGGGAGTTAGTTACCTACCTGGCCTTGCGCCAAGAAAGCCTTCAACAAATCATGGCTGATCTACACTGAGTGATCTGCAGAGACCTATGTCCCAAAGAGGAGACTCCTAGTCAGTACTAGATATTACTTGCAGTTTATGCATATTTATCATTTTACCACTGTCAGTTAAACCTTGGCAGTTTCACAAACATTCACATCCAGTTCCTCGCAAAAGCGGTGAACTAAAAATTCCTTGCTCTTGAGGCTCTGGTCTCAATATCCTTCAAAAAAATAAAATCTGCAGTAATCTTCCTTGTTCAAAAAATAAGGCAACAGGCTTGGGGCATGACAAAGGCCCTCGGGGTCAGTTGTTTTAAGAGGCGTGGCACATGCTCTCACCACTTCTCCTGTGGCATGCTCGGAAGGACGTGAGCAGCCCTTAGGACCAACTGGGGAAATCACCGGCAAGAAATGCTGGGAGCTGATGGTGGGGTGGGGGTGTGCAGCAGAGTCCAAGTGAGGACAGGAAGTTGTTTGCAGAGATGGGGAGAGCTTTTCTGGCTGGTGCCTAGGTCTCATAACGTGTCCCTGCAGCCTGGGGAATGCTGGCCCCGAGGCCAACTGTGGAAATGCAGGGTCCACATTTGGACCCTGCTTTGGAAGCAGCAGCAAGCAGGCGAACCAACTGGCTTTGGGACTCAAGTGCAAGCCCTCTCCCTGCCACAGACTCACTGTGCAAGTTGCTTTCCATTTTGAGCCTCCATTTCCACCTCTAAAGTTGTGGTGGTGACATCAGTCCCTCCCCCTCACAGGGATGTTGAGAGTAGCTGAAAGACCAAGAACAGGACATCCTCTGGGACCTGCAGAGCAGCCCAGGGCAGGGGCACTGCTGCATGTATGGGGAGGTACAGGGCCTTTGAGTGCTGAGGCCAAGGTGGGGCCCCACGCTCCTCCCTCTGGGCTGGGAGAAGGGCAGCTGTGGTCAGTGGGCTCTCAGTGCTCACTATCCAGGCTGTAGAGGGACGGGGGGGGGGGGGGGAGCGGGTACTAGCCCTGCCTTAGTTATCCATCCCCTGGAGACCCCAGAGCTGCTAAGTGGCACTTAGTCCCCTTTGCCCTCTCTTACTGTTCCAACTTCACGGCTGACCATCTGGATTCCTTGGAGGCACGGCAGGGGCAGAGACCACCAGATGGGCACCGGACTCAGAGGGGCATGAAGGAAGGGATTGGACAATTGTGACTGCATGCCCCACCCGGATCCCCTCACCCCCCCTGGGGGAGGACCTGGTCTGGCAAAACCAACATCCTGGATCATCCAAACCATTTGCTGTTCTTGGATTACACTGAGAAAATATTTCTACCCCAGGGCCTTTGCATTGCCGTTCCTCCTGCCTTGAATTTTCTCCCCTTGATATTCAATGTTTCTCTCCCCCTCTCTTTTCTCTCTCTCTCTCATCAATCTTTGTTTAGGGACATACTCCTGATCATTTATCTAAAGTAGCGCTGTCTCTCCCCCAGCCCCACCACTGATCTCTCTCTATCCCTTTTCCTGTTTCATTTTCTTCATAGCACTTACCGCCACTTACCTCTATATTATATGCATGTGTCTGTTTCTGCCAACTAGAAATTAAGTTCCACAGGGGCACAGACATGGCTTTACTCCCTGCTCTATTTTAGTGCTTACAACATGGCCTGGCACATAGCAGGCAGGCCCTCAATATATTTTTGTTGAAAGAATGAAATTCTCTGAATAAGCAGCCCGGCAGTGACTGGGATGCTGTGAGGGTAATGAGTTCCTTGTCAATGGGGCATCCAAGAGGAGACTGGGTGGCCACTGAGGGGAGGGCTCCTGGCACCAGGCCTAGGGGCTCTGGACCCTGTCAGCAACCTTGCAGATAAGAAAGCTGAGTTTCTGGAAGGGGAAGTAACCTGTATCAAGAAAACAGCTGGCATTCAGAAGAGGGAGCCGGAAAGCTGACATTAGGGCATTGCAATTTTTTATTTATGTCACTGTGGCCCACAGCAGCCTCTCCCATCACCACCATGAACCATTCCATCCTGCTGGGGCCCTTCAGTCTCCTCAGCATTGGAGCAGGGTGGGTCCCTGAGACCTAACACTAATCTCTGCTCTCCCACTCACTTGTTCTGGAGCTTAAAGGAACCTGCTTGATCTCTCTGGACCTCAGTTTCTCCTGGGAGGTGGAGAAGGCCCTGGAAGCGTTCTGGTGTGGCTAGAGAGGGAAGAGGTAAGACTGGTGGAATGAGCAGATCAGTTGGTCTGTCAAGTTTTCAGAGACACTAAATATGTGCTTGAGTGCACACACGCGTGTGTGCTAACATGCACTCTGGCCTGCATCTCGGCACAGAGCTCTGACTGCCAGACATCATGGAGCATGGCATGGGAGGAAAAGCTACTGGAAGGTTCCTTGAAGGAAGACAGATGTGGGGTGGGGAGAAGGGAGGCTGATCAACACAGAAACTGAGGTCAGGCCAGGACTGGAGGTGGGAGAGAAGAGAGGTTGTGGGGGAAGGCACTGCTTGGACCCACCTTGGACGCACAACACTAAGGTGTGCCTATGCCCTCCAGACTGACCTGGGAGGACACACACACACACACACACACAGGCTGGCACCTGCCCGCCCCCCACTTCCACAGCAGGCTGCCCATAACAATTCCGTGGGCCTGGTTCTGAACCCTGGCTCCACTGGGCCCCCAGGCTGCAGTTCTGTTTTGACCCCAGCTTGCCCTGCAGACCAGTTTGCCTGCTGCCTTCCTGCTGATGACCTGGGCTCTGACTTGGTCTTCAGTCATTTGGGTCTGGCCCTGGGACCCTCTCCCTTGCTGCCGTCTCCTGAGAAAAGGGGCTTCTCCATGTCTCCTCTGACTTATGATGGGGTGTTATGGGCTGAACTGTGCCCTGCCCTTGAGATCCTAACCCTCCGTATCTCAGAATATGGCTGTATTTGAAGACAGGATCCTTAAAGAGGCTACTAGGCTTAAAATTAAGCTGTGAGGGTGGGCCCTAATCCAATATGACTGGTGTACTTATAAGAAGAAGAGATGAGGATGCAGACACACACAGAGAGAAGTTGTGAAGACACAGTGAGAAGGTAGCTGTCTACGAGCCAGGAAGACAACCCTCACCAGAAATCAATCCTGCTGACACCTTGACCTCAGACTTCCAGCCCCCAGAACTGTGAGAAAATAAATTTCTGTTAAGCCACCCAGCCTGTGGAACTTTGTCATGGCAGCCCTAGCAAACTGATACATGGGGATTTGGTATTTCTGCCCCTCCGAGCCTCAGTTTCCCCAGTAAAATGTAGAGACAACATACAGGGGGAGGAAGACAGGCTGGGATCATCCAGCTTTTGCACATGGGGATAATGATGATGACTGAGGTGTTCCCAGCTCTCCCCAGCCTCCCCGACCCCTGCCAGACTGTGCTTAGCGAGGGACCCTTTCCATATGAGCTGGACCAGCTCTGTTCTTCTCACAACCCAAAAAGACAAATACATGAATAGTGGCTTCACCAGCTCTGCAGGAGGGTATCTGACCCAACAAGACCCAAGAGCAGACTTGCATGTGGGAGGATGTGGGGGTCCCCCTCATCCTTCCATGCCCAGCTCAGCCACTGCCTCCTCCTTGAAGCCTTCGCTGATACCTCTCACGGCCACCATCCTAGTCATTCAACCCCTCCTCCTCTCTGCCACTGTTCTGCTCTGGCCAGCTCTGACTCTGACAGATCAGGAGGATCCTGGTCCTGGTATGAGTGAAACGCATGTGATCTGGGAACTCTCTCATTAGTCACTTCTGTGATTGCTCCCCTGGGGCCATGAGACACTGGCTCCTGTGTCCCTGTGCCTGCACAGAGGTCTCTCAAGCCGTCTCCACCATTAGATGGCACATAGTTGTTTTTCATACCTCTGCCTATGCAGCTGAACTGGGATATTGGTGTACACTGGGGCTGGACCAGCTTTGCGTAGTACAAGGTCAGCTGGCTGAAGGAGAGGTGATGACTTGGGCCCGGTGGGCCCTGAACACTGCCCTCCCTAACCACCAGGACAGGGCCTCTATATATAATACTATAGAACAGTTGGTGTCTTGGACAAAGATGCCCAACTCAAGTGGAACACAGTGGGTGCTGAAACAAATGTCAATTCCATACTTTTCTGAGGTTGGGGGTACCTGCCCAGGCTTGCCTTAGGTGTCTGGGAGCACAGCAGGGGCCCTCTGCCTCTCCCAGACAACCTTCTCCCCAGGTGCAGAGGCCAGCCCCTACCTTATTGGGCACATAAATGAATCTCTGTGGAAGCTAGGGCCGGGCAGGCTAGGGGTGGGGGCTCCCCTGGCCATGTCTCTGCTTCTAATCAAGATCTGATGCCTCCTGCTTCTACCTCTAATTGTCTCCAAATTAAAACTAATCTCTTGCAAATCAGAAAAAAAATTGTCATTAGGTTTGGTGAGTTTGTGGTTCAGAGGCACAGCAGGTGTGCCAGCAGGGCTCAAGGGTGCTGGGCTGTGCTGGGAGGGAGCTTGGCCTGCTCACCTCTGTGTGCACATGCACATGCATCCACACCAGATGTCAGTGTTTAGGGATCTGTTAGCACTTGCTCCTGGGTTTGCCTGAATATAGGAATCAACCAGAGCAAACAAAACAACAGCAAACAATGCCTACGGAAGGGCCCAGGCTTATACAGTCAGAATTTCCAGGGGACAGGCCTGGTATCCACGTTTATGAAGCACCCCAGGCATTGTTATCATGGCAGATGCTTGGAACATAGCACTAAGTAGGAAGGGTTGGTGAAGATGCTGAAGAGGCTGTGACTTGCACAGCATAACGCTGACATTGCTGATAGTTAATGGTGACAAGTACCCAGAGCCTAGAACAGTGCCTGGCCCATGTAGATGTGAAACACCTTTTTTATCAAATCTACGAATGAATGAATGAATGAATGAATGAGAGGGGGCATGAGCCATGATTAGTGCCTATACAGTGAGAATTTCCAGGGGACAGGCCTGGTATCTGTATATTTATGAAGCATTCCAGGCGTTGTTATTATGGCAGATGCTTGGAACATAGCGCTAAGTAGGAAGAGCTGGTGAAGATGCTGAAGAGGCTGTGACTTGCGCAGCATAACGTTGGCGTTGCTGATAGTTAATGATGACAAGTACCCCGAGCCTAGAACAGTGCCTGGCCCATATAGATGCAAAACACATCTTTTTGTCAAATCTATGAATGAATGAATGAATGAATGAGAGGGGGCATGAGCCATGATTAGTGCCAGTGGTGAGAATCCCAGGTGCTATGTGGTCCATGATGAAGAGGCCAGAAATAGGCTCTGCCCAGCAACCCCACCCCAACCCAGACCTGGAGGACCACAGGAGTGGTATAACCTAAGGGAGTAGGACGGACTGGCCCTGGGGAAACACCCCCAACCCAGGAGACCTGCGGTGGAGGAAGCTGAGGCCAAGGGTATAAAGAAGAGGGCTCTGAACTGGGAGGAAGGATGCCTGGGTTCCAGGCCTGCTCTTCCTTGGCTGATTGGCAAATCTGACCTAGCAGGTCATTTCTGCTCTCCAGGGCCGTACTTCCCCCTAGGCAAATGGGGAATTATTAGCCCATGATACCAAATCATTCCTGTGGAGCAGAGCGTTGCAGTGGGAAAAACCTGGGTCTTGAGAAAG
Source organism: Homo sapiens (assembly GCF_000001405.40). Taxonomy (NCBI): domain Eukaryota; kingdom Metazoa; phylum Chordata; class Mammalia; order Primates; family Hominidae; genus Homo; species Homo sapiens. The sequence goes on along the minus strand of NC_000017.11, from coordinate 34,618,754 downwards.
ATGTTTCATTTTTTAAAAAATCAGCGATACCCAGTGTTAGCAAGGGGCTAAAGAACTGGTGCACTCCTCTGCCCTCCTAGTGGAGGGTGAACTAGGTAAGCTTTCTAGAAAGCAATTACAAAATATGCTTTAAAGGTCTTAAAACTGTTCATGCTCTTTGACCCAAGAAATCCTGCTTTGGGAATCTAATAAACAGAAATCTGCTCAAAGATTTACAAATGTTGGCCGGGCATGGTGGCTTACTCCTATAATTCCAGCACTTTGGGAGGCTCAGGAGGGAGGATCGCTTGAGACCAGGAGTTTGAGACCAGCTTGGACAACAAAGCGAGATCCCATCTCTCAAAAAAAAAAAAAAAAAATCACCAGACGTGGACCTGTGGTCCCAACTACTTGGGAGGCTGAGACAGGAGGATCACTTGAGCCCAGAAGTTCAAGGCTGCAGTGAGCTATGATCACATCACTGCATTCCAGCCTGGGCAACAGAGTGAGACCCTGTCTCTAAAACAAACAAACAAAAAACAAAAAAATTTACATAGATGTTCACTGTAATGCTATGTTTATAGTAAAAAATTAGAAACAACCTAAATGTCAAAAGCAGAGTTAGATTAAATAAATGCAAATGCATAAAAATGGATATATGCAGCCATTGTAGATCAAGTTTTCAAAAATAATATTTACCTGAATGGGAAAATGTTCACAAAATAGTGCGAATTAACAAAGCAGGGCATTAAACTGGCTATATGGCATAATACCAATTTTATGTACAAAGATGTAAACACTGGGAAGAAATGTATCAAAATGCTAATGGTGGTTATCTCTAGGGGGTGGGGATTATGGATGATTGCTATATTTTACTTTATGTTTTTATGTATTTTCCAGTTGTCTGCAATGAACACACATTGCTTGTAAAATTAGAAAGGGAAAAATAAATGCCATTTAAAATAAATGAAAGTGTTTGAAGTTGTTCCAAGAATTTTTTTTAAAGAGGAAATCCTTAAAAAAATAAGAAAGAGCCCGTTTGGCTTTGGAGTCACATAAACTCTCAGTCAAATTTCAGCTCTGACATAGCTGTGTGTCCTTGGGCAAGTTACTTAACCTCTCAGAGCCTCAATTTCCATACCTGTGAAATGAAGAGCTTAGAACCTATTTCACAGAGTTGTGATTAAATAAGCAAATTGCTCGCTTGGTGTAATTTCTGGTACAAAGTTGGTGCTCAGTGTTCATTCGTTCATTCATTCATTCATTCATTCATTCAACATTTATTGGTTATTTAGTTCTGAGAGGAGGGAAGTGCTCACCTGTTTTTCTCCTGCACTTGGTGCATTGTCTGGCTCACGCAGGTCTTCTGCCAAGGTTGGTTAAGTTAAATAAGACAAGTACAGAGATGACAGGCACATGGAGCAGTGTCCCAAAGGCCTCCAAAGAGGCACCGAGGCTGGAAGGAGTGCCAGCTGTTGAGGGGCCCTAGAATTTGGCCCAGAAAGCTCTGTCACTGATCTGCTGCGTAACCTTGGGCAGTTTCTTTCCTTTCTCTGGGCCTCAGCTTCTTTCTTTGGGAGAAGAGGATAGTCCCTGCTCTGCATGCCACATGAGTGACCTAGAAGTAGGTAGCGGTTATGTCTGCAGGGAGTTCTGGACTAGGTAGCAGTCAGCTGGCCGAAGGAGAGGTGATGACTTGGGCCCGGTGGGCCCTGAACACTGCCTTCCCTAAGCACCAGGGCAGGGCCTCTATGTATAATACTATTGAACAGTTGGTGTCTTGGACAAAGATGCACAGCTCAAGGAGCAAACAGAGGTTAAAACCCAGCCCCGGCTCTGCTCGCCAAGCCCGGTGCCTAGTGAGGGGCTGCTTTTGTATCTTTCTAAATTGCACAAAGATACCACCTAAGCTGGTCCCCACAGGCATGTCCCCACCCCAGGCTGGAGCTGCAGTAAACCACATTGGGCCAGAGGGGAGAAGAGGGGTCCAGTCCAGAGACAGAGGGATGAGTGCCTCCCTGAGGTCTGGGGTCTGAGGGAGATGTCCACCCCATCCCCAGCCCTGTAGCTCCTCCCTCCTCCAAAGCAGCTCAAACCTTCCCCACCACGAAGCTGCAGACCCCATCTCTAGGACCAGCCTGGGTTCTCCTCTGGCACAGGCTAGTGTCTCCCTCATCAACCTGGAGGCTCCACTTTCCTCTCTCCACCGTATTCCCAACACTGAGTGCCTCTGGGTGACTGCAGCCTGGGCTGCGCTAGGAGCAGCAGGAGCCCCAGAGCAAGGACATGTAGCCGGGGAATACATAATCACTGACTCCATGCTGTGGCCACTCCCTCAGTGGGTGGGTGGGAGGAAGAGCCACTGAAGCCACCAGCAGCTAGCAGCCCCCAGATGGCTCTTGCCTACTCCCTGGCAGGTTGTAAATCCTGGAGAAGCAGCTTCCCAGTACTGTTATCCACCCCACCCCCATGCTTGGCTGGAACCCAATGTTGGAATAAAAGTCAGCTGTGGGGAGGGGCCAGCAGGAGGGGCGCCCCTCCTCCACTTTGCCCTGAATCCCCTCCCAGGAGACCTCCTGCCTGCTGACTCCCAGCAGCTCTGGTTTCCTGCCATCTGCCTGGGAACTCCCCATCTCTTAGCTGAAGGGATATCAGGGTCCCTCCCGTACACCTTACAGATGAGAAAAAAGGGTCACAAAGGTTTGGGTCAGGCTGGCTCTGTCATTTCTTAGCTGTGTGATCATGGGCAAGTGGCTTCACATCCCCCACCTCAGTTTCCTAAACTGTACAACGGAGTGAGAATAGCCCCTTTTTCACTGACTTGCTTTGCTAACAAAATGCCTATGTTATAAGATTACCTGTGAAATGTTTCAGCGGTGCCTGGCACACAGGCAGCCCTCTTTAAATGTTAGCTGTTCTCTGAGTGTTATTATCATCGTCATTAAATGGATCCCCCACACGGCCTCCTGAGTCAGGAGGCAGAGATCCTCCAAGACCCAGCGACCGACTCCCCTCTCTCCTATATGTGAACCCAATGCGAATCCTCTTGTGCTCTGACTGGGGCTCAACTTGCCTGCCGCTAAGGGTGGAGACCCTGCTGTTTTTTTTTAATCCCTGGCACCTAGCACAGAGTCTTACACATGGTCTGTGTGGAACAGAGGATTGTCGAGTGAATGAGTGAGTGAAGGAATGACTGGGATGGCCCTGGGAGGTGGTTGTGCTAACACACACACACACACACACACACACACACACACATCTGTGCCAGTCTTCCCCTTGCAGGCACCCTTGCTGTACCCCATCCTGGGACATCTATCCTAAACTGGCCACTCCTTTTGCTCCCTCTGCCTAAAACCAGACCAAGCCTGCTGCTCAGTGTGACTTCCTCATCTTTGAGAGTAAGGAAGGAAGGAAATCACAGAGACCTAGGCAGAGGAATCGGGGAGGGGGGTACTAAACTACAGATTGGTGAATGAAAGAATGAATCAAGCTCAGCTAACTTGGGGGCTAGGTCTGCTTCCTGAAAGCCTGAAGGAGGACGAGGGTACTAGAAGGACAGGTGGCCATGAGACCCCAAGAAGCTGCCACCAGGACAGCCCCTGAACTGGCCTCCTAGTCCTGCTCCTGGGGAAACCCAGGGAGGGAAGACTTGCTGAAAGCATACAGCAAGGTGGTATGAGAGACTTACTGAAAACCAGGGCTCTTGTTTCCCAGTTCCCTGCTAGTCTCAGGGGTACCTTCCTCTGGCCCCTGGAGCCTTGCCACCTATGGGGAAGCAATCCCAAGAGGAGGCCAAGGAAAGGTTCCCTGGTCCTGGGAGATCAGCTGGGCCATGGTCCCTCCCTTCCCCTCTAGACTCTGCTCCCATGGGATCCTGTAAGCTGCACATGGCACTGAGGGACAGAGCCTCGGGGCACATGATAGAGAAGGAGGGTGAGAAGGAGTAGTTCAGGATAGGGTGATGTGGACCTCTAGGGGCAGGGACTACAATATGTACAACTCAGGCTGGTGTCCCTGGGCTGGAGGGGTCCCAAGGCAAGAGGGGCTTGGAGTTTGGAGGCCCAGTTGTTGCATGGAGAGTCCAGGCAGAGGAGAGATATCAGATGTAGGGGACAGAAGCTCTGGCCCTTCCAAGTGCACAGTGACCCCAGGCCCTCTGTGGTACCTGCTCTGTGAGCCTGCCCTGCAAGTTGTAAGCCTGTGTCTGTTAGTCTGTCTGCATCTGTGATTTCAGGATCAGGACCAGAGACATCAACAGGCTTATGAAGACAAGAAAGGCTTTGTACTTCCAATCAAGCATCGCTTACCCCTGGGAACAGCTCTTTTATTTCTGAAACACTGGAGGGACCCCACCCTCACCCTTACCCCAGCAGCGACCTGCAGGGCAAACCCTTGGCCCTAGAGCTCAGTCTGCCTAGCTGTAATGGGCTTTGATGTGAGGTCCCTTTTGTGATGGAAAGGGCTGCGTGGGGGTCTCAGGGATGTAGGAATAGGGGTCAGGAGGTTTATTTGTCAGCAGGTCTGGAGTTGGCCAGCGGCTGTGCAGCTAGAGACAAAAAGACACTGTTGAAGAGCCTCTCTTTCCTAGTGGAAAAGATACTCCCTACCACCCGGCTGCCTGGTGCCCAATCCAGGCCACATGAAACAGAGGGCTACCTGCTCCAGCCAGCATGATGAGAGCCCTCACCTTCACCCCCCAGCACCCTAGCCTCCTGTGGGGCCCAATTTCTTGGATCTCAGGATGACCACGAGGGAAGGGGGGAACAAGGCAAGGAGGCCACACTGGTGTGCTTGTGGGAAGGGCCTTTTGGAGACAATGGCCTACCTTTGCCAGCCTAGTCCTCAGCCAAAAACAGTGGGTTGTGTTTGGGGGCGGGGAGTGTCAGGGAAGGCAGCAGCAAGGACAACCTCCTGAGGATCAGGCTCCAGGGAGAGGGTCTGGACTACCTCCTACAGTCACGCCAGAGAGGAGAACTGCCACCAACCCCCCAGGGCCTGGAGTGTAGGCTTGACCTGCTCTGCTGGGCTACCTACCCATGGAGGGCTGGGGGAGGGAGAGAGACCCCCGCAATAAGGCAAGGGTGCAGAAGCTAGGGAGAAGGGCTGAGAACAGGGGAGAGGGAGAGAAAGCTAGGGTTCAAAGGAAAGAGATAGGGGGAGGCGGAGAAAGAGGGGACAGAGAGGAAGGAAATAGGAGATAAGCCTGGAGAGAGAAAATAGAGAAAACCCTATCCTGGAGTCAGGGGAGGCAGTGGGGGGCTTAGGGACTGCTGGACGGACTAGTAGTGAGGTAGAGCCAGGGCCAACCGAGAAGGCCCAGGAGGGAACCTGAACAAACCTGCACAGCCCTGGCCTGGGAACCCAGCCAGCTAAGCAGGAGCAGCGGGGGAGGGGAGTGCGGGGGAGGGGGCTGCTCTCAGAGTTACACTAAATGACTAATGTGCATTATCCTAATTATAGCAGAGCAAGCTGAGCCTTCCCACTGGCACAGCCGCCTGCATCTCCTAATAAACAATTAGCCGCAAACAACGGAAAAAGAATGTAAGAACGCGCGCGCGCGCGCGTGTGTGTGTGTGTGGGTGTGTGTGTGTGTGTGTGTGTAGAGAGAGAGAGAGAGAGAGAGTGTGAGTGCCACCATAGGCCTGCAGTGGGTGGAGAAGGTTTTGGAGCTGGGCTTTGGGAGGGGAGGCTCTGGGGGAAGCTGGGGAACCACCTCACCCCTCCAGCCCATTCAGCCCTGGGCAAGGTAAGAGCTGCAACAAACAGCAGCCTTAGAGGTGCAGGGTGGGGGACATGGGGTCCCCCTAACATTTAGAGGCTGCCTCTGGAGTGCTAGGTACTGGCTGAGTGTCACCCCAACCTCACAATAACTCTGGGAAAACTGCATCTTTCCCACCCCACTGCCCCCCCCAGTGACGGAACCAAAGCTGAGAGAGGCTGAAAGGCTTCCCCAAAACACACAGCTGAGGTTAGGCCCCACCGGCCCTCCTGATTTCCCTGGTCCTGGGCTCACTTCATGGGAGCAGTGAGCCTGGAAGTTGGGGACCAGGTGTAGAGATCCCCTGAGCTATGATCCCAGACCTGAGCTGGAGGTGGGCTTGGTCATGAAGGTGGGACTTCCTCACTGCTCTGCCAGGCACTTGTGTGTGAATGATCTCTGATGTTTTGACGACATTCCTGAGACTTGGACCATATTCTGATGCCTGTTTTAACTGAGGCCTAGAAAAGGGAAGATATTTGTTCAAGATCCCAGAGGTTTAGTGGCAGAGAGTGGGCTTTGGAACTCACACTCCTACCTCTGAGTGGGGGCTCTGCCGGGGCTCCACAGTTGGGTCCCATAAGCCAAGGCCCCTGCTGGAAAAGCCAGGGCATTTCCAGTTGGGGAGGAGAGTGAAGCAACAGCAGAGCACATTCCAAGCCCCTCTGGGCACCTGCCCCTGGAGGAGGAGCCTGCTTTCCTCAGCCCCGAATTGACCACTTCCTTTCTGCGCTTTGAGTCTTAGCTTGGTTTCCCTGACTCAGTTACATGCTGTCTACTTTCCTAGTGTCTTCAGTGGCCTCCAACTCAGGGCCAGGTCACATGAAGCCTAGAGAATTGGGTGGCTGGGAAGGACAGCCCCCTTCCTGAGCTGGTCTCTAGGCAGCAGGTGTGTGTGCGTTGAGAGTAGGGCAAACTCTGGGGGTCTAGGGCACTGCCACCTGCCAGGGGTGACTTGGGCCTCAGTTCACCATCTGTGGAATAAGTAGGCTGATCAACTTGTCCTGGTTTGCCTGAGACTACTACAGGTTTAATAGTAGACCCTCGGTCCCAGGCCAACTGGGACAGTTAGTTACCCTCAGAATGAGGCTAACCTCCCTTCTCTGCCCCATAGGGTGGTGACAAGGCCCAGAAAAGAGACCTGCAATGTGTGCAGAGGTGACTGGGGACTGGGCCAGTTTCTTCTGTTGGGGGTGGAGGATGGAAGCCCCTGGAATCATCACCGTGAATTCAAGACACTTAGTCTTTGAACCTCAGCTTCCCTATCTACAAAATGGAGCTAACAAAACCTACCCATACATAATTGTTGTGGAGTGAATATGGGAATCCAGGCAGAGTGCTTCTCCTAGACCCTGGCTCGCACGTGACGTCCCCACTCTCCAGCTGCCTGGTCTTCCCCACAGGGCCCTCCCTGATGGGCTCTTTCCTGTTCTAACCACCCCTCCAAGCCTACGCCTTATTATACTTGGTTTCTCTTGGCACGATATTGATTGATTGACAGTTGTCTGGCTGCTGCTTCATCAGCACTTCTAACTCAGTGCTGGAAAGGGGCCTTCAAGACTGTAGTTCAAACCACTCATTTTCCAGAAAAGACTAAGGTCCAGAGAGGAGAAAAAGCCCACCCAAGGTCTCACAGCTCCCTCCTCTCCCATCTGCCATTCTGTCTCATTTTAGCTCATTTCTCATCTCTTAGGGCTGCTTACCTTCCTACTTCCCAATCCAACTTTTCCACAAGTGTTTCCTTTGTCCCACCCCTGCCTGCTCTTGAGTTCCCTTCTCCCACTCCCCAACCCACACCCCCAGGTCTGGGCATCTCCAGTCATACTCTTTCTGCCTCTGTGCCTTTGCACATGCTGTTCCCTCTGTCTGCTGTGTTGTTCCTCACACATTCCACCTGGTAGGTGTTGAGACAAGAATAAAAAATTCCAGGCAGCAGTTTCACATGACTAGAGGCTATGGGCTGATAAGACCCTGAAAAACAGGTTGTGAATCAAGTTGGCTAAGACCGACTGGACCCAATATGGCACTGGATTTGATCTAGGTTTCACCTAGGACCTCATTATCCACTCATTAACACACTAAATCACACATCCACCAGTGCCATGACAGTTCTGAGAACATCCATATTTGGTATAAAAATGAATAGCACCACAGTTCCAAGAAATCACGACTTTTTCAGGAGTTTTCATTAATATTCCACCCCTCAGTCAAAGAAATCCATAAAGGTAGCAGCCCCGACCCACTTGCATGATTCTCTTGAGTATGCTCCCGCTCCCTGTTCTTGAGTGTGTACTTTTCCCTTTGCAATAAATCTCTGTGATTTCACTGTTATTTGACTCATCCTTGAATTCATTCTCACAACAGTGTCAAGAGCCTCGACACCAGCTGCTTTGCACCGGTGTTTGGGGACCTCCCTCAGCCCACCAGTATCAGTGTCACATGTCCTTTTTCTCGCAGCATCACCTCCTCTTTGAAGCCTTCCTTGACCACTACACAAGGGTGGGTTAAGCAGGATTCTGGTCTGCTCACATCTGTCATTCTGTATTTTTTCTCTGCATTGCAACTGTCGGTTTGCATGTTTTACTTTCTCTTAGATGGAGGCCCTGCTTTGGGCAGAGACCGCGCCTTTCACCATGCAGCCTGACTGCCTAGTACAATACTAGATTTGTAACTGACACCCAGTAAAGATATTCAACAAATAAATATTTATTCAGCCCCTTCTCTGCACCAGACCCTGCTGGGAACTGCCAGGGAGACAGAGATAAAGAAGATAGTTTCTGCCCTTAAGGAATTTGCCGGCTAACAGGGAGATCAGACAAGTACATAAATAACCATGCTAAAAGGTAGGAAGTGCTGCTAGGCTTCGGAGAAGTGCAGAGCTCCCTGAGCATTCTGAGAGCCAGATGCCCACAAAAGAAAGGCTTTCAGGGGCAGGAGTCATTTGAGTAGTAAGATCTTGAAGAATGGGTAGAAACTCGAGGACTGATTGGGTGTGGTGGGACCTGGGTGGGTGGGGTCAGGGATGGAGGGAACAGAGTGGCAAGTGGGGTCCAGGGATTAAAGGCAGGTTTGGATTGAGTGGCATGGAAGAGGGAAAGCAAAGAGATGGGGCTGGACCGGCAGGTTAACACCAAGAGAACAAAGGGCTTTGAATGCTAAGCTAAGGAGTCTGTGGATTTTATCCCAGGGGTTTTGAAACTGTACTCCTTAGAGCCCTGGGGCTCTGCAGAGGAGTCCCAGGTCCCAGGGTCAGCTTTTATTGTCATGATTTTTCACATAGACTGTTGCAAAAATAATAGATCCTATACTTGTAAAAGTTTGCCCATCACGGCATGAGCAATAGGGAGCCTTTAGGGTTCTTGAGCAGGGGAATGAGACCACAAGGTGGTGCTTGTCTTTGTCTCCTCCACATCCACACATACCACACACACTTGGACAGCAGGGCAAAGGCAGGGGAGGCAGACAGAGCTGCCGTTCCATGGGGCTGGTGCATAGGGCGAGAGGCAAGTGCTGTAATTAAGTTCTCCAGCTTAAGTTATCTCAGCAATCTGTCAGGTCCTGGGGAGGAAAGAGCTCCCCTGCTCTGGTTCTGCTCAGGCATCCTGAGGTAAAGGGGCAGGTGCCACTCCCCTCACCTGATGACCTCATCTGCTCACAGTTGTGTTCCTCTTCCTCCCCACCTCTCCCCATCTCACTTCACTTCCGTCCATCTCATCCTTTTTCTCACATTCCACACCCTTCCTGAGGCCTTACCCAAGCTCTGCGAGGAAGGTTCAGGAAAGGCAGGGCAGCCGGAGGCTTCTCTTCCAGGCCACATGCAGAACTGGGCACAGACCTTCTTCAGACACCCCCCAGACTCCATACTCAAAACATGCTTTCCTCACATCTGCTTAATGTGATTCACCCCCATTTTACAAAATTCTGAAATCCCACCTTCTCCAGGAAGACTGTCCCGACTGCTGTAGAGCCAGGCTGGTTAAAAGGTTTTTCTCTCTCATGCCAAGGAATCTGAGATGGGAATGACTCAGGATCTGAGTCCAAACTCAGAGGAAGAAGAGAGCCATGACTGATTAAGGCTGTCTGCTGCGAGTGCTAGATGGGAAACAGGGGCCTCCATGTCATAGCTTTACTGTCCTTAGCCTTCTGACTACAATAATCAGACGGGGTATTCGGCTGGACATTTTTGAGGTTCCCTATGAGGCCACAAAAGAGCAGATGATATTGATATCTTCTTCAATGCTAAGGCCACCTGCTCCCCTGTCTCTGCGAAAAAGAGGTCTTATGTGGTTTGAATGGTCCACGGCTGCGTCTTGCTGCCAAGCCCCTCCATCCTGATTTCTGAGAGGAGGAGACAAGAAGGCAGATAACAGAGTCATATCCCCAACAGTTCTTTGCAGACTCCAACGTGGGGTAAGTGTACAGTCCCACTTGGAAGGACAAGGTTTTAGTTTCATGAGTACAGATATGCTAAGTGCTAATTCCATCCTGGGTTGCATAATGAACAATAATAACGGCCACAGCACCATTCACTGGGTTCTTGCATGTGCCGAGTGGTTTATGTATTCTACCTTCCATTCTCCCATGAGAATATGCATCCGTCTTCCCAACTGTATACAGGACACTGCAGCTTAGCCATGTGCAAGATCATCGCTAGTAGATGATGGATCTGGAACTCAAACTCAGGTCTGACTAGCACCAATGCATCTGCAGAGCGTCCTGGGGAAGTGTGACATTGTGACGTAATAAGAAATATATATTTGGTTTTCATCCCTGTTCCTGACACAGAGCTCCTAAAACCCTCAGAATTTCTGAGTGATAGGGGTGAGAACAGCACCTTTTGTTATTCATGATAAGCCCTTTTCAACTAAACCTGAGTTTATGCTAATGGAGTGACTCCAGGAGGTTGTAGCTGGTTGCCAGGGGAACCAGCTTGTGATTAGAAGGTTGAAACCTTCAGCCCCACTCCCTGACCTCCAAGGAGGGGACAAGAGCTGGAGACTGAGCCAATCAACAATGGCCAATGATCGAATCAATCACACCTACATAATGGAACCTTTATTGAAAACCTACCTAAACTACGGGGTTTGGAGGTCTCCCAGGTTGGTGAACAATATATCCGTGTGCTGGGAAAGTGGTACACCCCAACTTCAGGGGGACAGAAGCTCCTGCACTCGGGACCCTTTCAGACCTCACCCTATGTACCTCTCCATCTGATGATTCATTGTATCCTTAATAATAAACTGGTAATAGTTAAAAAAAAAAAAGATTTTCCTGAGTTCTTTGAGCCATAGCAGTAAATTATTGAACTTGAGGAAGGGGTCCTGGGAATCCCCGTCGTAGCCGAGTCAGACAGAAGTGTGGTACCTGGGCACTCAATACTTGCAACTGGCATCTGAAATGGGTAGCAGTCTTGTGGGACTGAGTCTTTAACCTGTGGAGTCTGTGTTAACTCCAGGCAGTTAATATCAGAACTAAATTGAATTGTGGACACCCATTTCATGCCCACAGAGAACTGGAGAGTTGCCTTGGTGTGAGGAATAAAATCCTGCACATTTGGTGTCTGAAATATTGTGAAAAGAGGAGCAGGATTTTCCTTTGGGAAGAGATTTGTTTGTTGCTGCAGGAAGAATAGGGGTCCTCCCCAAGTCAACCCTGGTTCCCCCATCCTTCTCTGCCTGAGCACGTGTCACCTGGCACCATGTTGCCATGTCTGTCTCCCCTGTGGTCTGTGGGCCCCTTGAGGAGGTGCACAGTGACCCTATCTCTGTATCCCCGGTCCGCAGCTTTTACATAGTAAGTTCTCCCTAAATAATGGTAGAGCTAAGATCAGTGCATAAAAGTTTGGGGAAGGCTGTCTTGGAACCAAAAATGGGTTAGTAATTTCTCAGGGTCAGAGCTGTAATGAAAGGAGCTGCCTTGTAGCGTACTGAGCTCCCTGTCCCAGGAAGGATCCCAGCCACCTGAAGCTGATTGATTCCCATCAGGGATGCCATGCAGAGCCTTCTGCACAAGCAGCTGGTTGGTCTGCATGATTTTCCAGCTGTGAGATTCTGGGAGGTTGCCATTCTTCGGAGCTGCTGCCTGCTGTGTGGAAGGCGGAGGAGGAAAGGAAGGAGGCCAGGAAAGGAGCAGAGAGAGAGCGAGTGAGTGGGGAGAGGAGGGCCCTTGTACTGTTTTACGGGCAGAGGAAGTGCAGCCAGGCAGGTCACACAGGGTTGGAGCTGGGAAAACTGAAACAGCCATGTCTCTCTGCTCATTAGTGGTGGTTCTGGGTTCAGGAATGGCACATCACTGCCCCAGCCCCGGGTGGCCCAGCTCCTCCAACTTGCCAGGGGACCTATGTAAGAACCATGGTCTGAGAATGAGACTGGGCTCATAGCTCCCTAAACAGCCCTCGTCCAGGGACTGGGCTTCCAGGAAGTCTGTGAGGGCGAAGGGGAGGTAGAGCTGTGGGGCAGAACAAATCCAGAGCTCTGAGCATGTGTGCATCTCCTAGTTCTGCCCAGCTCTTGCTTTGTGGTTTGGACAAGTCTCTTCCCCTCCCTGGGCCTCAGTTTCTATGCTTGTGAATTCTCAGGCCCTTTCCAGTTCTGACTTCTGGACTACTCTCTTCCTGTGTAGTAGACTGAACTATCAGTCTCAATCTTTTATTTTTGTTTATTTATTTTTTGAGATGGAGTTTCGCTCTTGTTGCCCAGGCTGGAGTGCAATGGTGCGATCTCGGCTCACTGCAGCCTCTGCCTCCTGGGTTCAAGCGATTCTCCTGCCTCAGCCTCTCAAGTAGCTGGGATTACAGGTGCTCACCACCATGCCTGGCTAATTTTTTTGTATTTTTAGTAGAGATGGGGTTTCACCAGGTTGGTCAGGCTGGTCTCGAACTCCTGACCTGAGGTGATCCACCCGCCTTGGCCTCCCAAAATGCTAGGATTACAGGCATGAGCCACTGCTCCCGGCCCAGACCCAGTTCTTCACATTGCTCTGGAATAGCATGACCCGGCCATACTCCTGCCATGGCTTTGTTGTAGGTGGAATCTACTTCTCCACCTCCTGATTTGAGGCTCAGTCATGGGACTTGGTTTAGTGGATGAGATTTTAATGAATGGGACGCATGTAGAGGTTGGAAACATGCTCGCACAATTGGGCCTTTTCGCCACGAGAAGAATACGTCTCAAGTAGCGTCGGTTCTAAAGAGGTGGAGAGAAGCATGAACAGACCAAGACCAAATCAGCAGCTGGGAGTCCAACCAGCTGAACCCAGCCTAAAGCAACCAAACCCCAGACATCTGGTCGACTCACGAGAAATAAACACTCACTGTTTCAAGCCATGGGATTTGGGGGTGGTTTGTTACGTGGCTTTATCGTGGCAATAGCGAATAAATCTTCTTTCCTAGATGCTTGGAATCCTGGTGCTGATGGTGGGGGGCTTTGAAGGATAACCTCAGCCCTTCCTCCGCCTGTAGGCAAAGCTATTGCTTAGGAGAGCCACAGGGCTCTTCCCTGTCTGTGTTCAGCCCAAGCAGGACAGCAGGGTGGGGTCAGGATGCTGTGATGCTGGGGGTACTTGGGGGAGGCTGGCTCAGTGGGGCCTGTTCTGGATGGTGAGGGAAGGCCTTCCATAGAAGCTAGCCTGGAAGGGGCCACTCCTCCTGGCTGACCCCACTCACTGAGGGAGGTGCTGAGTACACCTGACCACTTTATTCCAAAAGGAAATACCTTTCCGGGCCCAGCTTTGAAGCACCGCATGGTTCCGAAGCTGGGCTGAGCCTCACTTATTACACGATTCATGCTCTGAGGGCCCCAACAGCCCGTGCGACAGTAGGTGACAAGGGACCTGAATCCACTCACTTAGGACGTCATGGCTGATTACATAAGAAAATACAGGCAGCTCTTTAGGAAGTGGAGGACAGGCACATCCCTCTCAGTGCAGCCTACGAAATCACAGGCCCCATCCAGGATCACCCAGTGATTCTGGACAGCTTTGGAAGGTGGGTTACAGAAAGTAGAGGTCTCCAGCTTAAGTTTTGGGCTCAGATAAACCTGGCTTTGAATCCCAATCCAGCCTCTTTCCAGCTGTGTGACCTTGAGAAAGTTGTTTAACCTTGCTGAGCCTCAGCCACCTGTCCTTTAAAGTGCTGACAACAGTAACATCCAGCTCATGGGGCTGTCGTGAGGAGGAAATGCAAGTGCCTGGCACAGAAATGCTCAGAAATAAACATTAGCTGTTGCTATTAATAATAAATCATTCTCATTAGACTTTGGACTTCATCTTCCCTCAAAATGCATTCTTTCCCTTTCTTTGCTCCCTCAAGGACTTACTGTGTGCCAGGAGGGGCACAGAGAGGTCAAAGTTGGTTTCTGAGGGGGACAGACCCACAGAGAACTAGTGGAGATGCAGAGCTGGAAGCCTGCAGATGGTCATCTGAGTTGGGGGAGGGGGCAGAGGGTGCGCACATGTGTGGAGGGAGAGGATGAGACGCAGGTGATGACACAGGAGAACAGGCAAGGCAAGTTCAGATCACAGGGGCCTTGGATGCTGCCATGAGGAGCTGGAAGGATCTCATCCTCCACACAGACAATGGGAGATGGAAGCTATCAAATGTGGATGGATGCCGGTGACATGGTCAGATTTTCATTTTGGGAAGGGCTCTCTTGGCGGATGGTGTGCTGGGGAGACCAAGACTAGGGAGAGCGCTCAGAATGCAGCTGTCATGGTCCAGGGGAGAGATGTGGAGTCCCCAACAGGCAGTAGCAGCAAAGAAGGAGCGAACCCTTCCTAAGAAGCCATTCTGAAGAGCTCAGACTCTGCCTGCACTTGGTCCCAGCCCCACTGTTATCAGTGCTGTGTGACCTTGGACATGTTACTGCCTTCTCTGAGCCTGTGAAGTGAAGACAGTACAAGTACTGTTGTTGTGAGGATTAAACAAAGCCCTTAGAACAATGCCCAGCACTCAGGAAGAGGCTTACTTTTGCTGTTACTCTGAAGCAGCACAGTCCAAGGGGGCTCCAGGGCAGGAGGGAGTAGAGGGAGGGGTGCAGTTGTCCTGATGTGGCTTCTAGGTAGAGGGAGGGTGGCTCCATTGAGTGAGGGAGGGGGATGAAAGAAGGGACCAGGCCTGGTGGCGGAGGGGGCTGGTACCCACAGTGAGGAACTCATGGAATAGCCACAGGAGATGGTGGACGAGTGGTCAGCTGCAGCTGGGACAGTGAGTATGGCTGAGATGGCCAGGGATGGAGGCCCACAAGGGCATATCACTGAGGGTGGCAGGCACTGCAGAGGAGCCACCATGAGGCTGAGAAGGCAAGGCTTAGGGAGGGGAGGACAGGAACACCCAGGGGGAAGAGCTGGCCAGAGGAGGACCCTGCCACAGCCCACACAGGGAAGGAATGGCCTCTGAGGCTCCAGACCCAGGTCCACTCAGCATCGCTGCCTGACACCTCTGTGTCTTCTGCCTGCTGGATCCCTGTGCAGGAGCAGGCATGGCACACAGCCCCTCTTCCTGCAGTCCCTGGAATGGCATGGAGGTTTCTGAAGTATGACTAGGAAAACAGTGCTCAGTTGAGCCTGGGAGTCATACTCTAGCCTCTGTGGAACACGACTATACAGGGTGCTAGCTGTGGGGAGCCATCTCGCCTCAGTTTCCCCACCAGTAATAACAAGAGGGGGTTGAGCCAGCCCTTCCCTCAGGTTCCTTCTGGGGGTCCGAGGGTCTGTGTCTGTTACCCTCCAGGCTCCTGCCCTAGAGGCCCTAACATTGCAGTGGAGGAATCTGAGGTTACACACATCTGATACAGACACTGCCTTATCCCCCAGGAGGATGGCTACGAGGTCAGGGTCTCCTCTGTGCATCACTGTCTCGCAACCTGACCCCTGCCCATCCCACTTTCTGTCAGCCTAGATGCAGCCACGAAAAGGACTTAATGCAGGTGACTTAACACCAGAAGATGACCCCCTTCCTGTGTAAGACAGGCCTAGGCTGGGAGGACACAGCCTCTGTGCCTCCCTGGGAGGCAATGCCACCTCCTAGCCCCATGTAGCTGGCTCTAGTGTTTGACACCAGCATCTCCAGGAAGATCTTGGAGAGGCAACTGGCATCTCTCTTTGCAATGACAGTCCACTTACTTCCATCCCACGTGGACCTGCTTCCCCAGCTTCTGCCCTTGGCGCCAATGGTCCTGGCCACAGATGGGTTAAGGAAGCCATCTTGTGGAGTTTGAAAGGGAAACTCAGCTAATTCTCTCCTTCGTGGACACTAATCCTGCTGTGTACAGCTCCCGGGTTCTCTTCCCCAGAAACCACAGCTCCTTCCCTTTTGACCCCACTGCCCTGGGTGAAGCCCTCCCTCTGCCAGATTGACTCCATGGGGATGAAATTGGAGCTGCAGCCTCCTGCAGGGGATGCTGAAGCTCTGGGTCTTCCTGTCCTTGCCAGTCTCCAGTGTGACAACATGTCCCACCTGCTCTCACCTGTCAAGAATGGAGACAGAGAGGAAGCACTCCATCTTCTAAGCTAGAAGGGAGAAAAGCCTCCTCCTCCACCCTGGCCCCTGTCAGGCCAACTCTCCAAATGTGAGAGCTGCAGGGGCCTACTGCAGCCTTCCTCTTCAGCTCCTGGGATCCCAGAGATGGGTAAACTGAGGCCCAGAGAAGTGAAGGGGCCTCAGAATGGACAGAGCCTTGTGTCAGCCTTGTCTCTGACCTGTGCCCAATATGCTGCTGCCTCAATCTCTTGCGGGCTGGGCCAGCCCAGGGGGCAGTGGGACATGAGAGCCAGCTTAAAGCAGCACGATTGTTCATTTCAGACTCTGTCCTCTCCTAGACTGGGAGGCCATGCGGAGGCAGCTGTCTCTCTCTGGAGACAACATTTTTTGGTCCCTGCCTCCCCCATTTTTTGGGTACCAGATGGAGCCTAATGGGCTGAGGAAGTGGTTTTTAAATGGTGTTCCCTGGAACCCCTCAGGGGGCCATGGTAGCAGGACTCCCAAGGGGCCAGACCATGGACCCAGTGCCTTGTGGAGACTGGAGAGGAGCACTAGACTGTGAGTCCAAATGCTGGGGTCCCCCCTCTCCCACTAACTTGGAGTAGCACCCTCTCTAGAGGACCCCTAATTGCTCATCTGTGGAGTGAGATTAACCCTGAGGCATCGGCAGGGATGACAGCTGTGGAGGCCCTCGGGCAGGACAATGAGAGGGGTCACAAGGTTGAGGAAGGTACTCGGGCCTGGGGTTTTGGGGTGGGGAAGGGAGAGGTAGCCCTGTAGCCAGGAGACTGCCTCCTTCCTCTTCTCTTCCCTCTGAAGCCCCAGAGGGGCTGGAGCCATTACAGAGAAGAGACTTCAAGTCAACAAAGACAAATTGGCTTAATTGACCCAAATTAGCAGCAGGGAGGGCCCTGATGGCCCAGCTGCTGGTGCATTTAATCACTGTCACCCTGTGTGGTCAGGGACAGCCCCCTCCCACAAGGCCATCAGGTTCGTCTCCCTTGTGAATTGCCCCCTCTCTGGAGTCCTCCATCAGTACAAAGTAGGGCTGGGACTTTGGGGACAAAGACAGCCTCCAGCCAGAGGCCGGAGTTCCCTGCAGAGCTGACAGCCTGGCTTCAGTAGAGACAGCCCAGCCTGGGACAGGGCAGTCAGGGACTGGGGGATCTCCTCCAAGCCCCTCACTCTGAGTTCAATGGCTGCCCCAGGGAGAGGGAGGGATTCACTGGGAAAGGCTGACTGTAGTACCCCCACAAGATGCGGTCTGCCTCCTGGGCTTTCCAGAGGCTCACAGAAGGGCAGGCTCTTCCCAGGCCTCTGGACCCGCTCTGCTTCTCTCTCTTTCAGCTTTTTGTCTATTTCCTCATTAATGCTGGCATGGAGGGTGTTGGGGATGTGGCAAGAATCAAATTGAGATCTCCTGAAATCCTCCTGAAAACTGCACCCCCTGGGATTCTTGTTGGCTGTTGCTGCCCAAATTTCACACTGTGAGAAGGCAGGAAGGCCATTTGTCCAGCCCAATGGCCTCCTGGATTCTGCCTGCTCCCCAGTGGAGACCAGCCCTTCTTCTCTCCCAGAGCAAACATGGAGAGAGAGTGTGTGCCGTGAGCTGGCGAGGGCCTAGGGGCTTGAGGCTGCCAGTGACCTCCTGCTTCCATGACCTCATGGCCTCTGTCTCACAGCTCTGCCTCTGCAGGTGCATCCATCACTTTCCTGCTTGAAACCTTTGACCTGCTGGGGTTGCTCTTGCACACCTCGGAAAGGCCACGTGCAAGGTGCCCTGCTGCTCTGGGTACTTCACAGCTCCATCCTGGACTGCCAGTTCTGCCGGGGCCGCACTCCAACTCCTGGCCCTCCTGCCCTAGACCTGTCAGCCTTCTTTGGCTTCTCCTGGCTGCTTCTCTCCTTAGCAGTCACTCAGGCCCTCCTACCCCGACCTTGTTCTACTTTGCCATCTCCATAAATGCCCCACTGGGAATATCAATCCAGGTGCCCCATGGCAAACCTCAGGGCAGACTCCCAAGGGTGGATCCCCTGCTGGGTTCATTAAGAGCAGAACTCTCTTTCCCCACCCTGCCACACACACACACACACACACACACACACACACACACTCATATACGCTCAAACTTAACAAACGGGCTGCTTATCAAAAGTTCTTTAGAAATTAGCTATTAGAGCTTGGAAACACATTTCAATACTTTCCCACACAGGGACTATATTATCAGTAGCAGTTCAGTAGTAGTAGCAATTATCAGTAGTTACGTTTCCAGGTTAGCCCACCAAACAGAGTTTACCCATAATTCCTTCAGTCAATATTTATTGAGCATCTACTATGTGTCTAATGAGACTAAAGAGTGGTTCTAAGAGTATTATCTTGGATTCTGGGTCCTAGAACAGGGGACTAAGTGAACGAGAGGAAGAAAAGAAGATAGGAAGTGAATAAAGGTTCCCTTTCAAATCATTTAAAAATAGGACATACCTATCTTCCACACTTTTTCTATGTTCTTCTTCCTTCCTGGGGTCCTGTCCTCTGGCCCCAGGGCCTCCAAGCCCCCCTCCCCACCAGGGCCCCCAGCATCAGGGGATCTGCCCTAGGCCTGTCACGATGCTGGAGGGCCTTATAAAATGCAGGTCCCTGGGACCCTCCCAGCCATCCTAATTCAGAAGTTCTGGTCTAGGTGCTGAGAAGGTGATTCTGGCCCCCTCCCCACTCCCTCCACCACACTTGGGAAGCCTTGCTCTGACAGTGAGTGAGGCTCAGGCTTGATTTCCCATTAGAAGCACCTGGGATCCCTGGCTGTGCCCAGATTAGTGAATTCAGAATCTCTAGGGCTAGGACCCAGGTACTGGAATAAAAAAAATGATAATAATAAAAAATAAAAATAAAAAATAAAAAACTCTTCAATGTGCAGCCAAGATTGAGAAGCACTGCCTGAGTTCTAGTTTTCACAAAAGTGTTGCCTTTCCCTGCATCTGAATCCACCAAATTCATTACGAAATTAACACCTGCCCTGTCCCCCTACTCTCCCCTCCACCCACTGCTGGCAGAAGCAGTGGCATCAGCCATTCAGTTTGCAAGTGTCATCAATGAGGTTGGTATACCCTAAAAGCCCCAACACAAAGGCCACCATCAGATAAACCAGCCCTGAAGGTGAGGGCTGGATGCGCCCCATGATGGTGCAACTGCGCTTATGGCTAGACAGTGGGGGTTGAGCAGCATTAGCAGGTGCCCCGTGGTGGGGTGTTCCTTATGCAGGTTTCTAGAATGCATCCTAATCTGAGTCATTCATCTTCCATGCTCTGATTCTCCACATACCCTCTTGCTGTGGGGAACCCCCCACCTCAGTTTCTACTGAAGATGCCCACTCTGGACAGAACCAGGAACCTCACTCCCACCCATCTTGCAAGGTTTTGCCTAAGGTTTGCACTGCTCCAGTTGGGGCCCTCCCTCTCTGTTTCTCCTTGGGACCCCTGTCTATGCCTCAACAGTGCTAGTTATTTTCATCCGCCTGGACTCAGGTCAGCTCCTATGAGCAAGTGTCTGTAAGCTCTGGAAGTGTAAGTAAAGGTTAGCTGAATGAATATCTGAGGCTGGGGGCCAGGGTCTGCAGCAGCCAGGGGCTGGACTGGATCGCTCAGCATCTCTTCTGGCGGGACAATCAAGAGTGCTGTAGTTCAACACCTCCCCACCCCAGGGAAACCCAAAATTGCTAGGCCAGGGCCAGGTCCCAGCCTGGGTCTCAGAGGCTCCTGCTGAGAGCAGGCTCACATCCCCAAGTTGGTGGAAGGTAATTTCAACATTTGTAACAATTATTCACTTAATTGGGTTCCAATTACATCAGAGAGGAAGCAGAGGACTGTGTCTGTGTTTATTCTCCTCCTTCCACCTTCTGCACATCAAAGGGAGTGCAGGGAGGATGACAAAGGGGCTTTATCTCATCTGGAACAATCCCGCCTTCTGTCAGGGGTGGGCAGGGCTGTCCTGGGTAGGCCCCGCCTCTGCCTGCTGAGCTTCCCTGGGGCCTGCATTTCTAATCAGGGGCTGGACTTATTCCAGTCCTAGAGGGTGCTGGGTACCCAGCAAGAGCCAATCCTTCTCCTGGGCTTCACCCCCACCAGAAAGCAGAGTGGGGCCCCAGGTAATCAGGGGGCAGATAGGTGATGGGACTCTCTGATGGGACTGTCTCCCCCACTGTGCCATGTCTCCCTCACTGTCCCATCACCTGATGGGCTCAATAGCACCACCCAGACCCCTCTCCCCATGGCACAGTGGAAGTGGCCTTAGGAAGGGATTAAATTCACCAACAACTTGCCAGCTGGGCTCTCTGGGGGTGTCTCAAGGCCTTCCATGGGGTGACAGGGGAAGGTGGGACAGATGAGACCTTAGGGAGGTACCTCCACTCTCTCTTCAACCAGTAGTTCTGCTTTTACCAGTATCATATATGCATTATATATAATACATGTATTATATGTAATGTATATGACATATTGTAATGCATTATCTATTACATATATAATTTACTGGCTAAAAATGTTTTAGGAAATCATTGATTTAGTCCAATTCTGTCTCATCTCAAACAGGGAAACTGAGGCCTGGAGGGAGGGAAGGGACTTGCTCAAGGCCACACCATCACTTTAGGGGCTGAGCTGCTAGGATTGAGGTCTCTGGGCAGGATCTCAGCCCCCAGTGACCAGGAGATGGCAGATCTCCATGGGCAGGAAGTGTGGAGGAGAGCATGAGTGGAGGTTATGGATGGAAAGGTGGGCCAGGCCAGAGGCTCATGGGAAGCACCAGAGCTGGTGGGGCCCTCCTACCTTTGGCCTCTGCTTCCTGGCCCACACTGAAAAAAGGCTGTGGTCATGAAGATCATGATGGTGGCCAGGAGCTGAGGCTGGGTTCACCTCCATGGGGTGTCAGCCTTGGGCTGGATGCCCTGCCCCAAGAAGAATCATGCCTGGGGTCTCTGGCCACAGGACCTCCTCAAAGGGACCGCATCTGCAGAAGGACACATATCCAGTCAGTGTCTGGCACACAGTCGGTGTTCAGGAAACCTTTGCAGAATTGAATGAATGAATGAATAGTTGACTGAATCAATGAAAAAGATCCTAAGATCTTTTTCCTAGGAATCAGGACCTAGATTTCTAACCTGGGGTAAAATAAATGAGGCTCTATAAAGGAGCTGGATGCAGAACAAGGAAAGCTAGACTCAGAGGGGCTTCTGAGTGCCCCTGGAGCCCTGCCCCAAGGGAATCCCGTCTGTTGGGGCAGGCACAGCCTCTACTGGGGAAGCCCCTAGTCTGAGAAGGAAGCAGTCTTGGACTCCTCTGGAGGAGTCCCCAGACTGATGAGGGAAGTGCAGGTCTCCCCTGGGAAACTCCCCAGTCTGGTGGTGGTAGGGGAAGGGAAGGGGAGGATACTGCTGTCCTGAGGAGCTCCCTGTCTGATACGGTGGCTGCAGCCCTGACTTGGGCAGCCTCCTGCCTGAGGGAGGAGGCAGGGCTCAGGCTGAGGCATAGCTCCCCCTTCCTAGCTTTGGAGCAGAGGGGCTGCGTGTCTGGATGCTCGGTGGGATGGAGCTGGGAGGTGCAGCCAGGCAGGAGGAGAGCCATCGAGATTCCGGTCAGGCAGGCAGTCACTGAGTTATTATTATTTCTTTCTTCCTTTTTTTTTTTTTTTTTTTTTTGAGCTACTTAGAGCAATTTACAGAAATCATTTAGGGGCCATTTAGGGAGAAGAGAAAAGATGAAGACTTTTAAAGGCAAAGCCTAGGGATGGTTTTATGCTGATCAGCTTTGCAGAGATGTGGAGGAAAATCTGGATTCTGAGGAGGACCTGCAGGGTTCTGTCCCACACATCAGGGCTGGGAGACCCTTGGGAATAGCCAGGGACCAAGGAAAAGGAAGCAAATGATGGACCAAGGGCTAAGACACATGAGGAGAAAAGCAACTGCCAGGAATGAGTCAGCCATTCCCTGCCTCAGTTTCCCTTTTTTGTGACTGGGGCACCTGCATAGGTAAATTTGATGGCACTGGGACCAAGCTGAATGGGTGTGACACATCCTCTATGACACTAGGGGCTGGAGGCCTAGAGGATTAGGGCCCAGGGGGAGTAGAGGACACCGTCTCCTGAGCTAGAGTCCTGCTCTGCTAATTCTGTCTCTGTGACCTGGCAGTCCCTTCCATACTCTAAGCCTCAGTTTCCGCATCCACATAATGGGAATCATGATTGCCAATTTCATGGATGAGGCTTACATGGTGTAAGATGTTTAGCCATTTTTAAACTGCCAAGGGCTCCACACTCCTTGGTCATGGTGGGGAACAGTGGTGAACTGCAAGGAACAAGAACCTGATCTTCAAATACCAATTCCTCTTGCCACACCCCAGACAGGGGAAATCTCTCTTCTAAAGATGGCCTTCACTGGGCTGGAATCAGAGGCCTGCACTGGTTGCCTGGGGAATGCAAGTTGTGCGTGTGTGTGTGTGTGTGTGTGACAGAGAGACGTGAGAGGGAGAGAGGGGTTGGGGTCCGAGGGAGGGGAATGGAGGGAAAAATAAGAAAACCAGTCACACATTTAGCAAAGCCTTCCCCATAGTTCACATTTCATGCTGTTTGTGATGTGATTATTGGAGATGGAATCTGGTTACTCAATGTAAATACCAGGCCTACTGAGGCGCCTCCCCAAATACAGTCCCTGAAGAAGCCAGAGGTGAGGTTACCCACAGCTGTGACCAACCAACTTCCTTCAGCAATTGTTGGCGTTGCTGCCCCTGTCAATACCCTCATGTGAAACCAAAGAAGACACAAGAAGGAGACCACTGGCCTGGGAGTCAGGCACACGGGTCTTAACCC
Organism: Homo sapiens; assembly: GCF_000001405.40. Classification (NCBI taxonomy): domain Eukaryota; kingdom Metazoa; phylum Chordata; class Mammalia; order Primates; family Hominidae; genus Homo; species Homo sapiens. The sequence continues at coordinate 34,595,687 of NC_000017.11, read as the reverse complement.
TGGCTTTATAACTCCTCCCCTCTCTGGACTTTGGTTTTCCCATCTTTAAAACAGAAATGGTTCCAGGTGAGAGGGGCCTGAATCTCCCTGCCAGCCCTTGTCCCATGTTTCTTTGACTTTAAGGATCACACCTCATTGTGAAGCCCTCTGTGCCACAGTCCAGAGAGGAATTCAGAGTACACACAGGCTCTCAGTGCAGGTCCACACACACTGATCTAGTGCCAGCTGTATGCAGGGCACCCTATAAGGAGGTCTTCCCATTGGCTGGTACCAATAATGAGGATAATCAGAGTATCTGTCCTGTTTATTGAGCATCCAGGCACATGCTGGTACTTTACATCCATCAGCTCATTGAATTCTTATGATCTAAGAGGTGGGCACTGTTCAGTATAGACCACCTTACAGGTAAGAAGACTGAAGTTTAGGGAACAAAAGTGACCCCTATCAGGTTGCTGTCAGAGCTGAGGTTCCCTAACTCCTAGGCTGTGCTCTGTTCACCACACTGCAGTGGCTGAATGGGCAAAGCTCTGGACGAAATGTTACTCCATGATGCTGCTGGAGCTCAACTCATCAGTTCACACAGATTTTGGCAGTGGTTCCTACAGAATGACAGGAAGCCATACCTGGCCCTTTCCAAAGTCCGGGTAGGCCAGTCCCTGCTCCTCCAGCACCCTGGCATCGATGACACTGCACTGAAATTATTTGCATCCTTGTCTCATATCAGCCAGCCACTGTGTCTTCATCTCTGCATGCCTGGTGTTTGTCACAGTGCTTGGTGTGCAGTAGGTGTTCAAAAACATGCTCACACCTGTAACCCCAGCATTTTGGGAAACTAAGGCGAGCGGACCACTTGAAGCCAGAAGCTCAAGACCAGCTTGGATAACATCATTAGAATTCCATCTCTAAAAATAAAACCTCAAGAAACCAATTAGCTGGGCATGGTGGCATGCACCTGTAGTCCCAGCTACTACTCAGGAGGCTGAGGCAGGAGGATCACTTGAGCCCAAGAGTTCGAGGCTGCAGTGAGCTATGATCATGCCAGAGCAAGACCCTGTCTCTAAAATACAAAACAAACAAACAAAAAAACATGTGCTGAATGAAACAATAGCGAGTGTCTATTTGAGCACTTCCTACAAGCCAGGCGCTGCTCCAAGCACTTTACATGCATTAACTCATTTATTCATTACAGCAACTCTATGAGAAAGGCACTCTTATTATCCCATTTTATAAACGTGGAAACGGAGCCACAGAGAATTTAAGCAATATTTCCAAGACCACACAGCTGGGATATGGCAGATGAATGTGTTAATGAGTGAATGAAGGAATACATTTTCTTTCTCTGGTTACTGCCAATCATGCCACCCAGTCTGTCTTGCTAGTGACTCCTTGGGTGGAAAGGGTGAGCAGTTGCGAAGGAGTAGGCTCCCAGGTTCATTCATTCATCCCGCAGATCATTATTGAGCATCTCCTCTGTGCCAGGCCCCAGGGGTTGGGGATACAGCAGTGAACAAAACAGAGATGGCCTCTGCTCTCAAGGGCTTCCATTCCAATGGAACACATAACCATGTCATATGTCAGGTGAAGGGAAACAGAGCAGGGTCAGGGGACAGAGTGAAAGTGCACAGGGCTGCTTTAGATAGAGGGGGACCAGGGAGGGACCTGAAAGAGGTAGGAGGTAAGAGGCGGGAATCGTGTTTATTCGAGGGGCAGCAAGGGCCAGCCAAGTCCTTGAGGCTCTGTGCCTGGCATGTCAGGGACAGAAAAGAAGCCAGCGTGACCGGAGACGAGCAGGTGAAGGGGAAGATTGGGTCAAAGAAGTAGTGTCGGGAAAAGGGACAGATCATGCTGGTGGTATGAGCTACTGTGAGGACTTTGGCTCTCACTCTCAGTGAGGTGGTTCTGAGAAGAAGGGTGATGATTTGACTTGTGGTTTGCAGGATCTCCTGGCAGAGCAGAAGGGAAAGTGGCCTTAGGAGGCAGCTGGAAGCTGCCTACCCCGGCCCTAGAAGCTGCTGCCTCTGAATGGATGGGAGTCATCATCGTCAGCACAAATCATGCCAGAGCTGAGGAAGGGCTGAGCAGGCACTGAGCTGGGCAGGGGATTTCCAAGAAGGACAGCAGGAGGTGAGTGGGCTCAGCTTATCAGTCCCAGAGCACTGACTCTGGGGCCCTGAAAATACCTCCAATAGGAGAACTGGGTATGGATAAGCCCGTGGGCAGCATCCAGCCCTGTACTGTCCTGTTGGGTGGCCACTCACCACATGTGGCTGTGGAGCAACTGAAATGTGGCTAGTTGGCATGAAGATATGCTGCTGGCAAGGCAGAACGCACAGGGGATTTTGAAGATTTAATACAAAAGAAAAGAACAAAGTATCTCATTCATAATCTTTTATACTGATTACACGTTTTTATTTTTGATTGTTTCAATATAATTTTTTTTTAATGTAGAGATGGAGTTTTATTTTGTTGCTCAGGGTGGTCTCGAACTCCTGGTCTCAAGGGATTCTCTGGCCTCAGCTTCCCAAAGTGCTAGGATTACAGATATGAGCCACCAGGCCTGGCCCTGATTACATGTTGAAATGACAATTGTTTGGGCATATTGGTTAAAACATACTATTAAAATTAATTCCACCTGTTTCTTTTCACTTTTTCTCATGTGATAAATAGACAAGATTAAGTGAGATACGTGGCTGCTGTTATATTTCTATTGGACAGTGCCGATGCTGCTCAGCAACCTCTATTTCAAAGACAAGAAAACAAAATTCCACTGGGAGGAAGGGTTTATCACAGGGCTTGCAGTTGGCTGAGAGAACAGTGGTGGAAAGAGCAACACCAGAGGTGGGAATGTGGGGAGGTGGGGGACCCTCTGGGTGGGTCTGGTTTGTCTGAGGTGACTCCTAAGTGTTCCTTGATGCCAATGATACCATTATGAAATAATGATTATGGCAACCATTTACTGAGTGAGCACTGACAGTGTCAGGCGGAGTGCATAACTGCAGTGGCCCCATCCTCAACAACCCTGCAAGATGAGTAGGTTTTTCTTCTTATTGTTTGCACATAAAGAAACTGAAACGAAAGAGTAATATGCGTATGGTTACCTGGCCATCCTGCTAGGAGTGGATGAGGAGGCTCCTGCTCCAGGATCTTCAGGGTTCAAGCCTGTATCTCTCCCCATACACCTTCAGGCTGCAGATTAGGGAGGCCTGTGTTCCTTGTCAGAAACTCCCTATAACCCTAGACCTGCTATCTGGCAATGGCAGTGCTGTCCTGGCAGTGTGTAGACAGACTTTATACCCACCATGGGGAGGAAGCAAATTTCAGGAAGCAGTGGGCTTGCCAGCTGGGTGCAACTTTGGCATTGTGATGGGGGCCGGCTGCTGGACGCAGGAATGCCTCCTCCACCCCGGTTGGGCTGCAGAAGCACTGGGAACATGGGGCAATGCCTGTGACTGCTTTCCTGGGAAGGAAAGTGGGGAGGGAGGAAGGGTGGGGGCCAGCAGCTGGCCACTGCTGTTTTTAAAACAAGCAGCATGTTGCTAAGAGGCATCAAGGGTTAAAAAACAAAAATCCCAAGCAAAACAAAAAACCCAACCACCAGAAAACAGCTCTCCGGGAAGTCTTTGGCACTGTCTTAAACATGCTTCCCAGCAGTAAGGCCTGGCTCTAGGCAAGAAAGGATGGAAAGACACCAGTTTACCGAGCCCCTCCAGCAGGCACGTAGCATTTGTTCTGGATACTTCCAAACACACCGTGGGATCTCATTCATGCGGCAGCCCAGCCTGAGAGAGGATATTACTCCCAGTGCAGACAGGGGAGGAGAGGCTCAGGGAGATGTCAGCAAGTGCTCCAGGGTCACTCAGCTACACTGCAGCAGGGCAGGCAGCCCACACCATTTCAACCTACATTTGTGTGACTTGAAGACCCACCATGATTCTCTGACATGACTGGTTCCTAAGACCTTCCTGGGGCCCAAATGCTGACAGTGACACCTGTGTGGATCCGCTCCTTCAGCTGCTGGCTGACTGTTGGATGAGGAATGAGGAGGTAGGCTGGTTCTCCATTAAAAATAGTGAGGAAGCCTGGATGTGGTGGCTCATGCCTATAATCCCAACACTTTGGGAGGCCAAGGCCAGAGAATCACTTGAGGCTAGAAGTTCGAGGCCAGACTGGGCAACAATGTATTTGCAAGACCCCAGGGAGAGAAAAACTTAAAAGTTAGCCAGGTATGATGGCATGTGCCTGTAGTCCCAGCTACTTGGGGATGTGGAGGTGGGAGGATTGTTTGAGCCCAGGAAGTTGAGTCTGCAGCCAGCTGTGATCATACTACTACACTCCAGCCTGGGTGACAGAGCAAGACTTTGTCTTTCAAAAAAAAAAAAATAGTGAGGGAGATCCCATCTCTCTCTAGGTTCTCCTACTTGGCCATATTCTTCAGAACTCCTGACTGGACCGTAAGGATGCTCCTGTACACCAAGGGGTCAGAACTGGCTGTGAAGTCACAGGCATGTCCCTTCTGCTCTCCAGGAGTTGGCTGCTAAAATAATAAAGACACTTCCACGTACTGAGCCCTCGTGCTGTGGGCTCCTCACCTTCAATTTGCCATCCAGTCTTACAGAGGTGGAAACCAAGGAGTGGAAACCTAAGTCAGGCTGCTGGTAAGCGGCAGAGTCAGCACTCACACTCAGATGTATCCCTCTGGTTCTAACGGTGAGCTCTTTGTCATGGGGTGGCGCCTCAGATGACTTCTGGTGCTCATTTCCCATCCCAAGGCCCCCACTCCCAGATCAGATGCTGCCAACACTTGCTTCAGCATTGATCCAATCTGCCAATTGTTCCCTGATCAAGTAATTATTGAGAACCCTGCTTTGATGATGTCACTCCCTCACTCCATAACTCTCTACACCTCCCCAGCACTTCATGGAACATTGGGCCAAAGTCTTTAAAGATCACCCAGGTAAAGAGTTACCAATTACATACCCTGAATTTAGCATTGTATCTTGCTATTTCTTCACAGGCATTTTGGCTCTCTCCCACCAAGACTCTGAGAGTTCGCTGGCCAGTGACCATTTTTGCCCTGTGTTTTTATCTTATCCAGGGTATCAGACAAACAGTAGATGCTGGCTGATTAGTCTTCAGAAGCAGAATTCTTGAACTTAGTCAAGGGCTCCTAAAGTGGCACTTCTTCCATGAAGCCTCCCCAGATCCCTCTAACAGTTATGACATTTCTCCCTCTTCCTCCACAATGCTCTGTATCCTTTGCAACATGTCAATGACTCCGCATTTTATTACAATCTGTGCAGATGTGGAAGTGAGGACAGCAGACAGGTTGGTTTTAGAGCTGAGTGTAGGGAAAGGGTGAGAGTGGAGGAGGAAAGCTATGAGTGTCGGGACCAAGCCAAGAGAATAGAGTCCATAGCCAGCTCCGGGGGGGAGGATTCCTGGTGTCCAGCACAGGATGTGGCTCATAGCAGGTGCTCATTTCATAAGTGACCATTGAAATAACTAGCTAGTTCAATAACTGCTCAGACACAGGTGTGTGGTCAGTGGTGGCTGGAGGTGGGGGCGAACTTCCCAGGCAGGAGGGCTGGCAATGCCCCAGGATGGAGCCCAGCCCTCTGCACCATGCCAGTACCCTTGCCTCTCACCCCACCACCTCCCACAGCATTTCAGACCTCTCATGCATGGGGCTGGCTGATGGCAGTTTTTATCCTGCCGAGTACAGCCATAGAAAATTGAGATCATTTCTCTGCTGTGTTGGCAGCTGAGAAAATGGCCATTTTTCCTATTTCCAATCCAATAGTTCCTTGCTTTTGGAAAAAAGACCCCATAAGCCAGCCTCTCTCCAGTAGAGACAGGGCAGGGGACAATGTGGTCATCCTGGGGCAGGTCACCTCCTTGGCTAGGAGGGTGGGCTGCAGCCGTCATGCGGTGGCAGGGCTCCGGTTGTGGGTGGAGGGACTACCAACTAAGGCATTTGCAGACATAGAACGGCAACAGGCAGTAAGGTCAGAGCAACAGGTAACCCAGGGCCTTTGCGGGGTGCTCAGGGACTCAGAAGAAGTTGACTTTGCAGTCCCTGAACACAAGGACCCCCACACCTGCCACTATTGCACTCCCCAAATCAGAGTGGTGTAAGATCAGACAGGCCAAACAAGTGCATGTAATCCCTGCCCCTGAACTGATTTTTTGTAAAGGCAGGTAATTAGTAAGAAAATCCAAATCTGTGAAATACACTGAAGGTTGCTTAGCATCCCATATGCCCTGGGCAGATGAGAACAGCCGGCATGTGGCCTCCATCATGACAGCTCCCTATTTCCCTCAGCCTGCCAGTCACTGTGACTACAAGGGCGCCCCTGGCCCTTTCCCCTCCCTCCTGGTCCGTCCAGGTGCTCTGCCCCGCTGGCCTCCTTGCTGTTCTTTGAATGGTCAAGCCCACTCCTCCTAGGGCTCTTATCCTGACTGGTCCCTCCACCCCGAAGGCTCTCAGATATTCACTTAGTTTCTCTCTTACCTCCTTAACGTCTTTGCCAAAGGACATTCTATCAACTGATCATTGGTATTAATGCTACGCATCCCTCCCCTGACATACACACCCACCTCAGATTTCCCAATTCCCCTCACCCTGCTTCCCTGCCTTTAAAATAAATAGCACTTGCCTGTAATCCCAGCACTTTGGGAGGCCAAGGTGGGTGGATCACCTGAAGTCAGGAGTTCGAGACCAGCCTGGCCAACATGGTGAAACCCCATCTCTACCAAAAACACAAAAATTAGCCAGGTGTGGTGGTGCACACCTGCAGTCTCAGCTACTCGGGAGGCTGAGGCAGGAGAATCACTTGAACCCAGGAGACAGTGGTTGCAGTGAGCCGAGATGGCACCACTGCACTCCAGCCTGGGTGACAACCAGGGTGACAGAGTGAGACTCCGTCTCAGAAAAACAACAGCAAAACAACAAAAACCACTCGTTGCCTTTGAACATATATAATTCACTTATTCAATGAATTTATTATTTACTGTCTGCCTTCCCCACCCACAATATACATAAGAATGTATATTGTGCATCCCTCCTCTGACAAACATACCCACCATGAATGCAGGGATTTTTGTTGTGTGCGCTGACTACAACCAAATGCCTAGAACAGTGCTTGGCACGTAGTAAGCGCTAACTGAATACTTGTTGAGTGACAACGTCTCTGTGTGCCTGTATGTGCACAATGATTCATTCATTGATTCATTTGACAAGTCATCAGTTGCCTAGTTTATTCCAGACATCACCTCCCAGACAGACTCTGGGAATACAGAGGCAGAGAAAAGATCACACACGTTCCAGGTCTATTTGAGCTTTTGGCCAGCAGGAAGCCAGGCAATGCAGAATTAAAACCACGGCAAATCTGCAATGAGTTGCAGTGGGTAGTGGGTCCTTGTTCTTAGAATAGGGATGGGCTTCCAGGAAGAAGTGGTGGATATGCTCTGCCCTGACAGCTGAGTAGGCAATGGAGTGGAAGAGTGTGAGTGTTCTGGTCAGAGGGAACAGCATGCACAAAGACTGTGACATGCAAAAGAGCATGACTTATTCGAGGGACTGAAAGAAGCATGGAGGGCAAGGGAAGAGAAAGGCTCAGAGGAAACTGGAGGGTCAGTGGGCCCTGACAGCACCCGGCAGGACTCACTCAGGTATAAGGGCCCGCATGGCTGGCTGCCTGCATCTGTGCTGATTCTGTTGGCAGGAGACAGAGAGGTATGGCAAGAAGACCTCCGAAGGCAGGGTCATGACTTCAAAAGCCAGTGCAGCCAGGACTCTGTTGAGCCTCAGCTTTGCCTTGCATAAAAAGGGGATCACAGTGCTGCCTTCACATAGCAGCCAATGTGACAAACAAAGCCATCATGGATCTGAACTGCAGAAGAGTTAGAATGCTCAAGCTTAGCAGTGTGTGGCCGTGACTGAGTGGGTGTGCACATGAGTGTGCACCTGTGCTCCTACCTCCCACCAACACCATTCTTCCACCATGACAAGGCCGCTGCATCACCTGTACCAAGCTACTAAAAATACACTGGCTTCTGGACCAGAGCCAGGCTCCCCCAAAACCCTGGGGGCTGAGGTAGGGAAGGAGAGACCAGGAGGGGCTGAGAAGGTTGTGGGGTCCTCAGTCTCTGGGCAAAGTGGTCATCAGTCACTATCAGACCCTCACCACGCAAGGAATAAAGGCTACCCCTGAGATCTGGAGCTGTGCCTCCCTCATCTTATTGGGGCCTCTCTGAAGATGGAAATTTGCCTCCCTTGTTATACTGGGTGCTCCCCAAGTGCAAGAACCATTCCCCCCCACTGCCACAGCTTTTCTTCTTCAGAAAAAGAGAGAGGTTGCCGCTCTGTGACTGTGACTAATTCTGTTTAAGGGTTGGCCAGCTCCAGGGCTGTGTTCCTGGGGAGGGGTTTAGGAGTAAGGTGGGGTATCCTAGCTGCCTGTTCTCTCAGGGCCAGGGCCCCGTGGGGTCTGATGTTCAGTTCTGGGAATTCTTGGATGGAGATGCTGCTGAGAACCTGGACCATTTTAGGAGTCATCCTATCCATCCTGGTAACCTCATTCTCCAGCTCCAGTGGTCGTGAAAGATAGGCCCAGGGAAACAGAAAATCTGAGAAGTTCTGCCAGCAAGCACACATCCTGCCCACTGCCGTCAGTTTGAACTGAACAAAAAAAGTCATGTAAGAGAAGAGAATAACCAGCTGCTCATTCTCACAGGCCAAAAAAAGTGTGGGTGAGAATGCAGCAGGAAGGATTACAGTTTGATAAAAAGCAGAACTTTTTGAGGGCAGGTAATGTCCTAGATAATTTAGGCAAAAAGAGATTTTCTTCAATTATCTTTTCTACTTCCCTTTTTTTTTTTGCATTGAATTATTCATCCTTGCACTCATTCATTCGTGCAACAAGCATTGAATTATCTAGGTAACTGCTTCCATTTTCCACTTCATCTTGCTGGGTTGTCTGCTAGCCAGCAGGGCCTGGGATGGAAGTGTGTATGGCAGAGAGTGGGTGGGAAGTGGTGGTGGTGGGGAGCTGAAAGGGTCAAATGACACAGCAGAAAGGAGATAATGATGCCTGGACTCGGACTGTGGGTGCTGAGACCACTCTAATGGCTTGCTTGTCCCCCCCCACTTGTTGCAACATTGGCTCACTTGTCTCAGTCCCCCCTTTCTCTGGGCAGTGCATTTGTCCCCCAGAGACCCGTGCAGTAGCTAGCTGAGTGTTGGTGCTCTGTGATACACTGTCCCATCCTTGGGGACTGCTGGAGTATGGCAGAGCCAGCTGAATTGGTGATAAGAAGGCCTACTTTTCTTTTCATTTAAGAAGACAGAGAAGGAAAAATTTTAAAGAAATTTATGTTCCTAAAAACACACACACACACACACACAACTGGTTCATTAATCTCTTATTAAAATTCTGTGTTGAGCATGGGCAAGGAAGAAGTAAGGAAGACCCTGGGGAGGAAACGGGGAGGAAGAATACGATTCTTCCACTTGTTAGCATCGGCTGCAGGAATCAGGGGAGAGAGGCGTGTGCTTGGGGAGAGAGGCGTGTGCTCTGACAGAGAAAGATGAGGGAGGTAAGAAGGGGCTTCTTCATCATAGAACAAAAGAGTTGGGAGGGGGCTTGGAGGGCACCGCCCCCTCACATTTGGGAGAGCAAGAAAACAAGACCCAGAGAAGTAGGTGAAATTCCTGTGGCTACACAGCAAACTGATGACAAAGTCAGGGTTTGAACCCAGATATCCTGTATCCTGAGGACTGTGTGATTTCAAACTGCTTTGAATTTCAAGACTTTGGACCTTTGTCTCATTCCCCCCAGTTGGACTTTGAGCTACTGAAAGAGCTGGAGGTCAGGTCTGGAATCCCTCACATTTCTTTCATAGCACTTGGTAAGGTTTATTAATGAATGCTACTAGTAATTGATTATCATGACTGCTTGCAACCAGAGGCTGGCTTGAGGCTAGAAGCCCATCACTGGAAGAAGCTGCAGAGAGAGGGGATAGTAGAGGTGATGGAATCTGTTGAGGAGTCTGGGGCAGACAGCCCCATTTGGGCTCTGGTGCTTGTTCTGATTCCAGAACAAACTTGCAGAGTGAGCTTGGCCAGTCCCTTCCCTGTGTGTCCATTTCCTCATCCACATGAGGTTGGATTTGGTGGTTCCTCTTTCAGTGTTTTGGACATCATTATGTGCAGGGCAACAAGGTGAGACCCTGCCCGCTACTACACACTCCCCTGCTCCAGGTAGGTGGGCCAGACCCCAGTGGTGGGAGTTGGTGCCTCTCAGGGTTTCAGTTTCTGCAGCATCGCCAGCACTCACTACCAATCTCAAGTCCAGGGTCTGTCAGTTCCAGACAGGCCCCCGGCAAGGGCCTAGGAGACACCCAAGTCCAGCTCTGGTATTCCACAGTGGCCTTATCTCCCACAGCGAAGCACCAGCCGTCCTCAGAATGGATTCCAATAAAGCTCATTTCCTGCCACCAAGTTTATAACACATCCCCACCTACTGGTCTTAAACATTAACAAGGCTATGTTGTGAATACGGCTGCATGTGGCCAGAAGAAAGATGGGTGTGGGAGAGGCGAAGCAAGCATCATCCCTCACGCCCGGCAATAAAGGGGTCTCCCAAGGGCTGGTGCTTACCCTGTCCTGCTGTGTTCCTCCTGCATCTCCAAAAGGGCTCAGGGCTTGGGTGATCGGGGGATGGGGTAGGGGTGTGGACACAACCCGCAGGAGAAACTCAAGGTTGCTGGGCTGGGGATCATGGAGGTGAGGACACGTTTTGAGACCATGTATTCAGAATGACCCTGGACACTACATTTGTATCCTGTGAGACCATGTCATAACATGTCACCGGAGACACATGGGTCTTGTATGTGCCCACTCAAGGGGCATGGCATGGGCCTGCTCCATCCTCTTGCTCTCTTTGTGGTATCTCTGCCTGTCTCCTCCCCTGCCCCTCTTCTGCCCTCTACCCCAGAGCTCCCTTTTCAACTGATGCTGGGAGGGTCCCTCAATACAGAGTTGTCCTCCTACCCCATCCATTTCTTCTGAGCACCTGCTATGTGTCAAACACTGGAGAGCCATGCAAACACATAGAAGACATGGCTCCTGCCCTAAATGCAAGAACGTGGGGATCAGGAGGATTGCACAGGTAAGCATGCCCATGTATACCCCTCACACAGCAGCCTATGAGGAAAAAGTGCTAGAAAAGTAGCATGAAGTACCAAAGAAGTCATGGAAAAAGTTCATTTATTTCTATCAGGGTATGGGGACTGCTGGTGAGAAGCTAGGGGGTAATCTACGGAGGCTCCCTGGAGGAGGTGACATTTGAACTCCGCTTTGAAGGTTAAGTAAGAATTTCTGGAGGCAAAGTATTCCAGATGGAGGGGCTGGTGGGTGCAAAAGCAGAAAGGCAGGAAAGTGAGAAAAGCAATACCTCATAGGGCACACGGAGGATGGCGAGAGGCCAGTATCTTTGAAGTAAAGATGTGGATTTGGACAAGATCATAAATGGCTTTGGATGCCAGGGCAATGAGTGTGCCCTTGATCCTAGAGGCTGTGGGGAACCAGTAATTGTTCCTGAGTAGTGAGCTGACATAATCAGCCCTCTAACAGATTTATCCACCACGCTGACCCCTAAACTCCTATTCAAACTAACAGTGGGGCTGGGAGTCTCCCCAAATATTAGATACAAGAAAGTGGCCTTCACAGATGTTCCCTGGAAGAGGGCTGGAGACTGGGAACAGTGTAGAGGTGCCCAAACACACCACTCTGCCTATCTCATGGGCTGAACTGGGCCCTGAAAAGGTAGTAAGGCTCCATTCACACATGGTCTCTGTCCAGGAGTCCTGGCAGAAACTGGAAAGGGGAAAGAAAGGCCAGAGACCACGCTGCCTGTGGAAGATGGGGAATGTGAGGGAGGCAGCCCAAGGTCACCCTGCCCGGTGGCGCCAGAGTCAGACTGAAACCCAGGCTACTTGGCTCCCAGTCTGGCTGTGTGGTCAGAACCCTGTGACCTCAATTGCCTGCCAGGCACAGAAAACTGCAACTGTCCCTCTATCTCCCAGCATTTTAGAAAAGCCCCGGAACCCCAACCAAGAGTCAGTTTAAAGGGAGACTAAGTCCCCGGACCCTATTCTTAACAGAGGGAAGGGGTGGCTACGTGGGTGTCAGGCAGCCCTGGAGGAGGAGGGCAGCCCAGGCAAGATGGGGTTTTATTGTGGGGGGATTTCTATCATACTGGCCTTACCCATCTGGGGGATCCCCCAAGTTTTAAGTATCTGCTGGCACCCTTCTCTGAGGCAGGGGAGACTGAGACATGCGATGGAGAAGAGAGTTCAGGACTCAGGGAAGGAGGTTGGAAAGGAAGCCAGATAGTCAGGAGGGGAAATGTCCGCTCAGTAGGGCGATTCAGACCCTACCTCCTCAAATACCTTCTTTCTGCTCAGGCAGCCAAGCCCTCTGCCCTAGGTGTGCTGTCACTGTGTTAGGCACTGGCTGTGTGGAGAGACAGGGAATAAGCCCATGGCTCTGCCTCCACCAATCCAGGACTACTGGGGCACAGAGAGGGCACTGGTGCCTAAGGAAAAAAGGAGGCCAAGGCCAAGACCAAGGGAAGGCAGCCAGGACGCTAAGGCCCAGCTGGAACTGCGTCTTAGGAACAGGCAGGATTCTGGCAGGTGAGGAAGGGAAAGGGATCTTTAATTCCAGGCTCAGGGATCGGGAAGGTGGGCAGAGGGACCCTAATGACAGAGTTTGAGCTGCCCATCATCAGCGTTTGAGGTGACGCCATGGTTGGGCTTTGGGAAGGGAACTCCGACAGCAAGATGTAAGAAGAGGGGAAGAACCCACCTAGACTCAGGCCTGGGTTTCTGGGCTTCCTCCTACTGGGCAGGGAAACTCCCTGCCGGCCAGTGCTAGGTCACAAGTGCAGCCCATGCAGCTCCAGTGCGCAGACAGGCAGCCCACCTCCCTCTCCCCCACCTTCATTCTCAGTGTTGCACACAGAGCCTAGAGATTTCTGGTTCCCCGCTATGCTCCCACTTCGCCCCACCTCACCCTCGCCCCCCTGCTGGCTCGCTGCTCTGCCTATTCCTCCCATAGAGAACTGAGGTTAGCTGTCTCTGGTGAACTGAACGCAAAACAACCCCCCCTGGTGTTACCTCAGCCGGGAATAACCAAGCCACCCATAGAGGGAGGTCTGCCTGCTCCCCGCCCCCCTCCTAGCCCCAGGACCCTACGATTCCGAGAGCCCCTCTTTTTCTTATTCTCTCAACCTTGAGAATGCGCTTTGGTCAGGGTGAAAGAGGCCGCTGGTTAGAGACCTTGGGCACACTCCTGGCGAGCTTGAGCAGGCTCTTAGGGACTGGGCAGATCTGGGCAAGAGCTGAGCCCGGCACACCGAGGGCGCTCCACCAATGCGGAGAGCCCACTGCCCCCTCCATCTAAGCGCCCTCCATTCTGCCTGAGGCTCACCCCTCAGCGTGGAGCATCGAAACACCCCCGCCCCCCAACCCCGCCACGCCTTGCTGGTTAAGAAAATGTATCCCAGGTCGGCTGGTTTCACGTTAGGAGGGAGCAGAGGGCCCCGCTTCTCCACTCTCCTTTCGGAGCTCTCTCCCTCCCACCTCGGTCTGCTCCCCTCGCCTCCTGGAGCGTCTCCAGCTTGCGGAAGGCCCGCTGCAGCCTCCTTCCCTCTGGTCTGATTTCCCATTCTTGGGGGCTGTTCAAAAACCCGCTGCCCCCCACCCGTATGCCCGCTGTCCCACCGCCAAAGCGCGCCAACCTCAATCCCTCCTTCTCCCACCCCCTTTACCGCGGAGCCCGGGGCGAGCCTGGGGAGCAGACGCAACAGATTGCAGAATGCGAGAGCGCGGAGCCCGCTCCCTCCGCGCGCGGCCCGCGGCCCACCGCCCCGGCCTGTGCGGGTGCCCAGACCCCCGCCCTCCGGGCTCGCCTAAGCCGGCCATTTAGATGCAGCTCACAGGACCGCGGGCGTGCGAGCCGCGGCGGCTCCCCGGCCCGGAGTCAGTCCACTTCCCTTCCCGAGGACCGCCGCAGGAAGCGAGGCGACGGGCGGCGCGGCCCCGCACCGGCCTGCGCGCCCGGGGCGAGGAAAGACGCGATCCCGGCGGATCCCAACAGCCCCCAGCCCGGCCGGCTGCAGGGAGAGACGGGGGCGGGGGGCGGCCTGGACGCGATCCGGAGGATCCCTCGGATCCCTCTAGATTTCCGTGGGCGGACACGACCCCAGACCTTCGGGTTCGAACCCTTCTTTATAACCAGGAGAGGACTGGAGCGACACCCTCCCCCCACCCTTTTCTGGCGCCGGGCTCGGTCCCCTCAGCTGAGCTCGCCGGAGGGCTCGGGGGCTGGCGGTAACTCGAGCTGCAGCCAGAGACGCCAAACCCGGAGTGGCGGCTGCGAGTCCAGGGGGTGTGGGTGCTCCTCTCCCCAGTCTTCCCCGTACCCCCTCCAGTGGCGCCTGCCGCATCCTCACCCCCAGTCCGCGCCGCGACACTTACCGTGGGCGAGTAGCGCTGAGAGGCAGAGCAGGGCGGCGCCGCCGCGGCCCGACATCCCCGGGGCCATGGCCGAGGCGGGGGCGGGAGGGGTCCGAGAGAGCAACAGTCGACGACGACTTGGCCCCAGGCTGGGCTTGGTCACATCCAACTCAGGGCTGCCGTGGCGCCCGGCTGTCTCAGATGCAGCTCCGGGACCAGAGAGTGCAATTCGGGGACACTTTGCGGGGAGGGGGCGTCCCAGGCGCTGGCGGCTACACCCTCGGAGCCGGTGGGGGCGCAGCTCCGGGCGGGAGGAGCCTCCACCTCCCCCAGCTGGTGCCCCCTGCAGGATCTGCGAGGCGCGGGGGGAGCTGCACGTGCAGTCCGGAGCCCGGTGGCCGCGGGCGTCCCGGGGGCTACCTAGAGCCCAGTGCTGAATCTCCCGGCCTCACGGCCCAGCTCGAATCCGAACTCACTCGAGGGTGCCGACTTCCAACGCAATCCCCAGTTTCCTCGGTTTCGGTAGTAACCGCACATGGATAGCGCCGCTTTCTTCCTCCAAGCCCCTGCAGCAGCCCAGCATAAAAATCCCAGGTCAGGTGCAAATGAATGCTGTCTTTCTCAAAGAAAGAGAAAATCCAGACAACTTTAATCCATCTGGAGAAGGAAAAGTTTCCGTGCGGTGCTGAAACTGGCGACGCCGGTCGCCACCACCCTAGGCGACGCCCAGACCGGATGCCCGAGGCGGGCGGCCAGATGTTTGTCCCCTCGCAAGGCTCGCTCCTCCGCTCCAGCGCGCTTTCTCCAGTCTGGATCAGGGCCCAGGCTCCACACAGGCCGGCTCAGCGCCTCCTGCCCAGGCAGCCGCTCGGCGGCTGGGGCAAGGGTGGCGCGGCCAGAACGGGCTGCCCCATGTAGATGGGGCTTGGAGAAGCGAGGGAGCGAGAAAGCCGGCTAATGCGCCCTGCCCCGAGCCCTTCCTGCCCAGGACGTCGACTCCAGCTTGATGACCATAAACGCTGTAAGATGCAGAGGGGCTCCTGCAGCTCACGGCAGCTCCGGGCCACCCCGCTAAGGTCTCGCTGTCTCGGCAGAGAGGCGCGCTGCCCCGCCTCGCTCCTCGCCTTCCCTGGGGGAACCTGCACAAACCTTGAACTTTTCTGGGGTTCAGAGTCTCCGACGCCTCCTCCCCGCCGCCCCCACCCTGTCCCCGGACGCCCGTTCGCCCGCTGTCTCGATGCTGCCGGGCATCGGCTCCCGCTCCCTCCGAGTCAGTTTGGGCGAGCGGATCGCCGCGCCAGTCCGGGCTGCGGGCGGTGAGACGCGGGCGCGGCGCCAGGGGCCAGGGCAGCCGGCACCTGCGCAGCTTGCGGCCAGGGAAGCGGCAGCTGGTGCCTACGGGGCCGAGAGGAGAGGAGGTGCTGGCAGGGGAGCCGGCTCCCCATGGACGTGTGTGGGGGAAGAAGAAGAATCGAGGAGCAAAAAGGAAGAGGAGGTGGGGGAAGCCACAGTTGCACGAAGCAGCCGCCGCCGCCGTCGCCGCCTCCTCGGCGCTCGCGCCGGCTGCTCCGCCGTAAATGACTCGAGAGAGACACACACACTCGCGCTCGCCCGCCCTCCTCCTCCGTCCGGGATTCAGCGCCCACCCGGGCAGAAGCGGGCGCCGAGCTTGGCGCGCTCACTCCCACCCCTCCCAGATTCCCCGTGGTCACGTGGCCCCCGAGCGCGCGGCCCACAGCTCGCGCGCCACGGAGACTCCCCGACTCCTAGCTCCCCCTCCTCTGTCCACGTGTCCATTCCGCATTCCTAGCCTGGCGGCGCGCGCGGCTCCTTAATGAGACTCGGGCCAAGGGCCGACCTCGCGATTCCGCTCGCCCCTATTTTATGTTTGATTTTTCCTTCCCAACGCCGGCTAGCGCTGGGACCCGAATGGGGCCGGCCAGCTGCGGCGGGAGGAGCCTCCACCTCCCTCAGCTGCGTTTCTCCAGGGTAGACGCCACCGCAGTCACTGATGTCCCTTTTCAAAGGATGCACGCTCCCCACCGGGCGCCGGAGGTGTTTTGCAGCCGCTCTTCCAGAGGCGCGGGTAGGGGGCACCCTACCCCCACCCCCAGAGTTCGCTGGGCACTGGCTGGGAATCAGCCTCGCTGCTGTGCCCAGCTCCTCTCGGGCCGCGGGGGCTCTGGGGCTCAGCTTCGTGCGGGATGGGTCCGGGGCGCAGCTGTGGGAAACCTATTTATTCTGTTGCTGGGGAAGGAAGACGGAGAAGAGGAGGGGACAGTGCTTTCCTACAGGTTGTTTAGCAAGCCTTTAAAGAGGCATGAGGTGGGGGTGGGGAACTGCCCCTCTTGCATACTCACCCAGGCACCTGCTGACTAGCGGGAGGGGTGGCTGGAGTGATATCTGTTCCCACCATCAGGCCCTTTCCATTAGAGTGCAACCTAGATCAGACCCGGCAAGTCAACCTTCACACCTCATCTGTCAACCAGGCATCGGATCCATGGCAATGATTTTATAGCTTCGTTGGGTATCAACTCCAATCCCCAGAGGGTGAATTTCAATCCTACCCTGCTCTGGAGGGACAGGGTCTTCAATCCCATGGACATATCCCTACTGGGGAGGATATGGATCTTGAGGGTCACCCTTCCATACCTCTGCACTCAACTGGAGTGAGAGTGTGGGGCCAGGTCAGAGCAAAGCCAGCTGGGGCACTCAAACCGTGCCCTCCATCTGCCTGACTCCATGCTAGCCCTCTTGACCCTGAGAGTTTCCTTTCATCTAGGACGGTGACATTTTGTTTTTGGAAAATGTGCTTGCATTTTTCATGGAAGGCTTCCTCCTCCCTGGCTGCTGGCTGTTGCTGCCTCGCTTGGTACTGGGGCCTGTAGAGGGCTGCTCTGGCCCTTCCCCCACCCCTACATCTGTCTGGAGCTGGGGGGAGGTGCAGCCTGAGGAGAGCTGGCCAGCTCTTGGAGGCCCTGGGGATAGAAGGTGCTGGAGTCGTCAAAGAAGATTATTCTCATTAGGCCCCTAATGCCTGATGGCAATTAATGTCACCCAAGGGCTTATTCACCAACCCCCTGAGAAGCAAGCTAGCAATCAGGCTCTGTGTGGGGGAGAAAGGGGGAAAGATCCACCTCCTGAGGCAGAGGAGGGCTTCAGGAAGAGGAGGAAGGAAGCAGGGAGGGCCCTCCATCCCTGCCCAGCACCCCATCAGAAGGGTCATGGAGCCTGAGCATGGCCAGAAGGAAGAGACAAGGTGCTTTTCTGAGCCCAAGACACACCTTACCCTGTGTTGTGGATCAAATTTCCTTTCTCCTCAAATGTTCCCAGTTGACGCTAGGGTCTGAGGGGCAGCAATGTTGCATCTCTCCCAGCCATCTGTGGAAATAGCACAGTGTTCTGGTCAGGGTGGGCAGGGACTCAGACATAGAATTCTTCTCTCTGCAACCCCATCTCACCCCACCCCATAGCTCTTATGTGACCTTCCTTTGTGATTCAGTTTCTCCTCCTCCCTCCCTGTCTCTGTCCCTCCCTTTCACAGTAGTATGGTGCATATCTCCAACATCACAGGCATTGTAGGTACAACAGTGAGCAGGACAAAACCAGCTCTTGTCCTCATGGAACTAACTTTCTAGAGGGGAAGGCAGACACTAAGCTTCTAATTGCTTGCAATTGTGGTGTGATTTGGCATCATGCACTTCGCTCATCTTATGGAGAAGACTGAGGCCTGTGGTTGGAAAGGGCGAGGGAGCAGCCTGCTATCTTTAGAGAACACAGTTTCAGCCTCAAGTTCTTCCTGTACCTCCGATATGGATCTACCCTTCCTGGATTGAAGCCTTGTGCCAAGTCCATGGGCCTGATGATCCTCTGACTCTCCAAATGCCAGATTTTCCTCCTCCTTGCCTCAGGGAAGTGAAGGGCAGCCGATAGCCCACCTGGAGAATAAAATATGACTACAACCTGCAGTGCTCCATGGACCTGTCATTCTCAGCAGTGTAAATCCTACTGCTCAGAGAGAAGGCAGTTGGCACAAGGTAGACAGCCAGTTGTTTCAGCTATTCCAATCCTGCATGTCATTTACCTGGAAAGGGGTTCTATACATTCCCTCTGCCTTTCCTACTACCCCAGCAGACTGCCCTCGGTCTCACCTGTTAGTCCTAGTTACGGATTCCCAAACAGCAATGCCACTGGAGCTTAGATAAGGGGAAGTCAGAGGAGCCACCCCAACTGGAGCCCGGGCTGGAGAGAGGACCTGGCATGTGTGTACTCTTCTATCCCAGATGAGCACCTTATCAACTTAAGGTGGTAGTGTCTCTGCTGTTTCCATTCTGTTTGTGTCTTCTGGACAGAGGATTGGCAATGGTTGGAGGTTATCTCAGTCACCAGTTCCCAGGTGATGCCTGGAAGAACCCTGTCCTCCTGCCAAGAAGCCAGGCAGCAAGTGGGGTTCTGTCCCAGGCCCCGGTGCCCTACATGGATGCTTATCAAGGACCCATACATAAACTGGCACCCACTTCCTCCCATGCCTGACCTGCCCTCATGATAGGCCAGGTGACATCTGTCCTTCAGCATGCCTCTGTTTTTCAGAATGTCTACCATCAGGAGACAATCAGATGAGCCAATGTGGAGCATCATGAAGACATGTTCCTGGGATCATCCTGGAATCCGACTCTGTCTCAGCTCAAGGGGGTTCCGAGATTTCCTAAGCTAGCCCTCTCATTTTACAGCTGCAAAAACGGAGGCCTGTTAATTCAGTCATTTTATGAAATCCTTTGAAATTTTTATTGAGCTCTAATTGTGTGTGAAGTATTATGGAATGCTTCTGTACTGGAATGCATAGGTTGAACAAGACAGAAAGGCCCAGATGGCAGAAGTTCAAGAGCTTTCACCAACCCATATAGAGAACCTAGTAATATTAATGACTAATGTTAATGAATCCATGCTTTTTACGTGCCAGTCACTGTGCCCAGCATTTTGCATGCATTATCTGAGTCCTCACTACAACGCTGTTACGTAGGTACTGTTATTATAACCATTTTCCAGATGAGAAAACTGAGGCTCAGTGAAGGCAAGTTTCTTGCCTAGGGTCATAGAGCTATAAAGTAGCAGAGTCACAGCTCAAAAGCACATATATGTGATTCCAAAGCTCAGATACGTAACCCATTTAGCCACTTTCACTGTGATATGCAAGGGCCCAGGATTTCATATATAGCAAAGCTATCATTTCTGGGTGGACATGTTTAGGGGCAGTGGGGTACCAGGCATAAATAGGCTGTTCAACACGGGGAGGGCAGTGTGTGAAGGAGGCCAGCACAGGGGCTCTGGGAACACAGGCACCTCTGATGAGAAAGTAGTGTTCTTTCTGCAGTACTGTTCTGAGTAGCTCAGCCTCTTGTTCCCCTTCCCCAGCACCCAGATTCACACCTACATGCTGTTAGACATTCACCCCATTTAGTACACAGTTATGCATACACGTGGCTATTGTAGCAATTGTCGAACTTTCACCCTGCAGCTGGGCTGCTTTGCCTTCCCCTGTAGGCTGAGCTCCCAGCTTAGATTCCAGCACCAATAGCTATTTGTGGGACAGGAGAATGTCAGCAGTGAAGGGCAGCATGATGGCCAGCATGTGGCTTTCCCAAGCAGAGACCTGGGTTCCAGTCCTAGAAGGCAAGGCAACTGTATTAGTTTGCTCATGCTGCTGTGACAAAATACTACAGACCAAATGGCTTAAACGACAGAAGTTTTTTTTTCTCACCGTTCTGGAGGCTGGAGTCCAAGATCAGCGTGCTGGCAGGGTTGGTTTCCCCTTAGGACTCTTTCCTTAGCTAGAAGATGGACACCTTCTTGCTATGTTTTCACATACGGTCATTTTTCTGTGTTCATGAATCATGGTTTATCTTCCTCTTCTTATAAGGACGCTAGTCATATTGGATTTGGGCCCCATGAAAATGGTTCATTTTAACTTACTCACCTCTTTAAAGACGTTAGCTCCAAAGATTGTTGTATGCTGAGTTACTTGGGGTTGGAACTTCAACGTATGAATTTTGGAGGTAGAAGATATATTTGAGAGTAAAAAGGGGTTCTGTTAACCCATTTATGCCTGAGGTTGCAATTTTTTGAAGTTTTGCAATCAGATCTTGGCAATGACCTGGAGCGGTAGGATATAAATAATTCCCACATGCTTAGCATTCCAATAATGGAACACTAGGCATAAATGGGCTAAAAATTACTTTGGAGCAGCAGTCTTAAATGGACCATTTAGGGCAAACTGGAACATATGGACACCCTAACATTCTGGCCCCATCACTCACTCTACAGCCATCTTCTTTTAAACCACTGCACCTCTCTGAGTCTCAGTTTCTTCATCTGTTGAATGGAGATAATCATATCAACTCCCCCAAGCAGGCACTTTTAAAATACTAGTAAATGCATACTGATTACCTGACAGTACTGAGCACCACTGCATGCTCTGTAAAGGTTAACCATTGCTATTATTGAAACCAAACTGCTCACTGAGGTCTATGGGCCTATGTGATTTGACCCCTAGCTGCTTTTCCAAATTCATTTCTTCCCCCTTCCCCCTTCTCCCTTCTATTTTATTACACTGGCACCACAAAGGCCGCCCAGCAGTCATATATCAAGCACATTCCTGCCTCAGGGCCTTTGTACCTGTTGTTCCCTCCACCTGGAATGTTTTCCCCTAACCCCTTGCTCCTTTACTTCATTCAGGTTTTTGCCCAACTGCCACTTCCTCAGAGATACCTTCCGAGATATATGATGAGCTGATATAAAATAATGCAACTATTGTTCTACCTCCATTGCTTTATTCTTTTATGCTACTTTAATTGGATTCATAGCAGTTGGTATTTTATTTTAGAATTGCCTGTGTATCTATCTGTCTCTTCTGATAGAATGTAAGCTCCCCAAGGGCCAAGATTCTGTATGAACCATTCACCAACGTATCCCCAGTGCCCAGAATGGTGCCTGGCATATGTGCTTAACAAAATAAACTGACTGGATTATTTATCCATATTCACTTACTTCAGTAACTGGGTCTTTGATTTTACCCAGTCCCGATAATTGGGTCTTGGGTCTGTGTTCCCATAAGGGCCCTGCCTGGCACCTCACTTCCATGATCTTCCAGAGCCTGGGAGCCCACAGCCCATGCCCCTGATGCTTCTCTTGGCAGTCCCAACTCTTACTATGCCCTTTTCCTTGTGGAGGCTGGAGTTCCTCCACCTGCCATGTCAGCCTCATCCTGACTGGTAGGGCTTGGGCTGGGACCCCAGAGCCCTGATTCCTCCCACCACTTCCCACCACCAAGTCCTGAAGGACAGAGACATCTGCATCTCCTACCATTCCCCAACATGACTCCTCTGCCCCAGCCAGGCCAAGCCGAACTCCCTGCCGCCACCATCACGAGGGATGCTCCTCTTCATGCCAGGCTCATTCTTCCCTCCCCACCTTTGTTCCTGCTGTACCCAGCTTCCTTTGTGTTTTTCCCCACCAATTAAAATCGTGCCCATCTTCACGTTTCAGCTCAGGGGTCTTCTTTATAAAGTTCTCAGACACATTGTGAAATGGTTATATGGCCTCATGGAAAAAAAGAACAAACAGAGATTTTGGAATCAGGCAGGGTTCAAGTTCTGACCACATTTCCTTCTGTTTAGTTTTTCTCTGCACCTTGAGTGCCTAGTCATCACTATACAGTAAATCCCCCCTGCAATGGGGTCATGTTCTCATTAAGATTATTGCTCAGAATCCACCCCCTTCCTATTTTTATAGATAAGAAACCCAAGGCCCAGAGAGAGCTAGTGACAGGTCCAAGTCCACACAGCCAGTTACTGGCACAGACAGGAATATAACCCCATGTAAGGATATGCCTGGCTCCCTGCCGCACGGTGTGCCCATTCCCAAACTTTCACTGCCTGGCTCAGCCCTGCCTCAGACATGGAAACCCATCTTTTCTTTCCTAGAGAGAATGAGGCTCCTTGGATAATTATTTCAGGGATTTATCCCTGATGCAGTGTGGATGCTAGACTGACCCAGACCTTGGACTCCAGTTCTAGCAGTTGCATTTATGTACTCATCCAGTCATTCAGCCTCACCTTGGACATTTCTTCCTCTTTGAAACCTTCCCTGACACTGCCCACACCCCCATCCCTATTCAGTTCACCTGCAGGGCCGTGCGTCTCCCACATCTAAGCAGCTTTCAGATCGCCTTGATTTGCCTGTCTCCTCCCATAAAGGGGAGACCCAGGAAGGCAGGCACTATCTGCGTTGACCCTTGTTATGTGCCCCTTGCCTGATGTCTGTTGAGTATTCAGTTAATGGCTATTGACTAAGTGAATTATTAATCACCTACTGTGTGTTTGGAGCTATGCTAGATGAATGAGATGGCCTCTGCCCTCAAGGAGTTTGCCATTGTGTGGGAGAGGGAAGTGGGCAGACACATAGGATTATGATGCACAGTGGCAGTGGGTGCTGCCCTGGAAGGAAGCACAGGAGCCCTGGGGCAGGAACGAGGGGCATCTAGTTCAGCCTAGGACATGAGTGCTGCAGGATATGAGAAAGCTTCTTGAAGGAGGTGACTTTGAGCTACACTAAGGGAAGGACAAGCTGGTTTGGGGAAGTGGGGAGAAGAAAGGGAGGGGAGGAGGCTGCTTCAAGAACAGAAAATAACATTTTAAAGCCTGGATTCAGGGAGGACATGGTGTGATCAGGAGACAGTGAGTGTTTCTGCATGGCTGGGGCATTTGAGAGCTGGGGCAAAGCTAGGAAAGGGGCTGGAGAGGAAGCAGGCCCATCGCCTCTGTGCCCAAAGATACCTGTCTGTGGTGACATGCACGCTCGTGGTTACTATACTCAGTTATACGACTTCACACGTTTGGGGCCAAAGACACTGGGAGGCTTATGAAACATTTTATCAGTGTGTTTGTGCACAGTCCCTAACCCCGACCCCACACATTTGTGCACAGTCCCTGACCCCGACCCCACATTAATGCCCAACATTATTTGGGCAGCTCAACTCTCTGCAAAATGGGTTACCTTCTGTACTGGCTGCTTACAGATCTTTTTACTCCCATTTCCCTAGAATCTCTACCTTTAGTTCCTCTTCAGGCATCACACTTCCTCCATCCCCCACCCCGTGGCCAGCCCTGACTCTAGCTGTCCCCTTTCTCTTCCTCCCTCTGGCCCACGTGGACAGTAAGCTAGGACCACCCTGGGCACCCAGCCAAGGGAGGATTTGGACTTGAGCCATGCAGGCTGGGCTCCGCTGTCCCCTCCCTCTCTTTTCCTCCCCACCCCCATACAGCTTCATTTAATTCCAGGGCAAAGCACTTGCCTAATGCGAGCCAGAGAAAGAGAGCAAGAGCCAGAGACGGAAATACAGAGACGAAGAGAGCAAGAGCCAGAGACGGAAATACAGAGACGAAGAGAGCAAGGACACTTTCTTTGCCACAGCCCAGCAGCCAAACGGCAGCGAACTCTGATGTGGTTACAAGCTCCTCAACTTCTTGTTTGTTGGCCAACTTGGCTGCCAGGTACAAGTGGGAGAGGAAGAGCCGGGGGCCCAACTTCTCTCCATGGCCTCCTGATCAGCTGCCCGTGACCTCCCAGAGTTGTTGAGCCAGCTCTGCCTGGCTCCTGGGGTTGGCAGTGCCCAGGATTCCTGAACTGGGCAGGAGGGCCAATTGGGCCTGCTGGGAGGGTGAGAGAAGGAGCCAGGCATGCTGAGGACTGCAGAGGAAGCCGGGTCTACTCTGAAGAGGGGAAGCCCTCACATCATAGACATATGGCCAGATGGGCCATTAGAGGCCATCCTGGTAACCTGTGAGCATTACAGGGGGAATGTGAGGCCCACAGCAGTGGGTATCTTGCCTGATTTCACACAGGAGCCCATTTCAGAGTTGAGATCAAAACCCAGGTTCTCTTTCCAGATCCTTTAAGATGGGAATCCTGCTTTAGGTTCCCACCCTACCTCCCAAATCTGATTCTCAGCTCACTTACGTCTTCCTCTTGCTAAAAACCCGTCTATGGCTCCACAATGCCCACAGGATTAATCCCAAATTCCCCAGATTTACATTTAGGGTTTGACACATATTTTCCAGCCCACCCTCCCCACTTTTAGCCATTCTTCCCCAAAAAGTCATGCCTTTCTCTGCCGTGGTTCCCTTTTGCTCTGCTGGAATGCCTGTTCCTCCTTCCCCATCTCTTCTTGGGGCCCTTCTGTAAAGGCTCTTTCATCCACCCCAGGTGGAATCAATCACTGTCTGCCTCATTGTTAGAATCCATCTGATCTTTGTTTAGCCTTCCTCTCATTCACGTATAAAATCTGTAGGGACTAATGTGGTTTGGATGTTTGTCCCCTCAAATCTCATGTTGAAATATAATCCCCAGTGTTGGAGGTGGGGCCTGGTGGGAGGGGTCATGGGGGGTGGATCCCTCATGAATAGCTTGTTGCTGTCTTTGAGATCATGAGTGAGTTCTTGCGAGATCTGAGTTACATGAGATCTGATTGTTTAAGAGTGTGGCACCTCCCACTTCTCTCTCTTGCTCATGCTCTCACCATGTGATGCCAGCCCCTCCCTTTTGCCTTCCTCCATGATTGGAAGCTTTCTGAGGCCCTCACCAGAAGCAGATGGCAGTGCCATGCTTCCTGTGTAGCCTGCAGAGCCAGAAGCCAATTAAACCTCTTTTCTTTATAAATTACCTCAGGTACTTCTTTATAGCAATGCAATAATTGATTAATAGAGGGACACAGATTACATTTTGTTCATCTTTAAATCTTCCATAACATTGAACACAGCGGCACACATGGGGTAAATGTTCCTAGACATTTACTGAACAAACGAATGTATGGCAAAAGAGGCAGTAGTTCAGATACCACAGCCCTGCACTCTCAGTTACTTTCTATCCAAAGCCTCTTTGAAGCTTCTCTATCATCTTGAGTGGTGTGTAAATATTATCTACACTTAGAGAGGAAGCTGACTGAACCTCCGAGAGGGAAAGTCACTTGTTCAAGGTTATGTAGCTAGAAACTGGCAGAGCTGGGATTTGATCTCAAGTCTATTTGTTTTTAAAGCCTGTGTTTAATTCACCAGCTCACAGCACATCTGATTATAAATGCCCTCTGAGGCTGATCTTCCTGGGAATTCTTGTGTCCGCATCAACATCCATCAGCAGGGGATCCTCAAGGGGATTCTGGGGGTACCTGCAGAGTGTTTTCCTCACTTGGAAATCCCCCTTCCCTCCCCAGGCCAAGTGAAGTAATGTTCTAGGCTTGCAGAACAGAACACAAAAATTAACCCTGGTCTCACGGGGGCCCTGTCCTCGTTTCCATCTCACCATCTGTCTCTCAGATACTCTCAGATGGTCACCAGGAGCTGTCATTGGGTGGTTCTGAAGCCAAGTTCCAGAGCCAGGCTGCCTGAGTTCAAATACCAACTTGGCTATCTACTAACTATGTGACATTGGACAACTTACTTAACCTTTCTGTGCCTATTCCTCATCTGTAAAATGGAGATATTAATAGCACCTACCTTGTAAAGTTGCAAAGCACTTTGGAGCAGTGACTGGCTCGTGGTAAGTGCTCTGTGCACGTTTGCTATCATTGTTATCCACATCATGTTCTTCCTCTGAGATGCAAGCCTCAGAGGATTTGTTTTCTCTTCCTGCGAAGAGTCATCTCTGTTTCTTTCTGTGTGTTCTGGATAGGCCTCTTAAATACTCTAGGCCTCCCTTGTAAGACAAGGAAGCAAAATTGGGCAGAAAGAACGGCTCCAAGGAAAGCCAAATCAAAGTGACTTTTGTGGCGACAAATGCTTAATAACAACTTTACAAATCCAGTTGAATTACTATGAATAACAACCCTCTTTTTTTTTTTGTATGGATACCGCGCCCATCTCCCAGAGAGCACCCAGCTACAACCCTGAAATCCACCCAAAAGAATAATTACTGGGAAAACAAACTAAAAATAACCCCATAGGAAACAGTGCCAGCTCAGAAGCAGCTCTTCGGAGGTGGGGGCGTTCAAGGAACCTCTTCTGTTGCTTCTGGGATAATAGATTCTAATTTTTAAACCTGGAGTTGTCTTGGGGGTGAGTCCTGGCCCCTGCCCCTACAATCTAGGTCGCCAGGTTGTCTTCAGTATGCTTCCTGGGCATCTGACCTCTGTGCTGCCTTCTGGTGGTCCAAAGAGGGGTGTGGCAGATTGGGGGCCCCACTCCTGGTCCCCGATGCTGACTCGGTTCTTACCGTGTGGGACCTGGGTTGCTCCCTTTCCCTGTCCCTTGAGTTGGACACGCCCAGAGTCCACTGTCTTCCACTGAGGGTCTCAGTGTGTCAGACGTTCTGTGTTTCATATACATGACCTCAGTTCCTTCTCAAGGTGGTTCCCACTTTCTTGGTAAAGAGAGGAGGCTCAGAGAGGTTGAGTCACTGGTTCAAGGACACACAGGGAGGAAAACATAGAGTTAGAGTTGGAACCCAGGTCAGGCCTGTCTGACATCAGAGATTACAAACATTCCTCTAGGAATCCCTGCATTGAGGGGCTCAGCTTCCCGAGGTCTTCCATCGGGGGGAATGCAGGGGGATACCCATGATGCAGCAGAGGCCTTGTGATACTCCCCTTCAGATGGAGTATTACAAAGCAAGTGCTGTGTCTCTGCAGCCAGGGAGGGGCCATGTCTTCTCTGTGTCTCTCAGACTGGGCTCTCGCCAGGAAGGGCTGTGTCTCCTCATCAGAGAGGAGGGTCTTCTTCCTATCAGTCTGGAAGAAGCTCCACTGTAGAGGCATCTTCTCCCCTCTAAGTGTGTGGGCTGCCTCAGGGAAGGGCTGGATGTACTCCATCAGGCAAGGGCACTCCCTGCGGGGGGCTGTCTCCCAGCTCTAACCAGGTTCCATCAGCCCTGTCCTTGGTCTCCCTTTTCCCAGCGATCACCACCTGGGACTCCAGAGTTCCCAACCGAATGCTGACAGCCGACTAATGGGAAAGACAGCAGGATAAACATGGGGCTCCCCTTGGCAGGGACTCAGGCTGTTTCGTTCCTCCAGCAGAGATGAATGCTTGTCCCTGGGAAGGATGATGGCTTTTCTACCTGAGAATGCTGCTGCTGCAGTTCCTTTTGATTGAAATGTGTCCCTGTGGTGATGAGGCGGCTCTGAGGACTGGTGGCTGCTAGTTTCCGCTGCCTGGTTCATAGGCTTTGTCCATCTACAGAAGATAGATGATGTTATTCCAAGCTGAGATGATGCAACCAAGGTCAGAGTGAAGCATTTAATTGGAATGTCAGGGGCCGGGGCCTGGCTCTGCTGAGAGTGATTGATTCCCTAGCGGTCCTTGTCAAAGATGCAGCCATGGATGGGGGAGGTGGTGCAGGGGAGGCCAGGGCAGTAGGAGGCTGCCAGCCGCTGTCCCCTTGTGCACTGAGGCCATTCAATAGGCTTCTGCATCTTTCAGAGGCTATGCCTTCTACAAAAGGGAGACTGAGGTACAACAGATGGGAGGCATTACAAGGATAAGGACACTGGAGCTCCGAACTTCAGCCTTTAGTTCTGTCCGACAGCTCTGTTTCCCTCCTGCTCTTAATCCCTTCTAATCCCCTGACTGGTCCTGATCCTTTCTCTGTGCTAAAGAGAGGGCAATGGGAAGAAGCACTGGTTGCCCCATGACACAGAGAACACTGCCCATCTTACAGCTGCACTCCTCTGGCTCCAGCCTGCTGTGGAAGGGAAGGGTGTCATCAGAGGTTGGAAGCCACTGACCCTCCATCTATGCATGCTAGGAAACTCTTCTCATAGTCTCCAGAGCCTAAGGGATCATTCCCATGTTGGGGAAATTGAGGCTGAGAATTGGGTTTGGTTCTACCTTGTGAGCAACCCTCTTACATCCCATAGTGGTCTTGCTGCAGAAGTCAAGGAAGAGCTAGGGTGTGGGCAGCAGGAAGAGCTCTGGCTGTCCTGTATTAGAAAGCTGGATGCAGGGTGGTGCTGAATGGAAGGAGGCCGAGGCAGGAAAACATGAAGTGTTCCAGGTATAAATAGCTATGGTGACTGTGTGTGCTCTCCTTTCCTGGGTGTAGGAGTGAGTCCAGGGAAAGAACAGGCTGGGGAGGTGGCCAGGGGAGAGCAGCTGAGGCTGCAGAGAGGGAGGTGACACACATCGGCTCAGCATAGAGTGGCACCTGCAAGGAAGGGGCTGGAGGAGATGGGAAGGCTGAGGGGTCTGGAGCTTGGATCAGGGATTTGGGGTAACTTGGAGGAGAAGGTGTGATTGGAGGCCTGGGTTGGTATGGGGTGGGGAGAAGTTCTTGGGTATGAGGTGGAAGGAGTGCTGATGTCTCCAAAGCATGCTCACTGTTTTATATGTCACTCTCAGAAGGCTGGATCCAGGGCATTACATTTTGTTTTTGTGAACACAATCACCATCATCACTATTGTCTTCCTCATCTCAACTCTCATCACCACCATCACCATTGTCACCATTATTACCAGCATCA
Organism: Homo sapiens; assembly: GCF_000001405.40. Taxonomy (NCBI): domain Eukaryota; kingdom Metazoa; phylum Chordata; class Mammalia; order Primates; family Hominidae; genus Homo; species Homo sapiens. Next base: position 34,566,659 of record NC_000017.11, on the reverse strand, counting down.
CCACCACCATCACAAACATCACCATTATCACCACCATCACCACCAACATTACCATCATCATAACTCTCATCACTATCATCACCACCATCACAGCTCTCACCCCCATCATCACGAGCATCATCATTGTCCCCATCATCATAACTCTCATTACCAACATCGCCATTATCACTGCCATCATCACTAACATTATCATTACCCTCTCATAATAACTCTCATCACCCTCGTTACTGTCATCACCAACATCTCCACTATCATCACAGCTCTTGTCACTAACATCACCATCATCAGTACCATCAATAACCTTAACATCAACATCATCATAACTGTCACCACCATCATCGCAACTCTCATCACCAGCATCATCATTCTCATTACCACCACCACTGTCATCATTACCACTCTCATTGCTATCACTACCATCATTATCATCATCATTATCAGTCATCAGTTATTGTCCTTGTCCTGCCTTCCATTCCTGCTTGATGCTTTATAATTTATTCCAAAATACTTCCACATCCTTTCTCTAATAAGAAATTAATCAGAGACCTTTGAAGCAGGCAGGATTGGTCTAGTTATCTCCATTTCACAGAAGAGGAAACTGAGGCTCAGAGATGGTAAGTGACATGCCTGAGGTTAAGCAACATGTTCACTTACTCTTACTAGAACTGAGTTCTTATCTACTGATTCAAGGCTCTTCCTAGTGCACCTAGCTGCTGTAGAATCTCCACTGCCTTCCTTATCTTGTTTCTCCTCCTTCTACTTGGCACCAATACAAACTGGTGTGGAAAACTCTAGTTTTGATAAAACAAGAGAGGCTTTAGTCATAGTAGTACAAAACTGGATGTATGTTCATGGGTAAGTCTCTTCCTCATGTTGGGCTCCAATTTCCTCATTTTCACAGGTACCGGTTTGGGCCTGATAAAGTCCAAAGGCTCTTTCTACTCTGCTAGTCTATAACGGTGCCACAGAAAAAGAGTCATATAAACAGAGAAAAAAAATAGAAAAAGACAGCGCGACAGAGACGTAGACACACACAGACCAAGGCAGAGACCCAGAGAGACCTAGGAAGACCTAGACAAAAGACTCATTAAGATCCAGGAAGATACAGAGAGAAATAGAGACAGAAAGCAGCCAAGAGACAGAGTACACGTCAAAGAGGAGATTTAAGAGGCAAAAAGCCTAGAGAGGAAAAGTAAGTTTTTGAGCAGGACCAGGGGGCAACTGATCTGTGTAGTGGTCTCTGCTCAGGATCCCCACCCAGAGTTCTCCAGGGAGAACTGGCTAAAATGAGGACAGACAGTGCAGCCTGGAGATACTTCTGAAAGGTTTTTGGCTGAATTGGCAACTTCTATGTGTGTATTGTATGTGTGTGCTTGTCTGCATGTTTGAATTGTGGGCTTCAGAATGCTTTTTTTTTTTTTTTTTCAGGGACCAGAAAGGGTGTTAGGGCCTCCTATCATGGATTTTTACCTCCCTGCCACCTGGCTTTCACAGCAGCAGGCTTGCTGATTTGGCTGCCTCTGTCCTTGACAAATTAGTCCAGAAAAATAGGATGTGGAGGTAGTGGGGTGATAGGTTTAGGCTGCATTCATAAAGGAGCTGTGGTGGGGGCTCCCAGTTGTTTATAGGGAGTTAGAAACGGCTTCTTCCCTTCTGTAAGGTGGGGAGGCTTTCAGCCACAGAAGCTGTGCAGCACTGGATTAGAGACTGGACTCAAGTTCAGCTTGGACTCTCATACAGTGACTTTGAGCAAGACTCTTGCTCCTTATCTACATGAATAAGTGGGAATGAGTGAGCTCTGCCTTCCATGAGTCTGGGAAATAAACTTTCTTTAGTGACTAGCTCCCATTAGTGCACTTTGTGCCCCAGAGCCTCTGATTTATGGGCAGAAGGGCCAGGGCTACCTCCTCCATGAATGTTCTGGCCCACACTGCCAAGCACTTAGAGCATCTTCCCATCATCTGTTTAATTCAAAAATCTTGCTTTATCACTTTCGTTTTTAGAATCCATCTATGGATACCTATTGCCCTCAGAATAAAGTCCAAGTACTTCCTCTAAGGCCCTGTAGACCTGCTGCAGCACTAGACCTGGAGGTGGCTGAGCTACTCAAACCCCTCTGTTTCCCTTATCAATCTCATCTGTGCAGATTCCCTAGTGAAAGGGCAGCCACGGGTCTCCCTGGGTTTCAGCTGGCTGGACCTGGGGTAGACTTAACTCAAGACCAGGCAACCCAAGGCTCCAGAATTACTAGAGTTTACGGAAGAATCCAGGAAAATGAGGAAGAGTCAGGGCCTTAAGAGGTCATGGCCAGCACAAGCTAAGAGGAGGCATAAGCCAAGAGGAAGCAGAAGCTACGAGGTAAAAGGAAATGACCTCCCATTTTTGGCAGGTTTTGTTGAACGTGGACTTGGCTAAGGGAGTCCCCAGTGATCCTAGAGATCCCTTACTCCTTGATGAGACACACACACTTGTCCTGTCAATGCGCCCCCATTAGTAGAGGGAATCTATTCTCAGGACATAGTGAAGTGACACCGAAATACTTGTCCCCTGCTTGCTTTTGCACTTAATTACCCCTACTCACTCCTTTCCTCCAATTCTGCACCTGATGCTTTAGCCACAGATGGCTGTGCTCTCCGAATGTGCTGTGATGTTGAGAGACTCTGCACTTGCTATTCCCTTTGCCTGGAATGCCACCTCCCACCTGTTCCCAGGATGCTCACCTTTCAAGTTGCCTTCCCTGGGAGGTTTTTCTAACCACTTCCAGCCTCAACTGCAAAGTTGATTACTCCCTCTTTTGCCCCCATATGTCCCTGCAATTGCTTCACAGTGCTTGGTCCATGTCTGTCTTTCCGTTTAGACTGAGAACTTGCCAAGGACTGAGACCATGTCCTTCATTTTTGTATCCCCAGCTCCTGGCACAGGGTCTGCTAGAGAGAGGATATTAAAGTTGTGTTGAACAAATGGATGTCTTTAAATGTTCATGCAATTACATGGGGAATGTGGGAGGAAGACCAGGTTGGGGAGGGCTGGGAGAGAAGATAAGTTAGGTTTGGACCAGGCTGAACTTGGTGTGTCTGTGGACTTGGGCATGGAAATACACAAGAGGCAAGGAGAACATGAGCTAGGAGCTTGAGAGAGAAGTTTGGACCAGAGAGCAATTTGGGAGCTGCACACTTATGGGCAGCAGTTGGAGATATGGGGGTGTAAACATGTGCTTGGGAAAAAGAATAAAGAGAAAAGATAAGGAAGCTGAGGAAGTATGGGCTTGAGGAAAGCAGACCCCCACCTCTTCTTCTCCACCCACCTGATCTGGGGATGCCCACGAATCATTCTGGACCCAGAGGCAACCATAGTTTGCGGGAGAGGCAGATTCTCAGGATGAGGGTACCTGTGCTACCTTGGAAGATCTCTTCTTCATCAAGTCCCTACGTTTGGGGGGATAATTGTTTTCCTCATTAATGAGCATGCATATAAACCACTGAAGTTTTCCTTGGCTCACTCCTTTCCAGGTAGGCAGCATTCCCCTCTCTCCTTTCATGCGTAAAGGATGTGCCAGTGTCACTGCAAGGCATGACAGGACTGCAGACACCTGATGACAGCAGGAGGCCGACAGGGTGGGATAAACTGAGAGGTGGGAAAGTCCAGGCTCAGAGGCTGGGGCCAGGGTGGAGGATAGGTGTCTTCAATGCCTTAACCCTTGGAGAAGAATAGCCACCCTTTCTAAAGCATTTGGTATGTACCAAGCATGGTGTCTAGCACAGTACAGGTGCTATCTCCTCGACATCTTTTTTGGTAGGGAGCTTACCCTGTTTTGCAGATGAGGAAACTGAGGCTCAAAGAGGATATAACCATCCACAGTTACATAGAATTGTTGCAAAACCAGCTTCCAAATCCAGATCTCTAGGACTCCATAGTCCAAGTCTTCCCTGGAACATCACCCTGGGAGGGAAGCTTTCTCAGGACCAGGTGTGCTTGCCACAGCAGGCGGATCCACCCCAGCAGTTCTGGCTGCAGAGCATAGCACTCCCCTTGTTTTGAGCCATTGCTGCTGCTTCTTTCCTCCTTGTGGCCATCATTAGTACTGCTATACAGCTATTTCCAGCTGTCCCCACCTGTTCCCCACCTACATGGTAGGATTGCTGTGCCTGGTCCTCTTGAGTGGGGTTTTGTGTTAGTTCTGTCTCCTCACTTTGTGAGCAGAATTGGCATGTGTCACTTCCAGACCAAGCGCTTAATTGCCAAAGTAAGACCCTCCAGAGCAATCTTCTCCTTCTGGTAGAGTGACTGGCAACATGCAAGATGTTAGCCACTCCATCAGTCCGGGGCCCAGTGGCGACCCTGAGCAGAACCTCCTGCTGAATGGTGATGGAAATTTAATGACAACAAGATGATTTTGGGGTTGTTACTGCAGTGTAACATAGCCTATGCTGAACTGAGATGTAACTTTTCTCATTGCTAGAAAAAGTCATGTAAACCAGTTTGCTCCCAAGGCTCTACCCTTGCTGGCCCCAGAACCATCTCTCTCTGAGCACTTTCTTCAAAGAATTCTGGCATTTGTGAATGTTCCCAAGAAAACCAGACAGAGATCCAGATGCCTCTCTGATCACAGAAACTGAAAGCCAAACTTTCTGTGAAGTTCCTAGATCCATGGTACTGCTGTCAATATCTATAGATAGTTTCATAGTTTACAAAGACCATTTATGCTTGCAAATATGCCCAGTCCTAGAAACAATCCCTCTGAGGGAGACATAGTTGTTACCATTTCACAGAAGAGCAGAAGGGAAGTCAGAGGAGTTAAGGCTCCTTGGCCAGAGCTGCATGGTTCTTTGAATCACTCACTATGCGACTTGGGGCAAATTACTTAACATTTATGTTCTTCAGTTTCCTCAACTGTAAAATGGGGATAATCATAGTGCCTATCTCATATGAATGTTATGTGTATGAAATGCGATAATATACATGAAAGCATTGAAGACTATGTTAGGCTCTTGTAAGTGCTAAATAAGTATCTGCTGTTATATATCATTGCTGTCACCATCATCACCATCATCATCATCAACATAATCACCACCATCATCACTATCACCACCACCATCATCATTGTCATCACCATGAATACCACCATCATCATCACTACCAGCATCAGTATCATCATCATAATCATCACCATCATCTTCATCACTACCATCATTGTCATCACCATCGTCACCATTATTGTCATCATCACCACAATTATCCCCACCACTGCCATCTTTATTATCATTCTTATGGTTCTGGACATATCACTTCAACTCTCTGGGCCTCAATTTCCTTACCTGTGAAATGGGCACTGTAAATATTTGCAAACCGTATAATAATTATAGGGTTTATTGAGTGCATTTCATGTGCTTGATACCATTCTAAGTTCATCATTCATTACCTCGTTTAATTCTCATGAGCACCTCCGAGATCAGATTATAAATAGCAGAACTGGGATTCTAACCCGGGCCATCTGACTCCAGAGTAAGTCTCTTAATTACTACCATATAAACTTTATATGGTAGTACAACGTTTGTGTTTTAAGCTGTTATTACAAGAGTCTGAAAGTTAAAAAAATTAAAAAGAGTTTACAAACTAAACAAGTTACAGTAAGCTAAGGTTAGTTTATTATTGAAGAAAAAATATTTTTAATAAATTTAATGTAGTCTAAATGTACAGTGTTTATACTTATAGTCTCAAGCCTCCTGAGTGGTGATAAGTGGCATATGCAAGGTAGCATGTAATGCTGCAGGATGTTTCTCGGGCCTTTAATAAGTAAACTGATGTGTGAGCTATGTGAGTTCATGAGTGTTAAATGTCTGTGTGTGCACACTTATGTGTGAGTGTGACATGCTATTTAAAGTATATGCAGTCATGCGTTGCTTAGTGATGAAGATACATTCTGAAACATGTATCATTAGGTGATTTCATTGTTGTGCACACATCATGGAGTGTACTTACAGAAACCTGGATGGTATAGCTTACTACACACCTAGGCTATATAGTATGACCTCTTATTCCTAGGCTACAAACCTGTGCAGCATATTACCATGTTGCATACTGTAGGCAATTTTAACACAGTGGTATTTGTGTATCTAAACATATTCAAACATAGAAAAAAGGTAGGGTATAAATACAGTATAAAAGATAGAGAATGGCACACCTGTATGGAACACTTACCATGAATGGCATGTGGAGGACTGGAAGCTGATCTGGGTAAGTCAATCAGTGAGTGGTGAATGGACTTGAAGGCCTAGGACAGTACTGTACACTACTGTAGACTTTATAAACACTGTACATTTAGGCTACATTAAATTTATTAAAAATATTTTTCTTTCTTCAGTAATAAACTAACCTTAGCTTACTGTAACTTCTTTAGTTTGTAAACTCTTTTTAATTTTTTTTTAACTTTCAGACTCTTGTAATAACAGCTTAAAACACAAATGTTGTATAGCTGTACAAAATATCTTCTTTCTTTATATCCTTAATCTATAAGAGATTTCCTATTTAAAATTTTTTATTTCTTTTGTACTTCATAAAGTTTTTTGTTAAAAGTGAAGACATGAACACACACATTAGCCTGGGCCTACACAGGGTCAGCATGATCAATATCACTGTCTTCCACCTCCACATCTTGTTGCACTGGAAGGTCTTCAGGGGCAATAACATGTATAGAGCTGTCATCTCCTGTGATAATGGTGCTTTCTCCTGGAATTCCTCCTGAAGGACCTGCCTGAGGCTGTTCCTGAGGTAGTGTCACTCTTTTCAGAAACGTATCCATGGTAGTTTGCTTGGTTGTTTTCTTTTTTCATCATAGATTTGCTTGTAAGCAAATAATGCACCATGAACATTCCTCTCTATTAATGCAAACCTTTTGTTGTTAGGGTCTACATTTTCAAACCTTTTAAGGAGCTTGTTGCGGTCTGCAAAAGCTTCTGCTAAACTCCTCACTGTGAATTTTCTTCAGGGTTCTTTTTCTTCTCCTGTACTTTCCCTTTTTCTTGCCTCTTCTTCAGCTATGTGATCCTGTTCCAGTTCCAACAATTCCTCCTTAGTCAATTCTTCATTAACCACCTCTGAGAGCTCCTCAATGTCATCCTCATCCACACCCGGGTTGAAGCTGTTTGCCATTTCAACCACAGCCTTGTTGATTTTTAATCCCCTTATGCTTGGAAAATCCTTTGAAGCTTGGATAAACCTCTTGAGTGTCTTCTTCCAGATGCCATTCATACACTCATTGATGACATCACTTAAGCCCAAGCAAGGTTCACGATGCAAAGATGTAATTTTTCCAGAATTGCGTCAATATCTTCTCAGTGCCTTCCTTAGTTGTAGCAATAGCCTGAACAAAGATCTTCCCTGAGCAGTAGGTCTTACAAGCTGCTATAATTCGTTTCTCCATTGGTTGAATCAAAGAGGTGGTGTTTGGAGACAGAAAGACCACGTTGATATTGAAATGAAGATCACCAATAAAAGAGGGATGTGTGGGAGCATTATCAACAATAAGCAAAATCTTGAAATGTATGTTATTCTCCAAACAGCATTTCTCTATTTTGCTGGCATAGCAACTCAAGGGGGCGTCTTGGAAGAGGAGTTGGGTCATCCATGACTTATTATTGCTCCTGAAGTACACTGGCCATGTGTGCTTATTGATATGCTTGAGGCCCTGGGGTTCTCACTGTCCCAGATCACAAAGGGTTTCAATTTGTGGCCTGCAACATTGTCCCCAAGCAAGATTGTCATCCTGTCCTTAAAAGTCTTGAAATCTGGCATTGACTTGACCTTCTTTAGGATTAAAGTCCTTTCAGGCATCCATTTCCAGAATAGGCAGCTTTCATCCATATTGAAGATTTGCTCTGGCAAGTAATTTTCCTCCACGATCAGATTGCCAGAGTTTTCAAAAATTCTTCAGCTGCCATCACATCAGCACTTGAAAACTCACCACTCACTTTCACAGAATGTAATAAATAATGATTCTTGAATCATTTAATCCACCCGGGGCTAACAGTAAATTCAACATCATAGTTGGGTCCAGCATCTTCTTTCAACATCACGAAATTTTTGCTTTGGCAGTGATCATCACGGTGCTGGGAGGGATAGGCTTCTGTGTCTAGTCTTCAAATCAAGTCATTAGAAATTTCTGTCTATCTGATATGGGCCCTTTTAGAACTTTTGTTAGTATCATTGCCTTCAATGAAGCAGATCCTTTAGCAGCTTCTGTCACTTTGATCTTGTTCTTCAAGATTGTAGCTATGGTGGAATGACACATGCCTGACTGATGAGCAGTAACCATCACTGATTCTCCACCTTCATAGTCCTTAATCACTTTTAATTTTGTTTCCAGGACAATCACTTGATGTGGCCTCTTACTGGCAACATTAGCAGTGGATTTTGTTCACTTTGGGGCTATGATGAACAAAACATTGTGAGGTTAAATCAAGCACAAGAGAAAACAGTGCAATCAAGAAGTGCAGTAAACGAGATATATGAGGCTGCTGCTGGAGTAACACAGCATACTGTTTTACAGTAAACATTTTTTTTAATAAGTAGAAGGTGTACACTCTAACGATAAAAAGCATGGTATAGTAAATAGATAAACCATCAACACAGTCCTTTATTATCATTATCAAATATTATGTACTATACATAATTGTACATGCTAGACTATTATACAATTGGTAGTCCTGTAGGTTTGTTTATAGCAGCATCACTACAAACATGTGAGTAATGGGCTGTGCTACAACATTACATCACTAGGCGATAGGAAATTTTCAGCTCCATTATAATCTTATGGGACCACCCTTGAATATGCAGGCTGTTGTTGATTGAAACAGCATTACGTGGAGGATGACTGTATTTGATTCCTGTTTGAGATCTGGCAGGCTTTCTGTGCATGTACTGGCTCACCTGTAATATTGTTTAATGTGTGATTCTTGGTCTCTGTGTGTTTCAGTGTAAGTCATACAGACATTTGTGGGTGTGATGCCATGTGGACCAAGTGTGTGAGTTACCATGTGAGATGTATAGGCCACTGTGGATGTATTTGTAATGATATGTGAGCTATGTGGTCTGATTGGGTATGTGATACAGTGTGGCTGGTGCGTTTGTGTGTGTGTGTGTGTGTGTGTGTGTGTGTGTGTGTGTGTGTGTGTGTGTGTATGAGAGAGAGAGAGAGAGACAGAGAGAGATCTGGCATGCAGTGTGCTATCTGCACTGTCTGGCTGTGAGTCTGTGGTGTGTATCTGGGTGCTGTGAGTGTGTGTTCACTTGTGCATCTCTGTAGGAACCAGTGAGCTGTGCATATGTGTGTGCGTGCATGTATGTATGTTTGTGTGTCTAGTCATGTCCCTGTACACAGGGTATTGTTGTGTGCAAGCATGTGTATCAGTAGGCAGAGGGCTCTGTGTCTCTAAGAGCCAGAAGGCCGGTGCAGTGTGGGTTGAGGGAGCTGTGAGTTAGAGGGTTTAAACAGGCTTCTTGGCTGGCCTGGGTCCAGCTCTCCCCTCCCAGCTTCTGCAAATACTGCCTAGCAGATGCACTGAGTTTTTATACACATGGAAACAGCCCTTTAAATATTTACCCTCCAGCCTGGTGGAATGTCCTGCTTCTCTTGCCTGCCCTCCCTCCACAGGCACTCAGCTCTCCTGCTGCTCCCTGGGGCTTAGCTTGGTAGGTCTCTGCTGCCCCTGGGACTCACTCTGGATTCCAGGAGTCAGTGAGGAGGGAAACCCTAGGAAGGCTGAAGCCAACACAGCTCTCACTCTGGGTTGCATTCCTTAGCATGGCCTTCATAGCTGCCTTCAGATCCACTCAACTCCCTTACACAGTCACGGCATTTACATTTCATTTACTTCACTTTTACACGCAGATATGCCCAAGTCAGCCTCACCACTTGACACTCACTTCCACCTCCTTTCACAGGTCCAGCCCTTCACACCTCTCCAGGCTCCTCCTCTTCTTCCCTTGCCAGTCTTAGGAGCTTCTTCCCCTACTCCCCTGACCCATCCAAGACACTGTGAGCTGCCCTCCTTCCTTAAGGGCCAGGAGATCCCAGCCACGAAACTCTGTCCATGGTTCTGAACCGTCATACCTGGCAGATGCTTCGCTCCTTAACCTTGGGACATTGGTGGTAACTCTTATCCAAAAGTTCCCAGGAATTCTGAACTGGGTGAAGAGTTAGTGGTAGGTGAAATAAGATCATGTGCATATGTGTGTGTGTGTGCTCACACTGTCTCTGAGGGATAAAATAGAGACAAAAAGATAAAGGGAGACAAAAAGGAACAGACAGAGACAGGCACAGAGCCATAGAGAGAGATAGAGGAGAGAGACAGAGACTGTGAGACAGGCAGGCAGGGAGACAGATAGGAGAAGCCACTGGAATGTCAAAAGTGCTGACAAGTAATCCTACTTACAAAGAAGGCATCTTATTTTCCTCTGGGAAGCTGGAGGAGTACATGACCCCTGATTCTACATGCTGCAACAACAGCTCAGGTGGTGCAACTCCCTGCCAAGGTTTATACTCATTTAAAAGAAGAGTCTAGTAGTGTAATCTTGTGCCTGGATTTAGGATCCAGGGTGGGGCCTCAGTGCCCACCCTAGTCCAGGGCTGGCATCCTGGCAGGCCACTGTCTTTTGTCTTCCGGTACCATCCAGGCCTGCTAATCCCTCACCTCCCCCACCTGCCCAGGCTGAACAAAATTTTTAAGGTCAGATATCATCTGGAGGAAACAGCTGGACAAAGGTGGACTCTGCTTGCTGCCCAACCATGCTTGACATCAAGGTATGGGAGACAGGAGGGTGGGGACATTGTCCTCTTGGCTCAGGTTTCCTCCCCCTTTCAACCGTGCTGGCTTCTCCCACCCACATAGGTGGCTCCATGGATTACTTTCCTCTTGTGTCATTTCCCAGGCACCATTTAACTGCTGGACATTCTGCTAGGCACAGAAGTCACAACAGCCACCTCAGGAGCTTCACAGTCACCTTGGGAGATGGCTGTAATTTACATTTTACAGATAAGGCAGCTGAGGAACAGAGAAGTTAAGTAACTTGCCCAGGGTCCCACAGCTGCTAAGTTGCCGAGCCAGATTCAAATGCAGATAGTCTGGCATCCTCTCTGAATGGGACTCCTCCAAGGCTGATGTGTAGCATCATCCACTGGCAGCTCTCAAGGGTGGCACTATGTGGTTGTGGAGGCAGCACAGGCTTCCAAGTCAGAAGCCCTGGAAGTGGTGGCCCTTGGGGTTTCCACATTTTCTGGGAGGATTCAGTTGGGGCCTTCTTAGCCTGGCAGCCCCTCCTTATGTCCCAGGCAGGGGTACCCAGGATGTCAGGGGAAGGAGGTGGCAGCAAAAGCCCAGCCCGGATGGGCTGGTGGGTTCAGCCGACCATGAAATACCACGGCCTCCAGCTGCAGGTACCCCTGCCTACAGTGGCAGAGCCCGCCTGGCAGGGCAGGAGCCCAGCTAATGGCCATGTTTATAGCTCAAAGCATTATTAGCTCTTAGGAGTGCTCAGCCCTCGCTTGTTGTTGACAGCTGAGCTTATTGATTGAGTGACTTGATGTTTTTGTTTATTAAGTGCCCGGAGTGTCAGCAGATTTGGACCAGCCTTGGCTAGGTTGGGGAGGGAATGTATGAATAGGGGAGGCTGATGAACACATCCCAGCCTTGCTCATTTGTTCGGGCACATGTGTTGGGGTGATGGGTGTGTGTGTGTGTGCTTCTTGACCGTCGTGTTTCTGAATGCAATTTTAGAAGAACGAACCTTGGTTTCTGCACTCAGCAACCATGGAACAGCTTTTGGGGGGAACTGGGATTTGGATTTGGGAGGCCTGGCTTTGAATTTTGGTCTTATCTTTTCAAGCTGTGAGCTTGGAAAAATCCCTTACTGTCTCTGAACCTTGGCTTCCTTATCTGAAAAATGGAGATTAAAATAATACCAGCTCTGCCTACCTTTGAGACTGAGAGTTAATGAGGTGCAGCAGTTTGCAAACTGTAAAGTGCTGCACACATGTCAGCGGGTAGAACTGTTGTGAGCTGAACTGTGATGCCGTAATTACATTTATGTTTAGGAAACAGGTTGGTGGAGCAGAAAATGAACAAGAAGGCAGACCCTGGAGGACAGTTGGGAACTCAGGCTCTGAGGTGCCTAGACCTGCTGCTGCTGCTCATATTTTAGGAGGTCCCTGACACAGACCAGGGGAGGAGGGTTCCAGACCTGGCTCTGGCATCAAGGTGCTGTGTAGCCTCAGGAAAGTTGATTATCCTTTCTGGGATTTCCCTTTTATTTGTCAAAAAAAAAAAAAAAAAAAAGGCTTAGATTCAATGGTCTCTAAGGCTTTTTTCAGCTCAGCCTTTTCATGAATATAGGAATCACTGAATCTTTTCAATCCATATGCGCAGACATTGGTGTGATTCACATTTAAATGTACTGGACTTGAGTCTCTATGTTCAAAATAGCCTGTGTTTAAGTTTCACCGTGCATATCCACAGGGGTACACATGCCTCTGAGCTAGTGTGTGTTTGCCCAGCTCCCCCCAGTCCTGAACACATATGTGCCCGTCCATTCACTTTTTGTTAAGGCAGAGGGGCTGGGAAACCAGCTGCCTCCCTGGAATCCAGCAGCTAATGGGGGAAGCCCATTTTAATCACTGACAACAATACAGGTCCATTAAAAGAACAAATTAACTGCAAACCCAAAGATTACTTCTGTTCTGCTGGTGCTTGGTGAAGGGCGGTTGAATGCTGAGCTCCATTTGCTAAATGGGCCCCCACCCTCAGGCATGGCTGCTGCCAGGACAAGCTGGCCTGGCCTTTCCTACTGCTCTTTCTCCTCCCATGCAAGTCCTTTGTAACTCCTGTCAAAGCCCTATCCGAAGCTACTTCCTCTGTGAAAACTCCCCTCATCCTTCCTTCACCCCGGGTTGGAGTAATCCCAGAATGCCTTCCTCCTGGCTCTGACATCCTAAGCTTGGTGGAAGGAAGCTGGCCTTCCCTGACTCCTACTTCAGCTTGGTATATTTCCCCACTTTTGATTCTGCTCTCCATTATGGGAGCATCTTTTTGTTGATCACTTGGTTGTTCGTTCATTCATTCATTCATTCACTCACTCACACATTTAACCAATATGTTTTGAAGACTCACTGTATGCCAGATTGTGTGCTAGGCTCAGTTCCTGCCCTAGAAGAAGGGAAGTCTCATGCTGTGCAGAGTGGGAGGGAAGCAGAGGACAGAGTACTGGGTCCTGCTGGGGAAGGTCAGGCAAAGCCTTACAGAAGAGGTGGCATCTGAGCAGCAACTTGAAGAATCCATGGAGTTTTCCAGGTGTGAAGGGGCACAGGGGACTCCGTTCAGAGAGACCAGCATGAGCATTTAGAAACAGGTCCTGGTGGAAGGCCTTGCATAGAGTGAGTGCCCAGTTAATGTTATGGGAAAATGAAATGTTTATAAAGTGTCCACTATGGGCCAGGCAATGGCAGGTGCTGGAGCGGCAGCCCCAGTTTCCTCATCTGTGAAATGGGAATGACAGTGTTACCCACCTCCCAGGGAGAGAAGGTAATGGATATGACGTGCTCAGCACAGTGCCTGGCACCTGGTAGTATCAGGAGGCAGCTTGGGGCTCTGCTTCCTCCTTTCTTTCCTTTCCAGGGCAGGAGGGAAATCAATCTCCCTGAGGCAGGAAGGCCATCCTGGGCAGGCAGAGGACCAGACTGCTGCCCTTCCCCAGGCCTGGTAGGGGATGCCAAAGGGAGTGCCATGCCCCACAGGCTCGGCTTCTGAAGGCCAAGTGGAAACAGGTCTAGTAGCAAATCACCTGCATAATGGAGAGAAAGTAGAAAAAAATCCATTTTGGGTTTTGGTGTTTGGATGTAGGATTTAACCTACCCTACTAAATCCGGAAGCATGCTTTTCTGTGTGGTCTGATATGGGGTGGACATGAGAGAGAAGAATGAGGAATTCACACCCCTCCATGGCTACCATCTGCCTCCAGAACAAAGCTCATGTCCCTTGGAGGGGCAGTTAAGGCCCTTTCTAAATGACCTGTCATCTCATCTTTAGTCACTACCCCCAATGCCTTCCACTCCAGCTGCTCCAGACTATGGGTCTCTTCTGGCAACAAACAGCTGCTGTTCCAGACCCCTGTGCCTTTGGATGTGCTGTTTCCTCTGCCTGGAATGCTTTTTCTGCCACCTCATTGCAGAAAATGCTCACTCATTCCTTAAAGCTCCATGAAATATTATCTGTCTGGAGAAGTTTCCACCGAGTCTCCTTGGGGAGGAGGACTCCCTGCCCTCTCTGGGTTACTGTGCATTCCCTCAATTGTGAGATACCATCGATTGTGAGATGCACCATCGATTTAATAATAGCTTTTGGGGGAACAGAAACCCTGCTCTAAATGTATGTATTTCCATCTCAGAAATGAGTAAGTGTTTTTGAAAAGTGCATTTTGGAGTCAGGGAGAAGCAGTCAGTGCTTCTCTCATCGCACAAAGGCCACAAGTATTGACTCAGGCATTCACTCATCCAATCAATCAACAAATCAATCAATCAATCAATCTTTATTGACCTCTGTTGCAGGCACTGAGGGGGAGCAGTTAACGAAATCAAATCTCATGCAGCTTATATTGCATTGGGAGAAACAGATAGTAAACAAATAAAAATATAATTGAATCTAAATAATCTAAAAGAAAGGTCATAGTAAGTGCTTTGAAGAAATACATCAGGTTAGGAAGATGAAATGAGATTGGGGCAGTTCTTTTAGCAAGGGTGATCGGGAAAGCATCTCTGAGGAGGGGATATTTGTGCAGGCTTGAATGAAGTGAAGGAGTGAACCATGTAGGTATTTGGAGAGGAACATTCCAGGCAGAGGGTATGGCACGTGCGCAGGCTTTGCAGTGGGACTGTTCTTGGTGTGTTTGAAGAACTTGTCTCTGGAGTGGCACAAGTGAGGGGTAGTGCTATGACATGAGGTCAGTGTGGTGGACACATCCCTGAGACAAGGGCAGGTGTGCGATTTTTATCCTAAGTGCAATGGGAGGGTTTTGAGCAGGAGTGTGCCATGAGCTGCTTGCAGACTGGACCCATATGCACCCAGGCCTGTCAGATTGTAAGTTCCCAGAGGGCAGGGACCGCAGCACTTATCTCCATGCCTGGCATACAGTAAAGGTGTGTTGAATGAATGTTGGATAGCTTGGGATGATAGTCCCAGGTGGGAATTCAAGGTTGAGGATATAGTGTGAGTGAGACCTGGGGCAGTGCAAGGGATGGGAGGCCCTGGCACGTAAGACCACCTGCTGATGCGACCCAGCCCCCAGCTTCTGTATGGATTCACTCAGATTCCAGAGCCTGTGGACCAGGGGACGGTTCCCACGGGCAGCCCTTGTCTTAGTCATCTCCACATGCACCATGGTGCTTCCAGGCAGGTCCGGAATGGAACAGGCAGAGGCCAAATATTTGTTAAAGGAGTTGATGTGAAAATAAACCATCATTTTATCTGTGGTGCTTCACAGTTCATCTTTCATGTGTGTGTTCTTATTCAATCCATACCTTGAGCCCATTTGATTCCCTTTTTACAGATGAGTCTGGGGCTCAGAGAGGGTCAGGAAGTTGCCCAGCCTAAGCAAGCAGAAAAGGAAGGACTCAAACCAGATGTCCCAATGCCTTGTTTTCTTTCCTTTCTCCTCCATGGTTAGAGTCTAAAGGACGGTGTAGCCTTTGAGTTCTGCACTTTAGTGCAGTAACAGAGATGGTGTTTTCTGACCCCTCAGGGGGGACACAGACTTGAAAAGCTCAAGTGTGGTAAAAAGAACAGGCAGATGGTATATCTGGACTGGGAGCTGCCCTGGGGAATCTGGACTATGCCATCACTGTAATGCCTCTGCTCCCAGTCAGGTGACCTGGATTCTGTTCCCAGCTCTGCCACTAGCTCGCTGAGTGACATTGGGTGAGTCTCTACCCTCCCTAGGCCTCAGTTTCCAAACTGGACCAAAGGCAGACCTAGGGGAGTGTGTCTGTCCTCCCTTGCAGGCGGCAAGTGGCTATATCTTCCCAGAGAGGCCTTTGCAGGAGACCTAGTGTCTTGGCCAGCATGCTCCACTTCGGTTCTCAGCGGCACTGCTATTGCCCACTCACCTGAGATACTGGGAGACACCAGATGCCCCCACTGCCTCACTCCCACACTCAGTCACTGCCGCCCTTTGCTCCCTCCCCATCCCTTGAGTTTGGCCCTCCTTGGTGTCTGTGTCAACATCCCTCACTGGTCCCAGCCCTCGCTTTTCTCAGTGGATCACCGCAGCCACCTCCTGACGGCTCTGCCTGGCCCCAGGCACCCTCACCTCTAATCCATTCTCCATACTGCGGCTAGAGCGATTTTTCCAAACTTCAATTCTGGTCATGTCAACCTCCTGCTTAAAACACTTCCATAAGTTCCCTTTTGCCCCCGGGATAAAGTCCAAACTGTTTAGCATGGCTCACACAGCTGTCCATGGCTGGCCCCTGCCAACTGTCCACCTCCCTCCCTCCTTCCTCCTCGGCTTCCAGCTCTCATTCTGTTCCCAGCCCCACTGAACTCTCTGTGGTTCTTGGGCAATGCCACATCCTCTCTTGCTCCCCTGCTCTGCACATGCTGCCCCTTTGGTCTAGAACATTATCCTCTGGTCAGTATCACTTGCCACACCCAGGTCTAGGCTCCTGCGAGTCTGGTTAACACTTAATTGCTCTTCAGAACTCAGCTTTAAGCAAACCCCTTCTGAAACCCTTTACTCTTCCCACCCTTCACTGCTGGCCTGGCCAGGCCCCCTTAGGCTGGAGTCATCTCTGTTATTCGTCCTTTGGCACTCAGTTTCTAGATGACAGGAATCTTGTTCATCTCTGTACCTGCAGGTACTATAGTTGCTCAATGAATATTTGAGAGGGAAAAATATCCCAAATGAATGAATAAATGGATGGGAAAGCATTCGTTCACACTCACTCATTTATTCATGTGTTTATTCAACAGATGTTTGCTGATTACCTACTAGATGCCAGGAGCTGGGGGCAGCACAGAACTGAACATAACAAGAAGGTCCTTGCCCTTATGGAGCTTGTGTGCCCACAGGCAGAGGAGTGAATATTGTCTCTTTCTTTTGCAGCTCTGAGGTTTTGGAACTTAGATATTTTCTCTGCTTGAACCATTGAGAAATCCTTTTGGGTGAAGATAGCAAGACCTGTGCTAGGGTTGGGGCTGGAGCTAGGGCCAGGCAGGAACCTACTAACCTGCTTGGGGCCACCTCCCTGGCCCTCCTGAGGGTGTTACCTCCTCAGAGGGCTGCTCCCCTTCTCCTGCTCCTACTCTTCCTCTTCCTCCTCTCCCCTCCTCTTCTTCAGCTGTTCTATTTCCAAGCAGGCAGCTTAACTTAGGCCTCCTGGTTGGGCCTTTAATTTGGATTTATTGCTGGCTGTGATTGTATGTTAAACAAACTCTAGGCGATTATTAAAAACATGATTATTGCGGTTTATGGTCCTGCTTGGTCCTCAGTGGGTTTTCTGGTTCTGAGAGCTGGCCAAGACTCTCTGATACAGTGCGAGAGGTGAAGACCTCCAGAGTGGATCCCCATACCTCCCCAGCCTCGTGACACCTCTGGGGGAGGAGGGGCCGAGGGGACTTCTAGGAGAACAGAGAACCAGTGGAGGTGTGGTGATGTGGCAGGAGCACTAACTGGGCACCCAGGAGGCCTAGTGTCAATTTGACTCACAACTCTCCTCCTCCTCCTTTTTAGAGACAGAGTCTTGCTCTTTTGCCCAGGCTGGAGTACAGTGATTTGATGATGACTCACTGTGGCCTCAACCTCCTGGGCTCAAGTGATCCTCCCACCTCAGCCTCCAGAGTAGTTGGGACTACAGGTGTGTGCCACCGTGCCTAGCTAATTTTTTAATTATTTTTATTTTTTATAAAGATAGGGTCTGGTTCTGTTGCTCAGGCTGGTTTCAAACCCCTGTCCTCAAGCAGTCCTTCTGCCTTTGTCTTCCAAACTGCTGAGATTATAGGTGTGACCCACACCATGCCTGCCCTTGACTTACAATTTCTTTGGGCTTCAATTTCCACATCTGAAAACCAGAGAGTTGGACCAGATAACCCAGTGCTCTGAGGACTGAAACCCAAGTACCTGTTGGGGGCTGGAGGGTCTTCACTTTGTTCCACAGAAAGACTCCAGCCAGGGGCACCTATAAGCCAGACACAAACAAGAACATCCCATCATGGGCGTCCAATGAAGATCCACTCACTTTCTTAACCTGGTCATGCTGACTTGGAGAATGTCTTTCTGTGGTCAGATAAGCTGACATCTGGTTTGGGTGACCAAGGACACATCCAGACAAAGGCATTGGCAAGGTGAAACTGATGCAGAAGCAGGCAGGCTCCTGGCCTGGGAGCTAGAACCCTTGGGCTCCAGCCCCATCTCTGCTACTGATTGGCTGAATGGCCTTGGGAAAGTCACTTCTCCATGCAGGGCCTCCGTTTCTTTTTCTCTAAAGAAAGAGTGGACTATTCAGTGCTATGCAAACTTTAAAAAGTTAACAGCATCTTTTTTTTTTTTCCAAAACAGAATCTTCTGTAGCAGCTAAAGAGACAAGGTGGATGAGGAAAGGAGCTACTGGAAGCCCAGAGGAGAGTGTTTGGCCCAGCAATCTCCCTTCTTCCCCTTGCATCTGCCCAGGCTGGAAACACTGGGCTCTCCCAGGAGCTCTCAAATACCTTCCTTTAAAGTCAGTTGTGATGCTATCCAATTCCCTTTCCATATGTTAAAGCCCTCACTTTAGAAAGAGTGAGGCCTGCCCATTGCCTCATCGATCCTCCCGACCTCCTTGAAAAGGACAGGCAGGCTCTGACTCCTACTTTGCAGAAGGTAAGGCCCAGGCTGATGAAAGGTTGTCTCCAGAGGTGGGATCAAGCTTCCCCAGGCAGGCTGCTGCCCTGGTCTCTGGCCTCTCTCCACGGGGTGGTGCAGGGTTCAGCATATAGGCCTGTGCCATGCCCTCAGTGCAGCTCCAGAGGTCTGCACCACCTGCTGGCCTCCTGTTCCACCTTGACTTGGCTCCTCAGGCAAACACTTGGGCCAATCCCAAGCCTGATGAATTTTTGATGAACTTTGAGTAAAGGCACTTTTAAAAATTCAGAAAGGTAGGGAGGTGCTGGGAACCAGGGAGGCATTGCTGCTGCTCCCCTCCCCCACTTCTCCTCATGAAGCCTGAGCCCTGGAGCATGTGGGTAAGGAGAAGGGCGGGACACAACTGAGCCACCCAGACCAAGTGAGCCTGCAAAACAAGGCCACTGCCCTGGAGAAGGCTTTACTCTAGCCTTTCTGATTGGAGCAGAGGCAAATTCCAGAAACAAAGGATGTTAGGTATGGAAAAACAGTTAGAAATATCATCTAAGTCTAACCTCCTTGTACTATATTGAAGTAAGAAACTGAGTGTCATAGAGGCAAGGTGACACACCCAAAGTCAAGCTCAAAGGGGCCAAGAAAGGACAAGACCTCAGTCCCTCTTTCTCCCATCCAATGCTGAGTTCACAGGCCACTTCTGGACCCAAGTGCCTGAGATAGGCTTCCTGACCCAAAGTCAGAGCTTTGCATTCCAGTGCCCCTACCCTCCAATACCCCAGTAGAGCCATTTCCAGAATGTTCAGAACCCAGGGACAGACTGGTCATCCCTCAGTAAAGCCTGGAAAGACAGAGACTTGGGAAAGTGGGGAGACAAGTGGCAGCTCCCTACCCTGGATGCTAGTTTTCACTGATGCTAATCAACAGTAACCCCTCAATTCTCATCCCCCCGGTCCTTAGAGCTTAGAGGAACTGGGTCTCCTCCTCCCTCTGTTTATACCCCAAACCCTTCAGGTTACCTTTCTGTGGCTTAATTTCCTCCTTCCATCAGCCCTCAATGGCTCTTCCAGCCTGGTTTGGCCTGGTTAAAATCATGTCCAGACTGGCTTGGAGTCCTCTCAGCTGGTGGCTGGATGGAGAGGGACTGATGTGCAGTCAGTGATCTGGATTCCAACTGGGGTTCTACCAAAACTAGCTGTGTGACTGTGGCCAAGTTATTGAACCTCTCTGAGCTTCTTAAATGGGAGATGCAGAGAATAAAATGAGACAAAACAAGTGAAGACCTAGGAAGGAGACACAGACCAGGTGCTGCACACATGTTGGATATGTTGCTTTCACCTTTTGAAAGGGCATTTCCCACATCTTACTTCACCATCTTCTTTGACTCCCCACCATGGTTGATCTCTTTAGAAATCCTCATAACCTGAAGATGGAGCCGGCTGGCATACCGCACAACTTAAGGGGGCACCATTTATCTTATTGAATAGCACATGTGAATGGCACATCCTGGAGTCAGGGGGCTCCATGTGAGGCCCCCGGCGGGGAAGTGGCATGGAAACCCTGGGTCTTTAGCATCTGATAACTCTCTTGGGCTTGTTTTTCCTGCTGAAGTTCCATTCCCTTCTCTTGGCAATGATACCTGTTATCTTGTCTGGTTCTTTATGTATTTTGAACTTTACTCTGAGAACTGAGATTTCAACTTGATTCCCATAATTTAGACTTCAGCTTTTGGAACAACTTCTGTCTTCACCAGTGTGTCCTGCTTTGATTTCCAAGCACGTAAGATTCTAGAGACACATTTTTTGGTCTATTTCAATTGCACATTCATAGGACTTGTAAATATAAAAGAGGCCCATAAACTGAGAGGTGCTGGGTAATGGCCTTTAAAACAGTAGGTTTTATATCAGAATCTGAACAGTGGTCCCTAAATCGGGCATCTGGGTTTGTGCCCTCCAAGTCTTCAAACCCAAGGTGAGATTCTGCGTGTGCTTCAAGATGTGTCTGGAGGATCATAATGCAGGAAATACAGAGCCCAGTTTTATGTTCATCTTTATCTTTATATTTTGAACCCTGGCCCTTCTACTTCCTGACTGTGTGACCTTACACACACTCCATCACTTCACTGAGGCTCAACTTTCTCATTTGTAAAATGAGGCTAATAATTACCCACTGGCATTATAGGGCTGGGGGACAGATATCTGAGATAATTTTTGTAAAATGGCTGCCATTCCATACACCCCAAGATGTTGCTTCTTGCCCCCTCCTCATATCACAGAAAAGAAAGTGGAAGCTCAGGGAGGTCACGTTGCCAAAGATTGTTCAGGCAGCTGGGATTCACATCCAGACCTGCCTGACTCTGAAGTTCATGCTTCACTTTCCAACCTAGCTTTATTGAAATAATTTTTAAAATTGTAGTAAAGTATACACAGCATAAAATTTACTACTTTAACCATTTTTGAGGGCGTAGTCCAGTGGCATGAAGTATATTCACATCGTTGTGCAACCATCACTACCATCCATCTCCAGAACTTTTTTATCTTCCCAGATTGAAACTCTGTCCCCATTATACAGTAACTCCCCATTCCTCCCTCCCCCAGCCCTGGTATCCACCTTTTTACTTTCTGTTGCTGTGAAGTTGACTATTCTGGGTACCTCATATTGGTGGAGTCATGCAATCTTTGTCCTTTTGCGACTGGCTTGTTTCACTTAGCTAATGTCATCAAGGTTCATCCATATTGCAGCATGTGTCAGAAATTCCTGTATTTTAAAAGGCTGAATAATTTTCTGTTGTATGGATGTACCACATTTTATTTACGTAAGGATATGTTTTCATGCACAAAATGAGCCTGGTACACAGTAGCTGCAAATCATGATATTATCATTATTGGTAATTATCATTCAGCTACTTGACTATTACAACATTTGCTGTAAAATTCAATTCTTCTAACAATATTAATAGTAGTAGTGACAATAATAAATGCTTACCAAATAGAGACATCCATCCTTTTTCCATCTGAGGATTTCCTTTGTCCAGTAGGCTCAAACTCTGGCATGCCTCAGAGACACACAGGGAGTTTGCTAACCACACAGATGCCCTAAACCATCCTGATGTTTTTATTGTCAACATTCTCCCTGAAGTCTGTTGTGCACCAAAGTTCTGAGCACCACTGTCCTGGTCTTTGAATCTTTCCATGGCCTACCATCCCTGACAGTGTCTGGAAAGATGCCACAAGACCAAGGTTGGGAGGATGTGTGGGCAGAGGAGTGGAAGCCCGGAGGCTCCTGGGCAGCTTCTCTGAGACCACAAGCTCTGGCTTTGTGACTGGTCCTATTCTGACCTCTCCTGTGTTGGAAAAGCATTTCAGCCCTTTCTGGGGGAAATGCGTGATACAAGAAATGACCTATTCAGACCTGTGATTGGAACTCAGGCAGACAGCTGTATCCCTCTGACCTCCACCCTCCCATTGGGTTAGGATAGAATTTTTGGCTCAAGGCTGGCATAATTAGGAGGTTTGGTGAGCAGGCTGGTTGGGGCACTTTGTTTGTAACTCACCTTGGAAAGGCTTCTGGCATCATCTTCCACACAGAGAGCAGGGAGTGTGTATGCCCTGGAACCCACATGTTCATCTTTCCCAATTAAAGTGCACCATTAGCTCCATCTTTAGACGCCCTCCTCTAATTCCTCCACTCAAAGTTCAGGCAGGAAGTCGATGCTGGCTGCAGCAGGGGAAGCACCAACATCTTCAGCATCCCCTTGGCCAAACTCTGTGGGAAGCTATGGGTCCCAGAGGAGGGTGGAGAGAGTGATTCCAAAGGGGCAAATGGAAGGTATCACTGCTTTCCCATCTGCCTAAAAGTCCTTGCCTTCCCCTGTTTCTCCCTTGTCGAACTGGCAACCTCCTACTTATCCTTGAGGACTTAGCCCAAAGTCACCTCTTCTGGGAAAGCTTCCCTGACGTTCCTGCCCTAGGAAGCTTACTGTTGTATCAACTGCATGATTAGAGACCATTGCTTATTTATCCCATTACCCTGGGTCTTTTGTTTTGTTTTGTTTTGGTTTTGCTGAGGGAGTGGCGGCTGGAAATGGGAATCTCAGGTAGATGTATCCATATTACAAAGGTATAGCTAAAAAGTACACCACAGCATTTTTACTAAAGGATTATATATTCGCACTAAGAATCATGTTCTGGTTAAGAATTCCATCATTTTGTGTGAGGCCCAGTCACAGATTTAGGCTGTGGTTTGTTGTATTGGTCTAGAGATCAACTAGGGATTTTAATGTGACTAAAATAAGGCAGGCCATATGTGACAACATTCAGAATTCAGCATAGCATCTTTCTCATGCCTTCCATTTCCTTCCCGTCATCTTGTTTTCCTTGTAGCCTTAAGGACAGATATCCCGGATAATGTTCTGGTGATGAACAACTATAGTTTTACTGAAAGAAAATTATTGTGTCACTTTAAAGTTAATAGTTTTGAAAAAGGGAAAAAAAGAGAGCCAGTTAAAGTCCAATTGCTTATTCAAAATGGTTCTCCCAAATCTTGTCATGGTTCTGCAAATCCTACTCTAAATTCTATCCTGTGACTTTGTTACTGCCCAAGGACATGACATTTACAGAAACCAATAGGCATAGACGAAAATGTCAAATTATTGATGCCTATCAAGGTAGTTTAAAATGCCCCTAAACACCTGGGATTATCTAGTAAGTACTCCCTCAGTTCAGGGTCCATATCCTTCATGTATAATAGACAGTCCTTTCTCGAGGCCCCCAAAATGTCCATTTTGACCACTCAAGGGTTTATCAGTTGATATTTACAATATAGAGAACCTACTATGTGTCAGACCTTGTGCCTGTGTGCATGGCGCCCCCTGGAGTTACAAATCGGAATAGCACCAATTTATGTCAGGTCCGTGCAGTGCGGAGGGGCACTTGGAGCTACAATTGGGCTCTACCTGTGGATTTTCTATTTTAAATCTAATTTTGGAACATTTTGAGATTTACAGGAAAGTTGCAAATATGGTGCAGAGAGTTTCCGCATACTGCTCCCGTGGCTTTAGGGGCTCTTCCTTAGAACAGCCTAGAGAGGAAATTATCTCTCTGGTCTCAGCCTCAGGATTGCTTGAGCATCTCCAGAGCTATTTTCAGACTGTATTTTTAGGAACACTGTATATTTGACAACTCCCGGGCTTTCTCCTTTTGCATCAACTGCTAGGAAGCTCAGCGCCAAGTCTGTGGCTTAATTCTAGCAAAAGTGTAGAAACTCTCGGCAGATATTTTGGGTATTAACTTTACCCTTGATTTCATCTTGTTCTTCCTGCATCATTTCCCTTTCCTCATTTACTTAATTTTCACTTTGTTATCTGTATTGAGCTTTGCTGGCCTCTTGAAATCGTTTTTGGGACACGGTTGGGGTACATATCATTTTTGGAACACGGTTGGGGTACATATAACTGGATGAACAAATAGATCGTTTCCTCTATGTTTCCAAGGTGTCTGATGCATGTTTTTACTCTGGTATTTACCGCATTTTGTTGTAATTGCTTGTTTATGTGTTTGACTGCCCCACCGGGCTGGGACTGCCACCTGGTTTTCCTGAAGCTGGACTCCTTGGCATGACTGAACACCCAGGATGGGCCACTGTCTGAATCATATTTTTCAGACCCTGAACCTATCACCACCATCCCATTTCTTCCCTATGTGGACACACCCCCACAGAGGCTCACAGCCAGCCTTAGCATCTTTCCTACCTTGGTGGATATCCTATATGTGCCATTCTTGAGGCATGGCCAGACAGGACCAGTCAATACCCAAAGGGAAAGAGAATCATGAACCAATGTGCACCCACAGTCAGAAGATGATGGCCTGAGAAGGTGGAAGGGAAAGTAGGGGTGTGTGTTATTTCCCCCTCCTGCTCAGACCTGAAGGTGGCACCTCTCCTGGCCTTGCTCTTGATCCATTTCATGTCCCCTCCCCTCTCCCTCCTCCCTTGGCCATCCTAGTGATGAGGTGAAGAGGCCGTGTACGGCCAACAGAATCCCAGGATCACAAGGTTGTCCGCTCCAGAATGTTCATGTCTCACCTGGCAATTCAATTTGGACCATCCTCTTCCCCGACCTTCCCCCTCATGAACTCCTTCATTGTATAAAAGGGGCAATTGAGGCCCAGAAAGGGAGAGTGATTTCTTCAAGGTCACACAGCAAATTTGAGGCAGGCTTGTTCTCTTTCCACCTGAAAGCAAGGTTTCTGTGCTCTGTGAGCAACAGGCACAAACTGAGCCAGCGTGGGAGGGTGTGTGTGTAGGGGGTCTGGGGAGCTTTCCTGAATTCCCTGTAAGCAGCCACCCCAAGGGGCTAGAGGGGTGGCTGATCATGCTGGGCAAATCCCTCTTCTCTGCTCACCCTTCTGGAATCAGATACACTCTGAAAATTTGCTTTGAAGGAGGAAAAATAATGATAAAGGGGCAGCTTTGGCATAGGTGGAGGGCAAAGTAGGCCAGGGAATGGCTCGAGTGACTTTGTATAGGAGGGGAGAGGGAGCGAGTGGATCGGCAAAAGTAGAAATGGCAAACTCTAATGCCCTCAGGGATTCTGTTGAAGGGGTGACAATGTGGGGGCCATAGTGGGGGCAGGAGAAGGCAGGTCATTGTCTAAATTGTGTGCCGACTGATCTCCTGCTGCTGGGGAAGGAGGCGGCAAAGTTGCAAGATCTTCCAGGTTTTTTTCAAGACAAGCTGAAAACCTGATGTTTATGTGAAATCCAGATTTTCACATGTTGACAACTAATTCAAAAATTTAAAAGCTCTGTATGAATACAATGCATAGACCTTATTTGGATTCAAACAAACCACCTGTAAAAAGACATTTTTGAGACAATTAGGAAAATTTAAATAGACACTAATAAGGAATTATTCTTCATTTTGTTAGGGTGATAATGGTTTTGTGGTTACGGTTTTAAAAAGTCTTTGTCTGCTAGAGAGACACACTGAAGTATTTATGGGTGAGATAATATAATGTCTGGATTTGCTTTAAAATATTTCAGAAACTAAAAGGTGTGTTGGGGATAGATGAGATGAGATTGACAAAATGGTGATAGGGAAGCTGGATGGTATGTATATGCAGGTTAATTATGCTCGTCTTTGCTTTTGGGTATGTTTTAAAAAATCATCACAAAAATAAACACTCTGGGTCGAACAAAACCTGTCAGCGGGCTGGATGTGGCCTCGGATCACCATTTTTCAATCTTTAGTCTAGGCCTTTCTCTCATACATAAGCCACGGAACACCAGCGGGTTAACAAAAACCCTAGAGATCAGGCTGGGTGCGGTGGCTCACGCCTGTAATCCCAGCACTTTGGGAGGCCGAGGCAGGTGGATCTACAGGGTCAAGAGATCAAGACCATCCTGGCTAATGTGGTGAAACGCCATCTCTACTAAAAAATACAAAAATTAGCTGGGCATGGTGGCGGGCGCCTGTAGTCCCAGCTACTCGGGAGGCTGAGGCAGGAGAATCACTTGAACCCGGGAGGTGGAGGTTGCAGTGAGCCGAGATTGTGCCACTGCACTCCAGCCTGGCAACAGAGTGAGACTCCATTTCAAAAAGAAAAGAAAAGAAAAGAAACCCTAGAGATCATATGGGTGAGGGGTTGGCAAACTACAGCCTGGGGCCCAAATCTGGCCTGCCACCTGTTTTTGTCAATAAAGTTTTATTGGAACACAGCCACATCCATTTTGTAATGTATTTGTCTCTGACTGCCTTTGTGCTACAATAGCAGATTTGAGTAAGTGTGATGCAGACTGTATATCTTACAAAGCCTAAAATATTTGCTATCTTACACTTTACAGAAG
Source organism: Homo sapiens (assembly GCF_000001405.40). Lineage (NCBI taxonomy): Eukaryota > Metazoa > Chordata > Mammalia > Primates > Hominidae > Homo > Homo sapiens. Next base: position 34,539,942 of record NC_000017.11, on the reverse strand, counting down.
AAGTCCGCTGACCCTGAGCCAGGTCAACAACCATCTACCTTTAGCATTGAAGTTCTTGTGCCACATCTTCTAAGCCCAGGGTTAAGTTGGAGCTGGAGGGAAGGTGGGTCCTGCTGATGGAAGGGTGCAGGAGACCTGGAGAAACACGACTCTGACGTGGAATGAGAGTAGTTAGGTAGAATGGGAACCGTGAGCGCGTGCACTGGACCCTGCTGACATTCCAGGGAGTGCCAAGGACCACTCCGAGTAAGAGACAGTGTGAGGGCAGGCAGAGAGCTTGGGCTTCAGAGCCAGGAAGGTCTTACGTCCAATCCTGACCTAAACTATGCCTTAGTTTCTTCTTCTGAAAAATGGGAATAAGAAGTGATAAACAGCGCTCCTATGAAGCCGATCATAAGCAGGAGGGGTTTAATAAATAGTAGATATTATTGTTATTATATCCCTGTTGTGCAGTCATTGAGTTTTTGGATCATAAAGACCCAATGTTACTAAACTTTATTGTTAACTGTAGAAATATCCTCTTAATAAAAGGAAATAAGTGCTGATTGTAGAGAATTCACATAACTTTTGTTAAGGGCAAACAAGATGTTTATTGATCTTTTAAGAGAAAACAAAGAAGAAAATTGTATTCTTGTGCATGTAAAAAGGATAAGCCTCTACTTGAGTGAGAAACTAGAGGTTAATATCAAATGCCAACTGTAAATAAGGTTTTACATACAAGCATATTATGAAACTATGTTCCCCATATAATCTGGTTTAGATGGCAGTAGGCAGACTCTGGAAAATGTTACATATGTGTAGATAGGGATGTCATGGTTGACATAGTCTTTCCAGACTTTAGATATGTAAGCATCAGTAACAATGAGAAGGAATACCTGCTGCCCAGGGTTATCTTGGAGATAAATGAGATAACCTATGTAAAGAACCTACATAGTGCTTGGCATACGTTAGGTGTTCAACAAATCTTAATTCTGCCAATCCATCTATCCTCCCATCATCCACTGTTAGTCTGTCTGCTGTTTTCCCTATGCCCAAATGCCCTGCATTTGGCCTACATGCTTAATAGTTAAATAGTTTTGCTGTCTATGTATTCTCTATGCATCTGGGTTTTTTAAGGAAATTTTTTAATTATTATTTTTTAAAATTTTATTTATTTATTTATTTATTTATTTATTTATTTATTTATTTATTTTGAGATGGAGACTCGTTCTGTTGCCCAGCCTGGAATGCAGTGGTGTATTCTTGGCTCACTGCAATCTCTGCTTCCCAGGTTCAAGTCATTCCCCTGCCTCAGCTTCCCCAGTAGCTGGGACTACAGGCATGTGCCACCACGCCCATCTAATTTTTGTATTTTTAGTAGAGACGGGGTTTCACCATGTTGACCAGGCTGGTCTTGAACTCCTGACCTCAGGTGATCCACCCGCCTCAGCCCCCCAAAGTGCTGGGATTACAGGCTTGAGCCACCTCGCCCGGCCTTATTTTTTATTTAAAAATTTTTTTCAGACAAGGTCTTGTTCTGTCGCCTAGGCTGGAGTGACAGATCGTGCAGTGGCATGATGATAGCTCACTGCAGCCTTGAACTCTTGAGTTCAAGTGATTCTCCTGCCTCAGCCTCCTGAGTAGCTACGACTACAGGCATGTGCCACTGCACATACCTAATTAAAAAAAATTTTTTTTTAAAGACGGGGCCTTTCTATATTGCCCAGGCTAGTCTCAAACTCCTGGGCTCAAGTGATCCTTCTGCCTCAGCTCCCAAGTAGCTGGGACTACAGGTGCATGCCACCATACTTGGTTCATTTTTTTTATTTTAGTTTTTGTAGAGATGGAATCTCACTATGTTAAAGCATGCTTATTCAACTGTAATATGTATACAGATTCTTATTCAACAGTCCTGAGAAACAATCTCCCAGGTAAGTCTGGACCTCAGTCACACTTTAAATATCAAGAGTGTAAAGCAGGGCTTCTCAACCTCAGCACTATTGATGTTTTGAGCTGGATAATTCTTTGCTATGGAACTCTCCTGTAATTTTAGAGCGTTTAACAGCATCCCTGGCCTCTACCCACTGGTTGTGACAACCTCCCTGGTTATGACAACCAAAAAGCGTCTCTACACATTGCCAAATGTCCCTTGGGGGGCAAAATTACCTCCAGTTGAGAACCATTAATGTAGAGAATAACTTATCCACAGGTAAGGGCAGAGACCAGGTAATTATTTTCAAATAGTCCCATCAATTACCATATGCAATCAAGCGTTTAGTAACAACATTTGATATTCTGATGATGATGGTGATGATGATGATGATGATGATGGAGATGGTGATAAGAATGACGAGAATTTTAACCCCCACAGATTTCTATGCCCAGAGCCTGGTCTTAACTTTTGCATCTGCTTAGGGAAAGGTCCTGCTTACCTTCATTTTGCATCCACTTTCCCAGTAATCCCACCAGGACATCTTATTGAATGTGAATCATCATTTAGAGTTCACATGTTGCTGTCACTGCTATAAACTACATGGAGTGGCAGGTGTTATCACCATTGTTTTGCAGATAACATAACTAAAGCTCTTCAGGGTCAAGTGAAGCATCCAGGGCCATAAGACAACTTGGGAGCCAGATCTGGGTGATAGCTAAGATGTCATAGCTGCCCCTGGGAGGAGGTAGATCTAGTCATTCTACCCTGGAGCACAAGGAACTGCTATCCCTCCCTTCCCTCCTCTTCCCTTTGGTCAAGGGTACACAGAGCCACTGGACTAGTAATGGCTGGCATTTATGGGGCACAGTTTAAAACATTTTGTGAGTATTATTCTATTATTCCCTCATGACAATACCTTGATGGTAATATCACAGATGAGGAAACTGAGGCACAGAGAAAGTTAAATAACTTGACTGAGGTTGTAGAGTTAGTGAGAGAGTTAGGATTCAAACCCAGACAGTCTGGCTCCAGACCCCACATGCTATATTGCCCATTGAAGCTTGGAAATAAAGTTGGCTGCCTGCTAGGCTGTCATTTTGTCAGCATGGAACCAGAGGACATGGTCACCAGCTGCCAGAACACCCAGGATAGACCCCTCTGCTGAATTGTGGCTGCTGCTGAACCCAGGCAATGCCTAACCCTGTTGGAACATCTCCTGCCATCCCTGCCTGGTGGGAGACAGTCCTTCTGTGCGAGTCTTGAAAGCTTATTCAGGTGCTGTCACTGAATGACAGGTGCACAAGCTTGTTAGCCTTGTAATGAATATCCCAGCCTCCTCTGGTGGGAGCCAGCCTGCCTAAGGATGATGGGGAATGGAGAGAGGCAGAGGAACCTCCTTCAAAAGGCTTCAGTCATTGTCAGAAAGTTTAAGAGAACACACCTGTGCTGGCGGCTAGCATGCAGATGCCAGCTGGCTGTTGGGTTGTCACTAAGGAGAGGGAATGAGAGAAAAGAACATGGGATTTGGATTCAGAGTTTGAATCTCAGCTCAGCCACTTTCTAGCTTTGTGACTTTTGGCAACTTACTTGACCTCCTTGAGCCTCAGGTTCTTTATCTGTAGAATGGGGTGCTAACACCTATCTTAGAACCCTGTTGGGAGGATTAGGGAAATCCCATGGGTAGTGCCTGGCAGATCCTGGGCATTCAGTAGGTAAAAGGTGTGGTTATAAGGAGGCCTAAATGCCAATGAGCCAGGTGCTGGGAGACTCTGTGGTTCTTGTTGAGAAGATGGAAAACCACACACAGGAGCGCTGTTATGTTTGTCTATTCAAGATTCCCCATCTTGGGGGAAACAACTCCCCATCTTTGGGGAATTTCCTGTCTCCCATTCCATGCAGTACTAGTGGAATTTCCAACCTCAGCATTTCAAACTCAGGGTGGGCATATGGCCCAAGCTCGACCTGGAATTTTATATCAGACACTTGGGCAAAAAACTCTTTCCTTGTGCTTGAGATTACTAAGCTGGATTTATTTAAGCCTAGAAATATCTAGGGCACAACACCTACCCCTACCCTTCTGTCCGACCTACACAACCCCATGGAGAAGCCTGTCTCCAGCAGGAAAGGGCCACAGACCTTTATATAAGAAAGAGGGCACTTAAGTGGTGGTATCATTTCAGATGTGTCCCCCTCCCCCCTCCCAGACTTCTTTATTAAATGAGCCAAGTGAGTCCTATTTTAGCTTCAGCTTTCTCAAGTTGGGTTTTTATAACTTTCAACCATAAGAAACCTAGCTACTACAAAGGAGGTATTCTAAGAGACTTGGGGCAAACTATAGAGGGCATCGTGCTAAAGGTGTTGGGGTCAAAAGTCAGGAAAGGCTGTCTTAGAGTGAATTTCCCCTGCCATGGTTCTCTTGCTTGTATTTATTTCTTGCATCTTTCATGTCCTTTTATCTTAGAGTATTTTACAGACTCCCATTGTGCTTGAGGGAGGCTTAGATAGTCAGGGCTGGAATTCTATACCTAGAGTTTTGTTCTAGCTTTGCTCGGTGGGCCTTATCTATAGACACTGGGTGCTGGGCAGGATGTACATGATCTGAGTTGTAACCCTAATGCCAAGAAGACAGCATATTCTTGACTTGGATGTGAGTTCCCAAGTGCCTCTGGGACAGTGCAGATGTACAAGATGCCAGAAGAATGAGCAATAGTGATAAAGTGAGGTTAAGCCAAAAGTTGGCCCTCCCAATTATGTTTGGGGGATGAGCAAGTGAGGTCCTGCTGGGGGCTCCTAGCATGCCCTCCCTTGATGCATGGGGTTAATTTGACTAAAGAAACTTTCTCTATGCAACTGTGATATAAATTGGGAAAAGGAACTCTGCCCTAGATTTAGAATTAGGTGAGCAGGTAGCCTTAGGTTATGTGTTGAGAAGAGTTAAAAGTGTTAAGAACACTGACATATTATAATCATAAAGCAAGGGAAAGAGGAAACTATTATTTCTTTGACTACATGTCACACACCATACTAGGTACTTCATAAACATCATCTCAGTGAAACCTCCTAAGAACAACTCTGTGCCTCATGCACTGCTGGTGGAAATGTAAAATGGCTAAGATGCTTCTGAAAACAGCCTGGCAGTTCCTTAGCTGGTTAAACATAGTTACCATATGACCCAGCAATTCCACTCCCAGGTTCGTGCCCAAGATAAATAAAGACACATGTCCACACAAAGACTTGTGTACAAATGTTCATACAATGTTATTCGTGATAGCCAAAAGGTGGAAACAACCCAAATAGCCATTGACTGATGAGTGGATGAATAAAATGTGGTACTGTCTATCTACAAAATGGCAAAAAAACAAATGAAGTACCTCTACTTGTTACAACATGAGTGAACCTTGAAAACCTTATTCTAAGTGAAAGAAGCCAGTCACAAAAAAGATCACATATTATATGGTACCCTTTACAGGAAAGTCCAGAGAAGGCAAATCTATAGAGACAGGAAGTAGATTAGTAGTTGACAGGGGCTGGGATTAGGGAGGGGATGGGGAAGCTGGGAATTGATGGCTAAAGGGAGGTGAGACTTTTTAGGGGGATAATGAAAATATTTAAAATCATTGGTGGTGAAGAATGCACAACTCTGTGAATGTGTCAAAAGCCACTGATCCATACATATTAAGTGGGTGAATTGTGTCGTTTGTGGATTATATATCAATAAGGCTGCTAAAATTGAAAGTTTCTTAGAGAAGTGAGAGATGGCAGCTCTTTTTCAAAAGTCTTGAATAATGATTTGACCTTTAAACTATAAGCATGTATAACACAGAAGAAAACAAAAATTAAATTAGAAATCACACACTAATTCTGGAAAAAAAAAAAAAAAAAAAAGGAGGAATAGTCCTGTAATGTATTACTGTTTCTGTTTTACAGAGAAGAAGCCAAGATTCAGAGAGGGCTAAATGATTCACTCAAGGTCAGGTTGCTAATAAACAGAGGAGCCAGAATTGGAACTTAGGTCAGTTTGAGTCCTAATGTTTAACCATTTCTAGGCATAAGAAGGATCAGATGTTCCTTGGAAAATCAGCCTCTTTGGGGGATTGTGCATGGGCCACGGACAAATGAGGGTGATCTCATCCAGCCAGCCAAGGCAGTCCAATTAGCCCTAGTGATCTGTGGAGTGGCGGGCACCCTTTCACCCATCCGCGTACTGTAAGAAATGCCTCGGGTCTGGATGCAAGACTCCATGCTTCCAAGTTTGTGTAGGAAGGAGGGGCTGGCAGGAGAGCAGCGGACAAGGATCTCAGCTCCACCTCTTCTCAAAGATTCCCATTCCAATTTCTGCCGCTGGCCCTAGGGGGATGCTGGCCCTTCAGTGTCACTCTGGCCCCACCATGGACAAACAACTCTTCTCTTTATACCCTATAACAGGGCCAAGTAGAGACCAGATGATCTTTAGTAAAGGCTGTGGCGAGTCTTGACTCTAGACGGTGGAAAGCAGGGTGGAGAGCAAGTCACTTTGTGGTTTTGAACCTCAGTTTTCTCATCTGTACAAGGGAGATAAGAATGCCCAGATTGTAAGAGCATGAAGATTTAATACTCAGGCAAAGCGCTGGTATGCGGGTGAGCACCCGATGCCTTTGTGTCCTTATGCCTGTGCGAAATCCTGGGGATAAGAGGTAGCAGTCAGGGCATTTCCACATTTGAATCCCTAAGCTTGTCCTCTTCATGTGTCTAAACTCACTTTGGAGGAGTAGCTCCTGTGAATTATTTCCTAGAAATGGCTTGGGAACCATCTTGCCTGGGGTTGAGTGTGATCCCTCAGGAGCTGGCTCCTGCCACTAAGTACTTGCCAGCTGCTGCTTTTAAGTGTGGCACTCTGAATGGCTGCATCGTCCCCACCTTGGGACCGTGAGGTCCTGTGGGTGGGATGGGGGTTTGATCGCCAGTCCTTTCCTATCAGTCAGCATGGTGCCTGACTTGCAGTGGGCGCTCAAGATATAGATTCAAGGAAGGAAGTAGAATGTCAAAGCTGAAAGAAACCTCAGAGGACATCCAATCCAGTAATTCTCAAGTTATTTTTAACCTCAAAACCCTTTCTTCAAAGGAAAACTTTATGCAGAGGCCCAGTCTATATATAGATACAAGCTGAGTTGTTCTGACAGTGGTGGGTGGGGGCAGGCCTCTCCCAGCTTCGACTTCCCTCTTTCCATCCACTTTGGTAGATTCCTTACAACTGCAGGGAGCAGAGGTTGAACCTCACTGATCACATCTCAAATGCTCATTTTACAGATGGGAAAACTAAGACTCAGAAAGGAGGAGCGAGTTGTGACTTGCTTAGAGTCTTGGAGGGTGCAATGCTGGGTTTGCAACAGGGACCCTAGCTCTGGGGCTAGTCCCCCTTGCCACATGAATCTCTAAGCACCCTAGGCCTTGAGTGTGGGTTGAGAGCCCCAAGTGTTTCTAGATGCTCTTTTCTTTTCAGCAGTGCTGACTGCCCTGGACTCACACAAAACAGCATCACTATCAGGATCACGTTAATCTTTAACTGGAGGGAGCACGGGGCAGAGGAGAAAGGCAGAGGTTTGGGAACCTGCCAGAATAAGTCAGACTTCATTAGCATCATAATAAACGGATACAACTCCCACCTCCTCAAAGGAGCAATTCCTCCAAGGTGGAAGGGATCTATTCCTCTTCCATTCTCTTTCTTCCTTCCTCCTTCCTTTCCTTCTTTTCTACCCTTCTCCTTTTATTCAGCTGTTCACCAATGCAAGATGCAATGGGTCTTCTGTTATTTAGTTGTTTTTTTTTTCATTTGAAAAGCAATCTACATACCAGTCCCTGGACACATAGAATTTCCACTGATAAGACACACAGTCCCTGCCTTTCTGGAGAACCTGTCCTAGAGCTGGAGAGAGACAACAAAGCAGTTTATTATGCTGCACTCTGCTAGGTGTTCCAAAACAAGGCAGCCAGCATGGTTAACTGTCCATTATCCTTATGGCGACCACATTTTCCCAGCCCCACATCAGGACAACTGACCCGGCAAGCACTCATGTACCTAGGGAGACAACAGAATGGAATATGGGAAATTGTGATGGCCAGCAAAAGTCTGGGCTATTTGGGCATCTTAATTATAGCATTGATCTCAATTTACCTGACATCAGATTTATGTGTGTGTATAGATGGAGTGAGGATTAAAAGAACAATAGTGGATGTATTTCAGAGGGCATGCTCAGGTATCTTTGATGTCTTGACCTTTTCATCAGATGCCACCAAGAATCTGTATTTTTGTTTTCTTCTTTAATAAAATTTTGGGAAATTTTAACCCTGTTACAGAGCAAATAGAATCAGATTTCCGTCTTTGCAATAATACCCACAGCTGATTCCATGCACTTGTGATAGTTGTTTATGTTGCTGACTGCTACCCTGGGCCCCTCTCTGGGGAGTAGGGCTGTGTAAGGGTGTCTAGCTTCCTCATTGGCAGGACAGGAAGTTCCTTGAGAGCAGGAATGGAGTCTTATTTATCTTTATTTTTCTATCCCCTCCAGTGCACTGTACAGCCCTTAGAATAAGGTAGAGCTTAAGTAGGGCTTGTTGAATTGAATTATTGAGTAGACAGGCTTGCGATGGGAAATAAACAAACAAAAGAACCAACGCCTTATAATTCAATGCTGCTCAATCTGTCACTTGCAGACCAAATCCCCAGCTCCCTCGGATGGCTGGAGAAGGGAGCTCCCAGACATGGAGAGAGGGATGTACCTGGCACTGCACTGTGCACACAGGATCACACTCATCCTTCCTGCATCTCTGGGATGGAGGTGCTCTTACTAACAGGTTAGGGAGCTTCAGTCTCCCAGGGAGGACCTGGAGAGCTGGGATTGGGCCCGTGGCCTGCCTATCCCGGCTGTACCCTTTTCCTCCCAGACAGTGCTGTCTGGGTCAATGTTGCTATGACTCCTCCCCTCCCCTGGCCCCTCACGATTCCTGGAAACAGCCTGCAATCCCCTGACCTCTTGATCAGTGGCTATGGAAACAATATCTACTCTGACCTCTGTAGTGGCTTTGCTCTCCTTATTGGTCCCAAGTTTCTAAAATATGTCAGTGTAAAGATCTCACCCAGAGTCCTGTAGCCATCAAGGGCTGTCTCACTGGTTTTTGGTTATAGGAAGGAATTTTGTTTCTTTGGCCTTCTTTCTGTGTGTGGTGTCTGGCACATAATAGCTATGCAATTCCTGCTTGTTGAAAGAGGAAGGAAGCAGGGCTGGATTGAACAACTGAATTGTCCTGGCTTGGGTCATTCTATAGCCCTCCATTCTTTGGACAGTGGAGGCTCAGCCTGTGAAAGCAAAGTAACCAGGAAGGAAGGAAGGAAGGAAGGAAGGAAGGAAAGAAGAAGGGAGGGAGGGAGGGAGAGAAAAGACCAATATCTCCCCTTTTTCCCCTACAACCCTCCCTCCCACAAGCTGTGTACATTTCCCAAGAACAAATGTTTACCCTGTGGGCTAGCCCCTAGCACTCAGAGTGTGGGCCATGGCCCAGCAGTATTAGTATCTCCTGGGAGGCTATTAGAAATGCAGAGTCCCAGGCCCTACCCATACCTACTGAATCAGAATTCTCATGTATCAAGATATTCAGATTTATGTGCACATTAATGGTTGACTAGTGCGGGGCTAGATGACCTGCACTTAGAACCTTGTCTATTCCTCTAAGAGACTAGTCAGGTTTCCTGAACATTATAAGGAAGGCATTGGAGAGGATTTTAATACCAGGACCTCAGGAATGGAGAGAGGAAACATCTTGAGAGGAGACTAATAATGATTTTTATCATCATAATTGCTAAAGTTTATTGAGCATTTACTATGTGATAGGCACTTGACATTCATGATCTTATTTAATCCTCACAACAACTTTATCAAGGAGATATCATCATTACACCCGTTTCAGAGATGAGAAAACTCAGTCTGGGGTGATAGAGCAATTTGCCAGGATCATACAGGGAGATTTGAGTTATTCATCTAACTCTGGCTTCTCCTTGTTCTATAATGTTGGCCAAATGACTTTGATCTCCAGGCCAGGCTGACCACCCTTTCACCTTCAAACCAGAGAGAACAATGCCCAGAGCCTTCTCAAAAGCAGACAAGGAGAAGGATAGTAAGTACACAAGTCTGCAAGGTCCTTCAGAGCTAAGATGTCCTATTTTCAATGCAATAGAATCATTTAACTGATAAACACGGAGGCAATGTCAAGATGGCAATAAATTGCCTCGCTATCAGGCAAGGCCTTTGTGTAACGTTCAAAAGAAACTAATTAAAGAAATTTTTCTTTAAAGTATATTTGACCCAGACATTTCTACATCGGCCCAGGATGCCAATCCAGTTTGAAAACTTGGTGTAAAGCTTGCATTATTAATGCACACTTGAAAAATGATATTGCATATTTGCCTTAGAACATTTTGGGAATGGGGGAGGATTAAATGTATCTCTTGAGGATTTGATCAGGGAAGGAAGTGGAGGGTGGGGTGATGCCAGAGAAGGCCAGAGAAGGTGTGCATCCTTGTAAAACATCTATCATAAAACTTGGGTCTTTATCGGAACTCCAGCGTTCAGATGACTGAGACAAATTTTAAAGAGAATTTTTTCACATCTAATACATAAAACATGATCTCCACCATCTCTCTCTCTTTAAACAGCTTTGTTAAATAGTCAGTTGAACGACATCTCCCTTGCTGCCATGAATCCATTAGGGAATCATATTTACATAGGGGATTTTACTTGACAATCTCAAATCACTTGGAAAACATCAACCTTCTCGGCCTCTCAGCACCCTTTGGGGAGCTGTATGCATACTCCTGGTTTATTTCTCGCACCCTCGTGTGGTGACAGTGGCTCCCAGAAAAGTGGACTTGGCAGAACCAGTGCCCCAACTAGTGCTTTCCAGGATACCTCTCTCAGGGCTGCCCCCTGACTCCCACTTGCTGGATTGCTTGGACCCATGGAGATGGGCATGGGAATGGGGCTGGTGCAGCTCCTGCCATCCTCATCCTCATCACTCAAATGTACACTGAGCAGGCATGGAGACTCCAACAAGGAAAGAAGCTGGCATCTCAACAATGACGGCAACAGTAAGAGTAGCTCATGTGTATTGCTTAATATGTGACCGGCAGCATGTTAAACACTTGGTGTGGGGTTGCCCAGTAAATCCTGGTGAGCCTGCGAGGTGCTTCTAGTGTTACCTTTACAGCATCGATGAAGAAGTTGAGGCCTAGAGAGCTGAAATGATGGGCTCAATTCCCACTCTTAGGAAGACAGTCTCAAGCCCTCATTTGTCTGTTTCAGTTCACACTCATCTACACTATCATGATAGACCAAAGGGCATTATATGTACAGAAGGAGTTTCAGGAAGGGAGAAAATGGAACTTGAAGCGCTTTGTCATATATGTATTCAATGTGTGCATTCAGCAAATGCCTCCAGCTTTGGCTCCCTTCCATTCCATCCTAAAAGGCTGAGATAATTTTCTTCTTTTCACTTAAAATAGCCTCTATCTAGATATGTGAAGCAGCTAGCACGGTGGCTTGCACACAGTATATGGTCAATGACGTGACTTCCCTTTTCCATTTGTAGTCCATGCACACATGCTGACACTCCCTAATTCCATGAATCGATATATTTCTTAAAACGATGCTCAGAGGAGGATTCTGAGAACACAGATGGGACAGGACTATGGCCGTGGTCACTTTAAACGTGGTTTGCCACGTCAGCAGAAGCCATTGAAAGCAGAGGTAAGGTTTCAAGGAAGGAGAGGGGCCTGTGAGGCAGGTGGAAATGGACAGAGTGGTGGATGGGCAGCAGAGTCGAGCAAGGTGAGGACGGATTTGATATTCTGCTGTGTGAAAGCAGGCAGGGCTGATGCTGAGGAAGAAAATCACCGATAGCCTAAGGGCCATCCTGTGTAGCTGTGCAGGTTGTGCACTGCAGAACTTTAGGGGGCGCTGTTCTTACCACCCGGGGAAGGGAGGCCCTAAGCGGACCCTGCACAGTCAGCAGGGGCCTAGGGAAGGACCTTGCCTGCAACATTTACTGAGTACTCATAAGAGTGGAAGCATGTGTGGTGGGGAAAGGGTTTTTAAGTTGGGCCTTTTAGTTAGAATTTTGACAGATGGAAAACAGGGAGGGGCAAAGCCCAGGTGGCTGACTCCTATTCGTCCTTTAAGGCTGAACTCATGCCTCCCCTGTGCTGGGACCCGTTCTGTGGCAGCAGCTGCGCCGCCCTTTTCCTCCTACAGCACCGGACCTACCTCACCCTAAGCTTCACCACCCCTCCCTGAAAGGGTTCATTCCCAAGTTCGTGGAGTCTCATGGTCCCCCTCCCAACCCCCCCGAAACCCACCATCCCGCCTCCACTACCCTGTAAGCTCCTAGAAAGCAGGAACTATGTTTTTCACTCCAGTAGGCAGGGATTAGCAGTGGTGCTAGCACATAGTAGGTCCTGGCACGCAGTAGGAGTTGAATGAACCAAGTAACCAATGTATAAGTACAGGAAGCTGGTGTGGGGGCCAGTCATGCGGGCAGGATGGCCAGTGTACAGCCAGGAGATGCCAAGGTCCCCAGAAGGGGCAGTGGACCGGGATGAGAACAGGCAGAGCTCAGGGACCTCCCGGCTGTGGGCAGCAGGGAGGGTGGAGAGAAACCCAAGGAATGTCAGCCACCCCACGTGGAGCTGGGGGCTATGCTCAGGAATCTAACACGCAGCTCAGAGCCAGGCGACAGGCTCCAGCCCTGTGTCTCTGAGCCTTGTTTGAAGGCTGATGATTTTTTAACGGTGTTTGTCTCCCTGAGGGTCGGAATTCAGGAAATGCCCCTCTCTAGTAGAAAAGAGAAGCGGCTGGGAGACAAATATCTTTTATCAGATCAAAAAATTAACATGTGAAGCAAAGCCAATGCTGCCGGGCATTCTGGGGCATGGAGAGGCCAGAGACCCAATGATGTCTGATGACTGACTGAGGGACAAAACAGGCAGTCTTCCGGGGCCAAAGCAGGGGAATGCCCTGCTCTCCAGCTCCTGCTTGCAGGGGCCTTCCTGAGACACATGGGCTTGTTTATTAAGGCCTCAGAGGCACTGACACCTGCTCTCCTCCCCACAGTGGGAATTGGACCCTCCTGTGGTTGCCACTTACTGAGTACCTAAATCCCAACCACCCTAGATGTGGGTGGGAACATAAATAGATGCTCAGAGAGGCAGTGTAGACAGTGAGAAAAGCAGTAGACACACCTTGTTCAAATCCTGGCTTCCACTTCCTGGCTGGGTGACTAGAGGCAAGTCACTTAACCTCTCTGACTGCCTGTCAAAAGAGCTAATGAGTCCTTCTCATACAGCCGTTGTGTGGATTCAGTGGGACACCTTCTGTAAGTCAAGTGTCTGGCGCATAGTAGGTTCTCAATTAATTACAGCTGTTATAAATGATTAATAACCTCGTGTCTCCTCTCAGCCTAGCTCAGGCTCTGCTGCCTGCTGCCTTCAATGTCCCTGACCCCCACACTTGCTGCTTCCACCTCCAGCCCCACTCCTCCTTCCAGGCCTAGCCAGAGGGCTGCCTACTCCATGAGCCCCAGGCCAGCTCTTCCTGTAAGAAGGGTCCTCCCCTTAGGCCAGGATGTTCCAGTTTCTCTCTTCCAGCCTCAGCCACCTACCCCAGACCCCAGAATAACACAGTGAGACCTGAGCTCTCAAGTTGGACACTCTCTTTGATGTCTCTGTGCCTCAGTTTCTTCATCTGTAGACCTGGCAGAGTGGCACGAAGGCCTTAGGTCTGTGTTCCCTGCAGGCAGGAGGCAGGGAGCAACATGTTCTTGGAATAGGGGGTGCCCATGTGTCCTGAGCACCACCAAGTAACCCCCTTTCTTTGAGACTCATAGAGGCTAAGGGGCTGGGTGGGGGCCATGGGGTAAGCAAGAGGCAGAGTTGGGGTGTGGGGCTAGGGGGGCTGCTCCCCAACTTCCAAGGTCCTCAGAGGGGCAGGAACCAGTGTTAGATGTGGAATACTCCAACTATCTCCTTGTCTTACTTCCTCCCCTCAGCTTCCTGCCCCCTCTGCATAGTCGGCTGCTTTCTTCCCTCCTATCTCCATAAAAACCCTCTGGATGCTCTCCATCCTCCTCTGCCGGCATTATCGGTCTGGCTGTTATCTCTCTCCCTGGAAGGCTGGATGCTTCACATGCCTCCTGCTTCCTGGGCATTACAGCAGATTCCTTATAATGAGCATAATCTTCACATTAATCCAGGGCTCCTCTCTGAGGGACCCAGGGTGCCGGATGGGCTTTACTGAAGCCCTCCTCACTGGAATCCACTGGGGAGGAAGCAGGTAAGAGGAGTATTTTCCCATTTCACAAATGGGGAAGCTAAGGCTGAGACACCTGGTGCCCGGATCTCTCCCTAGATCTCCCCTTGCCTGGGAACCAAATATCAGCCACCCTCCCCTGGGGTTGCCTCAGCCTCACCAGCCGCATCCCCTCTCCATGGCTTTAACCCCCCAGCCCACAGATGCCTAATTCCTCCCTCCCACCTCACTTCCTGGCTGGCTGCCTCTCCCAGCCTCTGCCCTGCCTTTAGGCAGAGTTTGAATCAGCTCCCCTTCCTGCTTTTCCAGCCCCACATGCCTTCAGATCTTTCTTGAGGTGTGCCTTCCCTGCTTGACTCTAGTGATCCTGGAATTAGGGGCTCCCACACATTGTCCAAGGAGCTTCTCGGTACATTAGACCAGGGTTCTTAACTGCAGGGGTAGGGGGGACGGTGAAAGTCTATGAACTTCTGAAATTGTAGGTCAACATGTCAGTGCACGGATACGTGGAAATATTTCAGAGGGAGGGTCCACAGCGCTAACAGAGTCTTCGAAGTGGTCTATTGTTGCAAAAAGGTTAGGAGACATCGCACCAGCCTGCGAATGACGGGAATCACTGAGGAACTGGTTGCTTACGCACAGTGCACACAGAGGGCAGCTTTATGCTTTGTCTTATCTGGGGCCTGTGGCCTCTGAGTAGGGCATCTCTGCCTGGCTATTCTGCCTTGGAGACTCTGACTCTGCCCTAATATGCTCCCCATCCCCAGCTCCAAACACCTTTCTTCTGCATTTCCTCAGGGACTGGATACCGGCACACAGGTTGACTTCTCCCTTGTGGGGTCAACTTTTCCTCTATCAAGATGCCTTGGCCATTTCTGGGTCCTGGTCTCTCTACTGAGACCGGTGCTACTCAAAGTGTGATCTGTGGATTGGCATGTTGGGTTGTGCTGCTTTAGACTTTATCCAGGCAGTTCATTTTGTTTCCCTTGACTGTGCTGTTTCCCTCCCTGCCTGCCTGTCAAAATCCTGTCCATCGTTGGACAGGCCCAGCAGTCCCAGGCCCAGCTCCAATGCCACCTCCTCTGGGAAGCCCCAATGGATGAGAGCTGTCCTTCCGATTGCCCTAGAGCTGGCTTCTTTCCTCATTGACAGCACTTACTGTGCACCCAGCAGTGCTCCACACATAGAAGGGGCTCAAGAAATGCCTGGCGTGCCCTTCGTTGCTCCTGTTGAGGAAGAATTCACTCATATATTCAACTGTGCATTTGTTCAACACATTTGTGCCAGACATTGTGTTGGGGGACTAAACAATGAAAGGGACAACAACGTGGTTGCCCTTACAGAGGTTCTGGTCAAGGGAGGCAGATGGACACGAGGACAGGCAATGGTCTCAGCGTGAGTGATAACTACTGTGTTTGGGGTCAGAGGGTATCCTGAGCGCATATGAGAAGGGCACTCATTGCCTGAGGAAGATGGGGTCTTCGGTGAGACCTGGTGGCATAGTTAGCCAGCGCCGTTGAGGAGTAAGGAGTGTTCTGGGAAACAGGGAGAGCCCACCTTAAGTGTGGAGCCTGCTGTGATCCAGAATTTAAGGCATTTCATCTGCAGAAGCAAAGGCTGTGGGAGGAGAGGAGAGGAGAGGAGAGGAGAGGAGAGGAGAGGAGAGGAGAGGAGAGAGGAGCCCAGGTCATGGAGGGCCCAGTAAGTTTGAAGAGCTTGGACTTAATAATAAGAGCTGGCATTGGGGAGCTGTGCTAGTTACTCTGCCTGTGTCACAAATTACCCCAACACAGAGTGGTGTAAAACAACCATTCATTATGCTCCCAGAGTCTATGGGTCAGGAGTTGGGTCAAGGCACAGTGGGGAGGACTTTTCTCTACCCTATGATATCTGGGGTCTCAGATGGACCATTCAAGGACCAGGGGCTGGAATCTGTCTGGATGTTGATGCTGGTTTCCTGCTGGGGGCCTCAGTTCCTCTCCACATGGGCTGGAGTCCAGGTTTTGGCCATTCAACCTGGCCTGGGATCTGTGTCTGAGACTTCCCTACTACATGTCATATTTGTCTTAACCTCCTCTCTTCCTGAAAATGCTAGAGGTAACCTCCTCTGGGAAGCCTCCCCGCCATCTCTCTGGTTAAGGGGGCCACTTGCAGCCTCTGCCTGAAGTCATTTGTCTCCTTGCCTGTCTCCCCCACTAGTCTGAGACCTCCTTGAGGACATCTTCCTTATGTCTGATTCCCCGTCACCTGGCATACAGAAGATGCTAGATAAATGTTTGCTGGATTGTCAACTAAACACGAGAAGGTTGGCCTACCAGGGTTGGCATGGCATTGGCTCTTTGGCTTATCTTTGTTGAATCTGCCCTTTTAATGCTGCATTTTACCTGCCTCCTTTCTAAGCTCATTTAGGTCAAATATTTATAACTATTATGGGGCCTCATTCCTTACCTAGGGCTTCCACTCCTGCCCTCTTCAAATTACTCTCTACAAAGCAGCTCCAGGAGGCTGCATCAGATTTAAATCAGAGCATGTCCCTGGCTCAAAACCCTCCAATGTGTTTCCATTGTAAGTGAAATCCACAGCCCTTTTGCAGCCTATGGTCTACAAGGCCCTGCATTATGTGCCTCTGCCTTCCTCACTAACCCCATTTCCTAGACACCCACCTCCCACATTTCAGTGACACTGGTTTCCATTCTGCCTGAACAAGCTAAGCTCCTTTCTGCTTCAAGACTTAGTATTGCTATTCTCTCTGCCAGGAACACACTCCCTTCATCTCCTTGCTTGGTCATTCTTTATCACTGAGACCATAGCTCGAATGCCACTTATTCAGATTTTCCCTGAACTCCTAGCTTATGTAGTATCCTCACCCCAGCCACCCTCTCTTCCAACACTCCTCCAATTTTCTGCATAGTTATTATCAGAAATAATCTAGTTTCTCTACCTGTTTACCTTGACACTGCTGGTCTCCTTCACTGGAATGCAAGCTTGCTCAGGGAAGGATCTTGCTATTCATTGCTAGATATAACATTCAGAACAAGATTCTGACCCATAAATATTTGTGGAATGAATAAATGCATGCATGGAGACCCATTGTACAGATGGGAACATCTAGGCACAAGTAGCTTGCTGGCTGAGGAGTCTGTGGCTCTAGGCCTCCAGCCCCGCCCACCTCTTCTTCCTTGCTTTGGCTCCCATCCTTCCTTTCCCACCCACCCCTCCCTCTTGTGTGGTGCCAGAGTACTCCTTTCTCTCCTCAGCAGCCTGGGCTGGGAAGGGTCGGCTGAGCTGGTGAACACAGGCGAGCAGCTGCAGAAGCATCGCAGGAAGTGAGAGAGATCCTGGTCCTGGGGGAGCGTTAAACTCCTGACTTCAGGGGGAGGTGAGAAACAGGCAGTTGTCTCCGCCTGCTTGGAGCAGGAGGAAGGCTCTTCTCCTGGTGTTATTGATGGATCAGATGCAGAACTGCAGATTATGCTTCCTGCACGGGCTTCCGTGCCCACCTCGTGCAGAGCACCCAGGCCCCAGGAGGAAAGATGCTCACCAAGGAGTGGTTGGCCTGCTCGCTTGCTCACTCCCACCCCAGGATTTATGGTGCTGCCCTTGAGCAGGAGTCTCTGATGGAGATATACCGGCCTGCTTTTCTGCCGGAAGTGGGCCCTTCCGATGAATCTGAGCGGTGACTGTAGCAGCCACCATGCAGGAGGCAGGAGATCTACGGCCCTCTCTCCTGGCCCTCTACCCTCCTGCCCATCCGGCCCACAACCACTTAGCCTGGAAAGAAAGGCCCTGACCCTCTTGGTCCCTGTGCAATAATAACCCTTGGCAGCTGAAGGACGGCACTACCTAGCTCCCTCCTGCTGAGCTCCTGAGAGGACAGCTGGCTGCCAATCAGTGGTGTAAGTGGCTGCACATTACCAAGCATCAGCTGCTCTTGTGGTGCTGTCCACTCCCAACAGCAAATCCTATGATGGACCAAATGTGGAACCCCAGAACTTGTGCCTAGATTTTCCCATCTGTGCAATGGGTCTCCATGCATTTATTCATTCAACAAATAGATACGTGTCAGGTCTTGTTCTGAGTATGGTATCTGGCAATGAACAGACAAGGTCCTGCCCTGAGCAAGCAGGCGGGGCTGGGGTGGGGGGACTCACATGTACTGATGGCCCCTTCCAAGTGCCAGGCATGCGCCACATGCTGCCTGTTCACCTCTGTCAGTCCCCTCGGCAGCTTTGAGAAGTGAGCGCTGTTGGCTCTCGTTTACAGACACAGAAACTGAGGCTCGGGAGGGGAAGGAGGGGCTTTGCTTGAGTGCCATGAGCATGCGTCGCTAGTTAATTTTTCTGTCAACCCTAAGAGGTAGGGCCTACACATTGTTACTGCCTCTTAGAGATTAGGGGCTTGAACCTCCATGTGGGGACAGAAAGGATGGGGAAGAAAGGATGGGAGCAGCTATTTGTAGAGCCTTTTGTACCAGACACCGTTAAGTTCTTTATGTGTGTTTTATCATTGTCACAGTGAGTCTAGAAGGTAGGTGGGTACTTATATTCTCATTTGATTAATGAAAACTAGGGCTCAGAGGGGTTTGGTAACAGCGGGGGCTGGGGAGAGTTATCCTCTTTCTGCATCTCACAACCAGGCCAGCTGGGATGCTTCTTCAGGACCACACTGTTCAACATCTGCTGGCAGGAGGGGAGTGGTGGCCTTCATTTTTAAAGACCAGGAACGCTGCACCCCTTTCCCTACCTCTCATTGTTGCCTCCTGCCGCACTACCTCCAGCCTTCCTCAGGCCAGGGGGACGAGGAGGTGATGTCTTCTGGCCTAAGCGGGCAGGAATGTCTTGGCGGCCTCCCTGTGATTTCCCTCTGCTCAGTCAGAGTCTGTCACACTGTCTCCTCCCCTCCTACCAGACTGTGCCAGCCCTGGGAGACTTATGGAAAGACACTTTGATCACAGGAGCCCAGGGGAGCTGTAGCAAGTGGGAAAGTAAGATAGCGAGAACATGCAGGTGAGAGTTTTCTATCCAAAGCCGGATCAGAGATTCCTGTTCCCTGCGGTTATGCGGGGACTTGCCACTGTCAGGCAGCAGTGACCAATACAGATACAGACAGCAGGGGCATGACCAACACAGATACAGACAGCAGGGGCAATGTGTAAGCCTGTCATTAGCAGAGGTCATTAGGCCACTGGGGAGGCCTTCTATGGCTTGGCTGTCACTGCTCTGCCATAGTCATCACTTTTTTTGGGGAGAACCAAACCTCGCCTTTACTCCTTGTCACCCCATCGGCTCACTGGAATCACAACATCAGAGCCAGAAGAGCCCCTAGAGATCATCTTCTTCACCCCTTTGGTAATGGACAGGGAAACCGAGGCCAGGGGTGAGTTATTTGCCCAAGTCACGTGGTTTCCCAGTGGCAATGCTGAGATTAGGATTTGGAGCCCTGGTTTTCTGGGCAGGATTCTTTCCATGACAGGAGAGGAAGTCTGGGGTAGTAGTTAAGTACACAAGCTTTGGGAGCAGAAAGATCTAGGCTCACATGCAGGCCCAGCCCCTGGCTTGCTGCTGTATGACCTGGGAGGGTCTCAACCTCTCTCTTTCATCACTGGATGCACATGGATCAGGACCGTTGTGCGACCTAAATGAGAGGTGTACCTAGGAAGAATTGGGTAATGTTTACTGCTATCACCACTGTCATTGCTGTTGGGGCTTCATGCTCCAGGCAAAGCAGACAAGGAGCCACTGCATGAGTGTGGGGGGAGGTGGGTGCAGAGTGCACAGGGCAGGCAGCCTCCTCCCAGAGAGTCTGGGTCCGTTTCAAGGGCCTGGACTTCTTAAGGGTGCTAAACTCCCAGGAGGGTCAGATACCTGACATAGAGGCTCTTATTTATTCCTCCCAACAGCTCTGTGAATTGAGTGGAACTATCCCTATTTTACAGATGAAATTTACAAAACCAAGGTCCAGAAAGTTTCAGCAACTTACCGCATTTCCCAGTTGGTGAGAGGTAGGGCAGTATCGCAACCCTGGGACTCCTTAGTTTTTTCTGCTCCACCAGTGGCACCTGAGACCAGCCTCGCTGTGCTTGCAGGGCATGAGATGGGCGGCTGACTCAGCTTAGAACCTTCAGAGATGCTGAACCCCACCCTGTCCTGGCCTGGATGGGGGCCCCCATCTCTCTGGGCTGTCTCCTGGGCTAAGCTGTGTCCAGCTTCACCCAACAGAGGGCGCTAAGGCCCTGGTTCTCTGGCCAAGTCCTGGACCACCAGGTTCTGCCTGGTTTCCATGGAGACAGGTGGGGTTGAGTCGCCCCAAGATGGTGCTAAGGTGAGAACGCGCTCTCTTTTCTTCCTCTGCTGCTGCCTGTGCTGTTGATATTCTTGACTTAGGTCAGCTTGGGAGTTTTGGCTTGGGAATAACACAAAATAAAACAGGATGGAGTTTCATAGTAAATTACTTTAATTTTTATGGTGCTGTGTGCCCTGTTTCCTGACAAAGTAACTCTATATTTAATAGTTTACAAGTAGAATTTTTCTCTTTGGGTGTTTTGGTTCTCCATGCCCCCACGCTGTCACTTTATCCCTGCATGCCCTCCTCCTTCTAGCCTCCATTCGAATGATTACAGCCCCAGAGAAGAAGCTCAGAAACCATGGAATCCACCTCAAATGTTACAGCAAGGAGCCTGGGAGCCCAGAGGGGTGGTGCCTGGGCCCAGGTCACACTGGGGGTTGGTGGCTGACTCTCAGAGGCAGGATTTGATTCCAGGATCCATCTGGGATCCAGAGGCCCCACGGCTGCTGGCAGGATATGCAAATGGGTAGCAGGCTCAGCCCAAGTTTGGGGGTGCCTAGTCTCTAAGAGTGAGCAGAGGCCTAAGGGCCTGTTCTCAGAGCTGACCATCAGGTCTGTGATGTCCTCAACTCACTTTCCCTAGTGCCAAGGCAGAGTTGGGGAGCCCACCCTTCTACCCCACTCCACCTTTATTCAGATTATCCTTCTGGGACCCCCTGTCCTGCCACCTTTGTTCTCAAAGTTCACATTTATTGGGAGGGAGGTCCCTTTGAGGTCACCTTTGAGGTTCTTGGTAAACTTATCTCTATTAAAAGGCTGGGGTTGTGGGATTGGATCCCCTAGTAAGGTACTAGCACACTTAAAAACTGCTAGGCTGGGTGGAAGGGAGGAGAGGCCTCCAGCAGCCTCAGAGTCCCCAGGGATATCCTGGGCCCCGTATTCACCTGGCTGCACCCCTCCATTCCTGCAACTCCAGGGAGCTAGCGCTACTTGCGAGTCATTAGATGAGGTGTTTGAAATGCGCATTCCTCCAGGTGTGCCAGCACCAGCAGCATCACCTGGGAGTTGGTTAGAAATGCACACATTTGGGCCCTACTCCAGACCTACTGAATCAATGTCTGCTGGACAACGATATCCAAGGGTGATTGCTTGCATGTTGGTATTTAAGAAGGGCTATTTGAAACCGCACCTTGAATCTTCATCCATCCCCATTTAACAGATGCAGACACTGAAGCCAGGGCAGTTAAATGGGCAACCCCAGGTCATGGCGTTAATAAGTCACAGGGCTTGGGTTCAGATTCCACCCTTTCTGATGCCAGAGGACTTTGGAGGATGGGAGGTTTTCAACAGAACAAGATGGGGGAGAAGCGCCTTTGGGAAAAAGGGACAGCTTGAGCATGGAAACATGAGACAGTGAGGCTGAGGGAAAGTGTTGTGATGGGGGTGAATTTAGGAAGTGGATTGGTTACCTGGAAAGGGGCCTTGGCTCTCCTCTGGTAGGTAATGGAGAGCTATTATCTGGGAACAAGAGAGTTCATTGAGCCTGTAGGTCCTGCCTTGCAGGTGAAGTTGGGGCTGAGATACATCCTTGGGACATTTTCTTAAGGGCCCTGGCTACAACTCCATTCTGGCCTCATACCTGAATTATCTAGCTCTGTGAGAGTGAAGCAGAGGAGTAAGTGGGCAGGCCTCTGGGGGCTTGGACTGCAAGGAGCCAGGTGGGGACCATGGGAGGAGCTCTGGATGGGCAGGCAGGTTCATGAGCCCTGAGTCACCTCTTCTCCAGTGGAAACACCTGCAATGCCCTTATCTAGATCTTGAGGGCTTGGTTACCAGTTCCTGTGCCACACTGAGCCGCCTCTGTGGATGTGCTTCCATGTGTCACTACTCTGCCCAAAGCATGGGGCTCAGGATGGACCCCCACCATAGATCCTGCCTGATTAGAGAGACCAGGCTATCTGCCTTCTTCCTGGGTCTGGGCACTCTACATCTAGTAATGTAACCTAACTCTAGCATTTTTAGCAATGGATTCATTGTAGGGAGTATTGGCATCAAGTACAGTGGAAGGAGCCGTGGGCTCAAAAGCAGGAGACTCAGGTTCTACCTATTTCCTCCATTCTTGTCCCACAAGTCAGCTCAGACATAGGACCACTTTTCCCATTCCTCACTCTCTTCCAGTCACCTCATTGCCACCCTCCACCTCAATCAGCATCCTCACAAATGATGGCACTTCCTAAATCAAATTCTTTCAGAGCCAGAAGCTCATGTCCTCTTTAGGGAAACCCAGTGGTGAGATAGGTCAGATTTGCTGTCCCCATTTTACAGATGGGAAGATGGCAGCCAATGAAGGTTAAGGAAGTGACTTACCCTAAAACCACACAGCAAACAAGGGCTTAGGCCAGAAACCCGGGCTCTTGACTTTGAATCTACAGCTTTAAAATCTTGAGGATTTTTAATAGTTTGTCTTGGGATACCTCCTAGAATGTGAAACCCTGGGCTCAGGACTTGAGTCTGTGTGCCTGGTGCTGAGCCCTGGGGCTGGCACCTGGCAGGTATTCAGGAGTTGTGAAACTGCTTGTGTCTTATGTCCCCTGCCCTGGGCCTAGCACAGTAGGAGGCCCTGATGAGGATGTATTCAGTGGATGTCCAAGTGCTGACCAGAGCAGCTTCATGCCTGTCCCAGTCACCTCTGACACCTCACATGCCCCTTCTTATTCCCTGTCTTTGGGAAGCCTCTTTTCTACTCTCTTTCTTTTCCCTGTTTCTAGTATTCTGCTATTTTCTTGCTGTGCTGAATACCCCTCCTTCCAGACGTGACTTTCCTCCAAGATTCCTCCTTCTGACCCAGGGCATAAGGCATACATGGGTGGGTACCCAAAGTGATGGTAGGTCTCATGGGATGGGGCCACTTTGAGCTGCTTTCGGGCCCTACTTCTATTTGTGGCCAGTCTGTTTCTCAATGTGGGGACAGCCTGGAATGGAAGGAGCCCTGGCTGGCAGCCTCTGCTCCTTTCACACTGGGTGACCTTGCACAGTAGTCAAGATATGTGTTCTGGAATAAGCCTTTCCAGGCTTGAATTCTGTTTTTGCTTCCTGTTAGCTGCATGATCTGGGACAAGTTACTTCACTTCTCTGAACCTTAGTTTCCTCATCTTTTAAACAGGGGAATAATAGTACCTGCTCCATAGGATTTTAGAGGCTTAAAGAAGTTAAGACCCCAAAGTACTTAGAAATAGCTTAACATACGTTGACTATTACAATAATTTGGGCCTCAGTTTCCCCGCCTGTACAATGAAGGGGTTATGCTTGCTGCTCTCTAAGGTTCCTCTGCCTCTGACATTCCAGAATTTAAGCTCTGGGCAGTCATGAGCTCTGCTTAGTTCTCTCCTTTTGTGGAATTCTCAGTGCAGGGTCATGTGCAAGATTAGTAAATAAATGAATAAAGGAATAAAGAGTGCCTTTCATTTGCGCAGTGTTGACTAATTTTCAAAGTGCTTTCTCATCCATTAATTATCTCAATCGAGTCTCATGCAGGCCTGCGACGTAAGCAGCCCAGGGATTATTACTGTCATTTCAGATGAAGAACAAGAGCTTCCGAGAGGCAAAGTGACTTGCCCAAGGTCATACAGTTATTTGATGTCGGATGAGAAGAGGTGGCAAAGAGAAGCTGAAAGAGAAAGGAAGGCTGGAAAAGGTGGGGGTGAGCCTGGGCAGTCTGGGTAACAGAAAAAGTGGAATTTGGCTGTATTTGCCAAAGCCAACTTTAGAGTTTTGGGGTGTTTCTTCCTGCTTTAGGGTTTCTTGAGTATTTGACTTCTTGGGAGTTTTCCTCCTTCTACTGTGACTAGGTCAGTGGCTGGGGCTCAGTCTAGCCTTTGGATAGAAATTAGCAACATCTTTGGCAGCATTTGTAGAGATGTGGTGCTCAGAGCAAAGGAGGTGATAACCCACTCTGTGCAGGACACCAGGGTTCAGTCCTAGGCACTGCACTTTGAGATGGCCTTTGACACACTAGAGGTGGGTGATGGAGAGTCTGAACTTTGAGCCATCTGGAACAAAGTTGAAGGAGCTGGACATAGAGACGAAAAGACTGGAGAGTTTCTGCACTGTTTTGACGTATTAAAAGTAACTTAGACTTCCTCCAGAGGCCTCAGCGGGCAGAACTGATATCAGGGTGGAAGGTACCAATGGAAAATTTTATTGCAACAGGGGAAGAACTGGTTAATTTCTGCTGTGAAAATCCTTGACCCCCATTGTCTCCCACTCCAGGCACACTGAGACTGATGTCCCCTTGTCTCCTTGTTCTTCCCATTCCTCTCCTTTCCCCAGTGATGCCCTTTCCTGGCTGCAGGAGTTGGATGGACCCAAACCCTTGTCGTACTTCCCAGGAACTGAGAGCTCCCTGCAGGCTGGGCCACGCATTAAGGGACCCTGCCTGGGGTGCAGGCTGACAGTTCAGGTCCCTACCAGTTGTGAATAATAGTCATGCAAAATTCTGTGCAGGGAAGGCCCCTGGGAAACCAACAGTGCTTGTTTTTGGAGACAGCACCAGAGTGGTACAGAATTAAAACACTCTCCAGGCTTGACCGGCTGCTTGTTGGAGGCCTGGGTCACTGAGTACTTAGTTAATTCAGGTATAGCGGTAGGAGAGGGGCCAGGGAGGGTGTGTGTGGAGGGTGGTGCTGGGATCCCGAAAGGGGATAAGGAATGAGATCTCTGGGTCTCGGGGAATGAGGAGACATGTCTGCCCTGGCACCGTCTCTCTAGGTCCAGGGCTCAAATTGGAGCCTGCTGTCCTCTCAGCCACAGTGCTTATCCCCAGATGAAATAAAAACAAGGCGATTATTATGGGTGTTTGGGGATTCAGAGCATCCCCTCGGAGACTACATCAACTGGTGGCAGGAAAGGATCTTTAAGAGAGTAAGAATGAGAGAGGCTTAAAAAAAAACCCAGCTTGTCAGCAGTAATCGGCTCCTGCTTGGCCCTCTCTCTGCTGGGGTCCAGGCCACCTTGCAGGGAGATATTTTCCCTCTAAGAGGCTTTATGATGCTACAGTTCTGAACACAGGTGCCCGCTGCCTTAACTTGGTGCTCTGTGGCACCTCTACCCACTCTGACTGTCCCACTTCTGCAGGGACAGGTGACCTCCAGAAAGGCACCGTCTCTCTCTGGTGCAGTGTTCCTCTCCGTCTCCTTCATTTTCTCACATCTTCCCACTCCTGCCATTGCTTTGGGGCTTCCTGCTTCTCCTTCTGTATGCTCAGCTTCATGGCAGTGAGGACCACACAGAGGCAGGAAGCAAAAAGTTGGGGGATGAGGGGGTGCAACTAGGTGTTTGGTACTTGGTGTCTCCCCACAAACACTTCCAACTTCACCTGGGTCTGGCTTAGATTAAGCAAATAAAAATACAGGACAGACACTTAATTTGAATTTCAAATAAAAAACAAATATATTTTTGTATAAGTATATCCCATGCAAGTCTTGGGATACACTTACACTAAAATTAGTTGTTGTTTATCCAAAATTCAGATTAACTGGGCGTTCTGCACTTTATCTGGCAAGTTAGTCTTGACCACTCCTTCCTCCTGCCTCTGGAAGGGTCCTTGGGTGTCTCTCTGTCTTGGAGGGCACAGTCCCAAACAGGGGGACTGTCCCCAACCATTTATACACAAGAACAGTAGCCCTCACCTCCTGGTAGTGGATCCATGCTAACCAATGGCCTTTAGGAAGCTTCGGGTAGCCCCCAGGAATCAGTGATTGCTGCCATCATGAAGAAAGATATGCATGTAAAACATAGAGACATTCTACTTAGAGATGGCGGAAGTGAGGCTCAGAGAGGCAGACTGACTGGCCTAAGGTCTCTCAGTGCTCTGGTGGCAAAGCAGGCCTGAGCTGAGGCCTCCTGACTCCTTGTACAGTGCTCTTCCCACCCCATGCACTTTTTGCAGCAGCCAGCTTATTTGCTGCATTTCAGCTGGGAAAGGGTGGGAATGGGTCCAGTGGTCAAGGCTGAGGAGTGGGAGGAAAGTTTCACTTGGGACAGACCCAGGCTCGTGTTTTTGCCCTCACAGCTTCCCTCCGTCTTCCTACTCATAAATCTGCTCCCTGCCCTAATCCCCACATAGTTGAGGAACATACTCTCTAGAGTGCACCCCAGTGGAACCTTTGGCTGCTGCTAAATTAATTTCAAGCTAAGAGTGCACAGGTTTGGAGGCTGCAGGTGGGAGCTCATGCAATGATTCTGGGGAAGCTCAATTCAACTCCTGCTGCTCTGAACAATGCCCTGGGATTGATGAACGCAGAGACGGTACGATGCTCAGAGTAAAGAAGTGATAACCCACTCTGTGGGACACTGGTATCCAGTCCTAGGCACCACACTTGGAGATGGACTTCGACAAATTGGAGGTGGGTGCTGAAGAGTCTGAACTTTGAGCCATCTGGAGCAAAGCTGAAGGAACTTGACTTGAGGAAGAAAAGGCTGGGGAGTTTCTGGACTGTTTTGACATATTAGAAAGAACTTGGACTGGCTCCAGAGGCCCCAGGGGGCAGAAACAGGACTGATGGGTGGAAGGTACCAGGTGCAAAGCACTCATTTGCTCAAAAGCAGGGAGAAGAATTAGGATTCTAGTCTTAGTTTTCTGTGTGACTTTGTGCAACTCACTTGCCCTCTCTGAATCTCAGAGCCACTAGACTGTATCTAAGGCTCCTTCCAGTGTAGAGTCAAGGTCAATCTAACTTGTGGTCTGTGAGTTGACTCCACAAGAGCAAACCGAGGTCAGAGATCATGCCTCCTGCTTTGTACTTCTCCTAGTCCTCTGTCTGGCTTAATGAAGACATGTTAATTGTTAGGGGATAAAGAAGAGGGAGATGAATTTATTCAAAGCACAGCTCAAAAGCCCCCTCCTGCCTGAAGCCCTTTAGGGTGCTCCCAGGGAGCTGAGTCCTTCTTTCCTGTTTGGCTACACAGTGAACTCAAGCCTTGATCTGACCTGTTTCCCTCAAGCTTGTTCCATGTGGGTGGGGCAGTCAAGACATTATTAACCACCTTCACAGATGAGCCCAGCCTTCCCCACGGCTGTGGCCTCAGTGTACCCACCAGACTGAGCATCACTCCTCCCCAGCTATGCCTGATATTTGCCTCATGATGGTCCCCCTTGTCTGTAATTCCTTTTCCCTTGTTTCTAACTTCTATCTGCTTATCCTTTAAGGTTCAGCTCAAATGTCTCTGTAAAGCCTTCTAACTCTCCGCCGCCACCACCAAGCCTTATCATCTGATTTAGTTACTTCCTTTTTGATGTCCCCAGGGAGGGATCCTGTCTATATTATAGATAGCACTTGCTGTACTGTATGGCAGGGTTTCTATCTACTCATCTTCTCTCCCATTCAGCCATGAGCTCCTCAAGGGCAGGGAGGATGCCGTATTCATCTCCCCACCCTCAGTTCCCAATCCACACTTGGGATGCTTAAGGCTCCTTCTCACCCTCCGCCTCCCAGCTTTAATATCCTCGCCTCAGTGAGCCCTCCCTGACCACCCATTTCAAGAAGATTATCTCTGTTATTCTCTCCTACAACACCCTGTCTGTAATTTACACAAAAATGGATTGTTGACACATTTGTTTTCTGTCTCTACCTCTAAAATACAAGGCTCAGTAACTTTGTCTGTCTTGTTCACTACTGTATCCCCAGCACCTACAATACAACCTGGCACATGACATGCACAAAAGAAGGACTTACTGAGTGAATGAATGAATGACTGCAAGTACTGAGAGGACTTTGGTTACTTTGCCAGGTCCATATCTGTCCCTCCTCCTTCTAGTGGCAACAATGTGATTATTCTTTGGAGGAGCTGCCCTTTTCCTCTCTCAGTCTGTGTTGGTGAATGGGTCTGACCTCTTCCACAGTCACAGAGCCAGGCCTACAATCTAGACCTGGCCCATCAGAATGCTCCTTCTCCCTGACTGAGAATGGGCACTGGGCCAAGCTGTTCCAGGGAGACTCAGTCCTGGAACACTTGCTGCCAATGCGGTAGGATGTAAGCCTGTTGTTGCCGGTAGGAAAGTCTGTCTGGGAATGATGCCCGCACAGAGGGAAGCTGATTAAGAGATGAAAAGAGACAGACTCTTGACAACATTGTTGGAGCACCTGGATCCAGATGTGCCTGAAGCTACCTCCAGACTTTCCAGCTACACAAGCCAGTAAGTTATCTTTTCTGCTTAAACCATTTAAATTGTAATTTATTATTACAACTGGAATAGACCCTCATTAATACAGATTGGAAAAGTGTCTTAAATCCTCTTGTTATTCTCATCTAGCATCTAACAGGGCCTGACATACAGTAGTTATTCAATAAATATTTTGAAGGAATAACTGACTATAAGCATGGAAAGACATGAACAGTGTCTAATGCACTTTACATTTTTTTCTTTTTCTCTGCAAATAAGTGTTCAGTATACATTATGCATGCAATAAGTGTTGATTGATACCAGTTGGCTGAGATTTATTTCTTCTCTTCTTCCTCCTTCTCTGTTAACTCCCTGTTAAGGAGGCCACTGCCTCTCACCCCACCCCCTTTATGGCTCCTGAATTCTCATTCTTTCATTCTTCTTTCAGTTAATAATTGCAATGAGATGTAATTTATCATCCAGAATAGGTCCATGTCCTAAGTCTTACAATAACCTGGGAAAGAAGTGAATACTAATAAATAAAATCATAGGTGTTGTGTATGCAAGGGGAATGGATTTTGGCCCACTGTGTTGCTTATACAAATTGCTGGGTTTCACATGACTCTCCAGAGAGGGAAGGGAGCCGCGTGCCTAGAAAATGCCCCCTGTTATTGCCTCACACATCATTACCTTGGGAAGTAGGACACAATATCTTGAAGCAGCAACAATGGGAGAAGGCTGTAGTCCCCCTTGGGTTCTCCTAGTGTTGGACACTGACTAGCCATTTAAAATAAACTTTTTACCATAAAAATTTTGAACACATATAAAATAGAGACAATAATGTAATGATCCCCTATGTATTCATCAATCAGCCTCAGTAAATTCATGGCCAATCTTATTTCTTCTCTATACCCACCCACTCTCTCCTTCCCACCTCCTGTTATTTTCAGGCTTATCATTTTATATGGAAATATTTAATATGTATTTCTAGGGGATAAAAACTCTTTTAAAAACCATAACCATTCTACCATGGTCACCCTGTGGTAGGTCACCATAGTAATGACCTTTGATGAGCTATGGCCATTAGTGTTGGTGAAGTCCCCTCCTACAATAACTCTGAGCTGGACAATGTGTGTCTCTTTGGTCAATGGGACAAGAACAAATACAGCACAAGGCAGAGGCTCAGAAAGCACCTGCCCATTGGGGCCTTCCCTCTTTTGATGCTTACTATGAATGCTTCTGCCACCGTATGAAGGCAGGAAGAAGCCCAGGCTAGCATCCTTGAGAATGAGAGAACACAAGACCACAAAGAGGGAGAGAGAAAGAGAGAGAGAGAGAGAGGGAGAGAGAGAGAGAACAGCCGTTTCTGTTGAGGCTCCATGCATATGAGTGATCCCAGCCACACCATGTGGGATAGATATGAGCCATCCTAGGTGACACTGCCCATATTCATCGTCTGGCAGAATCATAGGTAGACAAAATATTTGCATATTTAAGTCACTGTATTTTGGGATGGTTTGTTATTCAGCAATAGCTAATTGATGCAAACACCCACCAAAAAAATCACAGTAATTCCTTAATGTCATCAAATACCTAATCAGTGTTGACATTGCCTTCATTGTCTCATAGACTTTTTTGTTTTGTACTTGCTATTATCAAGATCCAATAAGACCTATCTGTTTTGATTGGCATGTCTCTTAACTTTCCTTTAATCTACAGTTTTCACTTCCAATTCCAATCTTTTTTTCCTTCTTGCTGGGTCCTTTTTCCTGTAGATTTTCCCATAATCTGATTTTACTGAATGCTATGGTGGATTCCTGTATCCCTAAATTTCCTATAGGTGGGGAGCTGGATATATCTGGAAGCTTGATCAGATTAAGGTTTGATTTATTTTTGCCAAGGTCACTACACAGGTGGTCTTGTGTTCTTCTATGGGGAGGTATCAATGTCTAGTTGTCTTTCCTAGTTCTACTAATCCATTAGTTGCTACAAAATGATACAGCAGTTATTCATTCTTCATTTATCATTTATTTGTTATTATTTATTTATCATTTATTAGGACTGTGATACTTCTATATAAATTTCTTCTTATAAAGTATTTGGTTACCCAGTGGTATCATTTGTGTAGGAAAGGCAGGATAAATGTTTGACTTTTTTCCCTTTATTTGCCACTTTTCAAAACAAGTATCATAATAAACTCACTAATTTAAACATTTTGATGTATTTTAATACAGGGTAGTTATTGTTCTTATTGATGCTTAAATTATACCATCTTTGACCAATGGGAGCCTAGTTATTTTGGTTCCCTTGACATTTTGACAGAAATCCAATAATCTTTGATAATGTTTGGTAGTTTCCTTGTTTCTAGTTTATTTTGTACTTTTTCTTCTCCTGGTTTTAGAATTAGCCTTTTTCCTAAGGATACTCAGTTTTTTTTTTTGACACAGTTATACATGATGTTTTATAGGTTAACTATGATAGAAAAAGCCTTGATAGGCTTCTTTGTTAGAAAGGAAAGGCCAAATATTTTCCAGGAATATTGGAGGTTCAGTTCCTTGGCACAGATAGGTGGTTTTCTCTGAAATTAATTTGGAAAATTCTATCAGGTGAGAGCATATCATTGTTGTGTTTGTAAAAAACAATGGCCAATAGAGATAACAGTTTATGAAAAACCACTGTTTTCTATAATGAAGAAGAAGACATCTTATCTTTGTAAACAAAGGAGCAAAGGAAAGTGTGATTTCAGAACTGCTTGGTTCTATGTACTGGAGATTCAGATGTGGGGAGGCACTCAGAAGTGTGACTTTTGGTCTCAGTCCTGTTTGGAGCCCTTAGCCCTAAGTCAGAGAATGTACACAATCTACCTGGGGAGGCTGAGCTGCCCACTGGGGAACAGAGGTTCTTGGGTGTTCCACTGCTCCCAAGTCAGAATCCTGGGTCTCCTACTAATACCTGGGCAGTTCACTTTTCTCAGGTCCTCTTTTCTTTTATGAGGAATGGAGGTAACTACTTCAGAATGCGTTTTGGATGAAATGAGATGACCACATGAGACAGCAACAACTTGTGCTCAGCTTGGGCCCCTTTCTTTCCTTTCCTTTCCTTTCCTTTCCTTTCCTTTCCTTTCCTTTCCTTTCCTTTCCTTTCCTTTCCTTTCCTTTCCTTTCCTTTCCTTTCCTTTCCTTTCCTTTCTCTCTCTCTCTCTCTCTTTCTTTTCTTTCTTTCTTTCTTTCTTTCTTTCTTTCTTTCTTTCTTTCTTTCTTTCTTTCTTTCTTTCTTTCTTTCCTTCTTTCTTTCCTTCTTTCTTTCTTTTTTGACAGAGTCTCGCTCTGTCTCCCAGGCTGGAGTGCAGTGGTGCATTCACAACTCACTGCAGCCTCAACCTCCTGGGCTCGAGCAATCCTTCCACCTCAGCCTCCCGAGTAGCTGGGACTACAGGTGCCTGGCTATTTCTTTTTTTTTTTTGTAGAGACAGGGTCTCACTATGTTGCCCAGGCTGGTCTCAAACTCCTGAGCTCAGGCAATCCACCCGCCTCAGCTTCCCAAAGTGCTGGGATTATAGGCATGAGCCACCACGCCCTGCCAGGCTATTTTCTTTTGTGTTTCCCATCCTTGCTTAGGAGCTCTACTGCACCCAGGCTTCTTCCATCTGCTTCTTCCCCCAAACTAAAGTACTGTGTGTGTCAGAAAGCCCTGTCACTGCTCTCAGGGAACTGAGGTGGGAGGGAGGAGGCAGTGTGTGAAACCTTAACCCAGAGCCTGTGAGTTTCCGAAGTGGGTCCCCAGGTTCACACAGCCTCATGTGGGGTTCAGCAGGGTCTGGGATTTGTTCCTGCTGGGAACGCAGGATGGTTAAGACTTTTCCTGACCTCCTACCCTAGATGATGATGATGAATTTGATGATGCCAGCAATAATAATTATAGATAGCATTGACTGAGCACTTTGTATGTGCCAGGGTCTGTTCTAAGTATTATATATGTGTTTCTATCTGTTCAAGCTACCATCATCTCTCTTCTGGATCATGCAATAACTTCCTAACTGGGCTCCCTGACTTTGCCCTTGCTGCCCTACTGTCTATTCTTCACAAACTGCCCAGAGAGATTCTTTTAGAACACAAGTCAGATCATGCCACTCCTCAAAGGCTTTCAGTGATTTCTTATCTTACTCTGAATAATAGACAATGCACAGACAATGGACATCTCCAGGCCCCTCATTATCCGATCTCTCACTATTTCTCTGGTCTCATTTCTATCCTATAAAAAAAGGGCATTTCCCTCTTTAGCCACACTGGCCTCTTGGCTCTTCCTCAGCTCTGTCAAGCATGCTCCTGCCTCAGAGTCTGCCTAGGCTGTTCCCTCTGTGTGGACCTCTGCCCTTCCCAGCCCATTCTCTCACTTCCTTCAGGTCTCTGCTCAAATCTCACCTCCTTGGTGAGCCTTCCCTGATTATTCTGTATAAACTGGCATCCCCCATTTTGTCAATTTCTAGTCTCTTATCTGTATGTGAAGCACATAAGACAGTGATAGGTGCATAATAGATACTCAATAAATACGTGTTGAGTCAATGAATGGCTATTAACTCACGTAATAATCTCAATAGGTATGATTATTTTTCCAGTTTTACAGAGGAAGAAACCCAGGAAAAACTACAACTTACCTTAACCAGCAATTTGCTCAAGATTACATAGAAAGAAAATGAGAAGATGGGATTGGCAGACCAAACTGGAAAATGGGTACCAATACTGAGAATCTATGTGCCACACTACCTCTTTCCTTTCCTTTTCTCTGCTGTTGTGTTTTATAGGGGATTCCTTCCTCAGCAGGATCCACATGCACTGGAATTCTGTCCTGACTCCATGTTTGCCTCTTTGCTCTAGAATTTAGGCTGGACAAAGCAGAAGGAAATCCAAGGTCCCCTTGACCTCCATGATGAACAGCCAGCTCCATGCATGCCACTTCCTTACTGCTCAGAGCCTGCTCAGGCTATTCCAGCAGAAGGATTCTCCATCTCTGCAGACTCACCTGCTCCACAGACTAAATGGGAGATGAAAGAAGATGAAGGAGAGAGGAGGCATCCTCAATAACTTCTCTGTTCCTTCTGAAAAATTTCCTGTCTACATCCCAGAGACTTGAAATGCACAGAAATCTAGGGAAGAGGGGTCTAAAGCAGAACAGTTGACTAGGGCCATTTGATGCAGCCATTTTAACGTGTAAAAATGGCCACATTAACTTTTTTTGGCTTTGTGTTTTCATTTTCTTAGAATTTATTTTTAGGTTTGCATCCAGAAAAATTTACTCTTTGTAGTGTACAGTTCTGTGGGTTTTTTACAAATGCACAATATCATGAATCCACCACCACAATCATGATACAGAATACTGTCATCAGTCTCCCAAATTCTCTTGTAGCCTGTTCCCCTAAGCATCTCCCTGACAGTCACTAATATTGTACTTATCCCTATAGTGTTCCTTTTTCCAGAAAGTCATATAAGTGGAAACATACAGTATAAAGCCTTTTGGGTCAGGTTTCTTTCACTTAGTAAAATGCATTTGAGATTTATCTATGATACGGCTGCAGGTATCAGTAGTTTGTTCCTTCTTATTGCTGAGTAGTTTTCCATTATATGGAGATACTAGAGTTTAGAGACACTATTGTTTGTTTATCCAGTTCCCTATGGAAGGGCACTTGCAATGTTTCAGATTTTGGCAATGATGAACAAAGCTTCTATATACATTCATGTGCAGGGTTTTTTTTTTGTGAACATACATTTTCATTTTTCTTGGGCAAATACCTAAAAGCAGGATGACTGGGTCATGTGATAAGCATACGCTTAACTTTATAATAAATTGCCAAATGGTTTTCTAGAGTAGCTGCACATTTTGATTTCCTGCCAGCAACGTATGAAAGTCCCATCTTCACCAGCACCTCATTTGTATTGTCAGTTAAAACAATTTTTTTAGCCATTCTAGAAGGTATATTGTGGCCTATGACTAAGGATGTGGGCATTTTCAATGTGCTTATTTGCCATCCTTATATCTCCTTCAACGAAGTGCCCAAATGCCCCTATATCAAAATTGTTGCCTTTTAAAATTTATGCTAAATTGTCATGTATCCCAAGAACTTTGCTCCCTTGCCTGAGGGGCCTACAAAAGAGCACTGTTGCTCCATCAAGAACCTTTGCCAAGTATTGAGAAGGTTGGTGGGTGGTGGGTGTTATCTAGAACTGAGAACCACAGCAGAGCTATACTCTATTTTTAGTAGCTGAGAAAATTCTTTGAGATTATCTAGTCCAATCTGGTTCTTAGTAATAAGAAAACTGAAATCTAGAGAGATGTTTTGGCCAAGATCCCACAATTAGAAAGTTGGTGAATTGGCTTAAGAACTTAGATGGACTGACTTCATTTCTAAAGGTTCCAGGCTTTCTCTGCTGTAGACCTTAGTGCTGTAGACGATACTGAAGACATATACATGGTCCCAAGCCCTGGAAAGTTTTTGGGAGAAATGAAAGAAATGCAGGAAAATTTGAGGATGAGAAGATACACATGGACATGTGTTTCTGCGCTGCTGAAAATACTGGAGGAAATGGAGTGAAATGATGGAGTTAGTTAAGCAAAGCTTCCCAAAGGAAGGAAACTCTGGGGTCCAATTTGGAAGGAAAGCATTAAGTCCATGTGTTGGTCCCTGTGGCCATGTGTGAGAGTTCCATCTCACAAGAGGCTGTGTAGACCAAGAGTGCTCACCAATATATACAATAAGGGCATTTTCCTTATCTGGCAATATACACAAGCAACTATAAGGCTCAAAGTGAGTTTTTCTTGGTATATTTTTGTGGTGAGTTTTCAGCTCTAGCTTAACCTCGAATCTTCTTCACTGCCCTTATCTCCTGGGCCTCAGGTGGGGAGCACCTGGGTGACCCATCCTTAGTCCAAACCGCAGCTGCCAGAGCTTAGATCCAGTGAGCAGCAAGCTTCTCGGATTTACTTCTAGTTGAAATCAATATTTGCTGAGAAGAATGCATCTTAATTTCAGTGGCCTGTTCTTGGGGCGAGAGTTGCTCTAAAACAAACCTCCAAACCCGCAGACTTAATGTGTCCTAGTTCAGTTGTTTAGTAAATCTCTCTGTACAGAGAAAAATCCATTAGCTGTCAGGGGCAGGGATGGGGGTGGGGAATGGGAAAAGAAAGCAAAAGCCCGAATGGGGCCTCAGCAGCAGAGATAGGACTTACAGCCCAGAGCGCCCACGTGAGTCCTCAGCCACATCCCTAGGCCCAGGCTGGGACTTCCCCAGCTTGCTGCAAGCCAGGAGGCACAGCCAGTGTGTCACTGACAGAATGAATGGGAAGTGGAATGAGACCTCCTTCCCCAGCGCCTGCCTGGCGAAGTGTTTTCTAATTGCCAACTGTCCTGTTCTAAATCTACAGGAAGGCGATCGATTTTCTTTTCAGAAGGACTGGGGGAAAGCAATCATTTACCCCAGAACATGGGCTTTAATGAATCCGTGAAACATATGAGGTCACCCTGATTACATCTTCCCCTGACAGCCTGGGATGGCTTTGCAGCTCTCAGAGGACCTCCTGAGTTAGGAGGTTTTCAGAATCTAGCTCCCTCCTCTGCTTCCTTCATGCTGCTGAGTCAGGTTGTGTTTTGGGGCTTTTCTACTTGGAAGGCAGGATGCTCGGTTCCAGGCTCAGCCTTGGATACATTATAGTGAGGCAGTGAGAGCCAGCAGTGAGAGCTGTGGCCTCTGGAGTCACAGTGACCTGAGTCAGAGTCCAGCTTTGCTACTGTCTATCTGTGCTTCTCTAGGTGGCAGATTTAACTGCTCTGAGCCTCAGTTTCCTCAAGCCTCTATAGGGAAGAGTTGTTGTCAGGATTCAAGGTCATATATTTAAAGCTTCAGGTGTATAGTCAGTGGACAAGGCAAGGTAACACTAATTGTCACTCTAGCATTTGTTTATCCTCTCTATATAATGGACAGAATATTATTTATTTCACAATGAAGAAAGAACAGAGAAGGGGAAGCATGAACCTCCTATGACCTGGAAACTAGCAAGAAATGGTAGTATGGGAGGTCCTTCCTTTGTCAAATGGTAAAGATAAAAAATGAACTCAACAGATAGGAACAAGATCTGCAGGAAGTTGTGGGGAAATCATGCCCTTTTGCCCCAGAATGGTGCATTAGAATCCTGGACTGTTGCCTCCGCACTAGGACCTTCCATATTTAGCTTATCTCTTAATTTTAGAGCAGGGGCAGCCAACATTTAGAGAGGGACAGAAACTTGCTTGGAGTCACTAGCCAGCTGGTAATAGTACAGTCTCCAATCCAGACCTACAGACTCCATGTCCCCAGCCTTTTCTCCCTTGGTAGGTTCCCACCTTTGCAAACTGAGGTGATGCTGATGAAAGGGGAGGAGGGAGCAGAGAGGAAGAGGTATTTTTACCTTGAATTATTTTTATTAAATGTCACAACGGCTTTGAAGCACTTGGGTTCCGAGTAGACAAATCAATGAAAATAATTACAGTGAACATCCTGCCTTCCCACTTCCCTCCTCTTTCCACCCCCGCAGCTCCCTTGAACTCACAGAGAAGCTGGCTAACTTAGCCTTGCACTCCAGTCCCGGGGGGAGCAAGGGCAACAGCCTCCTCTGACCTCTGCCTTCTCTTCACTTTGTTTGCAGGAAGCTTGACCCTACTCAAGGCTCAAATATTGGAGAGAGAAGCAGCTCCAGCAGCAACAGCAGCAGCAGTAATAGCAGGAAAAATGAGCCAGAGGCCAGAGAGACATAAGCAACTCCTACAGGGATGTACAAACTGGGAAGAAGGCTTTTATTCTTAGAACCCATTTATGGCTTAGAAATAAACTTTCTAACATGCCTCATATTTCTAGTCAGGTGACAAGATTAACCAAAGGCACATGAATGAAGTCTTCATGAATTACCCATCCATCCATCCATCCATCCATCCATCCATCCATCCATCCATCCACCCATCCATCCATCCATCCTTTCAACCATTCAATGACCATTTACTGAGGATCTACAGGAAATGGCATTGTAGTGGCAGGGGTCTGATAGCCCTGATTCAAGTTCTTACTCTGACATTTAAGAGTTAGCTGTGTGTACTGAATATCTTCCATCTGCCCTCCAGATCCATTCCCTACTACCTGTGCCAGTGAGGCTGACCTGTATCGACTGCATTGGTGGGCTCCCTTTGTCCCCTGGCTTATGATTGGGTTCATGTCATAGAGAGCACCAATAGGAGATGGGAGGGAGGGGGAAAAGTGAGGTTGGAGTATTTAATTCTCCATTCCCCCTCAACACATGGTGTCATTCAGCTAAAGACCGTGACTGCTGACAGCTGGCCCTCTCCACACAGCCCCTTCTATCCTTGGGTTCTAGGAATCAGCTAAAGACACCTGTAGTTACCTACCCCCAGGTACTTCCACATCTCTGTTGTTTCCTTATGCTCTATGTTTTCACAAATAACCTTTTATTAGACTCAGATTAATTCCATTTTGGTCTGTCTTTGGCTTCCTGATATACACTGTGTGACCCTGAGTATGTTATTTTACATTTTTGAGTCTCGATTTCTCTGTGGGTAAAATGGGCAAATAAAATATGCTTTGTAGGATTGTTGGGAGGCTCAGGGCAGATAGGTGCTGTGCCCCAGGTTGCTCAGCTAGTTAAGGGGAAGGTCTGGCAGGTGAAGCCAGAGAATCTAAGCTGTAGCCCACCCTTCTCACTATACAGTTCGATATGTGGTCCTTGGTGGCCCTAAGCATTTTGGGATCAGTGGCAACAGAGGCTCACATTAGTGAATCAATGTCCTCTCCAGCCTCTTAAGACCCTCCTGGCCAGGCTGGCATTGGTATGTTGGATTCAGCACTCAGGTGGGGGCTTGAGGTGCTGTGACAGGGAGAGAGCATCCTTCCTCCTGCTGCTGCAGGGGAGTCTGTTAGAGAGGCTGGGCTGTCAATTTCATTCAGTAGTGACTTTTGAGGAAAGGATGCCCTGGTGTTGGCTGATGTTGTCAAGGAAGTACTTGTCAAATTTCCTTCTTGGCTGAGCAGATGGTAATGTAAAGGGAGGGGGAGCTGGTATTTGTGGCGTGATCTCCGAGTACCACACACTTTACAAATGAATTCTCTCATCAAATCTCTCAGCAATATACGAGGTAGGAAATTTCATCCCTATAGTGCAGGAAGGAAACTGAGGCAAAGAAAGCTTAGACAGCTTCTGCAAGGTCCACAGCCAGTAAAGCTTTGGGTAGGCAAGACATAACTCAGACCCTGTTTCCTTTGCAGAGACTTCACTCTTCCTATGATACAAGGATAAACAGCAAGAAACAGTCTATTTTATTTGCTTAGCAATTTATAGTTCTTCCTGCAACTTCTGGGATTTGGGTCCATCAATTACACTTTCTCTCTCTCTCATATTTTCAACCTTACTGTCTTCCTTGGCTCTTTCACCTCAACATAAGAGTGTACTTAAGTATCTTGTGCCCTTGGGATATGTGCTTGCTCAACCCTGCTGCTTCTTCCAGTCACCACCTTTTCTCTTCCTTGCCCTACTCTACTCCCTTACCTCCCAGACTGTCCACACCTATTGGAGCCAGGCTTCTGTCCCCATCAAGCCCTGTCCAACCTATGACTTCCTGGTTGTCAACTTCAGTGGGAATTATGTAGTTCTCATCTTCTTCAGCTTCATTCATTCATTTATTTGACAAATATTGTTGAGTTACTACTATATGTTAAGCATCATTCTAGGCCCTAGAGATAAAGTAATGAACAAAACAGAAGCGAGTCCCTGCTGTCATAGCACCTACATCCAAGTGGACAAGGTTGACAGACTACATACTATCATGGAAACAATGAGGCAGTGGCAGTCAGTGCTATGGAGAAAACAGAGCAGGATGAGGGAGATAATCGTGGAAGACGCATGATGTTTAGGTGGTCATGGAAAGTCTCTGAGAAGATGAAATTTGAACTGAGAACTGAAACAAAACAAGGGAGGAGGGTAGCCATGTGGATGCTGGGATGGAGGGTTCCAGGTGCTGGAGCAGCAAGTGCAAATGTAGCAGTACATATGGTGAGTTTAAGAAGCAGCAGGGAAGCCAGTGTTTCTGGAGGAAAGTGAGTCAGGGGATGGTCGTAGGAGATAGGGTCAGAGTTAACAGGGACATGGCCATGTAGCCTTTCAGGCTGGGGTGAGAACTTCGTCTGTAACTTTGAATGAGAAGAGAAGAAATCAAAGGACTGGAGCAGAGAAATGAGTGGTCTGACTTACATTTAAAAGCATCCTTCTGGCTGCTGTGTAGAGAATAAACTAAAGGGGGCAGGGGTGTGGCCAGGCCCCTCTGCAACATGTGACATTTGGGGCTATTTCTTCCTTCTAGAAGCTCTATGCCTCTCACCTGTTGCCTGCCTCCCTGACCAATTCTTCTTAGTCTTAGGTGAGTACTCTGCCCTTCCCTTTTCCTATCAATGGATGTTATCAGTCACACAGCTCTGTCCTTGGTCCTGACGTCCCTCAATTACTCTAGTAAGAACTTACACCCTCCCTGGCTTCAAATGCCTGAACCTACAGGACTCTGCAATCCTTATTCCCAGCCCAGGCATTGCTTCTGCACTCCAAATGTGTTTATTCAGCTGTTTTCTTGACTATTCCACATGGGTTCCTCATCTCAAGCACCCATTTACCACAATATATTCATACCTGAATATTCTCTTTTATCCCCCAATTCTGCTCCTTTCCCTGTATTCTCAGGCTCTGTGTAGTCCCCTGCATTTCCCAGTCACACATGCCAGACTCCTGGTCTGTATCCTCTATATCCCACTGCTTCTCCTCTTCCTAAGACCTAGTGTCTCCTAGGCTAACTCCTCCTTCTCCACTTCTACCACTACTTCATTTCAAGCATGTATCATTACTTATGTGGATCAATGAAGCCACCTCCTAGTCTGCAATCTCCCCTCCCGAGCTCAACTTTGCTTCACTCCCCTTCTCGGGGCTTGATCTATGAAATACATCTTGTTATGAAAGTTTCCTGTCTAAATTCTCCAACAGCCTCCAATTTGCTTTCAGATATTAGCTCATATTTCGAGCTTCATCCCTCAAGTCCTCTTCCAAGCACTTCAGGATCCAGCAGTTCCCAACTTCTCATTGTTCCCCAGGTTCCTCAGTGTTCCCATGCCTCTGTG
Organism: Homo sapiens; assembly: GCF_000001405.40. Lineage (NCBI taxonomy): Eukaryota > Metazoa > Chordata > Mammalia > Primates > Hominidae > Homo > Homo sapiens. The sequence goes on along the minus strand of NC_000017.11, from coordinate 34,499,061 downwards.
GTTTGTTTATGTGGTTTCTTTGCCCTGTGACTCCTCCCCCATCTCTGCCTGATAAACATCTTCTTTTCCTATAAGATCTCACTCAAAGGCCGCATCTTTTAAAAGGTATCCCTCACATTTCTAGGTACAGTTCTTAGCTCCCCTTTCCATAGGTCTGAAACCCTTGGTTCCTATCTTTGTTTATTTATGAAAGCTCAATTTGTGCCAGGCATTGTGCTGTGGTGCACTTTTATAACTCCAGTCCTGAAAACAGCTCTAGAGAATAGCTAATCCTCTTCCCATCTTGCAGGTGAAACAATCAAGGCTTAGAGGGGTTAAGTAACTTACCCAACATTTTAGAGCACCCACCAAGGGGTGGGGGTAAAATTGAACCCAAGTCTTCAGGGTCTAGAGTCTCTTTGCTATGTGGCTTTTCCCTCTTCCTTTGGTAGTGCAGTGTTATCATTTGTTCTCATGTTTCCTCCCCTGACTATGTTCCTCAAGAGCGAGGACCATCGAGAAAACTCTATCCCTACTGCCTAGCATGGTGCTTGGCTTGTAACAAGAATCTATACCTAGTGTTTGTTGAGTGACTGTGTGTGCACATAAAGAAGGAAATGCAAATACCTTCCCTGTCCACAATCCCATTGAATTTTCACAGCAACCCTGAAAATGGTCATTAGCACCTTCCTTTTCACAGCCCAGGAATCTGACACTTGGAAGTAGAAAAGAAAAATAAAAGAAGAAAATCCAGAATTGAAGCTTTCTTGTTTCTTTGGATTTGAGAAATCCAACATTTAAGGCCTCAGGGTTGAGCTAGAGCAGTTCCAGGAGCAACTTGCCAAGAAACAAGAAGTTCCCCAAGAGGATGAAGTAATATTTCCAGAGCTAATAAAGCCAAGGTTCTTACTGCATCCTCCAAGGGAGAGAAATTAAGAGCGCAGCCGCAGTCCTCATTGGCTCCAGGTGACCACAGAGCCCAAAGTCACTCCTGTCAGGGGGTTTAATTTGTGCATCCCGGAAACCCCCACATCTATTGAGTGCTGACAGTGTGCACCATGCTGTGCTGGGCCTGGTCAAGTGGCTAAGTTAATACCACTGGCTGGTTGTAACATCATGGGAAATGAACTCTTCAAAATAAAAAAAAAAAAGCAAAGTATATCATTGCAAGCAGAGAAAAAAGGATCATTGCAGATGCATATTAAATATATCTGACATTGTGTATAATATATTTTCAATGCCAGGCAACTTGTTAGTTTCCTAATATGTGTATTCTGGCATGTTTGCAAATATGTTATAGAGCTCGGCAAACAGCTCTGCAGGCATGCTGGAGGGGCTGTTCCCATTTTAAGCTGATGTTCTCTGTGGTGTTTAAACTTTCTTCTCCCTTTGTGAACCCAGGCCTGCCTCAGTAGCTCTGAGAGAAGAAACACATCTCACGATCATCCTGTTTATTCTATCACAGAGGGACAGAGAGTCAAGGATCTACCAGCGCAGTGTGACAAACTCCCTGTGAAGGGTGCAGTCCTACTCTCAGGCGGTCTTAAAATCCAGAGCTACAGGGGCCTATGGAGAGCATTGAGTCCTATGGCCCACTTGTAGCCAGAAGAACTGAGGTCCAGAGAGGAAAGGTACTTGCCTAAAGTCACTGGTGCAGGTGATGGCAGAGTGGAGCTTGACCCAGGCCAGCCACAACATTCCTAGACATTCTGTTCGGTGGTCAGAGTCTAGGGAAGATGTTGCATCCATACCCGAAACCGCTGCATTTTTGATAGAGGCCAGAACCAGAAATCAGGGAGGGAAGGAGGAAATGGCATCCAGTCTTCAAGCCTCTGGGCAGATGAAGGCCTGGTCCTTGTCTCCATTTTCCTCTGAGCCTTGCAAAGAAATTGGCTTGGGTGCAGGCAACAGCCACAGCCCTGCTGTGATAAGGGTTGGAACCCCAGTGGGGCAAATGCCACCCTGAGCTCCATCTCTTTGGCTGACTTGCTGTCCTTTGGCCTAAGAACTAGAGCCTGGAGAACTCACCCAGAGCAAAGGAAATCCCCACTCCACTTGGTTTTCATAATCTGCCTGCAGATCTTGGCTGGTTAACCTGGTGGGTTATTTTAATTTTCCCAAAGCTTTTCAACTTCCCTTGGATTCTTAATCAGATAAGGGGATCTTTGGGTGTATGTGTGTGTGTGTGTGTGTGTGTGTGTGTGTGTGCGTGCGCGCACCCAGGCATGTGCCTGGGCTCACTTAGCTGTCGTCCGCCTTCTCTCCTTCCCTCTCTTCCCCTGCCATGAGCCCTCTCTCTTTTCCCATAATCACTTTCCATCTCTTCCAGAATGCTTAATGGAGTCTAGAGACAGAGGAAGGAGGATTTCATCTCAAAGCAGGAACCAGCATTTGCACTTCTTTTCCTGTTATTTTGAAAGTGGATTTGGCATTGGGAGTGAGTGTTTCTTGGGGGAGGGAGAGGAACTTCTTTCCACTGCCCCTTTCTCCCTTCTGGAAAAGGCTTTTTTTTCCCCATCCCCTGCTCTGTTGTCACTGGTCCCACGTAGCTGTCCAAGCCCAGTGCTGTCTGTGGTCATGGACCAACTTCAGACGGAGAGGAACAGAATGTATGGAGAAGGATGATTGGAGGGAAAGAATGCTGATAGCTAATGGGTACCCTGGCAATGTCCAGGGAGAGGGACCCCAATCCTGTACTTCAAATAGCTTGTCTCCTAATGCTTGTTGTTGGGAAGTGGTTGTCTTCCCCTCCTAGCCTGTCTGCCAAGTGAAGTGCAATTCTGTTGGTGTCAGCTGCTTCTGCTTGTCCAGAGAATGCCCAGCCCCCTTGGCCACAGAGGGCTCTGCATCTATCTCGGTAGAGTGCATTCTTCTCAGACCTGGGGGGTCTTGCTCTCCTGGGGAGAGAGTTCAGCTCAGCACAGCAGAAGGGTAGGAAAGGGATTCAATGTTTTCTTTGCAGATCCTTTGTCTGTGTACCACTGTGCCTGGCATGGTGCTTGAATGCTATAGCCACTGAATAAGTGTTTGTGGTTCTGAACTAAATTACCTGTTGGTGGCCTTGGGCTGGACCAGATCACTTTCATGCCATTCTAGCCCTGAAAGCTACCAGTCTGACCATGTATTATATGTGCCCACAGTGAACTATGAGGCTATGTGCTACTATGCACCTACAGTATGCTTGGCACTGTGCCGGGCATGGCTGGGAACTCGGGGGTGCTTAAAGCATAGATGCTGCCTTGGGGAGCTCTCTTCACAGGACTGCATTGAGAAGGAGGTGAAATCAAAAGTGAGAATGCCAGGGACAGTTGAGCACAGATCAGCACTTTTCTTATGTCTTACAGAATCAGGATATTCATGCCATTAGGGTCCTTGGAGGATCTTCTTGTCTGACTCCACCACTTAAAAATGAAGTACTTGAAGCCCCAGGGATGATTTGCCCAGGGCTCTACATCAGTCTGGAACAGTTAGAAGGCACACTCAGGGTGGGGGACACCCAGACCAGGGATCTCTCAATATTAGCAGGTTGCCCGTGGCCAGAGAGGTGGACACAAGAAACATAATTGTGGTACCAAGTTGGCTCAGGCATAGTTGGGTACTTGGACTGGGCATGAAGTGCTCTAAGAATTCAGAAAAAGAAGCCATAGCCCCAGGATTTGTGGCATTTAATCTTTAACGGTTTGCTCCTTCATTCATTCATTTAATGAATATTTAATTAGCTTCCTGTATATGCCATGCATGGATAGTCCTTGCAGAAGGAGTTTACGGTCTTGTTCTGTTTCCAAGCTGGCCGCTGCTGGTTCCCCACCTTGGCTCTGCCTCCCTGCCTTTGCTCTTTGAGGATCCTGTCAGCCCTCTGGATAATGTTCCTGCTTATCTCAGCTCCCAGGAGACCCATTCCTGAGCCCCTGTGGTCAGCACTTCTTACCTGGCCTGGCCCTTCTTCATAGATGGAACTCAGACCCTTTGGATAGTGTTGAGCATATACCAGGGGCACAATAGATATATGCTAATTCTCCACACTGGCATCCAGTGAAGCCAGTAGTGTGCCCCTGACTTGGTTGTCTGCCCTGTCCCTGGATCACCTGAAACTCCTATACTTCTTTCTGTGGCCTCAGTCACACTCAGAAGAGGACCAACTCTGCCCCTTGGGAGGGAGGAATGTGAAAGAACCCAGCTGAGCTGCTGGTCCAGCTCCGACTATTGGCCCTGGCTCTTGCCAACCCTGTCATCAAGGGCCTGCCTGGTACTTCTGTTTGGAAACTATTTCCTCTGGGATAAGGGTTCTTCTAGGAAGGGGGTCCTGTCCCTACAGCTGTCTCCTTACTTTTTGCAGCCATATTGCCTTATCCCCACCTGCCCAGACTTCAGCATTTCACCTGCCCCTGCTCCTTCTGGTCACCTGGACCTCCTCCCATTGAGGCTGCAATGCTGCTTGCTGCCCGATTGCAGCCATCCATGGTCTGGACTGCAAGTCTCTGACTCAGAGCCAGCAGGGTAAAGCTAAGTCCCCAGGAATCTTCAGGCCTGTCTGCAATTCTAAGTTCCAAGGAGAATAGGCAGGGAGAAATGGAAGTTCAACAAGTACCTTCCTGTCCTGCCAGCTAAGGCTGAGACTAAGGTGACTCTGGTGGGTGGTCACACACTGGCTAATAGCTTGATCTCTCCCTGGGAGGGAAACTGGCAGAGCATCTAAGGGGCCGGAATTGGACTAGGAGTCTCTGAGCTGCTTGTTTGGGGCCCATGAACAAAGGGGCCTGGGGTGGAGAATAGGCATTCCTGGTTCTGTTAGCATTGCCTCTTCCCAGGCTCCCTCGCCTTCTGCCCCCATGTTCACTCTGCTTCCACTATCAGCGGGTGAAGTGGAAAATAACCTGGCTATTAGAGGAATGCACGTCTCTGCTCCTTTCTCTGGCTGCTAATGGAACCAGCAGCTGTCCCCAGCCATGTGTGGCTGCCCTGACCCTCTGAGATTGTGGGTGGAGATCAGCCATGGGAGAAGACTTTGCTCAGTTCTGTTTCCCACAGGGCATGGTACTGACATCATGCAGGGAGAGTTGAGAAACAGAGCAATTGATTTGGAGGTGGAGACTTGAGCATAATAATCACAGCTTCCATTTATTGAGCTCCTCCTGTGATTCAGGAGTATGCAAGTTTTTCTAGTTGTATTATCTCATTTAATCCTCTCACCAACCCCAGGAGACAGGTAAGGAATTGCTATCATCTTCCTTTGTGGGGAATGAAGCTCGGAGAGGTTAAATAACTTGCTCACAGTCACATAGCTAGAAAAGGCAGAGCTGGGAACTGAACTAGGGCTGCTTGACTCCCAAGCTCTTTTGTAGTGCTGCAGGAAGATTCCAGGAGGGTATAGATGTGCTGTCATTCCCATAGCATAGTGCCTCACACCTGATTCTGCCCTGGGCAGGTAAGGAAGGCAAGCAGGATGACTATCCACCAAGGAGGTGCATTTTCCAAGGCCAGTTGAGACCCCAGAGCCAGAGAATCTATTGGAATCTTGGTTGAGGAGGCACCTGGGCAATATCTAGGAAGTCGATAATGCATCTCACAACTTTTGAACTGTCTTCCAAGTTACTTTTGCCTTTTCCTTATGGTTATACAATACAAATTGTGTGTCTATATCTACCCTTAGATGGGTTGACCCCTATGTTGGGTTCAAGAAATCCAACTCTAGGAAAATCCGGCGATAAGCCCCATGTTTAGTGGGTGGGCAAGTGTCCTTGGAGGTGGACACTGGGAGTTTCAGAGCCAGCTGGAGCACACAAGAGGATGAAGCTGGGCGTGAGAGGAGCCTAAAGCCGTGCAACCTTGCAGAGAGCTGGGGGCGAGCTTCGCAGTGCCTGGTCCTTGGCGTGGGCTCAGGGTGGATGCTTGAAGGAGCTTCATGGGTGCTACATCATGCATAGTAGGTAATCAATAAATACTTGGGTAATAAATAAATAAGCTCCCTCCAGAGGAGATTTTGAGCCCTGCTGTATATCAGGCACCCTGCTAGGCATTCTATATAATCTATATTCTATAATATATATTCTATATTGTCATACATATAACATATATATGTTATTTCAGCTAGTCTGAGCTTTTTGTCAGAGCAGGGCCTGAGCAACACTGAATGTCCCCGGGGTAAGCCCCCACTACCTGCAGAGGCATGAGTCCCTATCATTTTTCCAGTTCTCCTGGGAACCCTTGTGGAGTCCATTCTCCACCCCCATCTTCAGCTTCCCCTCACTGCAAACTTCCACTTTTGTGTGAGGCTGTGAGGTGTTTCTCTTGCCGCCACATCCATTCCCTGAGGAGACAAAGCGGCCAGCAGCAGGTGCAGGCAGATAACTCTTGTCATCTTCCTCCATTTCCTGCACCAGGGGCTTCAGAGACTTGGCAGTATGGTGGGACCACGGACTCCGGTACATGGACCTGAGCTTAAGTCCCAGCTGGCTGCCATCCTGCGGGATTGCTGTGTAATCTTAGGCAAGCCATGGCACCCTCTGGAACTTGGTTTTTTTATTCTGAAAATTGATGGGGATTGGAAAGGACTCAGTGGCTTTGCAGGTCTTTCCCTGCATGTCTGTTTTGTTCTGTGCATCTCTCTCTCCCTCCACCTGAGACAGTTAATCACATAGGACTTGTGACTATGGCTCCACCACTTTCTGCATCTTTGACATTGGCAAGTTATTAACCTCCTTGAGCCTCAATTTCTTCATCCGCAAATTAATATTCACCTCTTAGTTGTTGTGAGGATTAAATGAGATCATGTGTACAATCAAGTAAAGCACTCAACGCAGTGTCTGCTGCAGGGCAAGTGCTCGGAAGACACTCTGCTGATGTTTAGTTCTTCTGGTCCTCCTCCCCATCTTCCTCCTCCTCCTCACCATCATCGTCACCTTCATCAGGGAGCAGCACAAGATTTTCCGCAGCCATTGCTCCCAGCATCCCTGACAGAGCAAGCTCCAGCAGAGGACTGATGGAGGAGCCACCGGACCCCGCTCTGCTATCTTGGAAGAAGCAGGCCCCTCTGGTTCAGCACTGTCTCACTCTCTTTCCAATCATCGGTATTACTTCACCCATTTTAAAATCCAATGTCTTTGGTATGGTTTCAGCCAGCCCTTTACCCAGGGGCAGGGATGGACTGTCTGTCTCTGAGATTCTGGGAAGGGGAATGGGGATGGCCAAGAAGAAACCAGTATAGATGAGTGTATCATGCCAACCATCTCTAGTCCAGGAAATGGTCCTGGGGCAGGGGCTGGTGCAGGAGATGGGGACATGGCTGGGCTGGGCTGGCCAGCCATGCAGCAGATCTGAGGCCCAAGACCTTGAAGCTGAGAGGATTACCTATTTCCCTGTCCTGAAAGATGAACAGGTGGGACTGGAGGATCTCTGGGGTCTCCATCAACAGTAGCAAATGTGGGTCCCATGGTCGAGGTTTCCCAACACTGTCAATGTTTTCTCTTTCTAACTCATCCTAAGCCTGGCCTCAACCAAGGGCATCAGCCTTGTAGTTCAGTACTCCCTGCAAATTCTGTCACCAGCCTACATTCATGGAGCACACCCAGCAAAGCCTGAAGATGTTTGGTGGGGCAGCAGGGCACAGGGCCTGGAGAACAGGATTGGCTGTATGGCACAGCGGAAATTGTTCAACAGAGACGTGAATTCTTGTTCCAGCTCTGACATGAATTCCCTAAACAACCTAGATGATTTGCTGCCCCTCTCTGGGCCTCAGATTCCTCATCTAGAAAATGGGTGAGTAGGGCTTGATGGCCATTAATGACTTTCAGCTCTATTTGTCATTGTCTCTGAACTCAGAGGCCTCAAGTTATAGCCATGGTAGGGACGTGCAGGGTTCCCCACTGACCTCAGACCCCTTCCTCCTCCCAGACCCCAGATCCTTGTCTGGAGAGTAGGACTAGGAGTTATCATTCTCTCATTGGAAAAATGGCATTACTCTGCCTTTTCTCTCTCCCTCCCCTACTTCCTTCCCTCCTTCCTCCCTTCCCATTCTCGCAGATTGGTTGTTTACTTCTGTATGGCACTGGGTTAGACCCTGGGGCTTGGGGTGTGGATATAAAGATGGACACTGTCCTCACCCTCAGAGGCACCTGTTTTGGTGGAGACAGTCCATGTGCACAGAGTCATGGGACGGTTTGGGTGGTGAGGTGTATGCCAGGTACTGGAGGCCATGGAGGAAGTGAGGGAGGACTGGGAGGAGATTGGGAATCTGCACAGAAGAGGCAACAGAACTTGGTCTTGAAGGAGGAGCAAGAAAACTTCAGGTTAACATGGGAGAGAAAGGGCATGTGGGCCTGAGGATGGGCATGTGCCCAGGCATGAGGGCCTGAGGGACAGGAGGAGTGTTTAGGGGAAGAGGGTCTTGGTGGCGGGAGCGTAGGTTGTGGCATGCATGAGGAAGTGGAAAGCTGGGCTATAAATGAGCCACAGACAAAACTACCTGGGCCTGATCAGGGAAGACTGAGGACTTCTATCCATTTTGAGTGGGCCATCTGTCCATTAATAATAATAGTAATAATAATAGCTAACATACACAGTAGCTCATTCTATTTCGCAGGCAGTTCTAAGCATTCAACACGTGTTCCATTGAGGAACCTCTGTGAGGTCAACCTCTGTTAGCCTCGTTCAAATCATCTTCCAGATGAAGAAACTGAGGCATGGAGAAGTTAAGTTACTTGCCTAAGGTCACACAGCTGGCACGTGACAAGAATTCAAATCCAGGTAGTCTAGCTTCAGAGCCTGTGCCCTGAGCCACCAAGTCAGGTGGAATGCAGCCTCCTGAGGGTGTCAGCTGCAACAAGGCAAGGGTTTTCACACAAGGTTGGACTCTCCTCCCTGGCTGCACCCCCTCATCTCTCCCCGTCTCTCAGGCAGACAGGTGAGGGACAATAGCCAGGAGCCAGATTTTTGGGGATGGGGGTTGAGGCGGTGAACTGTGCCCAGTTCTGAATATCTGCCTACATTTTGATCTGATTACTCTGTCCTCTCTCTACTGAGAGGAGATAGCACCTGCTTTCCATGGTCTTAATTAAGCCACATTTTTGTTTTTGTTTATTTAGCACGAGAAGCAGCCTTTCCTGATTTGTCAACAGAATGGAATTTCTCTTTTCTGAACTTGTGTGTTTTTTAGATTTGAAATCCAAGGATAGGAAGAAGTGACCCCTATGAGCAACTGAGAGTGGCAGGTGAGGAGGTGGGGACAGGTGCTTGGAAAGCCTCACTGCTGAGCCAGGGAGAGAATTGGCCACTGACACTTACTTCCCCCAACCTTCCAAACTCCAAGGACTCCCCACTGCCCAGAAGCTCCAGTCAATAAGGCCCACATTCCCTGATGTATTGATCAAGCCTCTTCCTGATTTCAGCGTGAGTTCAAATCCCACCTCCACTATTTATGAGTTCTGAGACCTTAGCTGAGAACTTGATCTTTTAGAGCCTTGGTTTCCTCATCTGTAAAATGTGGTTAATAACACTCACTTTTAGGAATTTGTGTGACATCAGTGATATTCCATTAAGCCTCTAGCCTGGGACCAGCACACAGGAGGTGCTTAAGTGCTTTCTTCATGTTTTATATGACCCTCCCTAGACCTCTACGAAGTATGTATTATTATCATCCCCATTTTTACATAAGGAAACTGAGGCATAGGGTAGTAAAATTAACTGCCTAAGGTCACATGGCTGGCAAATGGTAAAGGCTTTAAATCCACCAGTCTCTCCTACCTTGGCCATCCCTCTACATAGGTCCTGCCCTTCCTCCAGACTTGGCTGCTTGCAGCTCTTATTCCTAGCACCTGTGTCTTTGCTCACCTGGTCCCCTCTGCCTGGCCCTACTTTAAGGTCCTTTAATGCTGTCCCCTTTAGAAAGCCTTTCCTGATTTGTCAGTAGAATAGAATTTCTCCTCTCTGAACTTGTGTGTTTTTTGGATTTGAAATAAAAGGATGTGGGCTCAAATCTTAACTCTTCTACCTGGCTGCAGGGTGTGACTGTAGGTAAATCATGTTATCACTTGGAGCCTCAGTTTCCTCATCTGAAAGAGGGGCAAAATCATGACATTTAAAAGTTGGCATACCTTGGAGTCAGCTAGTCCTAGGTTCAAATCCTGCCTTTACCTTTTACTAGCTGTGTGGCCTTAGGTGGTTTCTTTAAATGAGCCTCTGTTTCCTCACTGTTATGAGTAGAAACACTTGCCCAGTGCCCAGCACCATGATCATTCAGAAGCTGCAAAGAGTGGAGCAGGGTGATGGTACGCCTGGATTCAGTTAGATTGCCTGGGCTCAATCTAGCTCTGACCTTGGCAAAGTTACTTAACCTTTCTGTGCCTTAGTTTTTCCACCTGTAACATGGAGATGCTGGCAATTATACCTAACCCACAGTGTTATGTGGATTAAATGTGATAATACATGTAGAACTCTTAGAATAATGCCTTGCACTTAGAGCACAATAAGTATTGGTTGCTGTAGCTCAGGATTGTTTAGGGATTAATGGAAACTTTGTAAATGTCCAAGGTCTGGTCAGACACAAGGTATTGATCATTCTCCTTCCGCCTTGGATGTCAGCCATTGGTACCCAGCCTCATCACCCTCAAGGGGCAGGCATCCAGCCCCATAGTTTTTGTCTCTCCAGGGTCTTTGCCCTAAGCTCTGTGCTGGGTAGGAATTGAATCAGGTGCCAGACTTGGGAAGGTAGCCCTGCCTCAGTTTCCCTGAGAGACCCAGCTGTCACCACATTCAAAACTGAGGTGAGAGGTGAGCACTCCCCTTCTGGCCGCTGCTCCCCACTCCCTACTGACTTGGTGCTCCCTGTCAGCCCTTGCAGGAGAAGCCCAGTCAGCAACTCTGTGGATGCCTGCAGTGCGGCCCTCCTGACCCGCCTGGAGGGACGCAAGCGGAAGACCTCCCAAGACCTCTCCAGCTCTGATCTTCCATGGACCCAACCCATCTTGAGACCTGGGGACCTCCTGTGCTCTACCTGCTCCTGCCTAGGGGCTTTTCTGGGGAACACCTTTGCCGAAACAGCGGCTTTGCTGGGGCAGTGGGAGGAGCGGCAGTTGCAGGAGAGTGTTTTCTTCCCCTTCTTCTGCAGTTTGCATTTACTTTTCCAACAGGTCAGTGAGCCATGGAGCTAATTCAAAGAATTGTCGAGGCAGCAGCAGCAGCAGCAGCTGTGAGCTCCGCGCAGCCAATCAGTCAGCCATCAGGGCGCTAACCAGGGGAGGCAGCGCAGGGCCACTCATCTCCCAGGCTGTAGGGAGGGCGGCGCCAAGTGAAGCCGCAGCGCCCAGCTCAGCCTTCAGCTCTGGGCGGTGGTGGTGGCTGTGGCTGTGGCTGAGCCCCTTAGTGCTACAGGGAGCAGCTCAGGAGGCAACCAGCTCACACAGCACCTGTCGTGAAAATAGGCACTCCTGGGTTCAATTTCAACTTGCCAGTCACTAGCTGGGAGACCCTGGGCAAGGTCTTTAACCTCTCAGAACCTCAACGTCCTCATCTGTAAAACAGGCACAGTCGGTGCCAAAGGCACAACTTACAAAGGCTCTTGGAAGGACTTTAAAAGATTAGAATGGAAAGCACCTAGTCAATGTTTGGGCCTCAGCAAGTACTCCCTACACCTATAATTCTAATTAAGAGATATAGCAAATATTCCCCTGTCCATAGTGGTACAGCTGGGGCCTTAATTTGGACTTAATTTGTCAATCTGGGTAGATAATGAAGACATTCATTGCAGGATTATTCCTTGTTTTCACAGACGTTTTGAGGTAGTTACACACATGACCCTACTGTGTGACATGCTGAAATGGAAGTGAGGAGAGGGGCTATGACAACTTGAATAGGGCATAGACCCTCACTGAAGGAGCTTGCAATCTGGTTGGGGAGGCAGAGGCAGGAACCTTGAGGATTAACCAAGAAACCAAGGGAGCAGAGGCTGTGAAGTGGCAGAGGGAACAGAAGCTGGCTCTGCGGGGGTCTCAGGGCGGCTTCCAAGGGGTGACACATGCAGGTCTGGGGTGGGTAGAGGGTGACGTCTGCCCAGGATTCATGGTGCAGACCACAGAGGGCCTTGAGTACCAAGGCTGTTACTCTCCCAGCAGGAGTGCTTCATGCGCCAGCCTCACACTAGCAGGTAGGGTGCCAGCTCGATGCTTATCGCATCATGAGGAGAAAATGTGCTGTTTTTGCAAAACGTGCTAGTCTCTAACCGACACAGACAGGCTGGATGAGGATGCTTTTCTTACTCACAGAATTCTTCATGCCACAAAAGGCTGTACAACAATTTCATTCAAAGAACAAGTCTCCTTGGTGTCTTTTTCTCTTTTTTTTTTTTAGGAAATATACTTGAAATGCAAGATGTAGCAGACCTCCGCATTGAGCTCCTGGACATAGGCTCTCTTTCTGTTTTTTTTTAAGTTAAATTGTGACAAAATACACATAAATAAATTTTACCATCTTACCTTCTTAACCTTTTTTTTTTTTTTTTTTTACCTTTTTGATACAGGGTCTGGCTCTGTTGCCCAAGTTAAAGTGCAGTGGCACAGTCACAGCTCACTGCTGCCTCAACCTCCTGGGTAAAGGGATCCTCCTTCCTCAGCCCCCGGAGTAGCTGGGACTACAGGCACCACACCACCACACCTGGGTAACTTTTGTATGTTTTCTAGAGATGGGGTTTCGCCATGTCCGCCAGGCTGGTCTCGAACTCCTAGACTCAAGCAATCCTGCCACCTCAGTCTCCCAAAGTGCTGGGATTATGGGCGTGAGCCACCACACCCAGCCTTAACCATTTGTAAGTGCACACCTCAGTAGTGTTAAATATATTCACACGGTTGTGTAACCAATCTCCAGAATTTTTTCATCTTGCGCAACTGAAACTCTACTCATCTAACAGCTCCCCACTTCCTCTTCCCTCCAAACCCTGGCAACCACCATTCTATTTTCTGTCTCTATGAGTTAAACTACTCTACGTGCCCTCTTCTAAGTGGAATCATATGGCATTTGCCTTTTTTGTGACTGGCTTATTCACTTAGCGTATCATTTTCAAGTTTCATCCATGTGTCAAAATTTATTTTCTTTTTGCAGCTGAATAATATTCCATTGTACGTATCTACCACGTTTTGTTTATCCCATTATCTGCTGATGGACAGTTGAGTTGCTTCCACCTTTTGGCTATTGCAGATCCCGATGCAATGAACATGAGTATACAAATACCTGTTCAAGTCCCTGCATTCAGTTTTTCTGGGTGTATACCCAGAAGTGGAATTGCTGATTTGTATGGTAATCTGTTTTTAATTTATTTGAGGAACCACCAGATTATTTCTGGCCATAGACTCTTAGACAAGAGAGGAGCTTCAAAAGCCCCATACCCTCGCTTATGGACAGGAAAGTGGGGGCCACGTGATGAGCTCTTCATCTGCCTCTCGTGTGAGGTGGTGGCCCAGCCAAGGCCATTCTGTTTAGGGTTCTTAGTGCATGCCTCTGGCACCTTTGAAGATGGCCAATGGGAACACCAAACTGAGGTGTGATGATTCTGCTTGCGATAAATGGGGTAGACGGGGACACAGGAGCACAGAGAGGCAGAGCCTCCTGAAGGTCACACAGCTGGCCACACACAGCCTAGTGTGCTCCAGCTCCTCAAGGCTCCGGGAACCCCTTCCAAGGTGAGCTTTAGTTCAGGAGGCAGAGCCTTCCCGTCTGCGTCTGCAAAGCCCCAGCAGGCTGACAGGGGATGCCATAGGCCTCAATTTGCCCTGCTGTACAACTGAAGGAGGCAGATGGTCTCTAGGGGCTGTTGCAGCTTTGCTCTTCCCCAACTGAGGAAGTCTCAGTTCCTGGGGCATGTTACCAGCCTCCTCTGGTGGAGAAACCAACAGCCCTTCATTTGGACCATGGCTTCCCAAACTCCAGGATTATCTCTGATTTATAGGCAGGTAAACTGAGGCCTTGGGCATAAGGAGCACTGCTGAGAGGGTGGCTGAGAACCCAGGCATCCAGACTCCCCTTCTCTCTCCCTCATTACCATGACTGGAAGAATATGAGATGCCTTAGCCCGTGCCGATCTGGTGCCATTTGCTCCTAGGAACCTCCCCCAGGGGGTCAACATTGCTGGGTACTGGCCCTCTAGCTCTGGAGGAGGCCCTGTGCCCTTAGAGTCAGCCTGCCACCCATGAACCTATTAAGGGTGCATGAGGGTCGACATGTGAGTAAGACCCAAAGGTGGCCGGGCCTATAATAAACCTCCCCATTAGCCACCCCTCCCACTCTGCCTGGCAGGCACTGTGGAAGCATTAGGTGTGGCCAATATCACTTATTTATTACTGAGCACTTAGGGAGCTGTTCCAGGCTCCCACCCAGCATGCCCTCCTTCTTCTTCCCTTGTCTCCTTACCCAGGATGCAGCTCAGCCAGTCTGGCCTTGAGCTGCCCAAGCCACCTAGAGGGTGAGCTCAGAGGGCAGTCCTGTCAGAGCCCCACTGCAGCACGGGGCTGGGATTAGCATGATTACCCCACCATTCCAGGGACGCAGACTGCCTTTCAGAGTGGGTGAGAGTCTTGCTCAAGGGCACACAGCTGGTGAGTGGCAGAGCCAGGACTTGATCCTTGTCAAGTTTACCAAATGACTAATGACCTGCTGAGTCCCTGTGCAGCCTCCCAGCCTCCGGGAGCCGTGCTGGGGAGCAGGCTGGAGGATTTGGTGTGGTCCTACTTTGGAAGCCAGCGTCGCACATGAATGATGGAGACTGCAGGTCTGGTCTGGGATTCTGGAACGGGCTCTGCTCATTGCTGGCTGTGTGGCCTTGGACCAAGCACTTAACTTCTCTGAGCTGAGCTGCTGCTGCTGCTGCATCTTTATACTTGGAATCACAACCATGCTCACGACCCTGCCTTGTGAGGCTGTGAGCCCCATGCCATGATAGTGTGGGCCTGTGGAGCCCTTACTGTTGGTAGTTACTGTTTTTCTGTTATCATTAGAGCATGGGGACTTTCAGTGGAAAACAGAAACCAAAGGGCTAGAACCTTGTGAAGGAAGGCCTGACCCCTACTCCGTGGATTCCAGAAAAGTCTGGCTCCTCCCACCTCCTGCCCCAGGAGCCCTGCCGGGGGGAACAGTCATCCAGCCCTTCTCTCCCATCTATCTTATTTTCATTGAGGTCAGAGCCAGAGGAACCTGAGGGACCTTCTTGTGTAGCCCCACACCCCCAGGTCCAGAGGTCCAGAGAGAGAACGGGGCTGGTGCAGGGTCACACAGCAATCACTGGGGGGAAAGCAGGTCTCTGCCGGCCAGTTTTATGCCTCTTGCCTGTGCTGCTGACAATGGGGGCATGAAGCCATGGCTCTGTGGAGAACTTGCAGACATTTCAGCGTCCTCCCTGAGCAAACGCTTATATCAGGGGTCACTGGCAGAGTTCCCTCTCCCAGGAGATCCGGCGAAGTGAAGTGGGTGAGACGACAGCAGGGAGGGATGAAAGATGTTTCTGGGGTCCCAGAGAGTTGGCAGGCTCCAGGGATGGGAAGTAGGGTGAACGGAGTACTATTCACCACCACGTGCTCAGGAAAGGACTCAGTGCTGTGCCAGGATTGTGGGGTTCAGGTTGTGGCAAAGCAATTATTCCAACCATCTGGTAGCATTTGAGGTTTTACCCCAACCCAGCTCATGCTTTCCATTTGCTAGTTGAGAAAACTGAGGTTAAATGGTTCTCGAGAGCACACTGCTTTGATTATGCTTGGAACTCAGCTAGAGTCCACCCTTTTCCAGTCCCATGTTACCCCCGCCTGTACTTTCAGCAGACCCATGACCAGGATGCAGGTTTGGTTTGGCTCTGGCCGCCATCTGGTCCCTGCCACTCTCCCAGGTAGGGGCTGTGACTGTGCTTTCTCCAGTTTCCTCTTGCCCTCTGGGCTCTGGTCAGAGCCTGGCCACACTGGACATGCCAGGCTGGCCCCTGGTGAGTGGTGACGTCCCACTTAGCACATTGTCATGCCACCCCCGGGCTGCATCAGCAGCTGCCTGGCTGAATAATTCATCAGACCTTGTTTACTCTTCCCTTCCTGGCTGTTAGTGGCTCTCAAAACCCCACCACAGCCCCCTCCCAGGTCCAGCTGCCCTGGCCTCCACCCTGCTCTCCAATTTAGCCACCAGAAAGCTGCTCCACGACTGGGCCATGCGCATTGGCCATGAATTATTCAGGCCTCATTTGGCTGGAGCCAGGGTAGATATTGGGGCTGGAGGAGAGTTTGGGCCATGCGGTCTGTGCCATTTGGAGGGCACGTGGAGGAAGCATGTGGAACACAGAGTTGTCTCTGTCTTCATCTCCATTCAAGCTGACACCCACGTCCTGTTGGATCCAGAGTGATCTGCCCATTGTGAGCCCAGGGGAGCAGAGGATGCCTCGGGGTGAGAGCTCCCCAACCTTCAAGCGCAGAGACCTGCACAGAGCATACCATCGGTGCTCAGGACAGCGGGCTGATTGGCAGGCTGGCCTACATCAATCAACAAGAGGATGACACATTTCATATAAGGGGCAGAGGACAAAACTCTGGAGTCAGACAGCTTAGGTGTAAATCCTGACCCTTCTACTTTACAGCTGACTAAGCTTGGGCAAGTTACTTAATCTTCCTGTGCTGAAGGTTCTTCACCTGTAAGATGGGGAGAGCGATGGCTTCTGCCTCACAGGGCTGCTGTGCACAGAGCAATGGAGATCAGACGTCTACAGTGCTGGGGTGGAATGAGTGCTCAACCTCCAGACCACACTGGATTGTCATTGCTTGGTTGGTTGTTTGCCTTTCTCATCATCCTGGGAGATTTTTAAAGAAGGTACTGGATCACATTTTACTAGGTACCTCCAAGAACTAGTACTGAGGTGGCTCCTAGTAGATGCTTGGTAAATGCTTGTTGAATGAATGAATAAATGAATGAGTGAGGAATTGCTCTCCAGAGATGCAATGGGCTGATTTATGAGGCAGTGAGTAAGCTGCTTATTGCTGGGAGTGTTCTACTGGATCACAATTCACACGGAATTCTGTAGCAAGGATTGATGTTCTGGCTAGAAAGATGGTCTTTAAAGCCTCCTCCCCCATCATTAGCTGCTGTGGTTCCAGGATTCAATGAATAAATATGGGTTGTAGGAGTTGGTGGTGGTGGTAGTGGATGATGATGACAATGATGGAAACAAGGCTGATGATAAAGAGGCTAAGTCCTAGGACTTGAGGCTGGGGAGGCAGAGAGGAGAAACAGCTGATTCATCAGACTAGCCCATCAGACATTGTGCTTAAGGACAAGGAATTATGGCTTTTTCCTCTGTATTCCGGGTGCCTGGCACATAGTAAGCACAAAATAGCAGTGCACTGAACGAATGAGTGTTCCTTAGTCCTTAGATAATCAGGCAATCTGAGGACCTACCCCTTCCCAACCCAGTACACAAATTCTTCAGCCCACCCTGAGCCATCTTCTGTGGCCTTTCTGCCTCGTCCTTTGCCTCAGTTTCTCCAGTCATAAAAATGGGTCACATTAGTTGCTTCCCTTTCCCTAGTAACATTATCCAAACTGGCTATTTCTGGCAACACTGCAAGAAGAGGGCAGGCGGGGCAGGCCTGCCTGGTGGGACCTCTGACCATCAGGCTTCTGGGAACCATAGGCTATACCCACACCACAGAGCATCGATAAACTATTTTGATGTTTCTCTTGCTTTCAGAAAGACAGCTTCCAAGATTCAAGCCCAGGTGGTGCCGGTCTTTTTTTGGAGGTGCTAATTAATAATTTAACTTCATCTAATGATAATTTTATCTTGTTGCAGTTTGTGGATTTATGATTATCTCATCCATCCGGTGCCTAGTGTTGGGCATAGAGTGTGTCTCTGCTGTCTGCCAGAATCTGCTACTGGGAGAATTTCCCCACTGGGAGAGGGACCCAGGAAATGGCATGGTCTTAGAAGGTCTCCTGAACACATTTCCTTGGGAGGGCTCCTGTTATCTTCAAGGTTGATGGCTTTCTGCAATCTCTCAAGGGCTGTTTTGCCTGGAAACAGGACGATGGAGACAGAGACCTATCAGCTGTGGGCATCTCAATATCAGCGGAAATGGGTATCAAGAAGTCTCAGCCAGGTGCAGTGGCTTGCGCCTGTAATCCCAACACTTTGGGAGGCTGAGGTAGGTAGATCACTCGAGCCCAGGAGTTTGAGATCAGCCTGGGCAAGAGGTGACACCCTGTCTCTACAAAAAATACAAAAATTAGACAGGCGTGGTGGTGTGTGCCTATAGTTTGAGTTACACAGGAGGCTGAGGTGGGAGGATTGCTTGAGCCCAGGAGGTCAACGCTGCAGTGAGCTGTGTCCATACCACTGCACCCCAGCCTGGGTAACAGAGAGAAACCCTGTCTTGAAAAAAAAAAAAAAGAAGAAAGAAAGAAAGAGAGAAAGAAAGAGAGAAAGAAAGAAAGAAAGAAAGAAAGAAAGAAAGAAAGAAAGAAAGAAAGAAAGAAAGAAAGGGAAAGAAAGCCAGCCAGCCCCATGTCACAGACTGTCATAGCAGGAAGACCCCCAAGAGAATGTCACATCTGGCGCCTCTTTCCATGGTCAAAGAAGCTGAGGGACTAGCTCAGGAAGGAACTAGCTGAGGTTCTATGGCAGCAGTCACAAAATCTGTTTTGAACCCAGGTCCCCTCCTTCCAGCTATGCCCTGCTGTTGTCCAATATACACCTCTCTGCACCAGCTGACCAACCTTCCTTCCCTGGGCACTTGGCGAGAAGTGGCCCAGGTACATTTTGAATGGAGGTGGGGTGGGCACTTAGGTCCTCTCCTCCTATGTTTGGTGACTACAGCTCCCTAACTGCCTTTCCTTCTGGCAGGGAAGAGTCAATAAGCCCAAAGAGGATGGGTGGGCATGGCTGAAAATCCCTCCTGAATGTATGCAAAAACTTTTCACAGCCTCATGTTCTTTCTATCAGGTGAGTGATATTGTACCCATGCTGTCCAGAAATGGGGTGACCTAGTTAGAGTCAACTGACTTCGAAAGGCAGCAAAACTACGACCAGATATTAAAGGAGCAGTAGGATTTAGCTGAAGAAATGGGGGAAGAACATTCTAGACAGAGAAACTATAAGGAGAAATGCTCCAGACTTAAAACTGTAGGATATGACCACTTAGGTGAGACCCTTGGCCTCTAGGGACTTCAGTTTATTCTCTTACCATACTAGGAGAGTGCTTGGGGAGGAGGCTAGAGGCAGTGTCTGCACCCAGGCTGAATGTTGGGTTCTGCGTGGCCACTTCTGACCGCTGGACTGGACGAGGGAGCAAGGTGAGACTGCTAAACTCCTCCCCTCTGTCCACCTGGGTTCTTGGTTTCCCCTCCCTCCACACAAAGCTGGGCTGTTGACCGGGCCCCAGGTTGGCCTCAGCCCATGCTAATGAGATGCTAATGCTGAAAACCAGACTGACTGCAGCCTCCAAGTGTTTGGGGACCCTCTTGACAGCTGGAAAAGCCCTCCAGCTACTCTGGGCAACTTCAGCTCTAAGCTGGGATGTTCCCCCAGCAATTGCGCCTGTCACTTCTCATTACACCTGATGCCCGTGGTACCTGCCAGGGAGCCGTGGGGCAGAACTAGCCACATTCTCTCTCAGAGACCGCAGGGAGGCTGGAGCCTGGTCTGACAGGGTCCCTGGGGACTCAGGAGGTTTCACCAGTATGAGGATCAAGTCTTGCCCATTCGGGATCCCCTTGGCTGCAGTTTGTAGTGCAAGATCTCACAAAGACCCCTTAGGCTCAGAACAACATGGTGACCTTTGTTTTGACTTCTCCAACCCAGGGCCTATGACAGTTTGTGTTCAGATGAATCTGCATTGTGACACAATGGATGCTTAGAATTCAAGAACCCTAGGAGGTCAGAACTGAACAAGTCTTAATTATTGGAGAATGCAGGGCATTTTTATCATTAGTTTTTTGTTTGCCTTAAAAATTGCCCAAATAAGATATGTGAAAAACAAAAAAATTTTTTAATGCCAAAAGACTTAAAATAAAAAAGCACTATCTTTCCCCCCAACCTTCCTACTGCTACTCTTGCTCTCCTGGGACAACACATTTTTAGCCCTTTCAGCTGCTTCTTTTGCTCTGTGTGTTCATATTTCTAAATAATATGCATATTCTGCTATTTCTGCTTTGTCAGTTTTAGACATCCTCTATTGACTTCCTGCTATAGTAAACACAGATTTTGCTTTGTTACTCACCTTTCTGTCCCCTTCCTCCTTATATAGTCCTATTGCAACTTTTAGTCAAACCAAGAACATTATTATAAATGTATAAATGAGGCTCACTCTAGAGTTAAGCAATGGGCTCTGATTATATTTTCTTTCCCATACATTTCCCCCTTCAGTGTGGCGAATACGGGTAGTGCCTATTGAATATCTACCTGTTCCCCTATATTCCTCAGCTTCCCTTCTAGTTAGGTTAGGGCCATGTGACTAGAATGATCTTTTTGAGTTGAGGCAGCTAAGAGCCCGTGTGGCTCTTCCATCTTTCTCTTCCCTAGCAAGGAGCTTGTACATGTTGTGGGCTCCATGCTGTACAAACACAAAATGAAGGACTGCCTCCTTATTAGATTGTGATACAAAGGGAAATAAACATTTATATCTATTGCGACATCTAGCATCAACTATCCTGATAAATATACCCAGAGGTAATAATTGCTCCATATTTTCAGTTGCATCGTTTTCTTAAATGTTTCCAAATGTTGCATTATATCTGCCATACCATTATTATTAAGATTATTTTCATAAGTTTTGTCTTACATCATAGCATCTATCAGTCTCTCCTCTTTCCCTGGAGTCTTCCCTCCTGGGGCTCTGGATTTCTTCTTTCAACCTGGCCTGTTACTCTTTATGCCTGCTGCGAAGCTCACGTCCTGGGAATTTCCTCTGCTACTCTCCCGTGTTGAATCCCCTGGATTCTATATTCTTGGTTTACTTCTAATTTTTGCTGAAACATATCCTCTGGTACTCTGCAAAGTAAATTCTCTGAATCCTTACACATCTAGAACATATTTAAAGTCTCAACTTATGTTTTAATCATGTGTTTAGCTATAGAGTTCTATATTGAGAATAGTTTGCCCCAAGAATTTAGAAGGCAGGGTTTCACTGTTGCCCAGTATCCAGCGTTGCACTCAACAAGTCCTACAACCATCTGATTCATAGTCCTTTGTATGAAACCTGTTACTTTCCCTTCTAGAAGCTTTTAGAATCATATCTGTGTCTATATGTTCTGAAAATTTACAATAATCTGTTTTGAAGAGGATTTACCTTGTTTTGACCACTTGGTAGGCCCTTTAATCTGAAGGTTCATATTTTTTAGTGCTAGGAAACTGCCTTGAATTATTTCTTTGATAATTCCCTTTGTTGTATTTTCTCCATTAATTGGGGACCAGTTCCTGGATTGTTACTCGCATAAGTTAACCATGGCTACAATAATGCTATATAACAAACCAACCCCAAACTCAGTGGCTTAAGACATGGTTACTTATACTCACAGATCTGTGGTTGCCTGAGGGACACTAATTTATGCTGAACTTGTTTGACTGGCATTGCTAGAGTTGACTGGGCTTACCTACACATCTGTGAGCAGAGTAGGAGATGGCTGATTTAGGGTAGTGTTGGCTGGCGGACTTTAACTCTGCTCCAAACGTCTCACACCTTCCTCGTGGGACCAGTGAGCTAGCCCAGGGATGTTCTTCTCATGGAGAAGGCATGGAAACTACTGTTGCTGCCATACACTGCCACTTCAATAAAAGCTGCTGTCTAAACCATCGACTCACCCTTGAATTATTTCCTGGGTGAAGCCAAGAACTCTTCCGGTCTAAGTCCCAATTTGGGGGCTCACTTGCCCTACATCAGTCTAGAGGCAGAGTGCATAGGCATGGAGCTCAGTTCTATGGCTAACTGTACTTGGGCTTGGCTTCTTTCTTCTTCAAAGTACTCATCTGTAAAATGGGAACAAAATAGAAACCTACTTCACAGACTTGTTGGGAGGATGAGAAAAGTTACTATATGGAAAATGCCTGGAAGCATCCCCAGCGCACATCTAAAATATCTCTTCTCAAATACATGAGTGGTTCTGAAAAGCTCATTGGAAGTTTTGTGTTTAGCAGTGAAACTTGTGGAAAGGATAGGGTAGAGTGCTGGCTGGGGAGCCTGCACCTGCCATTGAAGAGCATACTGGCATTTTAAGCTCCCCTCCAACCCCTGCTTATCACAATTTCTCCCCCACTATAAATGGCAGTGAAGAGTTCTATGATTTAGGAGGGCCCGAGGCTCCCACTGATTTCTGTTCAGACTTCCACTTCATCCTCATTTGCAGCTCCAGGTGTCATTCTCACCTCCCTGCACCTGGTGTCTTCAAGGCCTGAGCCCCTGCAGAGTTTGCTATCATTTTAGGGGCTTCTAGGGAGAAAGGAGATAAAGCCATCTTTAACTAGAAGTCAAAGCTGCATTTTCAAACTGTTTTAGCTGCAGAACCTCCAGGTCAAAGGAAACTTTCTGTGACAGCCAACGTGTAAAGCCAAGGAAAGCAGAGCTACCCAGCTGGAGAGGATGAGGCCTAGAGACCCCCGCTTGCTACCCCTCAACCCTCACCAGCTTCTCCCTGAGACACTGGCTGCCAGAACTCAGTGTGAAAACCACTTAGACACAACAATCCCTGCCCTCATTTTACAAATGATGAAGCCCAGGTTAAGAGAGGAAAAAATATGGAATTTGGCCTTTGACCCCCAGTTCAAAGCTCTCTTTTTCACACTTTGTTGCTTCTGAATAAAGGATGTATGGTGGCTGATTTCTATTTGCCAGTGCTCAAAAAGTTAAGGATAATCCCCCCCGGCCCCTCAGCAAACTCCTTCTGGGTCCACTGTCTCTGATTCTATCTTGACATTCTATTTTCATCCCTGCTACTTCCAGGGATAATCACAACAGGTACATAATTGTTATCTGTTGGGTAAAGTAGCTCTATGTTTTATTTGCCATAAAAAGTTATCTTCCCATCGTTTGGCCCCTGTCAGCCCCTGTGACCTAAGCTCCCTCTAGTCCCCTTCAGAATTCCAGTGCCCCGCTCAGCAGGGCCACTGACTGCACCCCCACACATTCCAGGTCATAGATTCTAATGACAGCCAGGGTGGAGAACACGCCCATTCTTCCATTTCTCTGTCTCTCTAGGGCAAAATTCTGTCTTCTTTTCAGCATAAATGTTACCTTTACAAAGTCTTGCCTTGAGTATGTTACTTCATCTCTGGAGCCTCATTTATTCATCTGTAAAATGAGCAGAATGGGGCCTGCCTTACTGGGTTTTGGGGAAGACTAAATATGCTAATGTATGAGTTGGCACAGTGCTAGGCACCTGCAAAAAATGACTCAGTAAATGTTAGCTATTATTATTGTGTGTCCATCCATTGTAAAACGTCCCATTCTGTCTTTTGGTGTATGTCTAATTTCTCCACTAGTTGGATGGGTATTAGTCTCGACTGTGCATTAGAATCACCGGATGGGATAGGGAGGGGGGATTTTAATGAACATGGATGCCTGAGCCCCATTCCAGATCAAATGACTATGAATCCCAGGGGATAGGGCCCAGCTGTTTTAAAAGCTTTCCAGGCCATGGATTCTGACTGCTAACCAGGATGGAGAATGCTGAGCTAGACCATGAGTTGCCTGAGAGCAAAAGTCAGGCAATGCCCATTTTTGTATCATACATAGCACCTTGTATCTAGCATCCTGTAACTGCGGAATGAATGAATACATGAGCAAGTATTAGACACAAAGCAAAAATTAGAATGAGAAGGTCTTTGTGGGTATGGGTTTTTGTATTGAGGGTAACTGGGATCAGACCTGGCTGGCTGGAATGTTATTAGGAGCCTAGCAGGGAGTTCTTGGAGGGCTGTGTGTGCCTGAGAGTGGGGCTCTGCACCCTAGTCTGGGGAGTCATATCTCTAGGTAGCCTGTGACTTACAAAGTGCTTTTACAGACCTAATAGAGATCACATGAATAGGCACTATTCTTACTCTTACTCTTTGGACAGATGAGGAAAGTGGCCAGAGTCATTATGAGTTGCCCAAGGTCTCCCAGACAGAGGGCTGCAGAGCCAGGCACGGACCTGTGTCTCTGGACACCTGGTCCCATGCTTGGTCAGTCTCTTTGGAGTGAGGCTCACAGCTGCCCCTCCTGGATTCTAGGAGTAAAGTCACGCAGAAGGGAGGCAGGGAAGTGAGGGGCCTCTCTCTGAGAAGTTGGCTTCCAGACTCCAGTTCCTTGGAAAAATGTGGAAGAAATCTTGGGTGCAGTTGCTGTATGTGTGTGTGCATGTGCTATTGTGTGCCCCTGCATGTGTGACCATGCTTGTGAACTTCTTGCTGCTTGTGTGTGGCGCGTGTGGCTGAGCATGTGTGCCTGCCATGGTACTGTGTGTTGCTGTTTGCCAATCTATGTGATTCATGTCTGTTGTTGCTATGTTGCATGTGCATGTTGTGTGTGTGCTGTGTTTAGAAGCCTCCTGAGCTCCTCAAAGCCTACTCCTCCAGCCAGGAGGCCCATGGCCTGGCTGGGAGTCCAAGGACTGTAGTGGCTGTCCCTCTTCAGGAAAGAACCCAGAGGAGAATGACCTTTCTCTCCAGGCCTGGGTCCCGCTCCTCTCTCTGTCCAGCACCCTGCACTTTCCCTCTCCCTGGCCCCCACTGCCCTCACCATGACAGCTTCTTACCAGAGCAAAAGTAGGCAAAGTGCAAAGAGGCTGCCCATGGCTTTCCCAGCCCCATGCCCCGCCTCACTGCCTTGCTCCTGCTGAGCTTTCCCGTCTGCCAGGCTTGGCTTCTGCAGGAAATTTCCCTGGGCACCTTTACTCCCAACTGTGTGTTAATTACTTAGTCTCCAGCCTCCCCATCCACCTCAGAATGGAGGGACAGGGTCACCTTGCTACATAACTTTACCCCTGTTTGAATGATAGTAATAAGAGGCAGCCAGGGGCCAGGGGAGCAGGTTGACAGGGTGCCTAGGCCAAGACTACGGCCACCACAAGGAAGACACTGAGTATGAGGAGCTGAAATACACAAATCTGGCCCTCATGCCCCACTCCTGTCCTCCCTCCTCGAATCTAAATGCACTCATCTCAGGGATTGGAGGTATTTGAAGGGAGATGACTTACCTGGTTGCCCAGATACCTGTAGGTGATGTGCCAAGCCTGTTTCAGTCCAGGGGAAGAGTCCTTTTCAGGAGACAGCATGAGGTGAGGGGTGGTAGCCCAGAGGGGTGTAGACTCACCTGCTTGGAGACAGGAGAATGGCTTAGGTAGGCCAAGCTCCTTCCTCATTTTACTCTCATTAGTGACATCACACTAGCCCCTCTTCTGGCCCCTCCCATGAGTGAGACGATCTTCTTTTCCCCAATTCCTACTCCTCCACCCGTACATCCCTGTGGCTTTCCTCTTAAGTTCATGGGTCTAATGGTTTCTTACAGCTTCCTGGAAACCCTTTCACTGTTATGAGAGTAGACTGAGGCTCAAGACCAGAATTCTTTCTTTCAAGGGCACAAGAGTCTTAAATTCTAGTCCCAGACCCTGTGATCCTGAGACTGGGTGACCTGGGTACATCATTGCTGTCCCTCTGTATTTTGGTTTCTTTACCAATAAAAGAATCAAAGACTTTACAGGCAGCTCCATGCTCTGCCACAGGGCATCACAGTGGGATTCCAGAGTGCTCTGTGCATGGATCCAGGCCCCTGGGCCATCCAGCCACACAGTCAAGGAAGTTCTTCCAAGGGAGGTCCTGGTAGTGATGGAGGACCATGGTCGGGGTAGTAAGTGCTTCCTGACCTTCCTCTTCAAGGACGAGCCAGATGGCCAGTGATTAGAGCATTGGATTAACAGACACAGGACTTACTAGGAGTGGGGAGACCTGCCCAGGCCAGGGCAGGGTCCACTAGACTGTGAGTTCCTGAGGGCATGTCTGGTTCATCTCTCTAGTTCTTCATATTCTGTCTCCTTGGAGCTGATGCTCAGGGAATGTTTGTTAAAGAAATGGATAATTGAATGGAGAAGAGAAGATCAAGTTTGTGAGATAAAAAACTAAGGAAAGAAGAGATCTTGGAATGCTGGACCAAGTGGAAGAAAAAAGAGGAATTAGAAGGAGATGACAAGATAGATTAAGGCTGTGTTGTGCTATGGTGACAAACAAGTCCCAGATCTCAGTAGCTGAAAACAGCAAAGGTTTATTTCTCATTCATGCTACATGTCTACGTGGGTTGGCAGGGAAACTGCTCATTTTAGTCACTGAAGCATGTAAGTTGATTGAGCATTGAACATTGCCAGTCACTGTGTTAGAGAGAAGAGGGTTTCACTCTAGCCATTAGCCCAGAAGTAATATTTTCATTCGTACTCCATTGGCCAGAACTAGTCACATGGATACTTTTATTTACAATTCATGGGCCAGAACTAGTCACAGAGTTACTTTTGCTCACAATCTATTGGCTATAACTAGTCACATGATTACTGTTGCTTACAATCATTTTGCCAGAACTAGTCACATGATACCTCCAATAAAAAGAAGATGAGGAAAAGCAATCCTACCATATGCCTAGAAGACAGAAATGGAAATGCTTGATAAATAGCATTAATGAGTAATTGAAGAATTAGCCATGGAGAGCTGGAAGGGGGGGTGTGCAGCTGATATTCCAGATCTTCACCCACCCACATGCTAGGGTTCCGAGCCTATGGGTTGTGCTTTATTAAGATCTTAAAGTCATAAACTGGCCCTAGAAGTTAATGGGGTAAGGCAAGCTGCACATGAATTGAGTACCAACTATGTGCAAGATTATTATGACCACTGGAAATATAAGATGGATACAGCCCCTACCCTGATGGAGCCAACAATTAGATAAGAAATACATTAAAGTATGAAATAGCATGAGGATCTGATATCCTAGATTCCTGTTGGAAATGGACCAGCTGAGGAAAGAGGAGACAGTATGGCTTGTAGCTACACTTAGTGGTTGCTATATTTTTTCCTATTGTCTCAAAGATTTAGATTGCCCATAAGTAGTCACAGACCAGTACAATTACACGGCTTCTAGTTCCTGCCTCTACCTCTGTCCACACCTCTCCAAGATTAGGAGCCTTTGTAAATGAAGATACTCCCGAGAGAGAAGCAAAGACTCACTTCAAAGTCTTAAAAGCACTTAATGTTGTCCCAGTAAGCTATGTGCTCTTATTAATGGGACTGCTTCCTTCTGATTACATTTTTATGGACATTTTCCTGGTGACATTGTGCTAGCCTTGTTCTGAGCTCCCCAATCCAACTGATAAAAGGCCAAAATGAAAGACAGAGAGGGAGAAAGACAGAGAGAGAGGAAGGAAGAAAGGGAGGGTGGGTGGGGAGGAGGGAGGGAAGGAAGGAAGACTAGGCTTTCATTTCAGCAAGATAGGTTTCCTTTCCAATCATGTGGAGGAAAATTCCTCCCTCACTGATATGGTTTGGCTGTGTCCTCACCCAAATCTCATCTTGAATTGTAATCCCTATAATCCCCACATATCACAGGAGGGATCCGGTGGGAGGTAATTGAATTATGGGGGAGGTTTCTCCCATGCTGTTCTCGTGATAGTGAGTGAGTTCTCACGAGATCTGATGGCCTTAAAAGCATCTGGCATTTCCCCTTCTGGCACCCATTCTGTCTCCTGCTGACCTGTGAAGAGATGCCTTCTGCCATGATTGTAAGTTTCCTGAGGCCTCTGCAGCCATGCAGAACCGTGAGTCAATTAAAACTCTCTTCTTTATGAATTATCCAGTCTCAGGTATTTCTTCATAGCAGCATGAGAAGACTAATACCATCACCAAATTTTGGCTTTGTGCAATTTGGCTTGAATTAGGGAAATCAAAGGACTTATAGTAGTAATACTTGAGTGAATACCAAATTTACCAGTGTCAGAAGAAGAGAAGAGGACAAATTACACATATATGCTCACTTAGGAGCTACAACTTCACTAAAGAACTGTAACTGTCAATGGTTGGATCCTTTTGTGGCTTCTTTTTGCCATCAGAATAAAATCTAAATTTCTGAGCTTGGATTAAAAGACCTTTATGATATCACTCTGTCTTTTCCTCTAGCTTCCCCTCCCCTTTGACACCTACCTGCACTCCACACTCTAGTTCTAGGCTGCCTACCTTACACTTACCCAAACGTGGTTCATGTCTCAGTGCCTTTGAATTTACTGCTTCCTCTACCTGGAGTGCTCTCCCAGTCACCTACTTGGAAAATTCTCCTCATCCTTGTATCTGTGGATCAAGCATCTTTGGTCTCCTTTAAGCCACTACTCTCTTGTACAAGCTTCTATTACAGTTCTTATCACACCGACTGACAATTGTTTCCATGCATGTCTCTCCAGTTAAGCTGTGGAATTCTTGAGGGCAGTGATTGTTTCTTATTCCTTTTTATTTTTCTGTTGTGCTTATTATAAGGCTTAGCATACAGCAAGGGTTCAGTATATGTAATAAAATGAGTGAATAAATGAATGAGTTGGGAGGAATCTAAAGGGTTACCTAGTGTAAACTCCCTCTCAAAACAATAATTTTTACCTCTAGCAGGGGTCAACAAATTATGGCTTGTGGGCCAAATCTGACCAGATGCCTGCTTATAGGAAGAAAGTTTTATTGGAACACAGCCACATCCATGTGTCTATTGTTTACAGCTGCTTTTGCACTACAGCAACAGAGTTGAGTAGTTGGGATCCTATGGCCCTCAAAACCATTTCTGATCTTGCCTTTTACCTACCACTGTTTTATAGCATTGGCTTTTAATCTTTCTTGGACCAGAGACCCCTTTGAGACTTTGATAAAGGCTTCGAGATTGAATATATGAACACACACAGAATATGTTGTATTCAATTTCATGAGGATAAGTGACTCCTTGAAGCCCATTCATCAATCCCCTAGGGATTCGCAGACACCAGGTTAAAAATTCTGTTGCCCAAGGCTAGTGAGGCTAGAGCTGAGAAAGTGATGGAAGTGTGGTCCAGAGGTAGCTGGGGGAA
Source organism: Homo sapiens (assembly GCF_000001405.40). Taxonomy (NCBI): domain Eukaryota; kingdom Metazoa; phylum Chordata; class Mammalia; order Primates; family Hominidae; genus Homo; species Homo sapiens. Next base: position 34,470,036 of record NC_000017.11, on the reverse strand, counting down.
GTGAAGAGGCCTAATAGTCATATCTCTTAAAAATAAAAAAATTTAAAAATAAAGCATTGCCCTGAAGGATTCCTGACACCTTTAATGTGGTATCTCAGTCCCAAGGAACTCACAACTATGCTTGATGTTGCTTGGTTGAGGAAAGCGCAATTTGCGGGGAAAGCCTGTCTTCACACTCACCTGAACTCTGTATCCTTACAATTTGAACCTATTGGTCCTCCCGGATGTTGAGGCTGTGGCCCAAAGGGCACAAACCCGTCTCCACAGCCAGTGTGGAGAGGCAAGGAAAAACCAGAAGGCAGGAGAGAACATGCCTACCCTCACCTTCCAAAGGAGAGGCACAAAGGGGAGAGGGAAAGGAAGGGAGCTTGGGACCATTACAGTTGCTCATATCCAGCTTTGCTTTCTTAAAAACAAGGGCGGGTAGAGAATGTGTGCATCGGAGAGCTAATGAAGTCATGAGCAATAGGAGGCGTTAGGCCTCTGGGAAGCAAATTGTGGACCAAATGAGCTCATGTTTTAGCAGAATTATTAACTTAGCAGATGAAGGGAACATATTAGACATTATGAATCTTGCTTTTAGCAGAGCCCTTGATAGAGGGTTGTGCAGATGCTTGCTAAATTCATTCCATTAGGGTTGGAGGGAAGCTGGCATCACCGGGATCCCCAGTGGAAGCCAGCACTCCTGGAAGGGACAAGGGGGTGATGTCAAATGTATATCTGGGCCAGGCATTGTCTGGGGGCTTTATTCAATACCACAACACTCAGCAATGAAGAGGCTATTGTTCCAGTTGCAGAAGAGAAGATGAACTCAGAGGGGTAAAGTACCTCATCTCAGGTCGCACGGGGTCAGCAACTAGGCTCATGGTTGGAGTCGGGTCTGCCTTAGTCCAAACCCAGTGCTCTTTCCCTGAGGGGAAGAAATACCTCCCTGCTGGGATCTCATGGGAACTACTTAGAAATGGAGCAAAGCGCTAGACTGGAACAAGAGGGATAGGTGAGGTAAGATCTGGGGTCAGGCAGAGCGGGTTGAGACCTTCAGGTAGGGCTTAGTGAAGGCATAGGAAGGGAGCTGGGTCTCCAGGGGCAAGGCTGATTCTAAATTCTGCATTTCAGGAAGGTGCAGCCAATGGGAAGGTGCTCAGAAAAGGGGGAGTGAATGGAATCCACATCCTATGGGGAATGGTTGTGTGAACATACAGGACTGTCTCTTGCCAAAATATTTAGAGTTCTGTCCTGGAGGGTGCTGGAGATTGCTGTGGCCTAAGAGGGTTGAATGGGTCATCCAGTGCCTCACAAGGGGGCTAAGAGAGCTTTGCTGGGAGGTGCTCAGTATTGTAGGGAGTGAGCTAACCTTCCCTGAAGATATTCGTGGAGCAGGCGTGGAATGGGAGGAGAGCCTGACCATAAAGCCACTCCCTATGCTACAATTTTTTACCTTCTGAAGTCAGGCATGAGAAAGAATGTTCTAATAAGAAAGCTTTCCAGAGCGGCCTACAGATGTTTGGGAGTAGGGCAGGAGAATCTGTATTTATCTCTGAGATTTAGTGACCGACTATATGCTTGCATACGAAACGGATGGACTCAATGGCCCCTAGAGACTCCCCTAGCCTGAGGACTGCTTGCATGCAGTGGGTGACTGACAGACCTTCCTGAATTCTCTTGGCATGGTGTGGGAAGTTTGGGAGCTTCACTTCCAGGGAACTTTCTCTAGCAGTGAGCTCCAGACCCACCATAAACAGGAGAAAAGAGAGAAGGCGACAGGGGAGGTGACTGAGAAAGGACAATGGTCCAACCTAGCTGCCTACAAACCTTTTCTGAGGTTGTACCATGTGCCAGAATCTCAGACAGACAGGAAATGAGCTACGGGAAGCCTGTAGTGCAGCAGGTAAGGTGAGGCATGGTCACCACTTTCTCAGACAGGCTGGACATAGCCACAGGACCCAAAAGAGGACAGACGAGGCCATGGACTTGTTCAGAGCCATGAGAGATCACCTCTCTCTAGGGCATGTCTGAGTGTATCCCTGAAGCAGTGGTCTTCATAATCCTGCAGTGGATTTGGCCATAGGGAGCTAGAGGAAGAGCACCAGAGGCATGGTGAGAGGTGAGTGGTGGGGAATAGTGGGGATATACAGGAAGGTGGAGGGGCCAGATTTCACAGGGCTCTGCATGCCAGGCTGGGTTCCGACGCTGGAGCCAGTAGGTGCCCTTGAATGTCCTCTTTCCATATAGGAAAGCAAGAGTTCCATGCCAGAGAAGAGCAAGATCAGGATCATGTTTCAGGAGCATGAATGTGACTCCCATGTGGAGGTTGGAATGGAGTGCATGAGACTGGAGCCAGGAGGCCAGGGAAGGGTTTCTTGCAGAAATGCAGGGATATTGGCAGCCTCTGTCTGACAGCTTAAAGAAGCTGATTAGGAGCAAAATATTCTCCATGCGTGTATGTGTGTACACACCTCCAAGTGAATGTGCATTTCTCCAAGTGTACACTTTTGGGTGCAAACATGTTTGTATGTGTCTGCTTGTGAATGTGCTTCAGGGCGTGTGATGTCTAGCTTGCTGTGAAGTGGCATGGACGCCTGCCCCAGGAATTGTGAGACTAGTTCTGCACATGTGAGTGTGTATGTGTGTGGGAGTAAGTGTGTGCCATCCCCGGCTCTCCAGGGAGCCCAAATCCTGCTCTCAGGCTGCAGTGACAAGTCAGGCAGACAAATCTTGCCACAGCTCCCATCACCTTAATTCCATCTGTGCATCTTCTGCCACCACCCCTTATAATGGGCTAGATTCTCCACACAGGACACTGTCGATGGGCTGCCTGCATCTCATGAGGGCCTCTCCAGCCCCATACTGTCCCCACAACCATCTTCCACCCCCCTAGTTTTTGCTCTTGGATTACACAATAACTGCCTTGACTGGGAGGGGCAATGCCAGTCCTTTCTAGTTGTTCCTTCAGCAGAGAGATGTGAGGGTGCTGTGGGTAGGCCCCCTGGTACTGGTTGCCAGACAGAAGAGGACCTCTCTCCCTCTCCCCACCATCTCAAGGCTTACCCTACACTATTTCAGCTGGGACCCCCCAAATGCTCAGACCAGGATCAAAGCCAGAATGATCCTGCCATTTCTGACCTGAAATTACCCCTACTTTCTTGGAACACAGCCTGGAGGAGAGGGGGTGAGAGGCCTTTGTCAGCAGAGTGAGGGTCCCAAACCACAGCCCGGCCCTGCCTTTGACCCACTAGGTGACCTGTGTTAGATCCTATTTTAGCTTTAGCTTTTTTTAATGTGTAGTTTGGGGCCAGGCTGTTTTGTCTGGAGCCTGGGATTGGAGGAAGTATCGGGACTGTCATCCATTGTGCTGAAGTGTGGAGTCCTGTGGCTGGACTTCGCTGGGCAAGTCCTTCACCGAGTCCTTTATGCTGGTAAATGTTTTAACAGCTGGCTCCCTGCAAGCAGAAAGCCCCGATTTGTAGGGTTTGCCAGTTTCTCCGGTGTAAATGCTCCCACCACAACCAACTGCAATCCACTAACATGAAACCACTGAGCATGGAGATAAAAGAGATGTGCACACTCGGCCCTTGTGAGCTGGTAGGGGCCGGCTCCAGCACATCACTGCCTGTATCCTAAACACGACGACAGCCCAGCCAGAGGAAGAATCCAAGCCAAGGTCATGCAGAAAGCAAAAGGGCTAGAGTGCCTAGCACTGGGTTTGAGCCAGAGGTGAGGCTATAGGTGAAAAAAAAGAGTCAGGACGTTAGGCACTAAGAAGATTAGCAACACGTTTGGAAGTGTGGAGTGCAAAGAGGGCTAGGGCGAGTGGCTCAGGATGGAAACTGTGCTGTGCTGGGTGATGCTGCTGGAATACAATATTGCCTCTTGATGTTCTCTTCCCAGGCTTAGGGAAGGGACGAGGGCGTACATGATGATGAGGGAGCTGGGCAAATAGACAGGTGTTCCCTGAACACCAGGGATGACGTCTGAGCAGGCCAAGCCAGGAAAGGGCAAATCCAATCTCTGTAATTGTTGGTACATCAATTCTTGTGACGGTCTCATGAGGATGATGCCAAGGGCCTGGGGAGGGCGGGATGCCCTGGCTGACATCATCTGCTATTTCTGGACCAATTCATAGCCTTCTTTAGTGGGAACTTCCTTCAGAACATAAATCACCCCATCTGTCATGACTACCTCATCCTCCCGAGAAAACAGAGGGAACCCAGTACGTGGAGCCAGAAGAAGTCCGGGTGTCCTCTGGAGATGGCTTTGGGAGCAGAGAGAAGACTGTAACTTCCAAGGTCACATGCACCAGTGTTCAAATCTCACCTCTGCCCCTGGCTGGCTGAAGGGCTTTGGGTAAATCATTTTAATTCTTTGACATTCTGTTGCCTCAAATGGGCTAACCATACTTAATAATCTCTCTCATTTCCTTTAATTCCTCTCTTTTAAAGAATATGCTTCCAGTGATCAGTTTGTGGAAGCTTCCAGAAGGAGATACAGACTCTCTTTCTGGCCCCTTCCCTGGCTTTGTGATGAGGAGGCCACAGCGATGGGCATGGAGGCTGCTGCCAAAGAGGGTAGAGAGCGTGGGAGGAGGAAGGACTGAGGGTGCTCTCCTCAGTGGGGAATCTGACCCCTCTGTGATGTGACAGAAGCTGTTCTCAGACTTCTCCTTAGAACTTCTCAGCCAAGGTGGGGCTCAGAGCCCAGGAGAGCAGCCCGGGACCTCAGCACACAAAGCGAGGGCCCATTTCCCAGACAGAGGGGCCTGACCGTCTGCTGCCCATCTGCAGGTCTGCTTGACTTTCTTCCTGCTCGAGGCCTGGCTCTGTCTGTCTGCCCCAACTGTCTGTCCATCTGTCCCAGGGAAAAAAACTGTCAGGTTTGTTACCTGCCTGCTGCCTGTGTTTCTGCAGAGGCCTGCCTGACTTCCTGTCCGTCTGTCAGTCTGCAGCAATCTGCCTTCCTATTGCTTTGATTGCAGCTGACTCTCTTGCACCTGGGCTCCATTTTATGATGTGCGAGTGACAGAGAGGTGACAAATGAGAGTGAAGGAGAATGACAGATGGGAGCACACATATGGGGGATGGAACATGTGCGCATGCATAGGGCTGACAGTTGGGTTGTCCTCTTTGAGACAGGGTCACTCAAGTTCTTCCCAATCCTAGGGGGATGCCTGGAGCACCGCTCATCCCACTGCAAAGCACTGTCTGTCTGCACCCATGACCACTGACAGTGGTGTCCCTCATGGAGGCTCTGGGAGGAGTAGCAGGAGAAGGGACAGTACCCATGACAACAGATGAAGAGGCACATTTCAGCTCAGGAAGAACCTTTGTAACCATGGGGCTGTCCAACAAACAAAGTGGGGTGCTGGTGAGGTAGTGATCTCCCTGTCACGGAACTTGTTCAATTATAGGCTGGCCACCCACTTGTCAGGGCTGCTTTGGCGGGGTGTTTCCTGCCCTGGGAGAGTAAGACTGGAAAGGTTGAGATGGACTGATGTTTAAGGTGATGATTTCTGTAGATAACCCTTGTAAAGCACTTTGCACAGGGCTTGGCACATAGTAGATGCTCAAAGACAGAACTGTAATTAGGAGGGAGGTTGGACGAAGTGATCTTAAGGCCCTATCCCACAGCCTTGGAGCTGGAGAAAGAAGAAAGGCCAATTAATGGCAACAGGTTATGAATAAACAGAAGCTGGGAACGTGGGATAATAAAGGGCTTCCCAGAATAGGAATGTCTCCATCTCTCTCACCCTGATTTGCATGGCTCCTGCAGGCCTCCCTCCCCTCTCCTAACTCAATTTCAATTTCAATTTCAATGTCAATAACTTCCCTGGCACGACAAACAGCCAGGGGTTGCCAAAGTGAATCAGAACATTGAGTTTCAAAGTCTCGGACCAGCTCGTCTAGCCAGTGTTGTGCCCCCCACAGGCCTGCCAGGGACTGCCTGATGCACATCCCTCATCCTCTGTGCCCTTTGGGGAGACTTATTTTTACCCTCCCCAGCTGTCTGCGAGATTATTTGAAAAATGACACACTCCTTCCTTGATCAAGATGTTTAAACAACAACAGCACGGGTGACACCAAGAGCCTGCTCTGTGGCTCCCCACACGAAGAGCTGGGGATGGGAGGATAAAGAAGACTTATCCCCCTCCTGTGAGATCCCACTCAAGTGAGGAAGGCAGATGAGACTCAGCAACTCCAGCAATGTGGCTAGTGCTGTGACGGAGGTGGCGGGGGGACCTGGGAGCACAGGAAGGGTGCTTGAGCCAGGTGGAGCAGGGGCAGCTTCCTTGAAGAGGAAGAATGGAAGGGCCTTCCCAAGAATACATGGATGGCAGGCCACCAACAACGTTCCCTATGGGACAGCAGTGGCTGGACTGTCACCAGAGGATGCACCCTTTTTACTTTAGCCATAACAACTACTGACCCACAGCAATCAGATCCTTTGTAAAGGGAAGGCTTGTCGTGGAGGAGCGAGATGTGTTGTACCAGGGACCAGGTAGACAATGTCTGAGGGCGATAGGGCCTAAAGTCCTGGATGGTGGGCATGGGGTGAATGCATGAGGCTTTGGGCACCAACCTCTGTAGCCCACTCATGAGCACTGATTTCAGCTTGATGCTGGCACAGAGGGAGAGGCCCTGGGGGGAGTGGAGTGAGGCGTCGGGGGCCAGGAAGCCCAGGGCACCATCTGAAATGCTTTGGCTCAGAGACAGGAATGGAGAGGACAGGGCTGAGGCAGTAGCATCCTCGATGTGCAGAGATGAACAGGTGAAGGGGTGAGCTGACGCTAGCCTTGCTGACTTGACATTCTGCCCAGCACCAGCTGGGGGTCACCTCTTGCCTCCACAGGTGGGGAGTTGGACAGACAGGGCCTGGGGCAACGTTGCCAGGAAAACCCCATGAGTAGGACCTTAGCCCTCTTCCTCCTTTTCTCCTCTCTTCAACCAGAATGTCAAGAATGCTGATAGACACAGACACAACTCCAACTCCCCTCCATATCAACACCAACACTAGGGGTGCTAGGGCAGAATCTCCCTGAGACAGAGAGGGACACAAGCTCTCTTTCCAAAACCTTTGGCCAGGCAGAGAGAAGAGCCCCAGGGACAGACAGCTCTAAGCAAGATGAGCAAATGCTCAGAGGCCCAAGGGGAGTCTACTTGTGGGTCTGGGCTTTTTTTCCCATGGGATTATGCTGAACCAGTATAAGCAGGTGTCTCTCAAGCACTGCCCCAATCTCTTGGTTTCTGGAGACTCCTCAGCTGTTGTGGAGGCTGCTTGAGCAGGGGCCCCCATCATCCTGTTTGCTCTTCTGGTCCTCCTCTTTGCACATCCTCAAAGTCTGATGAGGCTGGGAGTTGGGAGACACAGGTGGGCTGGGGGAGGAGGGGAGCCACCATGGAATGAGAACACTGAGAAGGTATTTCCAGTTCTGAGGCTGGGTACCCTTGAGCAAATTCCTTCCACATTCATGGCCTCATTCAACTCTTCAGTAAGATGAGAGGAATAGGCCAGACCAGGGGTTTACAAAGAGGGTTACTTAGAAGGCTGTTCATGTAACATGTCCTGGGGAAAGAATTTGGGAGAACAAACTTTTCATGCTCCCACACACATTACAGGCTCTGAAATCTCCATAGCACAGACACCTGTTCAACTTAGCCTGACCAGGTGTTTCCCAGACTCCCTTGATGACCCTGTTTTCCTCAAGCCACTTATTTTTATCCCAAGGAAGGAATGACTGTGCCACACAGTTTGGAAAATATTGGAATAAATTCTCCTCTCCAAGATTCCCTCTGGTTCTGAGAATCCAGATGTGTGTTTCTCTAAAGAAAATTGGGAGAGGATGTGGTGAGGAGAAGCTCTTTCTGTGTGCCCAGCCCTGTTCTCTATCTTTGATCCTTGAGGTGACATGTGGGTAGGTATTAACTCTCCCACTAGCAGATGAGGACAGTGAGTCATGGAGTGGCTCAATGGAGGGGGCCCCATTTGGAATCACCCTTTTCTTGGAGAGACCATTGGAGAGCTTATGGGGTGAAGCCAAGGGAAGCCAAAGGCTGGGGTAAACCACCTACACATGCCTGAAAAAGCAGCCCCTAAGAGTTCAGACCCACATAGGGCTGGCCCTCGGCAAAGGTTTAAGCTTGCAATATGGGTGTGTGCATAGTGGAAAGAACCTGAATTTTGGAGTCAGACCAGGATTCAAATCCTGCCTCAGAGAGACTTTCTGAACTAACCTTATTTAACCGATGAACTAGATGACCTGATTCCTCTACTCCCTTTGTAAAATACTCAAACACAGCTATAGCCTGGGGCTCTTGGAATGTCTGCCTATTAGACAACCCTTTCCCAGTTTGCCCACGTCATGTGCGTTCCCAGTGTGTGTGCCCCCAAGCCTGTTTATGTCAGTTGCACTTGTCACTGTAAACAGGTAATTTAACCAACTGTAACATAAGCCAATTAAATAACAGTGCAGAAAAGTTATGTTTCTATGGTAATTAATGTAATGCATTGGGAAGGTTGCTAAAAAATTGCTGTTGAGTTAGGGGTGGGCAAGACTATAAAAGATCAGAAGAAAAATAAACCCATACATGGGGATTTGTGTACATCGATGGCCTTGCAAGGAATCAAAACCAGAAATCTCTCAGGTGATAGTTCATGCGAGAAAGACAACACGATCTTTATGACTGTGAACTCGGGAAGCCTGTTCACCTTTCTGAACTTCTTGTTTCTTGACTTTAAAATAAGTAAAATAATTCCTACCTCACAGAGTTGCCATGAGGAACAGTGAAGCCACGTGCAGTCCCATTTCTATCTTTTGCTTCCTTACTGATGATTCCTCTCTCCGCTTCCTGCCGTGACATCCTTCTCCCATTCAGCATGCCTTGGGCTTCATCCACAAGTTTGCAGTTCAGCTCATCTGATCATAATTAGGGTTTAAGGCATGGACCCCCACGAAGAGGGGCATCTTCAAAGTGCTTCAAAGGAATGCATGGATGAAGGTAGATTCCCAGCAGTGTGACACAGCAGCAGGGTGACAGTCTGAGCTGGAGAACCTCCCTGGCAAATCACAATTCCTATGACTGGACCCCGGTGAGGGTGTGTTTGTTCTTTCTAATGTGTGATCTAGCCCTCTTTGTACCCTTACAATGACATACACAGCTTCCTGGGGTTCAACTAAACCTCAGACTCCAGAGCAATCATAACTCAAGCCAGGGGCACCCAAAGGAAATGGAAGGTCGAGAAAGGAGTTGTTGGCCTGGGATATCCAGCTGGGGCAAATCTGGCTGAGTTAGAAGATGAACCAATTAGTGGAGCTTTGCGGCCAATGGACTGAGGCCCTGAGAAGCTAGCAGTGGCAGGAGCAATGGCAGGGCCAAGTCCTCAGAACTGGAATGAGTGAACACACTGATCCCTGCTCCATTCAGACCTCTTGCACCCTGGCTCTTGCCCAGTGGCCCAGAGTGTCAGCAAGAGGTTTGGCTCTCCCGCACCTGCACTCCTGGATGGGCTCTGTTTGTCTTTCAGGGATGAAAATGCTACCTATGGCTGGGTCCAGCTCCTTGCTGTCAACTGAGATCTCTCCAAGTACCTATCACTTGGTACCACATGCCCCCAAATCCTGGCCTATGGAACTTAAGAGAGATCACAAAAGGGATCAGTGTGTGGATTCATTCCTAGTTCTGAGGACCTGACCCTGCCTTGCTGTTGCCACTACTAGCTTCCCAGGGCTTCAGGCCACTGGCCCCAAACTCCACCAATTCATTCATCTCTTAACTCAGCTGGATTGATCCCAGCTGGATCCCCCAGCCTAAGGGGGCTGCTTCAGCCTCACTTCTGCTGCCAGAAAGGCAATGCCCCTAATTGTGCCTGGAGCCTGGCAAAGGCACCCATTAAAGCCCTTTGTGTATGGGGGTGGAGAGAGAAAAGATGGGGAAATTTGAATAGATAGCAAACTCTTTTCTCCTTTGCATTGGTTTCTGTATTTTGGAAGGAGCCAGGCAGACCTGGGTCCATGATTAGTGTGAAATCTTGGGGCACCCTCATAGCCCTCCTGAGCCTTTGTTTCTCCCCCTGCAAAGTTGGAATGATGATGTTGAAGCTAATGTCAACAACATAATGCCTGTAAACACCTTTTTTTCCCCCATATATGACCTGTTCTTATCAAAGAAGCAATATTGAAAAATGAGAGATTTGCTGTAGCAGACTGGTCCAAGGGTGGTAGTTGGGGGTGGGGCAGGAGGAACTAGGTGTTCCTCCTGATGGGGTTACCTCCCTGCTTGTCCTGGGCAACCAAGCCTAAGATTGGACTTTTTGGCTTCTGGCTTATTGATCTTGACAGAAATTGTTCAGAGATAGAGCAGAGAACTCATTTTTCCATTTAGCCAAACTAATGCCAGCTTATTCAAGACCACAGAGCAGGTCAAGGTCAACATGGGATCAGGCTTCCAGAGCTCTGGCTCTCATGGTTAGGGCTAGGAAGTTGTGCAGGCTGCCTCCAGCCAGTCCGTCTCTCTGTGTTCTGTTGACGGGCACAGGATGTTCGGTGGTTGAGGCTGCCTGGGCTCCATCTGGGGCAGCCTGGTGGGTGGGGCTGCACTAGGGCACTCTGCCCTTTCTTCTTGGGTGGCTGTCTGAGCCCTAGCTGCAGCTTGCCTGAGTAGGACCACTCTTTTCCTATCAACTCCGGGGGCTGCTCCTCAGTGTTTTTCTCAGGGAAATAACCTCCCAACCCCATTACAAAAGGGCAGAGAGGCAGAGTAAGGAGTGGGCAAGGCAGACCGAGGTAAAACCCAGGGTGACCAGGAGATAGAGTGATGCCTGCATTCAATCATTCGCTTGGGTCTGACTTGCAGCCAGGATGCACCAGTATCCTTTTAAAATAGTGAAATTCTCCCACCTCGGCTGCTAAGTAGTTACTTCCCAGAGCTCTGTGAGCACCACCTCCTGCCAAGTACCCTCCTTCAGTGGAACCTCCGGGCTCCTGCTCCAGGGCTGGTTGTTGAATATTTTACTACCACTCCTGTTCAAAGATGCCAGAAAACTCTTTAATTGAAAACCGTCCCATGAAATAGGATGTACTTACTTGGGAAATGCCATTATTCATTCATTCAGAGAGCAAATATTTATTGAGCACCTAGTATCAGCCAAGGAAAGGGCCAGGAATTGGGGCACAGTGCTGGATCACATCAGGTCCCTGCTCACAGTCTTGCTGTGAACCGGGAAGAAAGGAGGGGGAGACACAGCCGTAAACAGTGACAGAGAGAAAGAGGAAACATGGCAGAGAGAAAATGACCTGGGCTGACACCTCTGCTTGGAGCCACAGGGAAGGAGGCTGTTCGGCCCGTGGGGAGGGGCCTCCAAGTCCAGCTTGGAGCTGTCCAGGTTCTTCAGTTCCGTCCAATTATCCACTAACGATTCACAATGAATAGATTAGGAAGGGGACTGAGGACAAGGACGCTTAATTATCAAGCGGAGGAGAGGAGGAAACACTGAGCGTCCCCTGACAGGTCTCAGGGAAGGCGGGTGAGGGGAGGATGAGAGGAGGTGGAAGCTGCAGGGCCTGGCTGCTCCAGGACCACTGCTGGGGCTTCTGAGGGGTTGGGCCAGGCCACCAAGTCCTGGACACCCCAGGGGCCAGAAATGGAGCTCAGAGTCTGGGAAGGATAGAAAGGACTCTGGCTTCAAGGTGGAAGGGAAGAGGTATTTGGGGACTGGCAGCTGGGTGGATACAGAGCTTATTCATTAAAGGCAGGAGATTTCTGAACATCATCTCATCTTTCCTCCATGAGGACTGGAGCTCCCAGAGCAAGGGGTTGGGCCCGTGGCATTTGTCTGCTGGGAACCATGGCTCTAACCCTGATATGTAGTTGTACTTGTCTCAGGCTGAGAAAGACATTGGACTCTGTTGCCACCTCCACTGCCACCTTCTCCCCAACACCAGGTCCCCACCTACCCTGGGGTAGGAGGGATTCCACACAGCCTCTTCCGAACAATCACCACCAGCATCTCCACTCCAGACACAAAGGCTCAGCTATAATGTGAGTTCCCAATCTTCCCTGCTGTGATACTCCCAGCAGTCCAAGGGGTGGGCAGACAAGGCGTTTTCCCACCCTTAGGCCCAGGGGGAAAGGGGAGCTCAGAGAGGTGACTAAGTTTGCCCAGGGCCTCACAGGTGATGTGCCTGGAGGTGGGACTTGAACCCAGATCTACCTGCTTCTGCGAAAACTTCTCTCCACAGCTTGATACTAACTTGTCCTTCAGACCTGAGGGTGCAGATGAAGAGGGCTGGCTGGTGGCCTTTGCACACAAGAGCAGCTCAGCTTGAAGTCCTGTCCTTCTGCCTTCCATGGAGACTCCCCCCAACCAAGCCTCATTTATGCTCACCCTGTGAGGCACCTTTGAGCCCCTGGGCTGGTATTCCAAGGTACCCATTCTGCACATTTGGTGATGTTCTCTGGCCTCCAGGGAACTTCTCTGCTCTGGTACTCGAGCATCCCCCACCTCTGTGACATGCCTGTTTGCAATGGAAGTGCCAGGGACCTGGGGCGATGCTCATTGCATTAATTTAGTTTCCATGTGTTTGAATCACAGCCCATACAGATTTTTAGCTCCTTGATCCCACAGTCTGTCCACATCCCCTGCCTTGCTCACACCATGGGGGCCACCGACCACATGCTGATTGATGACAGAATCTGTGAGCTCGGGCAGGAAGAGGAACACAGGCAGACATGAGGCAGAACGTTCCTTAACAAGGGGTGAGAGAGATTGGAGTGGGAGAATCAGTGTTTGATTTTCATTGGGTTTAATTCCTGCCAGGGGTGTTCTTTCCAAAGGAAATGAAGGTTTATATATTTTAAACTATGTTGTCCTTGGAAAAGAGTGGAGGGTTGCTGCATGTCTACTGTGTGCTAGGTGTTTTGCAGACATTGTCTCATTTAATTCTCACAATTGTTCCATAAGTGGGTATTTCAAGTTTGCAAATGAGAAGCCCAGACTTGGGAAGAAAAGGTGACTTGTCTAAGGTCACCTGGTTAGAACAAAAGCTGGGCTTTAAACAGAGGGGTCTTGGACTCCAAAGCTAATATTCTTTCTTTCATTTGATAAGGTGTACAGGAAACAAACGGGGAATTTAGGGGTTGGGATGAGGCTGCCTTAAGCCAAATGCACTATCTTGCCCACCTGTCATGCTTCCAGGGAGAGGTCAGGAGCTTCCTGACCAGAGGCTCCTGGGAAATTATATGATCATCTTGCAGTTCTGTCTAAAGTTTCTCATGTTCTCAATGAATGCCCATAACCACTGGAGAATATAGAAGTCTCATCTCCATTTCACAGATATGGAAACTGAGGATCAAAGAATTTGAGAACTTATTCAACATGGTGACAGAGGTAAATGGCTGAACTAGGAATCTAGCAGCCACCTGACTTCAAACCCAGTGTTCTTGCCACTATCTCTCACTGCCTGGACCACTTCTAGTGCCAAGTAAGAGACCATAGACCTATAAGCAGGGCCTGAGACTCACAGACTCAGGCCAGAGGTCACAACCAGGACAGTTAGTGCAAAAGGGCAAGAGATGTGTTTAGACCATGGGACAAGGCATGTAGGGTCTAAGGAGCTGAGAAGTTTCAGACTCCGAGAGATGGGTGTGTCTATATTAAGATCATCTAGCTCAAACTGCTAGCTCATACAGGTGACATGACAAATCTCAAGCAGATGCAAGACTCAAACCCAGCCCTCCCTTGTCTGATAATCTCTATATTAAGAGCAACTGCAGGAAGTGGGACGCTTCAGAGGTAAACTCTAACCCCAAGAGGCAGCTGCTTCTCCTCTCCCAGCTGAGATGTTCCAGGTACCCAAGATAAGTGTCCTCTGCAGCAGCTTAGGCCTTCCAGAAGGGTCTCAGGTGTCCTTGGTTGTCCAAGTTCTGGATGTTTCACAAGGATGGTAGAACCATCACCTCCTTGCCCTAAATTCTGCCTCTTCTTCAATCCCAGCAGCAAATCTCAGGTACCTCCATGCAGTGGATGGAAGGGCTCTTTGAGGCCCAGGGTCTTCTTTTTGACTTTTATGCTTCTGAATTTGGGATGTCCAGGACAGGAGCGTGTTATTGAAAGGACTGGTGCTTCTTTTTCTGTTCCTTCCTAAGACCCGGCTGGGCTTCTGACACCTTGAATGTTTAATGGGGGTGGGAAGTGGCATTTGAGGCTCTTGTGTTGTATTTGGTTACCAGCTTAATGACATCCTGGGCTGGAAGGAGTGTTCTGGGTGGTGGTGGGGGCAGGGGGGAGTAAGGACGCTGGGAAGGAGGGGAACGTGCAGCAGGACGTGGCCTTCTCTGCTTGCAGTGGTTCAGCCTGGGGTGAGCCTGGAGGGCCCTTCTCTTCACAGCAGGCAGAGGCAGCTTTCTAAACCTTCAATCTGACCATGTCCCTTCTTTGCTTAAAATCCTTCAAAGTCTCCCTGTCACCCACTGAATCCAGCTCAGATGTGTGGCTTCAAGGTCCTTCCTGACATGGCCCCTGCCCGCCTCTGCAGCCTCCTCCCCAACTCCTCACTCTGTAGCTCTTCAGTCTGGTATGATGAACTCAGTCAGCCCATCCACTGGAGTGAAGGCCTCCCCATAGGTTGTTCTCTCTGCAATGCCATCTTCTGTCCCACCTCGTCCATCTTGTCTTGACCTGACTGTTTCCTCCACATGCTTTCTTTTCCCGGGAAGCCCTCCAAGATTTCTGAAGTTCAGACTAGGTGTCTCTCCTCTCACTTCCATAACACCCTGTGCCTCCCTGCCACTATGAGCGACACTATCACTCCCTGAGTGTATGATTCTTTTCTTATCTCCCATTAGACTCTGAACTCCAAGCAGGCAGGGGTACACCTTGCTCAGAATGGTAGTACTAGGGTCCAGTCTCTTGCTACTCAAAGTGTGGTCCATGCCTGGCAGCTTCCGCATCACTTGAAATGTTATTAGAAATGCAGAGTCTCAGGTGCCACTCCAGACCTCCTGAATCAACGTCTGCATTTAAACAAGATCCCAGGTAATTTGTGTGCATGTTAGACTTTTTTTTTTTAATTTCAATAAGCTTTCTCCGGTTGAATCATATTAAACTTTGAAAAGCTCTGATCTAGCCATGGGCAAAGTAGATGCCCATTCACTGTTTTTTGAGCAAATGAAGGAATGCAAAAAGACTGCAGTGAGAGGACATTCTCAGACAGCCTGCAACAACCCCTGCACCCTGAGTGGCAGGGAGGGGGCATCAGCGCCAGGGCCCAAGGACCATCGTCCAGCTCATGCACTCCTCCATACATTGTTCAGTGAAACCTTATGAGGGTAGGATCATTAGACCTCGTTCATGTATTTGGAAGCTGAGGTTTAGAGGTGCTTTCCTCAAGAATAGAGAGTGGCAAAGCCAGGGTCTCAACTTCCTCTCACCACCTCTATCTAACTGAGAAGTGCAGAGAGAGAGGGAGGGGATGGGAATGGGGTGTGCTAGGCAGGACTTGCTGGGCCAGGCCCAGGAATGAGCTCACTTCAAGATGGAATTGAAACCTACTCCCATCAGAGGAGGTGGTGGAGGGACTTTGGGTGGAGGCCGGGCAGGTTTAATTTGTGGCTGAAATCCCAGCTTCCACTCTGGGGGGTCTCAGGTCCTTCAGCCTGGCTGGAGTTTGCTTCATGTTCCTTGGGTGGTGCCCTCTCTCCCTTCTGTGTGGGAAATCTATCCCCCTCACTGGGCTTTTCTGCAGCCCACACCCGCCAGGCCACATTTCCTGGGCTCAGCACAGTCTGGAAGCCTTCCCGTCCCTGCAGGCAACTGCCTGGAGCTGAGTATACCAATTGCTCCTTCTTCCCCAAATCTCTTGCTTTGTCTAGGGGGGTCTAGAAGCAGCTCAGCAGAATGTGGAACCTGGAAGACAGGCTCTAATCCAGCCCCCTCGTTTTTGAGACCAGGAATGAAGGTTCAGAGGCAGAGGGCAAGTTCCCCAGAGTCAGAGCTTGCACAGCAGGTCATGGGCAGCACCAGGCACAAGGGTCCAGGCAGCTGCATGTGCCTCCATGGCAATGGGCAGCCTGCTCAGAACCTCTGTGCACTCACAGGTAACACTTGCCATTTTTATTACTAGCTATTATTTATTGAATACTTGCTGCATGCTAGACACTGTGCAAAGCACTTAATATACATAATCACATTTACTCCTCATAATAACCTCATGATTTATTTACTATTTCTATCATTATTGTTATTATTCTCATTTTTAAGATAAAGAAACCAAGGTTCAGAGAAGTGAAGTAACTTGCCCCAAGGTGCACAGTTAAGAAGTAAAGCAGTAGAGATTTAAAGCCAGTATCGTCAGCCACCTAGCCTTCCTCTGCTAAGCCTCGTCTTGTGTGGGCTCACTCATACCCAGGGACACAGATCATTGTAGTGCAGCAAGACAGGGGTCCTGTGTCTCTCTGAGGGACTGGAGATCAGAGCAGCACTGTTTTGCAGGCACTTGCTGTTTTATTTACAAAGTACTCCTATGATCTTCACATTATCTCCGTGCCTGCTAGAAACATGTAAAGCTGGCCATGTAGATATTTTTGCCATTTAACAGGTTGGGAAATTGTGTTTACTACTGCAAGGCACACAGCTTACTGGACCTGGGTGGCAGTGCCAGTGTTGTGAGAACACACTGCTCCCTGCCCAGTTTTGTGATAAATGCAGGGACCCTCGAGGCACTTAACATAAACTCATTGGTGTGTTCAGACCCATCAGTGCTGGACCCTATAGTCTGCAGGACTTTCACTGCTGGGGTGAAGCTAGACACAGGAAGGCATATTCCATATGTACCCTCAGGATTCCTCTATAGCAAAGAGTCTGGAAGTGTGAGGGTGAAGCCCTCCCCCAACCTGCCTGGATTTGCTAGAGCGTTCTATTTGCTCATCCTCATGGCCAACAGATGTTTGTGGAGGGAGATGTCAGCAAGCAGGGGGCTGCCATTGCTACTGGTTAACTATGTGGCTTTGGTCAAGTCTCATAATTCCTTGGAACCTTGGTTTTCTCACTTGTCAAGAGGGGGACTGATGTTTACCCTGCAGATTCCTCAGGAATTTTGTGAGGGTTGGATGATGCAATGTAGCTGAAAGGGCTTCAAGAAGAACAAAACACTATTTATGGAAGGATTATTTCAGGCTTAAAAAAAGGAGGCCTGGGGATGGCAGTATGGAAAGGCAACATTTATTGAGCATCTACGATGAGTACTTTATAGACTTGTCTCATACCACCTTCCACACAGCTCTTCAGAGAGGTACTATGGGAGTTTTTGCTTCTGATTCCAGCTGAGAAACTCTTAACAGACCACACCTGCCACAGATAATAGCTGTGAACTCTGAACAAAATATTTAAAAAATCGTTCTCAGAAGGAGAGTAACTTAAAGTGGGCAGATTCCAGAAGGGTTCGCGTGGGTGTTTATTGGCACTTGGGAGAAGGGAAGGGCACTGAGTAAATTTCGCTTTCTTAATAAGTTTAGCCGGAGGGCAAACCCCAGTACTCCTCATGCTAGGTGTCTTAGATGGGTCGAAACCTCGTCATACTGATTTGAAGAGCCAGGGAATAGATTTCAAGGCAACTATGGTAGCTGAAAAGTAAAGGAGGAAACCTTGAAAGAGGCAAACCAGGGTGGGGAACCTCAGACTCTGTGTACAACCTCTATCAAATATCTGGCTTACCCCTGAACCAATGCATATGCAGGACAGACACCAAGGTGCCCAATTAAGGCTAATGGAACTGAAATTTCAGGTGCCATCCACCAAAGGGGTGACAGTTTTGCAGTGAGAATTTAGTCAAACTAACTGCTTAATTAAACAAGCAAACAACAAACAATACTTTTTATAGCAATATACAGAATCTAAACACTTTATACTATTTACTTTATCCAGTATGTAATTCAAAATTACTAGCCATAGGAAGAAATAGGAAAACTTTACCCATAGAAAACATTTGAGACTGGCCCTAAAATGACCCAGATTTTGGAATTAGCAGACAAATATTTTAAAGCTGCTCTTATAACTATGCTCAAGGATATAAAGAAAAGTATGTCTACAATGAATGTAAAGACTGAACTACCAATGTTAGCAAAAAAAAAAAAAAAAAAAAAAAAAAGAAGAAGAAGAAGAAATGAAAAGAAACCACAGAAGAGAACCAAATGCAAATTTTAGACTTGGAAATATAACATCTGAAATAAAGAAATATTATAAGCATGATTTACAAATAAAATAAATTCAGGTTCATAAAGATTGAGTAATTTTCCTAAAGTCGAGCTGACAAGCAATACAGCAGGAATTTGAATTTCAAGTCTATCTAGCTTTAAAACCTATACTTTTTCAACCTCATTATATGGAATTTAGAGCTTAGCAGAAGTCTGTGGGAAAGTGAAAATAGGATATGAGCATTTCTGAAATTCAACTAAGATGAGTTTGTCTCACTAAAATACCTTGCTGTTAAGTCTGCTGTGGCTCCTTGAGAACAGCCAACAGGATGATCTACCCATGGTGCTGAAATTTGTCCTCTATCCAAAACTTCAGTGTCTACTGATTATTTGCACCAAGGAGTGGAGAGAGAAGTGATTATAAACCACAACATAGAGCTCAGGCTCTGGAACCAATTCATTTTGGCTATCAAGGCTACTGCAATGCATTTCTCCATCCATCGCTGTCCGTGGGTTTTGCCCATGTTTGGCATAGATCTTTTCCATGTTTTGCAAAAATATTATCCTTGGGGTAGAGACAGAGAGTGGGGGTCTTCATGCATTTACATCACCTTCTTATGGCTGAGATCTAGTTAAATTGAATGTATATTCTGTGAGTTTGATAATGTGCCCAGTGTTGTGCATGGTATTGTGGAAGGCAGAGAAAGATGATACCTGCTTTTCAGAAGTGCCCACCTGAAAATAAGCAGAGAAGGAGCAGGAACAAGGCTAGCAGGGTGGGCTCATGGTCTACTGTGTGTTCTTGGCAAGACCTACCTTGAGGCTTAAGGGTTGGGAGAATGTCACTATAGGTTGGGGGCAAGCAAAAATGCTTTGTAGAAGAGGTGGGATGTCACCTGTTCTGTAAAGGCTAAGCTTAGGAGAGGAAGGGAGAAGACCATTCCAGGACACAGTTGGTGCTTGACAAATATTTATTAAATGGAAGCATGAATATACAATTATTTTCTTCCTGGATATTTTAAAGTATCTGTCTTTTTAAGTGATTGTTTAAAATATTAAAAACAGACTATTTTAACACTATCTGTAATAGCACCAAACTGGAAACTACCCAAATGTCCATCAATAGTAGAATGGATAAGCAAATCATAATATAATTATACAATAGAATAATATCTAGCAATTAGAATGGCCACTCTACAATGACACACAACCTTATGGAAGCATGATGTTGTACAAAAGGAGGTATACACAAAGGAGGAGCAGTTATAAGATTTTGTTTCTATGAAGTGCAAAAAGAGACAGAGCTAATCTATGGTGCTTGAGATCAGTATGGTGGATTTAGGCAGTAGTGATGGGAAGGGAGTCCAAGGGCAGCTTCGGGAAGGCTCTATTTCTTGATCTACATATTATGTACACATTGGTTCAGTTTTTGAAAAATGTATGGGCTGTGCACTTATGATAAGTTCATTTTTCTGTATGTTGTATTTCAATAAAAAGTAAACCAACAAACAAAAACAGGCTATGTTCTCAGCTTGACTTCCTAGACCCCATGTTCTCTTGCCTTCTCTCATCGATACCAGATGGCATGACCTGTGAAGATATTTTTTAAAGAATGGCAGGCTTTGCTCAAGGAGTAGCCTCTCCTAAGACCAGAAGAGAAAAGGCAGATAATCTTTTCCCCCATTTTAATGATTGGGAAACTGAGGCTTGTAGATATGAAATAAAGCCCTTTTTTCATATAGTGAGTCACTGTAAGAAAGAACTTTTGTCTTCTGGGAGCCTCCATCCTGTGGCCCAGCTAATAGGTACCTGTTCAGCCAGATGCACCTCAAGAGACAAAGACTGTTACAGGAAGTCAGAGTGATGGGTGGGAATACCTGGAGGTGTTCAGTGGGCTTTGCTATCCCCCACTTTCATGGTCATGTCCACATAAAGTAGCACCTGGAGGGTTCTCAGCCTGCCATCTGCTTTTGTGAGATTTGAGTGAGTCAGTTATTGTCCCTGGACCTGTGGCCCCAACTATAAAATTAGGGATTGAACTCAATAACAATAAGGCATAAGTTTCCTCCCAGTTCTAATATTTCAGGTATAAATCTGAACCAGTGCCATCCATATTAGATTAGGCAGAGTCTCTGCTATTCTGTACCCTTAGAGGGCTGTGCGGGGTCAGGATTAAAGAAATAAATCTGAAATCTGTATGATATTTTAAAGCATTTCTTCATTCATTTGTTCACTCATTCACTCCAGAACCCTTCATTGAGCATCTGCTGTATGCTAGGTCCTTAAATAACTTACATTCTGGGGAGACAGACACAGTAATTAGTTGTAAAAGTGTATCAGTGTCATACATACAGTTACATATCAAATGCTGTGGACATACAGAAGACTTTATTGGTGCTTTGGGGGTGAGGTTAGGCCACAGAAGGCTTCCTAGAGGAGGCGATATTTGAGCTGGATCTGGAGGAAGGAAGAGATCAGACTGGGTAAATTGAGGTAGGAGTCAGTCACATCCTTGTTAGAGAGAAGAACGTATCTAGAGGCAGAGGAGCTGGAAAGGCATTTCTGTGGGTTCAAACCTGAACACGGAGAGTGAGTGGCAACAGCTGAGGCTGAAGCCTTGAACACCATGATTTTGTGTAGGGTGTAGGATTTGGCAGTGGGGGCCACATTCAGGATGAGTGTGAGACTAGAGTGAGGTGCAGGACCTGTGAGGGACCCTTCTCCTCGCTTTTCTACCACAGTTCGGTGAGACTTGGGTGCACATCCCCCGCCCTCTTAGATTGTCCAGTCAATAAGCTCTATAAGGAGCCAAAGCTAAAAAGCAAGATCAATGTAGTTGCCATCGATCCTGCCTCAGCGGCTGATTAGTACCAGGGACTTGGCTGATCCTGAGAGCTCATTGCTAATGCACCATGAAACTCAGATTAAACTAGTAGCGCCCAGCAGCCCTGGGGAAAGCTTCTGCCCTCTCCAGATGCATGGGGGTAGTGGAAGAGGTCCTGACCCCAACTTGCTGGAGCCTTTTGCTACCCAGATGAACAACGTAAGTCCCCTAAGCAACCAGCAGACATCTGATCATGGCATTTCTTTGCTTAACTCCTCTCCATGTACCCCATTGCCTCTGGGGTCTGTGCAAACTCCCTAATTGGGCAAACCTGCCCTCTGCAATCTGGCCCCTGACTGCCTCTTCCAGCCTCAAACATGTTGCCTTCCCCTTACCTTCTGAGTCAGTCCAGCAGAACTGCCTTCAGGGCCTCCAACTTTGCCATCACATTGCATGGAGTCACTTGTCATTTCTTCCAGTAGCCTTCCCTAACCCTCCTTCCACCACCACCACTAAAATCTGACTTAGGCACCTTTCCAAGGTCTCCCTGTACTTTCCTGAGCAGACCAAGGATAAGAAAATACTGTAATTGCTTACTTTCTTGTCTCATCCTGCATTCAGAATCACCTTGGAGCTTTGAAAAATATATAGATTCAGATTCGTTGGCCTGGAATGGGGCTTGGGTACTGATGCTTTTGCCACTTCCCTCCAGGGATCCTAAGGTGCAATCGTAGCTGAGAATCACTAGACCAGAGTCTGAGCACTAAGGAGTCAGGGACCAGGTTGATCACTTAGCCTCTCTGTCCCTGGCACCTAGCACAGTGCCCTGGCACATAGTATGTGCCCAGTGAATATTTGTGGAATTGTACTGTCCTGGAGGGAACATAAGGCCTAGGCTGAGCACTCTCACCAGCTAGAATGTTCCTCTGTTGGACAGTACAAAGAGCCGGGTTGGCTCTCAGTGAATAGCTTAGGTCATTGAGGAAGCTCTTCCATAACACATCATATCACATTTAACTCCCAGCTGGTCTGTGAGGCAGGAAGATGAGTAATAAAATGTCCTTTTGTCAAGGGGGACCCTGAAACCCAGAGAAGGTAAGTGGCCATGCCTGAGTATCACAGCAAGAATGAACAGAGCCAAGATTCCTCCCTGTCATCTCTCCACAATTTCTTTCCTTAAGTCTTGTTACCAAGCGCTTCCTTAGACTGAATCAAAGTCTCCTCTGAGGCCAATCGTTCTGCAGTCATTGGCCCTCACCCCTTTCCCTGTCTATTCCCTTTCCCTGGGGCAACCTTGCCACAGTGGAAGGGGGTGGCCTCCCTAGGCCACCAGCTGAGGGAAGCAGTTGGAAAGGCTGGCATGGAAGCAGTGGCTCGAGAGTGCCAGGCCAGAAACCAGCAGAAATGGGCTCGAGGCCAGTGTCTGTCACTTATGAGTCCTGTGAACTTGCACCTGTCACCTGTCTTCCTAGGGCCACACCAGCAAAGCAGGAAGTGCAAACTCCTGAGCCACTGGCCCCATCCAGAAAATGGGGCTGACAACTCTCAAAGTACTATCAGGTGAGATGACATACAATAAAGGACTGTGCAGACCTCAAAGGGCTGTGCATAAGGATCATAAAGCTTGGAGGAGAGGCTTGGTCCAGACATTCACCTCATCTCTTCCTGGGCTTTAGCCTGAGCTTGCTTCCCCTAATCTCTCCATTTCTATAAAAACAGCTGCTCTTTTTGGCCTTCCCCATGGGATACTAACCAGAGCAGACCAACCACAGCATGGGAAGCCTCACTAACATGCTCCATGGTAGTTTATTTGGATTCAAGAGCTATGAAATGAGACATAATGATGGATCAGCTTGAACAAGGACAGGGAGATAAGGGTCTCTTCTGTATCCTGTTTTCCTGGGAATTTGGAGGCAAGGGGCCGGGGCTTCTGTCTGGCTGGAATGGTAGGGATCCTGACCTCTTGCTCCTTTGTGAAGTAGAGGAGCCCCTCAAGAGCATCCATCCCATCTGCTCAGGAAAAGCTGAGCACCCTAAGACAGGAGAATGTGGGAAGTCCCATAGGATCTCTTCCTTAGGGAAAGGCCAGGGAGGGGAATGGGAGTGGGAGAGAGAGACAGAGGTTGGCAGAGTAGGACAGGTCCCCTTGTCCTGGGCCTAGAGTGGGGTAGCCATGTTCAGGAAACCCTGCCACCTGAGGCCCAAGTCAGGACAAGATTCTCAGGGCAGGAATACTCAAAGTGGGGAAGGGAGAGAAGCTGACCCTCTGGCTCTCTTGATTCTCACCCTTCCCAAATCACAGCCAATGTCCTTGGCACACCAGCCTCCCCTGGGGTGAAACCCCTTGGGTCCCAGGGGGAGCAGACACCGTTTGGCCTGCACATCTTAGGATAATTTTTTTTAATTTAAAATTATTCCTTTCCTTTTTAATGTCCAGGACACCAAAGTAGCAGGTTGAGTTCTGCTTTAAGAGGAAATTTTCTGCATAATCTGGGCCCTAAGACTCTTCTTGGAAAGCCAGAAAGGCTCAGTAATGGGAGCCAAACAGGGGAAGGGGAGGGATGTGTGGTCCACATAGAATTTACACTTTTCTTTGATATTTTCCCCAATTTTTGGAAGCTCAGATGCACCAAATTTGAGTAATTATCATCTTTGTTACACTCTCCTCATTGGGCCATGTTTGGTCCTATTTTTCTTTCATTCATCCATTTGCACATGATAACAATGCAATAAGTGCCCCCAACTCACCTCCTAACATAAAAGGAGAGTCCTTGACAATGATTGACACTTAATTGTGTGGCTTCCTCCTGCCTGTCCCATCTCCCTGCCTTTCCCCACCCAAGGTAACCATCATTCTGAATCCTGCCTTTTCTTAGCTTTCTTTTGAATGCACATATTTTATTGTATCTAAATATTTTCCAGTTGCCTTGAATTTTTGCTAATCCCCAGCCACTGCCCCTTTTGGGGCACTTGTCGTTACAGAATGCAGGAAATGAGATATGGGTCGCTCCATTATTTTTAGCTGCAATGAAACTTGTTACTGAAAGCACCTTGGGCTCCAGTGTTCTCTGAAGGGGAGGGCCCAGAATGGGAGGGAAATTCCTCATCTGAAGAGGCCAGCTAGCATCCAGAGAAGCCACTATTTAGGAAGTAGTGGGAAGGTTGTGCTTTGCTGGGCAGTGTTTAGAAGGTGGGCTCATTGAGTACGCCCCTCCTTCAAACCCTCACTTAATCTAGCCTTATCTGCAGCCTGGAGCCTCGCAAAACTAGCATATCCTCCCTAGATTGCTCAACCCTGGCAGAGCTGTTCCCCAGAAACCCTGGGTCTGGGAGGCCCAAATTTCTTCTCAGTATTCCCAGCCAATTTCTGCCCTCTTGAGGGTGCAGAGAAGGTGCTTATCAGGGGATTGGGGCTGCTGCCTAAGCTGTGATTACTGGGATAGAAGGGTGGCCCTGATGGTGTGTCCTGGGCCAGCGTGGCACAGACTTCCACTCCTGCTGCCTCGCTGCCAGCGTGCCAGCCCCAGGACCTCCATGGTGCTCATCTTGGATCTCCCCTTTGTGGCTTCTCAGACCAAGAACCAATTTTATCCATGAGTGAGCCTATATAATCATTTTCCGGTCTTGTCCACTGCTTGGGGAGGCTCCAGTGGGGGTGGGGACGGAAGCTGCTTGGACTGCAGAGGGTGGAGGGACAGGTCTGGCCTCAGTGGCGGGACAGCTGCCACTTCCTGCTGGAGGTGTCCAATCCTCTCCTGGCTGGCCGGCTCATGTCCCGCATGTTTTCCACGAGGAAACGGAGGCATTCATCAGCCCGAGTGAGGTCACTTTCAAGCCACTGTCAGAATCTCCTTCCCGATTACATTTTTGCCCTTAATGGATTTGGGGTGGAGCCCTGGTGAGGAGCACCTTCCCTGTGCACCCCCTCTCTCCCAGGATGAGTGTTGGGGCAGGGGAGAGGCACTCTGCCCAGAGCTTGGGATGCTACAGTGGGCCCAGAAATCTGAAGACCCTCTGAGCTCTCTAAAGCAGTCCCAACCAATCCAAATGCCATTATTTGTTATCAATTACAATCAGAGTCCCTGGAGACAGCCCCACCCTACACTTATTGATGGGGAAACTAAGACCCAGAAAGGGACAGTCACTCAGTTAAGCTTTCCCCAAACTGGTCTTCTGGCAGGACACACCTAGCTGTCACCCCTGCCTCCTCTCTTACCAGCTGCTGTCACTCGCTTTGGGCCCTGCAGCCTTGTACACATTTCCTCTGTGGGGGATAAGTCTTCCTAGACAAATCTGTTATCCTGGAGGGCCCCACGTCGCACAGGATAAGCACAGGGGTTGGCACTGATGGGTTGGGGTTCAATGCCTACCTCTGCCTCTTATTTACTATGTGACCTGGAGTGCATGATCCAACCTCTCCAAGTCTGTCTCTTTATCTAGAGAAAAACAAAGGTGCTGATAATAAAGTCTATCTTTCAGGCATGTTGTGAAGCTTGAATGAGATGTGACAACAGACCAACACAGTGTGTGGCACATGCTAAACAGTCAAGAAATCCTAGTGGTCAAGATTGTCACTGAGCCGGGGTGGGCTCCTATTCATCCTTCACAACCCTGCCAAGGCATTGCCTCCTCAGTGAAGCCTTCCCTGATGACCCCACACACAGACCTGAAGACTCTTGGGACCCTCACTGCTGCAGCTTCATTTTGGGCATGAATCACTTTCTGTTACCATTAATTTACATGTTTATTGTCTCTGCTGGAATGTGACCTTCGAAGGGAAGAGATATCTGTGTCATTCTCTGTTGGTGGGGCCAGAGCTGAGCAGAGGTGTCTCAGTGGTAGGCATCGAGTGGGGTCACTTTGGCTTGTTCATATCCCACCTCCCCAAGCCGGGGCTCCTCTCTTGTCCTTCTCTAAGTCCAATAAGCAGGCCCATTCTTCAGGGACTCTGTCTGCATTTGGTGGCCTTGGCTGCCCTCTCCTGACCACAGAGGGCAGAACTGCACCTGGGGTGAGGGTGAGGTTGGGGCTGGGGCAGAGAGGCAGGGAATTTGGGGGCATTAGCAGGAGGGCATTGGCCGAGCGAGGGTTCTACGTTCCTCTGTGTCTTGGGTCTCAGACCCTCTGAGCCCACAGGGGTAACCAGCAGAA
This sequence comes from Homo sapiens, assembly GCF_000001405.40. Lineage (NCBI taxonomy): Eukaryota > Metazoa > Chordata > Mammalia > Primates > Hominidae > Homo > Homo sapiens. Next base: position 34,443,882 of record NC_000017.11, on the reverse strand, counting down.
GACTGTGTCGTAGGGGTGGGGAGGAGGCTCTGGAAGGGCTTATCCTCCTGTGAAAAGCCAGCCTTGCATGGCTCACAGGGGACCAACTCTAAAGATGATGCCAGCCCAGCTCACCCCGAAGCCGACCTCCCTAGCAGGCAGCCTCTGAGAATGACCCCTGGGACACACGGTATCACACACAGGTACCAGGGCTGGCTCACCAGCTCACTGCCTCACGATTATCTCCTGCCTTCCTTAGGGAGTGTGACAGATTGAAAGAAGATGGTTCCAGCTAAGAGAGTCCTATAATTATCAACTGCGGATTATTTTAATTAAAATGCTTTGCATCCTCAGTTCTTAATTTCTAAAATGATTATAAATGTTATTATTAAAGAAAAATCCTTGAAGTGAGATCCATAAATCTCCGCCTGTGCTGAGATGACAGGGCGAGCTGGTGCAGCAGAGGAGACCCAGCCTGGGACTGTGACTCCAGGGAAAGGGAGGGAGGAAGAGAGGAGAAGGGAGGGGAGAGAGGTTGGGAGAAAGAAAATGGAGGAAGGGTGAACTTAGGGGGTTCCACGTGCACCCCTCCCACTCCACCTTCTAGCATTTGGGACTGAGAAATCAGAGCAGATCTGGGTTTGGAACTTGCCTCTGCTGTTTGCTGTGTGAGTTTGGGCGTGTCAAGAAACCTCTCTGAGCTTGGAGTGTCTCATCTTTAAAATGAAAATAATTGCTAATTGCTGTCTGGTAGAACTATTTTGAGGCATGTCAATAACATGCATAAAGCACTTGTCATAGAGTAGCTACACTGTAGCAATTGTGATTAGCTCCACCCCCACGCTCAGGAGGGTTCTTGCCAGTCCTCTGTTGCTTTATAGCTCCATCCTTTGGCTGTCACAGGCTCATGACAGGTGTCTATCCCTCCCACTCCAGAGTGCTGAGGAGGGGATCGCAGAGGCATGATTGCTGCCAGCCCCAGTCTGGCACCAAGGGTGGCACCCTTAGGTTCCAGCAGCCTCCCGTCACAGTGGGTAGGGCCGGAGGAGAAGAGGCCAGCACTGTCACTTGAAACACAAGGAATTGCAGGCCCAGATAGGAAACTGTCTAGCCCAAGGTCATCCAGCAAATTGCTGGCAGGTCGTTTTACCCATTTTAGCAGATGGCTAAAGCCTGCCTCTTGTATTTATTTTAAGCCTATCTTTTTAATGACTGAGAACCAGGAGATGACGCCAATGGTGACATTGATGAGGCAGAGAAGGAAAGGGGTTGTCAGCATGGAGGTGGAGTAACCCAGCGCTGGCCTGGGGGTCAGGACACCTGGACTCTGCCCTGAGCTCTCTCCAGTCCTGGCTGCTCTGTGACCTTGGGCTGATCCCTTCTCTTCCCGGACCTTTGTTCCCTCCTCAGTGAAATGGGGATGGTAATCACTGCCCCGCTGACCTCTCAGGCTGGTGTTGAGGATTGTCTGAGATGATGGATCTGAAAGTGCTTTGTAAGCAGGAAAGCGTGAAGCAAATGTAGGAGATTATTAACATTAATATTAATGAACTCGCTCATGGTTGGCTACTGGCCACAGAAAAGAGAATGTTGGGAGTCTGGGGAAGATGAACTTTTCCAAGCCTCTGTAGGGTTTGCAGAGGAGTCGGGGATGACAATTCTCTGCATGATCATTTCTTAAACTCCTGTAGATACAAGTACTTGAGGAAAAATCTCTTGAGATTTTCAGCCAGGGAAACTGGTAATGGGTGCAGAGTGTACTAGGAGCAGGTATAGGAGGGGCCTCTCTCCCCCTGGCAGGGGCAGTGACAGAGAACACTCACTTTCTTATCTAAAGACTGATCTCTGGGCTCAGGAGGCATCTAGGATTGAGGGCTGAGCTGCCTTCTTGGACCCCACTGAAGGTAGTGGGGTTTCCTTCTCTATTCACATCCCCTCTACTTTCCTTAGAAGACTAACTCATGCTTCCTTGGGAAAATTGCCGGGTGGAAGAGATGAGGACAAAGGCCGGCTCTCGTTCCCTCTCCCTCCTCCTCCTCTCCCCATACACCCGCAAGTGATTGAGCCTTGCTTCTATAGCTGTAGCTGTGCATAGAGTTCATTTGCATCCTGGGTCATCCATCCATCCATCTGTCCATCTGTCCATCCATCCATCCATCCATCCATCCATCCATCCCTCCATCCATCTGTCCATCCAGTCATCCATCCAACCATATGTTCAGTAAGGCTTTGTTAAAGTCTAAGATATGCCAGGACCTGGACCCATAGGTGAATGAGACCCTGTCCCTGTGGTTAGGGCTCAAAGGCTGCTGCAGGATCCAGATGACGGACCTGCAAACAGGCCACTATACTACCTGCCAAGATTTGGTGCTATGGGAACATACTGGAGCCTGGGGATGAGGGGAGAGTTGTAGGAGAGATTTCCTGGGGGAAGTTGTGTCTAAGCTGAACCTCAAGGGAGGATGTGCATGCTCATGCCCTCATTACTTAGCTCACATGGAAAATTCCAGTTTCTTGTCTCATAGAAGAAGGAGGCGTAGATCCGTGAGGCTTGGAGGAACTCTGCTTGTGGAGAGAGTCCCAAGGAGATGCAGTACCTGATGATATAAAGCCTTCCACAGCTTCTGCCCGTAGAGCTTGGGAGTCAGAATCCCAAGAGGGACTTTGAACACCAGCTCTGCCTCAAACAGACTGTGCCCTCAGGCCTCCTCCCTAAAGATGGGAGCAGATCGCAAGGATCTAAGAGCTGCTTGTGAACAGCACTCCAGAAAGGGTAAAACATATTGTCATTCCTTATCATTGTGCTGTTCAGCTGCTGGAGGTGTTTTGGTATACCCAGCAGGACTGAGGCTTGGAGAGCTCTGCTGGAGTTTCTTTCAATATTTGTTTAATTTGTACCAATCATGAGGTTTAAGAATGTGAAGATCTACAAGATGTCTTTGCATTATATGTGCAGTGTGTGTGTGTGTGTGTTTGTGTGTGTGTGAGAGAGAGAGAGAAGAGAGAGAGAGAGAGAATGAGGCCTGAATGCTCACTTAGGACTGCAAGGAGCTCTGTGTGTGTGAAGTCCCCAGTGCACATATGCAGACTGGTGTGCACATACCCACACACTTCCTTCTGTCCCACAGCATCACCACACCCTTGACAATTCATGTTACCCCATCCCCTGACTGCCCTGGAGTAGCCCCAACTCACACTCACTTTGTTTCCAGGTATCTATCTCATTGGCACCTCAGAGCTAACATCCTGTTCCATGTAGTACAAACTTAAATGCAGACTTAGCAAATTACCCATCTATGCAAATGGCCCTATTCTAAGTAGACTTTGATGAGTGCTAGAATAAGGAGCCCAAATTCTGCACAGTGTGAGGGAGAGAATATTCTGGGGGGATTCTGGAGGGAGAGAGCATTTTAGCTGATTGCTGAAGGATGTTGGGTTTTTGCATGAGCAAAAATAAAGAGGCAGGATCGGGTATGGTGAGCGTTGGGAATGGCAGTGCTGAGAGCGGGTAGAGGGGGTTGTGCGGTGAGGGCTGTTGACGGTTGGTTGGGTGCCAGCTGGTGCCAGGTGCTGTGATGGTCATTCCATAAGGCCAGCAGCACCCAGAGAGTGGCTGGCTTTGGCTGCCAAGTGGAGCCATTGTGATGGGGAGTGTGCCTGAGCCTGGTGCCGAGGCCAGGGGAAAGCAGACCTGGGCCTCAGGGTGGTGGATCTGCAGTCGTGTGCTCAGTGGGCCTGGGGGCAGCTCAGAGGCTGGGGGCAGTGAAGCCTATTAGGAGGGGGCTGGGTCAGCTCAGGAGAAAGGCAGTGGGGAGGGCCGTGGGGACAGAATAAAAAGAGAAAGGGAGCATGGTGCGGTGGCTCACGCCTGTAATCCCAGCACTTTGGGAGGCCGAGGTGGGCGGATCACAAGCTCAGGAGATCGAGACCATCCTGGCTAACATGGTGAAACCCTGTCTCTACTACAAATACAAAAAATTAGCCAGGCGTGGTGGCAGGTGCCTGTAGTCCCAGCTACTCAGGATGCTGAGGCAGGAGAATGGCGTGAACCTGGGAGGCAGAGCTTGCAGTGAGCTGAGATCGCGCCACTGCACTCCAGCTTGGGTGACAGAGCGAGACTCTGTCTCAAAAAAAAAAAAAAAAGAGAGAGAAAGGAGGGGAATAATGGCGTAGGAGCCTAGACATGCAACTTCACACCCTAAGACTAGGAAGATGCTTCTAAGGAACACATGAGGGAAGACAGCTCAATGGGGTGGGGAGATGGCAAGCCTGGCATTTGGACACTTGAGCCCACTCCAGTCCTCCCCTTTCCCTGCAGAGAGGGGTGAATGAATGAGAAGCAACACTCACGGAGCACCTCTTGTGTGCTGCACCTACTGTGTGCCACACCCAGGGTACAGGGCTCTGAATCTGGTATTCAATACCCTCCTCCCAACAAGCCTGCCAGGCAGCTGCTATCGATCCATTTCACAGATAAGACAACACAGCCTTAAGGAAGTGGGTAACTGGCCAGAATCACAGGAGGAGGATCAGGTCTGACTGCACAGCCAGTGTTGGTCTCAACTCTCCTCCCTTTCTCCAGCTTGACCACCCTCCTCTCCCCTCCAACTCCAGTTACAGGCCCGCCCAGCCCATCTCCTCAAGGCACTCCTGTGAGCTGAGAAGGACAAGCACATCCTTTCTGGCTTCTACCCTCAAAGAACTCAGCACTTTGCAGTTGATTACTCCACAGCCCTTTGATTTGTGAGAGAAACTGGCGGCAGGGCTGTCCCTGGCCACCAGCAGAATTAGAGGTCTGGCTTCAGGTGAGCAAAGCTCCTTCCACCTCTCTCCTTCTCTTATTTTCCTTTCCCACCTCCTCTTCTGGCTTGTTTTGAAGCTTATTTTTAACAAGGGATTTGAAACTTCAGATGCAGCAAGGCTCTGGGACAATAGGAGTTGTAGGTTTGATGCTGACTGGCTAAAAGAGGGGCAGCCTGGAAGCAGATGGAGGTTAATGCTAATGTCGCTCAGCACCTACTCAGTGCAGACATCCGGCTCGGTGCCTGCAGCTGTTTTCTATTCCCCAACGCTCTTTGAGGGAGACTGTCCATTTTACAAGTGGGGAAACAAAGGCACACAGAGTTTGGAAAGGCCCCAGGTCACACAGCAAGGAATGGGGGGTACTCCAGAGCCCAGATCTTTGCCACTACCTGGACTGGGATGTCAGAAGTTAAAAGGGACTTCCCAGCCCTGTCCCCCTGTGAGATCACAGCATGGGAGCTCTGCCGTCCCCACTCCCAGACACATTTCTGGATGCTTAGAGATGTGTCTCCCAAGCCCAAGCTCATCCTTCTGGTGGCCCAGAAAAGGTTCCTTTCCTCCTTTGCTGTCCTTATCCGGAGTAACATGGGATTTTAAAATGGGAAAGACAATGTCCTAGCTCTGTGTGGCTCCTGTGTGACCAGGAGAAGAAAACCCTAGTCTAGGAACTTCCAGGGTCCTCACTCTGGTCCAATCTGGGGCTATGAGAAGGCTTTCCAAGGAGGTGACCACTAGTTTCCTTTACTCCTGCAGGAGCAGCCCTGTGAGGGGACAGCGTGGCGCAGTGAAGGGAGCCTGTCTTTGGTGTCTAACTGATCAGGTGGCCCTCCTCCTGCTACACACAGGAGAAAATCCAGAGCTTCCACTAGGGCTGGCCAGGCCCTGTCTGATCTGGGTCTAACCACGAGCTCAACCTTTTTCTTGCTCTGGGCACCAGCACACTGACCCCAGACACCATATCCTTTCCCTTCTCAGGGCCTCTGACATGCTGTTTCCTCTTCCTGGAATGCCCTTGCCCTCTTCTTGTCTGCTTGGTTCCTTTTCATCCTTTGGGCCTCAGAGAGGCTGCATAGCCCTGACCCACCTATCTGTGCCCACCCCCCCCCCATTATTTAATTTAATCCAAAGCACTTGTAACTGACTTTGTCAGTGCTGTGAGGACAGGAATAAGGCCTTCCCTGTACATCTTTGCATCCAAGTGCCTACTGTTAGCCTGAGCCCAGCCTAGACCACAGTAAGTACCAATTAACAAATAATTGCAATTAACAGCTCTGGAATCTCAGTTTCTGCATTTGTAAAGTGGGCATAGTAACATCTACTTTCTAAGGATGGTGAGAAGGTGAAATAAATACTAGTCACGATTAATATTAATTCTGGTCAAGTCCAATTAAGCATTGCTGATGCACTTACATATCTTAGAAACTTGCAGTGAGGAAACTGAGACTCTGGGAGGTGGCCTAAGACCAGCTCCTAGGAAAGCTGGCCATCATGGGGGGCCTGGGGCTCACTTCTGCCTTTGTCCATGCCTTCCGCTGTCCCTGGGATGATCATATAGCCTCTCTTGGCCTCAGTGTTTTTAATATGGAGAATGGGACCAGCGATGCAAGACCTCAGAGGGATGAGCAAGGCATAGAGACACTTCCCACGTGGAACAGAGAGCTAACCCGTAAGCCCCACCTTCACTGGCCACTCAGGGCTCATCCTCTCTGTCAGCTGACCCTGTCCCATTGCCCTTCAGCAGACTTCCCTCCCTACCTAAGGACATTTGCATGAGCAGAGCATCTTCAGCAACTGCATTCCCACCACCTGCTCATGTGGCTCTCTCCACACCTGAAGCCACAAATACATATGCAAAGGCCAGTTTATTAATTTGTGTTTGAGCGCAGAGCGGGGGTCACCGCCGAGAAAGGGGATTAGGCAGCAGCGGCGGGAGGCAACAGATGGCTTGATTGCTTTTACCTGTTGCTAATTTGTTAGGCAACAATCCCTCGTTTTTGTTTAATCGTGCCCAGACCTTGAGGCGGCAGGGCACCAGGCGCTTGATGGCACTTGGGTGCCTTCTCAGGGCGAAGGGTCAGGTGGCCTGCCTGGGAATTAAATACCAGAATCTAGAAATGAATGTCTCTTTCTTGTCCTGACTCTGATCCTCTCTTCAACTGGGCACTCAGAGTCCTCTGGAGTATATTAGCAGCAAGGAGGGTGCTGAGCCAGGAGGTGGCAGGGCAGGCTCTCTCATTCACCAGCTGTGTGACCTTCTGTAGGTCGCTTAGCATCTCTGGGCCCCATTTGCTCGGCTGGGAAATGTGCATCATCACACCTGCCCTATCTACTTTGCAGGGTTGCAGTGTGAACTGAGATAATGGATCTTAGAGCACTTTGACATGTGTAATGCTCTGTTATAGTGAGGCAATATTTGCTAGCAGAGCAGTTAAGTGCTTAGATTCTGGAGTCAGCCAGGCCTGGACTGAATTCCAGCTCAGCCACTTATACCTGTGGGGTCTTGGGTAAGAAACTTCAGCTTTCTGCACCTCAGTTTCCTTCCCTCTACAATGGGGTGCTAACAGTCCCTGTCTCAACAGGTTACTGGGAGGAGGGAATGTGCTAAAGCGTGGGGCAGGCTCAGCTCAGCTTTTTTAGAATGTGTGTGCCCTCCCAGTGAGCTGTCATTAGGATTCCATGGCTCCCCTTTGCAGCCTTGGTTTAAGACTTGCTGTTCTGTAAAGCCTGCTGTCATCTGTGTCTCCCTGCCCCAAGCTACTTGATGCTCTCTTCTCTGTGTCACCCTTCTGGTAGAAATTTGTTGGGGAGTTACTTCTTCCCCATCAGCTACAATCTGATAGGATGATAACCTGGAGCCTGTGATTCTATCACCAAAAGGACAGCAAGTGAACAAGCATAGCTGTCTTCTGGAGTTAGGAAGGAGGCATCAAGCTTCTGAAATACAGGGAGCTCATGTCCCCACAGCACAGGGCCCAGGACAAAGAGGTCTTGATTTCCCTGTTTTCATACCTGGCCTTCCAAGTGGCCCTGGTTCCCACCCATGTCCAGGCTGGACTCTCCAGGCTTCCTGCAGATTCTTTTGAGCCTTAGATAGATTATCAAGAAGTTTCCTTTTGCTTA